>NC_000022.11:39959564-41209564 GCF_000001405.40 Homo sapiens | reverse complement strand
CAAGATCATTACTTCTATTTACACATTTCTCCACCATGATGCAATTCAACAGCTTAACAAGACAGAAAATATGTGTTAGGAATTCACCAGGCTCCTCTGTGGATTTACAAATGATGATATTTTAACATGGTTCAAATAGAATACTGTATAACAATGTGGGCCAGGTGCGGTGGCTCATGCCTGTAATCCTAGCACTTTGGGAGGCCGAGGCTGGCAGATCACCTGAGGTCAGGAGTTCGAGACCAGCCTGGCCAAGAGGGTGAAACCCTGTCTCTACAAAAAAATACAAGAAAAAATTAGCCAGGCGTGGTGGCGGGCACCTGTAGTCCAGCTACTTGGGAGGCTGGGGCAGAGAATTGCTTGAACCCAGGAGGCAAAGGTTGTAGTGGGCCAAGATCGTGCCACTGCACTCCAGTCTGCGTGACAGAGCAAGACTCCATCTCAAAAAAAAAAAAAAAGTGAAATATCCTAAGGTACTTCACAAAGACTTTCTGGGGTAGAAGATATATTAGAAATTAATTCTTAGCCAGGCACAGTGGCCCACACCTGTAATCCCAGCACTTTCCGAGGCCAAGGTGGGTGGATCACGAAGTCAGGAGTTCAAGACCAACCTGGCCAAGATGGTGAAACCCCGTCTCTACTAAAAATACAAAAATTGGCTGGGTGTGGTGGCGGGTGCCTGTAATCCCAGGTACTTGGGAAGCTGAGGCAGAGAATTGCTTGAACCCGGGAGGTGGAGGTTGCAGCGAGCTAAGATCGCGCCACTGCACTCCAGCCTGGTAATGGAGTGAGATGCTGTCTCAAAAAGAAAAACAAAAATTCTTCCCCGTTCAATATACATCAAAATGATCTCAACTCAGAAACAATTTAAGTCACAGAAAAGTTAATTTGGGACCTAGACTGCTCCAAAGAGGATGGGAGAGGCAGATGACACACAGATAACTGTGGCATCTTGGTGTGTACTACAGCGCTAGATTCAGCTCTGAGCCTAACTAGCTATAGGGCCTTGGGCAAGTCATTTAACTTCTGTGGGCTTCAACTTTCTCATCTATAAAATAAAAATATTTGACTCGTGAGATGCAAATGAGATAATGTATATGAATCTACCCAGCATGTAACAGAAAACGTGTGAAGAGCCTGGGTACGGTGGTTCACATCTGTAATCCCAGCACTTTGGGAGGCTGAGGCAGGTGGATTGCTTGAACCCAGGAGTTTGAGACCAGCCTTGGCAACACAGCCACACCCCATCTCTACAAAAGAAAAAAAAATTAGCCAGGTGTGGTGGCATGCGCCTGTAGTCCCAGCTTCTTGGAGCTGAGGTGGAAGGACTGCTTGAGCCTGGGAGGTCAAGGCTGTAGTGAGCCATAACCATGCCACTGCAATCCAGCCTGGGCAAGAGAATGACATCCTGTCTCCAAAGAAAAAGAAAAAAAAGCTGGGTGCGGTGGCTCACACCTATAATCCCAGCACTTTGGGTGACCGAGGCGGGCGGATCACTTAAGACCAGGAGTTCAAGACCATCCTGGCCAACATGGTGAAATCCCATCTCTAGTAAAAATACAAAAAATAGCTGGGCATGATGGTGGGTGCCTGAAATCCCAGCTACTCGGGAGGCTGAGGCAGGAGAATCACTTGAACCCAGGAGTTGGAGGTTGCAGTGAGCCGAGATTGCACCACTGCCCTCCAGCCTGGGCAACAGAGTGAGACTCCTTCTCAAAAAAAAAAAGCTGGGTGGTGGTGGCATGCACCTGTGGCTCTAGCTACTCAGAAGGCTGAGGTGGGAAGACAGCTTGAGCCTGGGAGGTCAAGGCTGCACTGAATCATGATCACACCATTGCACTCCAGCCTGGATGACAGAGGGAAGACACTGTCTCAAAGGAAAAAAAAGGTGTGAAGAAAGGAGAAAAGTTTGGCCTCTGGTCCAGAGCTCAAATATCTCTAGTGCTTACTCGCTGTATGACCTGCAGCAAGTCAATTTTGCAGTGCTTCAGTTTCCACATCTGTACAATGAGGATAGTACCACCTATTTCATAGGGTTTGGGGGCTGGCCATGGTGGCTCATGCCTGTAATCCCAGCACTTTGGGAGGCCGAGACAGGAGGATTGCTTGAGCCTAGGAGTTCAAGACCAGACTGGGCAACATAGGGAAACCCTGTCTCTATAAAAAATGGAAAAAATTAGCTGGGTGTTTTGGTTAGGGAGGCTGAGGTGGGAGGAACTCTTGAGCCAGGGAGGTCAAGGCTGCAGTTAGCTATGACTGCACCACTGCACTCCAGCCTGGGTGACAGAGAGCAACCCTGTTTCAAAAAAAAAAAAAAAAAAAAAAAAAGGATTTGGGGGAGAAGTAAGAGACGATACAGGCAAAGCTCTCAGAATAGTGACTTGCATATAGTAAGTGCTCAATAAAGGTTGCCAATTTTTACTGGTTGAAAGCATAGGCTCTGATTTGCCTGAGTTTGAATCCTGGCTCTAACATTTATTAACTGTGTGATTTTGTGCGTATTTTATCTTGCTGCTGTCATCATTACAAGAGAGGTAATAAGCTTTCTTTAGAGAATTCTTACGAAGATTGAGATAAGATATGTAAAACCTAGTTCTATTTCCAGCAGTCAGTAACAGCTCTAAAAGTGTGACTTGCTATTCTTATTCTCCACATGATTATTCTCGTTTACCCTTGCAGAAAGTTTGAGCTATTCCACCTTATATTTGCAACTACACATGCAAATATGCTAGAAAGGAAGCAATTTTTTTTTTTTTTTGAGACACAGTCTCGCTCTGTCGTCCAGGCTGGAGTGCAGTGGTGCAGTGGCCCGATCTCGGCTCACTGCAAGCTCCGCCTCCCACGTTCACGCCATTCTCCCGCCTCAGCCTCCCGAGTAGCTGGGACTACAGGTGCCTGCCACCACGCCCGGCTAATTTTTTTGTATTTTTAGTAGAGATGGGGTTTCACCATGTTAGCCAGGATGGTCTCGATCTCCTGACCTCGTGATCTGCCCGCCTCGGCCTCCCAAAGTGCTGGGATTACAGGCGTGAGCCACCGCACCCAGCAAGGAAACAATTCAAATATAGGTACCCTTGTCAGGCAGGGTGACAGAGACCACCTATAGTCCCAGCTACTTAGGAGGCTGAGGTGTAAGGATTGCTTGAGCCCAAGAGTTAGAGGCTGCAGTGCGTTGTCATCACGCCTGTGAGTAACCACTGCATTCCAGCCAGGGCAACATAGGAACACCCCGTCTCTTAAATATAAGGTGCCCAGAAACCAAATGATTAAAGGATGAGGCGGGGTGCAGTGGCTCATGCCTGTAATCCCAGCACTTTGGGAGGCCGAGGTGAAGCAGACAGATCACCTGAGGTCAGGAGTTCGAGACCAATCCGACCAACATGGCAAAACCTCGTCTCTACTAAAAATACAAAAATTAGCCGGGTGTGGTGACACATGCCTGTAATCCCAGGAACATGGGAGATGGAGACAGAATTGCTTGAACCCGGGAGACGGAGGTTGCAGTGAGCCGAGATCGCGCCACTGCACTCCAGCCTAGGTGACAGAGCAAGACTCCGTCTGAAAGAAAAAAAAAAAAGGATGAGTGGGTTCCAGGTTGCAGTACAGTGTGAAAAGCATAACAGGCAAAGTTTCAGAGGCGGACAGACTTAGTGCCAATCTCCTTCACTTTCCAGCCGGGGTAACTTCCTGGGGTGTCGCACCACCTCTAAGCCTCAGTGGCTTGAACGACAAAGACGAAAGAATAATACATGATTGCTGTGAGTGTACTGGAAGATAATGCACGTGAACGTTACAGACAAGGAGTGATGTTCACCCAACTTTAATCTCCCTTCACTTCCCACCTCATGTAACAGGCCTCACAAGCCCTAAACAACACAGCCACGAGACAAGCAGGATAAGGAAGATTCAGGAGCTCTCAGATCCTAAACCTAGTTCCCTTTCCCCCAGGCCAGGGACGGCTGTTCCTCCCTGAACTCCTCGCCGAACGTTGGCCCCAGCAGGAGAGGGGCAAAAAGTAACGTCAATTGCCTCTGCCCCTGGCTCAGTTTAACTACCTCAGTTTATCCATCCTCCCACCCTCCACCCTCCAGGCGTCGCTAAAAGCCCTAAAGAAGGGCCCACGGAGCGAGGCTCTCGGAGTTCCCTTTCCCAGTCACGCTAAGTCCTCGCCTTCTCACCTCAATACTCCGGGGCTTCTCCATGAGACCTCAGTTTCGCCAAGCGTCACCAGGTGCAGGAAGCCATATTGGCCTGCCCCGTCGCTCTCCGCGAGAGCACTCATTGGTCGCCTCCCTGAGCCGCGGGCCAATCACGCTGCAGGAAGGAGGAAAAGCCGGTTCCGTGCCTGCTCCCGCCATTCTCTCCCTGTGGGCGGGGAAGCCGCGGGCGGTTATGGGAATTGTAGTTCGCATGTGTGCAGGGTGAGTCGTTACCATAGCGACGTGGAAACCAGGGGCGCTGGAAACCTGGTGCGCCTCACGCCGAGTGTTCCAATTACGCCAACCTCTTGACTTCACTGGATGTTATTCTTCCCTAAACGGTTATTGAGCACCTATGATAGTCACTGTTCCAGACTCCAGGAATAACCTCGTACTCTCCCGGGTTAGATATTTAAGGTGCCCTTTTGCTGGGATGCATAGCAGAGGGACTCATTTCCAACTCAGGCAGAAACTGGACTACTCCAGATTAAAAAGAAAAAAAAAAGGAAGAAACTGGAATACTCTGTGTGTGTGTGTGTGTGTGTGTGTGTGTGTGTGTGTGTGTGTGTGTGTGTTTTCTTGAGACGAAGTCTTGCCCTGTCGCCCAGGCTGGAGTGCCGTGGCGCGATCTCGGTTCACTGCAACCTACGCCTGCCAGGTTCAAGCGATTCTCCTGCCTCAGCCTCCCAAGTAACTGGGACTACAGGCGCCCACCACCAAGCCCGGCTAATTTTTGTATTTTTTAGTAGAGACGGGGTTTCACCAGGCTGGTCTTGAACTCCTGACCTCGGGATCCACCCGCCTCGGCCTCCCAAAGTGCTGGGATTACAGGCGTGAACCACCGCGCCCGGCTGAAACTGGAATATTCTTTTTCTCAATACTGTAAATGTCCAGCCTGCTCAAAATCTTACAACATTCCTCCTTCACCACTCTCTCCTGGGTAAAAACCTCGAATCTGAGGCTCTCTGCCTCATCCCGTTAGGGTTTCCCACAACCTCCTTAGACACCCTGAGTTCTAGGTGCTGTTGTGGAGCTTTGCAAACATCTTTTCAAACCCTTAGACATCCTATCACCGTTTGAAAGAAGAGGAAGTGGTGGCTCTTCACCACTTCAGGTTTAGGCACTTTCCAAGATCACACAGGATTGGGATTCCAAATTTAGTACAGATTCCTTCCCTATGCCATGCCGTGTCCCAGTGAATTAATTGAGACTCTAAATGCAATATGTGGAGGCTGAATACATATAAAATATATGCCTAAATTTGAAGTCCGCCGTGGAGATGTCAAACTCTTCCTAGAGGTCTTTCTTTCCTTCAACCCCTTCCACCCTAAACCCCTGTATCCATGCTGTCAACGTGTTGGTTTTTCTACCTCCAAAATATATCCTGTATTTCCTCCACCACTACCACTCTAATACAAGCCACCGGCCCATTGCAGCAGCCCTTCAACTGGTCACCCTTTCTTTCTTTCTTTTATTGATTGATTGATTGATTGAGATGGAGTCTCCCCTGTCGCCCAGGCTGGAATGCAGTGGGATCTCCACTCACTGCAACCTCCACCTCCTGTGGTCACCCTTTTTAAATCTTCACCTTTAATACACACAGGTGATCTTTAAAACTCATTGACCTGGCCGGGTGCAGTGGATCACGCCTGTAATCCCAGCACTTTGGGAGGCCAAGATGGACAGATCACAAGGTCAGGAGATCGAGACCAGCCTGGCCAAGATGATGAAACCCTATCTCTACTAAAAATACAACTATTAGCTGGGTGTGATGACGGGTGCCTGTAATCCCAGCTACTTGGGAGGCTAAGGCAGGAGAATCGCTTGAACAAGGGAGTCAGAGGTTGCAGTGAGCCGAGATTGCACCACTACACTCCAGCCTGGGCAACAGAGCAAGACTCCATCTCAAAAAATAAAAATAAAAATAAATGTTCTGGAATAAGATAGTGGTGAAAAAAAAAGAAAAAGACAGGTTGGTTCAGCAAGTGCAAAGGCCACATTGGTGGAACAGCAAGTGCAAAGGTCCTGGGGCCAACTCAAGCTTGGTATGCAATAAACAGAAAGACAGAGAGAGTAGATGGATATAGCAAAACATGGAGAGGGTGATACAAGATGAGGTTTGAGAGAAAGCTGAGACCAGGTCATTCAGGGTCTTGTGGAGTGCTTGGATTTTATTCTGTGCAAGGGAACGGCATTAGAGTTTTTTTGTTTGTTTGTTTTTGAGACAGAGTTTCACTCTTGTTGCCCAGGCTTGAGTGCAATGGCGCGATCTCGGCTCATCACAACCTCTGCCTCCCAGGTTCAGGCAATTCTCCTGCCTCAGCCTCCCAAGTAGCTAGGATTACAGGCATGCACCACCACACCTGGCTAATTTTTTTTTTTTTTTTTTGTATTTTTAGTAGAGATGGGGTTTCTCCATGTTGGTCAGGCTGGTCTCGAACTCCCGACCTCAGGTGATTCGCCCACCTGGGCAAATGGTCTTGATCGCCTGACCTCGTGATCCGCCTGCCTTGGCCTCCCAAAGTGCTGGGATCACAGGCCTGAGCCACTGTGCCCAGCTAAAAATTTTTTAAAATTAGCTAAGTGTAGTGGCATGTACCTGTGGTCCCAGATACTCTGGAGGCTGAGGAGGGAGGATTGCTTGAGCCCAGGAGGTTGAGGCTACAGTGAACCATGTTCATGCCACTGCACTCTACCCTGGTGACAGAGAAAAAAAAAAGTTGTCTGGCTGGGCATGGTGGCTCACACCTGTAATCCCAGCACTTTGGGACGCTGAGGCAGGTGGATAACTTGATATCAGGAGTTCTGCCAGACGCGGTGGCTCACGCCTGTAATCCCAGGACTTTGGGAGGCCAAGGTGGGCGGATCACCTGAGGTCAGGAGTTCAAGACCAGCCTGGCCGACATGGTGAAACCCCATCTTTACTAAAAATACAAAAATTAGCCGGGCTTGGTGAGGCATGCCTGTAATCCCAGCAACTCCGGAGGCTGAGGCAGGAGAATCGCTTGAACCTAGGAGGCGGAAGTTGCAGTGAGCTGAGATCGCGCCATTGCACTCCAGCTTGGAAAAAAAACAAAAAAGGAATTCTAGACCACCCTGGCCAACATGGTGAAAACCCTGTGTCAATTAAAAAAAATTACAAAATATTAGCCTGGTGTGGTGGCACAAGCGTATAGTCCCAGCTACTTGGGAGGCTGAGGTGGGTGGATCACTTGAGGTCAGGAGTTTGAGACCAGCCTAGCTAACATGGTGAAACCCCATCTCTACTAAAAATAGAAAAATATTGGCCGGGCACAGTGGCTCATGCCTGTAATCCAAGGACTTTGGAAGGCTGAGGCAGGTGGATCACCTGAGGTCAGGAGTTCGAGACCAGCCTGACCAATATGGTGAAACCCCATCTGTGCTAAAACTACAAAAATTAGCCGGGTGTGGTGACATGCGCCTGTAGTCTCAGCTACTCGGGAGGCTGAGACCGGAGAATTGCTTGAATCAGGGCGGTGGAGGATGCAGTGAGCCGAGATTATGCCACTGTACTCCAGCCTGGGCGACAGAGCAAGATTTTCTCTCAAAAAACAAACAAACAAACAAAAACCAACAACAACAAAAAAGTTGTCTGGGTGGAATAGCACAATGGCAGGGCATAGAGCAGAAGAGGTGAGTTTAAGGGATTTATGTACATAGTTTGGAACAGAAGAGCACGTTTGTGTTGCTATTGGGAGTGATCTAGTAGAGAGAGACAGATCAATGATCCCAGACAGAGGGACAGTGATGCACAGAGGGAGGGCCTTAAAAGAGAGGAGCGTATTAGGTCCACATGTAGAGGGATGAATTAGTCCAGCCAAAAAGGGTACCTTTGCTGCAGGATGAAACCCCTGCCCAGGAGCTCCATAGCAGAAGGAACTGCCACACTGTTACTGTTCTGGGGCGGCCACTATTGCTTAGCAACCTGTGCTTAATAAGATGTTTCAACTGAATTCCTAATAAACGGCCATTTCAACTTACGCCAACGGTTCCTGTCACTGGTGTTCCTGCTCTGCTTATCTCATACGCTGAAACTGGATGCTCAGGTTTTTACTTCCTTGTACTGTTGATGTATGCATTTTTTGCTTTTGTTTTTTTTTTTTCTGGAGACGGAGTTTCGCTCTTGTTGCCCAAGCTAGAGTGCAATGGCGTGATCTCAGCTCACTGCAACGTCTGCTTCCTGGGTTCAAGCGATTCTCCTGCCTCAGCCTCCCGAGTAGCTGGGATTACAGGCATGCGCCACCATGCTAGGCTAATTTTTGTATTTAGTAGAGACGGGGTTTCACCATGTTGGTCAGGCTGGTCTCGAACTCCTGACCTCAGTTAATCCACCAACGTCAGTCTCCCTAAAGAGCTGGGATTACAGGTGTGAGCCACCGTGACTGGCCTAATTTTGTATTTTTAGTAGAGACAAGGTTTCTCCGTGTTGGTCAGGCTGGTCTCGAACTCCCAACCTCAGGTGATCTGCCCGCCTCGGCCTCCCAAAGTGCTGGGATTAGGATTACAGGCGTGAGCCACTGCGCCTGGCTTTTTTTTTTTTTTTTTAAAATAGAGTCTCAGCCCAGCACGGTGCCTCACGCCTGTAATCCCAGCACTTTGGGAGACCGAGGCAGGTGGGTCATGAGGTCAGGAGTTCAAGACCAGCCTGGCCAAGATGGTGAAACACCGTCTCTACTAAAAATACAAAAATTAGCTGGGTATGTTGGTGGGTGCCTGTAACCCCAGCTGCTCAGGAGGCTGAGGCAGAGAATTGCTTGAACCCAGGAGGTGGAGGTTGCAGTGAGCCGAGATCATGCCACTGCACTCCAGCTTGGACGACAGAGTGAGACTCCGTCTCAAAAAAAAAAAAAAAAAAGAAAGAAAGAAAGAAAAGAAACAGAGTCAAGCTCTGTCATCCAGGCTGGAGTGCAGTGACACAATCTCAGCTCACTGCAACCTCCGCCTCTGAGGTTCAAGCGATTCTCCTGCCTCAGTCTCCGGAGTAGCTGGGACTATGGGTACGTGCCACCATGCTGGGCTAATGTTTTGTACTTTTTTTAGTAGAGGCAGGGTTTCGCCATGTTGGACAGGGTGGTCTAGAACCCCTGACCTCAAGTGATCCACTTGTCTTGGCCTCCCAAAGTGCTGGGATTACAGGTGTGTCCACCACATCCAGCCACAAGAAACATCTTTTTTTCTTTTCCTTTTTTTTTTTTTTTTTTGAGGTAGGGTCTTGCTCTGTCACCACCCAGGCTGGAGTGCAGTGGTACAATCACAGCTCACTGCAGCCCCAACCTCCCAGGGTCAAGTAATCCTCCCATCTCAGCCTCCTGAGTAGTGGGGACCACAGGTGTGCGCCTCCAGGCATGGCTATTTTTTGTATTTTTTGTAGAGAGGGGGTTTCTCCATGTTGCCCAAGCTGGTCTTGAACTCCTGGACTCAAGCAATCCACCCACCTTGTCCTCCCAAAGTGCTGGGATTACAGGCACAAGTCACTGCACCTGGCCCCCTTGCTTCTTCTCTTGATCCACCTCCAGTTCATTCTTCGCACAGACACTAAATGTAATACAGACATCAAATCAATTTACTCGCCTGCTTAAAACCTTCAAAGGTTTTCCATTGTGCTCTCCTGCTAACTGGAACTTTTCTCCACCTCAGTCTCTATATTCTGGGTCTCTGCCTGAAATGCTCTTCCCCCACAATTCCCTTCCCAGAAATAGCTCCTTCTTATCCTGCAAGTAAAGGTATGTTCCCTACCTAGCAGGCCTTTCCCCCCTTGCCTAGGCTCCATCACAACACCTGCTAAATTCCTCCTCAGTTGGAATTAGATGTTTGATAAGTCTTCACTGTCTCCCTGCAGGAGGTAGGAAGCTCTGTGAGGACAGAAATTCACCTGTGTTTTCCCAGAGTCCAGCACCGGGCCTGGTGCACGGTAGGCACTAAATAAATATTTGATGAGGCCAGGCGCAGTGGCTCACACCTGTAATCCCAGCACTTTGGGAGGCCGAGGCGGGCAGATCACCTGAGGTCAGGAGTTCGAGACTTGCCTGGCTAACATGGTGAAACGCCGTCTCTACTAAAAATACAAAAATTAGCTGGGCGTGGCAGCAGGCACCTATAATTCCAGCTACTTGGGAGGCTGAGACAGGAGAATCGCTTGAACCCAGGAGGCACAGGTCGCAGTGAGCTGAGATTGCGCCACTGCACTCCAGCCTGGGCAAGAAAGAGCGAAACTCCGTCTCAAATAAATAAATAGATAAATATTTGATGAATAAGATGATTTGTCACTAGCAGATTCTCTGTGAAATGTATGGCTGTGCCCCTAAAGTATTAATAAAAGATTAAGCAACTAATAAAGGTTATTTTTCTCAACCGGTTGCTACCATCCCAGTGTCTAATAGGATGATCATAACTACCATATACTGTGCCCAGTACTGCACACTTATTATTTATTTTATTTATTTATTTTTGAAACTGACTGTCGCCCAAGCTAGAGTGCAGTGGCATGATCTTGGCTCACTGAAACCTCTGCTTCCCAAGTTCAAGCGATTCTCCTCCCTCAGCCTCCCGAGTAGCTGGGACTACAGACGTGCACCACCATGCCAGGCTAATTGCTGCATTTTTATTAGAGACAGGGTTTCACCATGTTGGCCAGGCTGGTCTTGAACTCCTGACCTAGTGATCCACCTGCCTCGACCTCCCAAAGTGCTGGGATTACAGGCGTGAGCCACCGCGCCCGGCAGTTTTTGCATTTTAATACATAGCACTACCAACCATTCAGTGATTTCCTCTTGATTTCTCCCTCTCCATCCCTTATTGTTCAATCCATCAGCAAATCCCGTTTATTCTCCAAAAGCTACCTCAAATATTTTTTACTTCTATTTATTTTTTTGAGACTGGGTCTCCCTCTGTCGCCCAGGCTAGAGTGCAGTGGCACGATCACGACTCACTGCAGCCTCCACCTCCTGGTGGAGCCTCACACGTCAGCCAACCCCCAAACCCCGCCCCAGTAGCTGGGACTACAGGAGTGACAATCACACGGATAATTAAAAAAAAAAAAAAAACTTTTTTTTTTTTTTTTTGTAGAGACAGGGTCTCATTATGTTGCCCAGGCTGGAATTTTTACTTCTTTTTATCCCTACTGCCATCACTTAAATCCAGACCACCATCATATCAACACCCTGGATCCCACTGAAGCTCCTAGCTGGGTTCTCCTCTTACCCTATCCTATTATTTTTCTACGTAGCAATCTTTTTAAAACTGTACATTGGATGGACTAACTCCCTTGTGTCACTGATTTGCAGGACGAGGGCTTTTACCCATATGAGCCACTTCTGTTTCCTCTTCCCCTGGTTGTTTTATAAGACTCCTGGGGAGGGGGCGGGTGACCCAAGTAGAAGTGAGAGAGTTAGAGAAAGGCCAGGATAAGAAAGTTATTCATTCAAATAATGTACCGCGTGCCCCTGTGCTCTGCGCACTGTGGGTACAGCAGTGAAATCAAGGACCGCACAGTTCGGGCGCTACGAGAGCTGCCGTTCCAATTCCATCCGAAGGAAGGGAGACAACGCTTTCCCGCGCGGACGAGCGGCCAGGCGCGGCGCTAACTGCTTGGACGCCCCGCCTGCCACCGTGCCTCAGCTCGCCTCTTCTGCACAACGGGACTCTGCCCCACAGGGACACCGGGAAGGTCCCGACCCGAGCGCTCAGTGGGACGGGGTCGCACCAAGAGTCCGCGCGGAACTCCCGATCTGGGCGGGGCCCAAAGGTCACGTGGCCGGGAAGGCGGGCGCGCGGGCTGCGAGCACCAACCGCCGGCCGCCCCGCGCTGCGTCGCCCCGCCTCCCCCGCCCCACCCCCGTCGCCCCCAGCGCGTGCCCGCCCGGCGCCCTCTAGGGTGGAAGGCTGCGGGCGTCCTACCAGTGCCAGGACTGCCAGAGCGGGAGGAGCGCGGCGCGGGCCAGCCGGGACTGCTGGACAGCGGGGTCCAGGCTAGAGGCGAGCGAGCGGTCAGTGACGGCTGTGGAGGAGGGAGGCGCTGGGCGTCAGCGCGGGACCCGAGCCTCTGGACCACTGAGCTGGGGGGCTGGCTGAGGTGGGTCTCCCGCCCTGAGGGCGCGCCTTAGGGAGGGGACAGGGGCCGGTGGGACCCTTGCTTTGTCTCAGTCGCACTGAGGTGAGGGGGCTGCACTCGGCCGAGCAGCGAGGACCGTGCCCAGCTCAGAGAGAGCCCTCAGAGTGTCCGGGCTGGATTGCGGCCGCGGTGCGGGAGAAGTCGGAGGAGGGAGTGACAGGTGACCGGGCTGGCAGGGCAACTGCCATTATTAAGCACTCGGCCGCCCGGGTGCGGTTGCCACCTCCTCCTTCCCGAGCTGGCAGCCCAGGCCACCAGGGACACGCACCTGTCCTAAGAGGGTGTAATCTTTGAGGCAGAGGTGGGACACGAACCCGGGACGGTTTGCCCTTGGGCCACTCCCTTAGGCTGAGGGAAAAGTGTACTTAAACCAGGCTTTGAGAATTGGGCAGAGTTTGAAGCGCAGAGATCACCGAGCCCTTCGTTGGCTGTCAGGACTTTAGAAAGACGTTTGGTCTCTAAAAGACCACACTTTCCTCCTCCCCAAAAGTGGCTGGACCTGTGAACACTAATTACTCATGTGTAAGGAGTGCTTTGCAATCTGTAAAGCACTTTCCATTCCGGTGTCGTAGATAATTCGTCACAATGAACTTGCCAAGTAAGCGTTTTTTTTATTTACCTTTTTTACAGATGAAGAAATTTTGTCCCAGAGACGTTTATTAAATCAGGGAGTAGCAATAGAGCCTTACTCTTTTTTTTTTTTTTTTTTTTTGAGACGGAGTCTCACTCTGTCGCCCAGGGCCGGAGTGCAATGGCGCCATCTCGGCTCAGTGAAACCTCTGCCTCCCAGGTTCAAGCAATTCTCCTTGCCTCAGCCTCCCAAGTAGCTGGGACTACAGGCGCCAGCCACCACACCCAGCTGCTTTTTGTGTTTTTAATAGAGACGGGGGTTTCACCATGTTGGCCAGGCTGGTCTTGAACTCCTGACCTCAAGTGATCTCCCCACCTCGGCCTCCCAAAGTGTTGGGATTACAGGTGTTAGCCACCGCACCCAGTGGAGCCTTACTCTTTTTTTTTTTTTTTGAGACAGAGTTATGCTCTTGTTGCCCAGGCTGGAGTGCAATGGTGCAATCTCAGCTCACTGCAACCTCCGCCTCCCGAGTTCAAACGATTCTCGTGCCTCAGCCTCTCAAGTAGCTGGGATTACAGGCATGAGCCACCACGCCCGGCCTTTTTTTTTTTTTTTTTTTTTTTAGTAGAGACGGGGTTTCTCCGTGTTGGTCAGGCTGGCCTTGAACTCCCAACCTCAGGTGATCCGCCTTCCACGGCCTCTCAAAGTGCTGGGATTACAGGCATGAGCCACCGCGCCTGGCTGAGCCTTACTCTTATACATCAAATGTTTTCCACGATAGGAAACCACCTGGGATGACCATCAAGCCCCAAACTCAAACATCCTGTGATTTCATCATCAGAGCTCCTGGCTTAGGGCACAATTCTTGGCTGGATCTGCCTGCCACTCCCCAGCTACCAACAACCGTATCTCGGCAACACAACCACCCTGGCACAGCACTTTTAATTATTTGTTAAATGTTTCTTACTGGGTTGGGCTAAACCAACTGTGAGGAGTCCTTTAGGCAGTGTCAAAACTTGGAGACAGTTGGATGGGCTTGATTGAATTCTGAAAATTCCCCGAGTGTACTGGGGTTTCTACCCAAAGTGACGATTACTTTGAGAGTATTGGTGATAATAATTTTTTGTCCTTCCTATTGACAGGTCCACCTCCTAACAAATTATTGGAAGGAATATGAGAAAAGTAAGTAGGGATTTTGAAGTATCAGTTAAAAGACCCAAAATTGTTTATGTTTAGAATAATGGTAGTTAATTTGGTGATGTTATTTCTGGATGTATAAGGTTAATTGGCAAGTGCTTATCAAATGCATGTGTGTGTGTGTGTGTGTGTGTGTGTGTGTGTGTGTGTGTGTGTGAGATACGGAGTCTCATTCACTCTGTCAGCCAGGCTGAAGTGTGGTGGCACAATCTCAGCTCACTGCAAACTGTGCCTCCCAGGTTCAAGTGATTCTCCTGTCTCAGCCTCCTGCGTAGCTGGAGTTACAGGCGCCCGCCACCACACCAGACTAATTTTTTGTATTTTAGTAGAGACAAGGTTTCACCATGTTGGCCAGGCTGGTCTTGAACTCCTGACCTCAGGTGATCTGCTCACCTCGGCCTCCTAAAGTGCTGGGATTACAGGCGTGAGCCACCATGCCCGGCTCCCAAATGTCCGTTTTTGAGGAATGTATTTATTAATACATGCTGAGAGGTCTACACAGGTGGTAGTCCATCACCACAAACACTGACAGTATACCAAGAGATGCTATTTTTTTAAAATCCCCATAGGACTGTGAAAGGGAAGAGAAGCCGGCTGTTACCCTTTTGCCTATGATATGTGTCAGGTGCTGGGGCTAAGTGTTTTTCACTTATCCTATAGCTTGTTTATCCTCCCAACAAACTTGAAAGACAGAAGTTATTTGTTTGTTTATTTATTTTGAGGGTTTCACTGTTGTCCAGGCTAGAGTGCAGTGGTGTGATCATGGCTCACTTCAGCCTTGACTTGGGCTCAAGTGAGCCTCCTGCCTCAGCCTCCTGAGTAACTGGGACCACAGGTGCATGCCACCACGTTCAGCTAATTTTTTTTTTTTTATTTTTAAGAAATGCAGAGTCTCACTGTGTTGCTCAGGCAGGTCTCTAGACTCCTGGACTCAAGCCATCCTCCTGCCTCTGCCTCTCAAAGTGCTGAGATTACAGGTGTGAGCCACTGCGCTCAGGTTAAAGTGTAAGTCTTGCCGATGCTATATCTAAGACACATCCCAGATCTGTCCATCGCCTACTACCCCAGATGAAGTCACTTGTCATTTCTTGCCTGCAGTCCTATAATAGCTTCCTAATTTTCTGCTTCCTTTCTTGCCACCCTAAAACCTATTCTCCACACAACAGCCTGACTGATTTATTTAAAATGTAAGACAAATCATGCCACCCTTCTCTTAAAGTGCTCCCCTAGCCCCTCATTGCGCTTAAAATAATACCTAAGGCCAGGCGCAGTGCCTCACGCCTGTAATCCTAGCACTTTGGGAGGCAGAGGCAGGAGGATCACTTGAGGTCAGGAGATCACTTGAGTTGCAGTGAGCTGAGATTGCGCCACTGCACTCCAGCCTGGGAGACACAGCGAGACTCCATCTACAAAATAATAATGATAATCATCATCATCATCATCATCATCATCACCATCATCATCATCATCATCTAATTCCTTGCCTTGACCTATCAGGACCTACTGATCTGTCAACTAGTTGCTTTACAACTTCATTTTGCATCGTTTTCTTCCTCTATCATTGAATTCCAGCCTTGTTTCCCTCCCTCCCTCCCTCCCTTCCTCCCTCCCTTTTTTGAGACAGGGTCTCACTCTGTTGCCCAGGCTGGAGTGCAGTGGTGCGATCTCAGCTCACTGCAACCTCCACCTCCTGGGTTCAACTGATTCTCATGCCTCAGCCTCCCGAGTAGCTGAGATTACAGGCGTGCACCACCATGCCCGGCTCATTTTTTTGTATTCTTAGTAGAGACAGGGTTTCACCATGTTGGCCAGGCTGGTCTCTAACTCCTGACCTCAAATGATCCACCCACCTTGACCTCCCAAAGTGCTGGGATTACAGGCATGAGCCACTGCGCCCGGCTGTTACCCTTTTTTCTGTCCCTGGGATGTGCTAAGCTTGTTCTCGCCCTGGGGAGTTTGCATTCATTGTTTCTTTCCAGAATGTTATTTTCCTAGATATTTTCATGTCTGGCCCCTTGCTATTTAGGTCTCAGATTAAATGTCATCTCCGGAGCACCTAAGTGAAGTAGTTCATGAAGTTCTCTATATCTCCTTTTTAAATGTTCTTCTTTGAACTTACCATAACCTAATATTTAGTGCTAGTTTATTTTCTGCTTCCCTTCACTAGAATGAAAGCTCCTTAAATTGTAATAGCTAAAACTTAATATGCTTTTTCTTTTTCTTTCTTTTTTTTTTGAGACAGGGTCTTGCTCTGTTGCCCAGGCTGGAATATGTCAACCCCCACTTCCCGGGCTCAAGTGATCCTCCCACCTCAGCCTCCCAAGTAGCTGGGACCAGAGGTGTGCACCACCATGCCTGGCTAGTTTTTTGTATTTTTTGTAGAGACAGGGCCTTGACATGTTGCCCAGGCTGGTCTCAAACTCCTAGGCTCAGGTAATGCTTTCGCCTTGGCCTCCTAAATTGTTGGGATTACAGGTGGGAGCCCGCACCTGGCTAATGTTTAATCTTGTTAGGCATTTAGAATCGGGCCTATTACTCTAGAAGGTGGCTACTTTTATTATGCCCATTTTACAGATGAGGAGACTGAGTCTTGGTAGGTTAAGTAACTTGCACATGGTCATACAGTTAGTTAGTGGCAGAGCTGGGATTTTTTATTTTTTATATTTTGAAACGGGGTCTCACTCTATTACCCAGGCTGGAGTGCAGTGGTAAGATCATTCATTGCTCACTACAGCCTTGACCTCCAGGGCTCAAGCCATCCTCCCACCTTAGCTTCCCCACTAGCTGGGACTATGGGCATGTGCCACCATGCCCAGTTAATTTTTCTTTTTCTTTTTCTTTTTTTTTTTTGTATAGACAGTCTCACTATGTTGCCCAGGTTGCTCTTGAACTCCTGGGCTCAAGTGATCCTCTCACCTTTACCTCCCATAGTGTTGGAATTATAGGCATTAGCCAGCATGTTCAGCCCAGAGCTGGGATTTGAATCCAAGCAGACTAGCTTCAGCATCCGTGCTCTTAATCAAGCGAGAGCAGGTCCTTATCTTCTCCACCTCTGTAATCAGGCACCGTGAATGTAACATGGCATTTAGCAGGCTCTCAATAAAAACTGTGAAGTGAAAGAATGTAATCACAAGAGAAAACCAAATTATAAACAAAAACCTAGGAACTATTAGCCTTGATTTCACTTTCTCCTACTTGCAAATCTGTGAGCAAGTTCTGAATCTGAACTACTTCTCACCACAAAACACATCTCCAGTATGTCCCCTTTCTGCATCCCCACTGCTACCACCCTTGTCCAGCTCCTGAGTGGCTTGCTCCTGTGTTCTGCTACCACCACAACTCCCAACAGTTTCCCAAATCGCTGGCGGAGGGGAACTCCTCTCACTGATTGGAAATCTGCTTTCCTTATTAGGCTAAAGCAAAGAATCAAGTGTGTTATTAGGGCTGTAATGTCTATCCTGAGAGAAAATTTTTTGGCTGTCTTATACCCTAACAGCATGTCCATTTATCCCTATTACTGGTTTCAGTGGGGTCCGATTCATGTGTCATTGCCTCTCATAAAGGTGCTTCAACTGAAGTTTACTTTGTTGTTACATCACAAGACCTTTTAAGCAACAGCCAAGTGGAATGTGTGTAGACTGAACTTGGTTGTCCACTACCTCAACTGTGGTGCAGTGTGGGAATTTCTCTCATATCTCAATTCCAAAATGTAAAAAATACTTGTTATTTTTGTTCTTTTTTTTTTTTTTTTTAAAGAGACAAGGTCTCACTCTGTTGCTCAGGTTGGAGTACAGTGGTGCAATAATAGCTCATGTAACCTTGACCTCCTGGTCTCAAGTGATCCTCCTGCTTCACCCTCCCGAGTAGCTGGGACTGCAGGCCTGCACCACCAGGCTGGGCTAATTAAAAAAAAAATTTTTTTGGCTGGGTGCAGTGGCTTATGCCTGTAATCCCAGCACTTTGTGAGGCTGAGGCAGGCGGATCACCTGAGGTCAGGAATTCCAGACCAGGCTGGCCAACATGGCGAAACCCTCTCTCTACCAAAAATACAAAAAATTAGCCGGACATGGCATGTGCTGATAATCCTAGCTACTCGGGAGGCTGAGGCAGGAAAATCGCTTGAACCTGGGAGGCAGAGGTTGCAGTGAGCCGAGATCGAGCCACTGCACTCCAGCCTGGGTGACAAGGGCGAAACTTCATCTCAAAAAATAAAGAAATAAAATAAATAATAAAAGAAAAAAAATTTGTTGTAGAGATGGGGTCTCGCTGTGTTGCTCAGGCTTGTCTTGAACTTCTGAGCTCAAGTGATCCTCCCACCTCGGCCTCCCAAAGTGCTGGGATTACAGGCATGAGCCACTGTGCCCGGCCAATAGCTGATTCCGCCCCCACACCCATCTTTTGGATACAATCATATAACTGATTGTTTTGAACGCTTTCCTTCCGTGGCTAAGAAGCTAAAAGTCAAATCTGTGACCCTGTCCTTGCAGGTGTACTGGATCTGATGGCATGTATTTTGAATACTAACTTAATCCCTGTTTCAGCTTAATTTTTAAAATATAGAAGTGTAAATTGTATTTAATATTTTTGCAACATATTTTACCATTATGATTTCTATAATCATAACTTAGTTCTATATGCTCTAGAACTTCATATAAATAGAATCATGCAGCATGTACTCTTTTGAGTTCTCCTTCACACAGCATAATGTCTTTCAGATTTAGTTATGTCGATGCACATATTATAATCATTCATTTTTGCTGCTGTGCAGTATTCCATTGTACCAATTTGTTTATCCATTCATCTGTTGATGGACATTTGAGCTGTTTCCAGTTTTAGCTACGGGGAATAATCCTGCTGTAAACATCCTTTTTGTGGACAAATATTTTTATTTTCTTGAATAAATACCAGAAGTAGAATTGCTGGGACATAGGGAAAATGAATGAGTAACTATATAAGAAATGGCCAGCAGGGCGCGGTGGCTCATGCCTGTAATCCCAGCACTTTGGGAGGCTGAGGTGGGCAGATCACCTGAGGTCAGGAGTTTGGGACTAACCTGGCCAACATGGCAAAACCCCATCTCTACTAAAAATATAAAAATTAGCCCAGCATGGTGGCAGGCACCTATAATCCCAGCTACTTGGGGGGCTGAGGCAGGAGAATCGCTTGAACCCGGGAGGCGGAGGTTGCAGTGAGCCGAGATCGCGCCATTGCACTCCAGCTT
The DNA here is from genome assembly GCF_000001405.40 of Homo sapiens. Taxonomy (NCBI): domain Eukaryota; kingdom Metazoa; phylum Chordata; class Mammalia; order Primates; family Hominidae; genus Homo; species Homo sapiens. The sequence continues at coordinate 41,190,245 of NC_000022.11, read as the reverse complement.
GGGCAACAAGAGCGAGACTCCATCTTTTTTTCTTTTTTCTTTTTTTTTTTTTTTTTTGCCTTTGAAGAAATCGTTTTTATGGAAAACATTATTATGCCAAAAGGCACCATCTCTGAAAACACAAACTACAATCATCCTCCTGAGGCAGATTCCACTGGGACTGCATTCAACTTAGAGCAAACTGTTAAACAAACTGAGACAAAATGGGAATACAACAGCATGGGCACTGACCTGTCCCCCAAGCCCAAAAGCTTCAATTACCCATTGCTCTCGTCCCCAGGTGATCAGTTTGAAATTCAGCTAACCCAGCAGCTATGGTCCCTCATCCCCAATGAGGATGTGAGAAGGTTCATGTCTCATGTTATCTGGACCTTGAAAATGGAATGTTCAGAAACACATGTGCAAGGGACCTGTGCCAAGCTCATGTCACGAACAGGCCTCCTGATGAAGCTTCTCAGCGAGCAGCAGGAAGCAAAGGCATCCAAGGCAGAATGGTCTGTAGACCAATGGAAAACTGATGAGACTCCATCTTAAAAAAAAAAGAAAAAAAAAATGGCCAGCAGGATGCAGTGGCTCATACCTATAATCCCAGCACTTTGGGAGGCTGAGGCAGGTGGATCACCTGAGGTCAGGAGTTCGAGCCCAGTCTGGCCAACATGGTGAAACCTCATCTCTACTAAAAATACAAAAATTAGCCAGGCATGGTGGCTTGTGCCTATAGTACCAGCTACTGGGGAGGCTGAGGCAGGAGAATTGCTTGAACCTGGGAGGCACAGGTTGCAGTGAGCCGAGATCACACCACTGCATACTTCAGCCTGGGCGACAGAGCAAGACTCCATCTCAAAAAAAAAAAAAAAAAAAAAAAAAAAGGCTGGGTGCCATGGCTCACGCCTGTAATCCCAGCAATTTGGGAGGCCGAGGCGGGCAGATCACCTGAGGTCAGGAGTTCGAGACTAGCCTGACCAACATGGAGAAACCCCATCTCTACTAAAAATACAAAATTAGCCAGGCATGGTGATGCATACCTGTAATCCCAGCTACTCGGGAGGCTGAAGCAGGAAAATCGCTTGAATCTGGGAGGTGGAGGTTGCAGTGAGCTGAAATCACGCCATTGCACTCCAGCCTGGGCAACAAAAGCAAAACTTTGCCTTAAAAAAAAAAAAAAGAAATGGCCAAACTTTTTTCCAAAATAGTTTCACTATTTTTACATTCTACCAGAATTAGATGAGAGTTTCCATTGCTTTATATCATTACTAACATTTGGTATTGTCCAACATTTTGTTTTAGCCTTTTTTGTGAGTATGACTGGTGTCTCATTGTGGCATTCAAATTTATTGAGATATAATTTATATACAATAAATCCATCTTTTTTAAATCAATGAGTTTTGACAGACGTACACAGTTGTGAAAGCACCACCATCACTTCCATCACCCCAAAAAGCTCCTTTGTGCCTCTTGCCCTTTCCCAACTACTTCCCCCTCGAAACCACTGCTTTCCTTTATTGTCTTTTCTCGAAATCCATATGGGATTTACTCTTTTGCATCTGGCTTTTTTTTTTCTTTTTTTTTTTTTTTTTTGGCTAGTTATGATTACTCATTTTATTTTATTTTATTTTTGTAGAGACAAGTGTCACTATGTTGCCCAGGCTGGAGTCAAACTCCTGGTCTCAAGCGATCCTCCTGGCTCGGCCTCCCACAGTGCTGGGATTACAGGTGTGAGGCACTGCACCCAGCAAATCTGGCTCTTTTCATTTAGCATAACGCTTTCAGATTCATTCATGTTGTTTATTTGCTCTTTGTTCCTTTTGATTGCTGGGTGATAATGCATTGTTTGAATGTATCACGATTGTTTACGCTGTTAGTAGCTGTTAGGTATTCCAGTGGTTCCTATCGTTTGGCTATTTTTAATAATGCTATCAAATGCTATCAACAGTCACATGAGGGTCTTTGTGTGGACATATGTTTTTATTTCTCTTGGGTAAATATCTAGACATGAGATTGCTAAGTGGTATGTTAAATGTATTTTATTTTTGATACATATCTATATTTATTTTAATTTTTTGAGAGGGAATCTCACTCTGTCATCCAGGCTGGAGTGCACTGCTGCGATCTCGGCTCACTGCAACCTCCCTCTCCCGGGTTCAAGCGATTCTTGTGCCTCAGCCTCCCGAGTAGCTGGGACTACAGGCGAGTGCCACCATGTTGGGCTAATTTTGTATTTATAGTGCAGACGGGGTTTCGCCATGTTGGCCAGGCTGGTCTTGAACTCCTGACCTCAAATGATCCGTCCGCCTCAGACTCCCAAAGTGCTGGGATTACAGGGGTGAGCCACCGCACCTGGCCTGAATTGCTTATACTTTTGATGAACATTTGTGTATGTGTTTTTGTGTGAACATATGTTTTCAGTTCTCTTGGGTGTATACTCAGGAGAATTGCTGGGTCCTATGGTAACTCTGTTGAACTTTTTTTTTTTCTTTTTTTTTTTGAGACGGAGTCTTGCTCTGTTGCCAGGCTGGAGTGGAGTGGCACAATCTCAGCTCACTGCAACCTCCGCCTCCCGGGTTCAAGCAATTCTCTGCCTAAGTCTCCCGAGTAGCTGGGACTATAGGCGTGTGCCACCGCACCCAGCTAAAATTTTTGTATTTTTAGTAGAGATGGGGTTTCACCATGTTGGTCGGGATGGTCTCGATCTCTTGACCTCGCGATCTGCCTGCCTCGGCCTCCCAAAGTGCTGGGATTACAGGCGTGAGCCACCGCGCCCGGCCAACTCTGTTGAACTTTTTAGAGGAACTGCTAGACTGTTTTCCATTTTCCATGATCACTAGCAGTGTATGAGGGTTCTAGTTTCTCCCTATTCTAGCCAATACTTGGTATTGTCCTTTGGACTACTGCCATCTGAGTGGGTGTGAAGCAGTATCTCATTTTGGTTTGACCTGCATTTCCCTAATGACTAACGGTTTTGAGCATCTTTTGGTGTGCTTATTGGCCATTTGTATATGTTCTTTGGAGAAATATCTACTAAAATCCTTTGCCCATTTAAAAAACTATATTACTCCTTTTTTAATTGTTGAGAGTAAGTTTGTTTTTCTTTTTTTTTTTTTTTTTTTTTTTTTTTGAGGTGGAGTCTTGCTCTGTCCCCCAGGCTGGAGTGCAGTGGCGAGATCTCTGCTCATGCAAGCTCCACCTCCCGGGTTCACACCATTTTCCTGCCTCAGCCTCCTGAGTAGCTGGGACTACAGGCGCCTGCCACCACGCCTGGCTAATTTTTTGTATTTTTAATACAGACGGGTTTTCACCATGTTAGCCAGGATGGTCTCGATCTCCTGACCTCGTGATCCCAAAGTGCTGGGATTACAGGCGTGAGCCACCGTGCCTGGCCTTTTTTTTTTTTTTTTTTTTGATACTGAGTCATGCTCTTGTCACCCAGGCTGGAGTACAATGGCGCGATATTGGCTCACTGCAACCTTTGCCTCCCGGGTTTAAGCAATTCTGCTGCCTCAGTTTCCTGAGTAGCTGGGATTACAGGCACCTGCCACTGTGCCTGGCTAATTTTTTTTTTTTTTTTAGTTGAGACAGGGGTTTCACCATGTTAGCCAGGCTGGTCTCAAACTCCTGACCTCAGGTGATCTGCCCGCCTCAGCTTCCCAAAATGCTGGGATTACAGGCATGAGCCACTGTGCCCGGCCGAAATTTTTAAGTATAGTCTAGATACAGAAATATGTGATCTGCAAATATATGCTCCCATTCTGTATATCTTTTTACTTCTTTGGTCATGTCCTCTGATGCATGAAAGTTTTGAGGTCTAATTTGTTTTTTCTTTGGTTGCTTGTGCTTTTTAGGTGTTATATCTAAGAAACCATTGCCTATTCCAAGATCATGAAAATTTATAACTATATTTTCTTTTTTTTTCTTTCTTTCTTAGATGGAGTTTCACTCTTGTCACCCAGGCTGGAGTGCAATAGAGCGATCATGGCTCACTGCAACCTCTGCCCCCCGGGTTCAAGCGATTCTCCTGCCTCAGCCTCTCAAGTAGCTGGGATTACAAGTGCCCACCACCACGCCCAGCTAATTTTTGTATTTTTAGTAAAGATGGGGTTTCACCACATTGGCCAGGCTGGTCTCTAACTCCTGACCTCACGTGATTCATCCATCTCAGCCTCCCAAAGTGCTGGGATTACAGGCATGAGCCACTGTGCCTGGCCTATACTTATATTTTCTTCTGTGATTTTAATATTTTAGTGTTTATGTTTTGGTCTATGATCCATTTTGAGTAAATTTTTATATTTGGTATAAGGTAGGGGTCCAACTTTATTTATTTTTGAGATGGAGGCTTACTCTATTGCCCAGGCAGGCATGCAATGGTGCGATCCAGCTCACTGCAACCTCTGTGTCCCAGGCTCAAGTGATTCTCCCACCTCAGCCATCTGAGTAGCTCGGATTACAGGCCCCATCACTATGGTAATTTTTAAATTTTTAGTAGAGACGGGGTTTCACCATGTTGGCCAGGCTGGTCTCGAACTCATGACCTCAAGTGATCTGCCCGCCTCTGCCCTACAAAGTGCTGGGATTACAGGCGTGAGCCACCGTGCCTGGCCTCCAGCTTTATTCTTTTTTTTTTTTTTTTTTTGAGACAGAGTCTTGTTCTGTCACCCAGGCTGGAGTGCTGGAGTGCAGTGGCGCGATCTCGGCTCACTGCAAGCTCCGCCTCCTGGGTTCACGCCATTCTCCTGCCTCAGCCTCCCGAGTAGCTGGGACTACAGGCGCCTGCCACCACGCCTGGCTAATTTTTTGTATTTTTAGTAGAGATGGGGTTTCTCCATGTTAGCCAGGATGGTCTCGATCTCCTGACCTCGTGGTCTGCCTGCCTCGGCCTCCCAAAAGTGCTGGGATTACAGGCGTGAGCGACCATGCCCGGCCAACTTTATTCTTTTAGATGTGGATGTCTAGTTGTTCCAGAAGTATCTGTTAAAAATGTTACTCTTTCTCCATTGGATTATTTTGGCAACCTTATAAACAATCAATTGACCATAAATGTATGGATTTATTTCTGGATTGTCAGATCTATTCCAGTGATCTAAATGTCTGTCCTTATGCCAGTACCATAGAGTCTTGATTACTATAGCTTCATGGTAAGTTTTCAAATCAAGAAGTGTGAGTGCTCCAAATTTGTTTTTATTTTTCAAGATTATTTTGGCTGTTCTGGCTTCTTTGGATTTTCATATGTATTTTAGGGTCAGCCTTTCAGCTGGGCATGGTGGCTCACGCTTGTAATCCCAGCACTTTGGGAGGAGTTCAAGATTAGCATGACAAAATCCCATCTCTACAAAACAAAAAACAAAACAAAAGAAACATTAGCCAGGCTTGGTGGCATGTGCCTGTGGTCCCAGCTACTCAGGAAGCTGAGTAGCTTCCCGAGGCAGGAAGATCACTTGAGACCAGGAGGTGGAGGTTTCAGTGAGCTGAGATCGTGCCACTGTACTCCAGCCTGGGTAATGGAGACAGACCCTGTCTGAAAACAAAAAAATTTTTTAAATAGGCTTTTGTTTTTTATTTTATTTAATTTTTGACACAGGGTCCACTCTGTAGCTCAGGCTGGAGTGCAGTCGTGTGATCTCAGCTCCCTGCATCCTCCGCCTTTTGGGTTCAAGCAGTCCTCCCGTCTCAGCCTCCCGAGTAGCTGGGACTTACAGGCGTGTGTCACCACACCCAGCTAATTTTTGTATTTTTAGTAGAGGTGACCATATTGGCCAGGCTGGTCTTGAACTGACTTCAGGTGATCTTCCTGCCTCAGCCTCCCAAACCCAAAGTGCTGGGATTACAGGTGTGAGCCACTGTGCTCAGCCTGTTAATTTTTTTTTTTTTTTTTTTTTTGAGACGGAGTCTCACTCTGTCACCTAGGTTGGAATGCAGTGGTGCCATCTTGGCCTCACTGCAACCTCCACCTCCCAGGTCCAAGGGATTCTCCTGCCTCAGCCTCCCAAGTAGCTGGGGTTACAGGCACGTGCCACCATGCCTGGCTAATCTTTTGTATTTTTAGTAGAGATGGGGTTTCACCGTGTTAGCCAGGACGATCTCGATCTCCTGACCTCATGATCTGCCTGCCTCGGCCTCCCAAAGTGCTGGAATTACAGGCATGAGCCACTGACCCTGGCCCAGGAGTATTGCTTTAACAATATAAGGTTTTCTGATTTATAAACAAGAATGTCTTTCCATTTATTTAGGTCCTTAATTTCTTCCAACAGTCTTTTCTAGTTTTCAATGTACAAGTTTTTTGCGCTTCTGTTACATTTATTCCTGGCCGGGCACGGTGGCTCCGCCTGTAATCCCAACACTTTGGGAGGCCAAGGCAGGCGGATCACCTGAGGTCAGGAGTTTGAAACCAGACTGAACAACATGCAGAAACCCCATCTCTACTAAAAATGCAAAATTAGCTGGGCGTGGTGGTGCATGCCTGTAATTCCAGCTACTTGGGAGGCTGAGGCAAGAGAATTGCTTGAACCCGGGTGGCAGAGGTTGAGGTGAGCTGAGATCACGCCATTGCACTCCAGCGTGGGTAACGAGTGAAACGTCTCAAAAAAAAAATTATTCCTAACATTTTATTCTTCCTTTTTTTTTTTTTGAGACAGAGTCTCGCTCTGTCACCAGGCTGGAGTGCAGTGGCAAGATCTCGGTTCAAGCCATTCTCCTGCCTCAGCCTCTTGTGTAGCTGCGACTACAGGTGCATACCACCATGCCCAGCTAATTTTTGTATTTTTAGTAGAGACAGGGTTTCATCATGTTGGCCAGGATGGTCTCGATGTCTTGACCTCGTGATCTGCCTGCCTTGGCCTCCCAAAGTGCTGGGATTACAGGCATGAGCCACTGTGCCCGGCCAATTTTTTTCTTTTTGATGCCAGCCTTTGTCCTCTGTCTTTAAGTAGGATGACCTCATCATGAACATAATACTGTCTGGAGATGTTTCCTTGGTTGTAAAATGAGAAGCCTAGGGAGATTATTTTTATGCTTCCTTAGTTGTCCCCTTCCCCTCCACTTTTCAGTGTTTAGTCTGTATTTTGAGTCTGCTTGAGTGTCCCTATGACACATCTGCTGGTTAATTTGCAGCCACCAGTGGGGCTTCTCTGCTGTAAAGGAGATAAAGGACATGGAAAGGAATGGCTTTGGAGTCCAACAGGCCATTGTCCTGGTAAGCCTTTTACTGGCTATGTGATCTTGAGGACCTTATTTCACCTGAGCTTGTTTTTCATTTGTTGAGTGGGGCTGTTATTGAGGAGTCAGTAAGCGAAGTGAATGACAGCACCTGGGGCACTGCTAGCACACTGGACCCATTTCATAGATTGATGTGCTGTAACAGCCCAGGAGGGTCTCACTCGGCCACCCTAGCAGAAATGCAGTGCCACAATCATGGCTTATAGCAGCCTCGACCTCCTGGGCTCAAGCAATTCTCCCCCCTCAGCCTCCCAAGTACCTGAGACTACAGGTGTGTGCCACCATGTTTTTTTTTTTTTTTTTTAATTATTTTTTGTAGAGATGAGGGTCTCACTCTGTTACCCAGGCTGGTCTCCCCACTCCTGGCCTCAAGTAATCCTTCCTCCCTCAGTCTCCCACAGTGCTGGGATTACAGGTGGAAACCTGCACCTGGCCTCTTCCTAACTTTTCATTGTGAACATCCAAAAAACTACAAACGTTGAAATCATCTTATTATATTGCTGACTCTGGATTAATCCGTATCTTCTACCTCCATAACACTATTTCTGATCTGGGAAAGGGCAGCTTTTCCCCCCGCCCTTCTTTTTTTTTTTTTTTTTTTTTTTGAGACGGAGTTTTGCTTGTCTCCCAGGCTGGAGTGCAAGGGCGTGATCTCGGCTCACTGTAATCTCCGCCTCCTGGGTTCAAGCTATTCTCCTGCCTCAGCCTCCTGAGTAGCTGGGATTACCAGTGCCCGCCACCACGCCCAGCTGTTTTTTTTAGTAGAGATGGGGTTTCTCCATGTTAGCCAAGCTGGTATCGAACTCCTGAACTCAGGTCATCTACCCGCCTCAGCCTCCCAAAGTGCTAGGATTACAGGTGTGGGCCACCGTGCCCGGGGCCTAGTTTTGTATTTTTAGCAGAGACGGGGTTTCACCATGTTGGCCAGGCTCGTCTTGATCCACCCATCTTGGCTTCCCAAAGTGTTGCGATTACAGGTGTTAGTCACCGTGCCCAGCCTCCTTCCTATTTAATGACTTCTGCCCCTACTTCCTGCTTTCATCATTGCAGTAAGAATGCACTGGTCTAACACTTCAACCCGGCTGTCTTTAGCCAGAGGCAGAGCTTTGAAACCTGGGAATTTACTGCTTGGAAATGGGATGGAATTCTAAACATTTCCCTTTTGAGGGTTTATTCACATGAATCCTGGGCCCCTAGTCTTAGGGAGCTGGAAGGCCGTATTTCTGGAACAGGTGTTCACTACTTCCGTTTATCGGGTCTCAGCCAAGTAGACCTGGAGCTGCTCCCTAGCAGAATGTGGTGCACTCTTCTGGGCGCCGCCTCCTCTCCTCCTCTTCCTATCTCTCCTCCAACATCCAGCTTCCATGCTACCCTTTCCAGAAACATTTCCAATTCCCATCAGCTAGGTTTTCTTTCATGGATTCCCTCTTGCATTCCTTGCATAGATCACTTGGTGCTTTGTACTTTGTCATGCTGTCTTCTAGACCTTAAGCTGGTTAGGTTGAGGGCAGGGCTGCATGCTGTTCATGTGTGCTCTGCCTGGCCTGGCACAGATGTAGCTGCTCCATGGATATCTGCGGGGTCACTGAGCTGAAGCAGGTGGATGCTGGATGCTTGATACTAGATACATTTTCTGGGGCTGGCTCTGATTAATGCTGAGTGAGTTCACCTCACATTAAGATGCTGGTAAGGTGGCTCATGCCTGTAATCCCAGCAATTTGGGAGGCCAAGGTGGAGGATCACTTGAGTCCAGGAGTTCGAGACCAGACTGGGTAACATAGCAAGACCCTGTCTCTATAAAAATTTTAAAAAGTCAGCCAGGCATGATGGTACACACCTTTGAGTCCCAGCTACTAGGGAGGCTGAGGTAAGAGGACTGCTTCAGCCCATGAGTTTGAGGCTACAGTGAACTACAATTGTGCCACTGCATTCCAGCCTGGGTGACGAGACTGTCTTAAAAAAAAAAGATGCTGGTTGTTTTCAGACTAAAATAGTAGCAACAGGTCAACGTATCTGAAATCCTTTAGCAGTCATATATGGTTAGTGTAAATCTCTGTGATAAAAGAAAGATCTGGAATTGATACCAAAGCAGCTCAGTACTTTTTAGTGTACTAACACATTTGTTTTAACAACTTGTTCACAGCTACTGCAATGTTCAGATGGAGGATCAATAATCTCTCCATTCTTTGAGCATCTAGCATATTACTGGACTCATGTGTAATCTCTCTCAGCCTTCTAGGTTTTATTTCCACACATTTTCCTTCCCTTCAACCCGATTCCAACTGACTTCTTTGTATTCAGTTAGCAAACAGGAGTGTTCCCCTAGCTTCATCTTCTCTGTTTTTAAAAGACGGAGTCTTTGGAGTGCAGTGGTGAGATCCTGGCTAACTGCAACCTCCACCAGGATCTGATTCTCCTGCCTCAGCCTCCCAAGTAGCTGGGACGGCAGGTGCCCACCACCACGCCCTGCTGATTTTTAGTAGAGATGGGGGTTTCACCATATTGGCCAGGCTGGTCTTGAACTCCTGACCTCGTGATCTGCCTGCCTTGGCCTCCCAAAATGTTGGGATTATAGGCGTGAGCCACCATGCCTGGCAAGTCTTGTTTTTTCCAAGAAGTTACTTGGGACTTAGGCAGATATGATCCGTCTTCTTAGGTCCTCCTTCTCATCCCTGTAAGATGAAGGTGATTGGAAGACCATGAGGTCATCCTTAAGGGGTCCTGTATCAAGGTGTTAAGTAGGTTATCACTTCCACCTTGACTGTTAGCTGGTACCTGCAGTACTTTTTCCCAGAACTTTGGATAAATTCACCAAGATCTACTTGTGAATACATTATACGTAGTAGATTAAAGAGGCTATAAGCTAATGCTTTCACTTTTTCCTCTGAATCCTAAGCATTAGGCACTTAAAACGGGTGTACTCCAAGACAAAGATGTGTTATCAAGTGAAACAAAGTCAGGGTGTCTGTCTCACACAGTTTATTTAACAATAGGTAATAAGAAATCAAATTTAACAGTCTATACAGTGATCCAAAGTTCATATTTATAAGTAATCAACTTTAATTGCATGATTTACAACAGTTGAGGGTTTTTGCTATTTTCAAGTTTTATAGAAAGTGTGTGTGTGTGTGTGTGTGTGTGTGTGTGTGTGTGTGTGTGAGTGGGGGGTAGGGTAAGGAGGAAGAAAGCAAGCAAAGAAGAAACCCCCAGGGACATTTTGCATGTTAAAATCATCCCACCGGAATCGTTTCTTACCCTCTTTTTAATTTTTTTACTTTGTTAGATGTAAAAATAACGAAAAAAATTCTTTCAAGAAACAGAAACCACAATATATAATACATCAATTTGGCAGCTGCCCCTGTATATTTTTGAAAAAGTCATTTTTCTCTCTACATGTACAAATTATTTTAATACTTGAAGTTTTACGCTCAGACTTACAGAATAGAAAATTTTCTGGAGCACAAAAGTTGACTTGAGGGGAAGAAAGGCAGTTTTTTTTTTTTTTTAAACATTTTTTAAAAGAATGAACATCTTTGCACCCAGAGAAAAAAAACTGGTATTTTAATATATATTTATATATATTTATATATATATAGAATGTAATTTTAAAGTAACATTAACCCCTTTTGTCCTCTGGTTTAGAAATGTTTTAACTCTTCCATAAAGTGAGGAAAATAGGGAAAAATGTCAACCATCTGCACCAGTAAATAATAACTATTAATATTACATATGTTCATTAATTTAAAAAAAATAATAAAACCTATTGGAGGTGCAAGGCAGGAGCATATTGTTTGGCTTCACAGGCCTCAGCCTCCTCCCAGTGCACACTTGAACCACACACACAAAGGGGAAGAAAGGCTGGTGGTAACCAGCCATAACAAAAATATATTCTTTGTATTCTATCATCCCTCAGGTTCATCTTGCATGTTTGCTTTAAACCACAAACGGCTACTGCACAGTTCTTATGTGTTCCAAGGAAAATTGTCTTTTAGGCTACGAAAGATTCAAAAAAATTGTTTTCAGTACAAAAAGTCTTGTTAAGAGAAAATAATTTTTTTGCTCCCAAAATACTACAAGGTGTCTCTAGTGTATGTCTAGTGTACTCTGTGAGAGGTTTGAATTCAAGTCTGAGTTATCGGTGCTGAGTCCCAGGTCCGTGGCGCTTGCACCATGGAGGTTTGCCATGCCTGGATTGCTAGCAAGCTGAGAAAGCATTGAATTCTGGTCCGGGCTGGCAAAATGCCCTTGTTCCATGGGGTTGGCCTGGGCAGCTACCAGTCCAGGATGTGGGGAACTTGTCTGTGGGGAAACGTGGTGTGGAGAAGGCTGAGGCTGCATCCTTGGGGAAGGACTGGAGTGGGGGGGCTGGGACTGTGGCCGTGGAGAAGGGACAGGCTGGGGAGAGCGCACTTGATTGGAGAGAGAATTAGGGATCTGCTGGCCTTGTAGGTGTGGGGACTGGGCCTGATTTGGGAGCATATGCTGCTGGGGGCTCATGGGGTTGGGCTGAACAGGGGACCCCATCTGTTGCTGAAGGAGTCGCTGCTGATAGGCCTGTAGACTGGCACCTGCCTCTGCTCCCAAGGCCTGGGGAAGCTGGCCTATCTGTCCCATATTTCCTTGTTGCATCTGTTGCATGTGATGCTGCATCCGCTGCTGCTGCTGTGGTGGGTAGCCAACTCCTTGGGGTTGCTGGAACTGGTTATGGTTGGCCATTCCAGGGCCTATTCCTGGCCCTGCTCCCTGTTGCTGCTGCTGTTGCATCATTTGCTGTCGTCTCAAGATGTCTCGGAATTGTGAAGGCATGGTGTTGTGGTTCATGTTCATCTGCTGAGCCTGGGGGCTCATCCCTCCCATGGGTGGCTGGAGTTGCTGCTGTGGTTGCTGCTGGGGCAGGCCAGCCCTCTGAACGCCCGCCTGCATTGGATTCATGTTCTGCATGGCTGGATTGGAGTGGACCCCCTGCTGACCTGGCATGGTAGGTGGCTGTAGCCCTGGCTGCCCCTGGGGCATGCCAGGCTGCCCAGGGATGGGTTGTGGATTAGAGTTGGCATACTTGGCAGCCCGCTGCTTGATGAATGCAGCCAACAGCTGGGGGTTGGCGTGAAGGATACTAAGCACCTGTTGCTGCTGCAGGGGAGAGCTGGGAGACCTGAGAGTCCGCAAAAGGTTTTGTAAGGCTTGTTGAGACACAGTGCCTGGTTTGAGTGGGCTGATACCTACCTGGCCCAATCCTGGTTGTGGAGCCATGTTCAAAGGTTGACCATGCTGGGCCACTGACATCATGGCTGGCCTTGGCATCCCAGACTGTAGTTGCTGGGGCTGAGGCAATCCTCCTTGGCTCCAGGGTGGCTGTTGCTGCATCCCTGTCGGTCCCATCCCTGGCTCCAAATGCCCACTGGGACCTCTGGTCATGGGAGGTGGGTTCATACCCATGGGGGCCATGGGAGTCATCGGGGGCATCTGGTGTTGGATTGGCCTTTGAAAAATTTGCACGTGGGCCATCTGGCGCTGCGTCTCCGCTGCTCTCTGAATCTGCATTGCCATTTCCACTGCTGCAGGTGGGGGCCCTGGAAGGGGTGGCTGAGCAGTCTGAGGAGGGGTTGGAGGGGTCACCTGGCCTGCTGCCTTACCCTGGGACACAGGGCCAGCAGCTTGAGTCCTGGGCAAGTAGGGTGGCATGCTATTGGGAGGGGTAGGCTGAGGCTGAGAAGTGGGCTGGGGCGTCTGCGGGGTGGTTGGCTGTTGGCCAGTTGGTGTCGTTGGAGTGGCAGGAGTGGGGGAAGGGAGGCCCTGTTGCTGCCCAACCACACCAGTCCGCTGCATGCTGGCCATCCTCCTGCGAAGCATTTGGGCCTGCTGTAGTCGGTGCTGCAGCTGTTGCTGCCGGAGCTTCTGCTTGATGTTTAGGCAGAACGGCACCGGGCATTTGTTCTCCTGGCAGTGCTTGGCATGGTAGCAGCAGAGGGCAATGAGCTGCTTGCAGATGGGGCACCCGCCATTGGTTTTCCGTTTGCAACCCTTGGTATGCTGCACAACCCGCTTCATCTTCTGGCAGGATGGCAGTGAGCAATTGGCATTCCGACACTGGCAAGCATGGACCAGAGACTGGATGCAGCGCTGGATACTCAGGCGGCGAGAATCGCCTGGGCTCTGGGTGGCTGCAGCCTGCTGGTTGTTGCTCTCATCATCTAAGCCAAGGCCTAGTTTCTCCATTTTGTGGTCATGGTTTTTAGTGTTATAGCAGGTGATACACAAGTCATAATCCTAGGGAAAAAACAGGAGGTGCACGTAAACTCTCCAAGATTTAAGTCATTCAAAAGTATTTTAGATATTGTTTGGGCTAGAAAAGCCCCTTTCGTAGAACAAAAACTAGCCTCTTCAGCTCTGCCCCTCAAACACGAGGCCAAGCCCCTAGCATCCCACAGGCCTCTATAAAATACGTGGCTGCATGGCCCCTCAGAACAACCCTGCGGAGCTCACCTCCTCCTTCCCACAACCCGGTGCCTACCTCACAGACAGTACAGTGCCAGCGTGTCTCCACATGGTGCTTGCATTCATTGCAGGTGTAGACAAAGCGGTCCTGGCTCTGCGTGTGCAGCTCCACCAGCATGCACATGGTGGACCACTGGGCTCTTCGGAGTGAAGAGAACTCCAGGTGCTTGTCCCTTGCCAGCGTGAGAAACGCATCCCGACCATCCATCAGATCGCAGGGGATGAGAGGATCAGGATCAACAATGGGAGGCAGGGAGTTGGCAGCAGGGCCAGCAATGAGGCGGATCACAAAGAAGACCTGAAAAACAGACAGTCTCTTTTTTTTGAGACAGGGCCTCGCTCTGTCATCCAGGCTGGAATGCAGTGGCGTGATCTTGGCTCACTACAACCTCTGCCTCCTGGGCTCAAGCAATTATCCCACCATGGCCTCCTGAATAGCTGAGACCACAGGCCCACACCACCACACCTGGCTAATTTCTGCATTTTTTGTAGAGACGAGGCTTCGCCATGTTGCCCAGGCTGGTCTCAAACTCCTAAGCTCAAGTGATCTGCCTGCCTCAGCCTCCCAGAGTGCTGGGATTACAGGTGTGAGCAGGTACAGCAGGCTGAGCACCAATGAGACTGGCGAATGCTGAGTTAGTTTCACCACCATACGCCTCCTGTTCCTTTTCCTGCTTTACCTCTTTGGTCTCTTGAGACTGACTATAAATAGAACTGAAATGCACATCCTGTGATTTTTTTCTCCTTCATTCAGTAACTCCTTCAGAGTAACAATGGTCTGGGTGAGGTATAGCACCATGCACAGTGGACATTTTGCCTCAAGGCAGTCTACTTTAAGATGCAATCCATGGTTTAACCTCAATCTAATTACAACAAACCAGACAAATCCAAATATGGAGACAGTATGAAAAACAACTGGCCTGGACTCATGAAGGTCCCCTATGCAACTTTCCTGTGTAACTTTTCCTACAGGTTTGGAAGGGAATGGAATGGATAAAAAATCTTAGTCTTTGTTGACAAAGCAATAAAATTCTTGTTCATTGAAGTTTGAAAAAACTTGTAACAACCATCAATTCTCATAACCATTAGTGTAAAAGGTATAAAAAGCTGGTATTACATATGTATTTGACATTAATTAGTATATAACTATAAACACCTATTAAAGTAATAAAATGTAAAACATCCCCTTAAGAAATTAGGAACTTGTGAGAAACTGCTGTACTGATAACAGATTATTCAACATCTGTGCACACTGGCAGCCACACTCACAGTCTCTGGCCAGCAATGTTCGCTGCTTCTGTCACCCTACAACCAGGCCAATACTTGGATTTACAACCTAAATTTAAACAGCCATGGAATGTGTCCACAATTTAAGTCAAACCTATTACAATATATTCTAAGGGCTTTTCCCAACTGCCTAGGATTCTGTGGCATTACTTACTGCTTGAAATAGCTAGTAACTATTAATTGTTAATAATCATTACCTAACGTATTAGAACTCAGGAATCCTTCCATTTCACTAGCATGGCTGAGATAATGGTTATTACCATTATTACATCGTAGCCCATTATTCTAGGCTAACAAAAAAGGGGTGGTGATGGGGGGAGCAGTGGGGGAAAAGATACTTTGAACACCTATGTATATAGGTGTTCACCATGATAACATCATTATAACAAATTCCTCTCTAAAAAAGATTTTGTTAACTATTTCTCTCCCAAAGAGACTGTTTAACCAATTTTTAGGTACGGAATTACAACCTGAAATCAAGCCTTCATTTCCCTCTCAACTTAATTACCACTTCCTATAAGAACTTGATTATATGTCTGAGAACCGAGATAGTAAAATGAGGAGTCTGACTGAACAATCGAGATTACTACCATTGGACAAACCCTGAGAGGAATTACTCTTCAATTCTCCTGGCTTTCGTTATCAATTATATGATATTAAAGAGAGAAAAAAAAAACCTTACCCAGTTATTTTCCCAAATGACTGCAAGAACAACTAAACAATGTAAATGATGAAATAACTCAAAAAGTTTTGAGAAGGGGGTTGTAAGTCCATATGTGGAAGTTTAACTTTTCTCCAATTCTATTTACTAATTCACTTTCAGAAAGGTTAAATCTTTTTATTTTTTGAAACAGAGTCTCGTTCTGTCACCCAGGCTGTAAGTGCACTGCAACCTCTGCCTCCCAGGTTCAAGTGATCCTCCCACCCCAGCATCCCAAGGATTACAGGTGTGTGCCACCACGCCAGGCTAATTTTTGTATTTTTAGTAGAGACGGGGTTTCGGTTCGCCATGTTGGCCAGGCTGGTCTCCAACTCCTGACCTCAAGTGATCCGCCTGCCTCAACCTCCAAAGTGCTGGGATTACAGGCATGAGCCACCACGCCCAGCGAACAGTCAGTGTTTTTATTCATTTCTTATTTCTTTTTCTGAGGTGGAGTTTCGCTCTTGTTGCCCAGGCTGGAGTGCAATGGAGTGACCTCGGCTCACTGCAATCTCCGCTTCTCAGGTTCAAGCAATTCTCCTGCCTCAGCCTCCTGAGTAGCTGGGATTACAGGCATGTGCCACCATGCCCAGCTAATTTTGTATTTTTAGTAGAGCAAGGTTTCACCGTGTTGGTCAGGCTGGTCTTGAACTCCTGACCTCAGGTGATCCACCCGCCTTGGCCTCCCAAAGTGCTGGGATTACAGGTGTGAGCCACCATGCCTGGCCAGAAATCTTGCCGTTTTTCCCCAACTCTGGGTGGCTGCATCTTACCTCTTTATGCTTCTCCATGGTGGCATATAGTTTCTGTGAGAGGTCGTTAGATACATTGGGCATCCCGGGTTTCTTCTTGTTGCCCCTACTCAGGCTGCTCTTATTTTTGCTGGTTTTCTTATTATTCTTCTTTTTAGCATTTTTGCTGTCTCCCTTGGTCACCTGCAGAGTAGCACAAAGGAGACAAGAAAATAAGGTTTTTGTTAAGTAATTTGGGAATAGCACAGAATATCTCCCTTCTTTGAAACTAGATATCATAATCTTATGCCTGTAACTTATTTTACTAGCTGTTCTCTTCACTTATTCTTTCTCCTTAAAGTTGTTATTTGACCTAATTTTCTCCCAGTGATCTTTAAGGCAATGGCAGCCCTTTAGCTTTTTGCCTAGAAGAGGCCACAGAATGTGCAGACCCTGTAGATTGATTGAATGTATCCCAGATTGGGGCTAGGGAACAAGGAAGGGGTGGCACTTTGGGGTAGTGAAGAGTGTATCAAAGTGGGGAGCCAGAAGACCTTGGTTTTATTTCCTTCCACTCATATTCTAAAATGTTATGAGCCTACAAATACTAAATGACAAGGCTGTAAGAGTTTGTTAACAGACTATTTAAGGGTGCCTTTTGTTAAGTTAAATTCAATGGAGGTAATTCGAGATATGCTATGGGGAAATAACTGGTGAGGTTACTAAGCCAGGCTTAGTAACTTAAATTCTGGCTCAGGCCTATTTTGTATAGCTAAGAATGGTTTTTTACATTTAAAAAGAGTGTGTTTTTAAAAGACAGAAAATATGCCAGAGATATGTGACCCACAAGGCCTATAATATTCATAACCTAGTCCTTCAGATAAGTAATCTTCTATCAGTTTTTCAGGATTTCCTTCAGTTTCTTTTATCATTTCACATTACTCAAAGTCTGAGATGCCATTTTAAAAGGGGCTCTGATGCTTTAAAAGTTTAATACCACTGAAACAGAACCCTAATAACCTCTCTAAGCCAATATTTCTTGTCCAACTTAAAGAGCTCTTTTACACCTGAAAGCTTTAAAACCCAATTGAAAGTTTAAGTGCACTTCTGGATTAAATATTAGAATCATGATAGAAGTTTCAAAGGAAACTCAATGCCCTTACATCTGTGCTTTCATTGCTGGTGTTTTCCTCTCGTTTTCTCTCTTCTTCCTCCTGTTCCAGTTCCTTAATGCTTTCTTCCAGAACATTGGGCCAGAAATCACCCTCGAAATAAGGCAATTCCTTTGCACTTGTTAATCTATCTTCAGTAGCTTGTTTAAAAATATCCTGTGAAAACATGCATGTACATATAGGAATTTCTATGTTCTTTTAAAGCATTGATTATACAGAATAATCATGGCTGACAAGAAACATGAAAGCTTAAAATGTCTTGAAAGCTGGCAGAGACTTTATACCTAAGCCGTAAGCCAGGGAGTATTTAGAAAAATAAATAGTGAAAAGGCCTGGCCTAAAGTCAATATTTCCGGTTTTCTATTTCTTCTACCCACAAAAACAGGGAGCTTATCTGCCTTTATATAACCAAGTGGCAATTATCCTGCCAGGATCAACGTCAGGGTGGTAGCACCATCATGCATGCCATGGCCCCTACCACTCCTTATCACAGAATATGTGGTATGAAGCATGCCCTCCTCACACCCATCCTTGGAATTTCAGCAGCTTTTACTGACAGCTTTGTTCAAAATGACCAAAACTACAAATACTGGAAATAGTATCTGCTGCAGAATGATTTGCTGGGCTGCTTAGGAAAACTTCTTTATTTAGTTGAACTACTAAATTGAGGAAGACAAGTCTGTATCATGAGACAACCTATATTTATGAATAACATAATACTGTTAATTAAGAATATATTTTTGGCCAGGTGCAGTGACTCACACCTGTAATCCCAGCACTTTGGGAGGCCGAGGCAGGTGGATCACCTGAGGTCAGGAGTTCGAGACCAGCCTGACCAATGTGGAGAAACCCCGTCTCTACTAAAAATAGAAAAAATTAGCCTGGCTTGGTGGTGCATGCCTGTAATCCCAGCTACTCGGGAGGCTGAGGTAGGACCATCACTTGAACCCAGGAGACTGCACCATTGCACTCCAGCCTGAAACTCCGTCCAAAAAAAAAAAAGGGAGAATATATTTTTGGCTGGGTGATGTGGCTCATGCCTATAATCCTAGCACTTTGGGAGGCTGAGGTGGGCAGATCACTTGAGCTCAGGAGTTTGAGACCAGCCTGGGCAACATGGTGACATCCTGTCTCTACAAAAAATATACAAAAATCAGCTAGCTCTCGTAGTGTGCACCTAGTCCCAGCAACTCAGGAAGCTGAGATGGGAGGATGGCTTGAGCCTGGGAGGCACAGGTTGCAATGAGCGGGTATCATGCCACTGCACCCTAGCCTGGGTGACAGAGAGTGACCCTTTCTGAAAACAAAACACCCACACCCCTAAAACCCTAACCAACCCAAACCAAACCAACAAAAAACCAAAACAAAAAGATATATTTTAAGGCCGGGCACAGTGGCTCATGCCTGTAATCCCAGCACTTTGGAATGCTTGAGGCCAAGAGTTCAAGTCCAGCCTGGGCAGCATGGCGATACCCCAACTCTATCCCCACCCTCCCCCCAAAAATAAATAAAATAAAATTTTGGTTACATGTTTAAAACAGGGATTTCTTGATCTACCGCTCTTCAAAACCTGGTTTTTCTTATATTGAAAAATTTTGAATATACAAAATAAAAGCAATCAAATTAGCATTTTTAGGAATTACATGCAAGAGGTAGAACAAGCAAGACTTTTGTTTAAAAAAAAAAAAAAAAGGCTGGGCACGGTGGCTCATGCCTGTAATCCCAGCACTTTGGGAGGCCAAGGCGGGCGGATCACAAGGTCAGGAGATCGAGACCATCCTGGCTAACACGGTGAAACCCCGTCTCTACTAAAAATACAAAAAAATTTAGCCGGGTGTGATGGCAGGAGCCTGTAGTCCCAGCTACTCAGGAGGCTGAGGCAGGAGAATGGCATGAACCCAGGAGGCGGAGCTTGAAGTGAGCCAAAATCGTGTCACTGCACTCCAGCCTGCGTGACAGAGCGAGACTCCGTCTCAAAAAAAAAAAAAAAAAAAAAAAAAAGTTAAATGACAGAACAAAGAGCAGCAACATTAGTGCATTTCCAGATCTATTGTCAGCACCTGGCCCCTATGTCCCAACTGACCTTGTAGTCATGGACAATACGCTCTGATACAGCCTTGTCAAGCATTTTTTTGTACCATTCCTGCAGTCGCTTGGGCTTGGGTATCTTCTGGTCAGGAGGATGGCAATGGAAGATATAATCATCTCCCTCACTTGGTGGACATGCCCAAATATGCCCTGTTGTGTAACTAACAATACAAAGAGAAAGAACATTAAGGAAAAGAGATAATCTATTCTAGAAGGCTACATTTTAAACCACAAGTTGGAGTTGATATAGATACCAATAATTTTTCCCAAGATAACACAGTGTATATATAACCCAGAATGAGATTAACATTGTGAGGCCAAAATTAGGCATAACTCACAGTAGTAACAATGGATCTCATATTGCCTACTTATTTTTGGAGGCCATGGTGGGATGTTGCGAATCTCAGCCACGAAGTGGGTGACTTAGCCCTGGATCCAAAAACCCTAAGTCTGCATGTTAAGACCAAATGAAGATTACACTGCAAAGGAAAATGGACCCATTTAACAAGAGCTAAATTAAAAGGCACACTGTTCAGAGAAACAGACTTCAAGATGAGGGAGTGAATGTTTCCAATGACATACATACTCTAAAGGTAAGAAGTATCTCCAGAACTGTTTTTGGTCTTCATACCCAGGTTGTAAAAGGATCAAATGCAGTTAAAATTCTGCCCTCAAATGAGGGGCACAAATCAAACTTCAAAGCAAAGTGGACCCAATGGCTTAGCTTACAAACAAAACTAATGTTGGATGGGTGAAACTAGGGCCAACATATCCATTTCTCTCTACTGACATTAACTTCAAAGGGGCTCCAACAAAGTTAAGAGAATTGTTACGTAAGAACTAAAATGAGGAAAAAAAGGCCAAGAGTTATATATTTGCATATTTAACCTATATCTCACCAGAATGCCATGCTAGTTAAAGAAAAAAAGCCATTATCAAAATATGCTTACCCTAATTTCTTGACATATTCTAAATATCCAATTAGGATTTCATGATAGACTGCAGTCCTCAAGCATTTAGGACGGAAGAAATGAACACTATCGAGGTAAGATATGTATACTCTCCTATACAAAATGAAGAGAAATGAAGAGGAAAAAAAAAGTCAGGTCACATAATGAGTTCTTTACTCCATGTGCCTAATAACACCCTCTCACTCTCCCAGGCTCTTTGCTCACATCGTTATTTGTGAAGCTCATCACAGGCAGGTAGGCGACTCCGCCGTGAACCCTTCAGGGAAGTTCAGTGAGCCTGTGGTTTCCTTCTATTTGTAGTAACTAGCAGTGCCTGGCACATACACATCAATCAGTATTTGGTGATCCCTATACGTTTTTATTATTGCCTTTATACTATTTTTGGAGAAAAGAAATTCCCACCCGATTTGTATGATATATTTTCACATAGCTACTTAATCCAGATTTAAGCTCATTTTCTGAAGAGTAGTACGTTTGTTTTCAAATTCCAATTTCAGGTTGCTATTCATATCCTTTATTACTATGACCACAGAAGAGCAGTATTGAGCGGTTATTTTGTTTGGGGGTTTGCTTTTTAATCTGTTTCACTTTAAAATTACTGGACACTTGAGATTTTGCATTTCCAAACCAAACACACTAAACATTTTCTTGCCTGTTATGCTTTTCCACCTATTATAAGTTGGAACTCCCACACAAATCCGGAGCTAGCCACTGTGAGCTAGTCATACCTCTGGTTGGGTGGAGGGCAGTCAGAGCCATACTCTTGAACATGCATGCCAAAGAAGCACAGGTCAACACCATCAATTTCTTCAAAGGCAAAGAGGGCTTTGGTTCGGTATGGAAAGGATTCTGCCATCTCTCCACTGTCCACAAACCTATACAATTGAGATGGTGGGGGAACCACAACATAACTCATTCAGACTGGAATCACCAATAGTAACCATGTATGAGCAATTTTGGATCCACGAGGAGAAGAAAAGTGAAATGACTAGATACCTTGCTTTCATGCCTGGTTTTACTTCCACGGTTTTGTCAGAAGCATGAACTACTCTAACAGTGACCTCTCCTGACTCAGGGTGATTCTGTCGCCTCAGAAAGTCATTCACACGATTCTCTAGAAAGGTGCCAAGTCTGGTAGATGGCAACCCTAGGAATGTAAAAGTTAAAAGTTACTGAGGTGCAAATTTACTGTTGTTAGTCTTAAGGTTCAACCTCAAATCTCATTTGTACTTTTTTCAATACAAACAGGATAACTTGGTGAAATTTTAAAAAATCATAGCAAAGTAGTCACTACTTTGCAGATTTACATGTCATATGAGTGCAGGGAACATGCTAATCTTCATATCATTCTAATTTTAATACATGTGCTATTAAAGCAGACACAGTACTCAATAATTTCTAAATATCATTTTCCCCAACTTCTCATTTTGAAAAATTTCCAATTTTGGAAGAGTTTATAAAAATACAGAACAGGGGCCGGGTGCGGTAGCTCATGCCTGTAATCCCAGCACTTTGGGAGGCTGAGGTGGGCGCATCACCTGAGGTCAGGAGTTCGAGACCAGCCTGGCCAACATGCTGAAACCCCGTCTCTACTAAAAATACAAAAATTAGCCAGGCATGGTGGTGCACGCCTGTAATTCCAGCTACTTGGGAGGCTGAGGCACGAGAATCGCTTGAACCCGGGAGGCAGAGGCTGCAGTGAGCTGAGACTGCGCCACTATGGGCGACAGCGAGACTCTGTCTCAAAAAAAAAAAAAAAAAAAAAAAAACAAAAAAAAAAACAAAAACAAACAGAAATAGAACAATGGCCAGGAGACAAGGCTCACACCCATAATCCTAATCCTTGTACTTTGGGAGGCTGAGGTGGGAGGATTGCTTGAATCCAGGAGTTCAAGATCAGCCTGGACAACACAGTGAAACCTTGTTTCCAAAAAACAAAAAACCCAACCAACCAAACATTATATATATATATATATATATATATATATATATATATATATATATATATATACACACACACACACACACACACACAAATATATAAACAATGAACATCTCTATGTACTTTGCCTAGATTGCAGTAATATTTTAAAGTAACGAAGGTTGAGCATTTTGAGAAACCTTACAAGAATCAAAATAATCTGTAGATCAGTAAAACACCCCAAAACTAAATCAAATACTACATTTAGATTATTAGTGTTAATTACTTACATGATAAAATTTTTGACATCCTCCTGGCACAGTAGAAAACAATCACATAAGGCCAAAAGGTAGCCCATATAAATGGTGTGAACTGAGGGGTTGGGCATGGTGGTTCACGCCTGTAATCCCAGTACTTTGGGAGGCCAAGGTGGGTGGATCACCTGTGATCAGGAGTTTGAGATCAGCCTGGCCAACATGGCAAAACGCCATCTCTAATAAATTACAAAAATTAGCTGGGTGTGGAGGCACATGCCTGTAGTCCCAGCTACACTGGAGGCTAAGACAGAAAAATCACATGAACCTGGGAGGCGGAGGTTGCAGTGAGCTGAGATCGTGCCACTGCACTGTGCAGCCTGGGGGACAGAGTGAGACTCTCAAAAAATAAAATAAAAAATAATAAATAAACAAACTGAGAGATGGCAATTCCGGCCAATCATTTCCACACCTTATTCCTCCTTTATGAAATGCCCCAAATAGGGAAAAATATAGGAACAGGAAAAACACGTATCTTGTGCATTCTACAAATCCGTTCCTTGGAAATTTTTTTCTTTGGTCTAATAAATTTCACACCAAAAAATATATTACAGATCAACTATAAGGAGATTATAGAATTATTTTATTTTTACTCTATTACTGTGATTAAAAACAAAGTAATTCACTTTGGATGGTTTCTTATCTAGGCTTCAGATAAGTTTTGCCAAAATTTACCTTTAAGAATAAAACTTACTTTTAGCAGAAAACTTATTTTCTTTCCTAGTTCGTGCACTTTTCTTTAAACAGCCATCACAGACGAATCTAAATGTAAACCAAAACTTTGCTTACACAACTTAGATAAACCGTTGAATTTATACTAACAAAAAGTTAAAATTCAAAAGACAATCTAGCAGAAGTATTTCTAAATTTCTAATGAAGAGTTAATAAAACTAATACACAAAGAGCTTTTAGAAATCAGTAAGAATAAAAAAGATAATTGAAAATCAAGCAACAGACATGAAGAAACATGAAGGGCATATAAATTGGTTTACACAGGAAAAGATGATCAAGGATTACAAATCAAGATAGGTTTTGCTAATGTGATAGGGGAGAAAAATCCTAAGAGGTGACATTTCCTATATGCTACTAGTTGGAAAGTACATTTTGAGAGTAGAACCAATAGATTCAGCTACTGCAAATGCACATGATATTTGTCTCCTAAGTAGTTTCTTGTATAAACTTGTTCATCAACCAAGTAAATAAATGGATTATAGTATGTTACAGAATACTATGCATCCATTAAAAATGCAGCAGACATAAATGAGTGTCTATGACCAGCCAGGCGTGGTGGCTCCCGCCTGTAATCCCAGTACTTTGGGAGGTCGAGGTGGGTGGATCTTTTGAGGTCAGGAGTTCAAGACCACCCTGACCAACATAATGAAACCCTGTCTCTAGTAAAAATACAAGAATTGGTCAGACATGGTGGTATGTGCCTGTAATCCCAGCTACTCGAGAGGCTGAGGCAGGAGAGGCTGAGGCAGGAGAATTGCCTGAACCCAGGAGGTGGAGGTTGCAGTGAGCTGAGATCACACCATTGCACTCCAGCCTGGGTGATGAAAGTGAGACTCAATTAAAAAAGTCTATGACTTATAACAAAATACAAAAATTAAAAATTAAATACACATAAATCAAGAAAATGTGCCAGGTGCAGTGGCTCATGCTGTAATCCCAGCACTTCGGGAGGCCGAGGTGGGTGGATCACCTGAGGTCGGGAGTTCAAGACCAGCCTGACCAATATGATGAAACCCTGTCTCTACCAAAATACAAAAATTAGCCGGGCATGGTGGCACACACCTATAATCCCAGCTACTAGGGAGGCTGAGGCAGGAGAATCACTTGAACCTGGGAGGCAGAGGTTGCAGTGAGCCGAGATCGCGCCACTGCACTCCAGCCTGGGCAACAAGAGCGAAACTCTGTCTCAAAAAAAGAAAAAAAGAAAATGTATGATTGTATGTACAAAAGAGTGTTATTCCTGTAGTGAGGAATCTGGGTGGGAAGAGAGAAGCTGAGACCGTCGCTTTTTACTTCATAAACTGTCATACTATTCAAATTTTATAATGAACATAAATTACTTTTAAGAAAAAGCAAGCTTAACACAGTAATAACAGATTATTTTCATTCAGTTGACTGATCCTAAATTAGAAGAACCACAAGAAGTCTCTTAATCATTCTTACGAAATCTGTTAAGGAAAGCACTAAAAAGGCACACTTAAAAGACAAGTCACACTGAAAATAAAGTATCCACTAAACCATCACCTATTTTCCTTAGTGTTATTTTCTATGTGAAAATAACGGTGAAAAAAAGAAAAGTGAAATCTGTCAATTAGCCTGCCCTTTCTTGTAACCTCCAAATCAGGAACAACAATCAGCCCAAGAACAGAGCAGAAGAGATGGAGATCCCATCTTAATGAGAGGCACTGGATGTCCCATATACCCGCTTCCTTTGGAACATGGCTGGGATTAGTTCCTCTTGTACAGAGCGATGGCCCCTCCCTTTTACTAGGCAATTACACTATGACTGCAGCCTTATAACTTGCTGTTCCTGCCCTAACCAAATGGTGACCCTTACCAGGGCCAGACCTATTCATGCCAGCAGCATGATCCTAGTTTCTAGATGCCGGAACAAAAGCATTTACTTTTTTCTTTGAGACAGAGTCTCACTCTGTCACCCAGGCTGGAGTGCAGTGGCGTGATCTCAGCTCACTGCAACCTCCCCCTCACAGGTTCAAGTGATTCTCTTCCCTCAGCCTCCCTCCTGAGTAGCTGGATTACAGGCGTGCACCACCACGCCAGGCTAATTTTTGTATTTTCAGTAGACACGAGGTTTTGCCATGTTGGTCAGGCTGGTCTGGAACCCCTGTCCTCAGGTGATCCGCCCGCCTCGGCCTCCCAAAGTGCTGGGATTACAGGCGTGAGCCACCTCGCCTGGCCATAAATATTTACTTTTGATGTGTAATAACTACAATATAATTTTAATAAACAATCCAGCAGAATAAAATATATTTATATGGCTAAGAAGAATGCATAAAAATAAGATAAAAATCTATTTTTGGATACTAGGTTACTTAATTTTTAAAAAGCGAACTATAATTATCGTGGCCAAACCCAAAGAAAACAATTTAAAGATAGTAACTTTGAAGATATAATACAGTCAATTGCATAGAATAAAAAACTTGTTAATATTCACGATAAAGAAAAATTCCAGAGAAAGTAACAACGTTAAGACTTACCCAGCAGGCCAGATGATCTCATGGTGAAGGACACAGATCTGATGCATCTTTCTTCCGCACTCTGTACATTCAACAAACCTGGAAGAGCAGAGCCAATTCCAAAATTAACCCCAAACCTTAACCAAATGAAAACTTGCAATATTTCCCATGACTTCTGACAAAGACAGCCAAGGTCATGACCAAAGAACTGAAAATAGTTTTAATAAAGTTTCTATTTTTTTAGAGATAGGGTCTCTGTTGTACAGGCTGGAGTGGGTGGCATGATCACAGCTCACTACAACCTTAAACTCCTGGGCTCAAGCCATTTTCCTGCCTTGGCCTCTCAGCTACCTGGCTAGGATAGGCACATACTATCATGCCTGGCTGTTTTTTGTTTTGTTTTCTGAGATGGAGTCTCTCTGTGTCGCCCAGGCTGGAGTGCAGTGGCGTCATATCAGCTCACTTCAACCCCTGCCTCCCGGGTTCCAGCGATTCTCCTGCCTCAGCCTCCCGAGTAGCTGGGATTACAGGCGCGCACCACCACGCACAGCTAATTTATATATTTGTAGTAGAGACGGGATTTTGCCATGTTGGCCAGGCTGGTCTCGAACTCTTGACCTTGGGTGATCCTGCCTTGGCCTCCCAAAGTGCTGGGATTACAGATGTGGGCCACTGTGCCCGGCCAAACCTGGCTAATTTTTTTTTTTTTTTTTTTTTGAGACGGAGTCTCGCTCTGTCGCCCAGGCTGGAGTGCAGTGGCGGGATCTCGGCTCACTGCAAGCTCCGCCTCCCAGGTTCACGCCATTCTCCTGCCTCAGCCTCCCAAGTAGCTGGGACTACAGGCGCCCGCCACTACGCCCGGCTAATTTTTTGTATTTTTAGTAGAGACGGGGTTTCACCGTTTTAGCCGGGATGGTCTCGATCTCCTGACCTCGTGATCTGCCCGCCTCGGCCTCCCAAAGTGCTGGGATTACAGGCGTGAGCCACCGTGCCCGGCCAAAACCTGGCTAATTTTTAAGACAGATTCCTGGTGCTGAAAATTCCAAATAAATCCAAATACCATCCCATCCATTTTAGGAACATCTAGAAGACATACATGTCAGTCCTCCATGATCTAAAAGGCCTCACTGCAAACTAGAAGTTTAGATCTTTAATGTTTCACATTCAACATTAAGAACATTAAAATTAACATTAAGAAATAATGTTCCTTAGTACTTCAGTGTTTTCCATGGTTTTACTATCCATTAGATGTATGTTATGTAGATTTAGCCCAAGAATATAGGATCATCTGATTGGTCATGCAAACTTCAAGAGAATGAAAGGGAAAAAGAAAAGCCAAAGCGTACTGACTATTCAAGGGGATCGTACTTACAGTTCAGGATCCAGTGTGTCATTTTTTCTCTTGGAAAATTGTTCTTTATTTATTGTACTAAGGAGAGAAAAGGGACACAATGAGAAAAAGTGATAGAGATGAGCAATCTGACTGCTGTTCTAACCAAAGGAACAAACTTCACCCTATATAGAGATTCAGGTTTTTTAAGAATACACATTTAAATAGGTGTATTCTTGGCTCACACAAAATGCATGTTTATGTAAAGGAATATTCTATAGGACTTCATAGTAAATAAATTTCCTCTTATCAGAAATGGAGAACCCAGGAAGAACTAGAAATACTGTTTCTTCTTTTCCTTTTAAAATCTTGTCTGTTACTATTCTTGGTGTTAGGTATCATGGCTTCCCATCCTGAAACCCAGCATAACACACTGCTCATAGCCTCACTACATACAAAAGCTAACAGTCTTACCATTCTCCAACTAGGATCCACATTCTCCAACTAGAATCAACATTAGGGGGACCAACTTGGACTTCTGTTATACTTCCTTACAAAAATGAGGACATGTCCACATTGAAAACCGTTTCTTATACTAGTTATGGCCTAGAGATTCATTCATCTCTGTTAATAGCATTTTCCTGAATGGCCTGTCTTGCTACTCCAAGTGCAATCTGAAGATGAGCAGCACCAGAACAATCTGGGAGTTAGAAATAGACACTTGGATCCACTACAGGCCTGCAGAATTGGGAAGGGTCTTGTTCCTACTCTTTTCAAAGTTAGAGATGTACTGCCTTAAGGTTTAGACTATTTGGTAAGCCACCTGAGAGTTCAATGACAAGGCTTACGTCTCTTCCTGCATCAAGGAAACTTACCCTAGAGCTAACCTTCCTGGCTTAACCAAATGTCAAAATGTTTCAAGGATCAAAGGCTCCTAGTATCTACTCTCCTAGCTAGCACCCAGACACTGCTATCTTTAGAACGCAATTTAGAAAAATTAACCAGCTTTTCTCAGAAGCCCCATTTTTACTAGGAACAAGAGAATTCCAAATTTTTGTGCAACGTCCTGAACAGAAGTAAATATGAACTTTCAATAATATTAAAATTACACTGAACAGTTTTTCCTTCTTAGACAGTCCCAGTTTGAATTCTAATGACTGCCTACATCTTAAGTTACTTTTTTCTTTTTTTCTTTTATTTATTTTGAGACAGACTCTCGCTCTGTCGCCCAGGCTGGAATGCAGTGGCCCAATCTCAGCTCACTGCAAGCTCCACCTCCCGGGTTCACGCCGTTCTCCTGCCTCAGCCTCCCGAGTAGCTGGGACTACAGGCGCCCACCACCATGCCCGGCTAATTTTTTGTATTTTTAGTAGAGACAGGGCTTCACCGTGTTAGCCAGGATGGTCTCGATCTCCTGACCTCGTGATCCGCCCGCCTTGGCCTCCCAAAGTGCTGAGATGACAGGCATGAGCCACCACGCCTGGCCAGAGATTAAACTATTAGACTATATGTTTGAAATTTTTTTCTTGGCCATTTACCAAATGGTAAGAGCTTGTGAGACTGCAAAGCACAAGCAAATCTCTTAAACCCCGGCATGCTGTTAAAGTCTATTATTCACTACAATAGTGACTTGGGTCTTCTGTTAACCTACAAGAGAAGGGTGTAAGGTGGTCATCAGTTCAATCACCCTCAAACTCAGAACAGTTAATAATGATGTTTTCTTGTACTAACCTCCAATTTTTCGAAGAGAAGCTGATTGCTTCCTATACAGAATACTTTTACTAGAACTAAGATGATTGCCCATTGCTGACATATTCCCTAATTCATTGATGTCTCAAAGAGCTTTCTACTATGATGGATATGTTCTCTGTGTTGACCAATATGGTAGCCACCAGACACAGATAGCTACTGAACAGTTGAAATGTGAGTATTCCATGTGATAAACAATTTTTATTTAAATTAATATGCATTTAAATAGCAACATGTGGCTAATGGCTACCATATTCAACAGCATAGCTTAAGTTCATTTAGAAATAAGCTGTGCATAATCACTGGACAACAAACTAATTAGCACTTTTCAAAATAATGCAGTTACTTACGTTTGAGGCTGGGAAGGGTCATCCCCCAAAGAAACGCTCTCCCCTTGGATCTCATTGAAACACTTCTCACAGAAATGATACCTGTCGGCAAGAAGGCCATACTGGGGTGAACTGTTCCGTTCACACAACACAGCCCAAGCCAAGCAACGAAGCCACCAATCACAGCAGGCCAAGGAGGGGGACGGGAGCAGAGAGCAGGTCATCAACGGCGACAAGGACATTCAATGATGCAGATATATGGGCCCCACAGTTTGGGTTTTGGTTTTTTTGTTTGTTTTTTTGTTTTTTTTTGTTTTTTTTTTTGCAATCAAAGCCAAGTGCAGACAACGACAAGCATGAGGGAGAAAAAAAAACACAAAACAAACGAAGAAATGAGGGATTGCAAGACAACAAAAAACATAAAAGCAAGACAGAACAACACAAAGCAGAAAGCCAAGGCAAAGCACAGATTAGCATTAAATATCTCAAATGGGATCACAAGTAGCAAATGATTACTGCAAATAAAAGCAAATGTTTCAATTACACAGACCCATATCCTTTCATTTCAGCAATTAACGCTATGTGATGTAAATAATCAAAAGGAGGAAGAAGGATAAATATACCAGGGAGAGAAGAACTGCTACTCATTACCTAAATACAGGAATCACACCTCTTCCCACTTACAAAACAAAAAACCACAGACCCCCACCCCCCACCCCAAAAGCCCACTATAGATACAACTGCAGAAAACAATAATCTAAAACAACCATTGCCAGGCGTGGTGGCTCATACCTATAATCCTAGCACTTTGGAAGGCTGAGAGGGTGGATCATCTGAGGTCAGGAGATCGAGACCAGCCTGGCCAACATGCTGAAACCCTGTCTCTACTAAAAATACAAAAATAAGCAAGGCATGGTGGCACACACCTGTAATCCCAACTATTTGGAAGGCTGAGGCAGGAGAATCGCTTGAACCCGGGAGGCAGAGGTTGCAGTGAGCTAAGATTGCGCCACTGCACTCCAGCCTGAGTGACAGAGTGAGACCCTGTCTCAACAAAGAAAGAAAAAAAACTGTTTATTGAAAAGCCTGCACAAGCAGTTAAATACTGACTACAGCCATCAAGTGATACATTTCAAAAGGAAATGATGTGTGCAGGTACCTGATTAAAGATGGCTTGGTGCAAAGATAAACACTTTAGACTACTGTTTTAGTAAACATGAGAAAAGTTTCATGTCCAGTTACTTGCTTTTTTAAACATAAGGTACTTATAACAACTTGAGTCCCACCTTTTCTAGGTTTCAAATGAGTAAAGAGCTAGATTTTTACTCACTGCAAAATCAAAGCATTAGGTCTACAAAGCATTAGAAGCACGCCTAACTTTTTGTAAATAAAAGAAAAAGTTTAAGTGACTTTTCAAAGCTAGAAATGCATCTGCAACACACAAGTTCAGCAAAAACCAACACCATGGATTTGGTATTAACAAACAAATAAAGGGTATTAATATCATCCAGCCTTGTTATTATTGTATCAGAGCCCCAAATAAACACCCAATGCAAGCTATACTTGTAGCTGATCACTGAAAACAGGAGACAAATTGTGGTTAAGATAGATTAGTGAATGAGATTTATGTGATTACAGCCATTGATTGGGCAGGAGAAAATTAGGCAGAGGTGCCTCGTTTATTAGACTCAAATCATCCTCTGTCACATACAAGGCTGGGTTGGGAAAAGTAAGGTACAGAGAGCTATGTGAGGTTTTCCTTTTAATTTGCTTAATATGAGGCAAAGAAAAGACTCCAGAATCCTGTTTTCATATATTCTAATAACAACTACTTAGGGATAGGCCTCATCTAAAAAGGAAATATTTCCAAAAAGCTGTCTAGCGAGTTTCAGTTAAAAGTTTAAAAATCTTCTCAGTTTTGCCTCAGGCTGTGGTGATCAACAAACACACAGTAGAAAGAGAAGTGGGGCCTGGGATATAGACCCATCTAGGCCAACAACTCACAAAGTTGCTTAACTTCTCAAGCTCTTGGGAGGAACCCAGGTAACTGATGCAAGGCTACTCTGATAGAAAATTTTATTGTTCTGCAAACAAAGGCAGAAGGCAAAAAACAGAACTTGTGCTATACAGCTGTCTTCAAGCAAGATACACATGAACCATGACTGTATGTGTGCTGGCCCATCCGCATGCACTCCCTGGACATGTGGACACATGGACCATGGTCCACACCTGGCCAAGCTTACCTGTTCTGGTAACTGTAATAAGTGGCATCACGAGGTATTGTGCACAACTGTTTGCCGTAGCAACACAGTGTCTGTGGAGAGAACTCCAACTGCAAAAGAAACCATTTGTTAAAAAGCACAGAGGCCTTAAGGACAAGCTAGAACAGTAAGAATGGCAAGTCAGAAACAGAAGTCAGTGGTGTCTTAGTTCTCATTTATGTTAATAATGATGGGCTAATTCAGTTCCTGAAAATCATTCTCAGTTTACTACCACATTATTTCAAAACGCTGAGGTAGGCTTAGCAGTCATATCCTTCCATCACTTTACCAAAGAACCTAACAGGAATAGCTGGGCAGGGTGGCACATGCCTGCAGTGCTCAGAAGCTGAGGTGGGAAGACTGCGTGAGCCCAAGAGTTCCAGACCAGCTTAGGCAACACAGCAAGACCATAGTCTTATTTTAAAAACAAAAAACCAATAATGTGAATTGGTATGTACAGGAAAGCCAGCACATGCTGAGGAATCTGCACCCACAGGTGAATATAAGAATGCCCCTACTCCAGATGAGTTAACAGTCTGTTGATTATTTAATTAGTCAACTTTTCCATACAATTGCCACTCTGAAAAAATGCCTTTAAAGAAAGCCCATTTCATATTAAGAGATATTACTACTGTGGCACACAGTAAGAGAAAGACTGTGTTGGCTGGGAGAGGTGGCTCATGACTGTAATTCCAGCACTTTGGGAGGCCGAGGCAGGAGGACTGCTTGAGCCCAGGAGTTCAAGACTAGCCTGAGCAACATCATGAGACCCTGTTTCTACAAAACAAATTTAAAAAATCAGCCAGGCATGGTGGCGTACGGCTGTAGTCCCAGCTGCTCAGGAGGCTGAGGTGGGAGAATTGCTTGAGCCCAGGAGGTTGAAGCTGCAGTGAGCTATGACCTCACCACTGCACTCCAGCCTGGGAGAATAAGACCCTGTCAAAAAGGAAAAAAAAAAAAAAAAAAAAAAGCCATGTCAAAGCCAGAAGCAGGATATTCTCTTATCCCAGTCACCACTATATTATTCTAGGTATCCCAGAAAAGTTAAAGTCAAATCTGAAACACATTTCTTACCTTTCTGCCACAACAGTATCCAAGGCTTTGCATCACTGGGTCAATTTCTTGTTCAAAGACCTCAGAGAGCTTGGAGCAGTATTTGTATACCCGTGATGTTTTCCGGTTATATAACCAGGCATTATTGAACATAAGCCAAATATCATCGACATACTGCCAGGGCTCCTGATACTGTCCAGTGTCTAACTTCCTCTTAATGGTAGAAAGATCCATGGGGCTCTTCACAATATCAAAGTAATCCTAGAAAGACAAGTGACATCAAACATTACTCAAGTCTCACTATTTTTACGGGAGATGGAGTATCATCCATTATCATTGTTAATTTTCCAGGCAGTGTTTTAGTTTCTGGCCTGTCTATATTCCCCAAGAGGTGACTGATGTCCATCACTTCTTTAAATATTAGTTTACAGAGATATTAAACTACTCAAAGGGCAGAGAAACAGAACTACTATGGACTTTCTAGACATCAGGCTGATATTCTACTGAAGCAACTTCAGGTTCTTTATGAAAGTACATGTGAGATCAGTAAAGTCAAAGACATTTAAAATTTTAGTACTAGAAGGGGTGTACAATGAGGAAACTAAGCCCACAGAACTTAAAATGTTCCATCTGAAATCACAGCAAGATACAAGAGAGGAAAAGTCCTAAAAGGCTTTTGCCCCTGGAAGCACTTGACCTTTGAGATGGAGTCTCTGTCAACATGTTGCCCAGGCTGGAGTGCAGTGGTGCAATCTTGGCTCAGTGCAACCTCTGCCTCCCAGGGTCGTTCAAACTATTCACCTGCCTCAGCCTCCCAAGTAGCCAGGATTACAGGCGTGCACCACCACGCCCAGTTACTTTTTATATTTTTAGTAGAGATGGGGTTTCACCATGTTGGTGAGGCTGGTCTCCAACTCCTGAACTCAAGTGATCTGCCTGCCTTGGCCTCCAAAAGTGTTGGGATTACAGGCGTTAGCCACCGTGCCCGGCCAAGTAACAGTTTAAAACCACCAAATGAAATCTGCCAGCAGCCTAGTATATGGAGGCAACTTTAAAAACAAAGCTAACCACGGTCCTTTTTTCTGCTATGACCTATTGCTCTTGAAACAACGAAAGTGGCCGGGTGCGGTGGCTCACGCCTGTAATCTGGGCATTCTGGGAGGCCGAGGTGGGTGGATCATCTGAGGTTGGGAGTTTGAGACCAGCCTGACCAACATACAGAAACCCCATCTCTACTAAAAATACAAAATTAGCCGGGCATGGTGGCACATGCCTGTAATCCCAGCTACTCGGGAGGCTGAGAGGTAGGAGAACTGCTTGAACCCGGGAGGGGGAGGTTGAGGTGAACTGAGATTGCGCCATTGCACTCTAGCCTGGGCAACAAGAGTGAAACTCCATCTCAAAAAAACAAAAAACAAATAACAACAACAAAAAAGTAAACAAACTATATAACCCAGGAATTCCACTCCTAGGTAAATACCAAGGAGAAATAAAAACTTAAATCCACACAATGTTCACTACAGTCCTATCTTAATAGTCAAAACGTGTAAACAACCTAAATGTCTATCAACTCATCAACAGGTAAAGAAAAATAATGGAATATTATTGGGCTATAAATAGGTATGTGCTACTGATTCATGCTACAACATGGATGAACCTTGAAAACATTATGCTAAGGAACGTCCTGGCACAAAGAATCACATACTGTATGTTCCAATTTAATGAAACATGTAGAACAGACAAATCCAGAGACAGAATGCAGTCTGGTGATGTCTAGGATTGGGGTGCTATGGGAGAAAATAGTGAGTGACTGTTAATGGTAAAGGATTTTTTTCAGATGATGAAAATGAAAGTGTCATGCACAACTCTGTGAATATACTAAAACTCCCTGAATTAGGCCAGGCCCAGTGGCTCACACCTGTAATTCCAGCACTCTGGGAGGCTGAGATGGGCCTATTGCTTGAGTCCAGGCGTTCAAGACCAGCCTGGGCAACATGGCGAAACCCCGTCTCTACTAAAAAATACAAAAAACTAGCCAGGTGAGGTGGCACATGAATGTAGTTATCCCAGCTACTCAGGATGCTGAGGTGGGAGAATCACCTGAGCCCGGGAGGTGGAGACAGTAGTGAGCCACGATCGTGCCACTGCACTCCAGCCTAGGCAACCAGAATAAGACCCTGTCTCAGGGGGAAAAAAAAAAAATCACTGAATTACAAATTTGAAATGAGTGGCTATACTGTTTGGAATGTGAATTATCTCTCAATAAAGCTGTTATCAAATTAAAAAATAAAATCAAAAGTACCACCAAATACTTACAGGGATTCCTAAAAGCTGAGGGTCCACAGGTTGACGAAAGGGAAGGGATTCTGGATCCTGACGGTAAAGTGCCTCCAAAGTTGGCATCAGTGCCTGTCGTAGTTCTTCTGGTTTGAAAACTTAAAAAAAAAAAGTGCATTTGAAATTAGTTACCAATTAAGCAGAAGAACTTTAAAAAATCATTCAGCCTGAAGCTCTAAAAGCATCTCAAGAATCAATAACAAAATTAACCACTCTGTCCCCATGGAAATATCACTACAGGCTCAATCACTGATTCTAGATTCTAAGCCCCGCTTTGTTTCAGACAGCTCCTAAAAAACATTGTGTCTTATCACCTTAAAACACTCTTCACCCTCAGCTTAACTTTTCAGTCACAAAGTCAGTGAAGACAGACTCGGTCAATTAGAAGCAGAATCCAAAGGCTTCTAAAAATTTATGAAGAGACTTTGCCAAATAAGAGTCCATGGGACCAGGCACGGTGGAGGCTGAGGTGGGCAGATCACTTTGAGGTCAGAAGTTTCAGCCTGGCCAACATGGTGAAACCTCGTCTCTACTAAAAATATAAAAAATTAGTCGGACATGGTGGCATGCTAGTCTCAGCTACTCAGGAGGCTTGAGGCAAGAGAACTGCTTGAACTCGGGAGGCAGATGTTGCAGTGAGCCGAGATGGCGCCACTGCACTCCAGCCTAGGCAACAGAATGAGGCCCCATCTCAAAAAAAAAAAAAAAAAAAAAAAGAGTGCACAAGATACTCGTGTTAAGAGGGAGATGCAGTCAAGCAAGAACAGAAAAGTCTTTCTTCATGACATCAGTATTTAACAAG
This sequence comes from Homo sapiens, assembly GCF_000001405.40. Taxonomy (NCBI): domain Eukaryota; kingdom Metazoa; phylum Chordata; class Mammalia; order Primates; family Hominidae; genus Homo; species Homo sapiens. The sequence continues at coordinate 41,154,290 of NC_000022.11, read as the reverse complement.
TCAGAAACTAGACTAGATCAGGTATTGTCTTATACTACAAGGAGTCAGGGGCACAGAAGAGAAGACTCCTTCGTTCAAATGCTTGGTATTTTAGAGCCAAAGAAAAAGAGACATGTACTATTTTAATGACAAATGTTAGGTTTAAGTTTAAAAGAAGAGAGAACAAAAATGGTATTGCTAAAATAATAGACTTAGTTGATCAAATTAAGTTCAAATGTGTTCTCAATGATATTTCCCAAAAAGTCCGGAAAAATTTGTTGGTGTGTCCCAAATGGAATCAAACAGTTCTTTGAGAAGCCAGTGATTTAAAAAGCTTTCAATTTCAGCAAGGGCCTTATTTTTTCTTAATTGGCAAAAAAAATTTCATCATCGGTAGAGTATATTTGTTACTTCAGATAATTTTCACCTCTGGGGGGTTGCCATGGAGTGGGGGGAAACCAGACTACGAAGATGCTTGTCACTCATATTTAGCTGTGCTAAAAATAAGGACTATTTGAATAAACTTGTGAAATTAGACATTTTATTTTATTTATTTGTTTGAGACAATTACTCTCTGTCACTCAGGCTGGAGTGCAGTGGCGCCATCTTGGCTCACTGCAACCTCCTTCCATCTCCCGGGTTCAAGTGATTCTTCTGCCTCAGCCTCCCAAGTAGATGGGACTACGGGTGAGAGCCACCACACCCGGCTAACTTTTGTACTTTTAGTAGAGACAGAGTTTCACCATATTGGCCAGGCTGGTCTTGAACTCCTGACCTCAAGTGATCTGCCCGCTCGGCCTCCCAAAGCGGTGGGATTACAGGCATGAGGGAACACACATTTTAAAGAGAGATTGCCAATAGTAAGACTGGGTTTGTTACAGCCCATATTAAAACACCTCAATATATACAAGTCTTATTTTTAAAATGAAAATAATTTTTTAATCCCAACATTTTACAACACATTGTATTAATGGAACACTTTTCAATATATATCATCTGTAAGAGCCAGCAGACTCACTCCTCAGGTATGTCCTACCTGGTGCCTTTTGCAGATCACTAGAGCCACAAAAGTTCTAGTCCTAAAATAGTCAATTAACACTTGTTGGAATGGCTGGATTTGAGCACTCTGCCTCAGACTGCCTGGGTCTGCTTCCTGGCCCAGGCAGTAGGGTCAGCTGAGTAACCTGTGGAAAGTTACTTAACTTTGCTAAGCTTCAGGCCAATAACCTCAGAGCTGTTGTGAAATTATTAAATGAGGCCGGGTGTGGTAGCTCATGCCTGTAATCCCAGCACTTTGGGAGCTCGAAGCGGGTGGATCACCAGGTCAAGAGATCGAGACCATCCTGGCCAACACGGTGAAATCCTGTCTCTACTAAAAATACAAAAATTAGACGGGCATGGTGGCATGCGCATGCAGTCCCAGATACTCGGGAGGCTGAGGCAGGAGAATCGCTTGAACCTGGGAGGTGGAGGTTGCAGTGAGCTCAGATCCCGCCACTGCACTCCAGCCTGAACAACAAAAGTGAGAATCCGATTCCAAACAAAAAAGAAAAGAAAAAGAAAGAAAGAAATTATTAAATGAGACAATGTGGATACTTAGCACACAGCAGGTGAATGACAAATGCTATTACTATTGCTATTCTTTCCTGCATTTTAGTCAAGGCTATTTACAAACATTTCTCTCTCCTGAAAAATGAGACAATTTTTAGGGTGTACTAACACAGGGAACCCTGAAGAAATGAGGGGAATGACTTAACTCATTGGTTGCTGCAAGTGAATATTAAAAAAAAAAAAAAGAAAGAAAAATTATTAGTAACAATGAAGAGACCAGGCCCAGGGCTTCCAGGTTAATGAAATCACAATAATGGCAACTTCTGAGGCCCAAGAGGCATGACCGCAATTCTGCCCTGGGTCTTTGGTTTCTTCAGCTACCTCCAGAACGAATGGCTTCAGAGACTCACTCTTTTTCTTTGACTGTCCTGGAGCCGGAGATGACTGGGTAGCTGAAGTACTTGGCTGGTCTTCCTCCTCTTTTATTTCAGTTTTTAACTCAGTGCTTCTCTCTTCTGTTTCGGTAGATTCCATTTTACAGTCTTCCACTTTAGACTAAAAGAAAACGTAAGAATTTTTAGTATTCCAAAGATATCTAGTTGGGAATCAGTAATCTGAACACCCTTTCTCATGCAAAATCTATGCCATGAGATCTAATTATCAAAATATTTTTCTGCAATATTTTTTAAAACTTGGGTTCCTATACTGAGGTCCTAACCAAATCAAACAGTAATTGCCCTACTCTCACCTCTGAAATATCCTCCGGCTGAGTATCTGCTGGTTCTGGTTGATCCACTTCCATTTTGGCCTCCATCTTCACTTCCTGGGAAGGCTGCTTCTCAGCAATGGCCTGAGAATTCACTTCTGTGCTACTAGTAGATGGAGGATTTGATACCTGTCCTTCAATGCTTACAGCTGGCTGGGAAAGCTGGGCAGAAAAAAAAGGGAAGTAGGTGAGACACACGCAGAGTCTGCCAACGATACAATCAGAATGTAAGGTAAGCAACAGGATAGCAGAATTAGCCACCTATTTCTTGGCTTATATTTATTCATGGTGCTTTCATTTGCTCTGCCCATTTCACCTCCCTTAATTATGCTTAAGAACAGGAGAATTAAGACTTGTAAATACTGGTTGGCTGATTGTACATCAAAGAACCAGCAACTATTTCATTGATAACTATCATTATCTGGCAGTGTGTGGGGATTTCAAAGATGTCTGCTTCAGAGGAGCTCACATTTATACAGAAATGAGTGAAAGAAAATAAGAAAGACTGGCTTGTTTTTACCTTCTCACCAGAGAAAGTTTCAAAGGTACAGAAAAGGAGACAATAAATATAATGATGTCCCAGAGAGTGGCTGTTTTGAATCGCTAGATTCTAATGAGATAAACTGGCATTCCCTATCTTTATCCTAAGGCTTGTCATAAGAAATCTCTTAATGAGAAGTCAGTATTTTCTGGAAGTATCCTTGATTTTATAAAGAATAAAATCAAGCAGATCCACTGGTTCCTCTCTCATTCTGTCCTTCCTTGTCTATCAGAGGCCACGATGAACCAGCCATCCGTCAAGTACAGTACTTTATAAAACGGCTGTGACTCATGGAACTTCTCAGTTCATCAACATGGCTGAGAACTATTGGATACCGATATATATTAATATCGGTATCAAAGTAGAAGCTTCTAAACCCTTAAAAAAAGTTCTATTAATAAGGATTCAACTATTAGATGAGAATTTGGATTTTTATTATATACATAACCAACCTCTCACAAGGAAGCTACAGGTTGTTCTGGGTCTATAATTCTCTCATCTTATTTTTAAACTTTGGTTTGGGCCACAAGGACTCATAAATCTGCAATTTTTTTTTTTTTTTTTAGACGGAGTTTCACTCTGTCGCCTAGGCTAGAGTGCAGTGGCGCAATCTCGGATCACTGCAACCTCCACCTCCCAGGTTCAAGCCATTCTCCTGCCTCAGTCTCCCGAGTAGCTGGGATTACAGGCACCCGCTACCATGTCTGGCTAATTTTTGTTATTTTTTTGTAGAGACAGGGTTTCACCATGTTGGCCAGGCTGGTCTTGAACTCCTGACCTCAAGTGATCTGCCTGCCACAGCCTCCCAAAGTGCTAGGATGAAAAGTGTACACCACCGCGCCCGTCCAAATCTGCAATTTTTAAATTCAATCTCTAGGTTTTATGGCTCAAACTGTTTGAAAAAGATTCCTTAAATATATGTAAAATTTATGTGCTGCACTAAATAATATACTAAATAAGGAGAAGGATTGTGTCCCCTTGTCGTACCCCTTTACGTACCTTCAGACCTCAGGGTACAACATGAAACATAATGGTCAAAGTCAGAGCTAAATAAAATCTTTATGCTCCTGCTACGATAGGTACTATCACAGGAAGGCAAAACAGGATACAAAAGTCCCTAATGAAAAATAGATTACATTCTACTTGTGGAGAAAACAGTAAGAGATAAAGCAAAAGAGAATGGAAATGGCCCAGAAGTAATATAATACTACAGTATAGCTCTAATGATTCTGCCTAAATCCAAATCTCTACTTACTGGAGTTGCAGGCTGCGGAGGAAGCAGCGGTGCTGTTGGGGTAGGAACAGACGCTGCTGTGCTCTGCTGTGAGCGAGGCTGCTGCTGGGGCTGGTCAGCAGAAGGTGCAGCAGGAAGTGAAGGCTGCACTTGTTGGGGAAGTTGTGTTGTTGGTGGTGTAGGTGTCTGCCTTGGAGGGGGATGTAGAGCCTGGGACTGTGGCCCAGGTGGCATGGCAGGAGGTGTAGGAACAGGGGCTGGAATTGTTGTTGCTGGTGGCTGCTGAGCCCCTATGCTTGGGGGAGTATGGTGAGGGGTGGGGGTACGACTAGGTACAGGCGAGGGTGAATTCTGATGAAGAGCTGGTTGAGGAAGCTGGGGACAGTGAATGTGGCTCCCCTGAGACCCTGGAGGCATTATAGGAGAGTTCACCGGGCAGGAAGAACTAGACATTTGTGCCTGTTAAAATAAAAAACATAACAAGACAGCAATTCAGAACAGAATTAAGGAAATACTTACATAGGCATGATATATAAATTTAGGACACAAACTGATTAAACAAAGAGTAGCAATGTGTCTATTTCAAAATGTGTAAAATACCCTATTACTGGGCATGTATCTTTGGACAGCACCATCAAGATAGTACTTAACTAAAGAGACTTCAAACCATTCAGCAGAATGGCCTCAGCCACCGCAGAAAAATGGCAGAATTGAGTGCAGAGTGCTCTAGGGCCTGCCTATGCTCTTTTCAGCCAGATTTCCTTCTACATTGTGTTTAATTCTAAGATTTATTTTAAAGTGTTCACTAGTAAAAACAATTAAAACTATCCATTTAAATTATTTCCTACTTTGTAACAATTAACACCATTGCTATGTCACAGAATAATCTCTTCATGTTCAGAATACCCTAAGTCCAAAATTGTTATTTTTTAAAAAATCATCTGTTTTCACCCACTATTTGCTGCCACTCTCTCCTATAAAAACCTACATCAAGAGAAGTTTCAAGAATCAAAAATAAGTGAAAAATCCACTTATGAGACATACTTGAGACACTGGAGCTTGACCGCTGGACGGAGCCAAAGGGATATTTGTTACATTCATTCCCTGTGATGGGAACTGAGTCTGAGGAAGGAACTGGCCCTGGTTGGAAGGCTGTTGCATACGAGGCCCATAGCCCATAGGCTGAAAAAAAAAAAAAACACAAATCACCAAACTGCTTCATTATAGTTATTCTACTATAACTAAAATCATCAAATGCTCCTAACGTCAGGCTTATTAAGTAGAGAAAAGCCAAAGACAGGAGTATAGGTGAAGAGGGCTGAAGAGGAGAAGGAAGAAAGTTGTAGAACAACTGACTCTTGTGCCAAGATAAAGAGAAATAGCCTCACAGTTTACCTAGGCCTACTCCAAGAAATAGTAAGAGGATGGAACACACATTCTCTTGGTACACAAATATGCCTAGCACAAGGATAGCAGGTAATTTTCTTTGCATGCTCTGTTAAGTGAGGAGAGTTAATCACAATTTCATGAGGTCATGTCAGTGATGTAATAACACAAATTCTAAGACCCATAATATGTAAAAACAAGAAAATCTTACAAGTTGTAGCAGAATCTGGTAGCATTCATGGTCCACAAATGCTCTAGCACTGTTACATGTCATTTCCAAAATTACCCTACACAAATTCAGGCCTTAAAGAAAGAAATCTCGAGTACCAAAGGCCAAAAACTTCATAAGCTAAGACCATCTGTCTTATAGGTTAAAATGAAGGACAGAACTCCCTGTTGAAAATGGCAGATTAGTGAGAAGTAGTAATGCTCAGGAACCCCCAAAAGGGTCAAGAATCAGAGGCACCAGCTAACTCTAAAGGGCAGCAGGAGGGTTAGGGTCAAGGTAGAGAGATGGACTGGTTAAGAGTTCGCATAAGGAGCAGGAGAAGCCTAGTCTCTCTTCTCCGAGTTCAAGAACCAGGCAAAAACGCACCATCAACCTTGCAAGACAGTTCTCTGCCTGGAGGAGGGAAGACAGACATCAGGGAAGAGAAGTGACCGTGAAAACGCATGCAGGCCACTAAACACTGACACTCCAGGGACAAGGGACTGGCTGTTTTCGTTTTTTGGTCAGCTTTCTAGTAGAGTTAAATACAGAAGAATTACAGAAGAACTAGGAGTTATGGTCTGTTTAAATGACTGTGAGAATTTATAAAGTAGGAACAAACAGGATTTTCAAAATACCAGGTAAAGGCCAAAGAGATTACCAAAGACGTCAAACTAACCGGGTTGAGAGCTCCAGGTTGAGCCAACTGTCCATGGTGCTGAAGAGGAGGGGTTTGCCGGGGTACAATAGGGGGCTGGGCCATGCTCATCTGGCCAAATTGATTCAAACCTGTGAATATGAGCAAAATGTTAGATCTGAATGCCTTTGTGAAATTGAATAATAAAAGATAGAATTCTTATGTCTGATTCTGTATCTTTTTTTTTTTTTGAGACGGAGTCTTGCTCTGTCGCCCAGGCTGGAGTGCAGTGGCGCAATCTCCGCTCACTGCAAGCTCTGCCACCTGGGTTCACACCATTCTCCTGCCTCAGCCTCCTGAGTAGCTGGGACTACAGGCGTCCGCCACCACACCCAGCTAATTTTTTGTATTTTTAGTAGAGACGGGGGTTTCACTGTGTTAGCCAGGATGGTCTCTATCTCCTGACCTTGTGATCTGCCCGCCTCAGCCTCCCAAAGTGCTGGGATTACAGGCGTGAGCCACCGCACCTGGCCCTGATTCTATCAGGACTAATAAACTGGCTTTCAACCTTCTAAGTATAAATAAATCTGTCTCATTCACAGTAGCAGTAAACAGACATTATCAACTAACAGGATCTCCAAACTGAATTTTACAAATTTTACAATCTGCTTTTTTTTTTTTTTTTGAGACGAAGTCTTGCTGTCACTCAGGCTGGGGTCCAGTGGCGCGATCTCGCCTCACTGCAAACTCCGCCTCCTGGGTTCAAGTGATTCTCCAGCCTCAGCCTCCAGAGTAAATGGGATTACAGGCCCGTGCCACTACAACCGGCTAATTTTTTTGTATTTTTAGTAGAGACAGGGTTTCACCACATTGGCCAGGCTGGTCTCGTACTTTGACCTCAGGTGGTACACCAGCCTCGGCCTCCCAAAGTGCTGGGATTACAAGCGTGAGCCACCATGCCCAGCCTGCAGTTGTTTTTTAATGGATACTTGATCATTTAATGTCACCTGCCCTGTGATCTGCCAGCCAACCTGCTCTTCACCCCCTCTTCCTCTATGGGCAGGTAATCATGACACTTGCTGTTGGCATAAAGCGGGTGTTCAGGTAGCAAGTATTATCTTGCAGTACACCGGGGATTCTTTTAAAATAAAAAAATTTTTTTCACTATTTACCAGATTGTGGAGTTATTCGAGGCATCATCTGGTTTGGCACACTGCCACGGATCATACTTGGGTCAGGTAGAGGGCCATCTAGAGTAAAAAAGAGAAATAAGTATCTTTGCACCATCTTCCCTTAACCAAACAAAAACTCACTGCACACACAAACCCCACAAAATATTTTTAATAATACCTTTGAAAATTGAGTATGAATCACAAAATAAAGCTCTGAACTAGACAGAAGCTTGAAGAAAATGTTATTTCTGGAATACAGAAAAATGCCTCCAAGTGGATTTGTTGGTATTCCTTTATGAGCCCGGGTGCTTTCAATGTTGATAGAAAAATAAGCTATTGAAGCCATTATAGGCCAGGCACAGTGGCTCACGCCTGTAATCCTGGCACTTTGGGAGGCTGAGGTGGGTGGATCACTTGAGGTCAGGAGTTCAAAACCAGCCTAGCCAACATGGCGAAACCCTGTCTCTACTAAAAATACAAAAAAATTAGCCAGGCGTGGTGGCAGGCACCTGTAATCCCAGCTACTCAGGAGGCTGAGGCAGGAGAATCGCATGAACCTGGAAGGCGGAGGTTGCAGTGAGCCAAGATCACACGACTGCACTCCAGCCTGGGCGATGGAGCAAGACTCTGTCTCAAAAAAAAAAAAAAAAATTGAGGCCATCATAGCATTTAATATGTTATTGTTTAACAAAGTCTGAGTCTGGTTGGCATGCAACAGAGTATCTCCATGGATAATAGCTATGAATCATGTCTAATGGTGGCCGAATTTGATCATGTAGCACAACGTTTTTATGCACATAAACTGTGAACATTGATTTTAAATAATATGCATATTATACCACACTACATATCATGTACCTCTTAAATACAAAAACAGAAATAATTCTTAAAAAAATAAAATATCCTGTAATCCCAGCACTTTGGGAGGCCGAGGCGGGCGGATCACGAGGTCAGGAGATCGAGACCATCCTAGATAGCACGGTGAAACCCGTCTCTACTAAAAATACAAAAAAATAGCCGGGCGTGGTGGCAGGCGCCTGTAGTCCCAGCTACTCGGGAGGCTGAGGCAGGAGAATGGCGTGAACCCGGGGCATGACCCCGGGAGGTGGAGCTTGCAGTAAGCTGAGATCGTGCCACTGCACTCCAGCCTGGGCGACAGAGCGAGACTCCGTCTCAAAAAAAACCTAAAATATAAATACATAAATTCTAAGGTCTTTTTCCTGGATTATCTGCACATGCTCTAGTGTAGTACTTTCAACATAGTGCACAGAGAAAATATTTTTACAGCACCCTCGGAAAGGACAGATGTCTGTAGTGACCTGGCTCCACCCTGGCCATACCCTCCATCAAGGGCTGTACATTCAAGCCTCAGGCATAGGAGAGGAAGACCTGCTGCTCTTCTAAGGAGATGTCCATCCCTTCAGACAAATTTCAACCTTTAGTAAATGAGCAAAACTGAGAGAGGAAATGCTCAACATTTATTCATATAAACTTTTATCTGTAACTCTGCAAGCTTTATAAGAAGTATATGCATAATCCATGCTCATTACATAAAAATTAAAAATCAATAGAAAAATGAATCAGGATCCAACAAATGACCTTGAGATAAACCTTTCCTCTTCCTCCCCACACATATCTGTATTCACGCACACTATCTACAAAACAATGTTTTCACCTAAGATATGAGTAACTTTTTTTTCAAGTCAACAATATGGATAGGTGTTCCAAGCTAAATGGCAAGTGCCAAGCAGCTAATACCAAGTAAAACTGTTTTAAGTACCCAAAACAATAGAGAATGGTGAGGACTGAAGTGGAGAGAAAACACAGCTCTTCTAGAGTCAGCCATGAGTGCAGCTATAGACAGGTGTCACTGTAGGAGAAAGGGGGTCAAGTCTGCCAGACATGTCCTTTTTTTTTTAAAGCAGCCAGAAATTCAGACTTTTTAAATGCAAAATCTTCTGATTTTTAAGTATTTGAGACTAATCAAATGAAAATGGTTTAAAAATAAAACCGCAATCCTACTGCCCACATTTGCCCCATATGATGCAGATACGAATGTATCTATTATTGCTCCATGAGGCAGCTCTTGTCATTTTAAGGAAACTTGATGAATTATTTAAAGGAACATCTTGATACTATTTTTTAAGATAAATATTTAAAGGCTGGGCGCAGTGGGTCACACCTGTAATTTCAGCATTTTGGGAGGCCGAGGTGGGTGGATATCTTGAGCTCAGGAGTTCGAGACTAGTCTGGGCAACATACAGAAACCCTGTTTCTACTAAAAAATAAAAAAAAATTAGCCAGGCATGGTGGCGTGTGCCTGTGGTCCCAGCTACTTGGGGGGCTGAAGTGGGAGGATTGCTTGAGCTTGGGAGGCATGGAGGATGCAGTGAGCCGAGATCACACCACTGCACTCCAGGCTGGGCGAAACAGACCCCATCTCAAAAATGTATATATATAAATATTTAGAGGTAAAGAAAATATACACAAACAAAAATGTCCATCTTTCACATTTCAATATATATGCCCTTAATGCAAACTATATGCATTAAGTCAAATAATCAAAAACCCTTTATCACACAACACAAGTATCCTGGAATTCCACTGCCCCCATCAGAAGCCCATGTTCAGAGATTAGTATTTACTTCTTCCAGAACTTTTTCTAGGGCATATGCCACACTTAAAAAAACTCAGACTATAACATGCATACTTCTGTCATCAGCTTTTCCTGAAACTTCGTATCTTTGCAAAAAATTAATAAGGAAAGAGTTACCTACCTTCAACTCCATTAACAACCGGGATTATTTTTTCAAGATGGTACACGTTACATAAGTTTACTATGGGCATATTTTTAGGCCAATACACATAGTCCTGCCATTGCCACTCTCTGATTCTATAATAACTGTATTCTTTGTATTAAAACAAAAAAATCAAACGTGGCCAGGTGTGATGGCTCAAGCCTGTAATCCCAGCACTTTGCAAGACCAAGGTACGCGGATCACTTGAGGCCGGGAGTTCGAGACTAGGTTGGCCAACATGGTGTGAAACCCTGTCTCTACTGAAAATACAAAACATTAGTTAGGTGTGGTGATGCATGCCTGTAATTCCAGCTGCTGGGGATGCTGAGGTACAAGAATCAACTGAATCTGGGAGGCAGAGGTTGCAGTGAGCTTAGATGGTGCCACTGCACTTCAGCCTGAGTGACAAAGAGAGACTGTTTCAAAAAAAAAACAAAAACAAAACCAACAACAAAAAAACAAATGTTAAAGAAACATGAAGATGAGAATGTTATGTTTTCTTCAACATTCTACGTAGTTCTTTCAATTTTGTTTTTTCAAAGTTTACAAACCTTATTTATTTATTTAAAGACAGGATCTCACTCTGTTGTCCAGGCTTAAGTGCAGTGGCACAATCACAGCTCACTGCAGCCTTGACCTCCTGGGCTCAAGTGATGTTCCTGCCTCATCCTCCTGAGTAGCTGGGACTACAGGCACACACCTCCATGCCTGGCTAATTTTTGTATTTTTTATAGAGACAGAGTTTCACCATGTTGCCCAGGCTGGTTCTGAACTCCTAAGCTCAAGTGATCTGCAGCCTCAGCCTCCCAAAGAGCTGGGATTACAGGCGTGAGCCACCACCATGCCCGACCACTTTTATGCTTCTATTATTTTCTGTGTATCAGGTTAAGGTAAGAATCTCATTCTACAAAATGTCAGATTTAGTACGAGCTAAAGGTCAACATATACTTAAGGCTGATACTCAGTTCCACTACCACTTATTCCTGCTTACATCAGTACCATACTGTTTATACTGACATTAGAATACAATTTAATATCTCACAGACTTTAAACTTGGCTCAGAACTTCACCCAGAACTTGAGTAAATTCTACCAAAACCAAGTATCTCAGGTATGTCCACTTGTTTTTTTTTTGAGACAGAGTCTCGCTCTGTTGCCCAGGCTGGAGTGCAGAGGCACAATCTCGGCTCACTGCAAGCTCCGCCTCCCGGGTTCACACTGTTCTCCTGCCTCAGCCTCTTGAGTAGCTGGGACTACAGGTGCCCGCCACCATGCCCGGCTAATTGTTTTGTATTTTTAGTAGAGATGGGGTTTCACCGTGTTAGCCAGGATGGTCTCCATCTCCTGACGTCATGATCTACCCGCCTCGGCCTCCCAAAGTGCTGGGAGTACAGGCATGAACCACCGCACCCAGCCTGTCTACTTTTTTTAATCTTTAGTTACTACTCAAGTCCAAATCATGTACTGAAGCAGTCTCAACTCTAATCTTGACTTTTTCATTCCTGAAAATTTGTTCTAACTACTCAAAAAATCTGTGTTTTTCCTTACTATTGGGCAGCCTCCATGTATACTATTTCCTCAGCAATGTTGCTCCTCCCAACTTTTTACACATTACAAAACAGTACCTGGCACACTTCAGTTAGCAAATGAGGCTGCTAAAGGCCAGTGGTAACCAATGGTTCTCTACTTTACTACTTCAATGAATGAAAGAGATGAACTTCTCAGCCCACCTATAATCTACTGATCGTATGAGGTTTACTGCCCGCTGGCTCAGTTGGCACTTCTTAGAGGTCATTAGCATTTCCTAACTCAGTAAATGCAGGTTTTTCCTATCACAGCCTTGCTCACAGCACTTACAGCCTGTGCCATTCCTGAAAATGGTGTGCCTGCTCCATATTTCACTACTTTGATCGTACCAATAAGTCAACGATTGAGTAAGACTATTTATCATAGTCTTGGCTATCTGGTTAATTCATCAGGTCAACAATGATGCTATAATCAGAAACTGAAGCTGTCAAAATGTAATTTTAAATGATGCTTCTAGGCAGGGAGTGGTGGCTCATGCCTGTAATCCTAGTACTTTGGGATGCCAAGGTGGGCGGATCATTTGAGGCCAGGAGTTTGAGATCAGCTAGGCCAACATGGCAAAACCCTGTCTCTACGAAAAATACAAAAATTAGACAGGCGTGGTGGCATGTGCCTGTAATCCCAGCTACTCGGAAGGCTGAGGTGGGAGAATTGCTTGAACCTGGGAGGCGGAGGCTGCAGTGATCCAAGATCATGCCACCGTACTCCAGCCTGGGTGACGGAGTGAGACTCTGCCTCAAAAAAAAAGAAAAAGAAAAAAAAAAAAAGAGTTCCTAGACTTAGAATATTTTATGTCAAGTAGAAAGTGTGACAGTGTAATATGATATTATGTGTGTTACAGGGCTCCTGAACCTGGTCAGCCTACAAACATTTACTGGCTACTTACCACACAAGCCAGTCTCAGAGAAATCTGTGAACATCTGTATGTAGGCTATTGCTTTCTAGATGTCACTATTAGAGAAGTTTACACCTTGGGCTCTAAAAACAATTCCAGATTATCAAGGTATGTTAAGTACCATGCCCAGACATCTTAAATATACTTGTTCTGCTTCTGTTTTTACTAGTAGATGAGTTATTTTCTTTGCAAAGGCAAATGGTTATTTAAAAAACTCTAGAATAGTTACACAAGCTTACAGAAATTAATGACTTTAGATAGAAACTATTTTATTATCAATTTCTCTCAAACAGAAATATAACAAAAACCACTTACTAGAAGTCATTCCTGGTTGCGGCTGTCCCATGTTAGGCCCTGGATTCATGGAAACTGGAACCATGCCTGCAGCATTTGGTAGCATGTTCTGCTTCTGTAGTCTGGTCCTTCGTTTTTCTTCTAGTTCTTTCTGGATCTTATAGATTTTCTCAGCTAGAAGGTGGTAGTATTCCGCCTTTTGAATTGTTGAAGTAAAATAAGGGAGATGAGGAAAAAAGGAACTACCACCAGGTAACAGAAAAAATAAACTGAGAATAGATATTAGTTTCATTTTATATGCTGCATTAAGAACTGGTGCCAATTTAGAAAGGAAAGTTCAACTTATGTAGAGAATCTGAACTACCGTGAACAACAGTTAAGTCGCTACTTCATTATATTCTAGTGAAAAGAGAACACAGCTGGTAACAGCTCAGCACCACCCCACTCCTGTTTTTGAGAGAGACAAGGTCTCCCTCTGTCACCAGCAGCGCAATCCCGAATCACTGCAGCTTGACTTCCAAGGCTCTGGTGATTCCCCCACCTCAGCCTTTTGAGCAGCTGGGACAACAGGCACGTGCCACCATGCCTGGCTAATTTTTTGTAGAGATGGGGTTTTGCTATGTTGCCCGGGCTGGTCTCCAACTCCTAGGCTCAAGTGATCCGCCCACCTCAGACTTTCAAACTGCTGGGATTACAGGCACCGAGCCACTGCACTCGGCCAGCTCAGCCACTTTTTAGGTTGACAGGACAACCAGATAAAGTGCCACATGAGTGCACTGTATTAGGAGGAAAAACATAAGATTCTTGATGACATACACTTAAGAAACTGCTTTGGTATCCTAACTATGCTTGGGGACAATAAGACGGGATAGCTACAGCGTGTCCCCCGTCTGAAGCATATGTACTACTTGTACATGCTAAAGAGGAATAAAATAACCACAACAGGTTCAATCTTGGCTATTAATAGAAAAAAACCAGACACTCACTCGATTGTTTGCAGATTCATACATGTCCCCTTCAACTTTCCGAGCATATGCAACTAGGTTTTCCATCCGTCTGTCTTTTAAAGCAGCAGGATCCGGCGTAGGAAATATGGCTTGGACGCTGGAAAAAGAAAATCCTACCACTGTAATATCATGTCAGCATTTAATTAGTATTTTTCTGATTTTTATACACTGAACACATAGAGGAAAAGAAAAAATAATGGCAAGGTGATATATATTACTTACTGAAATGAAATTATCTTTTTGTGATAAACAAAAGAATTTTTGTCTATATTTCCGTTCACAATATAAGAAATGACTCTATAAAAAATACTCTTTGGTCCCTGTTACTCTAGACATAAAGCAAAATATTACTTTGGGTTACATACTAAAGACAGTGAGGAAAACAGGCCTTGTCATAGTATCAAGTAGCCTTCAGAGTTCCATCTGCTCTTCTAAATTTATTATTTAGCTTACTGAAATAAAATTCAGTAACCACTCTAAAATGTTAAAACATCAAAAACTTGAACTGTTCTGACAAAGGCTTATAAAAAACAAACAAAAAACCAAAAACCTGAAGTGGACAGACCAGAAATGCGTAATGATTCTGTTAGATTCAGTTTTTCACTTTCATGCAATTCCCTAACAAAATGTTTTGCACTAGTATCTCTTATGACTGACAAATGTGATCTTTAGGCACTAATTTTATTTGGACATCCCGTACTCAGTTGCATAGGACTTGAAGGAACCAGATCAAGAAGATATAAATGGAAGTCCAGAATAATACCAAGTTGGTAGAAAACTCGAGCATATATAATAAACTTTTAACGTAAAGTCAAATGATCAACCCCAAATAATCATCTCTGTCCATTAAATAAAAGTTCCTGAATAGTCTGTCACAAAATAAGAGATCGGTTATTCTTTATTAAAGGAATAATTTCATTAAACTTGTGAAGTTCTTTCCTTGTCAAATTCCGTTACTTAGTGCTACCACTGAAGAATTCCTGGCTGGACACAGTGGCTCAACGCCTATAATCCCAGCCCTTTGGGAGGCCAAGGCAGGTGGATCACCTGAGGTCAGGAGTTCGAGACCAGCCTGGCCAACACGGCGAAACCCCATCTCTACTAAAAATACAAATATCAGCCAGGTGTGGTGGCAAACACCTGTAACCCCAGCTACTTGGGAGGATGAGACAGGAGAAACGCTTGAACCCAGGAGACGGGAGGTTGCAGTAGCCAGCCGAGATCACGACACTGCACTCCAGCCTGGGCGACAGAGAAAGACTCAGTCTCAAAAACAAAAACAAAAACAAACAAACAAAGAATCCTAAATGATTAGCAAGCATGGGTTCGTGGGAGGAAAAAAAAATTCCTAAATGAAACGTATATAATTGGTAGTTTGACATAACATAAAAATAAATTAAGACAAAATGATAAATAGTTCCTCAGTCAATTAAAAAATATGGATACAGTAAAGACGACCCTGCTATTAACTGAAAGTGAAATGAAAAGACTTCTCCAAGAAAAAATACTGCATGGTGTTTGAAGGGTAAACTCTGTAATTGGCAAGGTCCAAGCTCTACCTTTTTATGATGCTGAGCACATTTCATTACCTTGCTCTATATGCCTCCCCCTCCTTCATCTGACAAAAACTCTTTAGATTAAGATGGAGTTCGTAAGGGGAGAGTGCCTGAAATATATCAACTTCTCAAAAATAAACTGCCATGTGCACATCTGGAGGACGAGAAGACCAGAGAGTCCACCCTACCAGATTTTTACATAATAAAAGCTCTACCAGGACAGGCGTGGTGGCTCACACCTGTAATCCTAGCACTTTGGGAAGCTGAGGCAGGCGGATCACTTGATGTCAGGAATTTGAAGTCAGCGTGACCAACACAGTGAAACCCCGTCTCTACTAAAAATACAAAAATTAGCCAGGTGAGGTGGCACGTGCCTGTAGTCCCAGCTACCTGGGCGGCTGAGACAGGAGAATCACTGGCACCTGGGAGGCGAAGTCTGCAGTGAACCAAGATCGTGCCACTGCACTCCAGCCTGGGCAACAGAGTGAGACTCCATCTCAAACAAACAAAAAACCCCTGCTCTACCAGGAGTAACAGAAAAGGATGTTATCAATGCAATATTTTAATGAGCTGAGGCCTAGTTTTTCTTAGATATATAAGTTTTGCAAAGGCAATAGCTAAAAACAATGTTTAATATATTATTTACTGTCACTAGACAGAATAGTTCACATACCATTAAAGCTGAAAGACTACCATAGATGATGGTGGGAAAGGTTGAGAAGGAAAAAAGCAGCAGCAGCAAGAAATCCACAAGAGTAGAAGTATCAACATCAACCTCCATGCTACAGAAAAATTGCTAATATTCCTTTAGTAATTAAATGCCCAGGAGATTGAAAACATGTTGACGTAACATCTCTTTACGAATGAGACGTGTCCACAATCTTACTTACAGTTTGTGAACAAGATGATTTCGAAGATCCTGAGTAATATCTTCGTGCCACTGTTTCCGAATTCCAGTAGTGGATGGTTGAGCTGCTGTTGGCATAGGACCCAGGGAGGGCACACTGGCATTTTCACTCATCATTGGGCTTCAAAAAGGGGTCACCAAATAGTTTTAGTGAAGAAAGGTAGGAGAAGACCTCATTTAATTCAAGCTGACACTGATTATTGTAATGGAATCAATATGCTATGTCACTTCTATTCGCATTAAGGAGCTAGGCAGGGAGAAGTGTGTGACTAGACTGATTTTAAACTGTGCATGTTCATACCTGTGTGAGGGTAAGTTGTATTTCTTTGGAGGGCAGGATGATGTCCTAACACAAGATATCATAAGACTTCATTTTCTGGGTTTTGTCTGTAATGCCTTTTTTTTTTTTTTTTTTTTGAGACAAAGTCTTGCTCTGTTGCCCAGGCTGGACTGTAGTGGTGCAATCCCAGATCACTGCAATCTCTGCCTTCTGGGTTCAAGCGATTCTCCTGCCTCAGCCTCTTGAGTTGGTGGGATTACAGGCACCCGCCACCACGTCCGGCTAATTTTGTATTTTAGTAGAGATGGGGTTTCATCATGTTGGCTAGGCTGGTCTCAAACTCCTGACCTCAAGTGATCCACCCACCTGGGCCTCCCAAAGTGCTGAGATTACAGGCGTGAGCCACTGAGCCCAGCCATTTTTTTTTCCTTCTTGAGATGGCGTGTCGCTCTGTCACCCAGGCTGGAGTGCAGTGGCATGATCTCAGCTCACTGCAACCTCTGCCTCCGGGGTTCAAGCGATTCTCCTGCCTCAGCCTCCTGAGTAGCTGGGATTACAGGTGGATGCCACCATGCCCGGCTAATTTTCTTATTTCTAGCAGAGACAGGATTTCGCCATGTTGCCCAGGCTGGTCTTGAGCTTCTAAGATCAAGCAATCTGCCTGCCTCGGCCTCCCAAAGTGCTGGGATTACAGGGGAGCTGCCATGCTCGGCCCATACTTAGTTTTCTAAGGCTTGTGTTATCAGACTAAGCTGTCATTTTAACACAGCTCACCTCAGGGAATGCTTTGGATGATGGACTACCTCTCTTTTTAAAATAATAATTTTTATCTTTTGAGACACAGTCTCGCTGTCACCCAGACTAGGGTGCAGTGGTGTAATCACGGCTCACCAGAGCCTCGACCTCCCAGCCTCAAGTGCTCCTCCCACCTCAGCCTCATCAGTAGCTGGGACTACAGGTGCACGCCACCATGCCCCGTTAACTTTTTTGTATTTTCTTGTAGAGAAGACGTCTTGACATATTGCCCAGGCTGGTGGACTAATTCTTAACATCAGGATAAGGCTATTATGGAGCTGTAACCTTGCAACATCCTACTGTATTAGGGAAGGTGTAGGCTACACTAGAAAATCAATACAATTTCGATTAAGGCTGTAGAAAGAAGAAAGAGTGGGCTAGGCGTGGTGGCTCACGCCTGCAATCCCAGCACTTCGGGAGACTGAGGCAGACGGATCGCGAGGTCAGGAGTTCAAGAACAGCCTGGCCAACACAGTGAAACCCTGTCTCTACCAAAAGTACAAAAATTAGCTGGGCATGGTGGTGTGTTCCTGTAATCCCAGCTACTCAGGAGGCTGAGGCAGGAGAATTGCTTTAACCAGAACCAGGAGGCAGAGGTTGCAGTGAGCTGAGATCATGCCACTGCACTCTAGCCTGGGCTACAGAGCGAAAAAAGAAAGAATGGACTCAAACATCTATCTGTATTCAAAGACATCCTCAAACCGAGGAAACTAAGTTCAAAAGTCAAACAATGAATTGTTAACCAGTAGTATTTGTAATGTGACCCAGGGTATAAATCACGTTAAGACTTACTTTTGAGAATTTATGGCTGAATGCAACATTGAGTCAGAAAGAAGACTCGGCGTTTGAACTCCTACACCTCCATTTACTCCCATAGGACTAGCACCTAAGTCAAAATGAAATAACAGGAGACAGAAATAAATACAACAGCCACCATACAATAAATACTATAAAGTTAAGAAACAAATGACAAATCAGAAAAAAAATTTGCAGCATATACAATAAATAATTGACAATATAACTGGCAACACATATGTAAAGGCTGATTTGAAGCACCCTTACAAACAGGTAAGAAAAAGATGAAGCACCCAACAGTAAATCATAGAAAACGAAACATAACTTAAAAAAAAAAAGCAAATGTGACCAGGCGCAGAGGCTCACGCCTGTAATCTCAGCACTTCAGGAGACCAGAAGAAATAAAAACAAAGGGAACTTGAGTAATCTTAAATCTAATTCTAAATAAAAAGACACGAAGAAATGGGGGCAAAAATCCCCCAAAATTATCATTCAAATAATTGTGCATATATATAAAAGTACATAGGCAAGATAATATAATGAGAGGAAAAGAGCTATAATAGGAACTATAAACATAACTTTGAAAAACAAAAGGGAACTACCCAATTACAGTAATGAAATTCCAGGCCAGGGGAAGACAACAACCTACTAAAACTTAAGGAAAAAGGTAAGTGCATTCTGCGTAACATGGAATGGGAGATAAAAAAGCAATGCTGGCTGGGCGTCCTGTAATCCCAGCACTTTGGGAGGCCGAGGTGGGCGGATCACGAAGTCAGCAGTTCAAGACCAGCCTGGCCAATGTGGTGAAACCCTGTCTCTACTAAAAGAAAACACAAAAAGGTGGTGGTGTGCGCCTAGTCCCAGCTACTCTTGGAGGCTGAGGCAGGAGCATCGCTTGAACCCAGGAGGCGGAGGTTGCAGTGAGCCGAGATGGCGCCACTACACTCCAGCCTGGGCGACAGAGTGAGATGTTGTCTCAAAAAGAAAAAGAAAGAAAGAAAGAAAAAAGCAATGCTCATTCCAAGACAGAAGATATAAAACAAGAGGGGAAAATATGCTAGTGTCCAGGTCCAACTTTCCATTACCGCTGTACATGTTATTTTCAATACAGAAGAGGTAAAAGGAAGCCTGAAAAGGCAAGATTGCTCCTCATCCCTTTTCCTAGTCCTGCTTAAAAACTCGTCACTCAATAATTATTTAACTAGTTAGTACTGGTTGTCATGGAAGTAACGAAAAACACAAACTGCTTTGGGAGGTCGAGGCAGGCGATCACTTGAGCTCAGGAGTTCAAGACCAGCCTGGGCCACATGGCGAAACCCTGTCTCTACAAAACATACAAAAATTAGCCAGGCGTGGTGGTGCACGTATGTGGTCCCAGCTACTTGGGAGGCTGAGGTGGGAGTACCGCTTGAGCCCAGGAGGCAGAGGATGCAGGCCAAGATCGCACTACTGCACTCCAGCCTGGGTGACACAGCGAGACCCAGTCTCAAACACACACATACACACACAGTGAGACCAATCTCACACACACACACACGTACGTTTCCAGTTATCAGACCCAGTCTCAAAAACACACATGCACACAGCGAGACCAAACTCAAACACACACGTACGTTTCTAGTTATCCATAATTTATCTAAGAAAACTTATCTAAGTCCCTGATTAGGTAAAACTCAAGAAAAACATCCTCCTTGAAAATACTACTTTCAAGAATGAAATCAGAAAAAAAAAAAAAAAAAAGAAAAGAATGAAATCAACAGACCAAGTAATAAACAATAACAACAGGGCAGGAATGAAGAATCTAAAGAATATTAAAATAGAAATGGTCTGGTACAATGAGCATTAGCACAACTGTCTAAAATAGTCATGCCAGTGACTGCAAAATCTGACTTACAAACTTGAATACAAGAAGCTCCATGTCACTATCTAGCATTTTAGATCTTAAATTATTAAAAGTCAAAATCAAAATTGATGGGTCTAAAAATGTTTGCATTTCACTCTCATAACTTTCAGTTTCTGACAAAACAGTTGTTCAACAGTTTTGAAAACAGGAGCATTAAACTTTACTGCACAGTGGCTCAACATGTGCTTAAAAGCAGATCACTGGTTTGAAAATACTGTTATTATATAGTAAAGAAAAACAGAAAGAAAAAAATGTCCTGAAGATTAATTCAAAAACCAAAAATGGGAGCAACAGAACACAGCAGTGGAAAATAGGAAGAAAGTAAAAAATAGCAGTATGGGTTGGTTGGCATCCCAAATACAGAAATCCAAAACTTTGTGAATGATATTCAAGGGAAATGCTCAATGCAGCATTTTGATTTTTGGATTTGGGATTCTCAACTCAACCAGCAAATATAAACATTCCAAACTCCGAAAAAAATCTAAAGTACTCTGCTTTCAAGCATTTAGGAAAAGGGATACTCAATCTGTATTAAAAAATAATCTTAGAGGGTCAGGCACAGTGGTTCATGTCTGTAATCACAGCACTTTGGGAGGTTGAGGCAGGCAGATCACCTGAGGTCAGGAGTTCAAGACCAGCCTGGCCAACATGGCAAAACTTCGTTCCAAAAAAAAAATTAGCTGGGTGTGGTGGCAGGTGCCTCTAATCCCAGCTATTTGGGAGGCTGAGGCAGGAAGAACTGCTTGAACCCAGGAGGCGGAAGTTGCAGTGAGCCAAGATCGTGCCACTGTACTCCAGCCTCGGTGACACAGCGAGACTCTGTTTCCGGGGTGGGGGTGGGGGGGGGGATAATCTTAGGCCAGGTGCGGTGGCTCATGCCTGTAATCCCAGCACTCTGGGAGGCCAAGGCAGGAGGATTGCTTAAGACCAGGAGTTCAAGACCAACCTGGACAAGACCTGGTCTCTACAATGCTGGATGTCTAACTACTCAAACAAAATAGCTTAGATATTTGAACTGCTTGACAGCAGAGGGATAGACACAGAAAAAAGCTGTTTGATTTTATCATATGCAATTAGAGAAACATACATATCCCAAAATTAAGATATTAGAACAATTCTTCCAATGTTATCATATGCAATCAGAGAAACATATATATCCCCAAATTAGGATACTGGAACACTTCTCCCTCTTCCCTCTCAGTCATAAAACAGGAAGTGAGGCAAACAAGTCACAAAAAAACTATTTGAAAAGGCACACTATTCCTCCTGCCAGACATGAGGAAATCATTACCAACTACACTCATTTCTATATGTTTCAGCCCAAAATGCCTCAAGTCAAAACACAATTTCTGTTGTATAGTTTAAAGCAGCAGAATAATTGGAGATCTCAATGTCCATCTGTAAGAGATTGTTGGGCCGGGTGCAGTAGCTCACGCCTGTAATCCCAGCATTTTGGGAGGCCCAGGTGGGTGGATCACGAGGTCAAGAGATTGAGATCATCATGGCCAACATGGTGAAAACCCCACCTCTACTAAAAATACAAAAATTAGCTGGGCATGGTGGCACGCGCCTGTAGTCCCAGCTACTCAGGAGGCTAAGGCAGGAGATTCGCTTGAACCCGGGAGGCAGAGGTTGCAGTGAGCCGAGATCGTGCCACTGCATTCCAGCCTGACAACAGAGCGAGACTCCATCTCAAAAAAAAAAAAAAAAAAAAGAATGAAAGAATGACATACTATACAACCATTTAAAATGATACATGGAATACTGACTATGAAAGATGTCTACATAGTATTTTTTTTTTTTTTGAGATGGAGTCTTGCTCTGTCACCCAGGCTGGAGTGCAATGGCTCAATCTCAGCTCACTGCAACCTCTGCCTCCCAGGTTCAAGCCATTCTCCTGTCTCAGCCTCTCGTGTAGCTAGGATTACAGGCACGCACCACCACACCCTACTAATTTTTGTATTTTTAGTAGAGACGGGGTTTCACTATGTTGGTCAGGCTGGTCTCAAACTCCTGACCTTGTGATCCACCCACCTTGGCCTCCCAATGTGCTGG
The DNA here is from genome assembly GCF_000001405.40 of Homo sapiens. Classification (NCBI taxonomy): domain Eukaryota; kingdom Metazoa; phylum Chordata; class Mammalia; order Primates; family Hominidae; genus Homo; species Homo sapiens. The sequence goes on along the minus strand of NC_000022.11, from coordinate 41,131,945 downwards.
GATTACAGGTGTTAGCCACCATGCCCGGCCCGTCTACACAGTATTAATCAAAGTTTGTTGTGGAATAACATATGGGATCTCATTTCTGCAAATCTGAACTCATATAATGCAAAAAAGGATCAAGGAAGATACAAACCAGTGGCAGTTACCTCTCGTAGATGAACTGTAAGGGACCTTTTACACTGTAATCTTTAAAAAATTACTTAAAAAATCATGTAGCAGAAAAAATAAAAAGGAGCTAACAACACTGTGTTTATAGATGTCATTTACTGACACAACCAATACCATGTTATTAGGATGACACAAACTTACTCATGTTGCTCATGGGCCGCATGCCTTGGGGAGACTGCCCAGGCTGCTGATTCTGCTGGTTCTTTGCTTGCACCTGGGGTTGTGTCGGCATCTGATTTACTTGATAGGGTAGTCCAAGAGCTGCATAGGCTCTTTCTATGGAGCTGGGATCAATCTGACTAACAGTGCTTAGGTTGGGGGCAGACTGTTGACCCACCCCTAGAGAGCTAGGATTTCCAAGTCCAACGGGTGCTCCAGTCAAAATTGCTAGAGAAGACAAAAGATATAGTATTACAAATTAATGCTGGTGAGAAAAAAAAGACTAACATGTCTAATAAAAAACCCCACAAAATTATTGTTACGTGATTATGAAACATCTGAGTATGTGGATCTTGTCTTCCATTATTTCCTGGAAGAAATTTCTAGATGCAGAACTGATTGGTAAAGGGGACCACTGGTATAAAAGGCTTTTGATTCTGAATGCCCAATAGCCTTCCCAAAGGGCTTTATTAATGTTCCGACCAACACTGTATGAATGCTTTGGAGCCATTCAACTGCCAACACCCGGCAGCATCATTTCTGCCTACACTACAGGAGAGAAACGATACCTTATTTCTCTTCTTAATAGTGAATTATATTGGGAGTTCCCCTCTCTCCTCCCGTCTCTGGTGAATTGTCTATTTTCTATTCCCAATTCTTGTTATAAAATTTAATTCCATTTTCAAATGCTGTACAATACTTCCCAAATTTGTCCTTTAACCCTAAAAGCTTAAATTTTTGTTGCTATAGAGATGTGGTAGTTACAATTTTAAAGTGTTAATCTCGTCTTTTCTCTTAAAAAAAAAAAGCTCTTCTATATCCCAATATTATAAAAATAATCTCATATTTTTTCTTTTTAAAATAATTTCCAAGTACCTGGAACGTTTAGATCACAAGTATAGTATAAAAGAATAACTTGCCCAATGCCAAAGCAACGGTCTTTAAATTTTCATAGGTTCAAAGCAGAACATAAATTTACCTATTGCTGTTTGTATAAATAATAAGTATTGAGAGTTCCTGGATCTTATTTTGGATGTTAAGCAGTGTTCAGTTGTTTTTTTTGTTTTGTTTTGTTTTGTTTTTTTTAAAGACAGGGTATCCTTGTGTCACCCAGGCTGGACTGCTGTGCCACAATCATAGCTCACTACAGCCTCCACCTCCTGGATTCAAGCAATCCTCTCATCTCAGCCAGGCACACCACACACAACTAATTTTTAAAGTTTTTGGAAGATACAAGGTCTTGCTAAGTTGCCTAGGCTGGTCTTGAACTCCTGGGAATCCTCTTGCCTTGGCTTCCAAAACTGTTGGGATGACAGGCATGAGCCACTGCACTGTTTTTTCTTTCTTTTTTTTTTTTTTTTAATTGAGGCAGGTTCTCACTCCATCACTCAGGCTGGAGCGCAGTAACATGACCATAGCTCACTGCAGCCTCAAACTCCCTAAGCAGTTCAATTCTATGCACTAGGGAAGCAGAAAAATTAAAAGGGAAAAAAACATTTATTCAACATAGTACAACACCACAGGTCCCTCACATAATCAAGTAGTACTATAAATGGCACTGGTGAGACTTTAAAACTTTTCATATAAACCTTCAAAAGATTTCATCACTTACGCTGTTGATTTCTCTTATCACCAGCATTTTTGAGGGGGAGACACACAGGACAATCATGTCTTGTACAATTCTTCCAGTGTGAAATGATTTGTCGAGAAGATGCACAGTGTGCCACTAAAGAGAAGAAAACATATTTTTTCAAGAGCAGGTTAATGTTTTTACATTAATAATAGCTAACTTGTTGACCACTTAATAAGTAACATAAATGCATTAACTTATTTCATCTTCCTAACAGCCCTATAAGGTAGCTCCTATTAATACTCAGAATTCACAGTCAAGAAAGGCAAAAAGAATGGGTAAGCAATTTGCACAAAGTCACAGAGTACTCAAAGTGAGATTCAACCTCAAGCAGTCTGGCTTAAGAGCCCTCATTTTTCACCATGCTATACACAACCTACTTTATTCTAAGCAAATGTACTCTAAACCAATGTTATGACACACATGCCTATAAGAACACTTTTTAATGACTTCATACAAATTGTATTAGATCGGGTAAAAATGACTGCAGTAAATTGTATTAAATTGAACACTTGCCTACATGACAGTTAGCAAACCCTCAATAACATTTAAAGTATGCTATGCTAGGGCAAATAAAAATCAAAGTCTATGAGGATCACCACATGGGAAGACCTTTAAAATTTATTCTCTTCTCACATCCTTAGATACTTGCTCACAAAAACGATAGTGTGTTTTGGCCGGGCGCGGTGGCTCACGCCTGTAATTCCAGCACTTTGGGAGGCCGAGGCGGGCGGATCACGAGGTCAGGAGATAGAGACCATCCTGGCTAACACAGTGAAACCCCGTCTCTACCAAAAATACAAAAAAAATTAGCCGCCATGGTGGCGGGCGCCTGTAGTCCCATCTACTCGGGAGGCTGAGGCAGGAGAATGGCATGAACCCAGGAGGCGGAGCTTGCGGTGAGCTGAGATCACACCACTGCACTCCAGCCTGGGCGACAGAGCGAGACTCCATCTCAAAAAAAAAACTGTGTTTTTATCATTTCCTAAAATAACGTCACTATCAGTAAAGGAGTCTCAAAATTGATTTTGTTTATGGCAGCTTTATTCGTAATTGCCACAGAATGGACGCAGCCAAGACGACCTTTACCGAGTGAGTTAACTGTGATGATGCATTTAGACAATGGAATTTTCTAAATGCTTTGGGGTATAAATATTTTTTAAATTGCACATATTGGCCAAGCGTGGTGGCTCACGCCTGTAATCCTAACACTTTGGGAGGCCAAGGCGGGTGGACCACAAGGTCAGGAGATTGAGACGATCCTGGCCAACACGGTAAAACCCCGTCTCCACTAAAAATACAAAAAATTAGCCGGGCATGGTGGTAGGCGCCTGCCTGTAGTCCCAGTTACTTGGGAGGCTGAGGCGGGAGAATGGCATGAACCTGGAAGGTGGAGTTTGCAGTGAGCCGAGATTGTGCCACCACACTCCAGCCTGGGAAACAGAGCGAGACTCTGTCTCAAAAAACAAATAAATAAAATAAAATAATTTTAAAAAATTACACATATGTACACTGTTTTTTTTTTGAAACAGGGTTTGGTTCTATCGTCCAGGCTGGAGTGCAGTGGTATGATGTCGAATCACACCAACCCCTGCCCTCTTGGGCTCAAGCCATCCTCCCACCTCAATCTCCCAAGTAGCTGGGACTACAGGAACACACCCAGACATCTGGCTGATTTTCTTTAGTATTTTTTTGTAGAGACGAGGTTTCACCATATTGCCCAGGCTGGTCTTGAACTCCTGACCTCAAGTGATCTGCCCACCTCAGTCTCCCAAAGTGCTGGGATGACAGGCATGAGCCACTGCGCCCAACCTTTTTTAAAGACATGGTCTCACATTGTCACCCAGGCTGGAGTACAGTGGCGCAATCATAGCCCCCTGCAGCCTTGACTTCCTGGGCTCAAGCAATCCTCCTTCCTCAGCCTTCTTAGTCCCTCAGCTAGGACTACAGGTGCATCATCATGCCCGGCGAGGTCTTGCTATGTTGTCCAGGCTGGTCTCAAACTCCTGGCCTCAAGCAATCCTCCCCATTTGGCCTACCAAAGTGCTGGGATTGTAAGTGTGAGACACCACACCTGGTCTAATGTATACATTTTGGTGACTTTGTACATACAGACACCATCACCACAATTAAGGTATTAAACATATCCATCACCACAAAATAGACTTGATCACATTTTCCTTCTTCTCCCTGGCTGTAAAAATTGCTAAGTACAGTAACCCTGTGGGTCCACTTACCTTGGCAAGACTTGCCTGACTGGCAGTGTGTCATGTGGTTTAGGACATTCTTCATTGTGCGACAGTGGGGAAGGTTGCACTGCCTCACTTCCCCATTGGCCTGTTCCCGGCGCTGGCACTTGTGAGCATGCAAAAGGAGAACAAGCTGCTGCTGGATGAGCTTGCGCTTCTCTGGATCAGCTGTATGTGCTCCAGAACCCATCCCTTGGGCAACTGGAGTCACCAGGCCTGGCTGCTGGACCTGCGGGGCTGGCTGTTGACCCTGAGAGATATAACAATATATTTAATGGTAGGAGTCATAATGTGCTATTTCTTAATAAATAGAGATGTGGATATTTTCAATGAAAACCTTTATGGTTAGTCTACTATAAGCCAGACTCCATTTTTTGACACAGGGAATGCATAAACCATGGCTCCTACCTTTAAGAAGCTCAATTTAATAAGAAAAAAAATGACATTACGAAGTGATATAAGTATGTATAATACACAGAGAGCAAAAGCAGAGAGAAGGACATGGTAAACTCCAGCGGGAGAGGGAAGGGTGAGAGGGTGTCTGTAGTTAAAAGCACACCCAAATTAGGTTTTAAAGAGCAATGAAGAACTCCTCAAGAGACTCAGCAGAGGGGTCTTTCGGGTTGGTGAAAAACTAGTTTTTCTAAACTCTGGGATAAATTTAGTTTTTTAAATTAAAAAGTGAAGATTTCAGGCCGGGCGCGGTGGCTCACGCCTGTAACCCTAGCACGTTGGGAGGCCGAGGCAGGCGGATCACCTGAGGTCGGGAGTTCGAGATCAGCCTGACCAACATGGAGAAACCCTGTCTCTACTAAAAATACAAAGTTAGCCGGGCATGATGGCACATGCCTGTAATCCCAGCTACTCAGAAGGCTGAGGCAGGAGAGTTGCTTGAAACCAGGAGGGAGAAGTTGCAGTGAGCCGAGATCGTACCACTGCACTCCAGCCTGGGCAACAAGAGCTAAACTCCGTCTCAAAAAAAAAAAAAAAAAAAAAAAAAAAAAAAAGTGAACATTTCTCGGGACAGAGATGACATGTTTCATTCATCTGTATAACTCCAGTACTTGGCAGAGTATCTCAAATATAGGCAGTCCATAAACATAATGACACAAAGGACAAAACTAAAACATCTGAAAGAGGATTTTTTCAGACAATGTTTTTCCAAAGTTGAATGCAGACACATTTACTACTAGTAGTTTGACTGTACAAAAATAACACTAGAAGTTCCTGAAAATTTTATTTAACAAAAATTGCTGTTTAAAACAATACATTACTTTTGAGAGGGAATTTACTTGGGTGTAGTAGAATCAAATAATATTGGTAAATATGGTCACTGAGAGTTCGGATCCTTTGCCAGAGATTCCTTCCCCCAAAAGTGAAAGGTTCCGCTTTCGTATCGTATGGAAACGCTCACAAGACCAAGTTGCTGAATGGCAGGCCCCTAAAACTTCATTGTAGCAGTTCACTTACTCCTGTTTGGATCAACATGCTCACTGATCAATAACCACATGGAACAAAAAAAACAGAGAAATGGAAAGGAAGCACAAGCCTCCTCACAGGGATCATCAAGTACATATCAATTTAGGCTCCTAGTGGGTACAAATCCCAGCATATATAACAGAAGGGTGAAAGTTTAACACAATTCTTTTGTCAAAATGCCAGTTTGAAAACAAGTCTGTAATGGATTAGTACTCACCATGTTGGGCATTCCTCCACCAGGAACTGCCTTTTTGTCCATAGCAAATGGAGATAAGTTATTTGATAGTACAGTTTTTGTCTGAATCTGGAGACCAAGGCCACTGGCTCCAATCTGCTGTCCAGGATTCTGAGTATATGGTGAACCATAAGGATTGGGGTTGTTCATCATTCCCATCTAAGAGTAAGAAACAAAAGAAAACAAAATAAGCAATAAAATTTAAGACATTATTATTCCTTTTCTGATTTCACTTCCAAGTTCACAAAGACAGTTTCAAAGGAAATTCTCAGCTTCTATTAGAAAAGACACTACAGCTTGGGCAACGTGACAAAACCCCATCTCTACTAAAAAATACAAAAATCTGGACATGGTGGCGCAAGCCTATAGTCCCAGCTAATTGGAAGGCTAAAGTGGGATTATCAGTGAAGCCTGGGAGGTAGAGGTTGTAGGGAGCCATGATGGCAAAAAACCAAGTGGCCGGGCCTGGCGACTCATACCTGTAATCCCACCACTTTGCGAGGCCAAGGCAGGAGGGTTTCTTGAGGTCAGGAGTTTGACAACAGCCTGGGGAACATGGTGAAAACCCATCGGTACCAAAATACAAAAAAAAAACCCCAAAAAACAGCCGGGCGCAGTGGCTCACACCTGTAATCTCAGCACTTTGGGAGGCCGAAGCGGGAGGATCATGAGGTCAGGAGATAGAGACTATCCTGGCTAACATGGTGAAACCCCGTCTCTACTAAAAATACAAAAAATTAGCCGGGTGTGGTGGCGGGCGCCTGTAGTCCCAGCTAGTCGGGAGGCTGAGGCAGGAGAATGGAGTGAACCCGGGAGGCGGAGCTTGCAGTGAGCCGAGATCACGCCGCTGCACTCCAGCCTGGGCGACAGAGTGAGACTCCATCTCAAAAAAAAAAAAAAAAAAAAAAAAGGAAAGAAAAGCTGGATGTGGTGGCATGTGCCTGTGGTCCCAGCTACTCAGGAGGCTGAGGTAGGAGGATCACCTGAGCCTGGGAGGTTGAGGCTGCAAGTAAGCCATGATCAGGCCACTGCACTCCAGCCTCGGCAACAGAGTGAGACCCTGTCTCAAAAACAAACAAACAAAAAAAACCCACTATACAAAGTATGCTAACAACAATACATTTTCAAGATTAAGATCAAAATTAAGATTTAGGGGCCTTGGGTATGGTAAATGTACAGAGTTATTTTCATAAATATTTGAAATAAAGATGTTTTAGAAATACTTTTAATCATCTTCATTTAATTCTGTTAAACAAGGTTTGCCATTCATTTCCATTACGTCACACATGATGCTACATGGCGAATTCAACTTAATAAGCCATCTAACCCCTTTGTCATGTTCAAGCATTTGAATGTTTTCTTCTTCTTCTTTTTTTTGACTATTAAAAAATAGAGACAGGGTCTTGCCATGTTGCCCAGGCTGGTCTCAAATTCCCGGGCTCTAGCAATCCTCCCACCACAGCTTCCCAAAGTGCTGCGATTATAGGCGTGAACCACCATGCTTGGCCTCATTTGAATAATTATTCCTGTATTTTGTTTGTATAAAAAGTAGAAAACTGATGGTTTGGGAATATGTCCTTTTTTGTGTAGGGACACTGATGACAGTGTTTTTTAAAACTTCTGATTCTGACTCCTTTACATAGAGCATGCGGAAGTCCAGACTCCACACTATTCCTTGCTGTTTTAAACCTAGCTGCTCTATTAAGTCACCTGCTAAGTCACCTGCTTGGCCCTTCAAGTCATTTGACTTTGCAACCCTTATGTACTTCTCTGTTTTTGAGACAAAGTCTCGCTCTGTCGCCCAGGCTGGGGCGCAGTGGTGCAATTTCGGCTCACTGCAACCTCTGCCTCCTGGGTTCAAGCGGTTATCCTGCCTCAGCCTGAGTAGCTGGGACTACAGGCGTGCGCCGCCATACTCAGCTAATTTTTTTACTTTCAGTCGAGACGGGGTTTCGCCATGTTGGCAAGGCTGGCCTTGAACTCCTGACCTCAAGTGATCTGCCCACCTCGGCCTCCCAAAGTGCTGGGATTACAGGCGTTAGCCACTGTGCCGGCTCCCTCTGTACTTTAAAAAGTAGTTTATGTTCTATATTTATGTTAAGTTCACCTGGAGCCATTATACTATAATAATAATTAATTGAAAAACAGCATTATTCTAAAGTCAAACGTTTTACTAATAATGAAAGTTATAAAAATGCATTTTCATTAATCTTTCAAATTATTTTAAAATAATTCAAAATGGGGTCAACTTTATATCCCAAACAAAGTTTGAAGCCACCGTCCTCTTCTGCCAAATTACACATAGGATCCCAACTACAAGTCATCATCACTACTAGAAACATTGAGCAAACACTCAGAATAACTCAAGATACTATAGCTACTGCCCAATTAAAGGATTCATACCAGATTTCTGTCTGCTAAGACCAATCAAAGGGTCCTTCAATTCTACCTCTAAAAGCACACATAGACACTAAAACCCTTCCCATGTATTCCTACCTACTGTGACTGTCTTAACTCAAACCTATCACAGTGCTTGTACAGACTGTGGACAACAGGTTTGCCTGTCTTCTGTTTTCACCTGCCTCTATAAAAGAAAAAAATCAACCCCACAGTACGTATACCAAAGCCTTTATGAAGTCTGACTACCTATCTATGGTATCTTATATATTTCCTGTACTGATTTCTTAAAGTCTGAAAGTATCACGCTCCTTGAGCCTCCAGCATTTGCCTCAAGCTTTTCCCTTTCCCTACAACTGAACAGTAGCACATTTTCTTTCCTATTTGACTCCTTAATGCCAACCTGGAAATAAACACCAAGTTCACAGAGAGGCATTTTCTGTTGGTTCCTTAGATAGTACAACCTAACTAAGAAACACCTGCAGATTCTACTCATCCTTGTAATTTCAAATGTTACTACCTCTGTGAAGCATCTGTTTTGGACAGGTACAAAGCTCTTAATAAAATTTTTCTTTTACTTTTTATATAAAAAGACAGGGTCTCACTCTGTTGCCTAGGTTGGAGTGCAGTTGCATTATCATAGCTCATTATAATTCCCAACCTCTGGGCTCAAGCAATTCTCCCATCTCAGCCTCCCAAGCAGATGGGACTACAAGCTTGCACCACCATGCCCAGCTAATTTTTGTTTTTATTTTTGTAGAGATGTTGCCCAGGAGTTGACTGAACTCCTAGCCTCAAGCAATCCTTCTGCCTAAGTGCTGGGATTACAGGCATCTCCCACCATGCCTGGCCTAAAATTCGTTCTTTAAATCATATGCAATATCTATACTCTGCAAATCTATGAATATGACATCTTTTTTGGTTCAGCAGTTTGCCTCTATTAAAAAAAACAAAAAAATGTAAATTAATCTTCTTTATACTATTACCAAAAAATGAAAAAAAAAAGTTAAAGAACATTTTCATTTTCCAGATGAAATTCAGAGACTAAGGTAAGTAATTTACAAGAATGATTTACAAGTAATTTACAAGTGGCAGTTTGATGGAAGCATAAAAGAATGAGGTGGCCTGAAATGAGAAGCATTCAGAGAAGATAATTTCTTGGTCGGGCACGGTGGCTCACGCCTGTAATCCCAGCACTTTGAGAGGTGGCGGTGGATGGATCACCTGAGGTCAGGAGTTTGAAACCAGCCTGGCCAACATGGTAAAACCCTGTCTCTACTAATAATACAAAAATTATCTGGGCGTGGTAGCACACACCTGCAATCCCACCTACTCGGGAGACTGAGGCAGGAGAATCACTTAAACCTGGGAGGCAGAGGTTGCAATGAGCCAAGATTGGGCCATTGCACTCCTGCCTGGGCGACAAGAACGAAACTCTGTCTCCAAAAAAAAAAAAAAAAAAAAAAAAGAAGAAGAAGAAAGAAAAAAACCTTCTTGATTCTATGTAAATATGGCCAAAAGATTGCAGGGGCAATAGAATGCAGAAACAGGTTTAAATCAAGTCCAGGCTACTTTTGGTAGTTACAAATCTGACTGCAAGTGCTGCTGCTACCTATGTTTTTTTTAAACTACTAGTATTTATCCTATGTGGCTCCAATAATATCCATACCTATACATGGGGGAGTTGTTTAACCTGTTTCTTATTAGCATGAAAATTCATGATAGATATAGTATGAAAGTCATTCTATCACAGAACCCGCATGACAAACAATAAAAGACTAAGACAATAAATTATGCCCTCAAGAGTCCTATTATCTGAATCAACAAAATGTTGGAATTTCTAAGCTGTGTTGTTGTCTCTTGTTAATAAATGTAATGTCTTTATCCAAATATTTCCCCAAACAATCTGGTCCTTCATGATTGCATGCCTTGCCTGCCTAGACCAACTGAATTTCAACCAATTCCTGACACTGCTTGTTCCCTTGATCACGATGCATTACCTGGAAACTCCAAGCTCCTCTATGGCAGACTATGGGTTTAAATACACAGACTACACTGATTGCTGATCAGCTGGCAGTAATTTCTTCCTGACACTTTTGGTCACTGTGACCAAAAAAGATTCTCTAGCTTTTGTTTTTCCATCTCCCACACAGATCTGCTGAGGAATTAGAAAATAAAATACCAACCAACCTCCAGATCACTGCCCCTTCTATCTCCTGAGCCCTGCTTCTTTACTCCCCACACTAAATGTAATAAGGAAGATTTTGTACTTAATTTCTGCTACACTATAGTTATTTGATCTTGTTTCTTTCTCCATAGCTAATATGCTCCAGATGTCCAATTACCCACCACCATACAAATAGCTACCTAAACTAAAAAGGAGAGGGTGAGGAAGCCACACAAAGTTCTAGGCAGCTACAAGAAATGCGTCCTGCAGACAACTATTCTTTCTTTTTTGAAAAAAAAGAAAAAAGAAAAAAGAAAAGTAGAGATGGGGTCTCATTATGTTGCCCAGGCACATCTCGAACTTCTGGCTTCAAGAGATCCTCCTGCCTCAGCCTCCCAAAGCGGTAGGAATACAGATGTGAACTACTGAGCCATGCCTATTTTTTCTTCTTGAAAAAAATGTGGCCAGGCTTAGTGGCCCCTGTCTGTAATCTGAGCACTTTGGAAGACCAAGGCAGGTGGATTGCTTGATGCCAAGACAACATAGTGAGACCCTGTCTCAACAAAAATAAAAATAACTGGCAGGGCATGACAGTCCTTGTAGTACTAGCTACTTAGGAGTCTGAGGTAGGAGGATCGCGTAAGCCTGGGAGATCAAGGCTGCAAGTGAGCTGTGATGGTGCCACTGTACTCCAGCCTGGGTGATAGGAAGAGATCCTGTCTCAAAAACAAAAGTAACTTAAAACATTCTGGCTTTGATTAGTTTATGCTGAATCTAAAGATTGGGGTAAAAGGCAGTATGATCCAAGTTTCTTCCTATAAATCACCATAGGTCAGACTTTTGGAAGACAGCTGTAGTAGTAATGTCACCACCTGCCTGCACCTCCTGAACCACAGATTCATCCATGACAAGAACGGTGTGCAAAAGCTGATGTCATTTGCCAACAGGGTTACAGTCATCAAATCTTACTGAAAACTTTCTTACACCTTAAATCCTAATTCTTAAATATCACAAGTCTTAGGAGTTTAAGAAATGTAATGAGTATAATTCGCTCTACAAGATAATTTTAGGACTTGGTACAGTGGAAGGGCAACTGCTGGCGTGGGTGTGCCACGACACAAGGATAATTTTTTGTTTTTGGTAGAGATGGGGGTCTCACTATGTTGCTGGGGCTGGTCTGGAATGATTCTAGGTGTGAACCGCTGCATCCAGCCTTAAGTGGTTATCTTATCCTAAACCTACATAACTTAAAACATTTGTTAAATTTATTAAACATTTAAAGCTCCCTCATTTGTCAAACACTGATATAAGTACTCTACAAAATATCAATATAGGTGGATTCATTTAAAATAAGAAAATAGGCCTAGGTGCGGTGGCAACACTTTGGGAGGCCGAGGTGGGCAGATCACTTGAGGTCAGGAGTTCACAACGAGCCTGGGCAACATGGTGAAACTCCTTCTCTACTAAAAATACAAAAATTAGCCAGGCTTGGTGGCGCATGCCTGTGGTCCCAGCTACTTGGAGCCTGAGGCAGGAGAACTGCCTGAACCCGGGAGGCAGAGGTTGCAGTGATCCAAGATCACGCCACTGCACTCCAGCATGGGCAACAGCAAGACTCGGTCTCAAAATAAAAATCAAATAAGGAAATAAAATATCGTTTAACAGAAGTTTAAAATTTGAATTCCTCCTTCTCATCAAAATACAAGCTCCACAAGGACAGGGATTTTTGTTTTGCTCACTTCTATATAAACCCAGTTTCTGAAAGAAATTAAGATTATAACCATAATAGTCCCACACCCCCAAGCAGATGTCAATGAGCCTTTCCTTATTTTTCTCCATAGCACTTACCTGGCATACTCTAAAATTTATATCTTATGTGCACAGTAGAAAGTAGGTTACATAAAATAAGTTCATTCACTACTTTAACCCTAAAGTATTTTGTCCACCAGTGAGGGTTTATTGTAAGTCATCCCTCCTCTCCGTAACAGAATATAAACATCGGTGGCAAGGACTTTCTCTCTTCATAGCTATGTTCCTAGATCCTAGAAGAGGTACTTAATAATTTACCTTGTTTTTGGTTCTCACTCCAAATATTCTAAGTAAACTACACTGACACGGCAATCTAAAAGTGTCAGAGGATGGGTGCAGTGGCTCACACCTGTAATCCTGGCACTTTGGGAGGCTGAGACAAGAGGATCACTTGAGCCCAAGAGGAGTTTGAGATTAGCCTGAGCAACATAGTGAGACCCCATCTCTTAAAAAAAAAAAAAAAAAAAAAAAAAATAATAATAAGCCAGGCATGGTGGTATGTGCCTTCAGTTCCAGCTACTCAGGAGGCTGAGGCGAGAAGACTGTTTAAGCCTGGTAGGTTGAGGCTGCAGTAAGCCATGATTAGGCCAGTGCACTCCAGCCTGGGTGACAGAGTAAGACCCTGTCTCAAAAAAAAAAAAAAAAGGTGGCGGGGGTGAGGGGCAGAAAGGGAGAATCTACAAAGGAATGCTAAAACAGAATCCTAACTTGTCAATATTCTCGCAGCAAAAAAAAATTTAAGGTTTTTGAATTCCTACATGTCACCTCAGTTCCCCCCAACACAAGTTTGTCCATCTGTCTTCAATTCACACTTGCATTCTCTGTCACCATCAAGGTTCTTTTTTTTTTTTTCCCCTTAAATAGAAGATGGGGTCAATGCTACCTGGTTGGTCTCTTAACTCCTGGGCTCAAGCGATCCTCTAGCCTTGGCCTCCCAAAGTGCTGGGATTACAGGCATGAGCCACTGCACCCAAGATTCTCAGGAACACAGAAGTCCTGATGTCTGCTCAAATTATTCCTGTTACAGAGAAAGCTTGCTCTTGACTCCTTGTGAAAATCGTACCTATCTCCAATTTCATCTTCGAAGTGAAGCCATCTCTCATTCAACAAAAACGAACTACATGCCAGGCACTGGCAACCATAGTGTGATCCCATTTTAAGAAAAACAGATAAAATATGTAAAGAAAAATATGAAGAAATAAGCACTAAAGTATGTGTGATTATGCCTTATTTATGTATACAGGATCCACATTTAAAAGTTTAAAATATTTTTAATATACTTAGCATTCTCTAGTTAATAAAGCTAACAGAAGTCTTTGGCCAAGTTCTGGTTCACTGAAACATCTACACTGTTGAGGTTTCACATGAACAAATGCACCTTAATTTCCATCAACCAATAAAGAAAAATAACAGTTAATACATTTCTCAGAATAAATGTATCTCTTGAAAACCAGGGACATTCAAAGCAATAGGAACAAATGGAGTATCCATCTGAAGACAGTGTAATGCCAGCCATCTCAAAACTGTAATTTTATAAGGAGGCTACAAGGCTAAACTGGACTTGGAAATGAGATAAAAACATTCCAATACTTGTGCCAGAGAGAACCAGCATTAGCCAGCAATCATTTGGAAGTATGAAGTTATAGAATACCAGCTGTAAAATAAACGTTTTACTTAAATACAGGCACTTCTTAAAACTTATGACAGCACAGTAAATTCCTGGCGTGTAATAGTGGAAACTGCTATACAATGTAAGGCAAACCCTCCATCCATCATGACAATACTCACATGCATGCCGATTGTGCACACAAACCAAAACTGTACTTACCTTAAGAGGCTGGGGGCCTCTCAATCCTGTTTGTCCTCCCATCTGGGGAGAGCCCTGCTGAAGAGGCTCAGTCAGTAAGTTGCCAGCACTTCCCATGCCTGGGTTTGGGTACTGCATATTCTGTCGCCCTCGGCCTGCTCCAATTGAACCGTTCATGACTTGATTAGGCATTATCCCTTGTCCATTGCCTGCAGCCAACATTCCAGGATTCATGCCCGCATTCATCCCTGTGTTCATTCCCATGGCAGGCTGATTTACTGGACTGTTCATCATACCTGTTGACTGCGTAGGACCCTGATTTGGTCCACTAGTGCCCATCCCCATGTTGGGAGAAGTCAAGCCTGCCTGTGTCATTGGGCTTTTGACCATGCTATTTATCAAACCTAATCCAGGACTGCTCTGTTGGGCCTGGCTGGCCATGACTTGACCTGGGCCACCAACTCCCATATTGAGGTTAGGGGAACTACCAGATCGCAGCAATTCTGACAGCTGTTTATGTTTAGAAGCTGCATCTTGTACCATGCCAAGACTTGTCTGAAGCTGATTAATATCACCACCATTGGTTAGTCCCAATTCTGTAGAGTTGATTAATTCATCTGGTAAGTCGTGCTCCAAGTCAAATAGAGAGCCAAAATCTAAAAGCAAAGGGAAAAGACAAAGGTCAAAGTATGACAAAACCAAAATAAAAAACTGCTCTATATTGTTCTCAATAAGCATTAAATGTCATTTCCCAACCTCACTCCATGTTTTTCTATTTATTTGAGACAGGGTCTTACTCTGTTGCACAGGCTGGAGTGCAGTGGTGCGCGATCTTGGCTTACTGTAACCTCTATCCACAGGTTCAAGTGATTCTACCATCTCAGCCTCCCAAGTAGCTGTGACTACAAGTGCGCACCACCACACCGAGCTAAATTTTGTATTTTTAGTAGAGGCGGAGCTTGCCATGTTGACCTGGCTGGTCTTACACTCCTGAGCTGAAGCTATCTGTCTGCATTGGCCTTCCAAAGTGCTGGGATTACAGGTGTGAGCCACCACACACAGCCCTATATATATACTATTTGTATGGTAGTTTTTTAGGTCATACTAAAACCATTTTATAGATTTTTTAAATTGAGGGGATATTTGGTTATATCAACAAACTTAAACACTTAAGAACTATACCTAAAATAAGACCAAGGAAAAAAGGGATTGAAAGTACAACACCCCCCATCAATGACAGACTGGATAAAGAAAATGTGGCACATATACACCATGGAATACTATGCAGCCATAAAAAAGGATGAGTTCATGTCCTTTGCAGGGACAAGGATGAAGCCTGGAAACCATCATTCTCAGAAAACATAGGAAAAGAAAACTAAACACCGCATGTTCTCACTCATAAGTGGGAGTTAAATACGAACACATGGACACAGAGAGGGGAACATCAGACACCAGGGCCTGCTGGGGGATGGGGGGCTAGGAGAGGATAGCATTAGGACAAATACCTAATGTAGATGACGGATTGATGGGTGCGGCAAACCACCATGGCACATGTATACCTATGTAACAAACCTGCACGTTCTGCACATGTATCCCAAAACTTAAAGGATAATTAAAAAAAGAAAAACATTCTAAATAATGTTATAGAATTAGCATAATAGTTGAAATAAAATTTTATTTTTTGTTAAAAAAAAAGTGCAACACCCATTATTACATGAGTTGCTAGCTAAAGGTTTGTATCCACAGTCATGGAAAAAAGAAATGCAATTAAGCTGTATTAATATTCCCAAGTTCCTTAGAAGAACAGTTAAAATATCTACACACAAACTAAACTCAGGATGGAAAGAAAACATTTTAAATATTGTAATACATAAAGACACACAACTGATACAAAAGACCTGTCATTTGTGGAACACTCAGTGTGTGCTCCAGTTAAGCAGAGGGCTATCCACCATTTTTTACCAAGTTCCTATATAGTACCTGCCTCAAAGTAGGCCTTTAACAGGCGGAGTTTTTGACCTGTAGCCTACAGAATAGCTTTCCTTAACCAAAGTCTAGCCAGAATAGGGTACAACACCATGCCTCTGGCTCCTTCACCATACAAACCACCCCTACCAAAAACAGGGTGCAAGACCAGCCCTGGTAGCTCACACCTGTAATCTCAGTACTTTAGAAGGCCAAGGCAGGAGGAATTCTTCAGCCCAGGTCAACACAGCAAGACCCTGTCTCTACAAACAATAAAGTCGGCTGGGTGTGGTGGCACTAGGCTATACTCCTAGCCACTCAGGAGGCTAAGGTGGGAGGATTACTTGAGTCCAGGAATTTGAGGTTGTAGTGAGCTTTAACTGCACAACTGCACTCCAGCCTGGGTGACAGAGCAAGATCCTGTCTCAAAAAAGAACAAACAAAACTGGGTGCTAAGTATAGATTAATGCAGGGTTTCTCAACCCTGGCACTATTAACATTTTGAGCTATGTGATAATTCTTTGTTGTGGGTGGAGGGTGATTGTCTTGTGCCCTCTATTATCATTAGGAGACTCCTGGTCTTTCTACTTATGCCAGTAGCACCCATATCCCAATTGTGACAATCAAAACTGTCTCCAGACATCACCAAACATCCCCTGGGGGAAGAAAATTACTCCTGATTGACCTATTGACAGTATTAACCTACTATAAAAATTATTTGAGTTTTCTTTCCTTTCAATTCTCTAAAGTAGTTTTCACATTAAAAAGGCATTACTGGGTGTTGGGCATAGTGGTACACATCTATAGTCCAAGCTACTCAGGAGGCTGAGGCAAGAGGATAGCTTGAGCCCAGGAATTCACATCAAGTCTGGGCACTGTGAGACCTTGTCTACTAACAACAACAAAAATTCCACAGCTATTATCCTCTTAAAAAATGGACCATCCCTTGAAGACAAAATATTGCCTTAATGGTCTACTTGATCCAATTAATCTTAGTTCCTAAGTATAACTCTTCCTGTATGTGCCCTTCCTCTTCTTGTAGTTTTTTTTTTTCTTCCCAATCCTGCTCCTTCTGTATCTTTTAGCATTTTATCATGTCACTGAAATTATCTCTGGGTTTGCCTCCTCTCCTCCCCTTGCCATCCCTTGTGACCACCCCTCACTCCAACCATGCATTCTTCGCGAAGGACATGTTTTACCACTTATATACCAGCTCCTTGCCTACTGGCAACATAGTAAGCACATGGTCATATATTAACTAAACCAACATGTGGTCATATATGAACTAAGTCAAATTGTATCCCAAGATCTCAGGGCATAATTTAGAGTCCAGAGTTTTACAGAATTACTCTTTCCTTTTGAAATATCATATGGGCTCCTCCATCAAAAATGTGCCACAAGGCTGAGCACTTTGGCTCACAACCTGTAATCCCAACACTTTGTGAGGCCAAGGAGGGCAGACGGCTCGAGCTCAGCAGACCAGCCTGGGCAACATGGAGAAAACCAAACTGCACAAAAAAATACAAAACTTAGCCAGGCCTAGTGGCCTGTACCTGTGGTCTCAGCTACTAGGGAGGCTGAGGAAGGAGGATAGCGGCAGCTTGGGAAGTTGAGGCTGCAGTGAGCCGTGAATGTACCACTGCACTCTAGCCTGGGTGACAGAGCGAGATCCTATCTCAAACAACAACAACAACAACAACAACAAATACCCAAATGTGTAACAAAACTGACCTAAAACCACTATTCAAAAATGCCTGCTTAATATACTGATATAGTTCCTTCATTATTTCCTTATACTTACGTGATTTACAAAACTGAGATCATACTTTATTTGCAATTTTTACTTTTCCCCTGGAGTATCCAAGAAAATATTTTATCATTAGCATACTGAACATAGAGGGCAAAAAAATCTCCACTTTAGAAATTTTAAAAACAGGCAGTGATAAATTACAAAAGAAATCACAAAGGAAATTGAGTAATAAAAAATATATTTCAAAACCTAAAGGCCTATGTTAGAAAATAAAGTTAAAAAGGCCGGGCGCAGTGGCTCACGCCTGTTATCCCAGCACTTTGGGAGGCCGAGGTGGGCGGATCACGAGGTCAGGAGATCGAGACCATCCTGGATAACACGGTGAAACCCCATCTCTACTAAAAATACAAAAAATTAGCAGGGCGTGGTGGCGGGCGCCTATAGTCCCAGCTACTCAGGAGGCTGAGGCAGGAGAATGGCATGAACCCGGGAGACAGAGTTTGCAGTGAGCCGAGATCACGCCACTTCACTCCAGCCTGGGCGACAGAGCGAGACTCCGTCTCAAAAAAATAATAATAATAAATAAAGTTACAAATTAATGAACTCTCCAGTGAGTCTCCTGAGGTTGCTAATAATGAATTAAGTATCCAAATTATATTAGAAAAATAGTATTAATATGAAGAAGACAATCAAAGACAAAAGCATAAACGAAACAGGAAATAGGAATGTAACAGCATTACCAAAACTAGAAGTTAGTTTTTTGGAGTAACAAAAGACGAACTTCAAGAAGGTTAAGAAAAAAAGAAAATTAAAAGATAAAGCAATACTATCAACTTTATACAAATGAAGAAAACATACAAAATAAATAAATTCCGGAGAAAATACTCAAACCTTAATAAAAAAGAAATCATATAGGATATGGAATGTCCCAGTTTCTCCAACAAATCCATAGCATAAGTTGGGGGGGGGGTGGAATCCTGATTCAAACAAGCCAACTATAAACACACATTTTGAAATGAGAGTAAGACATATTTAGGTACAGACTGAGAAATGGGTGATATTAAGAAATCATTAACTTTATTGACTATAACAATGGCATTATTTTAAAATAAATCCTTTTTACTGAAAGATATACATTGAAATATTTCTGGTGAAATGACATGGCTAGGATTTGCTTTAAAATACTCCAGCAAAAAAGGGGGGAAGGGTAGTATAATATACTAGTAAACCTGAAGCTGGGTAATAGGCACATGGGAAGCCAGACCACTGTAATCCTACTGCTACTAGAGAAAATAAGCCCTTGGTTAATCTTTCCATAAAGAAAGCACCATATCCGAATTGTTTACAGGCATGCCCTACACCAAACTTTCAAGGAAAATACAATTCAAGCTAACACAAATACTTCTAAAAAAAAAAAACAATATAAAAATTACACATGGCCAATATAAGAAAAACACAGGCCAATCTTCTTCATGGACACAGAAACAAGACTCTTTAAAAAGAGCAAACCAAAGGCTCAAAAATCATCATCAAGTTGGGATAATCCCAGGAATCCAGGGGACACCAGAACATCTATAAACTGTCATTCGCCATAGTAACAAAGGATAAAGAAAATATAAGATTCATCTTGGCCAGGCACAGTGGCTCACGCCTGTAATCCCAGCACTTTGGGAGGCCAAGGTGGGCAGATCACTTGAGGTCAGGAGCTTGAGACCAGCCTGGCCAATATAGCGAAACCACATCTCTACTAAAAACAAAACAAAACAAAAAATTAGCTGGGTGTGGTGGCAGGCGCCTGTAGT
The DNA here is from genome assembly GCF_000001405.40 of Homo sapiens. Classification (NCBI taxonomy): domain Eukaryota; kingdom Metazoa; phylum Chordata; class Mammalia; order Primates; family Hominidae; genus Homo; species Homo sapiens. Next base: position 41,112,325 of record NC_000022.11, on the reverse strand, counting down.
CCCAGCTACTTGGGAGGCTGAAGCAAGGAATCGCTTGAACCCAGGGGAGCAGAGGTTGCAGTGAGCAGAGACAGTGCCACTGCACTCCAGGCTGGGTGACAGAGCGAGACTGTCTCACACACACATAAAAAAATAGGTGGCCAGGCATGGTGGCTCACGCTTGTAATCCCAGCACTTTGGGAGGCCAAGGCGGGCGGATCACGAGTTCAGGAGATTGAGACCATCCTGGCTAACACAGTGAAACCCCGTCTCTACTAAAAAATACAAAAAATTAGCTGGGCGCGGTGGCGGATGCCTGTAGTCCCAGCTACTCGGGAGGCTGAGGCAGGAGGATGGCGTGAACCCGGGAGGCGGAGCTTGCAGTGAGTGGACATCGCGCCACTGCACTCCAGCCTGGGCGACAGAGTGAGACTCTGTCTCAAAAAAAAAAAAAAAAAAAAAAAAAAAAAGGTTACAAGTTCTAAAAAAGAAAAAAAAAGAGAAAAAAGTCCGGGCATGGTGGTTCTCACCTGTAATCCCAGCACTTTAGCAGGCCAAGGCAGGCGTTCACCTGAGGTCGGGTGTTCGAGACCAGCCTGAGCAACATGGAGAAACCCCGTCTCTACCAAAAATACAAAATTAGCGGTACGTGGTGGTGCAGGCCGTAACCTCAGCTACTCAGGAGGCTGAGGCAGGAGAATCGCTTGACTTGGGAGGCAGAGGTTGTGGTGAGCCCAGATAGTGCCATTGCACTCTACCCTGGGTGACAAAAGCAAAACTCCGTCTCAAAACAAAAAAGAAGGAAAGAAAGAAAAAGGAAAAAGGAAGAAACAAAACTTATTGTCTGTAGATAATATAACTGTTGACATAGAAAGTTCAAAGCAAATACATATATCATCACACTATAACCCATGAATATACACAACTGTTGTCAATTTTAAAGAAATACATACAACTGGAAATTGTGAGAGGTTAGCAAGATGACTGGTTATACCATAAATATAAACGTATCAAAGTGAATTTCTGTATGCCAGCAACAAATGGTTACAAATAATTTTTTAAATAATGTAGAGCCGGGCACAGTGGCTCACGCCTGTAATCCTAGCACTTTGGGAGGCTGAGACAGGTGGACTGCTGGAGGTCAGGAGTTTAAGACCAGCCAAGACCAGCCTGGCCAACGTGGTGAAACCCGGTCTCCACTAAAAATACCAAAATTAGCTGCGCGTGGTGGCACATGCCTGTAGTCCCAGCTACTCAGAAGGCTGAGGCACGAGAATCGCTTGCATCCAGGAGGCAGAGTTTGCAGTGAGCAGAGATTGTACCACTGCATTCCGGCCTGGGTGACAAGAGTGAGACTCTATCTCAAATTTAAAAAAAAAAAAAAAAAGATTTATAACATAGGGAAAAACTGACAATGTATATAAAACAGGTGTAAACTCAAAAGTAAAGGCTGACTAAACAGAATATCTCAAACACTTAGAAATCCTCAGTATTAAAAACATCATTCCCCAGTACTGATCTATAGATTCAATGCAGTATCAATCAAACTTCTAGAAGTTTGTCAAGAAACTGGACAAGATGATTCTAAAGTATACACAGATCCCAAGGACCACTGGAAGTGTGAAAAAATAAAAAGGAAAAGACAGCCAGAAGGGTGGCTCACGCCTGTAATCCTAGTACGTTGGAAGGCCGAGGGGAGAAAGACCACCTCTCTACAAAAATATTATTTTTAAAAATTAGCTGGATATAGGCCGGATGTGGTAGCTCACATCTGCAATCCCAGCACTTTACTTTGGGAGGCCGAGGCGGGTGGATCACTTGAGGCCAGGTGTTCAAGACCAGCCTGGCCAACATAGTGAAATCCCATCTCTACTAAAAATAAAAAAATCAGCCGGGAATGGTGGAGCATGCCTGTAGTCCCAGCTAGTCGGGAGGCTGAGGCAGGAGAATCAGTTGAACCCGAGAGGTGGAGGTTGCAATGACACCACTGCACTCCAGCTTGGGCAACAGAGTGAGACTTTGTCTCAAAAAAAAAAAAAAAAAAAAAAAAAAAAAAAAAAAAAATTAGCTGGATATGCTGGCATGCACCTACAGGTCCCAGTTACTCAAAGGGCCTGCTTGAGCCCAGGAGGTTGAGGCTGCAGTGCGCTATGATCCTGCCACTGCACTCCAGCCTGGGTGACCAAGTGAGGCTCTGTCTCAATAACTTAAAAAAAAAGGGGGGGGGGGCAGGGAACAGGATGGGCACAGTGGGTCACACCTGTAATCCCAGCACTTTGGGAGGCCGAGGCGAGCAGATCACCTGAGGTCAAGAGTTCGAGCCTGGCCAAGATGGTGAAACCCCATCTCTACTAAAAATACAAAAATTAGCTGGGCGTGGTGGCAGGCGCCTGTAATCCCAGCTACTCAGGAGGCCGGGGCAGGAGAATTGCTTGAGCCCGGGAGGCAGAAGTTCCGTTTAGCTGAGATCACGCCATTGCACTCCAGCCTGGGAAACAGAGCAAGACTACATCTTGGGGGGTGGTGGTGGGGAGGTGCTTGGGGGAGCATGGCCTGAAGCTTGGGTCTCAGAAGCTCCAAAAAAAAAAACCAACTCCATCCGTTCCCGTCCTCCTCCCCCTGCCAAAAAAAAAAGATGCAGGGATAACCTTGTTTCCATCTCTGCATAACAGCAAAGTGCCTACTTCATGTTATTTGTGATTAAATGAGTGAATAAATGTAAAGTGTTTAGAACAGTACCTGGCACACACTAAGCACTATAAACATGTTACCTATTGTTATTCAATGGACTCATTACACTATTAGGAGATAGCCCAGCTTACAATGATGACAGCATACATTTATCCAGCACTTTCAATGTGTCAGGCATTTTTCTTGGCACCTCACGTTTATTCTCATTCATCTCAACAACCTCAGAAGTTCATACTAGTCACATCACATGTACAGAGTTCATCAAGCAGTAATCAGCTTTAGTAATATAGAAGTCTTGTTATTCTAGGGCCTACAGTGAGGGTTTTCATTTACTGAAGCCAAATCTATTGTATTTGATTGCTGTCTTATGTTTTCCGTTTTTTTTTGTTTTTTTTTTTTTTTGAGACAGGGTCTTGCTCTGTCGCCCAGCCTGGAGTGGAGCGACGGGATCACAGCACACTGCAGCTTCACCTCCTGGCTCAAGCAATCCTCCTTAGTAGCTGCCACCAAAGGCACACATCACCACACCTAATTTTTTATTTTGTTGAGATGGGGGTCTCACCATGTTACCCAGACTGGTCTGAATCTCCTGGGCTCAGGCAAGCCTCCCACCTTGGCCTCCCAAAGTGCTGGGATTACTTACATATGTGTGCCACGGCGCTGGGCCAGCAAGTATTTTTTCTAGACAGTAAGGTGAGCTCTTAAGATATTTATCTACTTTTGCCCCCTTTATATTTAATTAAAAACTTATAAATCTGAAGTTTGTTCCATTACCTTTTAACTATCCTATGGCAAATATTAAAAAACAGTATCACAAATGACTGTTGAAATGAAGGAACTATCTCCAGTAAGACATTTCCCGCTTCCTAAAGTATCAACCAATCAACATCACCAGGCTGCTTCTACCAAGTAGTTTGTTCACAAGTTCCTTTATGCCTTTAATGATGCTCCAATACAAACATCACTTTCAGTAAAATCTTTCTTCTGCTTCACAAGGAGCAGTATTTTTTTTTTGAAGTTTCTTCATCTGAGTGTACACTGAGTCCAATCATGGTGAAGTAAAACGGGACAGGACACATATAAATCTGATGTGAAAAGTTTAGCATAGGTTGGGCACCGTGGCTCACGCCTATAATCCTACCACTTTGGAAGGCCAAGGCTGGAGGGTTGCTTGAACGCAGGAGTTCAAGGCCAGCCTGGAATGTAGAAGGACACCAGTGTCAACAAAAAAATACGAAAATTAGCCAGGCATGGTGGTGCACATCTGTAGTCCCAGCTACTTGGGAGGCTGAGATGGGAGGATTGCTTGAGCCCAGGAGGTTGAGGTTGCAGCGAGCCATGATCACGCCACTGCACTCCAGACTGGGCGACAGAATGAGACCCTGTCTCAAAAAAAAAAAAAAAAAAAAAAGAAAAAGAAAAAGAAAAGTTTAGCCTAATACATGGTTTACCCAGTGGACCGTGTATTAGAAATTTAACAATTTAAACAACAACTGAGTTTGGATTAAACACGTGGAAACTAGTGTTGAGTCAAAACATCCTTTCATTATCACATACTGATTCTGTAGATCACCCTTGTTGTCTTCTATATTGCTTGTGGTTTGCTCCTTGCAACAGATGTAACCATATAATCCCTTATAAAATAAACTCGGTGGCCGGGCGTGGTGGCTCACGCCTGTAATCCCAGCACTTTGGGAGGCCGAGGCAAGCTATCACCTGAGGTCGGGAGTTCAAGACCAGCCTGACTAACACGGAAAAACTCTGTCTCTACAAAAAAAAAATACAAAATTAGCTGGGTGTGGTGGCACATGCCTGTAATCCCAGCTACTTGGGAGGCTGAGGCAGGAGAATCGCTTGAACCCAGGAGGCAGAGGTTGCAGTGAGCCGAGACTGCACCAATGCACTCCAGTTTGGGCAACAAAAGCCAAACTCCAAATAAATAAATAAAAAATAATCTCGGTTCATTTAGCCTTTCCAAAAATCAAAGGATCAAAATAATTCAATGATACGTGAGAAATTGAACAAATGAAGTATTATATATAAATGAAGCATAACCTTCAAAATTAGAACCATTAAAAATATAATCCCAAACACTGTACTATGAACATAAATCAGACAATTTTCTAGTTACTTAACTATGACACAAAATGTAATTTAAAATTAAAACAATTTTGGCTCAAAATCTAATTCTACTATATTAGTATCTCTCACAGTTACACTTTTTTTTTTTTTTACTTAAAAGGCTCACATATTATTTGAGTAAACACACTTACCTTTGTACTTTAGGTAAAATGAAGTAAAATCAACTCAGTTCTCTTAAACTGTGTTCATTAAGTAAAACACCTTTATTAATTATTTAAAATCCAGTCAATTCTCAAATCCCACTTAGAAGACAGAATCCATCTACTGCTCCTCCTCCCTTTAGCTGGCTTTCTCTGTGGCATTAAAATGCTTTTAGGTCAGGCACCGTGGCTCATGCCTGTAATCTCAGCACTTTGGAAGGCCGAGGCTGGCGGAGATCAGGAGTTTGAGACCAGCCTGGCCAACATGGTGAAACCCCATCGCTACTAAAAATACAAAAATGAGCCGGGGGTGATGGTGCACGCCTGTAATCCCAGCTACTCAGGAGGCTGAGGCTTGAGAATCACCCGAACCTTGGAGGCGGAGGTTGCAGTAAGCCGAGATCACGCTACTGCACTCCAGCCTGGGTGACAGTGCGAGATCCCACCTCAAAAAATAAAAATAAAAAAATGCTTTTAGGCCAGACCTGGTAGGTGGCTCACAACTGTAATCATGGCACTTTGGGAGGCCAAGGCAGGCTGCTTGAGCCCAGGAGTTTTAGACAAGCCTGAGCAACATAGCAAGACCCTGCCTCTACAAAAAAATTTAAAAATTAGCCAGGCATGGTGGTGCAGCTACAGGCTGAGGTGGGAGGATCATTTAGCCCAGGAGGTCGAGGCTGCCGTGAGCCAAGATTGCGCCACTGCACTACAGCCTGGACGACAGTCTCAAACAAACAACAAAAAACACTTAATGTTTTTAAAGAGTGGACACGTCAAACTTTTCTTTCATCTAACCCAGTGGTTGAGTCCACAGGATGAGTAGGAGCTTGACAGATGAAGAGTGGAACAACCTAAGGTGGGGAGAGTAAAAGCTCAGCCAGTTCAGCAATTGAAATAAACAAAATGGGGAGAACAAAGTGAGTGATGAGGTGGGCAGAGATCAGAAGACTCAGAGCGCCAAGGCCAGGTTAGAGATTTGGAATTTTTTAAAAAATGAAACAAAAAAAGAATGGAGTTGAAAACCAAACCTACATAACATTAGTCATTCTAATTCTGATAATGGTTTGGCTAAACACTGAAACTACCAATCTTACAAAGATTTCTTGTTCTTATTGCTTTTGGACACTCCTACTCTTACAATGGATGCTTAAAAAGCATGAAATTTTAAAACTGTAGCTTTTAAAATGAGAAATTTTGTAAATTTTACAAATTTATCAGGTTCCAACAACTTTCCTAACCTCTATTCAGTACTTCATTTAAAAAAAGTTACTTTAACCCTCTGTAAATGAAGAATTATCTAATCATATAAACAACCCATCTAGCAAGGAAATAAAGATGTACAAACATTTCAAACTACGTAATTTGAAGGAACATTAAGAAAATTAAAATAAAATATCCATGCTGGAAAGACAGGCAAGATCTCTAATACTCCAAAAAAATTAGGAAAACTTGTAAGTTTTATACAAATTTGGATAAAAGATGATAATTATACAGGATTACACAGCTACAAATGCTGACAGCTGTTGAATTTTGAAATCCAATAGAGTGAAAGGGCAAAAGTGCAAGCAAATTTCAAAATATGTACTCTTCACATGGTCCTGCTATCATGACATCAAAAGGTATACTTATACTTTGGGAAGAGATTAACTTGAAGTTTATTCTTTTTAAACCCCAACACGCCAGGGGTGGTGGCTCACGCCTGTAATCCCAACACTTTGGGAGGCCGAGGTGGGTGGATCATGAGGTCAGGAGTTCAAGACCAGCCTGGCCAACATAGTGAAACCCCATCTCTACTAAAAATACAAAAATTAGCCGGCTGTGGTGGCATGTGCCTATAGTCCCAGCTACTCAGGAGGCTGAAGCAGGAGAATCGCTTGAACCCGGGAGGCGGAGGCTGCAGTGAGTGGAGACTGCACCACTGCACTCCAGCCTGGATGACAGAGTGAGACTCCATCTCAAAAAAAGAAACAAACAAACAAAAAAACCCAAAACATTTCAATATTGAATTTTTTTTTTTTTGAGATGCAGTTTCACTCTCGTGGCCCAGGTGCAATCTCAGCTCATGGCAACCTCCGCCTCCCGGGTTCAAGAGATTCCCTTGCCTCAGCCTCCCGAGTAGCTGGGACTACAGGCGCCTGCCACCACGCCCGGCTTTTTTTTTTTTTTTTTTTTTTTCTGAGATGGAGTCTCGCTCTGTCACCTAGGCTGGAGTGCAGTGGCACGATCTCGGCTCACTGCTAGCTCCGCCTCCTGGGTTCACGCCATTCTCCTGCCTCAGCCTCCTGAGTAGCTGGGACTACAGGCGCCCGCCACTACGCCCGGCTAATTTTTCTGTATTTTTAGTAGAGACGGGGTTAATTTTTTTGTATTTTTAGTAGAGACGGGGTTACACCGTGTTACCCAGGATGGTTTCAATCTCCTGACCTCGTGATCTGCCCGTCTTGGCCTCCCAAAGTGCTGGGATTACAGGCGTAAGCCACCGTGCCCGGCCATGCCCAGCTAATTTTTGTATTTTTAGTAGAGATGGGGTTTCACCATGTTGGCCAGGCTGGTCTTGAATTCCTGACCTCAAGTAATCCACCTGCCTCAGCCTCCCAAAGTGCTGGGATTACAGGTGTAGGCCACTGCGCCCAGCCTTAAGTCTTGAATTTTAAAGAGGTGAAGTGCTTTAATTGATCAAGAATGTGACCTGGGGCCATGTTTAGAAAATTCACATTGACAATTCACCTTGCTCTTTTTCAATGTATTAATATAGTGACACTTCTTGTGAAAATAACTACATGAGGCCGGACATGGTGGCTCACGCCTGTAACCCCAGCACTTTGGGAGGCCGAGGCGGGCGGATCGCCTGAGGTCAGGAGTTCGAGGTCAGCCTGGCCAACATGGCAAAACCCTGTGTCTACTAAAAATACAAAAATTAGCTGGGTGTGGTGGCGGGCGCCTGTAATCCCAGCTACTTGGGAGGCTGAGGCAGGAAAATCACTTGAACCGGGGAGGCAGAGGTTGCAGTGAGCCAAGATTACACCACTGCACTCCAGCCTGGGCAACAGAGCAAGACTCTGTATGAAAAAAAAAAACCAAAAAAACTACATGATGAAGACACTATTATTTATTAAAATCCCACCTTAAGAATCAACTCAAGGACATGTTTTATAGTAAGCCTAAATTGTGTGCTAACTTAACTGTCACTGAACATTTCTTGATTTTGAGCAAACCTTGAGATTTGTTACAAGGGAAGGCCTACAGGGAATCCTAGATGGAGAAACATACCCTTTAAAAACAAAACAAAACAAAAACAACAACAAAAAAACCTTGCATATCTGTAAATAACAAGGAGAGTGAATGGTTTCTAAGTTGGTATCTGGTATATTTTCTACATTTATAACAACTGGCAAACCAAGCATGGATCTTGAACAAAATAAACAATTCACTTTGTTAATTACAATGTACCAAAAACTTCCAAGGCAAATGACAAACTCATTTCAAAAGAGGTAAATAATGTACTCCTAGTCTTCCTGCCATAGGTTCTACCTACTGCTGCTCTGTACGGTGTTACCAGAATTAGTCTTTCCCCAACCATGTCACTCCCCTGCTCATACAATTCTTATCCTGATGCTAAGATAAATGGCAAATTCCTTAGCATATTTCTCTTTCCACAATAGAACCCCAACATCCTTTCCCATCTCTCTCCCATGAAAAACCCTATCACACAGCGTATATTCTAGCCACATCAGAAACATGTTAGCTTCATCTGAAAAACCCTTCCAACTTTCCCTACTTCTAAGGTATGTTAATTTCCACCAACCCTGTTCAAATATACATTTTCTCCATGAAGTTTTCCATCAACGCTCCAAACCTACTCTGTCAAAAGCAACCCATCCCCTGCCTTTATATATAACATTTAAAAAACCTTTTAAAGCATAACTTACGGGAAAACTGTGTGGACATGTATACCAACCCCACTGTATCTCTGAAGTCTCTGACAGCAGAAGGCACCTTAATTTGTCTTTACATTGCAAATACCTAAGACTTGGTAGGTATTCAATGTCTGTTGGCTAAAATGAGATAAAGGTGCAGCAAATGAAGAGTGACTGACTGCTCAACTCAGAAGAACCACCAACTTCAAAATGCCCCAAATGTAACATCACTACCCCCATCACACCTGCCTACCCACTTCACAAATACTATGCTTCCTATGCTCCCCAATTTATTAAATAATTATCCAGCTGGGCACAGCTGCTCATGCCTGTAATCCCAGCACTTTTGGGAGGCCAAGGCGAGCAGATCACTTGAGGCCAGAGTTCGAGACCAGCCTGATCAACATGGTGAAACCCCATCTCTACTAAAAATACAAAAATTAGCCAGGCGTGGTGGTGGATACCTTTAGTCCCAGCTACTTGGGAGGCTGAGGCATGAGAATCGCTTGAACCCGGAAGGCGGAGGTTGCAGTGAGCTGAGATCACACCACTGCACTCCAACCTGGGTCAGAGATTGTCTCAAAATAAATAAATAAATAATAAATAAATCATCACCCAACAAGTTGCTCAAACTTTAAACTGGGGAATTATCCTTGATTTGTCCATCTTACTACCTAACTTCTAATCAGTCACCAAGTTCTGCTGATCATCCATCTTCCCTCAAATCTTTCCACTTCTTTCCATCTTCTGTGGTAAGGGTGGCTGGAACCCTAAAACAGCTGTTTCACTGGTCTCCCTGCCTCCTGTTTTTCCCTGTTCTTCCCAAACTATTCCTCCTTTTACTTAACTGCCTAAAGCACAATTCTGCCCCATCCATTAAATGGGTAAAATGGAAAGTCTAAATTCCTGTATTATAAGCCCTCCATGATTGGCCCCCTTGCTCACCTCTACAGTCAAGTTTTTGGCTATTCTACCAGTCAGACAGCACTCACAGGTTCCCAGAACAGGATATACCTGGCCTCACACAGTCTCCTTTCTAGCCTGGGCTCATTTTTACTAATCCTATCTCTATCTGTGAGATCCCAAAATCAGACACAATTCCTCAAAGACAGCCACCAGGATAACTACTGGGTTAGGTTCTCCTGTTCCTCCCACTATATACGTACTTCCCAAATACAATGCTGATCACACCAGACTCCGTGAATGCCAGTCTTCTTCCCTTATCTATAAACTCCAGGAAGGAAAGAAGGAACAATGTACAGAGGATAAGTTCCTGGCATACAGAAAATGTTGGCCTAATACAGAATAACTGCCATCTTGTCAACTCTTCTACGCCAGTATTCTTCAAATTATGGCTCAAAAGCCAACAGTGGGTCATAAAAATCAATATAGTAGGCTGCAACCAGTACTAAAAAAAAAAAAAAAAAGAAAAGAAAAAAAAGCAACAGAAAATATGAGAGTATATTACAAGTAATAAGGGTAAGTATTCTTGTGCATTCTTTGAAACAGAGTCTCTAGTGCTACAAGTTAAAGGTAGTTCTTCCTTAAGTGTTGTAAAAAAATTCTTTGGAGCACTGCACTGCTACTTTTCTTCTTCCTCCTTTATAAGAAAGTTTCTTAGAGGCAGGCATAGTGGCTCACATCTGCAATCCCAGCTACTCAGGAGGCCGAAGCAGGAGGATAACTTCAGCCTGGGCAACACAGCAAGACTCCATCTCAAGAAAATTTATTCTTTAAGACCCAGGTGGCTGGGCACGGTGGCTTACCCCTGTAATCCCAGCACTTTGGGAGGCCGAGAAGGGTAGATTATGAAGTCAGCAGATCGAGACCATCCTGCCTAACATGGTGAAACCCCATCTCTACTAAAAATACAAAAAATTAGCCGGGCATGGTGGCGGGTGCCTGTAGTCCCAGCCACTAGGGAGGCTGAGGCAGGAGAATGGCATGAACCCAGGAGGCGGAGCTGGCAGTGAGCCGAGATCGTGTCACTGCACTCTAGCCTGGGTGACAGAGCTAGACTCCGTCTCAAAAAAAAAAAAAAAGATCCATGTAAGAAAATGAAAAATAGAAAAAATTATGCTTAATTGGCCAGGCACTGTGGCTCTCGCCTCTAATACCAGCACTTTGGGAGGCCGAGGTGGGCAGACTGAGGTCAGGAGTTCGAGACCAGCCTGGCCAACACGGTGAAACCCTATCTCTACTAAAAATACAAACATTAGCCAGGCATGGTAGCAGGTGCCTGTAATCCCAGCTACTTGGGAGGTTGAGGCAGGAGAATAGCTTGAACCCAGGAGATGGAGGCTACAGTGAGCCAGGATTGCACCACTGCACTCCTGTCTAGGAAACAGAGTGAGACTCTGTGTCTAAAAAGAAGAAAGAATATGCTTAACACAGTTCTTTATCAAGAAGCCATTCTTAAACATTTCTAACAAGAACAATGTTTTCCATTTTCTCATTATGCCTTAACTATCTGCTGATTTTCATTTCTATTACTTACGTATACAAGACATCTTACATGATAGGATATATAAGATGTCTTGTATACGTGACATGATAATATATATGATATATATATACGTGACATGATACAAGATGTCATGATACTATATATATATGGTTGTCCCTTGGTATCTGCTGGGAATTGGTTCCAGAATCCACTCCCTCCACTGCAGATACCAAAATCTGAGGATGCTCCAGTCCCTGATATAAAGGGGACATGTAGTATTTGCATATAACCTACACACACCCACCCATATACTTTGAATTCTTTCTGGATTATTTACAATACCTAATGCAGTGTAAATGCAACATAAATAGTTGGTGCACTGTATTGTTTAGGGAATAATGACAAGAAAATAAAGTCTGTACATGTCCAGTACAGATGCAACCATGGATTTTTTTCCCCTAAATATTTTCAATCTGTGGCTGACTCCACAAACACGGAACCCTCAGATACGGAAGGCTAACTGTACAGTATTTTTCCATTTTAAGCTCTGTTCCTATATTCTTATACTCCTAGAAAACAACATTTGGATAGATGACATAAGGCTTACTCTTAAGACTCCTCTATGAACATCATGCACTTGGCTTTCTCTTTATCCAGTCTATCTATACAGGAGTTCATCCTTACCCCGTTTCATTTTCTGCCATTTCAAACACCTGTGGTACAAAAATATTACAAAGAAAACTGCAGAAATAAACACTAATTTTTGTTGTTTTAGAAACAGAGTCTTGCTATGTCACCTAGGCTGGAGTGTACAGTGGTGTCATCATAGCTCACTGTAACCTCAAAACTCCTGGGCTCAAGAGATCCTCACACCTTAAGCCTCCCAAGAAGCTAGGACTACAGATGCATGCCACCATGCCTTGCTGACTTTTTAAATTTTTTTTCTAGAGATGGTGGGGGGATGGGGGGTCCCACTACATTGCCCAGGCTGGTCTTGAATGCCTGGCCTCAAGCAATCCTCCTGCCTCAATCTCCCAAAGTGCCAGGATTACAGGCGTGAGCCACAACAATGTTTTAAACTGTGCGCCATTCTGAGTAGCCTGATGAAATCTCACCTGACCGGGTAGTGAATCTCCCCTCCGTCTAATGTATTCACCTGTATAAACTACCAGCCATTTGTCACTTAGTAGCCATCTCAGTTATCAGATTGTCAGACTGACTATGGGGCAGGGCAATGCTTGAGTTTTAAGTAACCCTTATTTTACTTAATGACAGTCCCTAAGTCCAAAAGTAGCAATGACAGCTATATGGATATGCCAAAGAGAAGCTGTAAATTGCTTGAAGGTGAAAGTTCTTGACTTAATAAGGAATGAAAAAAAATTGTATGCGGAGGTTACAAAGATCAAATCTATACATGAAATTGTGAAGGAAAAAAATTCGTGATAGTTTTGCTGTTGTACCTCAAACTGCAAACATCACAGCCACAGTGCATGACAAGTGATTAGTTAAGATGGAAAAGGCATTAAATTTGTGTGTGGAAGACACGGACAGAAACGTGTTCTGACTGATGACAATTATATTCACTACTATACAGGGTTTCAGGTATCCACTGGAGATCTTGGAATGTATCCCGCAAGGATAAGGGGGGACTACTGTATATCCACGAAAAACAAAAACAGGCCGGGCGCGGTGGCTCATGCCTGTAATCCCAACATTTTGGGAGGCCGAGGTGGGTGGATCACGAGGTCAGGACTCCCTGTCTCTACTAAAAATACAAAAATTAGCCGGGCATGGTGCTGCGCAGCTGTAGTCCTAGCTACTCCGGAGGCTGAGCAGGAGAATCGCTTGAAGCCGGGAGACGGAGGTTGTCATAGGCCGAGATCACGCCACTGTACTCCAGCTTGGGCAACAGAGCAAGACTTCGTTGCAAATCAAAAAAACAAAAACAACCCCCAAACCATCTACCACTGCTTTCCTTCTGATATATTTAGCAGTAAAGTTAAAAACAGTTAACAATGAACACATACTACACAGAAGCAAGCATAGTCCTAAGCATCTGATAAAGAGAATTCTCATTTATTCCTAACCACAATCCTGTAAGGTGGGTAAGTAAGGTGGATTCCTATAAGGTGCGCACCCACCTTACAGGGCTGTGGTTAGGAATAAATGTGAGGAGGTTGAGCCAGGTTAAGTATTTGGCCCAAAGTTCACAGTTAATAAATACAAGCCTGGGCTATGAACTCTAGCAGTCTGACTCCAATACTCATTCTCTTAGCTACTCTCTTACTCTTTTCAGTACTTTTAGTTTTACTCTCTCTCTCTCAACAAAATTACTTCTAGGGCCAGGTGCTATGGCTCACGCCTGTAATCCCAGCACTTTGGGAGGCTGAGGTGGGCGGATCACGAGGTCAGTGTATGGAGACCATCCTTGCTAACACGGTGAAACCCCGTCTCTACTAAAAATACAAAAAATTAGCCGGGTGTGGTGGCGGGCGCCTGTAGTCCCAGCTACTCGGGAGGCTGAGGCAGGAGAATGGCTTGAACCCGGGAGGCGGAGCTTGCAGTGACCCGAGATCGCGCCACTGCACTCCAGCCTGGGCGACAGAGCGAGACTCCGTCTCAAAAAAAACAATCACTTCTAATTGCTTTGGGACATTTATAAAAAAGAATCTAGATCTAAAAACAAATTATATCCAAATTGCTCAGAAGAGGCTTAACACCTCAATTATTATTTATCCTCTTAAGCGCTTCTGGGAAAGTGAGCAGTAATTTCCCATGAAAATTTCAAAATGAAACTACCGTCTATTAAGCGAAAAAAAATCACCTGCGAAGTTCAATGTTAAAAAATTTTTTAGCAGGGAGGGGAGAGGGATAGCATTAGGAGATATACCTAATGCTAAATGACGAGTTAATGGGTGCAGCACACCAACATGGCACATGTATACATATGTGACAAACCTGCACGTTGTGCACATGTATCCTAAAACTTAAAAGTATTAAAAAAAAAAAAAATTTTTAGCTGGGCGCGGTGGCTCACGCCTGTAATCCCAGCACTTTGGGAGGCAGAGATGGGAGGTTCACAAGGTCAGGAGATCGAGACCATCATGGCCAACATGGTGAAACCCCGTCTCTACTAAAAATACAAAAAATTAGCTGGGCATGGTGGCAGGCGCCTGTAGTCCCAGCTACAAAGCGAGACTCTGCCTCAAAAAAAAAAGAAAAATTTTAGACTTGGTATAATTGGTTTCATTTGCCCATTAATTTTACTGCTTGCCTCACTTAAAAAAATATTCAACTTTAGAAATCTTCAAAGAAGGAAACCCTAAAATCTGGACAAACATAAAACTAGCATCTTTTACTTTTCCATTAATTGCTGGGTATATGAATTGGCAGAATAACTCTCAAATTGTTTTTGTAAATATACCAGGAAAAAGTATTTTACACTCCCACTTGTATCTGCAACACTCTTCCTACTCTTTTTCTCTTTCCTATTTACCACTTAATGTCCCTACAAATACCACTTTGCATTAATTTTCAACTGTTTCCATTTTTTTGTTTTTATTAAATAAAGAAGAGAGAGAAAAGCAAAGAAAAACACAAAATAATGCCAAAAGGCCACCAAGGCAGAAACCCTTTCCTCCCTCCTCCCTATTATCCATTCACTGGACATGCCAATACAATTCCAACCTCTGCTATAGAAGATGAACTCCTGCTGGAATAAGACCCCCATATTGTAACGCATTCAAGATTTACAACTTAAAAGTCACTTTATCTCACTATCAACCAGAGACAACCTTCTTGAAGTCCTATAAATGAACTTACAAGGCCTTGAGAATAATTGCCAGAAAAACTTAAAGCACTTTAGTAAAATGTTTTGCAATTTAATACTGAGGAGAGAAATGCCTCACTAAATCAGGAGCTATATCTGCAAGACTCCAGAAGCAAACTCTTATGTAAACATTCAAGCCAAAATAAAATAAAACATAGCATATCACAAGTTACAGAGCTGGAAAATAAATGGTCTTGATCAAAATGTTTTGGTTAGGATGACGAACCACTAACACAATGGCATTTTAAGAAAATAGAGCTGACAGCCGGGCATGGTGGCTCACGCCTGTATTCCCAGCACTTTGGGAGGCTGAGGCGGGTGGATCACCTGAGGTCAGGAGTTCGAGACCAGCCTGGCCAAAATGGTGAAATACTGTCTCCACTAAAAAATACAAAACTTAGCTGGGCATGGTTGTGGACACCTGCAATCCCAGCTACTGAGGAGGGTGAAGCAGAGAATCGCTTGAACCTGGGAGGTTGAGATTGCAGTGAGCCAAGATCGAGCTACTGCACTCCAGCCTGGGCAACGAGAGCAAACCTCTGTCTCAAAAAAAAAAAAAAAAAAAAAAAGTAGAGCTGACATTTTAAAAAGCCTTACCACTTCTCCACTGTGTACATTAATCTACTGGTCAAAAAGCAGGTATACTTTACACACTATCTGCCCTGTGTCTTTGAAATGGGGGAAAAACTCAAAAAACAAAAAAGCACAAAACCCAGGGCCACAAAACTGTACCAAGACCAGAAGGATCTTTACCCTACTTAATTATATGCCAGATCCTAAAATCCTATCTTTCCAGGTGCTTTTTAAGTGCATACGGCATTAAGCGTTTACCAAGCAGTGACAAAACGTGTTCACTGAGTAATGAAGACAACAGATGACCCTCATCATTTCCATCACTCAAGATGATCAGAAACAGCTCCAAAAGATATTTCCAGGATTTGCCTAACATTAACTTTTCCAGTCTTTTGGTCATTTTTACAAAAAAAGTTTACAAGTGGCTTTCATAATCTTTTTTTTTTGGAGGGAGAGGGAGAACAAAATGTCATTTCTCAAATGATTTGTTTTACCCTAACCATACCAAATGAAATAAAAATTTCAATGGATCAAATGCAAATACTGAAACAGGAACATAAAGGTGTGAAGGCTACAAATAAGTCTTCTCTTCCCCATCCCAACACGTAAAAGTTGAGTTTAACCTAAGTTATTTGAATCAACCTGGAAATTTTTTAGGAGAATATCTGAGTATTAAACAGCAATTCAGAGGTTGAGATTTAAGTAATAATTTGATTTGTAACACTTTAGCATGTCATCCCATTGGATTCCAGTTTTCTTTCCTTTAAAGCTGACATTAGAACGCTCTTGGTGGATATATTTACATCACGAAATTTGCAAGCCTAAATCACTTTTTTTAAAAAAGTTTTAGGTGCTAGAATTTCGGGCTTATTTCAACCAGTTCTAGACAAAAACCATAATATCAAGAAATAATTTTCTTTCACATTTATAAAATACCCAAGTGACAACTCAAAAATCAAAAGTTACAAGTTTGAAACTTAAAAGTTTTAAGAGGTGATGTGCCTCCAATAAAAGTTACCTGCAAACATATTACAAACTGCAGAATGTCAAAAAAAAAAAATTCAAGATATAATGGTACCTCTGGCCGGGCGGCTCATACCTGTAACCCCAGCACTTCGGGAGGCCAAGGTGGGTGGATCACTTGAGGGCAGGAGATCGAGACCAGCCTGACCAATATGGTGAAATCCTGTCTCAACTAAAAATACAAAAATCAGCCAGGCGTGGTGGTCTGCGCCTGTAGTCCTAGCTACTAGGGAGGCTGAGACAGAACTGCTTTAACCCAGGAGGCAGAGGTTGTAGTGAGATCGCACCACTGCACTCCAGCCTGGGTGACAGAATGAGACTCCATCTCAAAAAAAAAAAAAAAAAAAAAAAAATTACAATGGTACCCAACTTGAAGTAAGTTAACAGAGGGACAGTATTTTCTTTATACTCACTTCTCCCCTCCCCCAAACCCAGACTGGTTACAATTAAAAACCGTACACCAAAGAATTCCTGGAGTAGAATCTTGATTTGGGGAGGGGGGTAAAGTTAACCCTCATTACAAAATTTAGAAAAGTAACTAAGATAAACTCTTAGCATTATGAGTGAATGAATTAATCTCAATGTTGAGTTTTTTTTTAAACTATAAAAGCCCACTTAACACATTTAAAACTCTTGTAATTATTCAAAGATATTTCAAGTAGCAAAACAGACCGACATGGAGAAAGTAGTAGCACACCTGAACAGAAGTATTTAAACAATACAGCTCCAAGACGAAACTGCTCAAATCAGGACTACTCAAAGTACACAAAAAAGTTTCCCCTACGTTCCAAGTCACTGGCTAACTCCAATGTAAAATCGACTACCACGTTACACCAAAACTAAAAAGCAAAAACTACCACATTACACAAATACGAAAGAAACACCACAAAAATCTACAGGTGATTAAGTCTCTAAAGATGATCTAAAAAATGTTTCTGAATGGCACTTTAGTAGGTGCAAAGGAATACAACGACGTTTGTGTATGTGTATGAATTCTGAAGGAAAAAACCAGCTAAAAAAATCCCTGGAGACTACAGTACCTTCATAGAATAGGTACAGATCAAAGTTCATGCATAATCAATGTTACAAGCCTTAGGTAGAGGAACTCGCAAGATTCCTACTTCTCAATTTTTGCAGGTTAACTTAAATTCATTTCACATCTTTCTTATAAAAGCAACGAATTCAAAGCATTAGCTCTGTCTTCCCATTTTCACCCTCTGAAATGAAGCCTATTTAGAAACATGCTCTCGAAGTTCTCTACAAACTCAAAGGGTACATTTAACTCCATTATGCACTCTCACTGGCAGATGGAGGGATGACGCTGAGCCTGCTCTCAGGGAGTTAAAGAGATGCTCCGTAGTAAAGGGGAACATCTTGTGGACTGTCAGATGGCCAGCCATTCTTCATCTTCATTATCCCAGCAAAGAAAAGGTCCTTACCCATCAGGATAACACCATTAAACTAACTGTAAGAAAAGAATGAAGGGATGATGGAAGAAGTCTCCCTGAACTTCTCCTGACAAAGGAGCTAGTCCACAACTGAATGAACTGGTCGTAAAGCTTTTAAACGAAAATCTTGATCTCCAAGTATGTTTAAAAGTGTAAAAAGACAAAGACACACACAAACACCAAACCTAATGCACATTTTAAACTTTTGTACAATCAGTTCACGTTTGTAGTTCATGATTGGAACTCTTTCAACTTCTAACCTTGATTTCCAGGTACGTAACTCCACAAAATTGTTTATCTTATTTCCCCTAAAATGAGAAAGTGACTGCAAACTGCAAAGAACATGCCCCTGTTCTCCCAACCTAAAAACCCAGAGTTTCAGACATTTTGGTCTCACACCAAAGAACTGGGAGATGTGAAATGAACTGCGCTCCATATTGATTCTTAAAGCAAATAAGAAGAAAAAGGAAAAAAAAGCTAAGAATGGTAGGTAAGATAAAAGAATTGTTAAACTTCACCTCTAACCTGAAATCTTGGACCTCGCACACACAAAATCAAGATTTTTTTACACCCTATTCCTCAACAGAAAATATTCTGCAAAGGAGAGAAAATTTCGAAGAGTGGAAAGTAGAGGAAACACAGTAAGTACAGTAAAGAGAAAGGATTCGAAATTCATTTGCCAAGAACAAAAAAAATGAAACTTAAATTGCATAGGAGCTCTTACACACAAATGCATTGGCATTTCCCAAATTAAATTGCATGAGAGCAACAATACAGGCCATTTCTATATAGCACCCACTTACGAGCTCTAATTCCAGAACACACACCGATATGACATAGTGTTGCAATCAATGTATTAGGAGGCAAAGAAAATGGTTGGGCTACTGGACGTCTTCGACCAGCTCATTCAAATACCTTTAAAATTAATTAAGGGGCAGGGAACTAGAGAGAGAGGAAGAAAAAAAAAATGGAAGAATAAAGGCGCACCGAGTAGAAAAGATTAAAGGGAACGTGGAAGGCCGGGGCTGCCGAAACTAACCTGTGCCATCGCTGGCGGACGCCGAGAGGGCCGGAGATGAGAGTTTAGGCCGCTTGGCTGAAGGCGGCCCCGGTTCCACCACATTCTCGGCCATTTTTAATTCTTTCGGAGATACAAGCGAGGAAAACCAGAATCCTCAGGAAATCTCTTCTTCGGCCCGGGGTCCCCGCGCCGCACCCAGGGGTGGGCTGGGGGGCTCCGACGGCACCCGAGGGGGTGGGGGAAGTTCCTTTTTCTCTTCGCCGGGTCGCAGTGGCTGGAGAGGGATGCGGACTCGATAGAAAAGGTAAGGGCAAGTGCGAGGGGCCGGGCCTGGGCCCAAGCCCGGAGGAGGGCACAAGAGCACAAATTCGCCGAGCGCGTCCGCTGCGGCGAATTCCCGAGAACTCGCGGCTCTAGAGGCGCAGTCCCCGGCCCGCCACGGCCGGCCCCTGCCCAGCCGAGGTCTCTCGGAGCTCCGCCGCCGCCATCAACCTCTTCCTCCTCGGCGCTGTCCTCCTCCTTCTCATCGCCACAAGGAGGCGGGGGCGAAAAGGGGGGAGAGGAGGAGGCGACAAGAGACACTCACCTCCTCCCGGTGCCCCCTCCCGGGCCTGCGCCCCCACCCTCCGAACCCTCCTCCTGCCGCCGCGCTCCGCGCCGCCGCCGCCGCACCGGCCCCTAATGGCCGCAGAGAACTCGCCCGAGCCGAGAGCCAGGCTGGCGCCGCCGCCTCACATCGCGCGGCGGCCGGCGGAGGCGCGGCAAGGACGCCGGGAGCGGAGCTGGCCGGACCAGAGGGCCGAGGGGGCCGGGCCGAGCAGCGCCGCCCGCACGCCCGCGCCGACGCGGAGCCCACCGAGGAGGCCCCGCTCCGGCGGCGGCGCAGGCGGCCCCTCCTCGCGCCGCGCTCCCCTCCTTCGCCTTCCTTTCCCGCGGAAAATAAATAAATACGGCCGCTGCTACGGCCCCCACCGCCGGCGGCCAGGTGCTGGGAGCGCCCGCCCCCCGGGGCTCCGTTCGGGGCCGCCCGCGGCGGCGGGAGAAGACGCCGCGGGGCGCGGGGTTATGTAATGGTCCCCCCTAGGCGTCGACGCCGGCCCGGCTGCTGGACCGCGGTGGGGGTGTGTGCGGACGGGAGGGGGCTGGGGGTCGCCTCAGCCCGTGCGCCCCGGGCCCCCTGCCACTGTCTCGGCCCCTGCCGCCTCTCTCCGACCCGACTCCCCTCCGCACTCTCTGGCTCCCGCAGTTAGCACTCAGCCCGGCGTCCTGCTTGCCCACTCTCGCCCGCTCTCTCTCGCCCTCTCTCCCCCCCAGCCTAGCACACAAACAAGATGGCGGCTGTTGTTTCTTCCCTCTGCCGAATCCTCCTTACAGGCTAGCGGTAGCGGCGGCGGCCGGAAATGAGCCAAGGGGGGGTGGAAAAGGGGAGTGGCCGGGCCTCCGGAGGGGGGCGGGGCCTAGGCCCGAGCCGCTCACACAATGGGGGAAGTGGAGCCGGGGGCGGGGCCTGTCCCAATCACGGGATCCGCCCTAGGCCCCAACGCGGTTAGCGCTTCCGCAAACTCCCCCGGCGTCACCCTGTGGCTCCCTTTAAAGGGGAGGATTTTAAGAGTGGGGAGGATTTTAAGGGGGGAGGGGCGGGGGCGGACTCAGAATCTATTTTCAGTCGGTGGATAGTTACGAGGGAAGGTTCCTGCCTTTGGTCTCTGCGTAAGGGACCAGTGGGAACCGGGACGACGGAACCCCGGAGCTGCTCCGAGGAAGGCGCCAAGTCGCCACTCAGGTGGCCAAATGGGAGCGCCCGTAGGGCGGCCCTGCTCTTCGGCCCTTGGGTGGCGGGTCCCCCAAAACCCCGGTCGAATTCACCAGGCAGGGTGTACCCACTGCCGGCTGTTCCGGGCCAGATACCCAGTGCGTCCTCACTTCTCCATTGCCCTCCCAAAGGGAGCAGTTCACATCCAAAAAGCACGTTGATTACGAGTTGTTTTCATTTTCTCTGAATTTTCCTTTTCCTTTTTATGTATTATTTATTTATTTATTTTACAACGAGCATTATTACTCTGACCAGAAAACAAAATCACAGCAGTGGAAAGATGTTTCGGCACCAGACCCAAATTCATTTCTTGCCCTCCACGTGTGTCCATACGCCCTTACCAGGTAGCACTCTCACCGCAGAAGCCTTCAAGTATTTTCCTAAACATGGCTGGGACCTGAAGACATTTCTAGGGTTTGTCTTTTTTTTTTTTCTCGTCCGCTCCCAATAGAACAAGTTAGTAAAAGACCACGTCTAGCCATTGCCTTATCTAATGTAATTATGGGAAAAACAAAAATGTGGTAAAGGTAATGTAAGGATGGAAAAAAGCAAAAATGTAATGGTGAGAGGAAATGCTGGAATATAAAGTCTAGTGTGTGGGACTCCACAGTTTTGCAGCTGAGGTCGGAGACGTGCTTTCAGGTTCCTACACATCACCCTGTGTTTGGCCATGGGTAAATTGGTACTGGAGGAGGTGGCAGGGGTGTAAGTGACCCCGAAAGAAACCCCGAAACCAGTATCTACTGATACGGTTAAAAGCTTTTTCTCGGCCAGGCACGGTGGCTCACGCCTGTAATCCCAGCACTTTGTGAGGCCGAGGCCAGTGGATCACCTGAGGTCAGGAGTTCGAGACAAGCCTGGCCAACATGGTGAAACCCCGTTTCTACTAAAAATACAAAACTTGTCCGGGTGTGGTGGTGCACGCCTGTAATCCTAGCTACTTGGGAGGCTGAGGTAGGAGAATCTCTTAAACCCGGGAAGCGGAGGTTGCAGTGAGCTGAGATTGTGCCATTGCACTCCAGCCTGGGCGACAAGAGCAAAACTCTGTCCCAAAGAAAAAAAAATTTTTTTTCTTTTATTTCATATCTCATGCTCCGTAGCTGGTATTTGCAAATTGTTGGATTTTCTTTGTTTTTTTTTTTATATTGTTTCTGTTTGTTTTTTAAATTAATGTTGGGATGAATAAATAAGAACATAAGAGTGAAGATCCTAATGGAGCAATTGAAGTTGCTGACAGGGATGGAATCTGTCCTCTAATGATCAGGCCTAGATCACCCAAACTGCAGTAGAAAAGCAGGCAAATTGAACCGGGCGTGGTGGCTCACGCTTGTAATCCCAGCACTTTGGGAGGCCGAGGAGGGCGGATCAGGAGGTCAGGAGATTGAGACCATCCTGGCCAACACGGTGAAACCCCGTCTCTACTAAAAACACACACAAAAAAATTAGCTGGGCGTGGTGGCGGGCACCTGTAGTCCTAGCTACTCGGGAGGCTGAGGCAGGAGAATGGCGTGAACCTGGGAGGCAGAGCCTGCAGTGAGCAGAGATCGCCCACTGCACTCCAGCCTGTGCGACAGAGCGAGACTCTGTCTCAAAAAAAAAAAAAAAGGCCAGGTGCGGTGGCTCACGCCTGTAATCCCAGCACTTTGGGAGGCCAAGGCGGGCGGATCACGAGGTCAGGAGATCGAGACCATCCTGGTTAACACGGTGAAACCCCGTCTCTACTAAAAATACAAAAAATTAGCCGGGCACGGTGGCGGGCACCTGTAGTCCCAGCTACTCGGGAGGCTGAGGCAGGAGAATGGCGTGAACCCGGGAGGTGGAGCTTGCAGTGAGCCGAGATCGCGCCACTGCACTCTGGCCTGGGCGAAAGAGCGAGACTCCGTCTCAAAAAAAAAAAAAAAGCAGGCAAATTGAAAAGGACAGAACTTCTTTATCTTAAAGTTGTTACAGGATGAATTCAATGTGTAGGAGTGAGATCAAGATTGGCCTTCAGGGATAATTTTGTTATTTTTAATAGTTTATACCCATATTCAGACTAAGGAGTACAAAGGAAAGAATGTTGGTCGGGCACAGTGTCTCATGCCTGTAATCCCAACGTTTCAGGAGACGAGGGTGGGAGGATCGCTTGAGCCCAGCAAACATAAAGAGACCCCCCTATTCCCCATCTCTACAAAAGTTAAAAAAAAAAAATTACTTAGGCGCGGTGGTGTACACAGCACCTGTAGTCCAGCTACTCCAGATACTGAAATGGGAGAATCACTTCAGCCTGGGAAGTCGAGGCTGCAGTGAGGTGTAATCATGCCACTGCACTACAGCCTGGGCAATAGAGTGAGAGATCCTGTCTCTTAAAATAAATAAATAAATATTTTAAAAAACAAAGCAAAGAAATGAGAAATGTGGAGGACACCTGGAAACTTGCTCTGTCATTTCCTGGTGGGAGATTGCTTGCCCAGTTTTTTTTTTTTGTTTTTTTTTTTGAGACGGAGTCTGGCTCTGTTGCCAGGTTGGAGTGCAATGGCGCCATCTCAGCTCACTGCAACCTCTGCCTCCTGGGTTCAAGTGATTCTCCTGCCTCAGCCTCCCGAGTAGCTGGGACTACAGGTGTGCGCCACCACATCCAGCTAATTTTTGTATTTTTAGTAGAGATGGGGTTTCACCATTTTGGTCAGGATGGTTTAGATCTGTTGACCTCGTGATCTGCCCGCCTTGGCCTCCCAAAGTGCTGGGATGACAGGCGTGAGCCACTGCACCCGGCCTGTTTTTGTTTGTTTGTTTTCTTGTTTTTTTGAGACAGAGCCTTGCTCTGTCACCCAAGCTGTAGTGCAGTGGCATGATCTCCGCTCACTGCAACCTCTGCCTCCCAGGTTTAAGTGATTCTTCCGCCTCAGCCTCCCTGGTAGCTGGGATTACAGGCATGCACCACCACGGACCCAGCTAATTTTGTGTATTTTTAGTAGAGACGGGGTTTCACCATGCCAGGCTGGTCTCAAACTCCTCACCTCAGTTGATCCACACACCTTGGCCTCCCAAAGTGCTGTTACAGGAATGAGCCACTGTACCTGGCCCCAGCTGGTTTTTTTTTTTTTAAGAGTTTCTTTTTTTTCTTATGAGACAGAGTCTCACTCTGTTGCCCAGGCTGGAGTGCAGTGGCATGATCTTGGCTCACTGCAGCCTCTGCTTCCCAGGTTCAAGCAATTCTCCTGACTCAGCCTCCCTAGTATCCCTAGTAGCAGGGATTACAGACATGAGCCACCGAGCCTGGCCTCTTTTTCTTTTCTTTTCTTTTCTTTTCTTTTTTTTTTTGAGACAGAGTCTCGCCCTGTCACCCAGGCTGGAGTGCAGTGGTGCGATCTCGGGTCACTGCAACCTCCGCCTACCAGGTTTAAGCAATTCTGCTGTCTCAGCCTCCCGAATAGCTTGGATTACAGGCTTGCGCCACCACGCTGGCTAATTTTTTGTATCTTTAGTAGAGATGGGGTTTCACCATGTTGACTGGGCTGGTCTCGAACTCCTGACCTCGTGATCCGCCTGCCTTGGACTCTCAAAGTGCTGGGATTATAGGCGTGAGCCACCGCACCCAGCTTTTTTTTTTTTCTTTTTAAAGAGTTTCTGTAAACTTTAGGAAAAAGATTTGCTTAGTTTTACACAGGATCCAGCTTGAATCAAAGCAGCATTCAAACATACCTTGCCCACCTGGCCAAAAATACTGTAGGACTAGATATAAGAAGTGGATTGAAGGAGATCTGAGGAACATCCCATGAGAAAATTCAACCAAAAGAAATCAGAGGCCATGGCCCCCGGCTCTGCTGTACATGCAGAACTCTGATGCTTGGGGCATCTTCTTGAGATGTGCTCCTCTGGCCTTTCCCCAGGACCCTGAACCTGAAATTGGCCATGTTGGAAGTGGCTGATGGCAAGAAAATATGGATCACACAAAGACAATCAAGGTGACTCTTAAGATGGCTTCAGAACAGCAGAATTGAAGCTGGGTATGGTGGCTCACGCATGTAATGCCAGCATTTTGGAAGCTGAGGCGGGCAGATCACTAGAGGTCAGGAGTTTGAGACCAGCCTGGCCCACATAGCAAAACTCCGTCTCTACTAAAAATACAAAAAAGTTAGCTGGACATGGTGGCACACACCTGTAATCCCAGCTACTCCGGAGGCCAAGGTACAAGAATTGCTTGAACCCAGGAGGTGGAGGTTGTAGTGAGCTGAGAGATCATACCACTGCACTCCAACCTGGGCGACAGAGTAAGACCCTGTTTCAAAAAAAAGAAAAGAAAAATAGATCACGCCTGTAATCCCAGCACTGTGGGAAGCCAAGGCAGGTGGATCACCTGAGGTCAGGAGTTCAAGACAAGCCTGGCCAAGATGGTGAAACCCTGTCTCTATTAAAAATACAAAAATTAGGCCCGGAGCGGTGGCTCACACCTGTAATCCCAGCACTTTGGGAGGCCGCGGTGGGCGGATCACGAGGTCAGGAGATCGAGACCATCCTGGCTAACACGGTGAAACCCCGTCCCTGATAAAAACACAAAAAAATTAGCCGGGCCTGGTGGCAGGCGCCTGTAGTCCCAGCTACTCTGGAGGCTGAGGCAGGAGAATGGCGTGAACCCGGGAGGCGGAGCTTGCAGTGAGCTGAGACGGCGCCACTGCACTCCAGCCTGGGCCACAGAGCAAGACTCCGTCTCAAAAAATAAAAATACAAAAATTAGCCGGGTGTGGTGGTGGGCGCCTGTAATCCTAGGTACTCGGGAGGGAGGCTGAGGCAGAGAATTGCTTGAACCCAGGAGGTGGAGGTTGCAGTGAGCCACAATTGTGCCACTGCACTCCAGCGTAGGCAACACAGTGAGACTCTGTCTCAAAAAAAAAAAAAAGAAAAATAGAAAAAGAAAAATATTTTAATAGCCAATATTGGCAAGGAAGTGGAGAATTTGGGCTTTCATACACTGTTAGTGGAAATAGAGCGTGGTACAAACTTTTAGGTTCATACTGAATGTTTATAGCCTTTGAAAATCCCAGAATCTAGGACACATTCTACAAGTGTACAAAGATGTGAGAATGTTCCCTGCAGCAGTGTAATAGTCCCTCCTCTTCACCTTCCCCAACAAAGGGAAACAAACTAACAGCCTGTATGTAGGCGAATGGTTAAAAAACAAACAAACAATGGATATGATTCTCCTTATATGAGGTGTCTACAGTAGCCAAATTCATAGAGACAGAAAGTAGAACAGTGGTTGCCAGGGGCTGGGGACAGAAGGGAATGGGAAGATCTATTTAATAAGTACAAAGTTTCCCTTTGAGCAGATGAGAAAGTTTTGCAGATGCATGCTGGTGTTGGCTGTACAACAGTTTCGTGTACTTAATGCCACTGAACTGTGCACTAAAAAATGGTTAAGAGGAAGCAGGTATGGTGGCTCATGCCTGTAATCCCAACACTTTAGGAGGCCAATGCTGGAGGATCCCTTGAGTCTAGGAGTTCGAGACCAGCCTGAGCAACGGGGTGAGACGCCCCCCACCCTGTCTCTACAAACATTTAAAAAAAAAAGTTAGTCAGGCATGATGGTGTACACCTGTGGTCCCAGCTACTCAGGAGGCTGAGATGAGAGGATCACCTGAGCCTGGGAGGTCAAGGCTGCAGTGAGCCGTGATCATGCCTCCACTATATTCCAGCCTGGGTGACAGAGAGAGGCTCTGTCTCAAAAAAAAAAAAAAAAAAAAAACGAAAAAAAGGTTAAGACCATAAATTTTATATATGTGTATTTCATGAGAACTTACTAAAGTTTTTTTAAATGGTAAAAATGATAAATTTTATGTTCTTTCTTTCTCTCTATACATGTTATGTATATATATATAAAACATATATATAAAATATATAAAAATCCCAAAGGGCTGGGATTACAGGGATTATATATATATATATATATATATATATATATATATATATATATTACTAAAAATACAAAAAAGTTAGCTGGCCATGGTGGCACATGCCTGTAATCCCAGCTACTCTGGAGGCCAAGGTACAAGAATTGCTTGAACCCAGGAGGTGGAGGTTGCAATGAGCTGAGAGATCATACCACTGCACTCCAGCCTGGGCGACAGAGTGAGACCCTGTTTCAAAAAAAAAGAAAAGAAAAATAGATCACTCCTGTAATCCCAGCACTGTGGGAATAATATATGTATATATTCTTTTTGACACAGAGTCTCACTCTGTTGCCCAGCTGGAGTGCAGTGGTGCAGTCTCCGCTCACTGCAACATCCACCTCCTGGGTTCAAGTGATTCTTGTGCCTCAGCCTCCCAAGTACCTGGCACTGCAAGTGTGCACCACCATGCCCAGCTAATTTTTGTATTTTTTATAGAGATGGGATTTCACCATGTTTGCCAGGCTGGTCTTGAACTCCTGACCTCAGGTGATCCACCCGCCTCAGCCTGCCAAAGTGCGGGGATTACAGGCGTGAGCCACCGCGCATGGCCTACGTACCATAGATTTTATCACAGCTAGACAACAACAACAAAAACTATGGAACAGTCTTACAATGATGGGATATTATGCAGTCAATTGAAAATGAGTAGGCAGATATATACTACCATAGAAAGATGTCTATGTATTACTAAGGACAAAAAGCATATTGGTAAATAGTAGGTATAGAATGTCTCTATTTTTACAAATATAATTATTAATAATAATGGGTTAGACCGGGCATGGTGGCTAATGCCTGTAATCCCAGCACTTTGGGAGGCTGAGGCCGGAGGATCATGAGGTCAGGAGTTTGAGACCAGCCTGGCCAACATAGTGAAACCCCGTCTCCACTAAAATACAAAAATTAGCCCTGCATGGTGGTGCGTGCCTGTAGTCCCAGCTACTCGGGAGGCTGATGAAGGAGAATCACTTGGACCCGAGAGGCAGAGGTTGTGGTGACCTGAGATTGTGCCACTGCACTCCAACCTGGGCAACACGGCGAGACTCTGTCTCAAAAAATAATAATAAAAATCAAAAAAAAATTAAATAAATAAATAAATAAATAAATAAATAAATAAATAAAGGGTTAGGGCCAGGCACGGTGGCTCACATCTGTAATCCCAGCACTTTGGGAGGCTGAGGCAGGAGGATCACGAGGTCAGGAGATCGAGACCATCCTGGCTAACACAGGTGAAACCCCATCTCTACTAAAAATACAAAAAATTATCTGGGCATGGTGGCATGTGCCTATAGTACCAGCTACTTGGGAGGCTGAGGCAGGAGAATGGCGTGAACCCGGGAGGCGGAGCGTGCAGTGAGCCGAGATCGCGCCACTGCACTCCAGCCTGGGCAACAAAGCAAGACTCTGTCTCAAAAAAATAAAATAAAATAAAAATAAATAAATAAATAAATAAAGGGTTAGAAGCTGATGGAATATGCACCAAACTGTTAGCAGTACTGGGGTGAGAGAAGTGTTATGGGGAGTGTTCATTGTACGTTACAAATTTTTATGATGTTTGAAGTCAAAACTAGAAAGTATTTTTTCTAAAATAACATTCAGGCCGGGTGCAGTGGATCATGCCTGTAATCCTAGCACTTTGGGAGGCCGAGGTGGGTGGATTGCTTGAGCTCAGGAGTTCGAGACCAGCCTGGGCAACACAGTGAAACCCCGTCTCTACTACAATACAAAAAAAAAAAAAAAGTTAGTCAGCATGGTGCCGTGCACCTGTAGTCCTAGCTACTCAGGAGGCTGAGACAGGAGAATTGCTTGAACCTGGGAGACAGAGGTTGCAGTGAGCTGAGATCATACCACTGAACTCCAGCCTGGGTAACAGAGCGATACTCCGTCTCAAAAAACAAAAACAAAAACACCTTCAATGGTTCCTCTTTGCTGTTAGGATAAAGTTTCAATTGCAGGGAATGGTACATGCTTACCTACCTTATTTCTCTGAACTTCCCTCCCGGCAGCCAAGTGGAATTATTTCTATTCTTCTGGTGCCATGCTCTCTCTGTTGTTGGGACATTCACACACATATACTCCTGTCTGAAACACCACTGCAATCCTTTCTTTACCCACAAATTCCTGATCACCCTGCAGGTCTCGACTAACATATTCCTTTTTCTATAAAGCACCCCCCCACCCCGATCCCTCTGAGCCCTAGTTACACACTCCTCTTGTGCCCTCTCTGGCAAATACCCTGTACTTATTTTATTATTTATTTATTTTTAATTATTTAATTATTTTTTAATTTTTTAAATTAATTAATTTCTTTATTTTTTGAGACGGAGTCTCACTCTGTTGCCCAGGCTGGAGTACAGTGGCGCAATCTCAGCTCACTACAACCTCTGACTCCCTGGTTCAAGTGATTCTCCTGCCTCAGCCTCCCAAGTAGCTGGGACTACAGGTGCATGCCACCATGCCCAGCTAATTTTTTTGTATTTTCAGTAGAGATGGGGTTTCACCATATTAGCCATGATGCTCTTGATCTCCTGACCTCATGATCCATCCCCCTCGGCCTCCCAAAGTGCTGGGATTACAGGCTAGAGCCACCGTGCCCAGCCTTTTTTATTTTTATTTTTTGAGACAGAGTCTCACTCTGTCACCCAGGCTGGAGTGCAGTGGCACGATCTCAGCTCACTACAACCTCTGCTTACCGGGTTCAAGCAATTCTCCTGCCTCAGCCTCCCGAGTAGCTGGGATTACAGGGGCCCACCACCATGCCCAGCTAATTTTTGTATTTTTAGTAGAGATGGGGTTTCACCATGTTGGCCAGTCTGGTCTCCAACTCCTGACCTCAGGAGATCCTCCTGCCTCAGCCTCCCAGAGTGCTTGGATTACAGGCATGACCACTGTGCCTGGCCTTCTTTTGTTATTATTATTTTTTATTTGTTCATTTATTTATTTATTTATTTATTGAGATGGAGTCTCCCTCTGTCGCCCAGGCTGGAATGCAGTGGCACGATCTTGGCTCACTGCAAGCTCCGCCTCCCGGGTTCACACCATTCTCCTGCCTCAGCCTCCCCAGTAGCTGAGACAACAGGCGCCTGCCACCATGCCTGGCTATTTTTTTTGTATTTTTATTAGAGACAGGGTTTCACCATGTTAGCCAGGATGGTCTAGATCTCCTGACCTCATGATCCACCTGCCTCAGCCTCCCAAAGTGCTGGGATTACAGGCATGAGCCACCGTGCCTGGCTATTATTATTATTTTAATAGAGACAGCTCTCAGTATGTTGTCCAGGCTGGTCTCGAACTCCTGGCCTCAAGCGATCCTCCTGCCTCAGCCTCCCAAAGTGCTGGGATTATAGGTGTGAGCCACCATTCCCAGCCTATCCTGTACTTTTGAATCACCTACATTACACACCATATTATAGTTGCCTGGGTCCTTGTCAGCCTTTCCTGCACAGCAGGGAAGGCGACCATGTCGTCCATCTCTCTTTCCCAGCTCCTAATTTAAGACCTGATGAAGAGGGACTCAACCCAAACTTATCGTTCAGATGAATACATACCATCGATTTGTGAATCTGGTCAGGGTTAGTGGATCCCCACCTGCCCCAACCTCATCTATGCTACTACAGCCACAAGGGCTTTCTGGCCCTGAAAAGGACTTGATCTAGCTTACTTGTCCATCAGGGTGCCAGTCAACCTCTCTGTCTTCTGGAATCTCAGATAGCTTGACTGGATTCTTTATAATTACACCAGAAATAGAGTAAGTGTTTACTCTGGGAAACGAGCTCTAAAGGAAATGAAATGTCCTTCATGAGGCCCCAAACTGAAGCAAAAGGAAGGTTGGAATGGAGGTCTTCCAGCATGATATCCAGGACTCTTTCTACAGAACCCTTACTACTTTCTTTGGGCAGGAGGCAGGTCTTATGCTTCCTCAAGACCTTAGCACCTAGGACAGGAACTGGGTTAGAATACATAGCCAATGAGTGTTTATTGAATGAATAAAGAAAGAGGGAAGTTCTATACATAAACATGCTCACAAACACACACTCACATGCACACAATATCTTTTCCATAGAATTTAAAAACAGAGTGGCAAACCCACAAAAACAGCCACAGAACTTGTGACTTTCCATATCATTAGGCATGATTGTGCCACCATCAGGAATGAAATGCACCAGCGGAACCAGAGGTAACCAAGGATCTTGCACTCTTTAAAAAAAGAAATTGTTTTTATAGAGACAGGATCTCACTCTGTTGCCCAGACTAGAGTGCAGTGGTGCGATCCTGCCTCACTGCAGCCTCCAATTCCTGGGCTCAAGTGATCCTTCCCACTCAGCCTCACTGCAGATGTGCAGTGCCATACCCAGCTAATTTTTTTTTTTTTGAGACAGTGTTTCATTCTGTGGCTCAGGCTGGAGTGCAGTGGCACGATGCTGGTTCATTGCAACCTCCAAGTCCCCGGCTCAGCTGATCTTCCCACCTCAGCCTCCCGAGTAGCTAGGATTACAGGTCTGCACCACCATGCCCAGCTTATTTTTCTGTTTTTAGCAGAGACTTTAAACCAGAGGGAGAGTAAGTCTTTGTACTCATTAATGAAGGACATTTCACTTGCTTTAGACCTCCATGTTGCCCAGGCTGGTCTTGAGCTCCTGGGTTCAAGCGATCTGCCCACCTCAGCCTCCCAAAGTGCTGGGATTACAGGCGTGAGCCACTGCACCCAGCAAAATTTTTGTATTTTTTGTAGTGACGGGGTCTCGCTGTGTTACCCAGGCTGGTCTCGAACTTCTGGCCTCAAGCCATCCTTCTGCCTCAGCCTCCCAAAGTGCTGGAATTACAGGCATGGGCCCCTATGCCTGGCCAGAACTTGCACTCTTTATACCCCAACCCAACCCTTATGAAGCCTCTTCTCTGCGCCCAGCACTGTGCTGGGTACTAGGAATTCAAAGATGGAGTACACACTGTTCCTGTCCTGGTGACACACCATCTACTTGGAGAGAAGCTTGTAGAAATAAATAGTTACTGGCCAGAGTGGTGGGGCTCCCTCAAGGCAAACATAGATGGATAATGCATGAGCATAAGCACCTGTCACATTGGTGCCTGAATGCTGCTCACCATGGGTAAAGCATCATGTGCCCAGGCAGGAGAGGACACTGAAAAGGTGGGCCCAGCCAGACAACAGAGGGCCATGGGTATGATGCTGGGAAGTTTGGGCTGACACCTGGGTCCTGCCTTTTGGAATATAGGACACCTGGGTCCTATTTTGGAATATGTGGTCATTTTTTTTTTTTTGAGACAGAGTCTCACTCTGTCACCCAGGCTGGAGTGCAGTGGTGCGATCTCAGTTCACTGCTACCTCTGCCTCCCGGGTTTAAGCGATTCTTCTGCCTCAGCCTCCTGAGCAGCTAGGACTACAGGCATGCACCACCATGCCCAGCTAATTTTTGTATTTTTAGTAGAGACAGGGTTTCACCACGTTGGCCAGGCTGATCTTGAGCTCCTGACCTCAGGTTATCCACCCGCCTTGGGCTCCCAAAGTGCTGGGATTACAGGTGTGAGCCACCACGCCCGGCCCTAGAATATGTGGTCATCTTATCTATCAATTAGCACATCTGTACAGTAATTCAGTGGAATATTAAAATGTTAACAGTATTATAAACAAAAGCCCAATTGACTTCATAATTAGAAAATTATAAAAAAATACCTAAAATTTGGTCCTTTATATTCTTTTTTTTTTCCTTTTTTTTTTTTTTTTTTTTTTGAGACATGGTTTCACTCTTGTTGCCCAGTCTGGAGTGCAATGGCATGATCTCGGCTCACCGCAACCTCCGCCTCCCAGGCTCAAGCAATTTTCCTGCCTCAGCCTCCCAAGTAGCTGGGATTACAGGCATGTGCCACGATACCTAGCTAATTTTTTTGTATTTTTAGTAGAGACAGGGTTTCTCCATGTTGGTCAGGCTGGTCTCAAACTCCCGACCTCAGTTGATCTGCCTGCCTCTGCCTCCCAAAGTGCGCGGATTACAGGCATGAGCCACCGTACCCGGCCTAGTCCTTTATATTCTAAAAGGATTCTCCAAAGGATGGCAAAAGAAACTGATATGCAAATAAGATTTTTTTGATGCCTTGTACCCCCTAAGCTGATGCCATGTGTGGTAACTGTAGCCACAATGGGTGGACCTATCAGACTGTGACTCTACCTAAAGGATCTCAAAATAGCTCTGCTCTGCTCTCTGGAGCAGGCAAGCATCTGCTCTATTCGGCAGTAGCTCATTCTTTACTATTGTTGCTATGTGACAAACTATTGGCTCTCAGTGTTAATCCAAGCCTGCCAGAGAAGGAGGGTGGGCAGAAGGCTTTGGGAGAAGCATCTTTTCTAGAATGTAATGTAACAAACAGGTCTTGAGCATTTCTTAGGTAACTGGCCCTGAAGATACAAATATCTGGTTCAGTTCAATGAACATGAATTAACCTCTATGTGGCAGGCACTGTGTTGGGCAGCAGGGATAGAAGAACAAATGAAACTCACCTGGTTTCTGTCTTCAGTTGTTCACTACCTAGTAGGAGAGTCAGACTCATAAATAGGAAACAGCAAGCTCATGTGGGAGACGCAATGATAGAGGCTTGGGTGATGTATGGACATTCAGAGAGTGCTTCAGATGAGTTCAGCAGTGGGCATGGTGATGTGCCTGTGGGATGCCCATATGGAGATCATGCATGGACAGCTGGACAAACAAGACCACAGGAAAATCAGACTCAGTCCATGTCCTTGAGGGTCTTACTATCTAGTGAAACAGAAATGTAAACACAATAAAACAATAGATCAATGACAGTATTTTTTTTTTCAGACAGAGTATTCCTCTGTCACCAGGCTGGAGTGCAGTGGCATGATCTCGGCTCCCTGCAACCACTGCCTCCTGGGTTCAAACGATTCTCCTGCCTCAGCCTCCCGAGTAGCTGGGATTACAGGCATGCGCCACCACACCCAGATAATTTTTGTGTTTTTAGTAGAGACGGGGTTTCACCATGTTGGCCAGGCTGGTCTCGATCTCCTAACCTCGTGATCCGCCCGCCTCAGCCTCCCAAAGTGCTGGGATTACAGGCGTGAGCCACCGCACCTGGCCCAATGACAGAATTTTGTAGTGGAAGTTAACACAGAGGTTCACACAAAGGTGATGGTGTAACTACCATGCCCTGGAAATGTTGATGTTCCTCTAGGAGACAGCCTAGGAGCTGAATTATTTTATTTATTTATTTATTTATTTATTTTTGAGACAGAGTCTTGCTTTGTTGCCCAGGCTGGAGTGCAGTGGCTTGATCTCGGCTCACTGCAACCTCCGCCTCCCAGGTTCAAGCGATTCTCCTGCCTCACCCTCCTGAGTAGCTGGGATTATAGGTGCCTGCCACCATGCCTGGCTAATTTTTTGTATTTTTAGTAGAGACGGGGGTTTCACCATGTGAACCAGGATGGTCTTGATCTCCTGACCTCGTGATCCACCCGCTTGGCCTCCCAAAGTGCTGGGATTACAGGCATGAGCCACCACACCCCACCAGGAGTTGAGTCTTGAATGATTCCAAGTGGTTTTCCTGGGCAAAAGGAAGAAGCCTGTGTGAAATAATTGGACAACTGCTTGGCTCTGCAGTCCAGGCACAAGTAAGGGGGACATGGCCAGGGCTGGCACAGCAAATCCGTAAAGCCCAGCACCTGGACAATGGGCACTGGTGACGTGGCTTACAAGAGAGGGGAATGTATGGCACTGCCTAGTGATGTAAGACTTTGGGGGTATCAAGGTTGCTAGAGGCATACAAGACAGCAAGCCTTGGCCAAGCATGGTGGCTCATGCCTGTAGTCCCAGCACTTTGGGAGGCCAAGGTGGGAGGATCATTTAAGCCAGCGGTTTGAGACCAGTCTGGGCAACACAGCAGGACCTCATCTCTGCAGAAAATTAGAAAATTAGCCAGGCTTGGTGGCACATGCATACCTGTAGTCCCAGCTACTCGGGAGACTAAGGAGAGAGGATCACTAGAGCCCAAGATTTCAAGGCTGCAATGAGCTGTGATTGTGCCACTGCACGATAGCCTAGATGACATAGTGAGACCTCTGTCTCATAAAAAGAAAAAAAAAAGAAAAAAGACAGCAAGCCTTCACCGTTCCATGCTCCTCCAACCTGACAAACATCATATTCCATATGGGATGCCAAGACCACAGGGCTTCAGGTGCATCTCCATGAGACACAAGAGGAATGCCTGCCTTGTCTTCCTCCTTGCAGCCTCACTGAAGGTTGATCTTTTGTACTATTTTGATTCATTTTGCATAAATCAAAGTAAATGCAATTTTAAATCAAATCCAAATCAGTACCTCAGTTTAAATTCTTGAACCTCAGTAAAATTCTGTGCTTTGACCTAGCTCAGCTTTCTTGGTAAGAGAAATAGACTCTTGATAAGGCTGATGAAATCATTGTTGCTGCTGCCAAATGTGTAGAAAAACCAGTAGAGATATTCATTAAGTGATTTATTTATTTATCAAAAATGTATTGAGGCCAGGCACGGTGGCTCACACTTGTAAAGCCAGCACTTTGGGAGGCTGAGGCAGGAGGATTGCGTGAGCCCAGGAGTTTGAGACCAGCCTGGGCAACATAGTGAGACCCTATCTCCACTAAAAATAAAAATAATTATCCAAGTGTGGTGGTGCTTGTAGTCCCAGCTACTCAGGAGGCTGAGGTGGGAGGATCGCTTGAGCCCAGGAGGTCGAGGCTGCAATGAGCCATGATTGCACCACTGCACTCCAGACTGGACAACAGAGTGAGACTTTGTCTCAAAAACAAAAACAAAAAAAGTATTGAAGCGGCACCTTATGTGGCAAACAAAGGGTGTGTTTATTTAATCTATAGAGGTCTTGTAAATTGATAAGAAAAAAAAAGGGAAAAAAATAGGCAACACCTTCCAAAACAATAAGCAGTTGTAGCTGATTAACCCTAAGGAGAATCCTAATAATTCCCACCTCCTAGTGTCCACATCCTTGTGTGATCCCCTCACTTTGCATGTGGGCAGAACCTATGACCCACTTCTAAGGAATATGGCAAAGGTGGTGGGCTGTCACTTCCAGATTATATCATGTTATATAAGACTCTATGTTAGCAGATTGAATCAGTAGATTCTCCTTGCTGGCTTGATGAAATAACCCACATGTTGAGGAAGCCTACATGGCAAGGAACTCTGGGTGGCCTCTAGAATCTGCCAGAGGCCTCCTGCCAACAATAAAAAGCCAGGGCCCTCAGCCACACAGCCACAGGGAAATGAATTCTGCCAACAATCTGCATGAGCTTGGAAGCAGATTCTTCCCCATTGGAGCCTCCAGATGACAATGTAGCCCAGGCCATACCTTGATTGCAGCCCTGGAAGACCCTGGGCAGAGGACCTGGCTAAGTTATGCCTGGACTCCTGATCCACAGAAATTGTGAGATAAGGCCCCAGCGCAGTGGCTTACACCTGTAATCCCAGCACTTTGGGATGCCTGAGCCTGGGAGTTTGAGACCAGCCTGGGCAACAAAGTTGAACTCCCCACCCACCCCACCTCTTTTTTTTTTTTTTTTTTTTTTGAGACAGGGTCTTACTCTGTCACCCAGGCTTGAGTGCAGTGGCATGATTATAGCTCACTGCAACCTCCGCCTCCCAGGTTCAAGCAATTCTTTAACCTCAGCCTCCCATGTAGCTGTGTCTACAGGCTCGAGCCACAAACACTTAGCTAATTTTTGTGTTTTCTGTAGAAACGAGGTTTTGCCATGTCGGCCAGGCTTGTCTTAACTCCTGAGCTCAAAGCAATCTGCCTGCCTCGGCCTCCCAAAGTGCTGGGTTTTGCCATGTTGGCCAGGCTTGTCTTGAACTCCTGAGCTGAAAGCGATCCACCTGCCTCAGCCTCCAAAAGTGCTGGGATTACAGGCGTGAACCACCATACCTGGCTGGGCATGGTGGCGTGTATATGTGGTCCCAGGGAGCTTGAGGATCGCTTGAACCCAGGAGGTTGAGCCCTGCACTCCAGTGTGGGCAACAGAGTAAACTCTGCCTCAAAAAAAAAAAGGAGACTGCGTCTGCTCCGCAGCACAGAGCCTCACCCTCGCCGCTTGGCTGCCTGTCCACACCCCCAGCCAGCTCACCATGGATGATGATATTGCTGCGCTCGTTGTTGACAACAGCTCTGGCATGTGCAAGGCCGGCTTCGCGGGTGACGATGTCCCCTGGGCCATCTTCCCTTCCATCGTGGGGTGCACCAGGCACCAGGTCATGATGGTGGGCATGGGTCAGAAGGACTCCTATGTGGGCAACGAGGCCCAGAGCAAGAGAGGCATCCTGACCCTGAAGTACCCCATCGAGCATGGCATCATCGCCAACGGGG
Source organism: Homo sapiens (assembly GCF_000001405.40). Taxonomy (NCBI): domain Eukaryota; kingdom Metazoa; phylum Chordata; class Mammalia; order Primates; family Hominidae; genus Homo; species Homo sapiens. The sequence continues at coordinate 41,075,001 of NC_000022.11, read as the reverse complement.
ACGACATGGAGAAGATACGGCACCACATCTTCTACACAAGCTGCATGTGGCTCCCGAGGAGCACCCTGTGCTGCTGACCGAGGCCCCCCTGAACCCCAAAGCCAACTGTGAGAAGATGACCCAGATCATGTTTGAGACCTTCAACACCCCAGCCATGTATGTGGCCATCCAGGCCATGCTGTCCCTGTACGCCTCCGTCCGTACCGCCCATGTACAAGGGGTATGCTCTCCCCCACGCCATCCTGCCTCTGGACCTGGCTGGCCGGGACCTGACTGACTACCTCATGGAGATCCTCACTGAGCACGGCTACAGCTTCACACCACGGCCGAGCGGGAAATCGTGCGTGACATCAAGAAGCTGTGCTACGTCGCCCTGGACTTCGAGCGGGAGATGGCCATGGTGGCCTCCAGCTCCTCCCTGGAGAAGAGCTACAAGCTGCTCGATGGCCAGGTCATCACCATCGGCAACGAGCGGTTCCACTGCCCCGAGGCGCTCTTCCAGCCTTCCTTCCTGGGCATGGAATCCTGTGGCATCCACAAAACTACCTTCAACTACATCATGAAGTGTGACGTGGACATCTGCAAAGACCTGTACACCAACACAGTGCTGTCTGGCGGCACCACCATGTACCCTGGCATCACCAACAGGATGCAGAAGAAGATCACCGCCCTAGCACCCAGCATGATGAAGATCAAGATCATTGCTCCTCCCGAGCGCAAGTACTCCGTGTGGATCAGCGGCTCCATCCTGGCCTCGCTGTCTACCTTCCAGCAGATGTGGATCAGCAAGCAGAAGTATGACCAGTCCGGCCCCTCCATCGTCCACGAATGCTTCTAGGTGGACTGTGACTTAGTTGCATTACACACTTTCTTGACAAAACCTAATGCATAGAAAACAAGATAAGATTGGCATGGCTTTATTTTTGTTGTTGTTTTGTTTTGTTTTGGGCTTTTTTTTGGCTTGACTCAGGATTTAAAAACTGGAACAGTGAAGGAGACAGCAGTTGGTTGCAGCGAGCATCCCCCAAAGTTCTACAATGTGGCCGAGGACTTTGACTGTACATTGCTCTTTTTTTAATAGTCATTCCAAATATCGTGAGATGCATTGTTACAGGAAGCCCCTTGCCCTCCTAAAAGCCACCCCACTTCTCTCTAAGGAGAATGGCCCGGTCCTTTCCCTAGTCCACACAGGGGAGATCATAGCATTGCTTTCATGTAAATTATGTAATGCAAAATTTTTTAAATCTTCGCCTTAATATTTTTTTATTTTGTTTTATTTTGAATGATCAGCCTTCACGCCCCGCCTTTTTTGTCCCCTAACTTGAGATGTATGAAGGCTTTTGGTCTCCCTGGGAGTGGGTGGAGGCAGCCAGGGCTTACCTGTACACTGACTTGAGACCAAGTTAAATAAAAGTGCACACCTTAAAAAAAAAAAAAAGGCAGAGGCTCTGCCCTCATGACCTAATCAACCTGACCACCTCCCAGAGCCCTACCTCCTAACATCATCACCTTGGTGACTAGATTTCAACATGATTTTTTGGAGGAACATATACATTCAAACCCTGGCAATCATACGCACAGGGCATATATGAAATATAATAAGTACAATTTAAAGATAAAGCCAACATTTGTGTAATCATTACCCAGGCCATGAAATAAAATATAGCCAGTCTTAGCAGATCAACTCCCGACTGTGTGGCCTTCCAATATACCCTTTGCTTCCCTGAAGATATAATCACTACACCGACTCCCGTCACCATTATTCCCTTTCCTTTTGGCAATCCAGCCACATTGATGTGTAAAGCTGTGATTTGTTCATTTCATTGCTGTGTGATTTCCACTGTATTAATGAAACACAATTTAGTTTGCCACTTTACTATGAACAAACATTTGAGGCTCCCCCCCGCTTTCTTATTTTTAGAGACAGGGTCTCACTGTGTTTGTTGCTCAGGCTGGAATGCAGTGGTGAGATCATAGCTCACTGCAGCCTCGAACTCCTGGGCTCAAGTGGTCCTCCCACCTCAGCTTCCTGAGTAGCTGGGACCACAGGTGCATGCCACCAAGCCTAGCTAGGTTTTCCATTTTTGTTCTATTAGAAACACTTCTGCTCTAAACGATAATTTATAAGACTCCTGGAACACATAGGGAAGGCTTCGTCAAGGAGTACGTATACTAGGGATGGAATTGCTGAGATAAAGGGTGTGTATATCTTCAGTTTTTCTAAATAATGCTAAACCACTTGTCTGTACAGTTCACCAATTTATACTCCTGCCCCAGTGTGTGAGAGTTCCCTCTACTCTCAGTGTGTGAGAGTTCCCACTGCTCCACTTCACTGGCAATATTTGGTTTTCACAGACTTCTTAATTTTAAACACTCAGATGAGCATGCAATGGTGCTTTATTGTGATTTTAGTTTAGTTTAGTTTAGTTTTGTTTTGGGGACAGTGTCTCACTCTGTTGCCAAGACTGGAGTGCAATGGCGCGATATCGGCTCACTGCAACATCTGCCTCCCGGGTTCAAGTGATTCTGGTGCCTCAGCCTCCCAAGTAGCTGGGATTACAGGCGTACGCCACAACACCGGCTAATTTTTGTATTTTTACTAGAGACAGGGTTTCACCATTTTGGCCAGGCTGGTCTTGAACTCCCAACCTCAGATGATCCGCCCACCTCAGCCTCCCAAAGTGCTGGGATTACAGGCGTGAGCCACCATGCCTGGCTGATTCTAATTTTCAGTTGGTAGTTCCTTTATTGCCCATTTGGATTTCTTCTTTTGTAACATTCCAGTTCAAGTTTTTTTTTCAATTTCTTGTTTGTCTTTGTCTCATTGATATGATTTGTAATTTCCACTTTATTATTTGCCCTTTAAGTTTGCAAATGGACCTTAAGTATATGATAAGATGTTCAACTTCAACTATAAAAAGAGATATGACAAAACCACAATGATATTCTTTTTGTCACTATCAGATAGGCCAAAAACCAAAGCATTTAATAATACCATGTTGACAGTCATGTGAAGAATGTATGGATCACAGTGTAAATTGGTGAACTTCAGTGGAAAGCAGTCTGGCATATCTAACGCACTATTAAAATTGTGTGAGGCTGGGCCTATAATGCCAGCACTTTGGGAGGCCAAGGCAGGCGGATCACGAGGTCAAGAGTTCAAGACCAGCCTGGCCAATATGGTGAAACCCCATCTCTACTAAAAATGCAAAAATTAGCCAGGCATGGTGGCGTGCACCTGTAGTCCCAGCTACTCGGGAGGCTGAGGCAGAAGAATGGCTTGAACCCAGGAGGCAGAAGTTGCACTGAGTTGAGATCACACCACTGCACTCTAGCCTGGCCGACAGAACAAGACTTTGTCTCAAAAAAAAAAAAAGTGTGTGGGCCGGGCCTATAATCTCAGCACTTTGGGAGGCTGAGGCTGGTGGATCACTTGAGGCCAGGAGTTCAAGACCAGCTTGGCCAATATGGTGAAACCCTGTCTCTATTAAAAATACAAAAATTAGGCTGGGTGTGGTGGCTCACATCTGTAATCCCAGCACTTTGGGAGGCTGAGGCAGGTGGATCACCTGAGTTCGGGAGTTTGAGACCAGCCTGACCAACATGGAGAAACCCCATCTCTACTAAAAATACAAACATTAGCCGGGTATGTTGGTGGGCACCTGTAGTCCCAGCTACTAAGGAGGCTGAGGCAGGAGAATCGCTTGAACCCGGGAGGCGGAGTTTGCGGTGAGCCAAGATCGCACCATTGCATTCCAGCCTGGGCAACAAGAGCGAAACCAAAAAAAAAAAAAAGCCAGGCATAGTGGCACTTGCTACTTGTGAGGCTGAGGCATGAGAACCACTTGAACCTGGGAGACGGAGATTGCAGTGAGCCAAGATTGCGCCACTGCCCTCCAGCCTGGGCAACAGAGCGAGACTGTCTCAAAACAAAAAAGAAAAAGTGTGTGTACAGTTTCACTCAACCACTTTACTTTTCAGAATTTGTCCTATGGATATACTCACGTGTGAAATGACACGTTCAAGGATATTCAGGGTAACATTGTTTATAATAGCAAAATTTTGAAAAGAACTTGACCAGGCGAGGTGGCTCAGGCCTGTAATCCCAGCACTTTGAGAGGCCAAGGTGGCTGGATCTCTTGGGCTCATGAGTTGGAGACCAGCCTAGGCAACATGATGAAACCTCATCTCTACAAAAAAAAAAATACAGAAATTAGCCAGACACGGTGGTGTGTGCCCGTAGTCCCAGCTACTCAGAGGCTGAGGCAGAAAGATCAATTGAGCCCAGGAGATTGAGGCTGTAGTGAGTCCTCATCATGACACTGCATTCCAGCCTGGGGGACAGAATGAGACCCTGTCTCAAAAAACAAACAAGCAAACAAACAAACAAACAAAAAATGCTAAAAAAAACCCAGCCTGGACAACCTGATGAAACCTTGTCTCTACCAAAAAAAAAAAAAAAAAAAAAAAATTAGCTAGGCGTGATAGCACGCATCTGTAGTTCCAGCTTCTCAGGAGGCTGAGGAGGGAGGATTGCTTGAGCACAGTAGGTTGAAGCTGCAGTGAGCCGTGATTGCACCACCGCACTCCAGCCTGTGTGACGGAGTGGTAATTTATTATTTATTTGAACTTAAATAAAGAACTTAAATGCCCAGTGATGAAGACTGATTAAACAATTTATGATACATCTTTACAAAGGTACAGTATACTGAGTTTTAAAAATCCATTTTATATACACTGAAAATGCATATTTTCCAAGACACAATATTAAGTAAGGAAGTAATCAGGTGCAGAATATGTGTAAAATATACGATAATCCCCAGAGTGTATATGCATATATGCTTGTTTTCACATAGAATATCTTGGAGAAGGCCGGGCGCGGTGGCTCACGCCTGTAATCCCAGGACTTTCGGAGGCCAAGGTGGACAGATCACCTGAGGTCAGGAGTTCAAGACCAGCCTGGCCAACATGATGAAACCCTGTCTCTACTAAAAATACAAAAAAATTAGCTGGGCATGGTGGCGGGCGCCTGTAATCCCAGCTATTTCGGAGGCTGAGGCAGAAAAATCACTTGAACCCGTGAGGTGGAGCTTGCAGAGAGCCAAGATTGCTCCATTGCACTCCAGCCTGGGCAACAAGAGAGAAATGCCATCTCAGAAAAATTAATTAATTAATTAATTAAAAAGGTATAGAGCTATAGTCAGTGGGTGATTGGGGAATCAGGGTGAAAAGATATAATTTTTTTTTTTTTACTGTACATCAATTTGCACCTTTCAGATTTTCTATGATATGCATGTATTCCCTATGAAAAGTAAGTCAAACGGCCAGGCGCAGTGGCTCATGCCTGTAATCCCAGCACTTTGGGAGGCTGAGGTGGGTGGGTCACCTAAGATTAGGAGTTCGAGACCAGCCTGGCCAACATGAGGAAACCCTGTCTCTGGGCGACAGTGTGAGACTCTGTCTCAAAATAAAATAAAATAATAAAATAAAATAAAAGTAAGTCGAGTGATTTTAACATGTCAGGCCTGTACTAAATTCTAGAGGTACAGTGGTGAACAAAACAGAAACCTTGCCTTAGGGAGCTGCCAGTCTGGTGCTGGGAGACACTCCCTGAACTCAGCACTGCAGGGATGTGTGATGAGCACTGTGACGGGGCACACCAACACCAAGGCACTTCGGAGGAGGGTGACACACAGCAGGGACACCCAGCAGTCTTGGAGGTGGGCAGGCAGCCTGAAATTTACATGGGGGGCAGAAAGAAGAAGGAGCCAGTCCATGGAGGTGGCTTAAGGGACAGGAGGCCCCAGCAGAGAAAACAGCATTTGTGGAGGAGGGCAAAGCTCTGTTAATTTGAGGAACTGAAAGAAGTTCAGCTCAACCGGAAGCTGACATGAGTCAAATTGGTTTTCAGAAAAAGCCATGCTAGAAATGTGGAGAAAGGATTGAAAGGGGCAAGAGTGGAGTCAAGAAGATGGGTTACGCCAGGTGTGGTGGCTCATGCCTGTAATCCCAACACTTTGGGAGGCCAAGGTGGGCAGATCACCTGAGGTCAGGAGTTCGAGACCAGCCTGGCCAACATGGTGAAACCCCATCTCTACTAAAAATACAAAAAAAATTAGCTGGGCGTGGTGGTGTGTGCCTGTAATCTTGGCTACTCGGGAGGCTGAGGCAGGAGAATCACTTGAACCCCAGAAGCAGAGGTTGTGGTGAGCCGAGACTAAGCCACTACACCCCAGCCTGGATGACAGAGCGAGATTCCGTCTCAAAAAAAAAAGAAAAGAGAAAAAAAGAAAAAGAAAAAAGAAAAGAAAAGAAGAAGATGGGTTAGGAAGCTTCTGTAGTCATCAGACAAGAGGAGACAGGAGGCTGGATTAAGGAGGTGGTGGTGGGGGACAGAAAGGACAGGACGGTTTCAATAGACACTGAGAACTTAGAATCTACAGACATGGTGATTGGATGACTGAATGAAGGAAATGGAGGATCATTATAATAATAAAAGCTAATATTTTGTAAGAATTTCCTTGGGAGGCCGAGGCACGCGGATGTCTTGAGGTCAGGAGTTCGAGACCAGCCTGGCCAACATGGTGAAACCCCCGTCTCTACTAAAAATACCAAAAAAAATAGCCGGGCACGGTGGCGGGCACCTGTAATCCCAGCTACTCGGGAGGCTGAGGTTCGAAAATCACTTGAACCCGGGAGGCAGAGGTTGCAGTGAACTGAGATCGCACCATGGCACTCCAGCCTGGGTAACAGAGAGAGACTGTCTCAAAAAAAAAAAAAAAAAAAAAGAATTTCCTGTGGGGGCAGCACCTGTCCAGGACTTGGTGTGATTCCGTCGCTCAGTCTTCTCAGCAACCAGGGACGTAGGTACTGCCGTAATGAGAGTTTACAGATTAAAAGTTGAAGGAGGTTAAGAAACTTCATTGAGGCCAGGCATGGTGGCTCGTCCCTGTAATCCCAGCACTTTGGGAGGCCAAGGTGGGTGGATTGCTTGAGCTCAGGTGTTTGAGACCACCCTGGGCAACACCACAAAACCCCATCTCTACCAAAAATACAAAAATTTGCCGGTTGTGCTAGTGTGCACCTGTCGTCCCAGCTACTTGAGAGACTGAGGTGGAGGATCTCTTGAGCCCAGGAGGCGAGGCTGCAATGAGAGACCACCAAGTCTAGGGAACATAGAGACAAACCCAACCCTGTCTGTGTCCTCATGGAACTTCAGGGCCAGGAATGGTGACGTTAGTGACCTTTATGCTAAGAGAGGGGTAGGTGGGCACCAGGAGCTGTAGGAGCACAGAGCAGGGAGAGGAGATCTAATCTGACTTGGGGAGAAGGTTCCTTAATACAAGATGTGGCTGGAGGTAAATCTTATTTTAAAAAAAATTTTTTTTTGAGACAGTCTGGCTCTGTCACCCAGGCTGGAGTGCAGTGGCACGATCTCTGCTCACTGCAACCTCCACCTCCCAGGTTCAAGTGATTCTCCTGCCTCAGCTTCCCAAGTAGCTGGGATTACAGGCATACACCACCCATGCCTGGCTAATTTTTATTTATTTATTTATTTTTGAGACCGAGTCTCTCTCCATCACGCAGGCTGGAGTGCAGTGGCACAATCTCGGCTCACAGCAATCTCTGCCTCCCGGGTTCAAGCGATTCTCCTGCCTCAGCCTCCCGAGTAGGTGGGATTACAGGCATGTGCCACCATGCCCGACTAATTTTTTTTTTTTTTTGTATTTTTAGTAGAGAGGGGGTTTTGCCATATTGGTCAGGCTGGTCTTGAACTTTTGAACTCAGGTGATCCACTGGCCTCGGCCTCCCAAAGTGCTGGGATTACAGGTATGAGCTACCGCGCCCGGCCAATTTTTGTTTGTTTGTTTGTTTGTTTTTGTATTTTTTTAGTAGAGACAGGGCTTCACCATGTTGGCCAGGCTGGTCTCGAACTCCTGACCTCAGGTGATCCACCTGCCTCGGCCTCCCAAACTGCTGGCATTACAGGCATGAACCACTGTGCCCAGCCTGGGTAAATCTTGAAGGACAAGTAGTGACAGACAAGTAAAGGGCAGAGCCTCAGGCAGAGACAGTAGTGTGGATGAAGGTGCCTGCCATTAAGTGAAGGTGTCTCATTACAGGGTGAGACACCGTGCCCGATCAGCACACATCTTCTTATTCTGGAACCCATGCTGAACAATAGCCACTATCTGGGGCACATTGTTCTCACAGAGGAGGACTAACCAAAAGTACCCCAGCCAAGCTGCACAATTGCATTTCAAGCTCTGCTCAAGTGTGACAAAGTTCAGGCTGGGTGCAGTGGTTCACATCTGTAATCCCAGCACCTTGGGAGACCAAGGTGGGAGGATCACTTGAGCCCAGGAGTTCCAGACCAGCCTGCGCAACATGGTGACACCCCTTCTCTTAAAAACAAAAACAGAAAAAAGGCCGGGCGTGGTTGCTCATGCCTGTAATCCAGCACTTTGGGAGGCTGAGGCAGGCGGATCACCCGAGGTCAGGAGTTTAAGACCAGCCTGGCCAACATGTCGAAACTCCATTTCTACTCAAAATACAAAGATTAGCTAGGCATGGCGGTGCACACCTGTAATCTCAGCTACTCGGGAGCCTGAGGCACAAGAATTGCTTGAACCCAGGAGGTGGAGGTTGCAGTGAACCAAGATCGCGCCACTGCACTCCAGCTTGGGCAACAGAGTGAGACTCTGTCTAAAAAAAAAAAAAGGGACAAGGCCAGGCGCGGTGGCTCATGCCTGTAATCCCAGCACTTTGGGAGGCCAAGGCGGGCAGATCACGAGGTCAGGAGATCGAAACCATCCTGGCTAACATGGTGAAACCCCGTCTCTACTAAAAATAAAAAAAATTAGCCAGGCGTGGTGGCCGGCTCCTGTAGTCCCAGCTACTCGGGAGGCTGAGGCAGGAGAATGGCGTGAACCCGGGAGGCGGAGCTTGCAGTGAGCCAAGATGGCGCCACTGCACTCCAACCTGGGCAACAGAGAGAGACTGTGTCTCAAAAAAAAAAAAAAAAAAAAAGGGACAAAATTCATGTCCACTCATATCCCTTTGTTCAAAACATGTCATATGGCCAACTCCAAAGTCGGTAGGGCAGGCAAACATGGTAAGGGTTGGAGGGTCATTGTGAAATTGTAAGATAGCGTGTGGCAACCTGTCATTGGGGATAGAGAGGAGAAATAGATTAGAATCTTGAGATTTGGTGGCTGATTTGATGTAGGGGATCTGACAAGGATTGCCTCAGGTGATTAAATTGAAGATATTACCATTAAACAAGAAAAGGGGTGCAGGAAGAGGAACCTTGTCATAGATGTTTGTTGATGCCCAACATCAAATCTGGCTTCTTGGCTGGTCCGATGGTAGTGGGTTGTCAGAGCTTACTAACATTAGTGTCACTACATTTGGTATACGACCTCCCAGTGCTAAATTTGGCTAAAAAAAATCTTGTCATAACAGTACCCTGTTTTTTGTTTTTTTTTTTTGAGACAGGGCCTCGCTTTGTCACTCAGGTTTGAGTCCAGTGGCACAAACACGGCTCACTGCAGCCTCAACCTCCTGGGCTCAAGCAATCCCCCCGCCTCAGCCTCCTGAGTATGTGGGGCTACAGGTGGCTACCACCAGGCTTGGGAATTTTTTTTTTTTTTTTTTGAGATGGAGTCTTGCTCTGTGGCCCAGGCTGGAGTGCTGTGGCTTGATATCGGCTCACTGCAAACTCTGCCTCCCAGGTTCACACCATTCTCCTGCCTCAGCCTCCCAAGTAGCTGGGACTACAGGCGCCTGCCACCATGCCTGGCTAAGTTTTTTTATTTTTAGTAGAGACGGGATTTCACCATGTTAGCCAGGATGGTCTCGATCTCCTGACCTCGTGATCCGCCTGCCTTGCCCTCCCAAAGTGCTGGGATTACAGGCGTGAGCCACCGCACCCGGTCAACGGTTGGCTAATTTTTAAATTTTTTTTTTTTTGGCCAGGCACGGTGGCTCAAGCCTGTAATCCCAGCACTTTGGGAGGCCGAGGCGGGCGGATCATGAGGTCGGGAGATGGGAGATCGAGACCATCCTGGCTAATCCGGTGAAACCTCGTCTCTACTAAAAATACAAAAAAATTAGTCGGGCGTGGTGGCGGGCACCTGTAGTCCCAGCTACTCGGGAGGCTGAGGCAGGAGAATGGCGTGAACCCCGGAGGTGGAGCTTGCAGTGAGCCGAGATCGCGCCACTGCACTCCAGCCTGGGCGACAGAGCAAGACTCCGTCTCAAAAAAAAAAAAAAAAAAAAAAATTTTTTTTTTTTTAAAGCGCTGATCCTGTTTATTTGGCAGGAAAACTAGACAATGCAGCAGCCCAGGAGGGACAGGTGGGCTTAATCCTCCTCCTTGTGGTCTCCAGCCCCAGCCCCACCCTGGCCCTTCTTGGCATTCTTCCTCTTCACGCGGCCCGGGCGGCCACCCCCATAGGGAGAGCACAGAGAGAAGTCGATGTGCTTCTGGGAATCCAGGCGGACAATGAAGGACGGGATGTTCACCACCTGCTTGCGGACCCTGAAATGGCGCTGGCGGATCAGCACGCGAGCGTGGTGGATGGACTTGGCCAAGCCCAGCTTGAAGACCTGGGTCTGTAGGCGTCTCTCTAAGAAATCCTCTATCTTCAGGCCCAGGATGTAATCCAGCTTCATCTTGCCCTCATCCAGCACCCCAATGCAGACCAGCCGCCACAGCAGGGCATTGCCTTCGAACAGACGCCGTGGGTCCTTCTGATCAAGCGTCAGCAGTTCCCGGGCGGCCTTGCGGATCTTGGCCAGGGTAAATTTGACCCTCCAGACCTCACGTTTATTCCGGAGCCCATACTCTTCGATCAGCTTCAGCTCTTGGTCGAGACGAGATTTCTCAAAGGATCTCCGCGGGGTCACGTAAGTTTTGCGACAAACCCAGCTCCGGGCCACTGGCATGTTGGCTCCCCTAACCCGTCTGCGCCTAAGCCTAGAACCCGGTCACTGAGAAAGAGCAATTTTTAAATTTTTTATAGTTACAGGGTCTTACTTGGTTGCCCAGGCTGATTTCAAACTCCTGGGCTCAAGTGATCCTTCTGCCTCGGCCCCGCAAAGTGCTGGGATTACAAGCATGAGCCACTGAGCCGGGCCCATGTTTTGATATATGCATACATTGTGGAATGGCTAAATCAAGCTCGTTAAGCTAATTAACATATCCATTAACTCACACACATCTTTTTTGTGAAAAGAACATTTAAAATCTACTCTTCACAATTTTCAAGTATACAACATATTGTTATTAACTATAGTTACATGTTTTACAATAGATCTCTTGTACTGTGTGCTGCTGTCTAACTGAAATTTTATATCCTTTAACCAAAATCTTTCTAACCCTATTATTCACTAAGCAGGTAGAAATACTGATATGAAACATGATAAATTGGTTGCAAACGGAGATTAGCCTTTGAAAGTATCAGCATATAATTAAGACTTGATGCTAAGGGGTGAATGAGCTTTCCCAGGGAGACCGGAGAAAGCTAAAACAGAAGAGGGTCCTGGACCTTGGAGAAACGCATCATCTAAGGAGCTGGCTGTATGTGGAACAGCACAGTGTCGACTCAGAAGGCATGGTCATGGAGGAAGGAGAGGAGAAGTGCTGCAGAGGCCAAGGGATTCAGGGGTCTCCAAAAGTAGGAAATCTTTCGTTTTTCTTTCTTTCTTTTTTTTTTTTTTTTTTGAGACAGTCTCACTCTGTCACCCAGGCTGGAGTGCAGCGGCACAATCTTGGCTCACTGCAACCTCCACCTCCTGAGTTCAAGTGATTCTTCCACCACCACGCCAGGCTAATTTTTGTATTTTTAATAGAGACCGGGTTTCTCCATGTTGGCCAGGCCGGTCTCGAGCTCCTGAACTCAAGTGATCTGCCTGCTTTGGCCTCCCAAAGAGCTGGGATTACAGATGTGAGCCACCATGCCCGGCCTACATTTAATCTTTTTCAGGTAATCTTCTTTTTTTTTTTTTTTTTTTTTTTGAGATGGAGTTTTGCTCTTGTTGCCTAGGCTGGAGTGCAGTGTCTTGATTTCAGCTCACTGCAACCTCGGCCTCCCGGGTTCAAGCGATTCTCCTGCCTCAGCCTCCCAAGTAGCTGGGATTACAGGTGCCTGCCACCATGCGTGGCTAATTTTTTGTATTTTTAGTAGAGACGGGGTTTTTATCATTTTGGCCATGCTGGTCTTGAACTCCGCACCTCAGGTGATCCACCTGCCTCGGCCTCCCAAAGTGCTGGGATTACAGGCGTGCAGCACCACACCCGGCCGTCATTTAATCATTTTTATGAAAAAAAGGCTTAGGGGAAAAGCAAATGAATTGTTGGAACAAAAAGGCCAGGGAATCTTTATCATTTTGAAGTGAACAAGGCAAAATCCTACCAATAGGAATAAATTATATTTTTCGTGTGACTACCCGGTGTGAGGTTGGGAGAAAATGAATTCTATGGTGATGAGGTGACTTTGCCCTTTGGTAACTGAGGAGCAAAACACCTCCAGCCACTGCTGATAGAGACTGAACCGAAGAGGAAATGCCAAAGATTTTACAGGTCCCTAGGAGGTCTAGACTCCCTCTCTGCCCCATCTTCCTTGGAGACCAAGTAGACCTCCAAGCGGAGGAAGCCTCCACTGGAATGCAACATCAGAAGCGAATGAACTGGGACTGCTGTCACACCAGAGGGATGGGGAGAGAGGGGAACAAGGGAGCATTCACGTGCTGGCAATGGGGAGGTTTCACTGCTCTTCAATCTCATTTTCTGGGCTCTCCTCCCCCGCTTTTAAAATGCTGAGCTTGGCCTGGTGTGGTGGCTCACGTCTGTAATCCCAGCACTTTGGGAATCCAAGGCAGTCAAATTACTTGAGCCCAGGAGCTTGAGACCAGCCTGGGCAACGTGGCAAAACCCCGTTTCTAAAAAATACAAAACCTAGCTGGGTGTGGTGGTACCTGCCCTGTAGTCCTTGGCTACTTGGGAAACTGAGATGGGAGGATTGTTTGAGCCCAGCAAGTTGAGACTGCAGTGAGCCTTGATCGAGCCACTGCATTCCAGCCTGGGCGACAAAGTGAGACCCTATTTCAAAACGAAACAAAACAAATAAAATGCAGCACTAAGGGCCAGGCTCAGTGGCTCATGCCTGTAATCCCAGCATTTTGAGAGGCCAAGGCAGGAGGATCACTTGAGCTCAGGAGTTCAAGACCAACCTGGGCAACATAGCAAAACCCTGTCTCTAAAAAATAAAATAAAATAAAGTAAGATAAAATAGGCCAGGCGTGGTGGCTCATGCCTGTAATCCCAGCACTTTGGGAGGCCAAGGCGAGTGGATCACCTGGGGTCAGGAGTTTGAGACCATCCTGGCCAACATGGCGAAACCCCATCTCTAGTAAAAATGCAAAAATTATCCGGGCATGGTGATGGGCACCTATAATCCCAGATACACGGGAGGCTGAGGCAGGAGAATCACTTGAACCCCGGGGGGGCGGAGGTTGCGGTGAGCTGAGATTGCACCATTGCACTCCAGCCTGGGCAACAAGAGCGACATTCCATCTCAAAAATAAATAAATAAAATAAAAAAAGAAAAGAAAATACTGAGCTCAGGCTGGGCACATTGATTCACGCCTGTAATCCCAACACTTTGAGAGGCTGAGGTAGGAGGATGGCTTGAGCCCAGGAGTTGGAGACCAGCCTGGGCAACACAGGACGACCCCACGTCTACCCCTCCACCCCCCCAAAAAAAAGAAAGAAAAAGAGGCTGAGTTCCCTAGGGCACTATTCTTAGCCTTTTATGACCACAACCTATCCCTGGACAGCCTCATCCACAAACATGGCATTAAGTGCCATTCTACATGTTTAGTAAACGTGTATTGAATGACTCAGTGAAAAATGAAGGCAAAATTTCTGGGAAAGATGATATATGGGACTGAATCGTGCTCCCCCGCCAATTCATATGTTGAAGTCCAAACCCCTAGTACCTCAGAATGTAACCATATTTGGAGAAAAGGGCCTTCAAGAGCTGATTAAATTAAAATGAGGTCATTAGAGTGGGGTCCTAATCCGGTATGACTAGTGTTATAACTAGTGTTCTTTTTTTTTTTTTTTTCTGAGACGGAGTTTCGCTTTTGTTGCCCAGGCTGGAGTGCAGTGGCGCAGTCACAGCTCACTGCAACTTCTGCCTCCTGGGTTTAATCGATTCTCCTGCCTCAGCCTCCCAAGTAGCTGGGATTACAGGCATGCACCACCATGCCCAGCTAATTTTGTATTTTTTTTTAGTAGAGATGGGGTTTCACCATGTTGGTCAGGCTGGTCTCAAACTCCTGACCTCAGGTGATCCACCCACCTCAGCCTCCCAAAGTGCTGGGATTACAGGTGTGAGCCACCACGCCCAGCTGTGTTCTTTTTTTTAATTAAAAAAAATTTTTTTAAAAGAAATAGACATGGGGTCTCACTATGTTACTCAGGCTGGTCTTCAACTCCTGGGCTCAAGTGATCCTCCTGCCTCAGCCTCCCAAAGTCCTGGGATGACAGGTGTAAGCCACTGAGCTCAGCCTATAACTGGTATTCTAACAAGAAGAGGAAGGGACACCAGGGATGTGTACATACAGAAAAAAGGCCACACGAGGACACAGTAGGAAGGTAGCCATCTGAAGCCAAGGAGAGAGGCACCAGGAGAAACTAACACCTTGATCTTGGACTTCTAACCTCCAGAACTGTGAGAAAATAAAGTTGTGTTGTTTAAGCTACTTGTCTGTGGTATTATGTTATAGCAGTCCTAGCAAATTACAGATGATGAAGCCATCAAGACAGATGGGCCTGTGAAAGGACCATGCACTAGTGACAGCAGGCAGCTGGATACCTGTGTGTCAGCCTCAGGGTGTGGTCTAAGCTGGATAAAAAGATTCTGCAGGGCCATCAGGGTGGCTCATGCCTCTAATCTCAGCACTTTGGGAGGCCGAGGCAGGCGAATCACCTGAGGTCAGGAGTTTGAAACCGGCCTGGCCAATGTCGTGAAACCCTGTCTCTACTAAAAATACAAAAATTAGCTGGGCGTGCTGGCATGTGCCTGTAGTCCCAGCTACGTGGGAGGCTGAGGCAGGACAATTGCTTGAACCTGGGAGGCAGAGGTTGCCATGAGCTGAGATTGTGCCACTGTACTCCATCCTGGGCGACAGAGCGAGATTCCATCTCAAAAAAAAAAAAAAAAAGAAAAGAAAAGAAAGGAAAACAGTTGGCAGTTGGTGGTTCTTCAAAAAGTTAAACACAGAATTACCTTATAATCCAGCAATTCCCCGGTATATATCCAAAAGAGTTGAGAGTAGATGTAGGCTGGACGTGGTGGCTCACACCTGTAATCTCAGCACTTTGGGAGGCTGAAAGTGGGAGGATCACCTAAACACAGGAGTTCAAGGCTAGCCTGGGCAACATGGCGAAACCCTATCTCTACAAAAACTACAAAAGCTAGCTGGGCACGATGGCTTGCACCTGTAGTCTCAGCTACCTGGGACTGTGAGGTAGGGGGATTGCTTTGGCCCAGGAGTTTGAAGTTGTAGTGAGCTATGACTGCGCCACTGCACTCCAGCCTGGGCAACAGAGTGAGACCCTGTCTCAAAAAAAAAAAAAAATGCTGGGCATGGTGGCTTAGGCTTGTAATCCCAGCACTTTGGGAGGCCGAGGCAGGCAGATCACCTGAGGTAAGGAGCTTGAGACCAGCCCGACCAACGTGGTGAAACCCCGTCTCTACTAAAAATACAAAAATTAGCCAGGCATGGTGGCGGGCACCTGTAATCCCAGCTACTCGGGAGGCTGAGGGAGGAGAATTGCTTGAACCTGGGAGACAGAGGTTGCAGTGACTTGAGATCACGCCAGTGCACCCCACCTTGGGCAACAGAGCGAGACTCCATCTCAAACACACACACACACACACACACACACAAAAATTAGCTGGGCATGATGGTGCATGCCTGTGTTCTCAGCTACTGGGGAGGCTGAGGTGGAAGGATCGCTTGAGCCGGGGAGGTGGAGGTTGCAGTGAGCCTAGATCTTGCCACTGCACTTCAACATGGGCGACAGAGCCAGCCCCTGTCTCGAAATAAATAAATAGATAAAAATAACAATAGAGATGTTTTAAAGTGTCATAGACTGAATGATAAATTATATCGTCAGTATATATATATACATCTATATCAATATATAGAGGTGTATATATATATTTTTATATATATGTGGAAAAATATATATCTTTTCACACGTAAAGTACTCACTTGCTCCGCAGCAGAGAAAACAGGGTTGGAAAGGCAACATCTTTACTCCCAGTGTGTTCAGCTCACAGTCCATAACTATTCATTAGGTCTGGATATAGGTACTACCTATAAACTGAAAGACAAACTATCTTTCAATATACAGTTGTGGAATAGGAAAAAAATAATCACAATAAAAATGACCACTGGGCTGGGTGTGGTGGCTCGCTCCTGTAACCCCTGCACTTTGTGAGGCTGAGGCAGGAGAATCGTTTGAGCCCAGGAGTTTGAGACCAGCCTGGGCAACATAGAAAGACCCCATCTCTACAAAAAAAATTAAAATAAAAAAATTAGCCTGGCATGGTGGCACATGAACACCTGTAATCCCAGCTCCTTGGAGGTGGAGGTGGGAGGATCCCCTGAGCTCAGGAGGTTGAGGCTGCAGTGAGCCCTGACTGTACTACTGCACTCTTGCATAGGCAACAAGAGCTAGACCCTGTCTCAAAAGAAAAAAAAAAAAAAGCACTCCAAAAATGCGGGGATATGAAACACGCTGCAGATGCTTGTCCCTTGCAGTCGGTAAAGGTATCTGGGCAGGAAGAGGGAGGATTCTCTTGTATGGCAGTAGAATTAGTTGTTGGGTACAACTGTCTGATAGCCCCTAGCTCTGCCTTCTGGGAGGTTCTTCCTTTGGCATTATCCCCCATGGACACGGGAGAGGTGGGCCCTGGAGAGATTGGCCTGTTGTAAGCTGCCCAGTTTTCAGAGCCTGCATCCTGCTAGTGCAGGTTTTGGAGCCTGGGAATGGCTTCAGGGGTTGAGTAGCTATAATTTTTGTGAGCCAGCTAGTGGTTTCTTTGGTAATATAATTCCTTCAAACATTTAGCAGGTTTCTGGCTGTTGGCTTAATTGTGCTAATGACTACAGCCAAAGATCTCATCTAAACACATCTTTTTTGTTTTTTGGGTTTTTTTCTGGAGACAGAGTCTCGCTTCTATCCCCCAGGCTGGAGTGCAGTGGCGCCATCTTGGCTCACGGCAACCTTTGTCTCTCAGGTTCAAGCAATTCTTATGCTTCAGCCTCCTGAGTAGCTGGGATTACAGGCACCTGACACCACAGTGGCTAATTTTTGTATTTTTAGTAGTGACAGGGTTTCACCATGTTGGCCAGGCTGGTCTTAAACTCCTGACCTCAGGTGATCTGCCTGTCTTGGCCTCCGAAAGTGTTGGGATTACATGCGTGAGCCACCACGCTCGGCCTAGACATACCTTTTAAGCCTCAATACTGTTCTTTGGTCTTCTACAAATGAGCCTGTGCTGAGCTTGAAGGTGGTAGCCACCTTCAATCCTTCTGAAACAGGGTTGAGAAGCCAACATCTTTACTCCCAGTTTTGCCTTTCAGCTCATAGCCCCTGGGGGAAGTTAAGTCTTACCTCTTGCTAAGGCTACTGCTCCCAAGCCACTCCTTATAAGTACTTAGATCTGAAATACCAAAGCAGATGGCTTTTTTTTTCAGCCCTGAAAATCTCTGCATTATAGAACTCTTGGGCCATTGTAATTGGGGATTACCAGCAGAGTACATACTTTTATATAGGTAAATACAAAAGACAAGTATAAATACATTTTGTTTATCTTTTTTCTCCTGTGTGATTTAAAAGACAACTGCATAAATCAAGAATTATAAATCTGTTGATGAGCACACAGCGTATAAAAATGTAATTTGTTTCAAGGACATGTTATCTAAGAAAAAAATGTAATTTGTGACAATAACAGCACAAAGGAGGTGGAAAACAGCCACAGAGAAGTAAAGTTGTAGTTTATTAATTGGAATTAAATTGCTATTAATCCCAGCCAGAGTGTTATACTACACTAGATCCCCCCCCATTTATCAGCAATTTTGATTTCTGTGGTTACCTGCCGTTAACGCCCTCTGAAAATATTAAACGGAAAATTCCAGAAATAAGCAATTCATGTTTTAAATTTCGAGCAGTTCTGAGTAATATGATGAAATCTCGCACCATCTCACTCCGTCCTGCCCAGGATGAGAATGATCCCTTTGTCCAGCTTGTCCAGGCTCTAGATGCTACTGGCCGTAACTTAGTAGCTTTCTCAGTTATCAGATTGTCTTGGGATTGCAGTGCCTGTGTCCAAGTTATCCTTATTCGGTTTAATAATGGTCCCAAAGCACGAGCGTGGTATATTGTTATAATTGTTCTATTTTATTGTTATTTTTGTTAATCTCTTACTGTGCCTAATTTATACATTTATAAATTAAACTTTATCATAGGTATGTATGTATATGAAAAAACATAGTATATATAGGGTTCAGTACTATCTGAGGATTCAGGCATCCACTGGGCCTCTTAGAACATATCCACGTTGGTGGTGAAACCCCGTCTCTACTAAAAATACAAAAAATTATCCGGGAGTGGTGGTGGGCGCCTGTAATCCCAGGCACCCGCTGAGGCAGGAGAATTGCTTGCATCCGGGAGGCAGAGGTTTCAGTGAGCTGAGATGGCACCACTGCACTCCAGCCTGGGCAACAGAGTAAGGCCCTGTATCAAAAAAAAAAAAAAAAAAAAAAAAGATTATACTGGGCGCAGTCGCTAACGCCTGTAATCCCAGCACTTTGGGAGGCCAAGGCGGGTGGATCACGAGGTCAGGAGTTCGAGACCAGCCTGACCAACATGGTCTCTACTAAAAATACAAAAATCACCCAGGTGTGGTGGCACACACCTGTAATCCCAGCTACTCAGGAGGCTGAGGCAGGAGAATCGCTTGAACACAAGAGGCAGAGGTTGCAGTGAGCCAAGATCACACCTCTGCATACCAGCCTGGCGACAGAGCGAGACTCTGTTTCAAAAAAAAAAAAAAAAAAAAAGATTGCAAGGGAATACTATGAACAGCTGTAGTCCAACAAATTAGGTAACTTAGATGAAATGGACAAATTCTAGGAAAAAAGTTACCAGAACTGATTCAAAAAGATACCAAAAATCTGAGTAGGCCTATAACAAGTAAAGACATCAAATTAATAATAAAAACTTGTTGGGTGCAGTGGCTCATTCCTGTAATCCCAGCACTTTGGAAGGCTGAAGTGGTTGAATTGCTTGAGCTCAGGAGTTTGAGACCAGCCTGGGCAACATGGCAGAAACCCGTTTCTACAAAAAATACAAAATTTAGCTGGACATGGTGGTGCACGCCTATAGTCCCAGCTACTTGGGAGGCTGAAGTGGGAGGACGGCGAGAGTCCAGGAGGCAGAGGTTGTAGTGAGTTGGGATTGTGCCACCTTACTCCAGCCTGGGAGATACAGCCAGAGCTTGTCTCAAAATAATAATAATAATAATAATAATAATAATAAACTCTCCATAAAGAAAAATCCAGGCCTAGATAGCTTCACTGGTGAATTCTACCAAATAGTCAAAGAAAAATTAATACCAATTATGGAATACTGAATAATGGCCCTCCCAAAATATCTATGCCCTAATCTGCAGAACCTATGAGTGTTCCTTTATATGGCAAAAGGGATTTTGCAAATGTAATTAAGAATCTCAAAGTGGGGAGATTATTTTGGAGTACATGGGTGGACCAGATGTGATTACAAGGGAAATTATAAGAGGGATGCAGAAAGAGTCAAGGTTCCAAAGCCATAGGAAGAAGGAAGCGGAGGTACGTAGAGTCTAAAAGAGAAGCTGCCACTTAGCTGGCTTTGAGGATGGAAGAAAAAGCCATGAGCAGCCTCTAGAAATTGGAAGAAGCAAGAAGCGGATTCCTCTCCTGCAGCTTCCAGGAGGAACCAGCCCTGCTGACACCTGGCTGCAGTTCTGTAAGACCCATTTTGAACTTTCAATCTCCAAAATTGTAAAAGAATAAATCTGTGGCTGGGCGTGGTGGCTCACACCTGTAATCCTAGCACCTTGGGAGGCCAAGGCAGGTGGATTGCCTGAGCTCAGGAGTTAAAAACACCAGCCTGGGCAACATGGGGAAACCCGGTCTCTACTAAAATACAAAAAATTAGCCAGGCGTGGGGGTGTGGGCCTGCTGGCCTGCAATCCCAGCTACTTGGGAGACTGAGACAGGAGAATCGCTTGAACCCGGGAGGTGGAGGTTGCAGTGAGTCGAGATTGTGCCATTGTACTCCAGCCTGCGTGACAGAGAGAGACTCCGTCTCAAAAAAAAAAAAAAGAATTAATTTGTGCTTTTTTAAGTCATTAAGTTTGTAGTAATTTGTTATAGCAGTAATAGGAAACTTCTACCAATTTACTTAATTTTATTTATTTATTTATTTATTATTTATTTTTTTTTGAGAGAAGTCTCGCTCTTATTTCCCAGGTTTGAGTGCAATGGCTCGATCTCGGCTCACTGCAACCTCCGCCTCCCAGGTTCAAATGATTCTGCTGCCTCTGCCTCCCACATAGCTGGGATTAAGTCACCTGCCACCACGCCTGGCTAATTTTTGTATTTTTTAGTAGAGACTGCGTTTCAATATGTTGGCCAGGCTGGTCTCAAATTCCTGACTTCAGGTGATCCGCCCGCCTCAGCCTCCCAAAGTGCTGTGATTACAGGCGTGAACCACTGCGCCCGGCCTATTTATTTATTTTTATTTATTTATTTTTTTGAGACAGAGTCTTGCTCTATCAACCAGGCTGGAGTGCCATGGTGCCATCTCAGTTCACTGCAACCTCCACCTCCTGGGTTCAAATGATTCTCCTGCCTCAGCCTCCCGAGTAGCTGGGATTACAGGCATGCACCACCACGCCCAGCTAATTTTGTATTTTTAGCAGAGACAGGGTTTCTCCATGTTGGTCAGGCTGGTCTCGAACTCCCGACCTCAGGTGATCTGCCCGCCTTGCCCTCCCAAAGTGCTGGAATTACAGGCGTGAGCCACCGCGCCTGGCCTTATTTTTTTTTTAATTAAAAAAATTTTTTTTGAAGAGATCAGGTCTTGCTTTGTTGCCCAGGTTGGTCTTGAACTCCTGCTAAAGCAGTCCTCCCACCTCGATATCCCGAAGTGCTGGAATTACAGGCATTAGCTACTGCAACAGGCCAATCAATATGCTTAAACCAATCTTTCACAAACTGTTACAAAAAACAGAGGAGGAGGGAACACTTTCCAATCATTGTATGATGCCGGTATTACTCTGATACTGAAACCACAAAAAGATATCACAAGAAAAGGAAACCACAGATCATTATCCCTTGTTCATTTAGACACAAAAATCCTGAATAAAATACATACTAGGAAACTGAATCCCACAATATATAAAAAGGGTTACAGGCCGGGCGCAGTAGCTCATCTCAGCACTTTGGGAGGCTCAGGCAGGTGGTTGCTTTAGCCCAGGAATTTGAGACCAGCCTGGGCAACATAGAGAGACCTTGTCTCTACAGAAAATACCAAAAAAATGAGCTAGATATGGTGGTGTGTGACTGTAATCCCAGCTACTCAGGAGCCTGAGGTGGGAGAATCATATGAGCCCAGGAGGTCAAGGCTGCAGTGAGCTATGATCTTGCCACTGCACTCTAGTCTGGTTGATAGAATGAAACCCTGTCTGTAAAAACAAAACAAAACAAAACAAAACCAGTTACACACCATGATCAAAGGAATTTATCCCTATGATGCAAAACTGGTTTAACATCTTGTGTAGAAAAGACTTAACGTGGTGGGCGTGAGACTGCTATCCTTAGAAATTCATGCTTTCAAGGTTGACCCTTGGTTAATGTCTGGAGAAATGGATTTCAGGACTCCTAAGAGTGGCTCACTGTGCCTAAACTATACAAACAATGTGGTTTATGCTAAATACTTGCTTTCCTTCTGTGAGTCTGCAACTTTGGTATGTGCTAGGCAGAGAGTGCATACGTGACCAGCCCCAATTTAACAACTTGGGCACTGAATCTCAAGTGAGCTTCTCCGGTAGACAACATTTCACGCATGTTATCACAACTTGCGGCTGGAGGAATTAGATATGTAATATGTTGACTCCACTAGAAGAGCACTCTGGAAGCTTGTGTCTGGTTTTCTCTGGACTTTGTCCCATGAGCTGTTTCCCTTTGCTGATTTTGCTTTGTATCTTTTCACTATAATAAATCTTAGCTGTGAAAATGACTACATGCTAAGTCCTCTGAGTCCTCCTTATAAATCATCCATCCTGAGAGCAGTCTTGGGGACCACTGACACATATTTAAAATCATTAGGCCGGGCATGGTGGCTCATGCTTGTAATTGCAGAACTTTGGGAGGTGGAGGTGGGCAGATCACTTGAGGTCAGGAGTTCAAGACCAGCCTGGCCAACATGGTGAAACCTTGTCTCTACTAAAAATACAAAAATTAGCTAGGTGTGATGGTGGGTGCCTATAATCCCAGCTACTAGAGAGGCAGAGACAGGAGAATCACTTGAATTCAAGAGGGGGAGGCTGCAGTGAGCCAAGATGGTGCTGCTGCACTCCAGCCTGGGTGACAGAGTCAGACCCTGTCTAAAAAAAAAATGAAAACTTTTGTATTTCAAGGGACATTACCAAGAAGCAAAAAGACAGCTGGGCGCGGTGGCTCATGCCTGTAATCCCAGCACTTTGGGAGGCCAAGGCGGGTGAATCATGAGGTCAGGAGATCGAGACCCTCCTGGATAACACGGTGAAACCCCGTCTCTACTAAAAATACAAAAAATTAGCAGGGCGCGATGGCAGGCGCCTGTAGTCCCAGCTACTCGGGAGGCTGAGGCAGGAGAATGGCGTGAACCCGGGAGGCGGAGCTTGCATTGAGCAGAGATCATGCCACTGCACTCCAGCCTGGGTGGCAGAGCAAGACTCCATCTCAAAAAAATAAAAAAGTGGAGAAAAAAAGAAAGCAAAAAGACAGCACACAGAATGGTAGAAAATCTTTGCAAATCATGTATCCAGAGTATTAGAAAGAATATTTATAATTCAATGATAAAAAGATAGGCTGGGTGCAGCGTGGTAGCTCACGCCTGTAATTCCAGCACTTTGGGAGACTGAGGCAAGAGGATTGCTTGAGCCCAGGAGTTCAAGACCATCCTGGGCAACACAGTGAGACCCTGACTCTATTAAAAAAAAATTTTTTTAAGACAATAACTTAATTTTTTTTTTTTGAGATGAAGTTTCACTCTTGTTGCCCAGGCTGAAATGCAGTGGCACGATCTTGGCTCACTGCAACCTCCGTTTCCTAGGTTCAAGAGATTCTCCTGCCTCAGCCTCCTGAATAGCTGGGATTACAGACATCTGCCACCACGCCTAGCTAATTTTTTGTATTTTTAGTAGAGACAGGGTTTCATCAAGTTGGCCAGGGTGGTCTCAAACTCCTGATCTCAGGTAATATGCCTGCCTTGGCCTCCCAAAGTGTTGGGATTACAGACGTGAGACACCGAGCCCGACCACAGTAACTTAATTTTTAAAATAGTTTTTAAACTATTTTTAGAGAAAGATTTTTTAAAGGATTTAATTTTTAAGATTTAAAACTTTTTAGAGAAAGATATCTCTAAAAAAAAAGATACATGAATGGACAATAAGTACATGAAAATAGTCTCAATGTCATTAGCCATTAGACCAAGTATTAATCAAAACCACAGTGAGATACCACTTCATACACATTAGGATGGCTATAATCAAAGACAGACAAATGCTGGTGAACATGTGGAGAAATTGCAACCCTCATACATTAGTGGTAGGAATGTGAAATGGTACATCACTGGGGAAAACAGTTTGGTGGTTTCTCAAAAAGTTTGTCCCGTGCTGATCAGTAGTGGGATCATACCTGTGAACAGCCAGCCACGGCACTCCAGCCTGGGCAACATGGCAATACCCTGCCTTTTAAAAAAAGAAGCCAAGTGCAGTGGTTCACTCCAGTAATCCCAGCACTTCGGGAGGCCAAGGCGGGTGATCACTTGAGGCCAGGAGTTTGAGACCAGCCTGGACAACATGGTGAAACCCCGTCTCTACTAAAAATACAAAAATGAGCCAGCGTGGCGGTGCCCATCTGTAGTCCCAGCTACTTGGGAGGCTCAGGCAGGAGAATCGCTTGAACCCGGGAGGCAGAGGTTGCAGTGAGCTGAGATCGCACCACCGCACTCCAGCCTGGGTGACAGAGCGAGACTGTCTTGAAAAAAAAAAAAAAAGAAAAAAGAAAGTTTGGTGGTTCTTCAAAAAGTTAAGCAGTTACCATATGACCCAGCAATTCCATTCCTAGGTATATATCCAAGAGAAATGAAAACATATGTCCACACAAAATTGTTTACATAAATATTAATAGCAGCATTATTTATAATAGTGAAAAACTGGAAACAGCATGAATGTCCATCACTAGAGTGGCTAAGGAAAATGTGGGATACCCATACAATGGAATATTATTTGGCTATTAAAAAGAGTGAAGTGGCCTGGTGTGGTGGCTCATGCCTGTAATCCCAGCACTTTGGGAGGCCAAGGTGGGTGGATCACGAGGTCAGGAGTTCAAGACAACCCTGGCCAAGGTGGTGAAACCCTGTCTGTACTGAAAAAAAAATACAAAAATTAGCCGGGCGTGGTGGCAGGTGCCTGTAGTCCCAGCTACTCGGGAGGCTGAGGCAGGGAATTGCTTGAATCCGGGAGGTGGAGGTTGCAGTGAGCTTAGATTGCGCCACTGCACTCCAGCCTGGGTGACACAGTGAGACTCCATCTCAGAAAAAAAAAAAAAAAAATTCTGGCCCCAGAGACAGGCACTAGCCTAGCTGTGTGACCTTGGTCAGTTTCCTCACCCTCTCTGAACTCCCATTTTCAGGAGGTTTAGGGAAATATTAGTAAAGTCTACCCCACTGACTTGTTGCAAGGGTTAGATGTGAAAACCCAAGGAAAGCATTTGGACAGGGCCTGGCCCATGGTGAGGGTTCCATAAAGAGCTGGCTGTTCCCTTCCTCTCTCAGCCCTTACTCCAAGGCACGTTCCTTCTTGGGTGACAATCAGGTAATGCCATGGGACAACAGGGCAGCAGCTCTGACAACCCACATGTTCCTGCAGGGCTGCACAAGGCCTCCTGAACAGCCTCTCAGCTCAGCCTGGCACCAACAGCCACGCAGCGGATTCAGACTTAGAGCAGAGCTTTGGGCCTTAGCTGGAGGGGGCAAGTGCATGTGTGTTGCAGGGAACAGCCCTCCTTAGCTTGCGTTGGTTTTCAGACTGGCAACATGATCGCCCCCTTGACCCCAAGAGGGAACAACTGCACTGGGTCCATCCTGTGACTTGCATCCCTCACACAGGGCCTGCTTAACCTTGAGCAGCTGCTGTGTCCACGGCCAACAGCTGGGCCCCACTGGGCCATAAATCACTGGCGACACTAAACAGGTCGGCATAGTCAGCGGCTGCTCCTCGCCATGGTGGGTGGGCTGCGGGAGCAGGCAGGGACTCAGAACTCACTCCCCTATAAACCCCATCCATGGTACTCAAGCCAGTGGTGGCTTTGTGTCTGGCTTTGAATCCTCGCTGGACAAATGCTTCCCTCGATAACCAGATGTCTGTAGACTCCACAGCGGAAGCAGCGTGGACTTGCAGGGGACGGACACATGGATAAGCCAAGTTGGAAACCGGCAGACAAAGTCTGAAATAAAGCCATTGTACCCACACTACAGGACCGCGGGGACACGCCTGTGCCTCCCGCATCCATCTTGCCTCTGCTCTCTCTGTGAAACCAGCATGAGCAGGAAGCACTAATCCGACAGATTCCACTAATGCTCAAAACACATGCTCCGCGCCTGGGCCCGCCCCCTGGCCAGCCATAGCCCGCAGCTCTCAGGCCACCAGGCAGAGGCCGGGAAAGTAGAGCCAAGAGGAATCGGAAACACAGCCCCAGGGAAAGGGAGCTGTGGTGCAGCAAGAGGCAGCTGGATTCTTCTCTTATCTGATGAGAGTGGATTCCGGGCTGTTCATCCACGTGTTTACTGCTCCAGTGCGATTCGCCTAGAAATGTCTATAATGGCATTTTCCCTTTAATATCGTAATAGGCACCAGAAAGGAGAATAGCATTAATGATTATGTTGTCTTAGGTACATAAAGGTAAAAAAACTGATGGGAGTGTGTGGGTGTGAAAACAAAAGTGCATGTCAACTAGTTACAACTGTCAGCACCTGTTTACATCTTTTTTTTTTTTTTGAGACAGAGTCTCACTCTGTTGCCCAGGCTGGAGTGCAGTGGCGCAATCTCGGCTCCATGCAGCCTCCGCCTCCCAGGTTCAAGCAATTATCTTGCCTCAGCCTCCCGAGTAGCTGGGATTATAGGAGTGCGCCACCACATCCGGCTAATTTTTTACTTTTAGTAGACACGCGGTTTCACCATGTTGGCCAGGATGGTCTCGAACTCCTGAGCTCAAGCGATCTGCCTGTCTCGGCCTCCCAATGTGCTAGATTTATAGGCGTGAGCCACCGTGTGCGCCTATGTTTACATCTTGAAAAGACTGGAAAGAAAAGCGCAAATGTGAATGTAGTTGTTTTAGGATGCTGGAATGATTTGCTTTTAATTGTCCTTGGCAAATCTAATCTATGGGGTCAGGATAATAGCGGCCCTGGGGGTGGTAGTGACTGGAAGGGTTTTTGGAGATTCAGATGGATCCACATGTGAGTTACAGGAGTCTGTTCACTTGATTACCAAGTTGAACACTTGTGATTTGTGTGCTCTTCTGTGTTATGCTGCAATAAAACATTTACTTTAACAGATGTTTGTGAGTGATATCTTTTTTGTAAACAACTTAAAATATTTCCAAAGAAACTCAAAAAGTGAAAGGAACATTAGGATTACCCAATCCAATTCCATTGCTATACTGAAAAAGAAAGGAAGGGTCAAAGAGAAACCAGTTACTACATTGTATATTTCAAAATTGCTAAAAGAGGACAGCCGTGTTGGCTCACGCCTGCAATCCCAGCACTTTGGGTGGCTGAGGAGGGAGGATGACTTGAGCCCAGGAGTTCGAGACCAGCCTGGGCAACGTTGTGAGTCTCTGTCTCTACAAAAAAATTAAAAAATTAGCTGAGTGTGGTGACACTTGCCTGTGGTTCCAGCTACGTGGGAGGCTGAGGTAGGAGGATCACTTGAGTGGGGCGGCAGAGGTTGTAGTGAGCTGAGATTGAGGCACTGCACTCCAGCATGGGGGACAGAGTGAGACCCTGTCTAAAAAAATAAAAATAGGCCGGACGCGGTGGCTGACACCTGTAATCCCAGCACTTTGGGAGGCTGAGGAGGGCGGATCACCTGAGTCAGGAGTTCGAGACCAGCCTGGCCAACATGGTGAAATCCCGTCTCTACTAAAAATACAAAAATTAGCCATACATGGTGGC
Organism: Homo sapiens; assembly: GCF_000001405.40. Classification (NCBI taxonomy): domain Eukaryota; kingdom Metazoa; phylum Chordata; class Mammalia; order Primates; family Hominidae; genus Homo; species Homo sapiens. The sequence goes on along the minus strand of NC_000022.11, from coordinate 41,047,433 downwards.
AGGCACTTGTAATCCCAGCTGCTTGGGAGGCTGAGGCAGGAGAATAGCTTGAACCTGGGAGGCAGAGGTTGCAGTGAGCCGAGATCACGCCACTGCACTCCAGCCTGGATGACAAGAGTGAGACTCTGTCTCAAAAAAAATAGTAAAAATTAAAATTAAAATAAAAAAAAATGCTAAGAGTAAATTTCAAATGTTCTTACCACAAAAAATAAATATTTGAGGTGATGGATATGTTAAGCAGCTTGATTTAGTCATTTGACATTGCATACATATAACATCACATAGTACCACATAAATATATACAAATATAACTTGCCAATTTATGAAATAAAGGAAGGAAGTAGGAAAGAAAGAAAAAGAAGAGCAGGAAATGAAGAAAGGAAGAAGAAAAGAGAGAAGGCAGTCACTATTGCCCACTGATTCAGAGACAGAATCAGGACTGAGATTTCGAACTCTCCCTGCTGCCATCCCATTGAACCAGGTGATTTCTGCAAAAAATTAAGAAACCTTTTAAAGGACCATGATTTTATTAATTTTTAAAATAATAGTGGCTGGGTGCGATGGCTCACGCCTGTAATCCCAACACTTTGGGAGGCCTAGGTGGGCGGATAACCTGAGGTCAGGAGTTCAAGACCAGTCTGACCAACATGGAGAAACCCCGTCCCTACTAAAAATACAAAATTAGCCAAGTGTGGTGGTGCATGCCTGTAATCCCAGCTACCCGGGAGTCTGAGGCAGGACAATTGCTTGAACCTGGGAGGTGAAGGCTGCGGTGAGCCAAGATTGCGCCATTGCACTCCAGCCTGGGCAACAAGAGCGAAACTCCGTCTCAAAAATAAAAAAATAAATAAAACAAAATAATAGTGATTACTTTTTTGCATCTTTTTAAATTAAAAGAGATGTTATTTTATTCAGTTAGTTTTTGAATTGGTAACATGCAAAAGCTACAAAATTTGAAAGTTACAAAAAAGGAATATAAGGCTGGGTGAAGTGGCTCACGCCTGTAATCCTGGCACTTTGGGAGGCCGAGGTGGGCTGATCACTTGAGGCCAGGAGTTTCTAGCCAATATGGAGAAAGGTGTCTCTACTAAACCTGTTTCTCCAACATGGAGAAACCTATCTCTACTAAATGTACAAAAAATTACCTGGGTGTAGTGGCATGCGCCTGTAGTCCCAGCTACTTGGGAGGCTAAAGCAGGAGGATCGCTTGAACCTGGGAGGCAGAGGTTGCAGTGAGCTGAGATCCCACCACTACAGTCCAGTCTGGGTGACAGAGCAAGACTCTCTCTCTCAAAAACAAACAAAAAGAAGGTATATAAGAAGAAGCCCTGAGGCGGGCTTGGTGGCACATACCTGTAGTCCCAGGAGGCTGAGGCGGGAGGATCACTTGAGCCCAGGAGTTTGAGGTTACAGTGAGTTATAATTGTGCCACTGCACTCCAGTACAGATGACAGAGCAAGATCCTGTCTCAAAAAAAAAAAAGCCACCTTACCATTGTTCTTTTGTGTCTCTGCCCCAAGAACCACCACAGAGACTTCTGTGCAACCTGCCAGAGATAGTAAATGTGCTTTTTTTTTTTTTGAGGTGGAGTTTTGCTCTTGTTGCCCAGGCTGGAGTGCAATGGCGCAATCTCGGCTCACCGCAACCTCCGCTTCCCAGGTTCAAGTGATTCTCCCGCCTCAGCCTCCTGAGTAGCTGGGAGTACAGGCATGCGCCACCACGCCCGGCTAATTTTGTATTTTTAGTAGAGGCGGGGTTTCTCCATGTTGGTCAAGCTGGTCTCGAACTCCTGACCTCATGTGATCCACCTGCCTCGGCAAACATGTTTTGTTTTGTTTCGTTTTTTGCCAGTTAAATTTAGCAGTGGGAAGCTGTATACCAACTTTAGTGACAGTGATGTTAATAAGTTCCGATAATCCACTATGCTTACACCAGCCTTTTTTGTTTGTTTCTTATTCACACAAAGGGAAACAGGCTTTACACACCTTGCTTCTAATCACTTATACCACACGGAAGACTCTTCGTTTCAATGCACTTAGCTCCCGTCCCCATCCTTTTTAAAGGCTATAGAATGCTCCTTTGTGTGGACTATTAAAACAAACCCGTATTAGGGGACATTTATAATAGATCATTTCCAATCATTTGGTATTACATCAATGCCTCCATAGATAAGTGTTTTTATGTTATTTTGTATACATTTAAGTAGATCGTACAGTAATTTCTCAGAAGTGGAATTAGAGGGACAGAGACAGATCTATTTTATATTTAGTAAATATTGACAAATTGCTAGCCACAAATAGTACCATTTTACAGACTCATAAGCAAAGTATGAGAGCACGTGTTTACCTACACTATTGTAACATAGTGTTATCAAATGCTTTGGACTCTGCCAATCCGATAGATTTAAAATGACATGTCAGGGCCAGGCGTGGTGGCTCACTTCTGTAATCCCAGCACTTTGGGAGGCTGAGGAAGGTGGATCACTTGAGGTCAGGAGTTCGAGACCAGCCTTGCCAACATGGGGAACCCCCATCTCTACTAAAAAAAAATACAAAAATTAGCTGGGTGTGGTGGTGTGCGCCTGTAATCCCAGCTACTCGGGAGACTGAGGTAGGAGAATCACTTGAACCCGGGAGGCGGAGGTTGCAGTGAGCTGAGGTTGTGCCACTGCACTCCAGCCTGGGCAACAGAGGGAGACTCTGTCTCGACAAAAAAATTAAAAAATAATAAAATAAAATAAAATAAATAAATAAAATAAAGTGACATGTCAGGCCAATTATAACTTACCTTTCTCCTATTATGAGGGAGGCTGAATTTTTTTCATTTGTTTGACTCATTTGTATTTCCACTAATGAGAGCTCCTTTGTTCATTTTTTGATTCCATTTTTGTATTGGGTTGTTTGTTTTGCATCATTATTAAATTTTAAAATAAAATTCCAAATATTATTGCTATTTGAGATAGGGTCTCACTCTGTCACTCAGGCTGGGGGTGCAGTGACATGATCAAGGCTTACGGCAGCCTTCACCTCCTAGGCTCAAGTGGTCCTCCTACCTTAGTCTCCCGAGTAGCTGGGACTACAGGCACGCACCACCACACCCAGCTAATTTTTTTTTTTTTTGTATTTTTTTTTAGGGTTTTGTGTGTTGCCTAGGATGGTCTCGAAGTCCTGGGCTCAGGCAGTCTGCCTACCTCAGTCTCCCAAAGTTTTGGGATTACAGGGGTGAGGCACTGTGTCCAGTCCAAAATATAATTTTAAACATTTATCAAAAATAGGCCAGGTGTGGTTGCTCATGCCTGTAATCCTAGCACTTTGGGAGGCCAAGGCGGGTGGATTGCCTGAGCTCAGGAGTTATATATGTATATATAATTAATTTAAAAAGTATTTGCACAACTAATTAATAATAGTATAATAGTATCTATTATTTATTGAATACTTCCTGGGTCCTAGGCATCAGGCTAAATAATCTTAGAGCATATGAAATTTCTAGTTCTGCTTTTGCATGTACAGGAGCGGTTTTTCATGTTGCGACATTTTCTTTACGATTCTCATTCGCAATGGCTGCTCAGCAGTCTGTTGAGATACTGCATACAGTATCATGTAATTAGCTGTTTGCTAACTGTTAGCTTTCAGTTGCTCCTATTGCCTTATAATTTCTGATTAGTAACCTCTTCAAATCGTTTTTTAAAAATTAAATTCTTACTTGTAAGTTTTTTTTGTTTTGTTTTTTGGGGTTTTTTTTTTTTTTTTGAGACAGAGTCTCACTCTGTCGCCCAGGCTGGAGTGCAATGGCACCATCTTGGCTCACTGCAACCTCTGCCTCCTGGGTTCAAATGATTCTCCTGCCTCAGCCTCCCAAGTAGCTGGGTCTACAGGCGCCTGCCACCATGCCCGGCTAATTTTTGTATTTTTAGTATGGACGGAGATTTGTCATGTTGGCCAGTCTGGTCTCGAACTCCTGACCTCAAGTGATTTGCCCATCTCGGCCTCCCAATGTGCTGGGATTACAGGCATGAGCCACTGTGCCCGGCCTGCATCTTACTTTTAGGTGAAATAAATATCCTTTAAATACTTTAAATATTTATAAATATTCAATCATTGTAATTAAAACATTTGTCTTACAAAATGGGAGAATAGCTGGGCGTGGTGGGTCACGTCTGTAATTCCAGCACTTAGGGAGGGTGAGGCAGGAGGATCACCTGAGGTCAGGAGTTCGAGACCACCCTAGCCAACATGGCAAAACCCCATCTCTACGAAAAATACAAAAAATTAGTCAGGTGTGGTGGCAGGTACCTATAATCCCAGCTACTTGGGAGGCTGAGGCAGGAGAATTGCTTGAACCCAGGAGGTGGAGGTTGCAGTGAGCCAAGATTTTGCCATTGCACTCCAGCCTAGGAGACAGAGCAAGACTCTGTCTCAAAAAAAAAAAAAAAAAGGCAAAGTAAATAGTGGCTACGATGGGTCTATATGCACCCACATATATATACACACACATATATATACACATATACACACATATATACACACATATACACACACATACACACCTATGCACACACATATATAAACATGCATATACATATACACACATACATACACACACATATGCACACACATACATATATATATATACACACACACATATTAAACATGCATTACCTACCAAATCTGCCATTCCATTTGGTGTTTTGTAAATTGTGTACCATTGAATTCCCTTCCCCCACAAAAAGTACATAGAAATGGTCATTCAGTGGCTGTGGAAAGAAACACTTCTTCCTTCTAGGTCCAATTCTTTCCCTCTCTTTAAATCTTTCCCATGTGATTTAAAATTGTGGGCAGAAAATTATATCTGGGAGCTAAATGATAAGAAGCTATGAACACAAAGAAGGAAACAATAGACAGTGTGGTCTACTTGAGGGGGGAGGTTGGGAGCGGGGAGAGGAGCAGGAAAGATAACTATTGGGCATTGGGGTAATACCTGTGTGATGAAATTATATGTACAACAAAGCCCCATGACATGTGTTTACCTATGTAACAAATCTTCACATGTACCCTCAAACCTAAAATAAAAACTAAAAAAAAGAAAGTTATATCAACCTATTTGCTGCAAAACGGTTTTATTTAGCACACACTATTTGTAAACTCTTAAAAAAACTAAATCAAGGCTGAGAGCGGTGGCTCACGCCTGTAATCCCGGCATTTTGGGAGGCTGAGGCAGGCGGATCATGAGGTCAAGAGATGGAGACCATCCTGGCCAACATGGTGAAACCCCGTCTGTACTAAAACTACAAAAATTAGCCAGGCGTGGTGGCAGGCGCCTGTAATCCCAGCTACTCGGGAGTCTGAGGCAGGAGAATCGCTTGAACCCGAGAGGAGGGTGTTGTAGTGAGCCGAGATCGCGCCACTGCACTCCAGCCTGGGCAACAGAGCAAGAGTCCATCTCAAAAAAAAAAAAAAAAAAGAAAGAAAAGAAAAATCAAATTACACTTTTTGGTGTAACGTTGTCTTCAATATCAATATAAAAAGCAAGTGCAATTTCCTTTCACATAGCATAAAACAGTAACGAAAGAATTATTTTTGCCCCATACTACCTTTAAAAGTATAGTAAAGCCAGGCACAGGGGCATGTACCCGTAGTTCCAGCGACTTGGGAAGGTGAGGGAGGTGGATTGCGTGAGCCCAGGAGTTTGAGGTTGTAGGGTTCTATGATTGCACCTGTGAATAGCCACTGTACTCCAGCCTGGGCAACGTAGTGAGACCCCATTTCTAAAGAAAAAAAATTTAAATAAATAAATAAATGTGTGGTAATGAAATTGAAGGGACCACCATTGCATATATATTTTTTGGGGGGCCAGGTGGTGGGGGTGGGGGATGGAGTCTTGCTCTGTCACCCAGGCTGGAGTGCAGTGGCACGATCTTGGCTCACTGCAACCTCCGCTTCCCAGGTTCAAGAGATTCTCCTGCCTCAGCCTCCTGAGTAGCTGGGATTACAGGCGCCTGCCACCACGCCCGGCTAATTTTTGTATTTTTAGTAGAGATGGGGTTTCACCATGTTGTCCAAGCTAGTCTTGAGCTCCTGACCTCGTGATCCACCCACCTTGGCCTCCCGAAGTGCTGGGGTTACAGGCGTGAGCCACCGCGCCTGGCTCATTGCATATGTTTATGCATGCAAAAGCTTATTTTATTTACTCTTCTAAGTTAAAAACGCTTTTCTATGATACCAAGTGAGAAAAGGGAAATCTATAATCAAACATACAGGCTGGCATGGTGGCTCACGCCTGTAATCCCAGCATTTTGGAAGGCCGAGGCGGGCGGATCATGAGGTCAGGAGATCGAGGCCATCATAGCTAACACGCTGAAACCCCGTCTTTACTAAAAATAGAAAAATTAGCCGGGCATGGTGGTGGGTGCCTGCAGTCCCAGCTACTTGGGAGGCTGAGGCAGGAGAATGGCATGAACCCGGGTGGCGGAGCTTACAGTGAGCTGAAATCACACCACTGCACTCCAGCCTGGGCGACAGAGCAAGACTCTGTCTCAAAAATAAATAAATAAATAAAATAACACATACAATATGACTACAATGATATTAGAAAACTGAAATATACCTAATAAAGGAAAAAGAAGACTAAAAAGAAATACACAAAATCAAGTTGTATGTTACCAAATTTTCCATAATGTAATACTAGTTTTATGAAGAAAAAAGAAACCAAGAAATAACAGATTTTAAGGAAAGACATAATGAAAGTTATTGCATAATACTCTCATTTGGGGGCTGGAACATTAGGAAATAATTTCTGTGGCCCACTATGTACAGTGGCTCCCACAAACTACATCCTCCCTTCGGAAATAGCAGAGCCTTAACTGATTGGCTTCACCCATGTTCAGTCAATGTCAGAATTCAGCCAAGGGAGTATCTTTTTACCTTCTAATAAAACAGAGAAGGGCCAGGTGTGGTAGCTCATGCCTGTAATCCCAGCACTTTGAGAGGTTGAGGCAGATGGATTGCTTGAGTCCAGCAGTTTGAGACCAGCCTGGGCAGCGTGGCGAGACTGCATCTCTACAAAAATTACAAAAATTAGCTGAGTGTGGTGGTATGTGCCTTAGTCTCAGCTACTTGGCAGGCTGAGGTGGGAGGATCACTTGAACCCGGGAGGTGGAGGTTGCGGTGAGCCGAGATCCCACCATTGCACTCCAGCCTGGGCAACAAGAGTGAAATTCCGTCTCAAGAAAAAAAAGAAAGAAACCACCTCACTTCTTCCCAGAGAGCCTCACCTCAGACAGACAGGTCTTTCTTTTTCTTTTTTTTTTTTTTCTTGACCTGGAGTCTCGCTTTGTTGCCCAGGATGGAGTGCAGGAATGCAGTGGCGTGATCTGCGCTCACTGCAACCTTTGTCTCCCAGGTTCAAGCGATTCTTCTGCCTCAGCCTCCCGAGTGGCTGGGATCACAGGTGTGCACCACCATGCCTGGCTAATTTTTTTGTATTTTTATTAGAGATGGGGTTTCACCATTTTGGGCAGGCATGTCTTGAACTCCTGACCTTAAGTGATCCGCCCGCCTTGGCCTCCCGAAGTGCCGGGATTACAGGCGCAAGCCACTGTGCCTGGCCCCTCCCTCTTTCTGTTCTTTTCTTTTCTTTCTTCTTCTTCTTCTTCTTTTTTTTTTTTTTTTTTGACACAAGGTCTCCTTTTGTCACCAGGCTAGAGTGTAGTGGCATGATCATGGCTTATTGCACCTCGACCTCCTGGGCTGAAGCGATCCTCCCACCTCAGCCTCCTGAGTAGCTGGGACCACAGGTGTGCCCCACCATGCCAGGCTAATTTTTTCATTTTTTTTTTTTTAAGAGATGAGGTCTCCCCATGTTGCCCAGGCTGGTCTGAAACTCCTGGGTTCAAGCAATCCTCCCACCTTGACCTCCCAAAGTCCTGGGATTACAGAGTGAGCCACAGCTCCCGGCCACAGGATATATATATATATATATTTTTTTTTTTAGAGAGAGACAGGGGTCTCACTGTTGCCTGGGTTGGTCTCAAACTCCTGGGCTCAAGCCATTCTCCTGCCTTGACCTCCCAAGATGCTGGGATTACAGGTATGAGCCAATGCACCCAGCTTGTGGCCATAGGATTTTGTTTTACTACATAAATCTGGGTTGTAAGTTGCAGCTTTCTCTCTGTTGTTTTATCACTAACAAATTTGGTTGCCAAGGCAACCATGCAGCAATTTAATCTCTTGACACCCATCCACCTAGGCTGGGGTCAGTGGCAGGAGTTTGGGGTTGTATTTGGTGTTTTGTAAATTCTGTACCATTAAATTCCCTTCCCCCACAAAAAGCATGTAGAAATGGTCATTCAGTAGCTGTGGAGATTCACAGTTTCCCCTTCTAGTTCCAATTCTTTCTCTCTCTTCTTCCTCCCTGCCAATGAGACATGTGCAAAGAGCCAATCAGAGAAAGAGTAAGAAGGAAGAGTACCTTGTGTCCAGGGAGAGCGTCGGCAGGGAGCAGTGCCTGGGGATGATCTCACATTAAAACCTGGAATTGTAGCCTCTACCGAAAAATTGGAAGGTCTTGCAACACTGGGCCCACAGTTCCTCCGGAGGCTTCTGCTTGGTGCTAAGTAGCAATGACTCCCTCCAGACAGGAGCCACATTCTCCACCAATCACTGCCTCTCACTTACATTTTTGTGCCTGGTCCTGGCAGGCATCTATGTAGACTCTTTTTTTCTTAGTCTTTATTATTCATTTATTTTTGAGGTGGAGTCTCCCTCTGTCATCCAGGCTGGAGTGCAGTGGCGCGATCTTGCCTCACTGCAACCTCCGCCTCCCAGGTTCAAGTGATTCTCCTGCCTCAGCCTCCCAAGTAGCTGGGACTACAGGCGTATGCAATCGCACCTGGCTAATTTTTGTATTTTTAGTAGAGATGGGGTTTCGCCATCTTGGCCAGGCTGGCCTCAAACTCCTGACCTCAGGTGATCCACTCACCTTGACCTCCCAAAATGCTGGGATTACAGATGTGAGCTTTCGCACCTGGCCTAGCCTATTTATTTATTTATTTATTTAGAAAGCAGGTCTTGGCCAGGTGCAGTGGCTCATGCCTGTAATCCCAGCACTTTGGGAGGCTGAGGCGGGTGGATCACAAAGTCAGGAGTTTGAGACCAGCCTGGCCAATAGGGTGAAACCCCGTCTCTACTAAAAATACAAAAATTAGTCGGTGTGGTGGCAGGTGTCTGTAGTCTCAGCTACTCAGGAGGCTGAGGCAGGAGAATCACTTGACCCCGGGAGGCTCGGAGGTTGCAGTGAGCCGAGATGGTGCCACTGCACTCCAGCTTGGGCAACAGAGTGAGACTCTGTCTAAAAAAAAAAGAAAAGAAAGTTGGTCTTAGGCTGGGTGCGGTGGTTCACACCTGTAATCCCAGCACTTTGGGAAGCCGAGGCAGGCGGATCACGAGGTCAGGAGATCCAGACCATCCTGGCTAACACGGTGAAACCCCGTCTCTACTAAAAATAAAAAAAATTAGCCGGGTGTGGTGGCATCTGCCTGCAGTCCCAGCTACTTGGGAGGCTGAGGCAGGAGAATGGCGTGAACCCGGGAGGCGGAGCTTGCAGTGAGCTGAGATTGTGCCATTGCACTCCAGCCTGGGCAACAGAGCGAGACTCCACCTCAAAAAAAAAAAAAAAAAAAAAAAAAGGAAAGCTGGTTTTGCTCTGTTGCCCCACCTGGACTGCAGAGGTGAGATCATAGCTCACCTGCAGCCTTGATCTCCCAGGTTCAAGTGATCCTCCTGCCTTAGCCTCCCATGTAGCTGAAACCACAGGCATGTGCCACCATGCCCAGCTAATTTTATTTTATTTTTTGTAGAGATGGAGGTCTCATTATGTTGCCCAGGCTGGCCTGGAACTCCCGGGCTTAAGTAATCCTCTCGTCTAAGCCTACCAAAGGTTCAGGATTGGGATTACAGGCATGAGCCGCTGTACCCCACCTTAGAAAGCTTTTAATTCACTAATTCTCAACTTGAGGTATGATGGAAGAATATTCTCTGAAAGATTTTTCAAACTACTTTTGTATACTGAAAAGACTCTAACACAACTCCTTCCTACCGTCCTTCTTCCCATCCTCTCCCCACACATAATGAAAGTCACCGTCAGAAACCCAAACCTCACTCCTGCCACACTGTCAGTACTGAAGTATGGAATTTCCACCCACAAAGTTTCCCTGATCCTGCAGGAATATGTGTAGACGCTCACTCTCATTTCACACAACAGCATTCACGCCCCCTCCTCTCCAATCCTCACTAGAGTCTGTAACCTAGCAACACAACATCTATTGGGGTAGCAACCTCTCGCCAATTCATTCATCCCTTCAGTAGACATTGAGTGAGCTGCTCCCACGCCTGGGATAGGCAAGCACTCAGAAAAGATTTGTTGAATGAATGAATGAAGACACAGGGATGAATGAGGCCCCAAAGGAGGTCATACTCTGGGAAGGAGAAAAACAGACTAAAGGCCGGGCGCAGTGGCTCATGCCTATAATCCCAGCACTTTGGGAGGCCAAGGTGGGCAGATTACCTGAGGTCAGGAGTTCGAGACCAGCCTGCCCAACATAGTGAAACACCATCTCTAGTAAAAATGCAGAAAATAGCCGGATATGGTGGTGCGTGCCTGCTATGCAGGAGGCTGAGGCAGGAGAATCATTTGAACCCGGGAGGTGGAGGCTACAGTGAGCCAAGATCATGCCATTGTACTCTAGCTTGGGCGACAGAGACTCTGTCTCAGAAAAAAAAAAAAAAAAGAAAAATATACTAAAAAAAAAGTTGTAGGTCGGGCGCAGCGGCTGACGCCTGTAATCACAGCACTTGAGGAAGCCAAGGTGAGTGGATCACCTGAGGTCAGGAGTTGGAGACCAGCCTGGCCCCATCTAAACCCCATCTGTACTAAATATACAAAAAATTAGCCAATGCGTGGTGGTGGGCGGCTGTAATCCCAGCTACTTGGGAGGCTGAGGCAAGAGAATCGCTTGAACCCAGGAGGCAGAGGTTGTAGTGAGCCGAGATTGCCCCGCTGCACTCCAGCCTGGGTAACAACAGTGAAACTCCGCCTCAAAAAAAAAAAAAAAGGCCGGGCGTGGTGGCTCATGCCTGTAATTCCAGAACTTTGGGAGGCCGAGGCGGGCGAATCACCTGAGGTCAGGAGTTCGAGGCCAACCTGGCCAACACGGTGAAACCCCATCTCTACTAAAAATACAAAAATTAGCTGGGCGTGGTGGCAGGCGTCTATAATCCCAACCCCTTGGGAGACTGAGGCAGGAGAATCTCTTGAACCCGGGAGGTGGAGGTTGCAGTGAGCCGAGATCATACCACTACACTGCAGCCTGGCTGACAGAGCAAGACTCCATCTCAAAAAGAAAAAAAAAAAAAAGGGTTGTAATACAGGCCATAACAGATGCATCTGTGCATATGTAAATTGCAAGGAGGAAGCTACTGTCCTGTTTAGGAAAGTCAAGGAAAGGAGAGGGGACATTTCAGTTGGGACTTTTTTTTTCCTTTGAGAGAAAGTCTGAATCTGTCCTTCAGGCTGGAGTGTGGTGGCATGATTTTGGATCTCGGCCCATTGCAACCTCCACCTCCTGGATTCAAGCGATTCTCATGCCTCAGCCTCCTGAGTAGCTGGGATTACGGGTGTGCGCCACCATGCCCAACTAATTTTTGTATTTTTAGTAGAGACGGGGTTTCATCATGTTGGCCAGGCTGGTCTCGAACTCCCAACCTCAGGTGATCCACCTACCTCGGTCTCCCAAAATGCTGGGATTACAGGCATGAGCCACTGCACCTGGCCTCAGTTAGGTCTTGAGAGAGGGGCAGAAGTTTGTCACGATAATAAGAAGGAACAGGAGGAACAATGCTCTTGGCAAAAAGAACATCACAAGCAAAGGCCCCCAGGTATGGAACCGCAAGGTATGTCTGAAGCCACAGGGAAGTTCAATCAGTGGAGCAGAGGGTGCACCAAGATTCCTAAAATCTATACCCATGAAGGTTCAAGCCAGTCCCAAAGTTTAGACCGCAAGATCAGAGTTCTCTTGAAACAAAGGACAGACATCCCAGCACGACCCACTCTAGCACAGGCACTGGACTGCCCTGGTCAGTAGAGTGTTTGCTGAATAAAGCTGAGGATGGAACAGAGACAGAAGGGAAAGGGTGGGTGCTATGGCTCATGCCTGTAATCTTAGCATTTTGGGAGGCTGAGGTGGGAGAATCACTTGAGCCCAGGAGTTTGAGACCAGCCTGGGTGACATAGTGAGACCCCCCCATCTGGAAAGAGAGAAAGAGAGAGAGAGAAGGAAGGAAGAAAGGAAGGAAGGAAGGAAGGAAGGAAGGAAGGAAGGAAGGAAGGAAGGAAGGAAGGGAAAATTAGCTGGAGGTGGTGGCACATGCCTGTAGTCCCAGCCCCAGCTACTCAGGAGGTTGAGGTGGGAGGATCACTTCAGCCTGGGAAGTCAAGGCTGAAATGAGTTGTGATTACGCCACTGTACCCCAGCCTGGGTGACGCAGCAAGACCCTGTCTCAAAAAAAAAAAAAAAAAAAAAAGGGAAGGGAAAAGAAATCAGTGTCAGCAGGGACCATCCACAAACAGGCACGGCCAAGATGCAGAAAGCAGCTACCACCCATAGAAGTGGGAAAACAAAGGCAAGAGGCTGAGGTTACAGAACTTAAAAGCCTGGAAGAGCGGCTCCATGGAGCTGAGACCTAGACTGCTGAGAAAGCTGTGTGTGACACACACTATGTCACCTCTCGCATATCCTTGCAGCACTCACTGTTCCTGTGTACCCCAAGGCTTCCTGCTGCATGCACCAGGACTCGAATCCTGCAGGGCTTTCTCTGGCCACAGGAACATGCTCAGCCTGAACACGGGCAGTAAGGAAGTGCTAGAAAGTTAACGTTCCCAGGAGAAGCCCCAAATGATGAAAGGTGGGAGTTAGTGAACAAATGCTAAGTATCTTACTCCTAGAGTAGAACAACCCTGAGGAGTGCTCCACACCACCTAGATGGGAGCTGAGATGGGACTCTAGTTGTCAAAAGGGTAACCACTCATTAATGGACCCTGGGCCGAGTGCGGTGGCTCATGCCTTATAATCCCAGCATTTTGGGAGGCCAAGACAGGTGGATTACCTGAGGTCAGGAGTTCCAGACAAGCCTGGCCAACACGGTGAAACCCTGTCTCTATTAAAAAATACAAAAATAAGCCAGGTGTGGTGGCAAGTGCCTGTAATCCCAACTACTGGAGAGGCTGAGGCAGGAGAATCGCTTCAACCCGGGAGGTGGAGGTTGCAGTGAGCCAAGATGGAGCCACTGCACTCCAGCCTGGGCAACAGAGCAAGACTCTGTCTCAAAATATAAAAATAAAATAAAATAAATATTAAAAAAATTAAATAATAATAATAATAAAATAAGCCGGGCACGGTGGCTCACGCCTGTAATCCCAGCACTTTGGGAGGCTGAGGTGGGTGGATTGCCTGAGGTCGGGAGTTCAAGACCAGCCTGGCCAATATGGTGAAACCCCGTCTCTACTAAAAATACAAAAATTAGCCAGGCGTGGTGGCAGGCGCCTGTAATCCCAGCTACTTGGGAGGCTGAGGCAGGAGAATCACTTGAACCTGGGAGGTGGAGGTTGCAGTGAGCCAGGATCGCACCATTGCACTCCAGCCTGGGCGACAAGAGCAAGACTCTGTCTCAAAAAAAAAAAAAAATAATAATAATAATAAAATAAAATAGGCCGGGTGCAGTGGCTCATGCCTGTAATCCCAGCACTTTGGGAGACCGATGTGGGCAGATCACATGAGGTTGGGAGTTCAAGACCAGCCTGATCAACATGGAGAAACCCCGTCTCTACTAAAAATATAAAATTAGCTGGCCATGGTGGTGCATGCCTGTAATCCCAGCTACTCAGGAGGCTGAGGTAGGAGAATCGCTTGAACCCGGGAGGCTGAGGTTGCGGTGAGCTGAGATCATGCCATTGCACTCCAGCCTGGGCAACAAGAGTGAAACTCCATCTCAAAAATACAATACAATACAATACAATACAATACAATACAATACAATACAATACAATACAATACAATAAAAATAGCGGATCCTGTATATCAACCACACCCAGTATATCAGCTTCCTTACCATTCCCGGTGCACTTTCCCACTAATCAACAGGTGTTTCCAGGGATCTTTTTTCCTTTTTTTGAGACCGCATCTCACTTTGTTGCCCAGGCTGGAGTGCAGTGGCGTGATCTCGGCTCACTGCAGCCTCTGCCTCCTGTGTTCTAGTGATTCTCGTACCTCAGCCTCCTAAGTAGCTGGGACTACAGGTGTAAGCTACCACGCTCAGCTAATTTTTGTATTTTTAGTAGAGACGGGGGTTTCACCATGTTGGCCAGGCTGGTCTTGAACTCCTGACCTCAGGTGATCCACCCTCCTCGGCATCCCAAACTGTTGGGATTACAGGTGTGAACCACTGTGCCAAGCCCCAGGGTTCATTTTTTAAATAAGCTACCTGCTCTCAAATCCTTGCCTAAGGATCTGCATTTGATGGAAGCTAAAACAAGATCTTATTGGAAGTGGCTCCAGAAATAAAGCTCTCAGGATGCAGTTTTGGAACTGGATCATTAGCCAGTCAGATGGCAAGAAGGAGCCTGTTATTGATATTCAGCTGGGTGGGGATAACCCCCAGCATGAGGCACTGGCACAGCTACTGAGTCTCACCTTTGGTAAATGAAGATGGGGTACAGCTGGCAGAAGATGCACTGGCTCAGGCCAACAACGCTATCACTTGAAACATATGAGGATAATAGTTACTGGAAGGATTGTGAACTGCTTGGCTATTTTAACTGCCAACTCTTTATAAAAGCCAATTTTGGGAAGCTGAGGAGGGCAGATCACTGGAGTCCCGGAGTTCGAGACCAGCCTGGGCAACAGAGTGAAACCCTGTCTCTATTAAAAATACCAAATATTAGCCGGGTGTGGTGTGCACCCGTAATGTAGTCCCAGCTACTCAGGGTGCTGAGGTGGGAGGATCACTTGAGCCCAGGAGGTTGAGGCTGCAGTGAGCTGTGATTGTGCCACTGCACTCCAACCTGGGCAACAGAGTGAGGCCCTGTCTCAAAAGAAAAAAAAAAAAAGATAAGCTGAGTGTAGTGGCATGCACCTGTAGTCCTAGCTACTTGGGAGGTTGAGGCCAGAGGATCTCTTGAGCTCAGGAGTTTGAGGCTGCAGTGAACCAGGATCAAGCCTCTACACTCCAGCCTGGGCAACAGAGCAAGACCCTGTTATTTTATTTTATTTTATTTTGAAAGAAAAAAAAGCCCAAGGAAAAAAATTTAAAAATAATAGGCTCAAGGCAGCCAACTATCCACTCAGAGCATGCTGTGAAAGCCGAAAAGTCTCTCTGGAGGCATTTAAAGAGAGTCCTATCTCCTGTAACCAGAAGATGGAGAGTACTGAAAATCTGGCCCAAGATTTTAAGAGTGGAAGAGTTGCAAAGGAGGTCAAATTCACAGCCTCAGTATGGTGTCACCATGCTAGGGACTGGAGGGGAATGGGTCTCCGAGACCTAGAAGCAACATTTGAGCAGATGCAGCTGAGAACCTTAAAATTTCAGATTCACTTTAACCATCTGGGACAGCAGAACTGGCCCCAACCCTGTGCTAGGGGAAAGTAGTAGAGGGATTCCCATTACCTGGAGACCATGCAAAGTTCTCATGAAAGGCAGATGTCAAGGCCAGGCGCAATGGCTCATGCCTGTAATCCCAGCACTTTGGGAGGCCGAGGCGGGTGGATCACGAGGTCAGAAGATTGAGACCATCCTGGCTAACATGGTGAAACCCTGTCTCTACTAAAAAAAATACAAAAAATTAGCCAGGCATGGTGGTGGGCGCCTGTAGTCCCAGCTACTTGAGAGGCTGAGGCAGGAGAATGGTGTGAAACCGGGGGGCGGAGTTCGCAGTGAGCCGAGATCGCACCACTGCACTCCAGCCTGGGCGACACAGTGAGACTCCATCTCAAAAAAAAAAAAAAAAAAAAAAAAAAAAGAAAGGCAGATGTCTTGGACAATGACACTTGCCCTCCTTGAGATCTACCTTTTCTTGCCGTCAAGGCTTCTAGACCAAAAACTAAGGTCAGGTCTTAGCAAAAGAGCTTCAGAACTTGGCTAGTGTGTTCCAGCAGGACAAGCAGAACATGCCTAGGAATGAATCTTGACAGTGTTGGACCAGGGAGAGTGGATTATAAAGCTGGCATTGGGAGAGTTTACTGATATGAGGGAACCCTCTCATGACTCAGGATTTAATATCCCGTCCAAGACTCCTGTGGTCAGTTCTTTTTTTGTTTTTGTTTTTCTTTTTTGAGATGGGGTTTCGCTCTTGTTGCTCAGGCTGGAGTGTAATGGTGCAATCTCAGCTTACCACAACCTCCGCCTCCCAGGTTCAAGCGATTCTCCTGCTTCAGCCTCCTGAGTAGCTGGGATTACAGACATGCATGACCACACCTGGCTAATTTTGTATTTTTAGTAGAGACGGGGTTTCTCCGTGTTGGTCAGGCTGGTGTTGAACTTCCAACCTCAGGTGATCGGCCCACCTCGGCCTCCCAAAGTGCTGGGATTACAGGCGTGAGCCACCACACCTGGCCCTCTTTTTTTTTTTGAGATGAAGTCTTGCTCTGTCACCGTGTTGGCCAGGCTGGTCTTGAACTGCTGACCTCAGGTGATCCGCCTGCCTCGGCCTCCCAAAGTGCTGGGATTACAGGGGTGAGCCACTGTGCCTGGCCTGTGGTCAGTTCTAATACCCTCTGGAGTTACTCCTTATAAAGCTTGGAAACAATGATATTCTACAGTGAGTTGGGTGGAGATGCTGGACTTGCCTTTGCAGGGTGTGGAGGAAGGGACCAAAAAGCTGAGAAAGCCATGAGAATGGATTTATTATGTAAAAGCAGAGAACCTGAGAGCTGACCACGACCTCTAGAAGACACCATCTTCACTAAAGCAACACAGAATGCACCAGTGAAGGGTCAACATTGTTGAGAAACTCTATGGTAGCTGTCCTTTTGGGCCAGGGTTTACATAAAAGAAGCAGCTATGGACCTGGACTCCCTGGTGCCCCAATACAGATGGTAGGATTTGAAAACAGCAGAGGTCAGGTGGTAGCACTTAATCGTCAGAGACAGGGTAGACACAATTACTGTAATGGGGAACAAAGCTGGAATGACAATGAGGTGATCTTTAGCATACAGATCTGTAGTGACAGTCTTGGCAGATGGCTGATGTCAGCCATTAAATTGGAAAATCTCAATCTCTCACCTATTTGAGAGGCTCTTATGCCCAAAACCCATCGAATGAAAGGGGAGGCCAAGTTCCCTTGAGGAAGTAGTATCTTGACCATTATAGAGCAACACAGCCTCTGGCACCCAGTAGGCTACTATTGATCTGGCAAATGTATTCTTTTCGATGGCTACCCGAAAAAAAGCTCAAAGCAAATTGCATTTAACTGGATGGATAGCAGGCCACATTCCCAGGGTACACCAGGGCTACCTCTCCTGCTTTCCATCACAATATAGTCTGAAAGAACCTCAATAGCTTGACACTGATCCTACCTTATAGCCCATCACTTTGAAGCTGCTGGTCTGATAGAATGTTAGCATGATGTCTAAAGGCACCACGGCAGTGCATAGCTGCTGTAATCCTCTGTATCAGGTCTGTAACTGCTCACGAGGCTGTGGTTAATATTCATAAATTGCCTCTTCTAGTACGTTTTCTTTCTCTCCTTCCTTCCTTCCTTCCTTTCTTTTTCTTTCTCTCTTTTTTTTTTTGAGATGGAGTTTCACTCTTGTTGCCCAGGCTGGAGTGCAAAGATGCGATCTTGGCTCACTGCAACCTCTGCCTCCCAGGTTCAAGCAATTATCCTGCCTCAGCCTCCCAAGTAGCTGGAATTTTAGGTGCTGCCACCACGCCTGGCTAATTTTTGTATTTTTAGTAGAGACAGGGTTTTACCATGTTGGCCAGGCTTGTCTTGAACTCCTGATCTCAAGTGATCTGCCCACCTGGGCCTCCCAAAATCCTAGAATTACAGGCGCGAGCCACCACACCAGGCCCCTTTCATTTTTGTTCTGTGATTGCGCTGGACATCCAAACTTCATTTCAAAAGGGTCTGAATTCTCAGGGGTCCTGCTTTGTTAGGGTTGCTTTAATTTCCCATTAACTTTTTTATTCCCCATTAATTTTTACTAGCGGGCATGGAATTACTAAGAGGTGCCACACAGAATCTTCTGTGTTTCAGACATAGTTTTGCTGCCCGCATTGTAAAGCAACAACTCAATTTGGTAATCAGAATGAGTCATCCTGGCCAGTAGAGTAACCTCTTTCTTACCAGCTGAGAAGAGCAAAATGTCCAGATTCCAATTCAATGAAACCATACTTGTGTCCCCTCTTGTTAGCAAATACTCCTCTCTTGAGAACTAAGACCTTTCATCAGAGCTCAAAGCTATGGGAGCAGGAGTTAAAAATAGGTGTAATAGCGAGAGGAGCTACTCCTACTTCCAGACCTTCAAATAGCATTATATATTGACCACTGGTTCACAGCATATACTGCATTGTGTAAGACAGATCCCATTCTTTTCAGGCAGTTTTTCTCAACTGGGACCAGAACAGAATCTTCAATAGGCCATGCTAGCATTCCTTCAGGCCAGCTGCTTTTGGGCGATGGACTACATGGTAATATTAGTGAATTGCTGCTATGCTTTTGCTAGGAATTTTTGTTGTTGTTGTTGTTTGATTTTTTTTGTTTTGTTTTTTGTTTTTGAGACAGTTTCCCTCTTGTGGTCCAGGCTGTAGTGCAATTGCACAATCTCAGCTCACTGCAACCTCTGCCTCCCAGATTCAAGTGATTCTCCTGCCTCAGCCTCCCGAGTATCTGGAATAGCAAGTGCCTGCCGCCATACCCGGCTAATTTTTGTATTTTTAGTAGAGAAGGGGCTTTGCCATGTTGGCCAGGCTAGTCACAAAGTCCTGACCTCAGGGGATCTACCTGCCTCGGCCTCCCAAAGTGATGGGATTACAGGCGTGAGCCATCGTGCCCAACCTGTTGTTTTTGAGAGATGGGGTCGCACTCTGTCGCCCAGGCTAGAGTGCAGTCATGCTATCAGGGCTCACTGCAGCCTTGACCTCCTAGGCTCAAGTGATCCCCCTGCCTCAGCCTCCCTAGTAGCCAGGCCACCACGCCTAGCTAATTTTAATTTTTTTTTGTAGAGATGGCATCTCTCTATGTTGTTCAGGCTGTTCTTGAACGCCTGGGCTCAAGTGATCCTCCTGCCTTGGCCTCCCATATTGCCGGGATTACAGGAATAAGCTACCGTCCCCAATCTAGGAAATTTTTTGTTTTGTTTTTGAGATGGAGTCTTGCTCTGTCGCCCAGGCTGGAGTGCAGTGATGCGATCTTCACTCACTGTAACCGCCGCCTCCTGGATTCAAGTGATCCTCCTGCCTCAGCCTCTTGAGTAACTGGGATTACTGGCACGCCCGCCACCATGCCTGACTAATTTTGTATTTTTAGTAGAGACAAAGTTTCACCACGTTGGCCAGGCTGATCTCAAACTCCTGACCTCAAGTGATCCACCTGCCTCGGCCTCCCAAGATGCTGGGATTACAGGCGTAAACCACTGCGCCCGGCCAGAAATTATTTTTTTGATCAGAAGCACTGTTGTATGGATTACCTTGAAAGTGTGTAAGGCATTCTGAAAGTCTATGGACAGTGGCACTGGCAGAAGCAATAGACAGGGAAGGCCGATCCTATCCACAACACATTTATTCTAGTGAAAGCAAACTGCTGTCTCCTCCATGATGGAAGGTTTATGATTCCAGTGTAATCAATGTCCAGCAGGTGGCTGGCTGGTCCCTCTGGGGTATGGCGGCATGTTGAGGGGAGAGGAGGATTCAGTCTTGGTCTCTGCTGTTGGAGGGTTAAACACTCAGGAATAGTAGTAACCAGCCGGACGTGGTGGCTCACACCTGTAATCCCAGCACTTTGGGAGGGTGAGGAGAGCAGATCACCTGAGGTCAGGAGTTCGAGACCAGCCTGGCCAACATGGTGAAACCACATCTCTACTAAAAATACAAAAAATTAGCCAGGTGTGGTGGTGTATGCCTGTAACCCCAGCTACTCGGGAGGCTGAGGCAGAATTGCTTGAACCTGGGAGGCGAAGGTTATAGTGAGCCGAGATCGTGCCATTGCACTCCAGCTTGGGCAACAAGAGCGAATCTCTGTCTTAAAAAAAAAAAAATAGTAGTAACCAGGTCAGTCTTGATAAGGGGATGGTCTTGTTTGGTCCCTGTCTAGCCCACACCTCTGTCCCATAGATCCACCAAACAAGCACCAGGTTGGCTGGGGAAAGAGGTTGAGTGACATCCACGGAATACGTCGCTTTGTCCACTTGATTACTGAGAGCCTCTTCTGCAGTAAATGTCCCTTGGAGACTATTCACATGGAACACTGTTCACTGTGTCTGTTCTGAGAGGTCCATCCACATGTACCTTTTCCCCAGATTTCCTGTTGCCTATCTTCCAGTCCTGTTCTTTCAGGTGTGTTAGCCACTGACCATTAGTCCAATTTCAGGCCATCTCCAAGTCCTAACCATATGGACAATTAAATATTCTGCTCCAAGTTCTGCCCCTTGGGAGGATTTCTCTCCATCATTGTCTTTCCAGAGTACTTTGATTGGGGTCGTAATGCTGATGGGGTGACCGTGAAAGGCTGATGAGAGACTGACAATGGACGGATGAGGCAGACAACTCCTGAATCCGCTGGCCAGTCACAGAGACAACCAGACTTACTGCCAATGGCATCCTCATGACAGTGCAAACCCAGAATGTGAGAAATTCTCAAGGACAAATGATCTGTTTTCTGTTTTTCTATTTTTTGAGGCGGAGTCTCGCTCTGTCACCCAGGCTGGGGTGCAGTGGTGCGATCACTGCTCACTGCAATCTCCACCTCCCGGGTTCAAGCGATTCTTCTGCCTCAGCCTTTCAAGTAGCTGGGTTTTCAGGCGCCTGGCACCATGTCCAGTTAATTTTTGTATTTTTAGTAGAGACGGGGTTTCACCATGTTGGCCAGTCTGGTCTCGAACTCCTGACCTCAAGCGATCTGCCCGCCTTGGCCTCCCAAAGTATTGGGATTACAGGCGTGAGCCACTGCGTCTGGCCAGCCACCGTGCCCAGCCATGATCTGGTTTCTTTCTTTTTTTTTTTTTTTTTTTGAGACGGAGTCTCGCTCTGTTGCCTAGGCTGGAGTGCAGCGGCATGATCTCAGCTCACTGCAACCTCTGCCTCCTGGTTCAAGTGATTTTCCTGCCTCAGCCTCCCAAGCAGCTGGGACTGCAGGCACGTGCCACCATGCCCAGGTAATTTTTGTCTTTTTAGTAGAGACAGGGTTTCACCACATTGGCCAGGCTGGTCTTGATCCCCTGACATCATGATCCACCCGCCTTGGCCTCCCAAAGTGCTAGGACTACATTTTGTTTAAAGGAGGAAGAGGAAATGCTATGGGTTAAAAGGGGCTTAAGAGACATATCAGCCAAATACAATACATGGACCTATTTGGATGGTGATTATAACAACCCAATTATAAAAAAAAATCATTTATGAGACAATCAGGAAAATGTGAACACTGGTGACTGGATATTAGATGATATTAAGGAATTACTGTTAATTATTTTTAGGTGTGATAATTGTATTATAGATATGTTAAAGAAAAGTCCTTGACTATTATTAAAGATTGAATCCTAATCTCCTAGAGATACATTCTGAAGTCTAGTAATATTTTTGATAGAAATAGAATGAATTCTGAGTTTTGCTTTAAAATAGCAAGGCAGACAAAGACAAAACAAGATTGGCTATATGTTGATAATCACTGAAGCTGGATGATAGGTATGGGTACATAATATTATTTGCTCCTTTTTGTGTGAGTTTTAATTTTTCTGTACTGGCCGGGTGCAGTGGCTCACGCTTGTAATCCCAGCACTTTGGGAGGTCAAGGCGGGTGGATCACTTGAGGTCAGGAGTTCAAGACCAGCCTGGCCAACATGGTGAAATCCTGTCTTTACTAAAAAATACAAAAATTAGCCCAGCGTGATGGCAGGCACCTGTAGTCCCAGCTACTCGGGAGGCTGAGGCAGGAGAACTGCTTAAATCCGGGAGGTGAAGGTTGCAGTGAGCTGAGATCGTGCCACTGCATTCCAGCCAGGGCGACAGAGCAAGACTCCATCTCAAAAAAAGAAATAAAAATAATTAAATAAATTTTCTGTACCAAAAGGTGGTTTTCTTTTGGGTTTTGTTTTCTAAATGTATCTTGACCTCATGCCCTTCACATCAAAATTTCTTCAAAGATTAATCTATGACTCCCTCACCCATTCTCTGTGGTTTGGCTTTCAGCTCTGTCAATCCTTTGACACTGCCCTTGCCAAGGTCACCAAGGGAGTCCATGTTACTAAATCCAGTGGTCACTCTTTTGTCCTTCTACCTGACCTCTTGCTGGCATTTCACACTGTGGATCTCTCTTTCTTTCTTTATTTTTATTTTTGAGACGGAGTTTCGCTCTTGTTGCCCAGGCTGGAGTGCAATGGCGCCATCTCAGCTCACCGCAACCTCTGCCTCCTGGGTTCAAGCGATTCTCCTGCCTTAGCCTCCCAAGTAGCTGGGATTACAGGCATGCACCACCACGCCCAGCTAATTTTGTATTTTTAGTAGAGACGAGGTTTCTCCACGTTGGTCAGGCTGGTCTCGAACTCCTGACCTCAGGTGATCCACCTACCTCAGCCTCCCAAAGTGCTGGGATTACAGGCATGAGCCACTGCACCCGGCCAGGTCTCTCTTTTTTGGGACACATTCTTCCTTGGCTTCTGGGAGACCACAGCCCCCCGGTTTCTCTCTAGTCTCATTAGTCACTATCTCTACCAACTCCAGTCCCATGATTTTGAACACACTCCTCACTCCTCTTCACTCCTGGATTTTTATCTCCAGCCCTGCTCTCTTCTCTGAGAACTTACTTTGTCACTTGCTTTGTGTGACTTCTCCACTTTGATATTAAAAAGGCAGCTCAGGGCCAGGCGCAGTGGCTCACACCTGTAATCCCAGCACTTTGGGAGGCTGAGGCGGGTGGATCATCTGAGGTCGGGAGTTCAAGACCAGCCTGGCCAACATGGTGAAACCCCATCTCTACTAAAAACACAAAAATCAGCCGGGTGTGGTGGCACGACCCTGTAATCCCAGCTACTTGGGAGGCTGAGGTTGCAGTGGGCCGAGATCGTGCCACTGCACTCAAGCCTGGGTGACAGAGCAAGACTCCGTCTCAAAAAATAAATAAATAGGCCGGGCACGGTGGCTCACGCCTGTAATCCCAGCACTTTGGGAGGCGGAGGCGGATGGATCACGAGGTCAGGAGTTCAAGACCAGCGTGGCCAACATGGTGAAACCCCATCTCTATTAAAAATACAAAAATTAAGCTGGGTGCAGTGGCTCACGCCTGTAATCCCGGCACTTTGGGAGGCCGAGGCGGGTAGATCACAATGTCAGAAGTTCAAGACCAGCCTGGCCAAGATGGTGAAACCCTGTCTCTACTAAAAAACAAATTAGCCAGGCATGGTGGCACATGCCTGTAGTTCCAGCTACTCAAGAGGCTGAGATGGGAGGATCACTTGAGCCCTGAAGGTGGAGGCTGCAATAAGTCTGGAAGACTGATAGAGACCCTGTATCAAAAATAAAATAAAAGGCAGCTCAGATGTAACATGGCCAAACCCTATTTTGATCTCTCCATTCTCTCATATCTGCTCCTTGCCCATTACAGTTAAGAACCCCTTCAACCAAGCCAGCGTCTCATCCTTGAAGCTCTCTTTTCCTCAAGTCCCCACTACAATCCATCAGCCAATCTGGTCACTTCCACCTCCAATTAGTTCCCTGAATCAGCCTCTTCTCATCAGCGCCACTGCCTCCACCCAGCTCAAGGTCTTACGTGGGCCACCTGATGTCCCAGAAAGCATGGGCACGGCTTACAGATATCACTTAAGTCTTTTCACTCCTTTAACCGCTTTTTAATTCTCTTTATCATCACCTAGGAACATTTTTATCTCCACTCTAACATTTTTATCTACCCGACTTTTAAAAGTTTTCTAAACAAACAATGGGCCTTTCATCCATTGTTTCAGGGGGCATATGCTGAAATATGACACGATGTCAGGGATTTGTTTCACAATAATAGGGAGGAACAGTGGGTAGGGGCTGGGGAAAGAAAAAAAAAACAGGATCAGGAGTTGCTCGTTCTGTGTGGGGGGATGCTCGCCAGGAGCTCACTTTACCATCCTGACTTTTGTTTATGTTCAAAATTCTCCATAATGAAAACCCGAGATTACCAACTCCTACGTAACTGACTTTACGGACAAGAACTCTTTTATCGGGTGCTTGAGGTCAGACCGAGTTACTGCGGTCTGCCAGCAGTGACAATTTAGTGAGGGCTTACTGCTATTAACAACTGTTAAGTGCGGCGCTGATAGGTAACAATGCTTGCGCTCCCAGCGGGGCAGGCACCGAGTGCTTCTTCGGAGGCGCTCCCGACCGCAGCCCAGGCACCCAGACCCCCGCCTGCTCCAGGCCGGCGCCCCGGGCACCTCGGCGGAAGCCGGGAGCGAGCGCAGCTCGGGAAGCCAGAGCTCCACCCTCCCCGAGGCCTTGCACGTGCAGCCCGGAGACTCCGCTGCGCGTCCCTCCCTGCCCCCACCGCGGGCACGTGACCTGCAGCCCTGGGGCCCGGGAGGACTGCGGCCGCGGAACGTCGTAGAGGATCAGGGAAGGTTCAGGGTCGACCTCCAGACTCAGTCCTTGGGTTGGGTGGCAGGGTGGGGGCACTAGGGTGGGGAGATCTCGAGTTTAGGCCATAAAAAAGATCAGAAAGAGAAGAGCCCGAGAGAGAGGTGGCCCACCTTGGCCCCGGAGCTTGGGAGGGCGGGTCCCGGCTGGGGTTCGTGGGATCTGGACCCACTCGCCCCCCGGGACGCGAGCGCGGCGGGGACCGGGCGCGCGAGGCTGCGCCGAGAGAGGGCGCCGGCCCAGGTGCGGCCTCTGGGTGTGGCCGAAGCCAGCCCAGGCGGCCCGGATTGTCGTCCTCTGCGGAAGCGGCCCGGGCGCGGGAGCCGCGGGCGTAGCCAGCTCCGGAGCCCCGCGCCTCCGCCGCCCCGCGCGCCCTTCCTTTGTGTCTCCCAAGCAGGGGTGAACGCAGACCACTTGGATTTGATTTTTCCGTGCGAGTTCCCTTTTTTCCAAGTTCGGGGCCCCTCCTTCCCCCAGCGGCGCGCGCCCCCGGGGTGTCCGCCCCCTCCCCCTCCGGCCCAGCCCTGGGCGGGGCAGACGCCCTTGGAGTCGGGAGAAAAGACTATCTGATTTCAAAACCGACGCGACCCGAGCTGGGCTGCGGAAATGGCGCCCATGTCCCGGCTCCGGCCAGGTCGTGATCAGGAGACAGGTGTGGCCCTGGGACCCGTTTGGAGAGCAGAGGGGACATAAGTGGGTGCTGGGGGCGGGGGAGCTTGTGGCCCTGCGGCCCCCGCCCAGCCCCCGCCGAGCCCCCGCCGCAGCATTTCGGAGCTGGGCGCGGCAAAGGAGGGCCGGGACGCAGGCAGAGCGGGGGTTGAGCGGGGCCTGCGGCAGGGAAACCGGGAGAAGCAGGAGGCCGGGCGGGGCGGGGCAGGACGGTTGAGTCCTTCATTGCTTCTATCACAGACTGAGGAGCCTCTCCCCACCGCAATCCCTTTATACTGGGTAGGGGTTCGAAGGCACAGGGACAGAGTATACAGGACACTGCTTGAGGCAGCGCGTCCACCCACCATCTGTGCGACCTCATCAAGTCACCTCTCTGAGCCTCAGTTTCCCGGTATAATGGAAACGGCAATTTTAAATGACACGTAAGTGCCTGGCACTCATTGAGCTCATCAAATGAAGAGCCCCGTCTCTGGGCCCCCTTGCCCCTGAGGGAAATGCACACACAAACCTAGAAAATGTGCTGTAATGCACAATGTGGGACAGACCCAGTCACTCTCCTTTCATTCTTCTTCCATCGAATATTCTGAGGCTTCGGCGCCAGCCCTTTGCCGGCGGATGCTGCCGAGATGAAGACAGCATGCTCGGCCTGGTGAAGCCAATAAAAGAGCAGGCTCCCCTCCTGGGGCCAGGTGTCACCACAGAAGCAGGCCCTGGAAGATGCCAGGAGCCAGCCAGCCCAGGGCCCTGTCCTACCCCCGGCCCTTCCGCGGGCGAGAGCCCAGGATCTCCAGGTCCTGCCCTGCACTTGGAGATTTGCTCCCTAACAGGTTTTTGGTTTTGTTTTTTTGAATAGAGGCGGGGTTTTGCCGTGTTGCCCAGGCTGGTCTCAAACTCCTGGGCTCAAGCAATCCTCCTGCCTCAGCCTCCCCAAATTCTGGAATTACAGGCGTGAGCCACATGCCCAGTCTGTTGTTTTTCCTTTCTTTTCTTTTCTTTCTTTCTTTCTTTTTTTAGAGACGGTCTCTCTTGCCTCACTTTTTTTTTTTTTTTTTTTGAGACAGTGTCTTACTCAGTTCACCCAGGCTGGAGTGCAGTGGCGTGGTTTTGGCTCACTGCAACCTCTGCCGCCCAGGTTCGAGCAATTCTCCTACCTCAGCCTCCCGAGTAGCTGGGATTACAGGCACCTGCCACAGCGCCCTGCTAATTTTTGTATTTTTAGTAGAGACGGGGTTTCACCATATTGGTCAGGCTGGTCTTGAACTCCTGACCTCGTGATCCACCTGCTTTGGCCTCCCAAAGTGCTGGGATTACAGGTGTGAGCCACCACACCTGGCTCGCCTCACATGTTTTTAAAAGATCCAGTGTCCTGATGGCTCTTGGTGCTCTTCCCAGATGATGGTAAAATGCTCAGTGTGGACCAAGAGAAGCCTGACCCTGACAAACATCCTTTTTTCTTTACACATCTGAATTTTGATGAGCTCTGAAGGGAACTCGATTTCTCCGCAGCCGTCCTGAGTTCTGTGGTGCTTAGTGTCTGATGCCTTCATCTTCCTTTAGTTTCAACACTGTGTATAACTTAGTCCTCTCCAGGACCTGT
Organism: Homo sapiens; assembly: GCF_000001405.40. NCBI lineage: Eukaryota > Metazoa > Chordata > Mammalia > Primates > Hominidae > Homo > Homo sapiens. Next base: position 41,020,292 of record NC_000022.11, on the reverse strand, counting down.
CCCCCAGCTCTGGGGAGGGACCAAAGCTGTACAGTAGGTGAATAGTGAGTAACTGGATGAAGTGTTCTTTTGTCTCTCTGAATGCTCCCCAGAGCCATAAGGAATTAATAATCTTGGCTACTGGGCTGGGAGCAGTGGCTCACACCTGTAATCCCAGCACCTTGGCAAGCCAAGATGGGAGGATTGCTTGAGGCCAGGAGTTCGAGACCAGCCTGGGCAACAGTGAGGCCCTGTCTCTACAACAAACAAGCAAACAAACAAACAAGAACAACAAAAAAACTCAGCTACCACTTCATGAGTATCTATGCTGCGCCAGGGACTACTTCAGGTACTAAATTCATGCATCTTATATAGAGACGGGAGCACGGTAGGGGATGGCAGAGACAGGTCACTCAGGAAGTTAAGCCAAGGCCAGGTTGGAAGTTAAGCCAGGCCCTGCCGCTGGGTGAACTACACAGGCAACGAGCATTCCACCCTGCCCTGCTGGGTATGCACAGTCTCAGTGTGGTATTCCTAGTGCTGCCCGAGCAGGTGCCAGAGGCACCTTGGGGTGGGGTTATCATTCTGGAAGCTAGAAGGACCAGCAGCTCAGGCAGGGTCCAGTTCCTATTGATTCTACCCTGAAATGTCCCTCAATTCCCTCGACGTCTCACCATTTGTCCCTAGATCACCACACAGAGTCCTTCCTTGCCAACTGGCAGTGCTCCTTTTTTTTCTTTTTGAGACGGAGTCTTGCTCTGTCGCCCAGGCTGGGGTGCAGTGGCGCGATCTCAGCTCACTGCAACTTCCGCCTCCCAGCTTCAAGCCATTCTCCCGCGTCAGCCTCCCGAGTAGCTGGGACTACAGCTAATTTAATATTTTTTGTATTTTTAGTAGAGACGGAGTTTCACCATGTTGGCCAGGATGGTCTCGATCTCTTGACCTCATGATCCGCCTGCCTCGGCCTCCCAAAGTGCTGGGGTTACAGGTTTCAGCCACCGCACCCAGCCTCCCCGCTTTTTTTTTTTTTTTTTTGAGATGGAGTCTCGCTGTCGCCCAGGCTGGAGTGCAGTGGCGCAATCTCGGCTCACTGCAACCTCTGACCCCTGGGCTCAAGCGATCCTCCTACCTCAGCCTTCTGAGTAGCTGGAATTACAGGAGTACGCCACCATGCCTGGCTAATTTTTGTATTTTAGTAGAGACAGGGTTTCACCATGTTGGCCAGGCTTGTCTTGAACTCCTGGCCTCAAGTGATCTGCCTGCCTTGGCCTCCCAAAGTGCTGGGCTTACAGGTATGAACTACTGTGCCCGGCCTCAGTGCTCCCATTTTAATCCATCCCTACCCGGAATCTTACTAAACATTTTAATTCCATCATTTCTTTTTCTTAGATATGAGGCCTCACTCCATCACCCAGGCTGGATTGCAGAGACACGATCATAGCTCACTACAGCCTCTAACTCTTGGGTTCAAGCGATCCTCTCACCTCAGCCTCCATAGTTCTTAGCTGGGACTACAAGTGTGCAGCATCACACCTGGCTAATAATTCCATCCTTAACCCTCTGCGAGGGATGCCATTTGCCTTCTGAATAAACCCAGACTCCTTCAGGAGGCTTACAAGGTCCTGGGCCACATTTTTAGCCTTTCTTCCATCCACTCCACCACAGACTTTAAGATGCAGTAAAAATGGTTCTCACTTCCTTGCCTTACCACAGCTGTGCCATCCACCTGTCGTGCCCACTACCCATCTGCCTCTTCAGGCAGGACTGTGTGGATTGGATGTTGCCAGATCACAGTGGCCTGTTCACTCTCCTGGTTCCTCCTCAAGGACTGAGCACCTTAATTGCATGTCAGTCTTATTGTACTTGGACTCCCTCATGTCTACCGCGGCATATGTGGAGTGAGTGAGTGAGTGAATGAATGAATGAATGAAGGGGTTAAGATTTGGACCAGCTTGTCCCTGAGGGGTCCAGTGAGTTTCGAAGATGTACCTCAAGCAAATAATCATAATCAGGTTGCATGCCCACCCAATGCCAGCAGAGGAGACCAGAGACCAGCGGGCAGGTGGAAGCTGTGCCCCCAGGAGTCTAAGAAGTCTCTGGCCTGGCCAGAGGGTACTTCCAAAGCCTGTGTGAGAAGTTCCATCTTCCCGTCCCTCATCTCAGGCCAACTCTTTTGACAATCCCAGGAAACAGGTATGAGGCCTTTTGTTTTGCTTAGAGACAGGGTCTCTCTCGCCTCATTTTTTTTTTGAGACGGAGTTTCGCTCTATTGCCCAGGCTGGAGTGCAGTGGTGCAGTCTTGGCTCACTGCAAGCTCCACCTTCCAGGTTCACGCCATTCTCCTCCCTCAGCCTCCCGAGTAGCTGGGACTACAGGCGCCCGCCACCACGCCCAGCTAATTTTTTGTATTTTTAGTAGAGACGGGGTTTCACCGTGTTAGCCAGGATGGTCTCTATCTCCTGACCTCATGATCCGCCCGCCTCAGCCTCCCAAAGTGCTGGGATTACAGGCATGAGCCACCGCGCCCGGCCTTTATTTATTATTATTATTTTTAATTTTTTTATTTTTGAGACAGAATTTTGCTCTTATGGCGCAGGCTGGAGTGCCGTGGCATGATCTTGGCTCACTGCAACCTCTGCCTCCTGGGTTCAAGCGATTCTCCTGCCTCAGCTTCCCAAGTAGGTGGGATTACAGGTGCCCACAACCACGCCTGGCTAATTTTTTGTATTTTTAGTTGAGATGGGATTTCACCATGTTGGTCAGGCTGGTCTCGAACTCCTGACCTCAGATGATCTGTCTGCTTCGGCCTCCCAAAGTGCTTGGATTATAGGCATGAGCCACCGCGCCTGGCTGAAATATTTATTAAAAGCCTATTATACTAACAGCAGTCCTAGATTATAACGCATAGAATAAAATATCCACAAATCCATACTGATATGAATAAATAATTGAATAAATAAATAAATAGTTGGGGAGAGAGGAAGGGACAGCTCTTTCTTATGGAAAAAAATCTAATTAACAAATGCAGAAGCAGGCTGGGCACGGTGGCTCACACCTGTAATCCTGAGATAGGAGGATCACTCGAACGAACAATCAAGTGGCTAAGATTGCACCACTGCACTCCAGCCTGGGTAACAGAGTGAGACTTTATCTGTAAATAAATAATAAATCGATCAATAGATCAATAAATAGGAATGAGAGAAATAGAAACTCAACATTAGGCTGGGCGCGGTGGCCCACACCTGTAATCCCAACACTTTGGGAGGCTGAGGTAGGAGGATTACTTGAGGTCAGGAATTCAAGAACAACCTAGCCAACATGGGGAAACCCTATCTCTACTAAAAATAGAAAAATTAGTGGAGCGTGGTGGTGTCCACCTGTAATCCCAGTTTGGGAGGCTGAGGCATGAGAATTGCTTAAACCTGGGAGGTGGAGGTTGTAGTGAGCCAAGATCTCGCCACTGCACTCTAGCCTGGGCGACAGAGTGAGACTCCGTCTCAAAAAAAAAGAGAAAGTCAACACTGGAACACCAATTGTAATTGTTACAGACAAGATCCTCCAATGGGTGCTAAAATTTGTGGGTAAAAGTTTAAGGAGAAATAGAATATTGGCATAATCTCAAAATATCTCCCCTCCAATGTTTATTAACTGCAAATGCAAAGATAATTGTACAGATAATAACTGGACAATGGAGAAATCTTGCAGATACCATCTTAAATGATTAGCCAAATGATTTGCACATCACCAAGAATAAAACATGCCAACACTGTTCACCCCTGATGCACTGAGAAGAGAGAGTCACTCTTCCTGTTTGTCTTCCCCAAAAAGTATAACCTCAATCTAGTTATAAAGAAACAGGCGACACTGTAATCTCAGCACTCTGGGGGCCAAGATGGGTGGATCACCTGAGGTCAGGACTTCGAGACCAGCCTGGCCAACATGGCGAAACACCGTCTCTATTCAAAATACAAAATTAGCCAGGCGTGGTGCCACGCACCTGTAATTCCAGCTTCCTGGGAGGCTGAGGCAGGAGAATCACTTGAACATGGGAGGCAGATGTTGCAGTGAGCTGAGATCACGCCATTGCACTGCAGCCTGGGCAACAAGAGCAAAACTCCACCATCTGAAAAAAAGAAGGAAGGGGAGGGGAGGGGAACAGGCAACAAATGAACAAAGTGAAGGACATTCTGTGAAACACCTGACCAGGCCGGATGCAGTGGCTCATGCCTGTCTTCCAGCGCTTTGGGAGGCCTAGATGGGTGGATGGCTTGAACCCAGGTGTTTGAGACCAGCCTGGGCAACATAGTGAAACCCCGTCTCTACAAAATATTAAAAAGTAATTAGTGTGCACCTGTGGTCCCAGCCAATCGAGAGGCTGAGGTAGGAGCATTGCATGAGCCCAGGAGGTTGAGCCTGCAGTAAAAGGGTTTGTGCCACTGCACTCCAGCCTGGGCGACAGAGCAAGACCCTGTCTCAAAACAAAACAAAACAACAACAACAAAAAAACAGGCCACGCGAGGTGGCTCACGCCTGTAATCCCAGCACTTTGGGAGGCCGAGCTGGGTGAATCACCTGAGCTCAGGAGTTCAAGACCAGCCTGGGCAACATGGTGAAACCCAATCTCTACTAAAATTAAAAAAAAAAAAATTAGCTGGGCGTGGTGGCCTGTGCCTGTAATCCCAGCTACTCAGGAGGCTGAGGCAGGAGAATCGCTTGAACCCGGGGGGCAGAGGTTGCAGTGAGCCGAGATCGCGCCACTGCACTCCAGCCTGGGTGACAGAGTGAGACTCTGTCTCAAAAACAAAACAAAACAAAACAAAACAAAACAAACAAACCCCCAAATACCTGACCAGTATTCTTCAAAAGTGTTGAGGTCATGGATAAGGAAAGACTGAGGAACTGTCATAAGGAAGGTAAGGAGACATGATGATTTACCTGGATTGGATCCTAGGACAGAAAAACAAACAAACACACCCAAAAATGGGACATTAGTGGAAAAATTGGTAAAATTGGAATCAAGTCTGTAGTTCAGCTAATAGTATTGTGCCAATGTGAATGTATTGGTTTGATAACTGCACTACGGTTATGTAAGATGTTAACCTTAGAGGAAGCTGGGTAAGAGGATATACGGGAACTCTGTGCTATTTTTGCAACGTTTCTGTAAGTCTAAAATTATTTCAAAATAAAAAGTGAAAAAAAATTAAAGCCGATTATACCTCTAGCACCCAGCTTGTGATCTCTAAATACCATTTCCTTCCCAAGGGAACCAAGACTCCTTAGAGAAACACTGATTCCAGGTATGGGGCAGAACACAGGAAGAGTCTGGAACAACTAGAAAAATCAGCGAGCAAAGAAGCTGTCAAAGACTCACAGGGGGGTGGGCACAGTGGTTCACACCTGTAATCCCAGCACTTTGGGAGGCCGAGGCGGGCAGATCACGAGGTCAGGAGATCAAGACCATCCTGGCTAACATGGTGAAACCCCATCTCTACTAAAAATACAAAAACCTAGCCGAGTGTGGTGGTGGACAGCTGTAGTCCTAGCTACTCAGGAGGCTGAGGCAGCAGAATTGCTTGAACCTGGAAGGCAGAGGTTGCAGTGAGCTGAGATCACGCCACTGCACTCCAGCCTGGGCGACAGAGCAAGACTCCCGCTCAAAGAAAAAATAAATTAAAAAATTTAGCCAGGCGTAGTGGTGCAAGCCTGTAGTCCCAGCTACCCTGGAAGCTGAGGTAGAAGGAGGATCACTTGGGCCTGGGAGGTGAAGGCTACAGTGAGCTGTGATCACACCACTGCACTCTAGCCTGGGTGACAGAGTGAGACCCTATCAAAAAAAAAAAAAAAAAGAGAGAGAGAGAATGGTCACATTAGGTTATCGTCATCTTGCATCCCTTCATGAACTAAGGGATCTGAGCATTGAACAGTAGTGGCTGCTGATGTTACACCAAAAAAAGACAACCAGACATTATTTGCCTCTCAATGAAATCACACACTTTCCATGAATTATTCACGTCAAAAAACTCTAATCTGGATTGCTTGACCCCAGGAGGCGGGAGTTGTTGCAGTAAGCAGAGAATGCACCACTGAACTCCAGCCCAGGCGACAGAGTGAGACTCTGAGTCAAAAAAAAAAAACAAAACCAAAAAACCTCTAATCTGAGCTGAGCAAGGTGGCATGTGCCTGAATCCCACCTACTTGGGAGGCTGAGGTGGAAGGATCTCTTGAGCCCAGGAGGTGAAGGCTGCAGTGAGCTATGATCGCACCACTGCACTCCAGCCTGGGCCACAGAGTGAGACCCAGTCTCTAAAGCAACAGCAGTAACAAAAACAACAGACCCTCTAATCTAAATTTGATCAGGCCTATAAGAAACTATGAATTTACAGGAAATACAAAGCACAGAAATCTTGTTAAATTGTACCACAGGGATGCAATCAGGAAAATCCAAACTGGAGGATATGATAGAACAAATGATGTGTTTACATTGAAAATTGAAAGAGCTGGAAGGAGAAACTAGAGATAAGAGACCTAAATGACATATCAGCTGATTGCACAGTGCGGTCCTTATTTATTTATTTTAGAGACAGGGTCTCACTCTGTCTCCGAGACTGGAGTGTAGTGGTGCATGTGTCTCTTTCTCCTTAAACATTTCAGTGTGCAGTGTGTATCTCTAAAACTCAGGCCTAAAAAAAATACATAACTACAGTACCATTATAACAACTAAAAAGATATACAATAATTCTTTGATGTTAAATGGTCTAGTCAACATTCACATTTCCAATGACGTTAGTCTTGTAAATGACATTAGATATTTCTGTTTTACAGTGTTTTGTTTTGTTTTTTTTTTTTGAGATGGAGTTTTGCAATTCTTGCCCAGGCTGGAGTGCAATGGCTCGATCTTGGCTCATTGCAACCTCTGCCTCCAGGGTTCAAGCGATTCTTCTGCCTCAGCCTCCCAAATAGCTGGGGTTACAGGCATGCACCACCATGCCTGGCTAACTTTTGTATTTTTAGTAGAGACGAGGTTTCACCATGTTGGCCAGGCTGGTCTCGAATTCCTGACCTCAAGTGATCCGTCTGCCTCAGCCTCTCAAAGTGCTGGGATTACAGGTGTGAACCACTGCACCCGGCTATGTTTATTTGTTTGTTTGTTTGTTTTGACAGGGTCTTGCTCTGTTGCCCAGGCTGAAGTACAGTGGTATGATCATGGCTCCCTGCAGCCTCAACCTCCTGGGCTCAAACAATCTTCCTGCCTCAGCCTCCCGAGTAGCTGGGACTACAGGCATATGCCACCACGCCTGGTTGGTCCTTATTTTTATCTTGATTAAACCAAACAAAACAAAAACAGGCTGGGCGTGGTCACTCACACTTGTAATCCTAGCACTTTGGGAGGCTGAGATGAGAAGATTGCTTGAGCCCAGGAATTCAAGACCACCCTGGGCAACATGGCAAGACCCTGTCTCTACATTAGCCAGGCATGGTGGAACACACCTGTTAGTCTCAGCTACTCAGGTGGCTGGGGCAGAAGGATCACTTGAGCCCAGGAGTTGGAGGCTGCAGTGAGCCATGATCACACCACTGTACTTCAGCCTGGGCAACAGAGCAAGACTGTCAAAAAAAAAAAAACAAAACTAAAAAACCACTGCAAAACAGAAACATCTAATATCATTTACGAGACCATTGGAAATTTGAACGCTGACTAGACCATTTGATATCAAGGAATAATTGTATATCTTTTTAGTTGTTACAATGGTACTGTAGTTAGGTATGTTTTTTAGGCCTGAGTTTTAGAGATACACACTGCACACTGAAATGTTTACAGAAGAAAGGATATGAGGTGTGGGCTTTACTTCCATGTAATATTTCCAAAGGAAAGGGATGGAGTGTGGATGGCGCATGATCAGCCATGGGTTGATGGGTGTTGGGACTAGCTGCCAAGATTCATCATCTGATTCTATTTTTTGGTGCATGTTCAAATTTTACCTAATAAAAAGTCTTTTTTTTTTTTGAGATGGAGTCTTGCTGTGTCGCCCAGGCTGGAGTGCAGTGGCCCAATCTCGGTTCACTGCAAGCTCTGCCTCCCGGGTTCACGCCACTCTCCTGCCTCAGCCTCCCGAGTAGCTGGGACTACAGGCACCCACCACCATGCCCGGCTAATTTTTTGTATTTTTACTAGAGACGGGGTTTCACCATGTTAGCCAGGATGGTCTCGATCTCCTGACTTCGTGATCCGCCTGCCTCGGCCTCCCAAAGTGCTGGGATTACAGGCGTGAGCCACTGTGCCCGGCCTTAAAAAGTCTTTTAAAAACAACTGCAATCTACAAGTTACAGATAACAGTCATCAACATTTTGTAGTCTACCAGTGTCTGTCTTTTAAAAATATATGTGTATGTGCCTATGGTTTTTGTTTTTTTTTTTTTTGAGACAGAGCCTCATTCTGTTGCCCAGGCAGGCTGAAGTGCAGTGGCGCAATCCAGGCTTACCACAACCTCCACCTCCCAGGTTCAAGTGATTCTCCTGCCTCAGCCTCCTGAGTAGCTGGGACCACAGGTGCACCACCATGCCTGGCTAATTTTTGTATTTTTAGTAGAGATGGGGTTTCACTATGTTGGCCAGGCTGGTCTTGAACTCCTGACCTCATGATCCACCCATCTTGGCCTCCCAAAGTGCTGGGATTACAAGCGTGAGCCACCACACCCAGCCTGTATTTTTTTAAATTTAGATTAGATAACATATATCTTTTTAGTAACCCATTTCTATATTACCCTATCAATAAATATTCTACCCTGTCTCTATAAAAATTTTTAAAAAATTAGCCAGGCATGGTGGTGCCTGCCTGTAGTCTCAGCTACTCAGGAGGCCAAGGTGGGAGGATCGCTTTTGCCTGGAGGTTGAGGCTGCGGTCAGCATGGATTGTGCTACTGTACTCCAGACTGGGTGACAGAGCGAGACCTTGTCTCAAAAATAAATAAATATATATATATGTATATTCTACCTCTGGATAATTTTTTAAGGCCTTTTATGCCCCAGGTGCTACGAACATGGTGATAAGCCTGATATCTTGCCTCCAGACAGCCTGTGGTCTAAGGGAGTGAGCAAATCTCACCTCTTGTGACTCAGTTTGCTGCTCTCTATGATGGGTGTGCCCTTTCCTTCTTTTCTTTTTCTTGGGGTGAAGGGAGCGTGCCCTTTCTAAAACCTCCCAGCTGTACAGTTCCAATGACAGAAACTTCACTCTGCTGTCCACACCACTCTTCCAATGAGACCTAGCCTGGATTCTAGGCAGGGAATAACATCAGGGCTCAATCAGAGTAGCCTGTATGCCTCTGAAAGACAGTGTCCTGCAAAAGGTAGGCACTTGAATTGTCTAATGAGCTCCACTTCAGACCCCTGGGGCTTGACTGGATTGTCATTACGACGTTGTCATTCACTTCTTTCTCTGGACCCCTGCAGCCCCTCCTGGCCCAGAGCTGTACTGTGTTTAACCGTAGCCTCTCCAGCTTCTCCAGCTGACCCTGAGCTCCTCAGGACGCCAGCACCTGCCAGAGGGTCTGGCACACAATGAGTGTGAACTAAATGAATATATGGAAGGAAAGCAACCCAGGTGTGTGGCCAAGAGCGTGTGTTTAGTCAGACTCCAAACCCAATTACCAACTCCTTAGTGATTTTTTTTTTTTTTTTGAGACAGCATTTCACTCTCTTGCCCAGGTTGGAGTGCAGTGGCATAATCATGGCTCACTGCATCCTCAACCTCCCAGGCTCAAGCAATCCTCTTGCCTCAGCCTCCATAGTAGCTGGGACTACAGGTGGGCACCACCACGCTTGGCTGAGTTTTAAATTTTTTGTAGAGATGGGGTCTCTCTATATTACCCAGAATGGTCACAAATTCCTGGATTCAAGCCATCCTCACACCTTACCCTCCCAAAGTGCTGGGATTACAGGCATGAGCCACGACACCTGGTCTTCTTTAGTGAATTTATTTATTATTATTATTATTATTATTATATTTTGGAGACAGAATCTCCCTCTGTCGCCCAGACTGGAGTGCAGTGATGCAATCTCAGGTCACTGCAACCTCCGCCTCCCAGGTTCAAATGATTCTCTTGCCTCAGCCTCCCGAGTAGCTGAGATTATAGGCATGCACCACCATGCCCAGCGCGTTTTTGTATTTTTTGTAGGGACGGGGTTCCACCATGTTGACCAGGCTGGTCTCGAACTCCTGACCACAAGTGATCCACCTCCATTGGCTTCCCAAAGTGCTGGGATTACAGGCATGAGCCACTGCGCCTGGCCTCTTAATGAATTTTTAAGAAACGAAGCTCCATGGCCGTTGAAGATCAGTTGGCCTGTTAGTTTCCCCTTTTCCTTGGGAGGCACGGGAGGAAAGGGTTAAAGGAGGTGAACTGACAGCAGGGCAGTGAGGAGGAGGGACAGAGTTTGGGGTTGAGGGGTGGGGAGAAAAGGGAGCTGGAGGAGCAAGGGTGGGCCCCTTCCTACCCTACTGCTGGGCTCTGCTCAGCCCCAGGTCAGCCTCTGGGCTGGTGTCTTCACCATGTGGCAATGGTAATTGCTCCAGACCCAGCAGCTCCCCATTGCCCACACTTCCTCCTGTTCTTCCCGCCCCTCAGCCTTTGCGAGGTCAGCTTGGCCCTGAGCCTGTGCCCACACCCATGGCCTCCCTCTTTCAGGCCTGTTTACCTGGTGAGGTGCAGGATGCTGCAGGGTGTGCACCTGTCAGCCTCATTCAGCTGAGGAGCAGGCAGGGGTTAGAGCATGGGAAGCTGCTTTTTCTGCTGTAAATGAGGAACATTGGTTCATATGGACTCCAGGGATGAATTGCTGGGGAAAGGGAGCTCCCTTTGTTCAGTTTACAAAACCCCCCGTGGGAGCCAGATGTGATGGCTCATGCATGTAACCCTAGCACTTTGGGAGGCTGAGGTGGAAGATGGCTTGAGCCCAGGAGTGTGAGGTCAGCCTGAGCAACATAGGCAGGATTGCTTGAGCCTGGGGCATAGAGGCTCAAAAAAAAAAAAAAAAAAAAAACCAACAAAACAAAACTTTAGCCAGGCGTGGAGGTGCATGCCTATAGTCTCAGCTACTTGGGAGGCTGAGGCAAGAGAAACACTTGAGCCCAGGAGTTTGAGGCTGCAGTGAGCTGTGATGGTACCACTATACTCCAGCCTGGGTAACAGAGCAAGACCCTGTCTCTTAAAAAATAGAAAACAAAAATGAAGCCCACAGGGACACTTATTGCCCAGGCCGTGGGACCAGAGCTCCTCTGGGGCAAGGTCCGTGACCCATGGATGTATGGGTCCCCAGTGTGCAGGACAGGGCCTGGCATTTTGGGTGGCGGAGGGATGGAGGAGGCTTGGGAAATATTTACTAAATGAACAAGTGAATGAATGAGTGAGCCATGTTACATGCAGCTACAGTGAACACTGAGCGAAGTAGAAAAGACCAAGAGTTCCAAAGGCAACTAAAAACCTGGGCTCAAATCCTTCCCTGCTATGGAGCTAGCTCTGCTGATTTGGGCAAGTCGCTTAAAACACCATCTGCCTTAGGTTCCCTAACTGTAAAATGGAAGCAAAAAAATTCCACCTTGCTTATGAGGTTTACATGGAATGCTTGTAGAGCATGTGGGTAATGGGCTTAATAAATGGTCACCAGTATTTATTTTTTAATTAAAAAATATTTTGTGATACTTTATTTATGTATTTATTATTTATTTATTTTTTGAGACAGTGTCTCGCTCTGTCACCCAGGCTGGAATGCAGTGGCATGATGTTGGCTCACTGCAAGCTCCGCCTCAAGGGTTGACACCATTCTCCTGCCTCAGCCTCCCCAGCAGCTGGAACTATAGGCGCCCACCACCACACTCGGCTAATTTTTTTTTGTTTTTAGTAGAGATGGGTTTTCACCGTGATAGCCAGGATGGTCTCAATCTCCTGACCTCGTGATCTGCCTGCCTCGGCCTCCCAAAGTGCTGGGATTATAGGCATGAGCCACCACACCCGGCCAACATCATTGTTAGTAGTATTGTTTACTAATTCAACAAATATGTATCAAGTGCCTACTACATGCAGGGTCCTTTCTAGGCACTGGACAAAACATGCCAAGACCCTTCTGTCATGGGGTTTCTGTTCAGGCCAGGGAGAGGGACAATAAACACAAGGAAAGAGTAAATGAAGTATCATTGGAAGGTGAAAGATGTTATGGAAGAAGAAAATAGAGTGGGGGAGGGGATGCAGAGGAAGAAGGATGGATTGGGTTGTCATTTTAAATAGGGTGGCCCTATTAGAAGGCCGCATTAGAAAGTGACACTGGGGTCAGGCATGGTGGCTCATGCCTGCAGTCCCAGCACTTTGGGAGACCAAGGCGGGTGGATCACTTGAGGTCAGGAGTTCGAGACCAGCCTGGCTAACATGGTGAAACCCCATCACTACTAAAAATACAAAAATTAGCTGGGTGTGGTGGTGTGCACCTGTAGTCCCAGCTACTCAGGAGGCTGAGGCAAGAGAATCGCTTGAGTCCAGGAGGTTGCAATGAGTGGAAATTGCACCAAGCACTCCAGCCTGGTGACAGAATGAGACTCTATCTCAAAAAATTAATAATAGGCTGGGCACGGTGGCTCACATGGCATCCCAGCACTTTGGGAGGCAAAGGCAGGCAGATCACCTGAGATTGGGAGTTTGAGACCATTCTGACCAACAAGGAGAAACCCCGTCTCTACTAAAAATACAAAATTAGCCGAGTGTGGTGGCGCACACCTGTAATCCCAGCTACTCAGGAGGCTGAGGCAGGAGAATTGCTTGAACCCAGGAGGCGGAGGTTGTGGTGAGCCAAGATCATGCCACTGCACTCCAGCCTGGGTGACAAGAGCGAAACTCCATCTCAAAAATAAAAATAAAAATAAATAAAAAAATAAAAAGAAAGACTGGCAGGAAGGGAGACAGATGTGCCATATCTCAGGAAAGGGTATTTGCACAGAAGGAGCAGGCCAGTGTGAAATTCTTTAGGTGGGGTGGATGGAGTGGAGTGAGCTAGGGAAAGTGACAGGGATGAAGTCAGAGGTAAAGTGGCCATATCACGTAGGTCATCACCAGCCAAGTAAAGAGAAGCTACGGCAGGGCTTTGAGCATAGAAACAACACAATCTAACTTACATTTTGGGTTATTAGTCTTTTCTTCTTTTATTATTTTCAGAGACAGGGTATTGCTCTGTCACCCAGGCTGGGTTAGCCTTTAAAATGTAACTCAGGGGCTGGGCATGGTGGCTTATGCCTGTAATCCCAACACTTTGGGAGGCTGAGGTGGGAGGATTGCTTGAGGCCAGGAGTTCAAGACCAGCCTGGGCAACACAGCGAGACCCTCATCTCTACAAAAAATTTTTTGAAAATTAGCTGGGCATGGTAATGTGCACCTGTAGTCCCAGCTATTGGGGAATTTGAAGTGGGTGGATCACCTGAGTCCAGGAGTTTAATGCTGCAGTGAGCTATGATTGTGCCACTGTACTCTAGCCTGGGTGACAGAGTGAGACCCTGTGTCAAAAAAATAATAATAATAATAATTTTTTTTGAGATGGAATCTTGCTCTGTCACCCAGGCTGGAGTGCAGTGGTGCAATCTTGGTTCACTGAAACCTCTGCCTCCCAGGCCCAAGCAATTCTTGTGCCTCAGCCTCCCAAGTAGCTGGGATTACAGGAGCATGCCACCATGCCTGGTTAATTTTTTATATTTTTTGGAGAGAAGGGTTTCGCTATGTTGGCCAGGCTGGTCTTGAACTCCTGGCCTCAAGTGATCCACCTGCTTTGGCCACCCAAAGAGCTGGGATTACAGGCATGAGCCACCACTCCCAGCTTTAGATTATTAAAATAAAGGCTAACCCCAGCTGCCTGGATGAGCATAGACTGTAAAGAACAAGGGGAGAGAGGGGCAGAGAGAATTCAGTACTAGGTGCCAAGGGGGTAGCAGTGGTGGTGACAAATGGTTGGATTCTGGATACACACACACACACACACACACACACACACACACACACACACACACATATATATATATTTTTTTTTGAGACAAGGTCTCAGTCTGTAACCCAGGCTAGAGTGCAGTGGTGCAATCATAGCTCACTGCAGCCTGGAACTCCTGGGCTCAAGTAAGCCTCCTGCCTCCTAAGGTTCCTGCTCAAGCGAGGCTCCTGAGGCTCCTGCCTCAGCTTCCGGATTCTGGATATATATATATAGCTTTATTTCCTGAGGGGTTGGATGTGTAGTATGAGAGAGAGCCAAGGATGGCTGGAGGGTTTTGAGTCTGAAAAATGTAAGGAATGAGTTGCCACCAACTGAAACGGGCTAGGCTGGACATGAAAGAGGTTTGGGAGTGGGGTAATCAGGGGCTCAATTTTTTTCTGTTTTTGTTGTTGTTGTTGTTTGTTTTATTGAGACAGTCTCTCTCTGTCACTGCCCAGGCTGGAGTGCAGCGGTGTGATCTCGGCTCACTGTAATCTCTGCCTCCCAAATTCAAGTGATTCTCTTGCTTCAGCCTCCCGAGTATCTGGGATTACAGGTGTGTGCTACCAGGTCCAGCTAATTTTTTTATTTTTTGGTAGAGACGGGATTTCACTGTGTTGGCCAGGCTGGTCTTGAACTCCTGGCCTCAAGTGATCCATCTGTTTTTGCCTCCCAAAGTGCTGGGATTACAAGTGTGAGCCACTGTGCCTGGCCTGGAGCTCAATTTTGGATGTATTAAGATACAGATGCTGGCCAGGTGTGGTGGCTCACATCTGTAATCCCAGCACTCTGGGAGGCTGAGGTGGGTGGATCTTGAGGTTAGGAGTTTGAGACCAGCCTGGCCAAGATGGTGAAACCCCATCTCTACTAAAAATATAAACATTAGCCAGGCGTGGTTGTGGGCGCCTGTAATCCCAGCTACTTGGGAGGCTGAGGCAGGAGAATTGCTTAAACCCAGGAGGTGGAGGTTGCAGTGAGCCGAGATCGTGCCACTGCACTCTAGCCTGGGCAACAGAGCAAGACTCCATCTTAAAAAAAAAAAGAGATATAGATCCCAGTTAAACATGCACGTGAATATATCTAACGGGCAGTTGGATATTCAGGATCAGGCCGTGGAGTTGTTAGCACTGCTACGACTATTTTTTCTCCACTGTCATACTTGATCCTCACACCAGCCCAAGAGTAAGGCAGGGCAGGGATGATTCTCCCAGCTTGAGGGAATTAAAATTCTATGGAGAGTATATAACCAAAATAATTGAAAACAGGTATTCAAATACTTGTAGGCTGGGCATGGTGGCTCATGCCTGTAATCCTAGCACTTTGGGAGGCCGAGGCAGATGGATCACCTGAGGTCAGGAGTTGGAGACCAGCCTGGCCAACATGGTGAAATCCCCCTCTCTACTAAAAATGCAAAAAAATTAGCTGGGCATGGTGCCGGGCGCCTGTAATCCCAGCTACTCGGGAGGCGGAGGCAGGAAAATCGCTTGAACCCAGGAGGCGGAGGTTGTAGTGAGCCAAGATCGTGCCACTGCATTCCAGCCTGGTCGACAGAACGAGACTGTGTCTCAAAAAAACAAAAACAAAAACCAAAAAACCAAACAAATACTTGTACAGGAATGTTCATAGCAGCACTATTCGTGACAGCCAAAGGTGGAAACCACCCAAATGTCCATCACCTGGTGAAGGGCTATATAAAATGTGACGTGTACCCATGCAATGGACTATTATTCAGACATTAAGAGGAACGAAGGCCTGCTCCATAACAAATTGTTGATGCACCTCAAAAACATTATGCTGGCTAGGCACGGTGGTACATGCCTATAATCCCAGCACTCTGGGAGGCTGAGGCAGGAGGATTGCTTGAGCTCAGGTGTTTGAGACCAGCCTGGGAAACACGGTGAAAAAATACAAAAAAATACAAAGATTAGCCAGGGATGGTGGCACACACCTTTAGCCTCAGCTACTTGGGAGGCTGAGGTAGAAGGATCACTTGAGCCCGGGAGGTTGAGGCTACAGTGAGCTGAAATTGTGCCACTACACTCCAGCCTGGACAACAGAATGAGACCCTGTCTCACAAAAAACAAAATACCATTATGCTAAGTGAATGACGCATCACAAAAGGTCACATATTTTGTGATCCCATTCACATGAAGTGTCCAGAATAGGGAAATCCATAGAGACAGAAAGCAGATTTGTGGTTGCCTGGGGGTAGCGACGGGGGAATGAAGAGTGAGTGCTTAATGAGTATGGGGTATACTGTGAATATACTGATTCTGAACTGTACACTTTTATTTATTTATTTATTTATTTTAATAGTGATGGAGGGCGGGGCACAGTGGCTCACGCCTGTAATCCCAGCACTTTAGGAGGCCGGGGCGGGTGGATCACCTGAGGTCAGGAGTTTGAGACCAGCCTAGCCAACATGATGAAACCCTTACTTTACTAAAAATACAAAAATTAGCTGGGTGTTGTAGCGGGCTCCTGTAGTCCTATAGTCCTAGCTACTTGGGAGGCTGAGGTAGGAGAATCACTTGAACCTGGGAGGTGGAGGCTGCACTGAACTGAGATTGCGCCATTGCACTCCAGCCTGGGCAACAGAGCGAGACTCCATCTCAAAAAAAAAAAAAAAAAAAAAAAAAACAATAGTGATGGGGTCTCACCCCGAGCTCAAGCGATCCTCTCCACTCAGCCTCCCAAAGTGCTGGTATTACAGGTTTGAGCTACCATACCTGGCCACTGTACACTTAAAAATGATTAACTTTCTGTTATGTGAATTTCACCTCAATTATAAAAAGAAAGAAAGAAAAACAGAAAGCTCCATGGAGAACTTAACACCAGGTCCCTGGGACCCAGCACGATGTCGTGACTCCCACTGCCGTTCTCTACGAGGCCGTGGGTCTACGGACTGTGACCAGTTTTTTTTTTTTTGCTACAGGTTCTCCACCTGGTACAAGAAGAGTGGCCCAGAGAAAGGTCAGTTTAAGGCAACTGGATTTCCCAAGTCCCAAAGCAGGAAATCTGGTCTGACAAGCACGGGATTCTCGTCTGAAATTAGCCCAGCCCTGGAAAACCTGTGGCTGGGGGTTGCTGTCATCAGAAAGAACCTGTACTTCCGGGTTTGTTTTGGTTGGGAAGGAAGGAGCTGGAGCAGCCAACCTGGCTTCTCAGAGCTTCCATATTTAACCCATCAGGGCCCAAGGCTCCCAGGTGTAGAAGCGACTTTAGAGATACCTATGAGGAAACAGAAGCTCCAAGAAGGTAAAGACCTTCTCCCAGGCCACAGAGCCAGTAAATGGCTGAGCCAGGGTTAGGAGGAAGGAAACTAACATTTCTATAGCACGTGCCCTAAATCCAGAGCCTCACCCTGCAAAGGAGGTGTTAGTAACCCCATTCTGCTCATGAGATTCAGAGAAGCTTAGTGAGTGGCCGATATCACCAAGCTACTAAAAGGCAGAGATACTATTAAAATATAGGCCTACAGCTGGGCGTGGTGGCTCACACCTGTAATTCCAGCACTTTGGGAGGCTGAGGCGGGTGGATCACGAGGTCAGGCATTCGAGACCAGCCTGGCCAACATGGTGAAAATCTGTCACTACTAAATATACAAAAATCAGCCTGGCGTGGTGGCGTGTGCCTGTAATCCCAGCTACTCAGGAGGCTGAGGCAGGAGAATAGCTTGAACCCTGGGGGCGGAGGTTGCAGTGAGCCGAGATTGCGCCACTGCATTCTAGCCTGGGTGACAAAGCGAGACTCCATCTCAAAAAACAAACAAACAAAACAAAACAAAACCTGACTCTTCAACAATCTACAGTTCTTCCTGAGCCCTTATCTGCCATGCTCATCTATGTATCCCCAGTGCCTGATACTGAGGAGTGTTCAAAACTCATTTAATATCGGGAGATTTGCCGGATGCTGTGGCTCATGCCTGTGATCCCAGCACTTTGGGAGGCCGAGGCGGGTGGATCATGAGGTCAGGAGTTCAAGACCAGCCTGGCCAAGATGGTGAAACCCCGTCTCTACTAAAAATACAAAAATTACAGCGCGCCTGTAATCCCAGCTACTCGGGAGGCTGAGGCAGGAGAATCGCTTGAACCTAGGGGGCGGAGGTTGCAGTGAGCCGAGATCACACCACTGCACTCCAGCCTGGGTGACAGAGCGAGACTCCATCTCAAAAAAAAAAAAAGTATCGGGAGATTGAGGTGGGAGGATGGCTTGAGCCCAGGAGGTTGAGGCTGCAGTGAGCCTTGATTACACCACTGCACTCTAGCCTGGGCTACAAAGCCAAGCCCTATCTCAGAAGAAAAAAAAAAAAAAAAAAAAGAGGCATTTAATGAATGAATGAGTCACACCTTGCTCTTCCCACTCTGCCGCACCTCCATCCAGATTCACTCTGTTCAAAGTTGATAGATGTTCTGGGGCTTTCACATAGTTGTCATGGTAACTGAACTTTTAGAACTTTTAGAAATAACAGCTGCAGGCAATCCAGGACAAAAACAGTGGACCTGTTTCTTGCTAAACAGGTTATGGCTCTTCTGTCCAAGCTGACAAGGGTTAACACAAAGCAGCAAAGGCTAGAAGAGATTTCCTAACACAGCTTTACGGTTATTGGCCATTGTTATTGACCAAGGACCCCTTTGTTTGCCCCAATACCACCACCTTCACCACAGATCCATGTTTTAGAAAACTTGTCTATTGAGAATACCTGCCTTTAAGTGGTAACTAAGCTGTAACTCCACTCTTTACACATCAACAATTTTCAAGCTACTGTCAGAGCTTCATATCAGCAGGAGATCACCACCATTACCCCACTGAGCTAATAGCATTTTAGCTCAAAGCAGGAAATCTTGGAGCATTTTATTTTGCTAGTTAGTGCAAGCAAGCCTGTAGAATTTGGACTTCTTGAAATATTGAAAATACCTTCTTAAGACCATTTCTAACAAAATTAGAAATGAAATGAGAAAATAACCATAGCTACAAAGAACCCTAAAAGGACTGTGATTATTACACAAATAAATGAGAAAGCCTGGCCAGGCGCAGTGGCTCACACCCGTAATTCCAGCACTTTGGGAGGCCAAGGCAGGCAGATCGCTTGAGCTCAGGAGTTAGAGACCAGCCTGGGCAACATGGCGAAAGCCCGCATCTACAAAAAAATACAAAATATTAGTCGGGTGTGGTGGCGCATGCCACCTACCCAGCTATCCAGGAAGCTGAGGTGGGAGGATTGCTTGAGCCCAGGAGGTCGAGGCTGCAGTGAGCTGTGATTGTGCCACTGGACTCCAGCCTGGGGGACAGAGAGAAAACCTATCTCAAAAAAAAAAAAAAAAAAAGAAGATTAATTTGAAATAAAATGGAAGACCTACATTTTGACCCAGCAATCCCATTCTAGGAATTTATCTTACAAATATATTTGTATATTAATTCAACAGTTTTTTTTTTAGTCTGTGTTCTGCTAAATGCTATGCTTATATTTGCTTCTTTTTAAAAATTTTCTTTCTCTCTCTCTCTCTCTTTTTTTTTAATAGAGATGGAGTCTCGCTATGTTGCCTAGGCTAGTCTTGAACTCCTGGGCTTGGCCTCCCAAAGTCCTGGGATTACAGGCATGAGCCACCAAACCTGGCCCTTCAGCAATTATTATTTTAGTATCAGTTACCTTTCTGGTGCCAGGAATACAAATCAGTGAACAAGTTGGACAAAACCAAAACAAAACAGCAACAAAAACCCTTGCAATCTGGTGGTAGGAAACAGACAATAAACATAATCAAAGAGTAAATTATATATACTCTGTCTGAAGGTGATGATTGCTATACGAAAAAAATTTAACAGGATAGGGAGATTGAGAAGGCTGGGTGAGCCTCTTGGAGAAAGAAGGCAGTGAGGGAGTGAGCCATGTGAATATGGGTGGTGGGGAGGAAAGGGCAAAGTCCCTGTGGTAGGATCGAACCTGGTGTGTACACACAAAAGGAGTCATGCACAAGATTTCATTACAGTAATGGTGGTAACAGCAAAGGATTCAAAGTCTAAGTATTCATCTGTAAGGGACCAATTAAACAGGGTATGGTACATCTACCAATGGAATACTATGCAGCTATACAAAAGAATAAGGAAAATCTATGAAGTGTGAAAGGAAGATCTCTGGAATATATTGTTTAGTGAAAAAAAGCAAGGAGCAGAATAGATTATATGGTATGCTAACTTTGTGTAAAAAAAAAGGAGGGAAATAAATATTATAAAGATGCCAATTATTTCTCAATTAATTTATAAATTAATTGTGAGACCCCCCAAGAAACAGAAAAGCTGGTTTTAAGGACGAAGAGAATTCATAGCTGGGTGTGGTGGCTCACATCTGTAATTTCTGCACTTTAGGGAGGCTGAGGCAGATGGATCGCTTGAGCCCAGAAGTTCAAGACTAGCCTGGGCAACATGGCGAGATGCCATCTCTACAAAAAAAAAATACAAAAATCAGCCAGGCATGGTGGTGCGTGCCTGTAGTCCCAGCTACTTGGGAGGCTGAGGTGGGAGGATTGCTTGAGCCTGGGAGGTAGAGGCTGCAGTGAGTCACGATCACGCCACTGCACTCCAGCCTAGGCAACAGAACGAGACCCTGTCTTGAAAAACAAAAACAAACAAAAACAAAAGAACTAAGGAAATTGTTAAAGAGAAAGGAACAAGCCCAACCAGATATTAAAATATATTATAAAACCATTATAATTAGGCCTGGTGCAGTGGCTCACGCCTGTAATCCCAGCACTTTGGGAGGCCAAGGTGGGCGGATCACCTGAGGTCGGGAGTTCGAGACCAGCCTGACCAACATGGAGAAATCCTGTCTCTACTAAAAATACAAAAAAGTAGCCGTGCGTGGAGGCACATGCCTGTAATTCCAGCTACTCGGGAGGCTGAGGTAGGAGAATCACTTGAACCCAAGGAGGCAGAGGTTGTGGTGAACTGAGATCACGCCATTGCACTCCAGCCTGGGCAACAAGAGTGAAACTCCATCTCAAAAAACAAAAACAAAAACAAAAACAAAAACACAACTATTATATTAAAATACTTTTTGGGGGAACACAAATAGACAACATTAATAGAATACAAAGTCCTGAAACACACCCAAATACACAAAGGAAAGAATGGCTTATGCAATAAATCATTCTGGAATATTGAGTAGCCATCTGGAAACAATGCCTTTGTATCCTTCCTACATTACTTACACTAAAATAAGTTTCAAAGGCTCAACGATACACGTCTAAAACATGAAACCATAAAAGTAACCAGATTAAAAAAATTTATAATCTTGCAGTGGGATGGGCTTACTTAAGCATGACTCAAAACTCAGAAGTTATCAACTTTGACCACAGTAAAAATTTTAACATTTTCCAGGGAAAAATAATAGTCAAAAGACAACAAACTGAACAATAATATATGCAACAAATAAGACAAATTTCTGGCTAGGTGCCATGGCGCACACCTGTAATCCCAGCACTTTGGGAGGCCGAGGCGAGTGGATCACCTGAGGTCGGGAGTTCGAGACCAGCCTGACCAACATGGAGAAACCCTGTCTCTACTAAAGATACAAAATTAGCTGGGTGTGGTGGCGCATGCCTGTAATCCCAGCTACTCGGGAGGCTGAGGCAGGAGAATCTCTTGAACCCGGGAGGCGGAGTTTGCAGTGAGCTGAAATCGCGCCATTGCCCTCCAGCCTGGGCAACAAGAGCAAAACTCCGTCTCAAAAAAAAAAAATTATCCAGGTGTGGTGGCATGTGCCTGTAATCCCTGCTACTCAGGAGGCTGAGGCAGTAGAATTGCTTGAGCCCAGAGTCTCAAAAAAAAAAAAAAAAAAAAAAGGACAAATTTCTACTGCATAAAAAGGACTCCTTGGCCATGCATGGTGGCTCACGCTTGTAATCCTGGCACTTTGGGAGGCTGAGGCGGGCAGATCACTTGAAGTCAGAAGTTCGAGACCAGCCTCAATAAGCCTGTCTCTACAAAAACTACAAAAAATTAGTTGAATGTGGTGCCATGTGCCTGTAGTCTCAGCTACTTGGGAGACTGAGGCACAAGAATTGCTTGAACCCAGGAGGTGGAGGTTGCAGTGAGCCAAGATCGCATCACTGCACTCCAGCTTGGGTGACAGAGCAAGACTTTATTTCAAAAACAAAATAAAATAAAATAAAAAATGCTGGGTGTGGTGGCTCACGCCTGTAATCCCAGTACTTTTGGAGGCCGAGACGGGTGGATCACCTGAGGTTGGGAGTTCGAGACCAGCCTGGCCAACATGGTGAAACCCTATCTCTACTAAAACTACACAAATTAGCTGAGCATAGTGGCAGGTGCCTGTAATCCCAGCTACTTTGGAGGCTGAGGCATGAGAATTGCTTGAACCTGGGAGGTGAGGGTTGCAGCGAGCCAAGATCACGCCACTGCACTCCAGCCTGGGCAAAAGACTGAAACTCTGTCTCAAAAAAAAAAAAAAAAGTCCTGTAAACTGAAGTGCAAAAGAGTAAAATCCTATAGAAAAACAGTCATGGGATGTGATGTGAAGAAAGAATTCACTGAAAACAGGGTGGGCGCGGTGACTCATGCCTGTAATCCCAGCACTTGGGAAGGCCGAGGTGGGTGGATCGTCTGAGGTTGGGAGTTTGAGACCAGCCTGGCCAAAGTGGTGAAAACCGGTCTCTACTAAAAATACAAAAAAATTGAAATACTCTTTGGGGGAACACAAATAGACAACATTAATAGAATACAAAGTCCTGAAACACACCCAAATACACAAAGGAAAGAATGGATTATGCAATAAATCATCCAGGTGTGGTGGCAAATTTCTGTACTCCCAGCTATTTGGGAGGCTGAGGCGGGAGAGTCACTTGAACCTGGGAGGCAGAGGTGGCAGTGAGCTGAGATCGCCTGACTGCACACCAGCCTGGGCGACAGAGTAAGACTCTGTCTCAAAAAAAAAAAAAAAAAAGAGAATTCACAGAAAAGAAAATTATTATGGCTCTTAAATAAAGGGATGCTCAATTTCACTTAAATCCACAATGAGATTCCATTTACACTTAATGATTGGCAAAGATAAAAATGGTTTCATAATATAGATGGCTTGTATTCTATTTTTGTTGGACAGTTCTGATCTAGATAAAAACAAATCTGGCCGGGGGCGGTGGCTCACGCTTGTAATCCCAGCACTTTGGGAGGCCGAGGCGGGTGGATCAACTGAGGTGAGGAGTTCGAGACCTGCCTGGCATGGTGAAACAGTGTCTCTACTAAAAATATAAAAAACTAGCTGGGTGTGGTGGCGCATGCCTGTAATCCCAGCTACTAGGGAGGCTGAGGCAGAAGAATCACTTGAACCCGGGAGGCAGAGGTTGCAGCAAGCTGAGATCATGCCACGGCACTCCAGCCTGGGTGACAGAGCAAGACTCTGTCTCTCAACAAAACAAAACAAAATAAAACGACGAATCCCTCCTTGAGCACCTAAATTAATGAGCTTCAGGGCCTGGAGAACTGGCCTTCTGACTCCACCAGGACCACTGTGGGAGCCTCCTGGCCTCAGCCTGCAGAGCCCAGCTAGGATGCTCCTCCCACCACACCTCGTGTCTCTGTTATACTCAGTCACTGCTCAAAATGTCAGCTCCTCTGGTCATCTCTTCTCTTCTGCTGTCATTTCCACGCTGTTAATTCCTCTCATCTTGACAACTCCCTGTTCCCTACCTTCTAAGACCTTTTTACTTGGCTCTTCGAAAGCTGGCTCTTGGTCAACAAACTTGTCCTCAACCCCGCCCTTCACACCACAGTCTTCCCCTGCCTGGGGTTTGCTCGGGGGCCCAGCAGGTAAGGAAAATGCATGGAGGCCAGGCAGGGTGGCTCGCACCTGTAATCCCAACACTTTGGGAGGCCAAGGTGAGCAGATCACCTGAGGTCAGGAGTTTGAGACCAGCCTGGCCAACATGGTGAAACCCTGTCTGTACCAAAAATACAAAATTAGCCGGGCATGGTGGTGGGCACCTGTAATCCCAGCTACTCAGCAGGCTGAGGCAGGAGAATTGCTTGAATCCGAGAGGTGGAGGCTGCAGTGAGCCAAGATACCACCATTGCTCCCCAGCCTGGGCGACAAGAGCAAAACTCCATCTCAAAAAAAAAAAAAAGAAAGAAAGAAAAAGAAAATGTATGGAGCATGAAGGGCCAAAGGCAGTGGGTAATGTCTGTGCCTGGACTGTGAGTAGTGAGAACCCGGGAGGATGAGAGCCCACATTCCCTGATCCAGCTCCAGGCTGAGTGCTGGCATGTGGGAATGTGGACCCAGCATGGCCAGATCTTCAGATAATTTAAAAGAGGCAAGAAACCCTCATACACTGCTGGTAGGGATGTAAAATAGCGCGGCACTATGGAAAACAGTTTGGTGATTCCTCAAAAAGTTAAACAAAGAGTTACCACATGACCCAGTAATTCCACTCCTAGCTAGATATCTACCCAACAGAACTGAAAACATATGTCCACATGCCAACTTTCACACGAATGTTTATAGCAGTGCTATTTATTTTAATGTTTTAATTTTTATTTTTTGAGATGGCGTCTCACTCTGTCACCCAGGCTGGTGTGTAGTGGCATGATCTCGGCTCACTGCAGCCTCCACCTCCTGGGTTCAAGCGATTCTCCTGCCTCAGCCTCCTGAGTAGCTGGGACTACAGGCGCGCGCCACCATGCCTGGCTAATTTTTGTGTTTTTAGTAGAGACGGGGCTTCACTATGTTGGCCAGGCTGCTCTTGAACTCCTGACCTCGTGATCCACCCGCCTCGGCCTCCCAAAGTGCTAGGATTACAGTCGTGAGCCACTGAGCCCAGACGTGGTTTTTTTTTTTTTTTTTTTTTGAGATGGAGTTTCATTCTTGTTGCCCAGGCTGGAGTGCAGTGGCGCAATCTCGGCTCACTGCAACCTCTGCTGCCTGCGTTCAAGCGATTCTCCTGCCTCAGTCTCCTGAGTAGCTGGGATTACAGGCGCCTACCACCACATCCAGCTAATTTTGTATTTTTAGTAGAGATGGGGTTTCACCATGTTGACCAAACTGGTCTTGAACTCCTGACCTCAGGTCATCTGCCTGCCTCATCCTCCCAAAGTGCTGGGATTACAGGCGTGAGCCACTGCATTGGGCCAATTTTTGTATTTTTAATAGAGACAGAGCTTCTCCATATTGGCCAGGCTGCTCTTGTACTCCTGACCTCAAGTGATCCGCCAGCCTCGGCCTCTCAAAGTGCTGGGATTACAGGTGGGAGCCACCAGGTTCGGACTTTATTGGCTTAATTTTTGAGCAGGCAAAGCAAACTAGTGTTTGGCTTATTGGCTACCAGTTTGGAGCCTATGTTTTAACAGAAATCACGTGCTCTTCTGGGGTTCCCACTTCCCAGCACCCCTCCCCCGGGGAGGCTGCTCCTTCTTCCTCACACCTTGACCCTCTGGAACCAGCCCTGAGGCTTCTTCCAACCATCATCATTCACTATCTTTTATTTTGTTTATCTATTTATTTATTTTTAGAAACAGGGTCTTGCTCTATTGCCCTGGCTGGAGTGCAGTGGCATGATCTCAGCTCACTGCAGCCTCGAATTCCTAGGCTTAAGAGATCCTCCTGCCTCAGCCTCCTGAGTAGTTGGGAATACAGGTGCACGCTAAAGACAAGCTAATATTGTCTTTTAAAGACCTTGTCACCTTCAAAGTCCTTGCCTCTCAGTTATACTAATTCGTGACAACATTAGACCCAGGTGTACTTTCTTTTCTTTTTCTTTTTTTTTTTTTTTTTTGAGACAGGGTCTCATTCTATCACCCAGACTGGAGTACAGTGGCATGATCTTGGCTCACCACAACCTCCACCTCCCAGACTTAAGAGATTCTCCTGCCTCAGTCTCCCGAGTAGCTGGGATTACAGGCATGTGCCACTACCGCCCGGCTAATTTTTGTATTTTTAGTAGAGACAGAGTTTCGTCTTTTTGACTAGGCTGGTCTTGAACTCCTGACCTCAAATGATCTGCCCGTCTCAGCCTCCCAAACTGCTGGTATTATAGGCTTGAGCCACCACGCCCGACCCCAGACATACTTTCTATTTTCCTCTTTCTCGCAGTCTCTGCCTCTGTTCTAGGTATGTCTCATGTTCGCTTACGTGACCCATACACCAACCAACCTCTCTGTCATTTCCCTGGCTTCCTTCTCCCCCAGTCATTTCACCTTCCCTTGAGCTCTGCCCCCTTCGCAAGGCCAGAAGTTGCAGCCGAGTGTCCCACCCCTGAGTTACTACGTTCGGGGTGGTCCTTTCTCTTTCCGTGGTCATCTACTCTCCTGCTGTTGGCTGCTCTCACTTCCATCCTTTCTACTGCAAGACAATCTTTAACTCCAATCCTCCTGTCTGGCCTCTCCCTCCAGTCTTTGCTTCTTTCCCCAGCATGGATTCCACAGTTACCTACCTTGGCCAATCTCTTGACAACATCCTGACTTCTCTCTTTTTTTTTTTTTTGAGACGGAGTTTTGCTCTTGTTGCCCAGGCTGGAGTGCAATGGCGCGATCTTGTCTCACCACGACCTCCGCCTCCCGGATTCAAGCGATTCTCCTGCCTCAGCCTCCTGAGTAGCTGGGATTACAGGCATGCACCACCACGCCTGGCTAATTTTTATATTTTTAGTAGAGATGGGGTTTCTCCATGTTGATCAGGCTGGTCTTGAACTCCTGACCTCAGGTGGTCCACCCGCCTTGGCCTCTCAAAGTGCTGGGATTACAGGCGTGAGACACCTCGCCTGAAATCCTGACTTTTCTTGACCTGTCTCACTGATGCACTAACCCGGAAGCCCTGACTCAGAGCCAGTCTGCTCATCCTTCTTGGCTACACCTGGGTCCTAAGCTGTGCTGGAGAAAATCACATCACTGCAGAATCTGGTGCCATCAATCCACGGACATCAACCATAACTGTGTCCTCCAATACTACCTGCCAGCAGCTTGACTCTCCTCATCAGCTCGCCCCCAAAATCATCCATCATGGCTATTGAAAACCTCACTTTCTGTTATACTCAGAAACTGGAAGCTTTCAGACAGGAACTCTCCCATTATCCTGCCACCCAGGTGCCTATCTGACTGCCCCATCTATCACCTCCTGGAGGGGAGATGTGTCCTTTTCCCACTGAAGGCCAGTCCTCCCCGCTGTGCACCGTCTGATTCCCTAAATTCCACCTTTGGCTCCTGGATGCTCTTGGGCTTCTTCCATCTCTCTCTCTCTACTGACTCCTTGCCAAGAACAAACAAGAACCCTTCCATGTCTACCTCCCTCTCTCTACCTTGTGTCTTTTTCTAACAAGTAACCTAGCTCTGAAGCCAAAGCACTTTTTGTTGTTGTTGTTGAGACAGGGTCTTCTTCTGTCGCCCAGACTGGAGTGCAGTGGTGCAATCACAGCTCACTGCAGCCTCGACCTCCTGGGCTCAAGCGATCCTTCCACCTCAGCTTCCCAAGTAGCTGGAACTACAGGTGCACGCCACTATACCTGGCTAATTTGTTTTTTTTGTTTTTTTTTTTTTGTACAGACAGGAGCTTCCTATGTTGCCCAGGTTGGTCTTAAACTCCTGAGCTCCAGTGATCCTCCTGCCTCAATCTCCCGTAGTGCTGGGATTACAGGCATGAGACACCGCAACTGGCCCCAAAGCACTTCTTCAAAGAGTTGTTTACATTGGCTGCCTCAGTTTCCTCACATACCACATACTCCCTGGAGCCACCTGGCCTCTCCCAAATTCCACTGAAACTTTTATTGCAGGTCACTAACAAACTCCTTATTGCCGAATCAAACCAATTTGGGCTGAAGAGCATCCCAGCTGGATGGCCCATGGGTGATGTGCGAGCAGCTGGTCCTGGGAGCTTTCGTCTGAGGGCAGACGCATGGCTCAGCCCTCCTGGACACAGGGCGCAGGTGAAATGCGTAGCAGAGCTCATTTGAGTGGCAGGTGTCTCCTAGTCCCAGCAGGTGGTTCAGTCACCGGCAGAGTGCTTGGCACTGGGAGAGGATTGCGACTCCTGCTCTTCTCCCGGGTCAAGAAGGCCCCAGCAAACTCCCTGCAAGCCCCTAGGTGTAATTTCCTCCCACTCTGGTGAATCTCTTCTCTTCCAATGTACTGTCAGTAGATAAATACCATGTCCTTCCCCATTCAGGGGCTCAAAGCCAAGCACGTGACATCAAAAACTCTGGCTCGGCTGGGCGTGGTGGCTCATGCCTGTAATCCCAGCACTCTGGGAAGCTGAGGCAGGCAGATCACGAGGTCAGGAGTTCAAGACCAGCCTGGCCAACATAGTGAAACCCAGTCTCTACTAAAAATACAAAAATTAACCGGGCATGGTGGCGCGTGCCTGTAGTCCCAGCTACTCGGGAGGCTGAGGCAGGAGAATCGCTTGAACCCGAGAGGCAGAGGTTGCAGGGAGCTGAGATTGTACCACTGCACTCCAGCATGGGCGACAGCAAAACTCCGTCTCAAAAAAAAAAAAAGAATAGGAAAGGGAATGGTGACCAGTTAAAAGATGGAGCATTGGTGGCTTAGGAGTCCCAAATGTAAGGAAGTTGTCACATCAGGAGACTAAGAGGAAGAAGACAGAATATCATTTGGAGGTGGAGGTCTGAGACGGGGGGTTAAAAGTAGCAGTTCGGCAGCAACTACTGTTCTTGCCAATGATAATATGACCAGGTCAGCAGGTGGCCAAAGAACAGATCCTTGGCAGCAGGGAGGTCTGGGCCCTAGGTCCTGGGTTGGATGGGCTGTCTACATCCATGATGCTGAAATCCTGGTGAAGGGAGGTGGAGGGAATAGCAGCAGAGAGACAGACGGGGAGCCACTGCGTGTGTGATCCTGGCTGACGTGGATTGCCTGGGAGGAAGGCATGTGGCTGGAACCAGGGAGATCACTCCAGAGCCTGTGCACCAAAGGTGCTGCGAGGTTTGAGGAAGGAGAGAGGGACAATGATCGGGAAGAAGCAACGAGGAACTTGGGAGAGCCCGACCCCATCTCCAGCCTTTTGGGACAGGGAGCCTGGAAGGAAAAAGCAGCCTCCTTGAAGGGTTGAAAGGAAGCTGTGTCCTCACTCAGGGAAGAGTCAGGTGAGCAGAGAAGCGGGTGGGGACATAGAGGGCTTTGCTGTGGGCAGGGGCTGGGGCCTGAGGACAGGTGGGGCACTTGGCAGATGAGGAGGGGCGTGAGACTGGTCAGATAGGGGTATGTCGACAGCCATGTGGGGCCAGGCATTCAGGTGACAACATGTGAGCTGGGAGACAAGGGCTTTAGGCAGCGTGGAGCCTCATGGGCTCTTGTCCCCTGAATGTTCCTCAGACTCCTCCTCTTCTCTATTGAAGCTCACTCCATAGGGGATCTAACCCACTCCCACTGGAGTACACTCTGCCAATGAGTGACTCCCACATTTATCTCCACCTCCAGCCTCTCCGCAGCGCTCCAGCCTGCACATGGGATTACCTGCTGGGCACTGCCACGTGGATGTTTTAAACACCTTCCAAAGTGCAAGGCGTGGTCCCTCAAACCCGCTCTTCCCCCAGGAAATGGCACCACTGTCCACTCTGTCGCTTAGGACAAAAACCCAGAAGTCACCTTAGAGACCTCTGTTTCCTTTTCCCCCTTTCCCAACCCAACACCAGGTGCCAGCGGCTCCTGCTTCGGAAGCCACCAGGGCCATGTGCACTTGTGGCCCCATGGCTGCTGCTGGGTCCCTGCTTCCGCCACTGCTCACCCGGCCCAGGCACAGCTTCCACCCTCCCACAGGAGCAGCCAGAGTGAACCTCCCCAGACCCACATCAGAGCCAGCTCCTCCCCTCCTTCGGCTTCCTAAAGTGCTTGGGATAGATTCCCGAGTCCATGGCTGGGTCCCGCAGGAGGGCTCCTTCCCACCTCACTCCCCGCCATGGTCACCTTTGCCCTCCCATCCCCCGCCTCACTGGCCCTCCTTACTCTCTCTTCTCAAAACACTCACATCTGCTCCAATGCCACCTCCTCCCAGAGGCCCACCCCCACCCTGAAGGTCCTGCCACAGAACAATCCCTCCTCCACTCTCTCCTGTTGCTCTGCTCTGTTATTCTCTAGATCAATCCATAGCACCTGACATACCGATGTTTCCTTGTTGATTTGATGATTTTCCTCTCTCCACTAGGACAAGCTCCATGGAGGATGTGGGCAAAACACCATCTTTTTCTTTTCTTTTGAGACAGTTTCCTTTTGTCTCCCAGGCTGGTGCGTGCAGTGGCACCATCTCGGCTCACTGCAACCTCCACCTCCCAGGTTCAAGCAATTCTCCCGTCTCAGCCTCCTGAGTAGCTGGGACTAAAGGCGTGAGCCACCACACCCAGCTAATTTTTTGTATTTTTAGTAGAGACAGGGTTTCACCATGTTGGCCAGGCTGGTCTTGAACTCCTGACCTCAGGTGATCCACCCTCCTTGGCCTCCCGGAATGCTGGGATTACAGGAGTGAGCCACCGCTCGTGGTCTTTCCTGTTTGTTTTCAAGGCCCTCCTTTGAAGCATCACCTTTTCCACTGCTGTATCCCACGCCTTGAACCTGCCCAGCTGATAGCAGAGGTGTAATAAATATTTGTTGAATAAGTGGATAACTAAAGAAGCCTATTTTATTTTATTCGGGCCTCAAGAGCCCGTTCTGAAAAGTCAAAAGCTGAATTTATGATTCCTGCTTTAGCAATTCTAATTCTCCCCAAGGCAATTCATCCTCGGTATTAGGCAGGTAGTCAAGGAGGAGCAGCAGCCAAGAGCACGTCAAGTAATATTTTGTTTCTTGGTTGGCACCAGGTCTTGGGCAGCGCAGGAAGAGAGTATGCGTCTTTCAGCACAATAAAAGACAAGTTCTTACCCTGAAGGGCGGGACATCTTTCTGTCTTCCATGACCTGAGTCTCTGTTGTCTCTGAAAAGTGGAATGGAGCAGGCTTGGGGCACCCACCTTCCCTCTCACTCATGGGCTGCGTGTGTTTTGGAGTTCAGGGGCTGGGTGCACATTACTGCTCACTGGGCTAAACGCCGGTAGGAGTGGGGAGCTCTACCTGAATTTGAGCTTAGGGAAGAAGAAAGGTCATTGAGAAAATGAAATGTAATACCTGAAGGAAATGAGTGAGACGGATGCTTTCAAGGGAGAACTCTCAAGTGAAAAGGCCTGCAGGGGCTGGGCATGGTGGCTCATGCCTGTAATCCCAGCACTTTGGGAGGCTGAGGTAGGAGGATCACTTGAGATTAGGAGTTTGACACCAGCCTGGCCAACATGGTGAAACCCTGTCTCTACTAAAAATACCAAAAAAAAAAAAAAAAAAAATTAGCCGAGTGTGGTGGTGCACGCCTGTAGTCCCAGCTACTTGGGAGACTGAGGTGGGAGGATCACATGAACCAGGAGGTGGAGGTTGCAGTGAGCTGAGATAGAGCCAGTGCACTCCAGCCTGGGTGACAGAGTGAGACTCTGTCTTAAAAAAAAAAACAAAAAAAAAAAACAGGCCGGGCACGGTGGCTCATGCCTGTAATCCCAGCACTTTGGGAGGCCAAGGCGGGTGGATCACGAGGTCAAGAGATTGAGACCAACCTGACCAACATGGTGAAATCCCATCTCTACTAAAAATACAAAAATTAGCCAGGCATGGTGGCGTGTGCCTGTAATCCCAGCTACTCGGGAGGCTGAGGCAGGAGAATCACTTGAACCTGGGAGGCGGAGGTTGCAGTGAGCCAAGATTGTGCCATTGCACTCCAGCCTGGGTGACAAGAGTGAAACTCCGTCTCAAACAAACAAAACGAACAAAAACTAAAGTCAACACACATGTGACGGGCTGGGAGAAACCTTTGCCTGCCACAGTATAACAGCTTCATAATGAAAAATAGAGAGAATCTTGAAAGAAATAAGAAAATGACAAAAACAAAACAAAACAAATAAGAAAACCCAATAGGAAACCGGGCAACTCATATGAAAGGGTGATTTGAAGAAGGGTCCAAATTCCCAGTAAACCTAGGAAAAGATGTTCAGTGTCCCTGGAAATTAGAGGAATGTAAATGTTACGGGCTGAAGTGTGTCATTCCCAAAAAAATATGTTTTAGTCCTAACCTCCAGCCACCTCAGAATGCGATCTTTGTGGAAACAGGGTAATTGCAGAGGTAGTTGGTCAAGATGGGGTCATACTGGAGTAGGGTGGGCTCCCATCCAACGTGGCGTCCTTAGAAGGAGCTGGCCAGTGAAGACGGAGACACACAGACAGGAAGATTGGAGGGAGGCATCTCCAGACCAAGGAATGCTAAAGATTGCCAGCAAACCACCAGAGGCTGGGCTGGGGCAAGGAAGGATTTTTTTTTTTTTAGACGGAGTTTTGCTCTGTTGCCCAGGCTGGGTGCAATGACATGATCTCGGCTCACTGCAACTTCCGTCTCCCAGGTTCAAGCAATTCTTCTGCCTCAGCCTCCCGAGTAGCTGGGATTACAGGCATATGCCACCATGCTCGGCTAATTTATTTTTATTTTTATTTTTATTTTATTTTTAGTAGAGACAGGGTTTCTCTATGTTGGCCAGGCTGGTCTTGAACTCCCGACCTCAGGTGATCTGCCCACCTCTGCCTCCCAAAGTGCTGGGATTACAGGTGTGAGCCACCGTGCCCGGCTGGGGCGAGGAAGGATTCTATGCTACAGGTTTCAGCATAAGCATGGTCTTGTCCACACTTTGATTTTTTTTG
This sequence comes from Homo sapiens, assembly GCF_000001405.40. Lineage (NCBI taxonomy): Eukaryota > Metazoa > Chordata > Mammalia > Primates > Hominidae > Homo > Homo sapiens. The sequence continues at coordinate 40,987,599 of NC_000022.11, read as the reverse complement.
TTGTTTGTTTATTTGTTTTTTTTTTTTGAGATGGAGTCTTGCTCTATTACCCAAGCTGGAGTGCAGTGGCACAATCTCAGCTCACTGCAACCTCTGCCTCCCGGGTTTGAGCAATTCTCCTGCCTCTGCCTCCCAAGTAGCTGGGATTACAGGCATGAGCTACCATACCCGGCACATTTTTTTATATTTTTGGTAGAGACAAGGTTTCACCATGTTGGTCAGGCTGGTCTCGAATTCCTTACCTCAAGTGATCCGCCTGCCTTGGCCTCCCAAAGTGCTGGGATTACAGGTGTGAGCCACCTCGCCCAGCCAGCGCTTTGATTTTGGACTTTGAGCCTCCAAAACTGTAAGACAATACATTTCGATTTATTTATTTATTCATTCATTGATTTTTTGAGATGGAATCTCACTCTGTTGCCCAGGCTGGCGTGCAGTGGCACAATCTTGGCTCACTGCAACCTCCGCCTTCCAGGTTTAAGTGATTCTCGTGCCTCAGCCACACAAGTAGCTGGGATCACAGGGATGCATCAGCACGCCTGGCTCATTTTTGTATTTTTAGTAGAATCGTTGTTTCACCATGTTGGCCAGGCTGGTCTCCAACTCCTGGCCTCAAGTGATCCGCCCGCCTCGGTCTCCCAAAGTGCTGGGATGACAGGTGTAAGCCACCGCACTCGGCCACATTTCTGTTTTTAAACCACCTAGTGTGTGGTCCTTTGTTATACCACCCCTAAAAAACTAACACAGCAAATTAAAACAACGTTGAGATCGCTTTCATTTTTTCCGTCCGTTGGCAAAAAAATGAAAAATATTATTATATCCAGTGCTGGCAAAGATGTGAGAAAACTCTCACTGCAACTCTGATGGGAGTGGGATTTAGTGACACCCCTTTGGAGGCAATTTGGCAGGACACCATCAGATAAAAATGAAAAGACTCATGTTCTACAGCTTGGCAATTCCAGCTCTTTCTGTCTAACCTGGAGAAATACTTACACATGTTCACAAAAGAGTTGCATATTAGAATGTTCTTTGCAGCATTTTTGTAACAGCAGAAAACCTGACAAATCTATGACATCCACGGATAGGAAATGGCTCATGAACTGGTCTGTCTCTCCTCGGGGGATTCACGATGAAGTTGCTGAAGCTTAAGCTGCAGGCCTCTCATTTGCACCAACCCCTTCCAAGGCCCAGAGAGGGGCTCTGGCAATTTCTATGTGCAACTTTGTATTACCTTTTAAAGAGTCTCCTCCTGAATGCATAAGCTCCAGGCTCCATAACATTTGAGCCTGCTCCTGTCATACTCTATAATAGACAATGGCAATTAACAAAGAAATAGGGCCAGTGGGCCAGACATGGTGGCTCACACCTGTAATCCCAGCACTTTGGGAGGCCAAGGCAAGCGGATCGTTTGAGGTCAGGAGTTGGAGACCAGTTTGGCCAACATGGTGAAATCCCATCTCTACTAAAAATACAAAATTTAGCCGGGCGTGGTGGCGCTTGCTTGTAATCCCAGACACTTGGGAAGCTGAGGCAGGAGAATTGCTTGAATCCGGGTGGCGGAGGTTGCAGTGAGCCAAGATCATGCTATTGCACTCCAGCCTGGGTGACAGAGTAAGACTCCATCTCAAAAAAAAAAAAAAAAAAAAAAAAAAAATGAAAAGAAAAGAAAAGAAAAGAAAAAAAGAAATAGGGCCAGTGGCTAGAGAATAGAGGGTTTCACTGAGCGGAGCCTCTGAGTTCCTGCAGAGGTTTGGAAGTGACAAGTTGAGAAGCCGATCAGGCATCACCTCCTGCCACCCACCCTGGGCAGCCGGCGTGGGCATGTGACACAGACTGGGTCAATCTGAGAGGCTCCTATATAGAGGGTGGGATTAGGGGCCAGTGGTGGGCAGTGAGTGTCACAGGGGCCACCTGCTTGCAGGCCATGATGAGTGTACAGGAGTGGCGGTGTCGGCCGACAGCTCCTGTGGTTTGGTCTCTGCTGCCTTATTGTCCCTCTTGGTTTGGCCTTTTTTTTTTCTAAGTTTCTTCTCTAGCCTTCCTGCCATTTGTTCATTTTGTTTGTTTTTGAGACAGGATCTTGCTCTGTCACCTAGGCTGGAGTGCAGTGACGTGATCATGGCTTACTGCAACCTTGACCTCCTCGGGCTCAGGTGATCCTCCCACCTCAGTCTCCAAAGTAGCTGGAACTACAGGCATGTGCCACCACACCTGGCTAATCTTTGTATTTTTTGTAGAGATGGGGTTTCACCATGTTTCCCAGGCTGGTCTCGAACACCTGTGCTGAAGCAATCCTCCTACCTTGGCCTCCCAAAGAGATGGGATCACAGGTGTGTAATCCCTTGTCCAACCCTTCCTGCCATTTGCTGAGCTGTCTGATGGTCTCCCAATAAATCCCCTTCCTGCACAAGCTAGCCAGTTGGTCTCTTCTGTTTGCCACCAGGAACCTGACTGGTACCAATAGCTCACGCCAGTTCCGAGAAATATTTAAGGGAATACATAGAATTCTTTTCAGTCTAATGCTTTTCTCCCACAAAATTTTCTGAAATCTTTGATGTCTACTATGACTCGCCTCCACTAGAATTTCATAAAAGTTGTATTTATTTATTTATTTATTTATTTATTTATTTATTGAGACGGAGTCTCGCTCTGTTACTCAGGCTGGAGTGCAATGGCGCGATCTCGGCTCACTGCAAGCTCCGCCTCCCGGGTTCACGCCATTCTCCTGCCTCAGCCTCCCGAGTAGCTGGGACTACGGGCACCCGCCACCATGCGCGGCTAATTTTTTTGTATTTTTAGTAGAGACGGGGTTTCACCGTGTTAGCCAGGATGGTCTCGATTTCCTGACCTCGTGATCCGCCCGCCTCGGCCTCCCAAGGTGCTGGGATTACAGGCATGAGCCACTGCGCCCGGCAGGAAAAGGTTGTATTTCATCTGACTCGAGAGCTACAGGTTTATTTATTCCGGCTTTAGTGAACATCCACGCAGGTGCTGCCACCCAGGAACCCAGAGCCCTGGAAAGCCTGAGGTTCCCTGGGCAGATCCCTTTCTATCGGGAGATGACTCCCACACCCACACCCCAAATAGGAAGATTTCTTCTTCTTCTTTTTTTTTTTTTTTAGATGGAGTCTTCGTCTGTTGCCCAGGCTGGAGTGCAATGGTGCGATCTCGGCTCACTGAAACCTCCGCCTCCCAGGTTCAAGCAATTCTCCTGCCTCAGCCTCCCCTGTAGCTGGGACTACAGGTGCCGGCCACCACGCATGGCTAATTTTTGTATTTTTAGTAGAGATGGGATTTCACCATGTTGGTCAGGCTGGTCTCGAACTCCCGACCTCAGGTGATCCGCCCGCCTCAGCCTCCCAAAGAGCTGGGATTACAGGCGTGAGCTACGGCACCCGGCTCCAAATAGGAAGATTTCATGATACTCAACACTTGGAGAGTTTGTTCCCTGCATAAGAGGTAAAGTCATTCAGTGGAAAGAACATGAGATTTGGAGTCAGGAGACTGCACTCAGGTCCAAATCGGCCTCCGGGCACAGTCTCTCCAACACTCTGAGCCCCATACTCTCATTTGTAAAGGGGGTAACAGTACTTACTACAGATCAGCCATCCAGGAGACCCTGGGTGCTGTCACTCCACAGCCCCGACTAGAGAAGGTGTCAGACATTTTTTTTCTTTTTCTTTTTCTTTTTGAGACAGAGTCTCGCTCTGTCGCCCAGGCTGGAGTGCAATGGCATGATCTTGGCTCACTGCAACTTCCATCTCCCAGGTTCAAGCGATTCTCCTACCCCAGCCTCCTGAGTACCTGGGACTACAGGCGCCCGTCACCACGCCCAGCTATTTTTTGTATTTTCAGTAGAGACGGGGTTTCGCCATGTTGGCCAGGCTGGTCTCAAACTCCTGACCTCAAATGATCCACCCACCTTGGCCTCCCAAAGTGCTGGGATTACAGGCGTGAGCCACTGCTCCTGGCCCACAAATTGTTTTTATGAACAAGTTGCTATGCTCTATTCCTCGGACTTCAGACACATGGACTGGAAGAGGATCAGGTGACTGTGGCAAGGGCAGCCATCTCTGGAGGTCAGTGCCCTGTGAGCTGGGCTAGCGTGAACAGTCCTGCCCAATCACCTGTTTCTTGTGGACAGATGAAACGCAAGGCTTACGTGGAGATTTGTGCAGCAGAGACACAGAAACCCAGAGATCCACAGAGATGACAGCTAAAAGTAGAAGTTGAGGCAGTAGAAGCTTTAAGCATGCAGGAGTACGCAGGAGTAAGGCGGCGGAGAGGCCGTGGTGGTTGCAGGAGCTGTTGGTCCCCTGCGCTGTATCCCCTTGGGGCTTCTTAGTCCACCTGCAGGTGTAGGCGGTGGTTCCCTGCACACACAAGCTTCACTTCAGTACCCCCATCTCTCTGCTTCTCAGCCTGAGGGGTTTTTTTCTGGAGCAGTGAACACTTGCTCAGCCTTTTGTGCAGGGTAACCCAGAAGGGCCACGGATTTAAAACCTCCAGGCCCTGGCTCAGTACCTGGGCTTCCCATCCCTGGGCGTGCAGTGCTGTGCTGTGCTCTGCACGTCCCCACAGCGGGCCTGGCGGGGGACTGAGCCCAGTTGTCCGCAGAGGTGACCTGCTCAGTGTCTTTCCTCACTCCCCTGTCTCTCATTCCCTCTCCCGCGCTGTGCTTCCTGGAATCAACTCCAAAATAAGCTACCAAGTTCTCGTCTCAGGCTCTTCTTCAGGGGAATCTAAATTTAGACAGTGGCACTAGAAGAAAAGAGAAGCAGCAACAAAAATCTGCTGTGGGTGCTGAGAAGCAGCGGACACTTCTGCAGGGACAACCAGATGGAGGCCTGCGGCCTACTGAGCGACATTCCAGTCTCCCAGGCCAGATTGCGCAGACAGGGAGGATTTCCTGTGAACCTGCTGTGCTACCAGTGTGCTTGAGGGAACCCGAGAAGTCTCTGGTCCTTTCAACCTGAAGGGACTGAACCAGCCTTCTCCTATGGAGAGCTGCTGTTTGTTAGGCACCTACTATGTGTCCAGCTCTGTGGCAGGCGCTTCACTTTCAACTCTCATTCTCTTGACAACTTGCAAGGGAGGTAATATCTTAAAAAACAAAGTAGGCCAGGCGCGGTGGCTCACACCTGTAATCCCAGCACTTCGGGAGGCCGAGATGGGCGGATCACCTGAGGTCAGGAGTTCGAGACCAGCCTGACCAACATGGTAAAACCCTGTCTTTACTAAAAATACAAAATTAGCTGGGTGTGGTGGCACATGCCTGTAATCCCAGCTACCCAGGAGGCTGAGGCGGGAGAATCGCCTGAACCCAGGAGGCAGAGGTTGCACTGAACCAAGGCCGTGCCATTGCGCTCCAGCCTGGGAAACAAGAGCGAAACTCCATCTCAAAAAAAAAAAAAAAAAAAAAAAAGCCAGGATTGGTGGCACATGCCTGCAGTCCCAGCTACTCAGGAGGCAGAGGCAGAAGAATCGCTTCAACCCGGGAGGTGGAGGTTGCAGTGAGCTGAAATTGCGCCACTGCACTCCAGCCTGGGGGAGAGAGGGAGACTCTGTCTCAAAAACAAAAACAAAAACAAAACAAACAAAAAACAACAGCAACAACAAAAACAAAGTAGGAAGTAGGCCAGGCATGGTGACTTATGCCTGTAATCCCAGTAATTTGGGAGGTCAGGAATTCGAGACCATCCTGACCAACATGACAAAACCCCGTCTCTACTAAAAATACAATAATTAGCCGGGCATGGTGGCACATGCCTGTAGCCCCAGCTATTCAGGAGGCTGAGGCAGGAGAATCGCTTGAACCTGGGAGGCGGAGGTTGCAGTGGCCATGATCGTGCCACTGCACTCCAGCCTAGGGTGACAGAGTGAGACTACATCTCAAAAAAAATAGGATGAAAGACCTACATCTAAGAACTAAAACACAAAAACTCTTAGATGAAAATATAGGGGCAAATATTCATGATGTTGGATTTGACAACAATTTATTAAATGTGACACCAAAAGAAAAAACAAATAGATTGCAATTCATCAAAGTTAAAAACTTTTGTGTATCAAAGGATATTATGGGTTTTGTTGTTGTTGTTGTTTGTTTGTTTGTTTGAGACAGAGTTTCCCTCTATTGCCCAGGCTGGAGCGCAGTGGTGTGATCTCGGCTCACTGCAGCCTTCACCTCCCAGGCTCAAGCAAGCTATCCTCCCACCTCAGCCTCCTGAGTAGCTGGGTCTACAGGCGTGTGGCACCATGCCTGGCTAATTTTTGAATTTTTCTGTAGAGACGGGGTTTCACCACCTTGCTCAGGCTGGTCTCAAACTCCTGGGCTCAAGCGAACCTCCTGTCTTGGCCTCCTAAAGTGCTGGGATTACAAGTGTAAGCCACCACGTCCAGCTGGGATACTATCAAGAGAGTGAAAAGGCAACCCACAGAATGGAAGCAAATTTTTGCAAATAATATATCTGGTAACGATTTAATATCCACATTATATAAAAAGTTCCAACAACTCACCACCACCAAAAAACCCCCCAAAAAACAAAAACCCCAAAAACCAACCCAATTAAAAAATGGCAAAGGGGCCAGGCATGGTGGCTCATGCCTGTAATTCCAGCACTTTGGGAGACTGAGGTGGGCAGCTCACTTGAGGTCAGGAGGTCGAGGCCAGCCTGGCCAACATGGTGAAACCCTGTCTCTACTAAAATTACAAAATTTAGCCAGGCATGGTGGTGGACGCCTGTAATCCTAGCTACTCGGGAGGCTGAGGAAGGAGAATTGCTTGAACCTGGGAGGCAGAGGTGACAGTGAGCCCAGATCTCACCACTGCACTCCAGCTTGAGCAACAGAATAAAACTCTGTCTTGGTCAGGCACGGTGGTTCACGCCTATAATCCCAGCACTTTGAGAGGCCGAGTGGGCAAATCACAAGGTCAAGAGATAGGGACCATCCTGGCCAACACGGTGAAACCCCGTCTCTACTAAAAATACAAAAATTAGCTGGGTGTGGTGGCGGGCGCCTGTGGTCCCAGCTACTCGGGACGCTGAGGCAGGAGAATGGCATGAACCTGGGAGGCGGAGGTTGCAGTAGGCCGAGATCGCGCCACTGCACTCCAGCCTGGCGACAGAGTGAGACTCCGACTCAAAAAAAAAAAAAAAAAAAAGACTCTGTCTCAAAAAACAAAACAAAACAAAAACCAAAAATGGCTAAGAAAGAAGCCATGAAAAGATGCTCAACAGCATCAAAACCACAAATAGTTCTTATTCCCCAGGATGGCTATTATCAAAATTTGTAAAATGACAAGTGTTGGCAAGGATGTCGCTGTGGACTGAATTGTACCCCTCCCTGCAAATTCATATGTTGAAGCCCTAACTCCTAGTATGACTGTATTTGGAGATAACGTCTTTTGGAGATAATTAAGCTTAACTGAGGTAAAAGTTGGGGAGCTAATCCAATAGGACTGGTGTCTTAGAAGAAGAGAAAGAAGAGTCCGGGCTTCCCATCCCTGGGCGTGCAGTGCTGTGCTGTGCTCTGCATGTCCCCACAGCGGGCCTGGTGGGGGACTGAGCCCAGTTGCCTGCAGAGGTGACCTGCTCGGTGGCTTTCCTCACTCCCCTGTCTCTCATTCCCTCTCCCGCGCTGTGCTTCCTGGAATCAACTCCAAAATAAGCTACCAAGTTCTCGTCTCAGGCTCTTCTTTAGGGGAATCTAAATTTAGACAGTGGCACTAGAAGAAAAGAGGAGCAGCAACAAAAATCTGCTGTGGGTGCTGAGAAGCAGCGAACACTTCTGCAGGGACAACCAGATGAGCCCTGGGCTATCACCCAGAGCTCTCTCTCTCTCCAAAGGCCATGTCAGGATGCAGCAGGAAGGCAGCCGTCTACAAGCCAGGAAGAGAGCCCTCATCAGAAACTGAATTTACTGGCACCTTGATCTTGGACTTCCGGCCTCCAGAACAGAATAGAAAATAAATTTCTGTTGTTGAAGCTGCCCAATCTATGGTATTTTGTTAGAACAGCCTTAGTAGACTAATACAAATTTGGAAAAATTGAAGTGCATTGCTGGTGGGAATGTAAAATAGTATGTGGAAAAATCTGGCAATTACTAAAAAAGCTAAACATAGAATTTACTGTATGACCCAACAATTCTACTTCTCGATATATACCCAAAAGAACTGAAAGCAGGGTCTCCTAGAGACATATGTATACATTGTGTTTATTGCGACATTGTTTGTGACAGCCAAAAGGTTAAAAAAAACAAAAAACAAAAAACAAAAAACAAGCAGCCAGGCGCAGTGGCTCACGCCTGTAATCCCAGCAATTTGGGAGGCCGAGGTGGGCAGATCACCTGAGGTCAGGCGTTCAAGACCAGCCTGGCCAACACTGCGAAACCCCATCTCTACTAAAAAATACAAAAATTAGTCCGGTCCTGATGCCTCACGCCTGTAACCCCAGCACTTTGGGAGGCCGAGGTGGGAGGATCACCTGAGGTCAGGAGTTCGAAACCAGCCTGACCAACATGGTGAAACCCCATCTCTACTAAAAATACAAAAATTAGTTGGGTGTCGTGGTGCATGCCTGTAATCCTAGCTCCAGGGAGACTGAGGCAGGAGAATTGCTTGAACCCGGGAGGCGGAGGTTGCAGTGAGCCGAGATCACTGCACTCCAGCCTGGGCAACAGAGCGAGACTCTGTCTCAAATAAATAAATATATATATTGCATAAAAAATAAAAAGCTTGTCTACTCTGAATCATGAATGATGATACTGCAGGATGGGCAGCCCTCTGCAAAGGGTAGGGTGAGGTAAAACCATCATCACCAAAGACCAAGAGAGGGTAAGCAAATCCTCTGGGTGGGTAAGGGGACAGGGCTTGGTATCAACTGTGGGCCGAGGATGAGGACACCAGCCTTGGAGTCAGGCAGACCCCGATTCAAATTCTGCCTCTGCCGGCCGGGCACAGTGTCTCACACCTGTAATCCCAGCACTTTGAGAGGCCAAGGTGGGTGGATCACGAGGTCAGGAGATCGAGACCATCCTGGCTAACACGGTGAAACCCCGTCTCTATTAAAAATACAAAAAATTAAATTAGCTGGGCATGGTGTCGGGTGCCTATAGTCCCAGCTACCCGGGAGGCTGAGGCAGGAGAATGGTGTGAACCTAGGAGGCAGAGCTTGCAGTGAGCTGAGATTGTGCCACTGCACTCCAGCCTGGGTGACAGAGCAAGACTCGGTCTCAAAAAAAAAAAAAAAAGAAAAAAGAAAAAGAAAAAAAAATTCTACCTCTGCCATTTCCTATGACGGGAACTTAAACGAGTCACTTAGTTCTCTGGGTATCAGTTTCCTGATGTGCAGCATCGGGGCAATAACAGAACTAATTTTACAGGCTCTATTTTTGTTGTTTTTTGTTTTTTGAGATGGAGTCTTGCTCTCTTGCCCAGGCCAGAGTGCAGTGGCGCCATCTCGGCTCACTGCAAGCTCCGCCTCCTGGGTTCAAGCGATTCTTCTGCCTCAGCCTCCTGAGTAGCTGGGATTACAGGCGCCTGCCGCCACCACGCCTGGCTAATTTTTGTATTTTTAGTAGAGACAGGGTTTCACCATGTTGGCCAGGCTGGTCTCAAACTCCTGACCTGCAGTGATCCACCCGCCTTGGCCTCCCAAGGTGCTGGGATTACAGGTGTGAACCACTGTGCCTGGCCCACAGGCTCTATTTTTGTGATGAATACGTGGATGGTGCAGTTTTCTCTTGTGCCTGTCACATCATTGAAAGTCAATGAATAGGCCGGGCAAGGTGGAACACACCTGCAATCCTGGCACTTTGGGAGGCTGAGGCAGGTGGACCTCCTCCTGAGGTCAGGAGTTCGAGACCAGCCTGACCAACATAGCAAAACCCTGTCTCTACTAAAAATACAAAAATCAGCCAGGCATGGTTGCGCATGCCTGTAATTCCAGCTGCTAGGGAGGCTGAGGCAGAAGAATCGCTTGAACCTGGAAGGTGGAGGTTGCAGTGAGCCGTGGTCGTGCCACTGCACTTCAGCCTCCTGGGCGACAGAGCCAGACTCTGCCTCAACAACAACAACAGAAACTTCTTACCGAGGCCAACACGTCTCCAGGTGAACTGGCCCCGGCCTTCCTCTGTGAAAATGACGCTCCCTCCTGTGTTCACAGAGCTCCAACCACACTGGAGCAAGTCATCGTCTGCCCCGGGGACTTGGTCTGGGACTCCCCACCTATGTCAGATGACTGTCTTCATCAAGTCTCACAACTTGCCTGTCATATCCCCAAAGAGGACTTCCCTGCCCCTCTGTTAGAAGTGGCCACACAGTTTTACTCTATGACACCTCAACCCTCTTCACTGTCTACGTGACACTTAGCACTATCTAAAACATCAGTCACATATGTGATTACTTCTTTACAGCCTGTCTACCCTCCTGGTTCTGAGGCTCCAGCACAGCAAAAGCCTTGTCTGTCCTGTTCACCCGTGAATCTCCAGCACTCAACATGGTGCCCTAATAAATACTGGCTGAATAAACGAATGAAGGAATGAACAAATGAGTGGCCCTGACTTTGACTTCTTTCGTGTCTTTCAAGCCAATTATCTGGTCAGGATCTGGCGGTCCACTGGGAGACAGTATTAAACTAATGATATAGACATAAGTATTTGTCCTGACCCCTGCAATAGTTATGGTTCACTTTGAAATAATTTGTGTGTGCGCGTTTTTTAATATATGAGTCTAGGAGCTTAATAATTATTTGGTATTGTTATTATTGTCATGCTCTATTATTCATTGACTTTCTTTTTTTTTTCCTTAATTCTTTTTTTTTTTTTTGAGACAGAGCCTCGCTCTGTCGCCCAGGCTGGAGTGCAGTGGCACAATCTCGGCTCACTGCAACCTCCACTTCTTGGGCTCAAGCAATTCTCGTTGCCTCAGTCTCCCGAGTAGCTGGGACTATAGTTGCTCACCACCACGCCCGGCTGATTTTTTTTTTTGTATTTTTAGTAGAGACAGGATTTCACCATGTTGGCCAGGCTGGTCTCAAGCCCCTGACCTCAAGTGATCCACCCGTCTCGGCCTCCAAAAGTGCTGGGATTACAGGTGTGAGCCACCATGCCCTGCCTTTTTTTTTTTTCCTTTTTCTTTCTTTTCTTTTTTTTTTTTTTCCGAGACAGAGTTTTGCTCTGTCGCCCAGGCTGGAGTGCAGTGGCGTGATCTTGGCTTACTGCAACCTATAGGTGAGCACCACCATGTCCAGCTAATTTTTATATTTTTTAGTAGAGACGAGGTTTCGCCATATTTGCCAGGCTGGTCTCAAACTCCTGGGCTCAAGCGATCCTCTCACCTTGGCCTCCCAAAGCGTTGGGATTACAGGCGTGAGCCACCGCGCCCAGCCAATTCATTTTTTAAGGAAAGAACTTGGAGTTGGTCCCTTGCCTGTGGCAGAAGCTGTGGGAAAGGTGGCAGAGTCTTTGGCATCCACAGATTTCCTGTCATGTCTGAAGCTGGTCTCTGTGAAAGAGAAGAAGTGAGGGCCGGGTGCGGTGGCTCACGCCTGTAATCCCAGCACTTTGTGAGGCCGAGGTGGGCAGATCGCCTGAGGTCAGGAGTTCGAGAACAGCCCGGCTAACATGGTGAAACCCCGCCTCTACTAAAAATACAAAAATTAGCCGGGCGTGGTGGCACACGGGAGGTTGAGGCAGGAGAATCACTTGAACCTGGGAGGTGCAGGTTGCAGTGAGCTGAGATCACGCCACTGGACTCCAGCCTGGGTGACAGAGCAAAACTCTGTCTCCAAAAATAAAAATAAAAAAAATAAAAAAGAGAAGCAGTGAGAATCCCAGCCGCATGGATTCCCTGTTTCTCTTCAGTCTTAGATCCAGCTGCGTCTCCAGCCCTTTCTTCTGTTGCATTGCAGACCTCTATAGCCCTCCAAGAAATTTCCCTTTTGCCCAAGCAGAAGCTGGATTTCTGTACTTTACACAAAGAATTCTGATCAAAACCCAAGCAGAATTCTGCAAATATGTAATGTGTCATCTGTGCAAAAAGCAATGTGTTCTTCATTAATGAAAGTATTTATGCAGTCTGAATGCTGCCTGGAAAGGGTTTAAAAGAAGGAATTTCTGCTGAGGATGGTAGTCCCAAAATGATACAAATAGGAACAGTAGCAGCTGCCTCCATTTGAGTGCTTGCTACAAAATAGGTACTGTGGTAGTTTAGTGAGTTTAGTGGGGGAGCCAGTTTTGTTCCAGGTTAGACTTTAAAGTGTTTTTTTTTTTTTTTTTTTTTTTTTTTTTGAGACAGAGTCTCACTCTGTCTCCAGGCTGGAGTGCAGTGGTGCGATCTCGGCTCACTGCAATCTCCACCTCCCGGGTTCAAGCGATTCCCCTGCCTCAGCCTCCCAAGTAGCTGGGACTACCACCATGCCCGGCTAATTTTTTTGTATTTTAGTAGAGACGGGGTTTCACCATGTTGGCCAGGATGGTCTCGATCTCCTGACCTTGTGATCCACCCACCTCGGCCTCCCAAAGTGCTGGGATTACAGGCGTGAGCCACTGCGCCTGGCCGAAGTTCTTTTTTTTTTTTTTTTTGAGACGGAGTCTCGCTCTGTCGCCCAGGCTGGAGTGCAGTGGCACGATCTCGGCTCACTGCAAGCTCCGCCTCCCGGGTTCACGCCATTCTCCTGCCTCAGCCTCCCGAGCAGCTGGGACTACAGGCGCCCGCCACCACGCCCGGCTAATTTTTTGCATTTTTAGTAGAGACGGGGTTTCACCGTGTTAGCCAGGATGGTCTCGATCTCCTGACCTCGTGATCCGCCCGCCTCGGCCTCCCAAAGTGCTGGGATTACAGGTGTGAGCTACCATGCCCGGCCAAGACGCTACACAAAATTTAAAAATTAGCTCAGTGTGGGGCCTGGCGGGGTGGCTCACATCTGTAATCCCAGCACTTTGGGAGGCCGAGGCGAGTGGATTGAGGTCAGGAGTTTGAGGCTAGCCTGGCCAACATGGCGAAACCTCGTTGCTAATAAAAATACAAAAATTAGCCAGGCGTGGTGGCATGCACCTGTAATCCCAGCTCCTCGGGAGGCTGAGGCAGGAGAATCGCTTGAACCCGAGAGAAGGAGGTTGCAGTGAGCTAAGATGGTGCCAATGCACTCCAGCCTGGGCGACAAGAGCGAGACTTTCAAAAAAAAAAAAAAAATTAGCTGGGTATGGTGGTGCATGCATGTAATCCCAGCTACTTAGGAGGCTGAGGCTGGAAGATCACTTGAACTCAGCAGGTTGGGGCTGCAGTGAGCTGTCATCTCACCACTGCACTCCAGCCTTGGGGACAGAGCAAGACCATGTCTCAAATCCCGCCCCCCACAAAAAAAAAGCCCAGAAATTTAAAAAAATGACTGAAAAGAATAAAAACCCATCACTTATGAGCATATTTTTATTAAAATTATTTTTTTAAACAAAAAAAGTGAGACTAGCATTGTTTTTGTATTTTTGCTAATGTCTTTTACATCTGATTTAATAGAAGACACTGGATTCTTAAGTCGGTGTCTTCATTAGATATGCTGCTTTGGTTGAATATAAAGAAAAACTTTCACATAGACTTGCGGTTCATGAACCCCCTGAAAGGGTTTCAGGTACCCCCTTGTCAGGAATCCTCAGATGATACTTTGAGAACCACTGCAACAAACTATGTTGCTTCTCAGTTAAAAAGTCTATATTATTAACCATTGAATTAGTATTAGAACTGACAATTCTTTCCATCTCCCAAGATTTTTTTTTTTTTCTTTGAGACGGAGTTTCGCTCTTGTTGCCCAGGCTGGAGTGCAATGGCGCGATCTCGGCTGACTGCAACCTCCGCCTCCCAGGTTCAAGGGATTCTCCTCCTCAGCCTCCTGAGTAGCTCAGATTACAGGCGCACACCACCACGCCTGGCTAATTTTTTTATTTTTAGTAGAGACGGGGTTTCACCATGTTGGTCAGGCTGATCTCAAACTCCTCACCTTGTAATCGCCTGATTATAGGCATGAGCCACCATACCCAGCCAATATCAATTTTTAACTTGAGTTCTTAAATTGTCCCTTTGCCAGCCAAGATTATATATATCTTTATTTTTCTAAGCTAAGAAGAGAAAGCAACATGTCATACACCAGGCTTCCCTAACCCTTGAGCTGCGGAGTGGATGCCAGTCCATGGCCTGCTAGGAACCCGGCTGTACAGCAAGAGGTGAGCAGGGTGGTGACCGAGCATTACCGCCTGAGCTCTGCCTGTCACATCAGCGGCAGCGTTAGATTCTCATAGGAGCTTCAACCCTATTGGCGAACCGTGCATGTGAGGGATCTAGGTTGCGCGGTCCATCTACTGCCTCATGATCTCAGGTGGAACAGTTCCAAAACCATCCCCAAGCACACCCCCGCCCCACCCCCGGTCCATGGAAAAATCGTCTTCCATGAAACCAATCCCTGGTGGCAAAAAGGTTGGGGACTGCTGTCATACACAACCAAAGGTCACATTTGTATAGCGGTTTTACATTTTACAAAGCTTCTCTCTGTGCCCACATGATGCCACTTAGTCCTCAGAAGCCCACAGTACAGAGGAGGAAAGTTCAGAGTAGAGAGACAACTTGGCCAAGATTGCCATCAGTACCCAAGCTGTGGAACCAGGACTCAGAACTGGGTTTGATGACTGAATCCCACATTCTTCCCTCTTTCAGCTGCCCACTGCTGTCACACAGGAGAAAGAAGGGCTGACTGCTGTTTTCGGGAGCCGGTGATCCACACTCTGCCTTGAGCTGTTGGATTCCTCGTCACTAAGTGATGCGCTCAGAGGACAACCCTGCTCTGGCCCCGATGAACAAACATTTCACTTTCAAAAGCTGAGTTTTCAGCCTTGGAAGGGGAGACTCTTCATTTATGTTCACTTTGTTCACATACACAAGAGAGAGCATCCGTTCCAGAATCCAACTGGACTTTATTTGACACAGAATACAATATGGCTACAGAAACAGCAAACTGAAAAAACAAAGCAGAAAAAAACACAGTTCCATCCAATTTGTAATTAGGTAACAGCAGGGAAAGTCATTAAATGAATAACAAAACAATTAAGCTTGATGGAAGAAGTCTTTTCCTAGTGCCCATACCTGAAAGACAAAGTAAATTACTCTGATTAATTCCAAGATAATTTCCTGTTTGAGACATAAAACCTGCTTAAACACATAAGCAACTTTAGTTAGAACCTAAGTGATCACAGTGTGCTCCAGGATTAGGTGACGACACTGACACTAGCTTGGCTGTCGCTGTGATTCCCCTTTCCCCTCCCCATCTTACAGGACTTCTTGCCTACTGCCCCCTCTTAGGGACAGGCTCTCCCTCTGACTCAACCATGCCCACCTGACAGGTGCCAGTAGCTGCCTGGTGGTATTAGGGAGGTGAGAGGGAAAAGTCATTGGTGGTTGTGAAAGGGAGCTCCGCCTGCTCACTCCCAACAGGGGCTCAGACAGTTTGAACTTTCGGGCTGCCCTGATCATGGCGGCCTATTTTCACCTGAACTCCAGTACTCAGGCATGTTTAGGGTAAAGCTAATAATGAGAATAGCAATTGATCAGCCTTCAATTTCAAAATCTGTCATCAGCTCCAATTACAACTCTGATTACAGTCAGTTCTATACAAAGAGAAGAGAAGCTAGGCGTGGATTTTGGAGGTTTCTGTTTTCCCCAGAAACCAAAATTTGGCTCTAAGAAGATTATAAAAATTAACGGGGGCCGGGTGCAGTGGCTCACTCCTGTAATCCCAGCACTTTGGGGGGCTGAGGTGGGCAGATCACCTGAGGTCAGGAGTTCAAAACCAGCCTGGCCAACATGGTGAAACCCCGTCTCTACTAAAAATACAAAAATTAGCTGGGCGTGGTGGCAGGTGCCTGTAATCCCAGCTACTCAGGAGACTGAGGCAAGAGAACTGCTTCAACCCGGGAGTTGGAGGT
The DNA here is from genome assembly GCF_000001405.40 of Homo sapiens. Lineage (NCBI taxonomy): Eukaryota > Metazoa > Chordata > Mammalia > Primates > Hominidae > Homo > Homo sapiens. Next base: position 40,971,636 of record NC_000022.11, on the reverse strand, counting down.
TGCAGTGAACCGAGATCACAACCACTGCACTCCAGCCTAGGTGACACAGTGAGACTCTGTCTCAAAAAATATATATATAAATAAAAATAAATAAAGCCAAGGAATTTCTTCCACATATAAACAGATTTCTTGAACACAAGATCCCTCATTATTATCTTTTGTCCTGGATCTTTTTAGGCAGTTAACCTGATTAAAATAATTTGTTATTTGGATAGAAACTAGGGCACTGGAACTCTGGATCACAGCTTCTCATAAGAAATCTACTTGAATATTGTCTTTAAAAAGCTGTTGTGCCAAATTCCACATAGGTTAGGCTCTAGCATGTGAGATGGGCTGTAGAACAATCGTATCAGATTAAAGAAAGCTGAAGAATTTGTTTTCCCAAAGCACTGATAACTACCACCTGGGAAAGTCACCAGTTAGAGTGGCAGAGTCAAAGCCCCAGATAAGGAATTCTTCATACCCCCGCAATTCTTAGATTTAGCCCTGGGCACATGTACTGGCAAAACGAGACCATTCTGGTCTAAAATGGAACCTTGAGCCTGCTGTAGGGCAGAGCCAATTACAAAGGCCCCCTGAAAACTATGAAAAGTCCTCTGCCTTGACATGTATTCCTGTTATGGTTCCCTGTAGAATGCAAGCTCCAAGGGCAGGAAGGACCGTCTCAAATGTTTTTATATTTTACACGGTACTTAGCATATATTTTGCTGAAGGGAGCCCAACAGTACCACTCAGATACTGAGTATTTGGCAGGTTTCTTAAAAACTGAATACGCATTGATAAGACTTCCAAATGTTTTACCAAAATAAATTATTGAATTTAAAGGCAAAATCACTGCACCAATAATGGATTTCTAAACATTTCACAAACAAAAGAATCCTATTTTTTGGTTTTTTTAAACCCAAGAATAGCCTAATAAAGACGTATTTAAATTAAGAAACTCCTTTCCCGTAAAAAATTCAGTAAAGAAAATGACCAATAATTCAAAATAAAGCAACGTGCAGGAAGATAAACACAGCAGTTCACAGAAAAGCGTAAGAGATATAAAAACATGAACAATTGCCCAATCTTACTGAAAATTCAAAAATGAAAATCGAATACTGATTGTCACCTATCAGAGTGGCTAAGATGGAAAAACTGTATAATGAAGCACTGGCAGGAAATGAAGAAAGGGGAGTTCTGCTTCACTGTTTGGAGGGAGTATAAATTAGTGTGTATTCTTAGAAATGGAAAACCTGACACTATTTATCAAAAACAAAAATATACATTCCTTTTTTTTTTTTTTTGAGACGAAGTTTTGCTCTTTTGCCCCGGCTGATGTGGCGTGATCTCAGCTCACTGAAACCTCTGGGCTCCCGGGTTCAAGAGATGATTCTCCTGCCTCAGCCTCCCAAATAGCTGGGATTATAGGCACCACCATGCCTGGCTAATTTTTGTATTTTTAGTAGAGAGGGGGTTTCACCATGTTGGCCAGGCTGGTCTTGAACTCCTGACCTCAGGTGATCCACCCACCTCAGCCTCCTAAAGTGCTAGGATGACAGGTGTGAGCAACTACACCTGGGCTTTTTTTTTTTTTTTTTTTTAAATTGGGTCTATTACCTAGGCTGGAGTGCAGTGGCATGATCTCAGCTTACTGCAACCTCCGCCTCCTGGGCTCAAGCGATCCTCCCACCTCAGCCTCCAGAGCAGCTGGGACTACAAGTGCATGGCACCACATCCAGCTAATTTTCTTTCTTTTTTTTTTTTTTGAGATAGGGTCTCACTCTGTCATTTAGACTGGAGTGCAGTGGCACGATCTCTGCTCACTGCAACCTCTGCCTCCCAGGCTCAAGTGATTCTCCTGCCTCAGCCTCTGGAGTAACTGGGATTCCAGGCATGCACCACTACCGCCCAGCTAATTTTTGTATTTTTTAAAGTAGAGACGGGGTTTTACCATGTGGGCCAGGCTGGTCTCAAACTCCTGACCTCAAATGATCCACCTGCCTCAACCTGCCAAAGTGCTGGGATTACAGGCATGAGCCATCAGGCATGGCCTAATTTACTATTTTTTGGTAGAGATGGGGTTTCAACATGTTACCAGGCTGGTCTCGAACTAGTGGACTCAAGCAATCTGCCCACCTTGGCCTCCTAAAGTGTTGGGATCACAGGTGTGAGCCACCAAGCCCAGCCATACTCTTTACCCATAAATTCCTCTTTTAGGAATTACTGCTCCAGATACAGCTACACATTTACACAAAGCTTCATGTATAAGGATGTTTCTCCCTTCACATTGCTTGCATCAGTGAAAAACTGGAAACACAAATGTCCACCAATAGGGACTGACTTTGTTTTTTGAGATGGAGTTTCGCTCTTGTTGGAGTGCGATGGTGCGATCTCAGCCCACCACAATCTCCGCCTCCTGGGTTCAAGTATTCTCCTGCCTCAGCCTCCCAAGTAGCTGGGATTACAGGTATGTGCCCCCACGCCCAGCTGATTTTGCATTTTTAGTAGAGACGGGGTTTCTCCATGTTGGCCAGGCTGGCCTTGAACACCCAACCTCAGGTGATCCGCCTGCCTCGGCCTCCCAAAGTGCTGGGATTACAGGCGTGAGCCACCGTGCCTGGCCAGGGACTGACTTTTTAAAAAATATAAAAAATGTTAAAAACATGCAAACAAATAAAAAAAGAAAAGAAAAAAGTTAAGGTACATTTACATAAAGAAATACTCTGCAACCATTAGAAATGAGGTAGTTTGTTATTTGTGGAAATGGAAAATCTCCAAAATGTACAAAATGAAAAAAAAAAAAAAGGTGAATTACTGTATAGGATACTCACTTTTATGTTAACAAAAATATATATATACACACAACCATGTAAATACCGGGACATATAAGAGATAGTCAGAAAATCTCCTAAGAAGCTGTCCTGTTGCTGATGGCTAGCTCCAGCAAGCCGGAGCAGGGGCCTACAGTGGGAAATTCATATTCTGTGGTATACCCTTTCAACCATTTAAATTTTTAAAAGTTTACCAGGTCATGTTTTATTTATATAACAATAAAATCTAATCAGGATAGCCATAAATGCTATATCAGAATTAATCACTGTGAAATAAACCAGTGAAATATGATAAGTGGATACAAGTCTAGCCCAAAGCTACCTGACATTAGGTAGTCCATGGAGCCTCATTAGGATGTAATTCTGGAAATATTTAAGAGTTCATAGATTATCACATTTTCTACTTTCACAGACCGTAGAAGGTTGGGAAACCTGCCGGGCACGGTGGCTCACACCTGTAATCCCAGCACTTTGGGAGACCGAGGCAGGCAGATCAGTTGAGATCAGGAGTTCAAGACCAGCCTGGCCAACATGGTGAAACCCAATCTCTACGAAAAATACAAAAATTAGCTGTGCATGGTGGCACACACTTGTAATCCCAGCCACTTGCTAGGCTGAGGTGGGAGGATCGCTTGAATCTGGGAGGTGGACGTTGCAGTGAGCCAAGATAGCACCACTGCACTCCAGCCTGGGCAACAAAGCGAGACTCCGTCTCAAAAAAAAAAAAAAAAAAAAAAAGGTTGGGAAACCCTAGGCTGCAAATGTCTAATGTTGGCTAATCCTTTGTGCATTTTCCATATAGATAAGTCCTAGCTTAAGTAACCAAAAACTAGTTTTAAAAAAAACAAGGCATGTATCATGTCTCCATCCCCCAAGACCACGCTCCTTTCAGCCTGAGGCAAGTCAAAAAGCCCCGTCAAAACAACCAAAGATACCTACTTTTGGAATTCCCACTCTCTGTTGTCCAATGGACACACCTGTCGTGTTTTGAGCCAGCGAGAGATGCAGTGGAAGTGAAAAGCATGCTGAAAGAAAACATATATTTTATTAAAAATAACTCTATGCAGGCTCAGCCATCGAGCGACAACAGGTCCCACAGGGTAGTGGCATGGGTGACATATAGTGGGCAAGAAAAGAAAAGAAGACAACGAGAGGCAAAAGTTCAACAACTGATTATATCTTGGTTAGATGCAAGGGTATTTCCAACAAAGCATTTGTTAGAAATGTCATTACTACTAAAGGAAATCATTCAGGAAGCACAGGAGTATGTGCCAGCACTGAGCTCTCTTCTATTTAAGAGAACGTGGAATGTGGCTCCTTGGTCCCATTCAGCCTGTAAGGGGATACTTCCACTTTCTTTGGGAAAGGAGGCCCCTCATCAATGCAGATTTCAAATATCCCCATTCTGGGTCTCTAGCTTCCCTCCCACCCTCCTGCCCCTGGAGAATGCGACCTGTAGGAGCAGAGCCTTCTCCCCAGCCCTTGGTAGAGAAGTGCATGGTCACTGCCGCCCACCCAGAACTGAGACGGGCACTTCCCCAACCTCCCCACACCCAGCTCAGCTCTGGTCAAAGAAACTTTATTTCTAGATTTATTCACAGACATATTGATATTACAAGAGCTCAGTACTTCACGTGCCTTTAATGGGTGAGGGACTTTGTCTTAGGGAATGAGATAAAAGAAAATTGGGGTAAAAGGAAGTATTCTTATGAGGGACAAACGGCACACAAGCAGCCTAAAGAGCATCAAAAGGCTTATTTCATAATCAAGACAAGAAGTAAAAAGACAAGAGTATCAAGAACACTGGTAACTGACAGGGAGCTAGAAGTCTGCTTAGATTTGGGAAAAGGACAATCTGCATGCAGTTTTTTGGCGTGGGCTCATGACATGCAGATGCTAATCACAATGCTTCTGCAATGAGCACTTCTCCCCCTGCTCATGTGCGTATTAGGACAGACGCAGCAAGTGCTTCCTTCATTTCGTCTGTGATTGGTGCACTGTGGTGGGGCACGGGCAGAAATTACTCACCCTAACAAAACAACAAAAGCTTTACAAGCTTCATTTAATAACAACTGAAATCTGGTCGGTACGTCTCCCAAAGTATGTATGGAACTTAAGGGATTATATAATATGGATTATTATCTTGTGAAATGTTTTTTGACAAAGACAAAAATATAATTCAGTAACTAAGAGTGGAATCCACAGCTAGTACACTAGGGATACCCAAGAGGACAAATATTCTCTTAGAGTGACAGCCTTTTGGAAGATCCCTTTTCAGCTGACTCTTGTATAACTCACTGTGAAAAAGAGAAAGAGCAAAATTTCCAAAAGGCAGAAAGCAGAGACATTTTTCTTAACCATCAGGTGTTGGGGTCGGGCTCACCGAAGGGTATTCGACAGCTTCTCCCTCTCCCACCTCACCCACTGAGCACTTTGCAGCAGTACGGTGTCCTGGTAGAGCCCAACTAAGTCAGAGCATACCACGCGCTGGGGAAAAGGGGGCTGTAAAGGAGGTGTCAGGGAGGTGACAGCACCCCTGAACATTTACTAAGATGTATTAATGGATATATTTAGCGGTCAAAGTACAATTTACAGAAGATAAATTTATAGTACTTGACAGTTTACAGAAGATGTTGACATGTATTACCTCATTTGAGGCCTCACATCAACCCTGGCAGGCAAGCATGACAGATATTTTTATCTTCATTTTACAGACAGGAAACTGAAACCCAGACAAGTGACTTGCCTAATTCATGGAGCTGGTTTGTAGAAGACCCAGAACTAGAACCCAGGACTAATCCAGAGCCTTCTGCCACACCATGCTGGCTCTCTTCTACGGCAGGCTCTCTCAGAGAATCTCTCCTTAGCCAAATTTAAGGGGATGTTCACTCTCTTTTCTTTCCACATAAAGGAACATGGTTCTTAGTATATGTCTGTATGCCAGAAAGGGCAAAGAGCCCAATATACTTCCTTTATCCCCATGAACGATTAAAGCTCCCCCATGGCCAACATGGTCTATTGTGAGCCTGGCCAAAGGGTCCCAACAAAGATGGAAGAAGGTGTACCCGAAAGTGCGGGTAGGGGCTGGGCACGGTGGCTCACGCCTGTAATCCCAGCACTTTGGGAGGCCGAGGCTGGCAGATCGCCCCAAGGTCAGGAGTTTAAGACCAGCCTGGCCAACATGGCGAAACCCCATCTCTACTAAAAATACAAAAATTAGCTGGGTGTGGTGGTACACACCTGTAATCCCAGCTACTCGGAAGGCTGAAGCAGGACAATCACTTGAACCCAGGAGATAAAGGTTGCAGTAAGCCGGGACTGCGTCACTGCGCTCCAGCCTGGGCCACATAGTGAGACTCCGTCTCAAAAAAAAAACAAAAAACAAAAAACAAAAAAAAAAACAAAAAACCAGTGTAGGTAGGAAAAAGAGTTGCAACCCAACAGGAAAAACTACTGAGAACACCATCTACACAGTAACACCTCTACCTCAAATTTGTATTTATTTAGATTTTTTTTTTTTTGAGACAGAGTCTCACTTTGTCACCCAGGCTGGAGTGCAGTGGTGTGGTCTCGGCTCACTACAAGCTCCACCTCCCAGGTTCACGCCATTCTCCTGCCTCAGCCTCCCGAGTAGCTGGGACTACAGGCGCCTGCCACCACACCCGGCTAATTTTTTGTATTTTTAGTAGAGACGGGGTTTCACTGTGTTAGCCAGGATGTCTCCATCTGCTGACCTCATGATGCACCCGCCTCGGCCTCCCAGAGTGCTGGGATTACAGGCGTGAGCCACCGCGTCCGGCCTATTTAGATTTTTTTTAACAAGCACTTGTGCTTACTATGTGCCGGGAGTTGTTTAATCACATTTTAACATAAATCATCTAATCCGGATTACAATTTTATGTGGTCCACTATCAGCCCCATTTTATGAGGGAACCCAGGATTGGAGACGTTAAATGCCTTGCCTAACGTCACTTAGCAAGTAAGTCACAAAGACAGGGAATGGTGGTCTGACTCTAGAATCTCTTATCCCTGTGTCATGCTGGGAACTGTGAGTATTCTGTCCCCATGACACAGGAGGCCCTGACAAGACAATTTTAGCTCATGTGACTGGGACTTTACAGCTTAAAGAATGAATTTTTAACACATGCTAGAACTAACATATTTGATATTTGTTATCCTTCACAGCTGTCACACTCTTGGAAGGCCATTCAGTCCAATAAAGCTACACAAAACATTTCTGGCATAAGCCATGTTAAAAAATAATCTTATCTCAGTACATACGCCACACTTAAAACACACATACACAGAGACTTCAACACTCAATTTACTCATCAAACTTAGTTCCATTAGACACCTGGTCTTTAAAAAAGCCTGTTTCAAAGGTACAAAGTTCTACCACGAGAATATTCCAAAGGGTGCATGTAGGTTTTGAAGGCAATTCCCATAGATGAAGCCCCAAAATACTGCTAACAAAATTGGGTCCACTTTATAATTAAGACAAATAAGTGCCTCTTTGCAGTAACTGTAATTTTTACCCTGTAACAGGTGAATAGTATTATGATTTAAAATCTTTTTTACTATTTGTATACCTTTTGGGAGAAAGGTGGACTAGTCATTTTTTTCCCTAGTTATTTTCAAGACTAGCAAAGCAGGAAAAGTGGAAATATGTTTACAAGCCATGCTGACAGGTAAAGATGCTTCCTTACGTTACAGACTCCCCATGCGACAGTACACTCTTCTGAAGTAGCGGACGCCTGGTTAGCTTGACATTCTATGCCTGTGGGAACAAGAGCAACAGGATCACTGGACCTTGGGAGCAGCAACGTTTCAATCTATAGCAGCCAAAACAATTCTCAAGTGGTTAATTAGCCATAATTGTTTTTTAATGAATGTGGGAAAGGAAGAACAGAGAAGACAGAGATAACAGTATGCTTTCTGACGATTTCCTATCCTTGTTTAAAAAGAGTAACAAATGGGAAATGCACATCTCACTCCCGTTGCCCAGGCTACAGTGCAGTGGCATGAGCATGGCTCACTGCAGCCTTGACTTCCTGGGCTTAGGTGATTCTCCCTCAGCCTCCTGAGTAGCTGGGACTACAGGTGCGTGCCACCACACCAGCTAATTGTTTGTATTTTTTGTAGAGATGGAGTTTCACCATGTTGCCTAGACTGAGTTTTTTTCCTTTTGAGATGGAGTTTCCCTCTTGTTGCCCAGGCTGAAGTGCAATAGCACAATCTTGGCTCACTGCAACCTCCGCCCCCCGAGTTCAAGCGATTCTCGTGTCTCAGACTCCCAAGTAGCTGGAATTAACAGGCGCACACCACCATGCCTGGCTAATTTTGTATTTTTAGTAGAGATGGGGTTTCTCCGTGTTGGCCAGGCTGGTCTCAAACTCCTGACCTCAGGTGATCCGCCCACCTCAGCCTCCCAAAGTGCTGGGATTACAGGCATGAGCCACCGCACCTGGCCTGCAATGAGTTCTTGACTGAGATCAAGATCTGATGGGTAAAGCACAACTGGGGATAAATATTCACAGAACAAGAATTACTAATGCATAACTTGCTTTCTCTGATCATAGTAACTAAATGGAGTCTCCCTTCTGAAGAATAAAAAGCTTCAGGAGAAACTATTTAATAGGGGAGAATTACTTCAAACTACTACAGGTGAAAAATAGTAAAACTATGGCTGGGCGTGGTGGCTCACACCTGTAATCCCAGCACTTTGGGAGGCTGAGGCAGGCGGATCACGAGGTCAGGAGTTCAAGACTAGCCCACCCAACATGGTGAAACCTGTCTCTACTAAAAATATGAAAAACTAGCCAGGAGTAGGCCAGGCGCGATGGCTCACTCCTGTAATCTCAGCACTTTGGGAGGCCGAGGCAGGCACATCATGAGGTCAGGACTTTGAGACCATCCTGGCCAACATAGTGAAACACCGTCTCTACTAAAAAAAAAAAAAAAAAATTAGCTGGGCGTGGTGGCGGGTGCCTGTAGTCCCAGCTACTCAGGAGGCTGAGGCAGGAGAATTGCTTGAACCCAGGAGGCGGAGCTTGCAGTGAGCCAAGATTGCATCACTGCACTGGAGCCTGGGCGACAGTGCAAGACTCCGTCTCAAAAAATAAATAAATAAAAATAAAAATAAAAAAATAAATAAAAATTAGCCAGGTGTGTGTGGTGGTGGGCGCCTGTAGTCCCAGCTATTCAGGAGGCTGAGGCAGAAGAATTGCTTGAATCCGGGAGGCAGAGGTTGCAGTGAGCCAAGACTGCGCCACTGCACTCCAGCCTGGGTGACACAGTGAGACTCTGTCTCAAAAAAAAAAAAAAAAAAGTAAAACTATTAAAAAAAACAAAACTAGATGTTAATGGGCATGTGTGGTTTTAGGGGAAGAGATACCATGATAATACCTTTTTCTTTTCACTCTTCGAAAATGTGGAAAGTGGGCCGGGCATGTTGGCTCACACCTGTAATGCCAGCACTATGAGAGGCTGAAGTCAGGAATTCGAGACCAGCCTGACCAACACGGCAAAACCCAATCTCTACTAAAAATACAAAAGTTAGTGGTGCATGGTGGTACATGTCTGCAATCCCAGTTACTTGGGAGGCTGAGGTAGGAGAATTGCTTGAACCCAAGGGGCAGAGGTTGCAGTGAGCCGAAGTTGCACACCACTGTACTCCAGCCTGGGCAAAAGAGCAAGACTCTGTCTCAAAAAACAAACAAACAAACAAACAAACCATAAAAGGCTGGGAGTAGTGGCTCACGCCTGCAATCCCAATGCTTTGGAAGGACGAGGGTGACGGATCACTTGATGTCAGGGTTCGAGACCAGCCTGGCAAACATGGCAAAACCCCCTCTCTACTAAGAAGGCAAAAATTAGCCAGGCATGGTGGTGGATATCTGTAATCCCAGCTACTCAGGAGGCTGAGGCAGGAGAATCACTTGAACCCAGGAGGCAGAGGCTGCAGTGAGCCGAGATCACACCACTGCATTCCAGCCTGGGTGACAGAGTAAGGCTGACACACACACACACACACACAGAGAAAGCAAAGCACTTACTTTTGCTAGCCAGATTCACACTACAGAGTAACTTGGTTTGCCAACTGATAAAAATAAAGAATTGGGGCCAGGCCCGGTGGCTCACGCCTATAATCCCAGCGTTTTGGGAGGCTGAGGCGGGTGGGTCACGAGGTCAGGAGATCGAGCCCATCCTGGCTAACATGGTTTCTACTAAAAATATTTAAAAATTAGCCAGGCGTGGTGGCGGGCACCTGTAGTCCCAGCTACTCAGGAGGCTGAGGCAGGAGAATGGTGTGAACCCGGGAGGCGGAGCTTGCAGTGAGCCAAGATCGCACCACTGCGCTCCAGCCTGGGTAACAGAGCGAGACTCTGTCTCAAAAAATAAAAATAAAAATAATAAAATAAAATAAAAATAAAGAATTGGGTCAGGCACAGTCGCTCACACCTGTAATCCCAGCACTTTGGGAGGCCAAGGCAGCAGGATCACTTTAGCCCACGAATTCAAGACCAGGCTGGGCAACACAGCAACATCTCATCTCTAGAAATAAAAAAATTAGCCAGTTGTGGTAGCACATGCCTGTGGTCCCAGCTACTAAGGAGGCTGAGGCAGGAGAATGGCTTGAGCACAGGCGGTTGAGGCTGCAGTGCACCATGATCGTACCACTGCACTCCAGCCTAGGTGACAGAGCAAAACCTTGTTATCAAAAAAAAAAAAAAAAAAAAAAAGGCCAGGCACGGTGGCTCGGCCGGGCGTGGTGGCTCATGTCTGTAATCCCAGCACTTTGGGAAGTCGAGGCAGGCAGATCATCTGAGGTCAGGAGTTCGAGACCAGCCTGGCCAACATGGCGAAACTCTGTCTCTTCTAAAAATACAAACAATTAACCGGGTGTGGTGGGTGGCGCATGCCTATAATCCCAGCTACTAGAGAGGCTGAGGCAGGAGAATCGCTGGAACCTGGCAGGCAGAGGTTGCAGTGAGCTGGGATCGCGCCACTGCACTCTACCCTGGGTGAAAGAGCGAGACTCCATCTTAAAAACAAACAAAAAAGGGATCTAGGGTCTATGCAGTGTATTTAAGAACTTATTGAAACTGGAATACACTACTATAATTAAAAGAATGGCAGAGAAAAGTAAATATGATGTCCTTTAAGCTGGATCCTCTAACTTAGAGGAAGACTATGTATTATAAAATTAGCTAAATAAGAGCCACAATTATTAAAGTGAAAATCAAAACTGTTTCAAGGTACATTATCGTGTTTAAATTTGATCTGGGTCTTTCTTTTGACTGTGGCCATGGCACTACTAACCTAAAGAACCCTTCAGGCTCCCTTCACGGTAGAGTCCTTTCCTTCGTCCCTGCCATACCTGGAACATGCTCCTCCTCCTATCACTCTCAAGTCCTCCCCACCCTTCAAGACCCAGCTTAAATCCCTACTTCTTGACTGAAGCTTTTCCTGACTCTTCCACCCTGAGTCATTTTCCTCTCCTTCAGGCACTCTTAACACATCAATTATGAGTATCTCTTTACATACCTGACCTCCCTCCTTCCCCCTCAACTCAAAGCTCCCACAGAGCAGGGACCTGGTCTTTCTATGCCAAGTGCAAATTAGGCTCTTGGTACTTGAACAAGCAAACAAAAACTATTTCTATAAATAGAAGAAATACGGGACAAATACAGATTCATTCTTTTTTTTTTAGACAGTCTCGCTCTGTTGCCCAGGCTGAAGGGCAGTGGCACAATCTCCACACTGCAACCTCCACCTCCCGGGTTCCAGCTATTCTCTCACCTCAGCCTCCCAAGTAGCAGGGATTACAGGTGTGCACTACCATACCAAGCTAATTTTTTGTATTTTTAGTAGAGACGGGGTTTCACCATGTTGGCCAGGCTGGTCTTTAACTCCTGACCTCAAGTGATCTGCCTGCCTCGGCCTCCCATGGTGCTGAGATTACAGGCGTGAGCCACTGCATCCGACCAAGATTCATTCCTTTTTTTCTTTTAGACAGAGTCTAGCTTTGTCCCCCCAGGCCGGAGGGCACTGGTGCAATCTTGGCTCACTGCAACCTCTGTCTCCCAGGTTCAAGTGATTCTCCCGCCTCAGCCTCCCAAGTAGCTGGGACTACAGGCATGCGCCACCATGCCTGGCTATTTTTTGTATTTTTAGTAGAGATGGGGTTTCCCCACGTTGCCCAGGCTGGTCTTGCACTTCTGGCCTCACACGATCCACGCGTCCTGGCCTCCCAAAGTACTGGGATTATAGGCGTGAGCCACCGAGCCCGGCCAGATTCATTCTTTACTACAAAATTCCTAACAAAGAACAAAAATGTATAGGAGGGATATTACTGCAATCTAGAGTACCAAATAAGAAGGGATATAGCAGGGAAAATGATTAAATATTAGTGTAAAATGTGCTCAATACAAAAGTTTTCCAGCTTTTGTTGCAGAGAGTAAGTACAGGGGTTGAGTCCAGTTAGTTTAAACGGGCAGGAACTGTTCACTGTCAACCCAGAACAGGTTGACAGTGGCACATAACGGGTTCATGTCACACCCCTGCCAAGGCAGAAGCCTATCATGTGATTTATAAAGCTTGGGGACCTTTAAGCTTTGATAAAAACGCTGTACCACCAAAGAACTGTTAAGGAAGCAATGGCTTCATCTCAAGAGTAGACAGATTACACTTTCAAAACACTGACGGGGCCGGGCGTGGTGGCTCACGCCTGTAATCCCAGCACTTTGGGAGGCCGAGCCGGGTGGATCACTCGAGGTCAGGAGTTAAAGAGACCAGACTGGCCAACATGGTGAAACCCTGTTTCTACTAAAAATACAAAAATTAGCTGGGCATGCTGGTGCATACCTGCAGTCTCAGCTGCTCAGGAGGCTGAGGCAGGAGAATAGCTTGAACCTGGGAGGCAGAGGTTGCAGTGCACCGAGATCATGCCACTGCACTCCAGCCGAGGCAACAGAGCAAGACTCTGTCTCAAACAAACCAAACCAAACCAAACCAAACCAAACCAAACCAAACCAAACCAAACCAAAATACTGATGGATCTGTAGTTTTAGGTAGATGCTAACATCTTCTGGGCCAAGGCTGGGTCTAAGATGATGAAGATTCCCCATCATCAGGAATAAGATTACCAGAGGTAATAGAGAAAATAAAACCTCACATATTTGATTTTTCAGCAACTCCTTAATACAACCAAGGAAGGAGACAGTGTAAAATAAAATAAATACAAAGGTACAGGAGGGCATGCAGAATCAATATGGACTTAAAAGAGGAAGTCTTCAGAATCCGACTAGGGCACAGCCATAATCATTCTTATTTACTTAGAGCTATGTATATAATTACTCATTTAAGGTCAGACAAGATTTATTAAAATACAACCGTTGCTAAATCTAGATTCTTACTTTCATCTTTAACAAAAATTGTCTTTATAAAAATGATAAATCCATTTTTTTCTTTACTTGCTAAGTTCTTTTCCCATATAAATCCTTTTTTTTTTTTTAAGTTATGGCACTCAGACTTCTCCTCAGTGTCTATAATAAAAGTGTGTGGCCAGGGGCAGTGGCTCACACCTGTAAGCTCAGTGTTTTGGAAGGGCAAGGCAGGAGGATTGCTTGAGTCCAGGAGTTCAAGACAAGCCTGGACAACACAGCAAGACCCAATCTCTACAAAAAATTAAAAAATTAGCAGCTAGATGCGGTGGCTCACACCTGTAATCCCAGCACTTTGGGGGCCGAGATGGGTGATCATGAGGTCAGGAGCTCGAGACCAGCCTGGCCAACATAGTGAAACCCCATTTCTACTAAAAATACAAAAAATTAGCCAGGTGTGGTGGCGGGTACCTGTAATCCCAGCTACTCGGGAAGCTGAGGCAGGAGAATTGTTTGAACCCAGAAGGTGGAGACTGCAGTAAGCCGAGATCGTGCCACTGCACTCCAGCTGGGTGACAGTGTGAGACTCCGCCTCCAAAAAAAAAAAATTAGCTAGGTGTGGTAGTGCACGTCTGTGGTCCCAGCTACTTAGAGGCTGAGGTAGGAGGACTGCTTGATCCCAGGTCAAGGCTGCAGTGAGCTATGACTGTGCCACTGCGCTCCAGCCTGGGCACTTGAGTGAGACCCTGTCTCTAACAAAAAAATACATAAAAATAAAAAATAAACAGTGTTTCTCTTTTTGAGATAGGGTCTCACTCTCTCACCTAGGCTGGAGTGCAGTGGCAAAATCTTGACTCACTGTCACCTCTGCCTCCCGGGCTCAAGGGATCTTCCCACCTCAGCCTCCCAAGTAGCTGGGACCACAGGCATAAGCCACCATGCCTGGCTAATTTTTTGTAGAGACAGGGTTTCGCCATGTTGCCCAGGCTGGTCTTGAACTCCTAGGCTCAAGCGATCTGCCCGCCTCAGCCACCCAAAGTCTTGGGTTTACAGGTGTGACCCACCTCACCTGGCCAAGAGTGTCTTTTTTTTTGAGACAGAGTTTTGCTCTTTTTGTCCAGGATGGAGTGCAATGGCAGGATCTCGGCTCACTGCAACCTCTGCCTCCCAGGTTCAAGTGATTCTCCTGCCTCAGCCTCCCATGTAGCTGGGATTACAGGTGCGTGCTACCACGCCTGGCTAATTTTGTATTTTTAGTAGAGATGGGGTTTCACTGTGTTGGCCAGGATGGTCTGGATCTCCTGACCTCATGATCCCCCCGCCTCAGCCTCCCAAAGTGCTGGGATTACAGGCATGAGCCACCGCGCCCCGCCTAAGAGTATGTTTCTTTTTTTTGTTGTTGTTGAGATGGAGTCTCACTCTGTCACCCAGGCTGGAGTGCAATGGCGCGATCTCAGCTCACTGCAACCTCCGCCTCCTGGGTTCACGCCATTCTCCTGCCTCAGCCTCTCAAGTAGCTGGGACTACAGGCGCCCGCCATCGCACCCAGCTAATTTTTTGTATTTTTAGTGGAGACGGGGTTTCACCTTGTTAGCCAGGATGGTCTCGATCTCTGGACCTTGTGATCTGCCCGCCTTGGCCTCCCAAAGTGCTGGGATTACAGGTGTAAGCCACCACGCCTGGCCTAAGAGTGTGTTTCTTAAAGGTAAAGACTTGAGGTCGGACATGGTGGCTCACACCTATAATCCCGGCACTTTGGGAGGCCAAGGGGGGTGGTTTTTTTGAGGCCAGGAGTTTGAATGGGTCATGTCTGTAATCCCAGCGGTTTGAGAGGCCAAGGCGAATGGATCACCTGAGGTCAGGAGTTTGAGACCAGCCTGGCCAACATGGTGAAACCCTGTCTCTCATAAAAATACAAAAAATGAGCCGGGTGAGGTGGCCCACACCTGTAGTCCCAGCTACTTGGGAGGCTGACGCAGGAGAATCACTTGAACTCCAGCCTGAGCGACAGAGACTCTGTCTTTAAAAAAAAAAAAAAAAAAAAGGTAAAGACCTGCCCGATCTCACTCATTGTTTTATCCTGGTGCCTACCAGGATGCTCAGGATATATTCATTGGATAAATAAAAGATAGGACTTAGAAAATACTTTCATAAGTTTTTGTTATAGGATTTCAATATCCTACTTCATCTGACATTCAAAATATATTATGAAACAAAACAGGTATCCCACTGAAAGCCTAATATGATGTCTCAAGCATTTCACTCTAAGAGAAGACAATATAGATCGCCTTTGTCTTCTGTGGTCCTTTTAAGAAGTACATTCTCTCATATCCAGAGACACATATACACTGACTTAAATATAGAGAAAAAAAAATCAGGGTTATATAAAATCATTAAAAATCATTAACTATTTTCAAAACAGAGCCCCAAGAAAGTAAAATTTTCTCTGGGTATAACTCCTTGTGAAAATGCAAGGCCGAGAAACTGGCAAGCATGTAATCAAAGACCCCACCCAAACACATTTGAAACCCTGCATATGTTTTTCTGTGATGGGTTCACGGCATCTATATTAAACATTATGGTAGGTGCTGATCTTCCTTGGCTGTAGTGTGAAGAGATAAACAGTGTCAAAGCTCAAAGAAGCCAAGGGCAATACATGACCAGTATAAGCCATGACTGCTTTCCAACAGAAAATATTTGATTCGTGCTTTTCAAGTTGAAAACATCTGAGCAAGTTTAAGATAAGATCTAAAGCTCAACTATGGGTTAGTCTTACATTGCACAATAAAGTAGTTATTAACCACATGTGACTACTGAGCACTTGAAATGTGGCTAGTCTGAATCCAGATGTGCTGTAAGTGTAAAATACACAGAATTTCAAAGATAGTACAAAGACAGAATGTAAAATATCTCATTTTTTTTTTACATCAATTACATGTTGAAGTAAAACTATTTTGACTATATAAGGTTAAATAAAATACATTAATTTCACCTTTTTATTTTCTTTTTACTTTATGAATGTGGATACTAGAAAATTTCAGGCCAGCCACAGTGGCTCACGCCTATAATCGCAACATTTTGGAAGGCCAAAGTGGGAGGATCACTTGAAGCCAGTTCGAGACCAGCCTGGGCAACAAAGCGAGATCCCGTCTCTGAAAAAAACAAAAAAAAAAAAAAAGGAAAAAGAAAATTTAAAATTATATACGTGTTTGTACTGGCTTACATTCAGATTGGACAGTGCTGGGTTAGACAAAACCAAGGAAGAGAAGAGGTGAAGAATATTCTAGGCAAAAAAGACTAGGCTATTTAAGGGCTCTAAAATAGAGCATGGACACTTAAGAATGGAAAAGCAGGCCGGGCATGGTGGCTTATGCTTGTAATCCCAACACTTTGGGAGGCAGAGGCACGCGGATCACCCGAGGTCAGGAGTTCGAGGCCAGCCTGGCCAACACGGTAAAACTGTGTCTCTACTAAAAATACAAAAATTAGCTGGGTGTGGTGGCAGGTGCCTGTAATCCCAGCTATTGAGGAGGCTGAGGCAGGAGAATCACTTGAACTCGGGAGGCGGAGGTTGCAGTGAGCTGAGATCACGCCACTGCACTCCAACCTGGGCGACTCCATCTCAGAATAAGGAAAAAAAATGGAAAACTGGCCGGGGCCATGGCTGCTTTGGCCACCGTGGTCAGTTAAAAAAAAAAAAAAGCATCCAGGTAAACTAACAGAGTGAGCAGGAGTGACTCAAGACAAAGTTGTAAAGGCAGGTGAGTGATCTGAAAAATAAGTTCCTATAATTCCATTTCTAGAAACTTAAAGTTTCTTTCCTCCATTTCTGGCCTCAGTAACAAATCATTTTAGTTCCCGGATGAAAAAGTAACCTCAACTGTTCCTGGTGTGATCAACATTCTTGTCCCTTCTACTGTAAGGACAGGAAATCAGTTCATCAAAGACTATAATCAGATCACTATGTGCTGACCACTACATGTAATAAAATATGTGGAGATTTAAATGAAATTTCTTTAGTGCAATTAATTATTTATTTAGATGTTGGCAATGATTTCCTTTTTATTATGTTTGGGCCTAACATACAAAATCCTCACTCCTTAACGCTTCTTTCCTTTGTAAACAATGACCAGCAAAAATTAGATCAGATAGACTTTTTTTTTTTTTTGAGACTTTGAGTCTTGCTGTGTCGCCCAGGTTGTAGTGCAGTGGTGTGATCTCGGCTCACTGCCACCTCTGCCTCCCAGGTTCAAGCAATTCTCCTGCCTCAGCCTGCCAAGTAGCTGGGATTACAGACATGCACCAGTACGCCCAGCTAATTTTTGTATTTTTAGTAGAGACAGGGTTTCACCATGTTGGCCAGGTTGGTCAACTCCTGGCCTCAAATGATCTGCCCGCCTTGGCCTCCCAAAGTGCTGGGATTACAAGCATGAGCCACTGCGCTTGGCCTCAGAATATTTTAGCTCAAAGTTTATTTTCCTCCTTTCACTATTTCTACCTTTGAGTCTAGGTACAAGATGGAAGATATGCAGGAAAAATCAACAGTGCCTGTCGTCCACAATTAATTCTAAATGTGTCCCTGCCATCTTTAGATTGAGTAGATTTATTCTGAGAGCTGGGTATGCCTCCAGGACATCATAAAAAAACTACTCTATTTCAAACACACCAACAGACTAGATACAGAAGACCGAGTGCTCAGAGTAGGCTTGCTATCTCCTCGTGTGAAGAAGAAAATCAGTCACATCAAGATAGCCACAATCTCTGCAACCTTCTCAACTTCCTCCCATCCTCCTCCAATTACTTACAAAGATCCATAATGTGGTTCCTGCAGATGGCACAGTTATCAACCACAATATCCCAGGCCCAGAGGGCTACTGCATTCCACTGCAAAGACAAAAAGAGGGAACAGTGCATTCTGCTTGTAACACACACACATACTCTTTAGGACCTCAGGCTGCAGCTGCAGTTATCATCTCTTTGGCCACAGGGAACCACCAAACAAAAGTTTTTGGATATTACGTTAATCTTATTATACCAAAGACAACAGTAGACTACACGTATGTTCTATTCTCCAAAAGGCTGAGTATATGAACACAGAAATTAATGTCATCTTTTAATTTGTTTCCTATAGTTTAAAATAATTTAGTCTGGCCGGGTGCAGTGGCTCACGCCTATAGTCCTAGCATTTTGGGAGGCCGAGGCGGGCCGATCACTGAGGTCAGGAGTTCAAGACCAGCCTGGCCAACATGGCAAAATCCTATCTTTACTAAAAATACAAAAATTAGCCAGGCCTGGTGGCGGGTGTCTATAATACCAGCTGTTTGGGAAGCTGAGGCAGGAGAATCGCTTGAATCTGGGGGACGGAGGTTGCAGTGAGCCAAGATCGTGCCACTGCACTCCAGCCTGGGCGACAGAGTGAGACTCCATCTCAAAAAAAAAAAAAAAAAAAAAAAAAGGGCACAAACTTGAATTTCTGTGCAGGTTTTGGTGGCAGTTGCAGAAGAGCTCAAAATCTGAATAAGTATCTGCTCTACACAGCTCTGGAAGCATGAGCAATGAAGTGAAAGCTAGAGAACAGAATGAACTAAGATAATGACTGGATCATAAAATGGGTAATCATGGGATAAGCTGGATAATTAAATACCCGTGTCAGTACACAGAACAAGGTCATCACTTAAATCTTAGATTACTTCATAACAAATTCTACAATTCACTAGAATTTTGATTCTTACCATAAAATAAACTGATGTTCTCAACTTTTATATGTTTAGACTCTTCTATTAAGATAATAATTCCAGTAAGAGTTTAACAGAATTTCATTCATTCAACTCTGGCTTCCTCAATTACAAATACTCCCAAACCTTCTTCGCTTTCAAACCCCATTCTCAGTGCCTAGTAACTTCTTTACCACTTTTCACATCACAGCTTCAAGGTGGAGGAAAAGCCCCTACTTCTATTATTTTTCAATATGGCTGCTGGCTGTAACTGAGCAGCAGTGGCCACAATGAGACACCAAAAAGCACTAGGACGGGGGATATTGTCAGTGTTTAGCCAGATGTTCTAGGAATATCTTCCCTATTTTAGAATCTCCATTTTGAACAGCTTTCATGTTAGGTGAGAATCGATACTGTTCTCCCAAACTGTGGCAAACCACTAAAAGGCATTTCATGCAAAAAGACACGTTCCATTTTTGCTTTCCCACGCTTACCAAGTCGTTCGCGACTAGTACTCAACCCTCCCTAACTGCCACAGGATTTGGGCTCGGATTTTCTTAACAAGTTCCACCATGCTTTTTATTATTATTTTGGAAGGGGGAGATTCTGGACGTGACAGAGAACCCAAGAGTGGGGTGGTTGTGTGAAAAGCCAACAGACGTCTCAGAAGAGCCAAGCATTACACTCCAGACTCTAACCAGGCAGTGTGAGGCCTCGGTTCAGCGAGGATCCCTCCAAGTGAGAGGACCCCTCCAAGTGAGAGGACCCCAAGCTTCAAAAAGGGGCGGAGCAAGATCACCAAGGGGGGTCCTCAGAGGCCTCTAATGCGGTAGGACCTCAGGTTCCAGGCTCTCGCCGCACTGCCCCATCCTCCACCGCCGCATTCGCTTCGACTCCCCATTCCACCCACCCCACCCCACCCTACCCTGTCCTTCCCCCACCTCTCAACCACTCCAGTGACAGCTCAAGCGCTTGGCTCCCGCCGCCAAGTCGCAACCCCGCGTATCTCAATAAGCAGCTCTGTGATTGGCCCCTTAGCCTCACAGCGAAACCAACACTTCCCCCAACAGTGGGCCGCCGTCACGCCGATCAACTCTAAGACCCGCCCCCCGGCTTCCTTTCGTGGTACCCGGTCCCAGGAACGCCCTGAAATGAAACCCTTTACTCCGCGCCTCGACCATCCTCGGGCCTGCCAGCCAGATCCGCGCCTCTCTAGCTTCCCTGAGGAAGGCGCTGGCGAGACCCAACCTTTTTCACTTCAAAGCGCTTCTTGCCCGCGCCGCTGTTGGTGCCGCTCGGGGTATCCACATCCATCGCTGCCGCCATTTTGGAAACACACGGTCTGTCGTCCGACCACCGCGCCTGCGCAGCAGCGCACACTTCGCTCCCCCCACCTCCCCGGCACCTCCTCCCGCACCCCACCCCTTACTGGCGCGCGAGGCGGAGGTGGGGGCGGAGCACGTGACCACGCCTCTTAAAGGGGCTGTCGCAGGTCGCCCCACCCGCGAACTGTAGGCCGGGGAGGGGGCGGTGGCCGGAGTGGGTGGGGCGGGGCCGGGCGGGGCCGGGCGGGGCCGAGGCTACGTGAGCTAGCCGGGTGGAAACGTTCGAAAGGGCTCGACGTCGCCGCCTCCTCTGGGAAGCCCCCGGCCGCACTCCGTCAGCTGGGGCGGCGGCTGCTTCCTCCGCCTGAGCCAGACCTGCGCCGCAGTCCTGTCCTGCCTGCCGGGCTCGCCGAGTCGCCGCGCGGCTCCCGGTGCTGGCGTGGGTGGGCGCCCGCGGCCTGCCCCGAAACCCAAGAGTCCTCGCTGGTCTTTCGCAGACTCTGACCCGCTTCCGAGCCAGGCCCAAGGTGCAGTCCCCGTGGGAGGGCTGGGGCCCAGGCACCGTCTGGTCTCCGATTTCTGTTCGGGAACTGCTCAGGGATTCGATGGGGAGAGAGGAGACCCCCGAAGTTCCTCCCTAAGGCCACACTGAGCAGGCCCCCAGCCCTGCCTTTACTCGCCCGCCAAGCCTGGGGGGTGGCCTCTGCGCCCACATAGTCGCAGTCCTAGGACCGCCTTTGGTCGTGGTGCACGGTTTCACCGTAACGTGTGTCAGTCCCCACTCCGCATTCCTCAGTTGTCATCTTTGTAGGGTGATTTCTCCCCGATCTGTGTCCTTTTTCCGCTGCTTGTGCTGTAGTGAAACCGACCCATCTGCAGTCGCTGTATTTCTTGAATTTTTGTGAGGCATTCTTTTTTAACTCTTGTTGCCCAGGCTGGAGTGTAATGGCGCGATTTCGGCCCACTGCAACCTCCGCCTCCAGGATTCAAGCGATTCTCCTGCCTCAGCCTCCCGAGTAGCTGAGATTACAGGCGCCCGCCACCACGCCCGGCTAATTTTTTGTATTTTTAGTAGAAACGGGGTTTCACCACGTTAGCCAGGCTGGTCCCGAACTCCTGACCTCAGGTGATCCGCCTGCCTCGGCCTCCCAAAGTGCTAGAGCCGCTTTTTTTTTTTTTCTTTTTTAATTTTTTTAAAAAATAGAGACAAGGTCTCACTATGTTGCCTAGGCTGGTCTCGAACTCCTGGGCCCAAGTGATCCTCCCACTTCGGCCTCCCAAAGTGCTGGGATCACAGGAGTGAGCCATCCCACCCGACCCAAGCACCTGTACTTTGTCACTCTCCCATTTCTGGCTAGACCAGGACTCCCTTTGACATCTCTAACCTTGCAGAGGTGTGACTCTGCCAGAGCACTCTTAGATGTCGTACAGGTGCATTTGAAGCCTTGTATTTTCTCTTAAAAGATAACTGGCGGGTAATGGAGCGTGCTGACTCTATTGCTAAAGAGAAAGAATAGGCTGGGCGCGGTGGCTCACGCCTGGGAGCCACTTTGGGAGGCCGAGGCAGGTGGATTACCTGAGGTCAGGAGTTTGAGACCAGCCTGGCCAACATGACGAAACCCCGTCCCTACTAAAAATACAAAAATTAGCTGGGTGTGGTGGCACGCGCCTGTAGTCCCAGCTACTCAGGAGGCTGAGGCAGGAGAATCTCTTGAACCCGGGAGGTGGAGGTGGCAGTGAGCCGAGATCGAGCCACTCTACTCCAGCCTGGGTGACAGAGCGAGACTCCGTTCCCCCCCAAAAAAAATAATAAAAGAGAAAGAACTGAGATTTGTTTGTTAGTTATAAACAGCAACAACAGATCCGGGAAAAGACCACCACAGCTTTATCCAGACTTGGAAAGAAAAATTGTGTGAGACCTTAAAGGGCTACAAGAACCCTACAAAGTTTTTCTTAGCCCAAGTTTTAATGACTTTGTTAAAATTTCTGTTGTTAATTTGTTGTGTGCCTACAGGCCCTGACAGGAATACTAGAAACCCATTGTAAATTAAGGTCTTGAAGACATATTTATCAATCATTCAATAAAAGTATTGATATTTACCAGGTTCTGTTTTAAACAGAAGAGACATAATAACAGAGTCAAATAAACCCCTAGTTAGGGAATAATATGCAAGTCAACAAATAAATACATCAAGAAGTCTCAGGGCCAGTCGAGGTGGCTCTAGCCTGTAATCCCAGCACTTTGGGAGGCCGAGGTGGGAGAATCACCTAAGGTCAGGAGTTAGAGACCAGCCTGGCCAACATGGTGAAACCCTGTCTCTACTAAAAATACAAAAAAATTAGCCGGGCGTGGTGGCGGGTACCTGTAGTCCCAGCTACTCAGGAGGCTGAGGCAGGAGAATGGATTGAACCCGGGAGGTGGAGGTAGCAGTGAGCCAAGATCGTGCCTCCAGCCTGGGCAACAAAGTGAGAGTTTATCTCAAAAAAAAAAAAAAAAGTTTCACGTATCCGCCAGGCGGGGTGGCTTAGGTCTGTAATCCCAGCACTTTGGGAGGCCAAGGCAGCCGGATCACTTGAGTCCAGGAATTCCAGACCAGCCTGGCCAACATGGTGAAACGTCTCTACAAAAAATACAAAAGTAAGCTAGGCGTGGTGGCACATGCCTTTAGTCCCAGCTACTCTGGAGGCTGAGGGGGGAGGATTACCTGAGCCCATACATGGAGGTTGCAGTGAGCTGAGATGGCGCCACTGCATACCAGCCTGGGTGACAGAGCGAGACCCTATCTCATAATAAATTAGTAAAAAATGCTGCATTGAAAAAAGTCTCTGGCCGGGCATGGTGGCTCATGCCTGTAATCCCAGCACTTTGGGAGGCCGAGGTGGGTGGATTACCTGAGGTCAGGAGTTCAAGACCAGCCCAGCCAACATGGCAAAACCCCATCTCTACTCAAAATACAAAATTTAGCCGGGTGTGGTGGCTTGCACCTGTAATCCCAGCTACTTGGGAGGCTGAGGCAGGAGAATTGCTTGAACCCGGGACGTGACAGTTGCAGTGAGCCAAGATTGTGCCATTGCACTCCAGCCTGAGTGACAGAGTGAAACTCTGTCTCAAAAAAAAAAAAACAGTCTCAGGTATCAATAAGTGTTGTGAAGAAAACAAGGTAATGAGATTGAGGGGAGAAGGAGGCAACAGTAAATTGGGTGATTAAATAAGACTTCTGTGAAGAGTGACATTTAAGCTGAAGTCCTTTAAATGGTCCTACATGATCTACTTCCCCATCCAATTTACATGTACCTTCTAACATATTTTTTCTAAGTTGGGCATGTGGTCCCAGCTACTCAGGAAGCTAAGGAGGTGGGAGAATCCCTTGAACCTGGGAATTCGAGGCTGCAGTGAGCTGAAATTGCACCACTGCACTCCAGCCTGAGTGACAGAGCAAGACCCTATCTCCTAACAAACAAACATATTTTGACATTTACTTGTGTATTAGGATTATTGTTTTTTGTATGTCCTCAGCAAGAAAAGGGAATTTTGATTTGTTTATTGGTAACAAAAACTGGTACATTGTATGTGCTCATTATGTGTTGAGTAAATAAATTTGGAGCTTACTGAGCAAGCAGAAAGTAGTAAGAGATGTCAGAGAGGCAGGCAGGGGCCAGAGCATGCAGGGATTTTATTACAGATCTTATGGGAAGGCATTGAAGGTTATTATTTTTTTTCTTTTGTATGGTCTTGCTCTCTTGCCCAGGCTGGAGTGCAGTGGTGTAATCTCAGCTCACTGCAGCCTCCAACTCCTGGATTCAAGCGATTCTCCTTCTGCAGCCTCTCCTGTAGCTGGGATTATAGGCACCCGCCACCAACGCCTGGGTAAGTTTTTGTATTTTTAGTTCAGGTATCCTCCAGGAAGGGTGGCTTGCGCCTGTAATCCCAGCACTTTGGAAGGCCAAAGCGGGCAGATCACTTGAGGTCAGGAGTTCAAGACCAGCCTGACCAACATGGTGAAACCTCATCTCTACCAAAAATATAAAAAATTAGCCAGGTGTCGTGGTTCGCGCCTGTAATCCCAGCTACTTGGGAGGCTGAGGCAGGAGAATCGCTTGAACCCAGGAGGCAGAGGTTGCAGTGAGCTGAGATCGTGCCACTGCACTCCAACCTGGGCAACAGAGAAAGACTCTGTCTCAAAAAAAAAAAAAAAGAACAAAAGTCTTAGAACTGAAAAATGCAAATAACTGAATTTAAAAACTCTCAGTGGATGGGATCAATAACAGAATGGAAGTGACATTTTTCCCAACAGAAGCTGGGAGGAAAAAAAGACATGGAAGTGACAGAAGAAAAAAAAATAACTGAACTGGAGGATAGAACAGTAGAAATAAGGCTGGGCGTGGTGGCTCACACCTCTAATCCCAGCACTTTGGGAAGCTGAGGCAGGTGGATTGTCTGAGCTCGGGAGTTCGAGACCAGCCTGGGCAACATGGTGAAACCCTGTCCCTACTAAAAGTACAAAAAATTAGCCAGGTGTGGTGGTGCGTGCCTGTATTCCCAGCTACTCAGGAGGCTGAGGCAGGAAAATCACTTGAACCTGGGAGATGGATGTTGCAGTGAGCTGAGATCGCACCACTGCAATCTAGCTTGGGCAATGGAGTGAGACTGTCTCCAAAAAACAAACAAACAAACAAAAAAACAATAGAAATTACCTGATCTGAACAAGAAAGAGAAAATAAAAATAGACTGAAAACAAAATTAAAAACAGAGCCTGTGGACCTGTGGAAATACTACAAAAGATCTACTATTTCTGTCCTCAGGGTTCCAGGAGGAGAGAATAAAGAGGGCCAGGTTGAAAAGGTAATGGGTAAAATAATGGCTGGATACTTGCCAACTTTGGCAAGAAAAATCTATAGATTCAAGAAGCTGAGCAAACACTACACAGAATACACCCATAGAAATCCATGCCACAACACATCACAATTAAACTTCTGAAAACTAAAGAGAGAAGAAATCTTGACAGCAGCCAGAGAAAACACCTTACCTAAAGACGAAAAATCATTTGAATGGCAGATTTCTCACTGCAAACCACAGAAGCCAGCAGAAGTGGCAAAATGTTTTTCATGCAAAAAGCGAATACAAAAAAACACCTGTCAACTCAGAATGCTATATGTAGTGAAAATGTCCTTCAGGAATCAAGGGGGAATCAAGACATTCTCAGAAGGAAAACTAAGAGAATTTGTCACCAGTAGGCCTTCCCCAAGAAAGGGCTAATGGAAGTTCTCTAAAAAGAAAGAAAACAATAAAACAAGGACCTTGGAAAATTAGAAAAAACAAACACGAAAGTAAAAATATGGGCAAATGCAATAAGCTTTTCTTATCCTTTTGAGTTTTCTAAATTATGTATGACAGTTGAAGTAAAAATTCATTTTGGAGACAGAGTCTTGCTCTGCTGCCCAGGCTGGAGTGCAGTGGGGCCATCTCGGCTCACTACAACCTCCACCTCCCGGGTTCAAGCAATTCTCATGCCTCAGCCTCCCAAGAAGCTGGGACTACAGGTACTTGACACCACGCCTGGCTAATTTTTTGTATTTTTAGTAGAGATGGGGTTTCACTGTGTTAGCCAAGATGGTCTCAATCTCTTGACCTCATGATCTGCCCACCTCGGCCTCCCAAAGTGCTGGGAATGCTATAATTTTTACTTTAGGTCGGGCGCAGTGGCTCATGCCTGTAATCCCAGCACCTTGGGAGGCCAAGGCAGGCAGATCACCTGAGGTCAGGAATTCGAGGCCGGGCGCGGTGGCTCACGCCTGTAATCCCAGCACTTTGGGAGGCCGAGGCGGGTGGATCACGAGGTCAGGAGATCGAGACCATCCTGGCTAACACGATGAAACCCCATCTCTACTAAAAATACAAAAAAATTAGCTGAGTGTGGTGGCGGGCACCTGTAGTCCCAGCTACTCGGGAGGCTGAGGCAGGAGAATGGCGTGAACCCGGGAGGCAGAGCTTGCAGTGAGCTGAGATCGCACCACTGCACTCTAGCCTGGGTGACAGAGCGAGACTCCGTCTCAAAAAAAAAAAAAAAAAAAAAGGAATTCGAGACCATCCTGGCCAACAAGGTGAAACCCCGTCTCTGCTAAAAAAAAAAAAAAAAAAAAAAAAATTAGCTTTGCATAGTGGCACATGCCTATAATCCCAGGTACCCGAGAGGCAGAGGTTGCAATGTGCTGAGATTGTGCCACTGCACTCCAGCCTGGGTGACAGAGCGAGACTCTGTCTCCAAAAAAAAAAATTATAGCATTATCTAATATAGTCCTAAATCTATATGGAGAAAATATTTCAAACAATTATCGTATAAACTGGGAATGGTGAAGGGACACAGAGGGAGGTAAGGTTTTTATATTTCTCTCAAACTGGTAAAATGATGACATTAGTAGACTGTCATAAGTCATGTATATATGAGCCATCACTTAAAAAGCTATACAAAGAGACACACTCAGAAGAGAAACACTATAGATAAAATGGAATTGTAAAAAATGTTTAACACAGAAAGGCAGAAAAACAGAGAACAAGCAGAAAACAAAAAATAAAATGAGGTGGGGCACGCTGGCTCGCATCTGTAATCCCAGCACTTTGGGAGGCCAAGGCAAGAGGATCCCTTGAGCCCAGGAGTTCGAGACCAGCCTTGGCAACATAATGAGACCTCATCTCTACAAACAATACACACACACACACACACACACACACACACAGACACACACACACAAACATGAGTGTGGTGGTGCACAACTGTATTCTTAACTACTTGGGAGGCTGAGGCAGGAGGATGACTTGAGCCCACCAATGTCAAGACTGCCGTGAGCTGCGATTTCGGCACTATACTCTAGTGTAAGTGATAGAGTGATACCTTGTCTCAAAAATAAAATAATCACTTCAACCTGAGGAAGCTGATTAGAAAAATAGAAAAAAATAAAATGACAGACTTCAGCCCTAACATATCAACAATTGCATTAAATGCAGATGGTCTAAATATGCCAATTAAAAGAAATTGGCAGAGTGGATTTTAAAAAAAACCAGTTGTATGTTATCTGCAACAAATTCACTACAGATATGATATAGGCAAGTTGCAAGTAAAAGGATGAAAAAAGTTGTGTCATACAAGCATTCATCAAAGGAAAGCAAGAGTGACTATACTAAAATAAACTAAAGTGGACTTTGGAGCAAAGAAAATTAACGTAGAAAGAGCGGGACATTATACGATGCTAAAAGAGTCAATCCACTAAGAAGACATAGCAATCCTAAATATGTATGCACTAAAAAACAGCACTGCAAAACATGTGAAGTGAAAACTGACAGACCTAAAAGTAGAAATAGATAAGTCCAAGCCAGGTGCAGTGGCCCACACCTGTAATCCCAGCACTTTGGGAGGCCGAAGTGGGAGGATTGCTTGAACATAGGAGTTGACTGGTCTGGGCAACATAGTGAGACCCTGCCTCACAAAAAATAAAAAAAAATTAGCCCAGCATGGTGCCACACACCTGTGGTCTCAGCTACATGGGAGGCTGAGGTGGGAGGATCTCTTGAGCCTAGGAGGTCGAGGCTGCAGTGAGCCATGATTGCACCACTGCACTACAGCTGGGTAACAGAGTGAGACCCTGTTTCAAAAAAAAAAGAAAAAAAAATCTAATGACTTAGGCAAAATTGATCACTTCCTCAAAAACAAGTTACCACAAGTCATCCAAGATGAAATAATTTGAATAGCCCTATAACTTTTTTTTTTTTTTTTGAGACAGAATCTCACTCTGTTGCCCTGGCTGGAGTGCAGTGGTGTGATCTCGGCTCACTGCAAACTCTGCCTCCCGGCTTCAAGTGATTCTTGTGCCTCAGTCTCCTGAGTAGCTGGGACTGCAGGCACATGCCACCATGCCTGGCTAATTTTTGTATTTTTAGTAGAGGCGGGGTTTTGCCATGTTGCCCAGGCTGGTGTCGAACTACTGACCTTAAGTGATACACCTGCCTTGGCCTCCCAAAGTGCTGGTATTACAAGCGTGAGCATGGGAGGTGGAAACTGTAGTGAGCTGAGATCGTGCTACTGCACTCCAGCCTGGGCAGACCCAGAACTTGTCTCAAAGGAAAAAACAAAAAGTTGAGGATCATCTATAATTTTATGAAGCTAGTTTTACTCTGATAACAAAACCAGACAGAGTACAAAAAAGAAAACTACAGAAATAATAACTGTCATGAATATACACACAAAAATCCGCAACAAAATATTAGCAAATGATAGCTACAAACATTTTTAAAATTTTTGTTAATGGGACAAAATATTAGCAAATATAAAAATGATTATTCACCATGGCCAAGTGGGGTTTTTTCCAGGGATGCAAGGCTGGTTCAATATTTCAAAATAAATCAATGGATTCTTCCATATTAATGGGCTCAAGAAGAAAAATCACATGATTATATCAATAGGTGCACACAAAACATTTGCAAAATTAAACATCCATTCATGATATAAATTCTCAGAAAAACAGAAGTAGAAGGGGAACTTCTTCAATGTGATAAGGAGCAGGTACAAAAACCCGCCGATGTTATACCTCTGGTCCTCTGTATCTGTGGATTCAACCAACAAGGGATCAAAAATACTTGGGGGAAAAAACCCAATAAGGATGTTGTGTTTGTACTGAACATGTACAGCCTTTTTTTCCTTGTCATTATTTCCTATCTAGACTATATGGTACGTCAACTATTTACATAGCATTTACATTGTATTATAAGTAATCTAGAGATAATTTAAAGGATGCAGGAAGGTATGCCTAGGTTATATGCAAATACTACACCATTTTATCTCAGGGACTTGAAGATCCTGGGATTTTGGTATACGTGGGGGATCCTGGAGCCAATCCCCCATGGACATCAAGGGACAAGTGTACTTAATGGTGAAATGCTGAATACTTTCTCCTAAAATTGGGAACAAGGCAAGAAAGGCCTCATCACTCTTTCACTGTTATTTATTATAGCACTAGAACTTCTAGCCAGTGGGACAAGACCAAAAAAAAAAAAAAAAAAAAAAAAGGAAGTAGCCAGGCGCAGTGGCTTACGCCTGTAATCCTAGCACTTTGGGAGGCTGAGGCGGGTGGATCACCTGAGATCAGGAGTTCCAGACCAGCCTGGCCAACATGGTGAAACCCCGTCTCTACCAAAAATACAAAAATTAGCCAGATGTGGTGGTGTACACCTGTAATCCCAGCTACTCGGGAGGCTGAGGCAGGAGAATCGCTTGAACCAGGGAGCCGGAGGTTGCAGTGAGCCCAGATCGCACCATTGCACTCCAGCCTGGGTGGCAGATTGAGACTCTGTCTCAAAAAAAAAAAAAGGGAAGTAAAAGGCATACAGGTTGGAAAGGAGGAAATAAAACTGTCCCATTTTTAGATGACACATGGTTTATGTAGAAAATCTCAAGGAATCTAGCAAAACTCTTACAACTAAATGAGTTCAGCAAGGTTACAGAATACATGATAAACATACCAAAATCAATTGTATTTGTATATACTAGCTAAGAATATGTGGACACTGAAATTGAAAGGAATATGCCACTTCTAATCATCCAAAAAGTGAAATAGTTAGGTGTAAATCTAACAAAACATACTTCAGACTTGTGTGCTGAAAACTACACAACACTGATAAGAGAAATAAAAAATATATGTATATTTTTGAGACACAAGCTCCCTTTGTTGCCCAGTCTGGAGTGCAGTGGTGTGATCTCAGCTCCCTGCAACCTTGGACTCCTGGGCTCAAGCAATCCTCTTCCTTCAGCATTCCGAGTAGCTGGGACTATAGGCGTGTGTCACCATGCCCAGCTAATTTTTTGGTATTTTTTGTAGAGATGTGTCTCACCAAGTTTCCCAGGCTGGTCTCCAACTCTTGGCCTCAAGCAATCATCGCTCCTCAGCCTCCCAAAGTGCTGAGATGACATGCATGAGCTACCATACCTGGTCTACACATTTTTTTACAATAAATAGACATACGGTGTTCATGGGTTGGAAGATTCAATATTGTAAAGATGTCAGTTTTCACCAAATTGATATACAGTTTAACAAAATTCCTATCAAAATCCCAGTAAGTTTTTTTTTTATTTATAGACAAGATGATTATTTTATTTTTTTCTTTTTTGAGACAGAGTCTCGCTCTGTCACCCAGGCTGAAGTGGAGTGGTGGGATCTCGGTTCACTGCAACCTCCACCTCCCAGGTTCAAGTGATTCTCCTGCCTCAGCCTCCCAAGTAGCTGGGATTACAGGCACCTACCACCACGCCTGGCTAATTTTTTTTTTTTTTTTTTGAGACGGAGTCTCATTCTGTCGCCCAGGCTGGAGTGCAGTGGCATGATCTTGGCTCACTGCAACCTCTGCCTCCCAGGTTCAAGCAATTCTCTTGTCTCACCCTTCTGAGTAGCTGGGACTACAGGTGCCCACCACCACGCCTGGGACTACAGGCGCCTGCCACCATGCCCAGCTAATTTTTGTATTTTTAGTAGAGACGGGATTTCACCATATTGGTCAGGCTGGTCTCAAACTCCTTACCTCAGGTGATCTGCCCGCCTCAGCCTCCGAAAGTACTGAAATTACAGGCGTGAGCCACCGCGCCCAGCCAATTTTTGTATTTTTTTAGTAGAGATGGGGTTTCACCATGTTGGCCGGGCTGGTCTCAAACTCCTGACCTCAGGTGATCTGCCTGCCTCCACCTCCCGAAGTGCTGGGATTATAGGCATGAGCCACTGAGCCGGGCCTATTCTAAAATTTACATTAAAAGGCAAAGGAACTAGAATAGCTAGAACAATTTTGGAAAGGAAAAATAAAGTGGGAGGAATCTCTTTACCTGCTTTCAAGACTTATTTTTTACGACTGCAGTAATCAAGACTGGTGTTGGTGGAGGATAGACACATAGACCAATGGAACAGAATAGAGAACCCAGAAAAAGACTCACTCAAATATGCCCAACTGAATTTTGACAGAGGTACAAAAGTAATTCAGTAGAGGAAAAACACACCATTTTTAACAAATGGTGCTGGAGCAATTGAACATCTGTAGGCAAACAAAAACCAAACCAAAACAAAAAACCCTTGACCTATGTCTCACATGTTATCCAAAAATTAACTCAACGTGTATCATGAACTTAAACCTAAAACTATAAAACTTTTAGAATTAAGGCCAAGCGCGGTGGCTCACGCCTGTAATCCTAGCACTTGGATTACAAGTAATCCCGAGATTACAATCTCGGGAGGCTGAGATGGGTGGATCACTTGAGGCCAGGAGTTCAAGACCAGCCTGGCCAACATGGAGAAACCCGATCTCTACTAAAAATACAAAAATTAGCCGGGCATGGTGACGGGCGCCTGTAATCCCAGCTCCTTGGGAGACTGAGAGGCATGAGAATCGCTTGAACCTGGGAAGCAGGGGTTGCAGCGAGCCGAGATAGTGCCACTGCACTATAGCCTGGGTGACAGAGTGAGACTCTGTCTCAAAAACAAACAACAGCAAAAAAAGCCAGAAAAAAAAAAAAAACTTAGAATGAAAGAGGAGAAAATTTGCAGGATCTAGGGCCAGACAGAATTCTTAGACTTGGCACCAATAATAGCATGATCTATAAGTGGAACAATCGATAAATTGAACATTAGAATTTAAAACTTTTGCTCTGTGAAAGGGCCAGTTAAGAGGAGGAACAGACAGCTATAAAGTGGGAGAAAGAATTTGCAAACCACATATCTGACAAAGCACTAATAGGTAGCATATATAAAGAAAGAATTCTTAAAATTCAGCTGTCAAAAAACAATCCAATTAGAACATGAGCAAATGGCAGGAAAAGAGATTTCATTGGAGAGGATATATGTAATACAAATGGCAAGTAAGCAGATGAAGAGATGTTCAACACCATTAGCCATCAGAGAATGCAAATTAAAACCACAACGAGATATCACTACCAATCAGAATGGCCAAAAAAACCCAAAAACAAAAAAAATCAGTGACAACACCAAATGCTGGTGAGGAGGTGGAAAAACAGAATGACTCATACATTGCAGGTAGAAATGCAAAATGGTACAGTCACTTTGGAAAGTTTGCCAGTATCTCCAGTATCTTTTTTTTTTTTTTTTAGATGGAGTTTTGCTTTTGTTGCCCAGGACGGAGTGCAATGGTGTGATCTTGGCTCACTGCAACCTCCACCTCCTGGGTTCAAGCGATTCTCCTGCCTCAGCCTCCCAAGTATCTGGGATTACAGGCATGCGCCACCACACCTGGCTAATTTTTTGTATTTAGTAGAGATTTATTAGGGGTTTCACCATGTTGGTCAGGCTGGTCTCGAACTCCTGACCTCAGGTGATCCATCTGCCTCAGCCTCCCAAAGTGCTGGGATTACAGGCATGCACCACTGCGCCTGGCGGTAGTGTGTTTTGTTTTGTTTGAGATAGGGTATCACTCTTGTTGCCCTGGCTGGAGTGCAGTGGCATGATCACGGCTCACTGCAGCCTTGACAGCCCCTGGCTCAAGCGATCCTCCCACCTCAGCCTCCTAAGTAGCTGGGACTGCAGGTCCGCGCCACCATGCCTGGCTAATTTTTTGTATTTTTACAAAATAAAGCAGACAGAGGTGGGAGGATTGCTTGAGACTAGGAGTTTGAGACTAGCCTTGGCAACATAGCAAGACTCTCCACCCTGTCTCTAAACTCTTTCTCTCTCTCTCACACACACACACACACACACATACACACACACACACACACTTCATTGAGTGTGGTGACAGGTGCCTAGTCCTAGCTACTCCGGAGGCTGAGGCTGGAGGATCACCTGGGCCCAGGAATTTGAGGCTGCATTCCTTTGAGCTGTGATTGTACCACTGCATTCTAGCCTGGGCGATAGAGTGAGGTCTTGACTCTAAAAGAGAACAAAACGGAAACAAAAAACCCCAGCTATTGCACTCCTGGCATGTATTCCAGAGAAATGAAGACCTCTATTTACATAAAACCTATGCATAAATGTTTATAGCAGTTTTATTCTTAATAGCCAGATATCCTTCAGTGGCTAAACTGGTAAATCCATGCCACTCTGCAATAAAAAGGAATGAACTATTGATATGCAACAACAAGAGGAATCTCCAGAGAATTCTGCTGAATTAAAAAAAAAAGCCAATCCCTCAAGGTTACACACTGTATGATGTGATTCTATTTACTTAACATTCTTTTTTTTACTTAACTTTTTTTTTACTTAACATTTTTTTTTTTTTTGAGACACAATCTCACTCTGTTGCCCAGGCTGGAGTGCAGTGGCGCCATCTCGGCTCACTGCAACCTCCGCCTCCCGGGTCCAAGCATCAGCCTCCCCAAGTAGCTGGGATTACAGGCACCCACTATCATGCCCAGCTAATTTTTGTATTTTTAGTAGAGACAGGGTTTTGCCATGTTGGCCAGGCTGGTCTCGAGCTCCTGACCTCGGGTGATCCGCCCACCTCGGCCTCCAAAAGTGCTGGGAATACAGGCATGAGCCACTGTGCCTGGCCAGCATATCTTTTTAAAAACAGGTGCCCCAAAATGGACATGATACTTCAAACATAATAATCTAATTATTGCAGGGGACCATGAGATTATAAACTCCTGGTTTTTGTTTTCAATTTTGTATTTTTTTTGAGACAGATTCTCACTCTGTCACGCAGGCTGGAGTGTAGTGGTGCGATCTCGGCTCACTGCAACCTCTGCCTCCTGGGTTCAAGCGATTCTCATGCTTCAGCCTCCCAAGTAGCTGAGACTACAGGCAGGCACCACCAAAATTTTTGATTTTTTTTTTTTTGTAGAGACGGGGTTTCACCATATTGCCTAGGCTTGTCTTGAACTCCTGTGCTCAGGTGATCTGCCTGTCTCGGCCTCCCAAAGTGGTGGTGTTACAGGCGTGAGCCACCGCGCCTGGCCAAACTCCTGCTATTTGATTTTATTCTCATTTCAGTTACTTAAATACAAATACTGTCAACCTCAAGCTGCCTTTAGTCCTCCTCTTCCTGTTGCCCACATGCAGATATAGTTCTTTTTTTTTTTTTTTTTTGAGACAGAGTTTCGCTCTCCTTGCCCAGGCTGGAGTGCAATGGCGCGATCTCAACTCACCGCAACCTCTGCCTCTTGGGTTCAAGCAATTCTCCTGCCTCAGCCTCCCGCAGATACAGTTCCTTTATTAAAAATTTTTATTGCCGGGCACGGTGGCTCCAGCCTGTAATCGCAGCACTTTGGGAGGCCGAGGCGGGCGGATCACGAGGTCAGAAGATCGAGACCATCCTGGCTAACAGTGAGACCCCATCTCTACTAAAAATACAAAAAATTAGCCAGGTGTGCTGGCGGGCGCCTGTAGTCCCAGCTACTTGGGAGGCTGAGGCAGGGGAATGGCATGAACCTGGGAGGGGGAGCTTGCAGTGAGCCGAGATCGTGCCACTGCACTCCAGCCTGGGGAACAGGGAGAGACTCTGTCTCAAAAAAAAAATTTTTTTTTTATTGCCGGGTGCGGTGGCTTAAGCCTGTAATCCCAGCACTTTGGGAGGTCGAGGCGGGCGGATCACGAGGTCAGGAGATCGAGACCATCCTGGCTAACACGGTGGAACCCCATCTCTACTAAAAAAAAATACAAAAAAATTAGCCGGGCGTGGTGGCGGGCACCTGTAGTCCCAGCTACTCAGGAGGCTGAGGCAGAATGGCGTGAACCCGGGAGGCGGAGCTTGCAGTGAGCTGAGATAGTGCCACTGCACTCCAGCCTGGGCGACAGAGCAAGACTCCGTCTCAAAAAAAAAAAAAATTATTGTGGCAAAATGTACATACAATTTCCCAATTTTACCCATTTTTCTTTATTTCAAATTTTTAAGTTCAAAGGGCACCTCTGCATGATTGTTACATGGGTAAATTGCTCAACATTGGAGTTCGGTGCGCAGATTATTTTGTCACTGAGGTAATGAGCCTAGTACCTGAGAGCTGATTTTTCGATCCTCACCCTCCTTGTTTCAGCCTTGAGTAGGCACTGGTATCTATGGTTCCCTTCTTTGGATCCATGTGTACTCAATGTTTAGCTCCCACTTATAAGTGAGAATATAATTTCTTTTTTTTTTTTTTGAGACGGAGTTGCGCCTTGTCGCCCAGGCGAGTGCAGTGGCGCGAAATCGGCTCACTGCAAGCTCCACCTCCCGGGTTCATGCCATTCTCCTGTCTCAGCCTCCTGAATAGCTGGGACTACAAGCGCCCGCCACCACGCCTGGCTAATTTTTTGTATTTTTAGTAGAGATGGGGTTTCACTGTGTTAGCCAGAATGGTCTCGATCTCCTGAACTCGTGATCTGCCCGCCTTGGCCTCCCAAAGTGTTGGCATTACAGGCGTGAGCCACCGCGCCCGGCCAGTGAGAATATAATTTTAACCATCTTATTTTGAGTCTCACTCTATCGCCCAGGCTGGAGTGCAGTGGCGCGATCTTGGCTCACTGCAAGCTCCGCCTCCCGGGTTCACGCCATTCTCCTGCCTCAGCCTCCCGAGTAGCTGGGACTTACAGGCGCCCGCCACCATGCCCGGCTAATTTTTTTGTATTTTTAGTAGAGACGGGGTTTCACCGTGTTAGCCAGGATGGTCTCGATCTCCTGACCTCGTGATCTGCCCGCCTCGGCCTCCGAAAGTGGTGGGATTACAGGCGTGAGCCACTGCGCCCGGCCAGAAAATTGAATAATATTTCATTGCATGTATACACGTTTTGTTTATCCATTCATCCATCAATCGATATTTGGATTTTTCTACCTTTTGGCTATTGTTAATAATGCTGCATTGAACATTGGTGTACAAATAACCGAGTCCCTGCTTTCAATTTTTTTTTTTTTTTTAGACTGAGTTTTGCTCTGTCGCCCAGGCTAGAGTGCACTGGCGCACTGCAACCTCTGCCCCCCAGGTTCAAGCGATTCTCCTGTCGCAGCCTCCCGAGTAGCTGGGACTACAGGTGCTTGCCACCATGCCCGACTAATTTTTTTTTTTTTTTTTTGAGACGGAGTCCCCCTCTGTAGCCCAGGCTGGAGTGCAGTGGCGCAATCTCGGCTCACTGCAAGCTCCACCTCCCGGGTTTACGCCATTCTCCTGCCTCAGCCTCCCGAGTAGCTGGGACTGCAGGCGCCCGCCACAACGCCTGGCTAATTTTTTTTGTATTTTTAGTAGAGATGGGGTTTCACTGTGTTAGCCAGGATGGTCTCAATCTCCTGACTTCGTGATCCTCCCGCCTCAGCCTCCCAAAGTGCTGGGATTACAGGCGTGAGCCACCATGCCCGGCCAAGCCCGGCTAATTTTTGTATTTTTAGTAGAGAGGTTTCACCATGTTGGCCAGGCTGCTCTCGAACTCCTGAACTCAGGTGATCCGCCTGACCCAGCCTCCCAAAGTGCCAGGATTAGAGGTGTGAGCCACCACACCTGGCCTCAATAAAATATTTAATAACATCTTTCAAGATGAGTATTTTTTTAATTGCTAAAATGTGAAATTTTAAAAATTAAAAAAAATTTTTTTTTGAGACAGAGTTTCGCTCTCCCAGACTGGAGTGCAGTGGCTTGATCTCGGCTCACTGCAACTTCCGCCTCTCGAGTTCAAGCAATTCTCCTGCCTCAGCCTCCCGAGTAGTTGGGACTACAGGCTCCCACCACCGTGCCCAGCTAATTTTGTATTTTAGTAGAGACGGAGTTTCACCATGTCGACCAGGCTGGTCTTGAACTCCTGAGCTCAGGCAATCCGCCCGCCTTGGCCTCCAAAAGTCCTAGAATACAGGTGTGAGCCACTGTGCCCGGCCATTTTTTTTTTGTTTAAGTTCCCGGATACATGTACACAACTGTGCAGAATGTGCAGGTTTGTTACATAGGTAAATGTTTGCCATGGCTGTACCTATTAACCCATCACTGAAGTATTAAGCTCTGCATGCATTAGCTGTTTATCCTGATGCTCTCCCTCCCCCTGCCCCTCCAAGATGAATATTTTAATAAAAATGTTTGTTCTAACCTTGTAGGCTTCCCACTTTCGTTTCCTAGGAAAATGTAGTATTTAGTGGCAATCATTCAGAACCAATGGGGTTTAAAAACTGGTGGAAATCTAGATCAATATTACATAGTGACAGATACTTTTTTTTTAGAGACAGGGTCTTGCCCTTGTCACTCAAGTGTAGTGGTATGATAATGGCTTGTTGCAGCTTTGGGCCTTGGACTCCTGGGCTCAAGTGATCCTCCCACCTCAACCTCCTAAGTAGCTGGGGCTACATGCATGCACCATCACACCTAATATAATTTTTTTGTAGAGATGGGGATCTAGCTATGTTGCCCAGGTTGGTCTTGAACTTCTGGCCTCCAGTGATCCTCCCACCTCAGCCTCCAAAAGTGCTAGGATTACATGCATGAGCCACCACATCTGACCAGTCACACAAATTTTTATGTCCAGAGTAATTCTTACCAGTATAATTCTAGATCTTATGACCCTAATTTAAATACCCTAAATGATATTTCAATTAGGGTATTTAAATTAGGGTCATAAGATGTAGAATTATTTTTCAAGAGCTCACTGAAATATGGAGAAGGAGAGGTGTTACCATTTGGTCATCTACTTCAGTGGCAGCTGTTGAGCACAGTGTCACATGAAAGACAAGGATGTCATGGAATTTAGCTAGAGTGGTTGGTGTTTCAGATGTGTAAGGGCTGCTAGCCATAGGTGTCATGGGGGCTCAAGACTGGGCCAGGGCTGCTTCCAGATGCAGCCTCAGACAGCCCAGATCTCTGCTTTACATATGCTGGATACTTACGACTTTTGTGGATGAAGTACTTCTTAGTGGAGTCTGTGAGCAGGGTGACTGTTCTAACAATACATGTATATGCTGCAAATTATAGCTTATTTTGAAATATTTGATATAAAATATTTCAACTGGATTAGAAATCCATTCCCATTATAAGAAATTTCATGTTTGTTGGTCAGCCATGGTGGCTCACTGTACATATTTTTCTTATCATAGTTAAAGGATGTATAATAATTTTTTTTCTACAAGTCATATGTACTTACCACTCAGCCCCCTCAAATTTGTTCCATTGTGCCATACAAAGTATCTTTTTGTGCCTGCCAGAACGTGAGAAATGTTAAAGGTACTCCTCATAGACAGTCTCAGATTTTAAAGATGGTTCCTAACAGGGAGAGAGAGATGGCTACACTTACGATTCATTATATGGTTGACAAAGGTCAAATATTCATAATTTTGCAACTTGATCCTATTTCCCCACAAAATTCATCCTTCATAAAATGTGCATGGCTACAGTTTACAGTCTTGAGTGTTATGGGGACTTTCTGGAGACCTTTCAGTCAGTTTTGTGCCAACCTTTTAATAGGCTGGATCAAATCCACCAGATTCTTCCTCTATAAGACTGATAAAATCATTTCAAGTTTGCTATCATGATTTTGTGACAGCAGCTAATGAATACTTTGTAAATTATTTTGTAAAACCAGATGGTCTCACGTTTATACTGTTTATACTAAATAGACCGTAAACTCTAGATTCTAAAGTAACACACACACACCATACCCCTCTATATTGTTTTATAGTTTTATTTTTTTTAAATGACAGTTACAAGTGCTTTTCCCTTGATGGGCAATGACGTAACTATTTTCAGTTATTAGTAATGCCTTAAAAAGTAACAGCATTTTGTCTAAACTGAACTTATATAATTGCACAAAAGTCATGGAAAGCATTAAGAAATGCTGGTAAAGATTGAAGTTTTCTCAGATTCTTGCGCAATTCCAAGAAGCCTTGATTCCAGTGGGTCCTCTGATTCAAACAATAATGATGCTCAAACTCAGTGACACACAGGTAGAGAACAGCAGCACAACCAGGAGAACCCATGTGGTTTGTAACAGTGAAATTCTGCTCTACTGTTAAGGTTTAATGATGCATTCATTCATCTTTTCATTAGGAGCATAAAAAACACCTCAAATTATATTTTCTCAGGCTTAAAACTTGTTTTGAGCTATGGATTCTACTTCAGGAAACAAAAATTAAAAAAAAAAAAACACAATCACACCATAAAAACCTCTTCTAAGCAGGTTCCTTTATGTTGCTACTGTCTGTGGTGCCTGCCTAATTTTCTAATAGACACACAAACGAATTACATTCTCAGCTATCAGACACTAGTTGAGGGACAGCAGATAGGTTCTAACTCAAATTCTGTTTTATTGGCAGAAGTTATTGGAAACACTGTTACAAAGGACTCCGAGGTCACCGCTGGACTGGTGAACAGCTCACTGTGCTTTCTTCTCCATCTCTGACATGGGAACAGGAGGGGGAGAAGCAGCATTTGTGCTTCACATTTCTGATCTCTGTATTATTA
The DNA here is from genome assembly GCF_000001405.40 of Homo sapiens. NCBI lineage: Eukaryota > Metazoa > Chordata > Mammalia > Primates > Hominidae > Homo > Homo sapiens. Next base: position 40,932,020 of record NC_000022.11, on the reverse strand, counting down.
ACAAAGCTGAACAGGGTGTGGGTGTGGATATTTGGAAAGACATAACAAAGGTACATTTTTCTGTTTTAATAAGTTGCAATGTCTTTAGATGGAGGTTTAACATGTTTTATTTGTATCTTAATCTCAAGACAGTATTTCTACGGTGAAGGTTTTTCCCTTTCTCACCTTACAAAAACGGAGAAAAAAGCAAGGTTTTGAAGGAAGATGCACACACAGTACTTTAAGTTACTCTCAGAAGCATTTTCCTAACGTGGATACTATGATTATGAGAGGAGGAGAGTTCTCACTCCAGTTTTTCTCTTCTTTTTTATTGAGACAGGGTCTTTCTCTGTTGCCCAGGGTGAAGTGGCACAATCATGGCTCACTGCAGCCTTGACCTCCTAAGCTCAAGCGATCCTCCCACCTCAGCCTCCTGAGTAGCTGGGACTATAGGTGCAAACCACCACACCTGGCTAACTTTAAATTTTTTTGTTGAGACAAGGTCTCTCTATGTTGCCTAGGCTGGTCTCAAACTCCTGGGCTCAAGTGACCATCCCTCCTTGGTCTCCCAAAGTGCTGGGATTATAGCTGTGATCCACTGCACCCAACTTTACTATAGTATTTATACTGTTGTGTTTCAAATAAAGAACACAGTCTGTTTCCTAATTATGGTGACAAAATAGTAATTCCTGAAATAAATACATAAAAGTATGTGACACTGGATATCCAGATATGTTTCCTTCATTTAGGTGGTATTGTTAATGATCTAACCATGTATCTTCAATTCAGGGAGAAAAATTCCAGTAGTAACATTTGAGTAATTTTTTTTAAGTTAAGATTTTTAATAGGAATGCCTGGTATATATATTATTTATTATACTTAGAACTAAAGGCTCGGCTGGGCACGGTGGCTCACACCTGTAATCCCAGCACTTTGGGAGGCCAAAGTGGGCAGATCACGAGGTCAGGAGATCAAGACCATCCTGGCCAACATGGTGAAACCCTGTCTCTACTAAAAATACAAAAATTAGCTGGGCATGGTGGTGCGTGCCTGTAATCCCAGCTACTTGGGAGGCTGAGGCAGGAGAACTGCTTGAACCAGGGAGTTGGAGGTTGCAGTGAGCCAAGATGGCGCCACTACACTCCAGCCTGGCGACAAAGCAAGACTGTCTCTGGCTGGGGGCCGTGGCTCATGCCTGTAATCCCAGCAGTTTGGGAAGCTGAGGTGGGTGGATCACAAGGTCAGGAGATCAAGACCAGCCTGGCCTGGCCAAGATGGTGAAACCCCGTCTCTACTAAAAATACAAAAATTGGGTGTGGTGGCAGGTGCCTGTAATCCCAGTTACTAGGGAGGCTGAGGCAGGAGAATTGGTTGAAGCCGGTGGGTGGAGGTTGCAGTGAGCCAAGATCACACCACTGTACTCCAGCCTGGGTGACAGAGTGAGACTCTATCTCAAAAAAAAAAAAGAACTAAAGGCTCAACACAAATAAATGATAAATGTTCAATGTGATGGATATGCTAATTGTTCTGATCTGATCATTATATATGTATCAAAACATCATTATTTACCCTGTAAATACGTACAATTATATGTCAATTAAAAACTTTAAAAAGGCTGGGTGCAGTGGCTCACGCCTGTAATCCCAGCACTTTGGGAGGCTGAGGTGGGCAGATTATGAGGTCAGGAGATTGAGACCATCCTGGCTAACACAGTAAAACCCCATCTCTACTAAAAATACAATAAACTAGCCGGGCATGGTGGCACGCGCCTGTAGTCCCAGCTACTCAGGAGGCTGAGGCAGAAGAATTGCCTGAACCCGGGAGATGGAGGTTGCAGTGAGCCAAGATCGTGCCACTGCACTCCAGCCTGGGTGACAGAGCGAGACTCCATCTCAAAAAAAAAAAAAACAAAAAAACCCCACAAAAAACCTTTAAAAAAAAAAAAAGCTAATATAAAGCCTTTACCTTAAAACTCTGAATTTATCTTATTCACTTTTTACCCTTAGAAGTTTATGAACTTGCAAAGGCAGTTGAAAACTATGGTAAGTCTTCAAGTCCCAGCTTTATTAAATGTAAGAGACCAGCAAACTTTAACCTAAATTTTAAGAATTTTAAGAAATATTTGGAAAATACTATTAGAAAAATAAAATTATTTGATATCCAGTAACAGTTAATAGCATTCTCTGTATTAAAAAATTACTAAAGGGAAATGGGTATGTCTGCGGCATGGCTGAGAATGAGTAAGATCACACACAGCTTATCTGCTCAACAAATCCTGAATATATCAGACAGCCCATAACATTGCTATGAGAAGTCTGATTCAAATGCTTAGCTGCTATAGTTAGTTAATCTGGGACTCAAAGGACAATATACCTGGGTCAGGGACTGAAAATCACCAGAAGAATTCTACAACAGCCTTTCTGCCTACCAATAACACCTATAGAACTTGACTGGAATCTAACCAGAAGTGTGTTTCATGTCCAAGTATGCTGCTATACATACAAGCTACCTAGGCTTTTAGCTAGAAAAGTTTAGACCATAGAAAATGATACAGGAGGTGCGGTGGCTCACGTCTGTAATCGCAGCACTTAGGGAGGCCGAGGCGGGCAGATCATGAGGTCAGGAGTTCGAGACCAGCCTGGCCAACACAGTGAAACCTCGTCTCTATTTAAAATACAAAAAAATAGCCGGGTGTGGTGGCAGGCGCCTGTATTCCTAGCTATTCGGGAGGCTGAGGCAGGAGAATCGCTTGAACCTGGGAGATGGAGGTTGCAGGGAGCTGAGGTCTCGCTATTGCACACCAGCCCCGGTGACAGTGTGAGACTCCGTCTCAAAAAAAAAAAAAAAAAGAAAAGAAAAGAAAATGATACAAGAAGAAAAGGAAATTCCTTATTCCTGGATTACAAATGAACAAAGGAAACACAATCCAAGGAAAGGGCTGTTGGGGGCACAGAGCCTGGGAAGTGAGCAGCCAGAGCTGTGGAGTTATTTCCCTCCCCTTTTTTTAAAAAGCTCTGGATTGAGAAATTGGAGGGAGGTGGGAAGGTGGGTATGGGGGATGGAGACTCCAGCTGTGCAGCCTCCATTCTGAGAGCTGCTTAGATAAGGTGCGCAAAGCCAGGCATTCCTAGGCTAGCACTGTCAGGATATGATTTGTATCACTTTTGTTTTCACATTATCTGTCTCTTGAGGAAGTCACTGCCTGTCTGCTTTTCACTCTGTACCCTGGGTTTCCCTGATAAGATAGGCAAACTTCCAGCATTACAGAGATTGTTAATCCCCTAGCTTGTGCTTCCCTAATACAAATTGTTTTTTTAAGAAACCCTCAAATTTGTGTTCTAACAATTGGCATGTTTTATACATCTTGACCTCATATCCAGGTTTAAAGGAGGTGAACACACTGGTTCTTAAAGCTTCCCTCTATCACAGACGCTCCTAAATAAGCTATCTGTGGTAATCTAGCCCTGTTCATCTTGCAAACTGAGTTGCTGTATAATTGTATCCAATGTTTGTGTTTAAAAAAATATGACTCTTACACCGGGCGCAGTGGCTCATGCCTGTAATCCTAGCACTTTGGGAGGCTGAGGTGGGCGGATTGCCGGAGCTCAGGAGTTTGAGACCGGCCTGGGCAACAGGGTGAAACCCTGTCTCTACTAAAATACAAAAAATTAGCTGGGCATGGCAGCGTGCACCTGTAGTCCCAGTTACTTGGGAGGCTGAGGCAGGAGAATTGCCTGAACCCAGGTGGTGGAGGTTGTAGTGAGCTGAGATTACGCCACTGCACTCCATCCAGCCCAGGCGACAGAGCGAGACTCTGTCTCCAAAAAAAAAAAAAAAAAAGAAGTATGACTCTTTACCACTGCACTCCCAGTGCTAGTATCAAAGAAAGATAAGAATCATAGGATATTTACGGGTACTTGGTAGATTCCATATTTTGTTTCTATTAGCACTAGAGGAAATCACAGAATGATAACAGGGGTACTTCTCTGAAAACTGGGCGCTACTACTGTGACTCTGACAGGGTACGTAAGTAGAGGATCTGCTCCTGCGCAGCACAACAGCTAAAAGGGTAACCTGTGAGGGTCAGTGCATTAAGAATCTATAGAGGGAGCAGGGATATCTGCGAAAGAAATCTTTCTTTTTTTTTTCTTTTTTTTTTTTTTTTTTGAGACGGAGTCTCGCTCTGTCACCCAGGCTGGAGTGCAGTGGCGCGATCTTGGCTCACTGCAAGCTCTGCCTTCTGGGTTCACGCCATTCTCCTGCCTCAGCCTCCTGAGTAGCTGGGACTACAGGCATCCGCCACCACGCCCAGCTAATTTTTTTTGTATTTTTAGTAAAGACGGGGTTTCACCGTGTTAGCCAGGAGGTCTCAATCTCCTGACCTCGTGATCCGCCCACCTCGGCCTCCCAAAGTGCTGGGATTACAGGCTTGAGCCACCACGCCCGGCCAGAAATCATTTTTTTCTTTTCTTTTTATTAATTTTTGAAGTCATCATTAAGAAATCAACTTTAAATTGAAGAGAAAAGATGGCAGGATGTCAGGATTTTATTTATTTATTTGTTTTTTTGAGGCAGAGTCTTGCTCAGTCACCCAGGCTGGAGTGCAGTCGCATGAGCTCAGCTCACTGCAACCTCCACCTCCCAGGTTCAAGCAATTCTCATGCCTCAGCCTCCCAAGTAGCCAGGATTACAGGCATGTATCATCACACCCAGCTCATTTTTGTATTTTTAGTAGAGACAGTGTTTCACCACGTTGGCCAGGCTGGTCTTGACCTCCTGGTCTCAAGAGATCCACCTGCCTGGACCTCCCAAAGTGCTGGGATTACAGGCGGAACCGCTGTGCCCAGCCCTGATGTCTGGATCTTTAGTATATACATATATAATTTTCTTTCTCTTCCATTTCCATCTTTATCAAGAATCTAAACACTTTCCAGGTCCCAGGCAACCAAATGGCAAGAAAAGCTCAGAAGTGTTTTGTTTGGTAGGTAGCTAGTGTTGCTGGAACCTGGACTGTGGCTGACTAGTAAGACTGCAGGACACCAGTGCCCCTGAGGGCTCATATGGCTCCAGTAGATATGCAGGATCTAGAATAGGTAGGGAGGAGTTACAGAAGGTATGTATTGGCCGCCCACAATCACCGAAAGATGAATTTTTGCATAGGCAGAGACCTTGGTAATTAGCTAAAAATACAGGCATCACACAAACTTCTTATGATATTGGGTTGATCTCAGCAAAAGTATAGAAAGGGAAGGACTTGAAAGAAGAAGTGAATTTTCTATATGTTTAAATGTGTTAACTGGAATGCATGGACATGTGTAACCAAGACCTTTATGTTTAAAAATTAAACTTGCTCTGATCATTAATTCTATAGAATTAATGTTACCAAAGCTGCAGTAACATACTATTCAAAAATTCATTTTCCCAGACTTCTAACTACTTAAAACAAAAAACCCCCCACACACAATTACATACATTCACACAGCTGCTATGCTCCCAAATGGAATGCATATATTAATGCACACACAGAGACACTCAGAAAGCACACGTGCAGGGCTGCCAGAAGACACCCATTTTGAACCTGAGGTGCATGTGGGCCGCAGTGAAGGTCAAGAAGCCTGGCTGCATATCTGTTCAATGTCATTCATCTCTTTGGGACAGTCTGCAGAAAGGATGAGAGGTGAGTCCTGAGTCACCACTACATCATCCTCAATTCGTACACCAAGACCCCGAAACTTCTCTGGGGCATCTTTGTCATCCTCTGGAATATAAATGCCTGTGAAGTAGAAAGAAGAACATGCTGTTCAGGAATGATAGTAACTGGGTGGTTTGGGGCAAGTAAGTTAACCTCTGGGTTAAAATTCCTTCCTCTGTAATACTGGATCTTTATGGTACCTACCTAGTAAAGCTGTGAGGATTAAATGAGATAATACATGTCAAAGTGGCTGGCATATAATGGTCAACACATGTTGGTATCATTACTAAAATTATTATTGTGGTTATCTTTATATTGGACTACAAGCTAAATACAACTACGGCAATGCTGATCATGATTCTGTCATATTCTAGTGGCTCAAGCAGGCCAATAAAGTTACTTAATTTAAAAGTACGTCAATATATGTGGGGGACAAGCAGATTATGTAAGTGCATTCTTCCCCTGCCTAAGAGTCCCTTGGAAAAAGAGCACCTTGCAAAAATAAAGACAAAATATATTTAAACTGTATTCAAAGAAACATTTAGAGATTATTAGCCTTGACAACTGGAAGCTGCAGAGACAGTCATTATAAGATTTAAATATATCTGATGTGTGTAATATAAAATACAAGAGAAACTGAAAGACTTTAATGTACATTTGGAAAAATGTAGGAACCCCAGGTACCCTTTCTAATCATGAAGTTAGACACATACCAGGGCTTTTTATATTAAACAAGTTGTAAACTTCCTCCACTATCCTCACAGATACTGCTCTGCGATTGAAAAAGAAAGATCAGCAAAGGAAAATGTAGCGCAGTCTAAGGAAGCGCCCATGTACCAAACAGATTGAACTAAATGATATATCTATGGCCACAGATAGCAATGTATGACTAGGTTCAAAGGGTGGCATAAAAGACATTTCACAGCCATAATTTATACAGAGATTAAAATACTTGAAATCTAAAATTTAGATCTGTTTTCAAAACAAAACCAGCATCAGTATTTAACCATCAACTCTGACAACATCAATCTTCACACACCATTGTGGTCACTGCTTCTCTTCAGAATCCTGCCCAACACCCAGGACCATTCAAGTTAGGTAACGTATCCGATTGTTAGCTTTCTCTGAAGCTTATGAGGAAGGCGATGGATACTAAGGAGTGGGATGGTGCTGGGTAGCTCAATGCAGCTTGCAGAGGTGTTGAAACTGAGAGCATAGTGTGTCTGCCTGTCTCTCTGCACACAAGCACCGGGGGCTTTGGAAGCTTGAGCAGCCCCCCACTACTAAATGGGAGACCAGTACAAACTGGCCCTGGGAAAGGCAGGATTAAAAAAGATTCATTTCTTAATATCTACTTATAGGAAGTATTCCCCATCTGTTGTTTATTGGAGGAGTCAAACTGAACAAATTGTGTGATATTAAATAAGAATACAAAAGATAAATCGAAAATAAAATTACCTTCCACACTGGACTTTTTTTCCTGTCTCTTCTAACTTAATTACATTGGTTGAGGTAAAAATAAACAATGTGGCTGGGCGCGGTAGCTCACGTATAATCCTAGCACTTTGGGAGACTGAGATAGGTGGATCACCTGAGGTCAGGAGTTCGAGACCAGCCTGGCCAACATGGCGAAACCCCGTCTCTACTAAAAATATAAAAATTAGCCAGGCGTGGTGGCCGACACCTGTAATCCCAGATACTCAGGAGGTTGAGGCAGGAGAATTGCTGAACCTGGGGGGCGGAGGTTGCAGTGAGTGAAGATCACACCACTTCACTCCAGCCTGGGCGAAAGAGCAAAACTCCATCTCAAAAACAAACAAACAAACAAACATTTACCTCATACTACTATTGTAACACCTCTCCTTACCGGGCTCAATTGTGATTACCATCCCAGGCTGCAGAGGGAGGGAACGGGGCATGTCTGGAGTGTCATGGACATCCATCCCGAGGTAGTGGCCAACATGATGAGGACAGTATTTTCGAGCAGCCTGGAAAAGATAATTGTCACAGTATCATTAGAGCAATGACCTCTTACAGGGAATGCTGGGCAAGTATAAATCAGTGAGATATGTGTTATTATCTCCCCCATGGTTCTGCCACTTCAGTTTAATCCCTCCTTGGGCTAATACTTAAAGGCACCTGAAAAACTGCGACCTCTTACATGCAATTCTGCCAATGGCATTCTCATCAATCCACATTTCCATTCCCGCTATTTAATATACTACATACATGCAGACTTGAGTAATTCCAACTAATGACTGTGGCAAATGAAAGTCTCTTTTCTTCAGTACCACAGGAAAGATAAAAATAAAAGAAAGAAAAAAAAATCTCTTTTCTTGGGAAAGAGAGGATGACTATTATCACAGTTCTCTTTCCAATGTTCGTTCACACATCCCTCTCAGGAATCTACTCTGGAGACCCTAAATAGCTCACAGCAACTTGTGGAGAAGGCACACTTTTGGGCACCTACCAGCTTGGGTATTTCTTTCTTTTTTTTTGAGATGGAGTCTTGCTCTGCTGCCCAGGCTGGAGTGCAGTGGTGTGATCTTGGCTCACTGCAAACTCTGTCTCCTGGGTTCAAGCTATTCTCCCACCTCAGCCTCCCAAATAGCCGGGATTATAGTCATGTACCACCATGCCTGGCTAATTTTTGTATTTTTAGTAGAGACAGGGTTTTACCATGTTGGCCAGGTTGGTCTCGAACTCCTGACCTCATGTGATCCGCCTGCCTCAGCCTCCTAAAGTGCTGGGATTACAGGTGTGAGCCACTGTGCCCAGCCAGCTTGGATATTTCCGTCAGTTAGTTAAAGATTTGTTGGCCCAAGCAACAGCCAATTTATAGCTTCATTTTTACTGATAACAGAAGTCCTAGAAGGCTTAACTTGTAGGTAGGAGATGCCTAATGGTCTATCTGACTTAGGCATCTAGTATCTTAATTTTAAAGCTGAGGTTTTACGTTTTTACTGAACACCATCACATTTTGGATGCAGAAAAAAAATTCACTAATGACATGGTCTTTGGGAATATTGCTGAAGTGTCAAAAATGTCACTTAAACAACAAATACCTTCTCCTTTGACCTACAGAATAACCCATAAAAGGATTAAAAGTTAATCTCTCTCTCTTTTTTTTTTTTTTAGACACAGGGCCTTGTTCTGTGGCCCGGGTTGGAGTGCAGTGGTGCGAACATAGCTCACTGCAGCGTTGAACTTCTGGGGTCAAGTGATCCTCCCACCTCAACCTCCCAAGTAGCTGAGACTAGAGGTGTGTGCCACCACACCTGGCTAACTTTTAAATTTTTTGTAGAGATAGGGTCTTGCTATGTTTCCCAGGCTTCTCCTCATTTCTTGTTTCCTTTTTCACCCTGTCGGCACCAGACTTCATTTTAAGTTTTCTGAATACTGAGCTAGTTATGCAGCATGTAATGAATCAGCATGTGCTGCCATCTTCTGGAAGAAATAAGTACTGACTTCCTTTGTTTTAATCCATGTTAAAGCTAAATCCCTTTTATAGATCACAAAGATGATTTCTAAATCTTTTCTTTTTACTTAAAAAACCCTGTGTGTGTATGTATATATATCTACGTATGTGTGTGTATATATATATGTGTGTGTGTGTGTGTGTGTGTGTATATATCTACATGTATATAGATGGGTCTTGCTATGTTGCCCAGGCTGGCTTCAAGCAATCCTCCTGCCTCAGCCTCCTAAACTACTGGGATTACAGGCATGAATCACTACATCTGTCCCATTTCTAAGTCTAATTAGCTTTATATAGGGTAAAAACCTAGCAGCATGCTAGGTGTTCTTGAGAACTGGGGTCAAGAGAAGTGAAGTACCTTGAAGGCATTATTTTCCTTAATGTTCTTCATGATCCCCAAGTCTTTAAGCTTCTGTCCTATCAGGGTCAGCATCATGCTGTAGATGTTCTCCAAGCTTGTCCCAGGGAAGCAGAGGGCCAAACAATCTCTTTGGATCTCTAGAACGGCTTCATAGAGTTCTGCCTGAGGTGCGGTGAACCTGGGGACGGGAAAACCAAAGAACCTGAACTTAGATAATCTGATATTCTAAGAAGTTTGCTACTAAGTTTGATTAGAAAAACCCCAAGATGCTGCTGTTGCTGGGGCACTGTTGATGTTTAATAAGTACCAATCTATCAATATGGCCAGGAGCTCAATCATGTCCTAGGTGCTCAGTAGGAAGGGCAACAATCCTTCAAGCTGGAGCAGCAACACAGTCTCTTCTTCAAATGGTCAGGAGAGACATGAAGTAGGGCCAAAAGAAGCACTGAGCCATGAGTGCAGTCAGTGGGCAGATGAGGCTCAGCCATGATCCTGTTTAATCCCTTACAGCATAGACTACCATTAAAAAAAAAGGCAAGAAAGCCTAGGGACCCACTTCTGACAGGTGAAGCAGATACCATGGGATAAACTAGTCAACATCTGGGCTACTAGTAATGTACTAGCACTTAAGTGTCTTTAGAATAACAGTTTCTTTAGCAATTACGAGATAAAAAAGTGACCTGGGATGATACATGATATGTATTCTCACATACTGTTGATAGGAGTATAAATTAATACAGCCAATTACATCAAAGGCCTTAAAGATGCTCATATAACTAGAGCTTATAATTCTACTCTAATATATCCAAAGAAAATATTTGAAATTCAAAAAAGCTGAATGTACTAAAATGTTCGCTGTAATTTTATAATTGTAAATTATTAGACAAACTCTAAATGTCCCCTAATAGAAGAATGCTTAACTATAATAGCATAAGAAACCCACAGCATAATGTACCCATACCCCAGCCCACCACAGTATTACTAAATAATCATTTTTGTAATAGTTTTTTTTTTTTTTTTTTTTAGAGACAAGGTCTCACTATGTTGCCCAGGTTGGTCTGGAACTCTTCAGCTCAAACGATCCTCCTGCCTTGGCCTCCCAAAGTGTCTTTATATACACTAAAATGCATACATTTGAACGGTACAATTTTGACAAATTCATGTACCAAACCTATTGAAGCTGGGAACAATGAACTCCTAAATTCTGCTGAGTCTTCGTTGCCAGCAGAAGTGGCCCTTCCACCCCCGTCTGAGAAGGTTAACCCTGTTTTGCCTGAAAACTTGTAGGTATGTCCCTTGAGGCAGTTGCCTTGGTTCTACTAGAATTGTAACTACACTCAAGTCCCAGCAGGCTCCAAGTTAGGCAGAAAGCTTGACCCATGAGGAGGTCCACTCCACACCAAAAAGAACTGCATGAGGGGCTGGGCGCGGTGGCTCACGCCTGTAATCCCAACACTTTGGGAGGCCGAGGCGGGTGGATCACCTGAGGTCGGGAGTTCGAGACCAGCCTGACCAACATGGAGAAATCCCATCTCTACTAAAAATACAAAATCAGCTGGGCATGGTGGTGCATGTCTGTAATTCCAGCTACTCGGGAGGCTGAGGCAGAAGAATCGCTTGAAACTGGGAGGCGAAGGTTGTGGTGAGCCGAGATTGCGCCATTGCACTCCAGCCTGGGCAACAAGAGTGAAACTCCGTCTCAAAAAAACAAAACAAAAAAAGAACTGCATGAGGTTTCCAATTTCCGAAAGACAAAAATCTGGGAATGTGGGTGGGAATGAATATTTATGGTGTGGGATAATGGTAGAAGGAACACAGTTGCATCAGGCAACTTTACTGATATGGGTCCACTAATCAGAGACTCTGGATTCAACGTTGCCGCTGAAGGGGTCAGAAAAGTTCTAACAGTTTGTTGCCTAGCTGGCTGAAACACAAACCAAAAGGTAACCCACAATACATAAACACAAATGCCACAACTGCTTTGGTATACTGGAGAAGGAATTCTGCCTCAAGACTATAATATAAACCCTGCCTGAGTTTGGACTGAAGTCTGCCCTATAGATTTTGGACTCAAGCCTTATACAGACCATTTCCATCTCCCCTGAAAGCCTCCTCATGTTCATTTCTTTTTTTCTTTTTTTGAGATGGAGTTTCGCTCTTTCACCCAGGCTGGAGTGAAGTGGTGCGATCTCGGCTCACTGCAACCTCTGCCCCCACCGGGTTCAAGCGATTCTCCTGCCTCGGCCTCCCAAGTAGCTGGGATTATAGGCGCCCACCACCACGCCCAGCTAATTTTTGTATTTTGAGTAGAGATGGGTTTCTGCCATGTTGGCCAGGCTGGTCTTGAACTCCTGACCTCAGGTGATCCACCTACCTTGGCCTCCCAAAGTCCTAGGATTACAGGCATGAGTCACCACGCCTGGCCCACATGTCCATTTCTAATCAATATCCCTACTTTCCGAGGCAAATGCTATTGTGATTATTTTGACCTTAGTTTGCCAAATCTAGAACATCATATAAATGGAATCATATAATATATACTCTTTTGTGTCTGGCTTCCTTCACTGAACATAATCTATGCTCAGTGAGGGTAGAAGGTTGTCTATGCAGTACATCCATGGTGGTGCTTCAATCAGTAACAAAAAACATTCGATCAGTAATTAAAATGTTCTTTTTTATTACTGAGTGGTATTCCATTGTATGAACAGACCACAATTTGCATATTCATTCTCCTGTTGATGGACATTTTGGTTGTTATACTATTGTGAATAAATGCTGTTATGAATGTCCTTGTGCAACCCTTTTTGTTGAGAAATGTTTTCATTTCTCTTAAATACCTAGAATTTGGCTGGGCATAGTGGCTCATGCCTGTAATTCCAGTGTTTTGGCAGGCCAAGGCAAGAGAATCGTTTGAGCCCAGGAGTTGCAGACCAGCCTGGGCAACATAGCGAAACCGTGTCTCTACAAAAAAACAAAATATTAGCCAGGCATGGTGGCACGTGCCTATAATCCCAGCTACTTGGGAGGTTGAGATGTGAGGATCGCTCTCTGCCTCAGCCAACCAAGTAGCTGAGATTACAGGCACCTGCCACCACACCCAGCTAATTTTTGTTATTTTAGTATGGACGGGGTTTCACCATGTTGGTTAGACTGGTCTCGAACTCATGACCTCAAGTGATCCACTCGCCTTGGCCTCCCAAAGTGCTGGGATTACAGGTGTGAGCCACTGCACCTGGCCTTTTTACAATGTACTTCTATTCTTCCAGCTGGATAATTTCTATTTATCTTCAAGTTTGCAAACTTCTGCTGTCTCCAATCTACAGTTAAGTCTACCTGGTGAATTTCCTGTTTCAGTTAATGTACTTTTCAGCTTTAAAATTGTCATTTAAAAATTTAAAAAATTTTTAATTGTAAAACAAAACACAGATATAAAAAGCCAAACAAATCAATCAAACATAAACCTTAAGAAATTATTCAGTGGCTGTATTAAAAATACAAAAATTAGCCAGGCGGGGTGGCATCTGCCTGTAGTCCCAGCTACTTGGGAGGCTGAGGCAGGAGAACTGCTTGAACCTGGGAGCCGGAGGTTGCAGTGAGCCAAGATTGCGCCACTGCACTCCAGCCTGGGCGACAGAGCAAGACTGTGTCTCAAAAAAAAAAAAAGAAAAAAAAATTATTATAAGGTGAATACCAGTCAGATAAAACAACAACAACAACAAAAAAAAAACCCACCAAAACTTGGCAGACTATCCCAGAATACCCTTCTATAGGTCCCAGAATAATGACAATCTTACCAACAAATATCCCTCGTCCTAACTTTTTTTTTTGAGATGGAGTCTCGTTCTGTTGCCCAGGCTGGAGTACAGTGGTGTGATCTCGGCTCACTGCGACCTCCACCTCCCGGGTTCAAGTGATTCTCCTACCTCAGCCACCTGAGTAGCTGGGACTGCAGGCACCCACCACCATGCCCAGCTGATTTCTGTGTGTGTGTGTGTGTTTTTAGTAGAGACAGGGTTTCACCATGTTGGCTAGGCTGGTCTCAAACTCCTGACCTCAGGTGATCCACCTGCCTTGGCCTCCCAAAGTGCTGGGATTACAGGCGTGAGCCACTGCACCTGGCCTAACTTTTTTATTTTGGAGACAGGGCCTTGCTCTGTTACCTAGGCTAGAGCACAGTGATGTGATCATAGTTCACCGTAACCAAAAATTTCAGGGGTCAAGTGATTTTGCCACCTCAGCATCCTAAGTAGCTGGGATTACAGGTGTGCGCCACCATAGTTGGCCAATTTTTTGTATTTTTTGTAGATATAGAGGTCTTGCTGTGTTGCCCAGACTGGTTTTGAACTCCTGGCCTCAACTGATCCTCCTGCGTCAGCCTCCCAAAACACTGGGATTACCAGTGTGAGCCACCATGCTAGCCATATCAGTTTATAGTCAGTTAATTGTGATTTTTTTTATTTGTGTGTACTGTTATTTACAGATTTTTTTTTTTTTTTTTTTTAGACAGAGTCTCACTCTGCTGCCTAGGCTGGAGTGTAGTAGTGCAGTCACAGCTCACTGCAGCCTCAACTTCCTGGGCTCAGGTGATCCTCCCACTTTAGTCTCTCTAGTAGCTGGGACTACAGGCCTGTGACACCATATCCAGCTATTTTTTTCTTTCATGATTATATATGGAATGCTTCACAAATTTGCATGTCATCCTTGCACAGGGGCCATGCTAATTTCTGTATTGTTCCAATTTTAGTATATGTGCTGCTGAAGGAAGCACTTTTAATGTTTTTTTGTAGAGATTGGGTTTTGCCATGTTGCCCAGGCTGGTCTGGAACTCCTGGGCTCAAGTCATCTGCTCGCCTTGGCCTCCCAAAGTGCTGGGATTACAGGATGAACCATAATGCCTGACCGAATTTATCATTTTTATTGATATATAATTCACTTATCATAAAATTCCTTCACTTAAAAAAGTGTACAATTCAGTGGTTTTAAGTATATTCACAATGTTGTACAATCATCACCACTACTAATTCTAGAAAATTTTCATTACCATCTCCTCCCAAATCTTGTATCTGTTAGCAGTCACTCCCTATTCCTTGTGTTTTTTAAAAATTTTAATTAAATTGTTTCCTTTTTTTACAGATGGGGTCTTGCTCTGTTGCCCAGGCTGGTGTGTACTGGCTATTCACAAGCTTGTTCCCATTACTGATCAGTATGAGAGTTGTGACCTGCTCTGTTTCTGACCTGGGCCAGTTCAGCCCTCCTTAGGTAATGTGCAAAAACCTCTAACTGGTTGCAGACACCTGATCAACATAGTGGACTGCAGCTTAGAACTCTTGGACTCAAGTGATCCTCCTGCCTCAGCCTCCTGAGTAGCTGAGACTATAGGTGCATGCCACTATGCTTGGTCATTGTGGGGTTTTTTTCTTTTTCTTTTTTTTTGCGACAGGGTCTGGCTCTGTCACCCAGGCTGGATTGCAATGGTGCAATCTTGGCTCACTGCAACCTCTGTCTCCTGGGCTCAAGCAATTCTCCCACCTCAGCCTCTTGAGTAGCTGGGACTACAGGCATGTGCCACCACGCCTGGCTAATTTTTTTGTAAAGACCAGGTTTCACTATGCTGCCCATGTTGGTCTTGAACTCCTGAGCTCAAGTGATCCTCCTGTCTTTCCTCCCAGTGTGCTGGGATTACATGAGGCACCTCGCCTGGCTGTCCTTTGTGTTTTAAAGATATTTTTATCACCCAAATATTCACCCCAAGATAATTTTCTTTGTGTTCATTTGTAATATATTTGATATAACTAAAATCTCTTTTAGTTAGTAGGCTCCTCCTCCACCTCTTTTCATTTCCTTGTAATTTATTTGTTAAAGAATCCAGGCTGCTTGACATACAGAGTTTATCAGTCTAGATTTTGGGCAGTTACAGACTGAATGTTTGTGAATTAGGAGGTAATTATTTTGAGGTAACAAATACTACCTAGTGTTTGGTTTTGTTAGCTAGTTGCTCTATGTTTATTTGACAATTTGGAAAGTTTGAAAAACTATCCTGCTGCTGCCATCTTCCCACAATCTCTGGTTCTTTTTTGTTTCTATTTCTCATTGAGATTCTCCATCTGTTTGCTCATTATGTCTACATCTTCCTTTAACTTATCTATAACAGCTACTTTAGAGTCTTTCTGCTAATTGGAACATTAGGATCATTTCTTTCTTTTTTTTTTTCCTTTGTTTGAGATGGAGTCTCACTCTGTCGCCCAAGCTGGAGTGCAGTGGTACAATCTCGGCTCACTGCAACCTCCCCTTTCCCGGTTCAAGCGATATTCCTGCCTCAGCCTCCCGAGTAGCTGGGATTACAGGTGCCCGCCACCACACTCAGCTAATTTTTGTATTTTTAGTAGAGACAGGGTTTCACATTTTGGCCAGGCTGGTCTTGAACTCCTGACTTCAAGTAATCTGCCCACCTCGGCCCCCCAAAGTGCTAGAATTACAGGCATGAGCCACTGCACCTGGCCAGGATTATTTCATTATCAGATTTTCTTGATTACAGGTCACAATTACCAGTTTCTTCTCATGTCTAGAAATTTTGTTAACTTGGATAGCTTCAAACTACAAACTCTGTTCTCACTGGGAAGCAACTAAAATCTCTGCTCAGTTTATTCTGCTTCTAGCTGCTCGTATTTTGCTGAGCCTCATGAGGCCTCCTCAGAACACATAGTTCAGTAATCAGCCAAGGATTTTTAAATATTCTGTATGCAGATTTTGGGGCTCAGAGTTTCCACAAGCCCTTCTCGTCAAGGATTTTCCTTCATCTTTCTGGCTATTCTGTCAGCACCTAAATCTATCATTTGATATCTTAAATCAATAAGGCTGTGGCTTTCTGCCGCCCAAGCTATGTGCATTGGGCAATGTCCTCAGGCAAAAAGCCCTTATCACCATTTTTATCCATTATAGTTTTTCTTTTTTTTTTTTTTCAGATAGAGTCTCACTCTGTCACCCAGGCTGGAGTGCAGAGTCCAATCTTAGCTCACTGCAACTTCCGTCCCCTGGGTTCAAGCGATTCTCCTGCCTTAGCCTCCCGAGTACCATTCCCAGGCTAATTTTTGTATTTTTAGTAGAGACAGGGTTTCACCATTTTGGTCAGGCTGGTCCTGAACTCCTGACCTCAGGTGCTCTGCCTGCCTTGGGCTCCCAAAGTCCTGGGATTACAGGTATGAGCCACCAGGCCTGGCCCATTATAGTTTTTTAAGAATGGACTTGTACTTGGCTAACACGGTGAAATCCCATCTCTACGAAAAATACAAAAAATTAGCCAGGCGTGGTGGTGGGTGCCTGTAGTCCCGCTACTCGGGAGGCTGAAGCAGGAGAATGATGTGAACCTGGGAGGTGGAGCTAGCAGTGAGCCGAGATCATGCCACTGCACTCCAGCCTGGGTGCCAGAGCGAGACTCCGTCTCAAAAAAAAAAAAAAAAAAAGAATGGACTTGTACAATTTCTGCCTATTTTTGAAAGCTCTCTGGTGCCTTTTATTTTGATTTTTTTCATGTCAGATGGGTAATGTGCTGACCTTGTAAGAAGGTTTGAGGGTAGCACATCTCATACCTGCACGTGAACACCCAATCATCACACTCATGAGCTACAAAGGGATCTCTAGTGCCTTTAAATAGTTATTTTTAATATTTTGTCCAGATTTTATAATTATTATCTATGGAGGATTAATCCAATCAAGCTTTCTACCATAACCTGAATATTACTTCTGTATTTTAAAAAATCAACTTTATTTTTTAAAAAATGTCTGTGAGTCAGGCATGGTGGCAATGTGCCTATAGTCCCAGCTACTTAAGAGGTCTGAGAAGAGAGGATCACTTCAGGACAGAGTTCGAGGCTGCAGTGAGCTATGATTTGGCCTGTGAATAGCCACTGCACCCCAGCCTGGATGACACAGCGAGACCCCGTCTCTTACCAAAAAAAAAAAAAAAAAAAAAAAAAAAAAAATCTTTGTTAGTTACCTAGGTGTTTCTATGTGCCTCATCCAGTGATATGATGAACAAAACAGTCTTAGAAAATAATAAGGAGCTTTGCAACCTAACTTGACCAGGAATGGACCTATAGTATTTCTTTAGTCATTCATTCCAAATATAGCCATATTCCAACTCATACTCCTAAGAAGCAGTGGGATACGTTACTCTGTAGAAGCCCTACCTGCCATTGACTGGCCACGTACGTGTGATGTCACTCACATAGCAGGAAGACTCACAACCTCCATCCAGAAGCACCATTTCCCCATCCTGGAACAAAGTAAGACAGGTTAAAGTGGATAAGCTCATGATTATAAGTTGTTTCTAGTAATCCAAAGTATGCCTTTCTTTTTTTTTTTTTTTTCTGAGACGGAGTTTCACTCTTGTTGCCCAGGTTGGAGTGCAATGGTGTGATCTCAGCTCACCACAACCTCCGCTTCCCGCGTTCAAGCGATTCTCCTGCCTCAGCCTCCGAGTAGCTGGGATTACAGGTGATTGCCACCACACCTGGCTAATTTTGTATTTTTAGTAGGGACGGGGTTTCTCCATGTTGGTCAGGATGTCTCAAACTCCCAACCTCAGGTGATCTGCCTGCCTCGGCCTCCCAAAGTGCGGGGATTACAGGCGTGAGCCACTGCACTTGGTCCTTTTTATTTTTTTAAAGCTCTAATTTAAAGGACACTAATTGCTGGTTTCTTCTATTTATCTACACAGCATCTAAACTTTTCAGATGTTTGAAACAGGGGGCATGTGAAAACAAAACAAATCTTTTCAGATGAATTCACCCTGCCACAAGAAAGTTGGCAATGCGTGGTGTTTCAGTGTATAGGCTTTGGAACCAGACTCCTTGGGACTGAATTACTAGGTGTAAACATTAGCACATCATAAATATCACTATTATCATTTTTTTTTAAGAAAAAAAAACCCATATGCCTTTGCTTTATGAAACAAGAGAAAAAAACAATCCTATATACGTTGGCATGCCAGTGGTATGCCGGGCCTTATTCAAACACAGCCACCCTTAAACACTTAACCTTGGAATATCACTTCCCTCTTTTTTTTTTTTTTTTTGAGACAGAGTCTTGCTCTGTTGCCCAGGCTGGAGTGCAGTGGTGTGATCTCAGCTCACTGCAACCTCCACCTCCTAGGTTCAAGTGATTCTCCTGCCTCAGCCTCTCAAGTAGCTGGGATTACAGGTGCCCGCCACCACACCTGGCTAACTATGTTGGCCAGGATGGTCTCGATCTCTTGATCTCATAATCCGCCTGCCTCGGCCTCCCAAAGTGCTGGAATTACAGGCATGAGCCACCGCGCCAGGCCCCACTTCCCCTTTTGCTCTCCATCATAATACATGTGGGGAAAGAAGAAAACTTTAAGTATATCTCTAACTTTCTAATTGTCATGTTATGCTGAAATTATCTCTCTATGCCCTTGAAGACAGAGTATATGTTATTCATATCTAAGTAAGTACAAAATTTGACAAACAGTAGAATAATGGGTAAATGATAACATACAGTAATGGCAACTTAAAATGATGGATGTGATTTTTCATTTTTGGCAAAAGATGGAATAAATTTCTGTTAGTAAACAACTAAATCCTGGATAAAATGTATTTTATGACATGTTGACTTTTTTTTTGAGATGGAGTCTTGCTCTATTGCCCAGAGCTGGAGTGCAGTGGCGCAACCTTGGCTCACTGCAATCTCTGCCTCCTGGGTTCCAGCGATTCTCCCGCCTCAGCCTCCTGAGTAGCTGGGACTACAGGCGCACGCTACAACGCCCAGCTAATTTTTGTATTTTTAGTAGAGATGGGGTTTCACCATGTTGGCCAGGATGGTCTTGAACTCCCTGGCTTCAAGTGATCCACCTGCCTCAGCCTCCCAAAGTGCTGGGATTACAGGCATGAGACACTGGGATGCCTGGCCCTGTATGTTTACTTTTTAAAGAAACCATCTAATGAGATTTACTACAGTAAGGAGAAAAGGCAAAAATATATCAAGAATATAAAAGGGTACATAACTATAAATAAAAAGTAGCTTAAAATGTAAGACAATACTGTGAGTAATTTAGACAAAATGGACAAAATGGTAGAAACATATAACTTATGAAACTGTCTTAGGAAGAGTAGAAGTATAAATTGACATAATCTCTTTGGAAATCTTTGGTACTATCACAGTTGCAGATATGTATATCCTATGACCCAGCAATTCCATTATTAGGTGTCCCTTAGACAAACTTGGCAACTTGTATACCAGGAAAAATGCACAAGAATGATCAAAGTGAGAATCTGGAAAAATCATAAATGTCTATCTATGAATATTTATCACACTAAGAAATTAAAACTGAGAAAATTTTATAATATTTATTAAATTCATTTAAAAATAAACCCATTACATGTTAACATAAATAACATTTTTATGAAAAAAACTATTTTTCTAAATATAAATAGAAAATTGGCACTGTTTGCATTTTCTAAATTCTTTTGTCTAGTGTCACAGAAGACAGCTGGAATCTCACACTGCCTGTGCATTCAGTCTTTTGTGTTATCATCATAAAACTTCTGGGATACTCCAGTGTACACTAGTAAGAGAATGTCTGTGTTCTTATGACAATATATTTAACTTCATGAACCACACTAACTGCTGCTCTATACTATAGGAATTACAATAGGACGGGCATGGTGGCTCATGCCTGTAATCCCAGCGCTTTGGGAGGCCAAGGCGGGCAGATCACTTGAGGCCAGGAGTTTGAGACCAGCCTGGCCAACATGGTGAAACCTCGTTTCTACTAAAAATACAAAAATAGCCAGGCATGGTGGGCGCCTGTAATCCCACCTACTCAGGAGGCTGAGGAAGGAGAATCGCTTGAACCTGGGAGGTAGAGGGAGGTTGCAGTGAGCCGAGACTGTACTACTGCACTCCAGTTTGGGTGACAAGAGTGAAACTCCATCTGAAAAAAAAAAAAAAGCAAGAAGAAAGAAAATGCCTCAATATAGGAGAGATACTGAATGAGGAGTTTAAAAGTGCACGAAGGAAAATATCAGGCCCAAAGAGTTCTACACGTGTTTACCAAATTTTCAAGAAACATTAATTCAAGTCATTCCATAATACTAAGAATGAGACTATTAATTTTTCTGAGCTTAGTTTGACCTTGATATGAAAACCAGAAAAAGACAGCATAAGAAAGAAATTATATAGACCAAACTCACTCGTGAACACAGATCTGAATATCCTAAACTAAGTATTATTAAGTTGAAATGAATAGTGCTAAAGATAAGAAATGATGCTCAATTTCATTGGTAATTAAGGTAATAAAAATTAAGAGCACAAAGAGATGCTATGTTGTACCAAGTAGAATGCAGAAATTAAGAGGTCTGATAATACCAGGGGATGGAGAGGATGTGGCTGACAGAATTGCACACTGCTAGTGAAGTATAAACAGATACAAATAGTCAGGAAAGGTTTATATTATCATATATATTTTTATTTGTTATTTATTTTTTGAGACGGAGTCTCGCTCTGTCACCAGGCTGGAGTACAGTGGCGCGATCTCGGCTCATTGCAACCTCCGACTCCCTGGTTCAAGTGATTTTCCTGCCTCAGCCTCCTGAGTAGCTGGGATTACAGGCACACGCCACCACACCCAGCTAATTTTTTTTTGTATTTTTAGTAGAGACGGGGTTTCACCATGTTGACCAGGATGGTCTCGAACTCCTGACCTCATGATTCACCCACCTCGGCCTCCCAAAGTGCTGGGATTACAGGTGTGAGCCACTGTGCCTGGCCTATATTTTATTTTTTTTAAAGACAGGGTCTTGCTCTGTTGCCCAGGCTGCAATGCAGTGGTGTGATCACAGCTCACTGCAACCTTGAACTCCCCAGGCTCAGATGATCCTTCCCACCTTAGCCTCCCAAGTAATGGACTAGAGGCATGTACCATCACGCCTGGTTCATTTTTGTATTTTTTTGTAGAGATAGGGTTTTGCTATGTTGCCCAGGCCAGTCTTGAACTCCTGCATTCAAGGGATCTGCCCACCTTGACCTCCCCAAGTGCTGGGATTACAGATTTGAGCCACCTCACCCAGCCTATGATATTTAGGAGTTAAAAAAAATCCCTCCAAACTACATACAGAGCATACAATTTGTATAGAGTTTATAAACAAGCAGTAGCTAATTAATACTGTTTGGGGAGTCACATATATGTAATACAACTATTTCTTAAAAGTCAAGGGAAAGACAAAATTCAGGTTACCAGTTACCTTTGGGAGGGAGGAAGTGGGATGGGACAGCATAAGGGTAGGTGTGTTGTATTGCTACTGTTCTAGCTCTAAAATCGACTGCTTGGTTCATGGGTATTCGTTTTTATTTTTGTTTTTTTTTTTAATTATGCTGTATAATTTACATGTTTGCTATATTTTTTTCTTTTGGATTTACTGAATACTAAATCAGTAAAGAAATGGACTTAATAAAGGAATACACAATTCCTTCCTTGTATAGTCACATGGGAAGAAAATCATAGAAGATATGTTCCCTCACAGCTAACAGCAATTTCTTAAAATCTTTCTGCCCAGGAAATCTGCTTGGCTCACTGTTGTTGCCGCAAGTCCTCAGAGAAGTAGAGTTATAATGAAATGAGCAGAGGCTTTAGAGTAGAATACTTGGCTCTGCACTAATATGTTGTTTTAGGTTTTTAAATATTTAAATATTTAAATATTTATTTATTTATTTATTTATTTAGAGACAGAGTCTTGCTCCATAGCCCAGGCTGGAGCACTGGAGTGCGGTTGTGTGATCTCGGCTCACTACAACTTATGCCTCCCGGGCTCAAGCAATTCTCCTGCCTCAGCCTCCAGAGTAGCTGGGATTACAAGCACGTGCCACCACGCCTGGCTAATTTTTGTATTTTTAGTAGAGACATGGTTTCACCATGTTGGCCAGGCTGGTCTCGAACCCCTGACCTCAAGCGATTCACCCGCCTTGGCCTCTCAAAGTGCTAGGATTACAGGCCTGAGCTACCATGCCTGGCCTATGTTGTTTTATTTTTTGAAATTCGTTTTCCTCATCTATTAAAGAGGCATGTTAATAATTCCTCCTAACAGAGTTAATTTAAGGACAAAATGAGATAATGTCTGTAAAACCATTTTATAAGCAATAAAATACTTTTAAAATGTCAGCTAATTTGTGAAAGCTGAAGGTGAGAGGACATGAGGTTAGCAGGTTTTCTACTAGGCTATCTGGACCTAGTGGGAGTAGCACTGAGGGCATCTCACGTACCTTGATGAGTTGATTATTTTTCACATAGTGCAAAGTGTTTGACCGATTACCACCAGCCACCACAGGTGGATAGGCTAAAATGTCTGCGCCACGAGCCCGGCATTCAAATTCAAACTGTGAAAAACAACAGCAAGGTATGACAAAGGGTTTCTGTAGGGCTGCCCCAGCCCAAGCTCTCTTCAACAGCCCATACCTCCATACCAGTACTTATCTTAAGTCATTACTGGGAAGCTATTCATCATATCTAACCAAACCTTTTATGCTGTAATTTCAGTCCATTTCTTTTATTCTCACCCCGTGTACTATAATCTATGTAAGTATACTTTTTTATTCCCACAAATCCTGTTATTTCAACCCTATTATTAAATCTGTTCTTTTTTCTTTAGTGTTCTCTAAATTTCTTATAATTTTCAAATTAAGTCTAGAAGATAGAAAACTATGATGAAGGCTGAGCCTTGAAATACTATCATGTAAGGGTTACTATTTGTTTATTCTTATTTAGCTAAACACTGAAATGTGACTTACATTTTTAACAACAGCTCTAAATTACTAATTCCAATCTTTCAAATAGCTACAAATCTAAATGCTCTGGAAAAGTGAAAAAGGATGCTAGGAAAATTGCAGTCCTACTAATTTCACTACGTTCCAGGATACAGGATGGAGCTGGAGGTTGGTGAGTATCTGCTACTATCTACAGCACTTTCTCAACCTCTATTTTTTGAGACATGGTATTGCTGTCACCCAGGCTGGAGTGCAGTGGGGCAATCATAGTTCACTATAGCCTGAACCTTCCAGGCTCAAGCCATCCACCCACCTCAACCTCCAGAGTAACTGGACTACAGGTGTGCTACCATGCCCAACTAATTTTTTTTTATTTTTATAGTGATGAGGTCTCAGTATGTTGCCCAGGCTGGTCTCAAACTCCTGGGCTCACGTGATCCTCCCATCTCAGCCTTCCAAAGTAATGGAATTACAGGCATGTGCCAGCACGCCTGGCCTCAGCCTCTTTTTTTTTTTTTGAAACAGTCTTGCTCTGTTGCCCAGGCTAGAGTGCAGTGCAGTGGCATGATCTTGGCTCACTGCAAACTGTGCCTCCCAGGTTTAAGTGATTCTCGTGTCTCAGCCACTTGAATAGCTGGGATTACAGGCATACGTTACCACACTCAGCTAATTTTTGTATTTTTAGTAGAGATGGGGTTTTGCCACGTTGGCCAGGCTGGTCTCAAACTCCTGGCCTGAAGTGATCTGCCCGCCTTGGCCTCCCACACTGCTGGGATTACAGGCATGAGCTCCACGCCCAGCCCTCAGCCTCTTCTTCACATTGACCTAAACAGTATTACTTTTGTCACCTCACATTGCTAAATCTTCCCTTCATCATCATCTGTGCTACTTTGCAATTTTCTTCCTTTAATTGTAACGTAGTATATTTTAGACTTATAAATGACCAGTGATATTTCAGAACCAAATCCTCTCCAATGACATGCTGGTCATCACTATCACAAAAGCAGACTGCACTGCCATTTCTGCAAATCAAATTATTATATTCACCTCCAACAAGATGGTGAAGCTAACCATCTGAATCTCACCTTAGCATAAAGAAAGGCTTCTTCCACAGGGGCTTTACTGGTGAACATGGTTTCTATGAAAGCCTGCAAAGAGAAAGGAGGATGAAAAGAACACGATCTCATTCTATGTTGCTTACTCAAACATTCAAAATACTGGAGCTCAAATGAAAAGCACCTTTTCCCACAATTTCGTCAGCCTGAAGTTGTGACCTACTGGGGGTAATAATACAGTTTTTTTTGTTTTTTTTTTGAGACGGAGTCTCGCTCTGTTGCCCAGGCTGGAGTGCAGTGGCGCGATCTCGGCTCACTGCAAGCTCTGCCTCCTGGGTTCACGCCATTCTCCTGCCTCAGCCTCTCGAGTAGCTGGGACTACAGGCGCCCGCCACCACACCCGGCTAATTTTTTGTATTTTTAGTAGAGTCGGGGTTTCACTGTGTTAGCCAGGATGGTCTCGATCTCCTGACCTCGTGATCCGCCTACCTTGGCCTCCCAAAGTGATGGGAATACAGGCGTGAGCCACCGTGCCGGGCCAATAATACGGATTTCTGAAAGGAAAACATTTTGCTTTGACTTGAATGTGTCCCCTCCAAAATTCACGTTGCAATTTAATCCCCATTGGGGTGACAGTAAGAAGTGAGGCCTTTTGGGTAGTGATTAAATCACGAGGGCTCTGCCCTCATAGATGGGATAAGTGACCATAATGGGGCTTGGTGGAGTGAGTTTGGCCCCTCTTGATTTTCTGTCTCTTCTGCCATATGAGGATACCTAGAGGGTGCCCCCTATCAGGAATTTCCCTTCACCAGACACTGAATCTGCTGGCACCTTGACCTTGGACTTCCCAGCCTCCAGAACTATGAGGAAATACATTTCTATTGCTTATAAATTATCCAATCTCAGGTACTTTGTAATAGCAGGACAAACATACTAAGATATACATTTGTTATTTATGTAACAAAATACCTCAATAGCCCCATGTATGAAATTATGGATTGAATGGCCTAGTCTATAGCAACGTTTCCCAGCCTCAGTACTACTGACATTTGGGGCCAGATAATTCCTCGTGGGAGAGCTGTCCTGTTCAATGTAGGATGCCAGAAGCATTCCCAATTGTGACAACAGGACACTACCAAAATGCTCCCTAGGGGACAACACTGCTCTCCCACTGAGAATCACTGACCTACAGTATAAGTAATTTTATTAATTCTCTGTGATAACCACACTATATGTGTGTGCATTTTTTTTTTTTTTTTGAGACAGAGTCTCACTCCATCCCACAGGCTGGAGTGCAGTGGAGTGATCAGAACTCACTGCAGCCTCAAACTCCTGGGCTCAAGTGATCCTCCCGCCTTAGCCTCCTAAGTAGCTGGGACTACAGATGCATGCCACCATGCCCAGCTAATTTTTAAATTTTTCATAATTTTTAATGTTTTCAGCCTCCCAGGGTGGCTCACACCTGTAACCCAGCACTTCAGGACGCTGAGATGAGAGGATCGCTTGAGCTCAGGAGCTCGAGACCAGCCTGGGCAACATAGTGAGACACTATCTCTCTAAAAACAAACAAACAAACAAACAAACAAACAGGCTGGGTGCGTTGGCTCAAGCCTGTAATCTCAGCACTTTGGGAGGCTGAGGTGGACAGATCATGAGGTCAAGAGTTTGAGTCCAGTCTATCCAACATAGGGAAACCCCATCTCTACTAAAAATACAAAAAATCAGCTGGGTATGGTGGTGTGCACCTGTAATCCCAGCTACTCAGGAGGCTGGGACAGGAGAATCACGTGAACTGGGAGGCAGAGGTTGCAGTGAGCCGAGATCGTGCCACTGCACTACAGCCTGGGCCACAGTGCGAGACTCTGTCTAAAAAAAAAAGAAAACATGAAAACATTTCATAGTATGAGGTTGAACGGCATTGCCAAAATGCCCAAAAGAGTAAAAGCAAGTGGTGCAATGGTGGGAATATTTACATGGTTTGCTCCCTTTCTTCATTCAAATCTTTCCTCAAATGTTTCCTCCTCATAGAGGCCCTTCCCGACTATCCCATCTAAATTAGCACCTTCCATCACATTTCATCCCCCTTCACTGCTTCACTTTTCTTCATAGCATTTAATTCCAGATGACTTCATGTCTTGTTTGCTTACTGTCTCTCCTCCACCAGAATGTAACTGTGAAGAGTGAGCATGGATAGTCTATTGTGCTCACTAATGTATCCTCAGAACCCAGAGCAGTGCCTGGCACACAGTTGGTGTTCAGTAAATATCTGCTGGATAATGAACAATTAAAATCAATTAAAGGGGCCGGGTGTGGTGGCTCATGCCTGTGATCCCAGCACTTCAGGCGGCCGAGGCGGTGGTTCACGAGGTGGAGAGATCAAGATCATCCTGGCTAACACAGTGAAACACGGTCTCTACTAAAAATACAAAAAAATTAGCTGGGCGTGGTGGTACGCGCCTGTGGTCCTAGTTACTCGGGAGGCTGAGGCAGGAGAATTGCTTGAACCTGGGAGATAGTGGTTGCAGTGAGCCGAGATTATGCCACTGCACTCCAGCCTGGGTGACAAGAGTGAGACTCTATCTCAAAAAAAAAATTAAAAAAAAAAAAATTAAATGGCTGAGTGTGGTGGCTCACGCCTGTAATCCCACTTTGGGAGGCTGAGGCAGGTAGATCACTTGTGGCCAGGAGTTCGAGACCAGCCTGGCCAACATGGTGAAATCCTGCTGTCTCCACTAAAAATACAAAAAATTTGCTGGGCATAGTGGTGGGCACCTGTAATCCCAGCTGCTCAGGAGGCTGAAGTAGAAGAATCACTTGTACCCGGAAGGTGGAGGTGGCAGTGAGCTGAGATCGTGCCACTGCACTCCAGCCTGGGTACCACGGCAAGACTCCATCTCAAAAAAAATAAAAAAATTAAAAAATCAATTAAAGGACACTTGCACACACAATCACAAATGTTGACAAATAACTTATTCAGCACTATATTTTTAGCATGAAACCTAAAACATATGGCAGTCCTAGTGGCTTCATTCACTCAAAAGAGGGATTTGTCTTTTTATTAATTTTGCTTTGAACCCTTATTGCCTGGCATAGATAATTGTTGTCATGGCTTAAAAAAATTTTTTTTTTAAGAGATGGGGTCTTGCTATGTTGCCCACACTGGAGGGCAGTGGCTATTCACAGGCACAATCATGGTGCACTACTGTCTTGAACTCCTGGGCTCAAGCGATCCTTCTGCTTCAGCCTCCTGAGTAGCTGGGACTGTAGGTGCACACCATTGTGCCAGGACAGTCATGACTCTTTCAAACTGTTATGCAGACTCAACAGGATACAAAAGTTCCTCCTCCTTCCTAGGTGATCAAATGCCTAATCTTGCTTTACTTCTTTTTGTAAGGAATGTGCCTCCTATGAGTCAATTTCTTTACAGAGCATTCCAGGTACACATGATATGCAGTTCAAATGCTACCTATCCTTACTATATGCTTGATGTCCTTCCAGTAAAGATCAAGAGTTAGACTTTATGATTGGCACTTCTTAGGACTGTCTTGTCACAACATAGCCCATACTCCCAATAAAGACTTAACACTCTTACTTCACTAAGTGCTACCTGAATGTTTGTATTTTGACTGTTAAAAAATG
This sequence comes from Homo sapiens, assembly GCF_000001405.40. Lineage (NCBI taxonomy): Eukaryota > Metazoa > Chordata > Mammalia > Primates > Hominidae > Homo > Homo sapiens. Next base: position 40,904,040 of record NC_000022.11, on the reverse strand, counting down.
TAAAATGGGCTTTCTTTGCATTTCACCCTGCATCTCATAATCAGAACACATTACAAATGAACACTGTAAAGCTAATGGAGAAGGGAGAGTAGAGAGAAAAAGCATTTCACAAACCATTTCATGAAACTTGTGTGTGTGTGTGTGTGTGTGTGTGTGTGTGTGTGTGACAGAGAGAGAGATGGGGGGAGGGATCCCTTAACATTGTCCCATGGATCTTTTCTTAGCTTCCTTATTTTAAAAATCAATGATTTGAGACTGGGCACAGTGGCTCACACCTGTAATCCCAGCACTTTGGGAAGCTGAGGCAGGTAGATAACGAGGTGAGGAGTTCAAGACCTGCTTGGCCAAAATGGTGAAAACCTGTCTCTACTAAAAATACAAAAATTAGCCGGGCATGGTGGCGGGCACCTGTAATTCCAGCTACTTGGGAGGCTGAGGCAGAGAATTGCTTGAACCCGGGAGGCGGAGGTTGCAGTGAGCCTAGATCGCACCACTGCACTCCAGCCTGGGCGACAGAGTAAGATTCCATCTTAAAAAAAAAAAAAAATCAATGACTTGAAGGAAGACACAGATGTACGTCCATCACACTTGTTTAAGTATTAAGTAGTCTTTGCTGGTCTGGCTGGGGCTAGCAGTGAACACTGTACTTGAAGGATATTAACAAACTAGACAGCACACAGAAGAGGGTTACCAAAATGAGGGGAAATATAACATATGAGGAATGGTTAAGGAAAACAGAACGTTTAACTTTGGAAGACTAAAGGTAGAATATAGAGAAGCAGGCCTGAAATGTTTGTGTGCTATTATGCTGTGAGGCTTAATTCCAGCAGGTCTGAAATTAGCCTGAGCTGTTCTGCTAAAGTTCCTGTATGACACTGATTTGGGCCACGGCCTGAAGCATACTGATAAACAGTGTTGCAGGGAGTTTCAGAGCAGTTTGTATCAGCTTGTCAGTACTGGTAACAGATCAATGCTTTGTACTGGGTCTCCATGAGCTCGTCAGAGGGCTTTACCATTATGTAGCAGGGATATGCCTATGTGACCAAAATAAAAAATCCTAAGTGAGATTCCATTTTAGGCTCTTGGGTTCTGAGGTGTTCTGGGCATTCATCACTGGTTCCTGGTCTGTGAGAGAACCACCAAGCCCTTACGTAGGGAGAAAAACAGAGGAGTCTGCACCTGGCTTCTCCAGACTCCTTGCTGTGAGACAGCCACAGGCTGTGATACATATCTTTAACTTTAATGCAGTTGCTATATGAAACCTTTTTCCTGTAATGACTGTGTATTTGCAAGCACTATCTCTAGGTCTTCTTTAACAATTGAACTCTATTTAACTGCCACTTAGAAGTAGGAGTGTTGCCCAGGCCTGGTGGCTCACGCCTGTAATCCCAACACTTTGGGAGGCCGAGGCAGGCGGATCACGAGGTCAGGAGTTTGAAACCAGCCTGACCAACATGGTGAAACCCCGTCTCTGCTAAAAATACAAAAATTGGCTGGGTGTGGTGGCTCATGCCTGTAATCCCAGCACTTTGGGAGGCCGAGGTGGGCGGATCACGAGGTCAGGAGATCGAGACCATCCTGGCTAACATGGTGAAACCCCATCTCTACTAAAAATACAAAAAAATTAGCTGGGCGTGTGGCAGGCGCCTGTAGTCCCAGCTACTTGGGAGGCTGAGGCAGGAGAATGGCGTGAACCCGGGAGGTGGAGCTTGCAGTAAGCCAAGATCGCGCCACTGCACTCCAGCCTCGGCGACAGAGCGAGACTCCACCTCAAAAAAAAAAAAAAAAAAAAAATTAGCCAGGCATGGTGGCAGGCGCCTGTAATACCAGCTACTTGGGAGGCTGAGGCAGGAGGCAGGAGAATCGCTTGAACCTGGGAGGCGGAGGTTGCAGTGAGCCGAGATCACGCCACCACACTCCAGCCTGGGCGACAGAGCGAGACTCCATCTCAAAAAAAAAAAAAAAAAAAGAAGGAAAAGTAAGGAATGTTTAGAAGACACCTAATTCATTCTTGATTTTTTACTGAGATAAAATTCACATCATATAAATTAACCAACAAAATGAACAACCCAGTGACATTTAGTACATTCACAATGTTTTGCAACCACCACCTCTCTCTAGTTCCCAAACATTTTCATCACCAGAAAAGAAAATCCCTTACCCATTAAGCAGTTAATTCCCATTCTCCTCTCACCCTATTCCCTGATATCCTCTAATCTGCTTTTTGTCTCTACGGGTTTACCTATTCCGCATATTTCATATAAATGGAGTCATATAGCCGGGCGCAGTGGCTCACGCCTGTAGTCCCAGCACTTTGGTGGGTGGATTGCTTGAGTCCAGCAGTTCGAAACCAGCCTTGGCAACATGGTGAAACCCAGTCTTCACAAAAAATACAAAAATTAGCCAGGCGTGGTAGCGCAAGTAGCTCCGCCTCTCAAGTAGCTGGGCCTACAGGCATGAGCCACTGTCCCTGGCCTGTTGTTGAACTGTAAGAGTTCTTTAAATAGGCCCGGCGTGGTGGCTCACGCCTGTAATTCCAGCACTTTGGGAGGCTGAGGCGGGTGGATCACCTGAGTTCGGGAGTTAGAGACCAGCCTGACCAACATGGAGAAACCCCATCTCTACTAAATATACAAAAATTAGCCGGGCGTGGTGGTGCATGCCTGTATTCCCAGCTACTTGGGAGGCTGAGGCAAGAGAATTGCTTGAACCTGGGAGGTGGAGGTTGCGGTGAGCAGAGATTGGGCCATTGCACTCCAGCCTGGGTGAGAGAAGAGTGAAACTCCATCTCAAAAAAAAAAAAAGTTCTTTAAATATTCTAGATACTAGAACCTTATCAGATATATGATTTGCAAATATTTTCTCTCATTCCGTTTTTTCACTTTCTTGATAGTGTCCTTTTAAACAATTTTTTAAAGTTTTTTATTTTAAATTCTTTTTTTTTAATAAAAAGAGAGGAGGTCTCACTATGTTGCCCAGGCTGCTCTTGAACTCCTGAGTTCAACTGATCTTCCTTGCCTTGGCCTCCCAAAATGCAAGGATTACAGGTATGAGCCACCACACCCATTCCCTTTGTTTTTTATTATTTTTTAAGATCATTATTGTTTTGAGACAGGGTCTCACTCTGTTACCCAAGCTGAAGTGCAGTGCTGTGATCTTGGCTCACTGAAGCCTCTGCCACCCAGGCTCTGGTGATCCTCCCACCTCAGCCTCGTGAGTAGCTGAAATTACAGGAACATGCCACCACACCCAGCTAACTTATTTTTGTATTTTTCATAGAGATGGGGTTTTGCCATGTTGCCCAGGCTGGTCTCAAATTCCTGGGCTCAAAAGATCCATCCACCTTGGCCTCTCAAAGTGTTGGGATTACAGGCATGAGCCACTGCACTTAGCCTTTTAATTTATTCTTAAATTAAGTTTAATTATTTTTTTTTTGAGACAGAGTCTTGCTCTGTTGCCCAGGCTGGAATGCAGTGGTGCGATCTCGGTTCATGACAACCTCCACCTACCAGGTTCAAGCAATTCTCCTGCCTCAGCCTCCCCAGTAGCTGGGATTACAGGCACCCGCCACCATGCCTGGCTAATTTTTTGTATTTTTAATAGAGACGGGGTTTCACTATGTTGGCCAGGCTGGTCTTGAACTCCTGACTTCAGGTGATCCACCGGCCTCAGCCTCCCAAAGTACTGGGATTATAGGCGTGGGTCACCGTACCCGGCCTTTTTTTTTTTTTTTCCTAAGGCTGTTTCTCAGTGTGAGAAAAGTACCCTTTGATGTAGAGAAGTTTTAAACATTGATAAATTCTAATTTATCTACTTTTTCTTTTGTTGCCTGTGCTTTCGGTATCATCTTTAAGAATCCTTTGGCAAATCTAAGGTCATGAAGATTCACCCTTATGTTTTTTCCTAATAGTTTTATAATTTGAGCTCTTAAGTTTAGGTCACTGATCCATTTTATTTATGTATTTATTTAATTTGTGAGATAGAGTCTTGCTCTGTTGCCCAGGCTGGAATGCAGTGGTGTAATCTTGGCTCACTGCAATCTCCGCCTCCTAGGTTCAAGTGATTCTCCTATCACCACAGTGCAGCCTGGGAACAAAGGGAGACTGCCTCCCGAGTATTCGGGATTACAGGCATATGCCACCACACCTGGCTAATTAAGTTAATTTTTAGATAAGGTGTGAAGTAGGGGTACAACTTCATTCCTTTTTTTTTTTTTTTTTTTTGAGATAGAGTCTCGCTCTGTCACCAGGCTGGAGTGCAGTAGCGTGATCTCCGCTCACTGCAACCTCCACCTCCCAGGTTCAAGCAATTCTCCTGTCTCAGCCTCCCAAGTAGCTGGGATTACAGGCGCCCACCACCACATCCAGCTAATTTTTGTATTTTTAGTAGAGATGAGGTATCACCATGTTGGCCAGGATGGTCTTATCTCTTGACCTCGTGATCCACCTACCTTGGCCTCCCAAAATGCTGGGATTACAGGTGTGAGCCACTGTGCCCGGGCACAACTTCATTCTTTTGCATATGGATATCCATCTGTCCCAGCAGAACTGACTCATTTTTAAAAAAATTCATCCTTGGTTTGATATGGCACATGCTTTGAAATCATGGAATGTGGAAATGATAGACCCTGAACTTCACGAGCTAGCAAAATGGATTGGGAGGGAATTCTGAATCGCTGGTAGGTCTGCTAAATATTCAATAGTTTGGTTAGTGCCTTCAGTGCTGGCTGAAAGTAAGCTCAGAATCTCTTTTAGATGAGCTTCTTTTTGATCAACAGATGGAGCTCTAACCCAAAGAAACTGGGCTACTATCATTTTTTTGATGAGTCAGCTGAGACCAACCACAGCTAAAATAATTCGAGTGGCAAGTTGACAGCGATGGGTAAAAAACCATGGACATAAGGGGCTATTCAGTGAAGAAAATGAGCCATTTTCTAGACTATTACATGCAATACCCTGAGGAACTCTTTAAAAATGGTTCCTGAGAATTTTAGATCAAAGAACAGTATCTCTCATTTTGAATATTGCTGAGTGAGAAAGGTTTGCAGGGAAACCCCTAGTTTATTAAAATGGATGAAGGGAGGGGCCTATCATATGTATCTAGATATGGGCAACTGTCCTGCCCCTCCCTCATCACATAGTCAGTGCCTCCTGAAGCTACAGAAATGCTGTGGATGCAGACAGTACGGTTCTGGTTGTATGAGGACATAAATGAACTCCATTATGGGATACCCCTCACCCAGGTTATGAATGATACTGTGATAAAAGGCATCCACCAGCATGAACTTCATATGTGACTTTGCTGTTAGATCTCAGGAAGATGTAAAAAGGCAGTTTAAGATCTTTTATCCCAACTTCCTGGATAATAAAAAGATAGTAAGTTTAGGACTTTATAAAAGAAATAAAATCAAGAAAGAAATGGGGCATGAAAAAGAATAAGGTTAGACCCTTAGTTTATACCATATATAAATATTAACTCAAAATGGGTCGGCCGGGCGCGGTGGCTCACGCCTGTAATCCCAGCACTTTGGGAGGCCGAGGCGGGTGGATCATGAGGTCAGGAGATCAAGACCATCCTGGCTAACAAGGTGAAACCCCGTCTCTACTAAAAATACAAAAAATTAGCCGGGCGCGGTGGCGGGCGCCTGTAGTCCCAGCTACTCGGGAGGCTGAGGCAGGAGAATGGCGTGAACCCGGGAAGCGGAGCTTGCAGTGAGCCGAGATTGCGCCACTGCAGTCCGCAGTCCGACCTGGGCGACAGAGCGAGACTCCGTCTCAAAAAAAAAAAAAAAAAAAAAAAAAAAAAAAAAAAAAAATGGGTCAAAGACCTAAACATAAAACATAAAACTCTTAGAAGAAAACATAGGGGAATACCTTTATGACACTGGATTTGGTAATATTTTCTTGGATATGACACCAAAAGCACAGTTAACAACAACAAAAAAACTGGACTTTATAAAAATTAAAACATTTTGAGCATTAAAGGACGCTATGAATAGTAAAAAGCCAACCCTCATAATGGGAGAATATTTGCAAACCATATACCGGATTAAGAGTTAATATCAAAAACATATAAGGAATTCCCACAACTCAACAACAAAAAAATCCAGCCCAATTTAAAAAATGGGCAAAGGAACTGAACAGGTATTTCTCCAAATAAGATATACAAATAACCAATAAACACATGAAAATATGCTGAACATCACTAGCTGTTAATGAAATGCAAATAAAAACTATGAGATGTCATTTCACACTCATTAAGATGGCTAGTACTCAAAAGGCAGAAAATAACAAGTATCGATTGGCAAGAATGTAGAAAAACTGGAACCCTTGTGCATTGCTGGTAGAAATGTGAAATGGTCCATTTGCTGTGGAAAACTATATGGTGGTTTCTCAAAAAATTAAATGTATAATCAGGAGGCTGAGGTGGGAAGATCACATGAGCCCAGGAGTTCGAGGCTGCAGGGAGCTAAGATGGTGCTGCTGCACTCCAGCCTGGGAACAAATGGAGACTCTGTCTCAAAAAAAGAAAAAAAAAAACAACACAGACTCACCACAGATCTAACAATTCTACTTCTGGGTATATACCCCAAAGAACTGAAAGCAGGGACCTGAATAATTATTTGTAAACCCAGGTACATAGCAGCATTAGTCACCATAGCCCAAAAGATGGAAACAACCCAAGTGTCCAATGACAGATGAAAAGATGAAGGAGGCCGGGCACGGTGGATTACGCCTGTTATCCCAGCACTTTGGGAGGCCGAGGTGGGCAGATCACGAGGTCAGGAGATCGAGACCATCCTGGCTAACACAGTGAAACCCCATCTCTACTAAAAATACAAAAAAATTAGCCGGGCGTGATGGCGGGTGCCTGTAGTCCCAGCTACTCAGGAGGCTGAGGCAGGAGAATGGCGTGAACCCGGCGGAGCCTGCAGTGAGCCGAGATTGCGCCACTGCACTCCAGCCTGGGCAACAGCGAAACTCCGTCTCAAAAAAAAAAAAAAAAAAAAAAGATGAAGGAAACATTGTCTATACATACAATGGAATACCATTCAGCCATAGAGGAATGTCATTCTGAAAAATGCTACAACATGAACTTTGAAAACATTTTACTAAGTGAAGTAAGCCAGTTACAAAAAGACAAATACTGTATGATTCTACTTATATGAAGTAATTAGAATAGGCAGAGTCACAGAAAAAGTAAAAGTTACCAGGGGCTGGGAGGAGGGAAGAATGGGAAGTTATTATTTATTGAGTACAATTTCTATTTGGGATGATAAAAAAGTCTGAAAAAAGATAGTAGTAATAGTCACACACAGTGTGAATATACCTAATGTCATTGAATTTCTATTTTAGCCATTTTTAAGACATACACTTAAAAATGGCTAAAATGGTAAATTTTTTTTTTTTTGCAGAGTCTCTCTCGGTTGCCTAGTCTGGAGTGCAATAGCATGATCTCGGCTCACTGCAACCTCCACCTCCCAAGTTGCTGGGATTACAGGCATGTGTCCCACGCCCGGCTAATTTTCTATATTTTTAGTAGAGACGGGGTTTCGCCTTGTTGCCCAGGCTGGTCTCAAACTCCTGGCCTCAAGTGATTCGCCTGCCTCAGCCTCCCAGAGTGCTGGGATTGCAGGCATGCGCCACCGTGCTAGGCCTAAAATGATAAAATTTTATATGCATCTCACCACGATTAAATAAAAAACACACAGAGGCCAGGCATGGTGGCTCTTGCCTGTAATCCCAGCACTTTGGGAGGCCGAGGTGGGCAGAGTGCTCGAGCTCAGGAGCTCACACGGCCAACATGGTGAAACCCTGTTTCTCCAAAAATAATGATACAAAAATTGACAGAGGGCCAACCCTGATAGAATTTTACAGGAAGGTTTGGGATCCACAACTGCCTGTCATTAAACTCCTCAGACTATAAAAATCCCAAGGCAGATATGTTTATTATCTGAGTTTAAAGGAATTTTAGAAAGAGAAAGGTTCCAATGAGTCTCTAACATTAGATGTCAAAATGCTGTGTTTTAATATCAGCATGGTAAGAGATGAAGAACGTTGATATATAGGCCAGGATCTCATAATCCCAACTCCTGGCAGGGAACACAAGACCTTTCACAAATGTGTGAGTAAAATGGCCTGGAGGTGGAAAAGAAACTCTTTTACATCTACTGGATGGAGTAAGACAGTGTACGATACTGTCTGGGCCTCTTAATGAAGAACTTAAGAATGACAGAATTAACTCATGGGATGTGGGGATGCTGCTGTGAAAGGGATAAAAAGTCTGGTTAGAAGTCTGTGTAGCTCAGTTGGTCAAGCATCAGATTTTTAATGTGAGAGTCCAGGGTTCAAGTCTATAATTCAATTTTTTTTAAAAGTTATAAATTTTTTAATTTAAAAAAGTCTGGGCCGGGTGCGGTGGCTCATGCCTGTAATCCCAGTACTTTGGGAGGCTGAGGTGGGTGGATCACCTGAGGTCAGCAGTTCAAGATTAGCCTGGGCAACATGGTGAAACCCTGTCTCTACTAAAAATACAAAAATAAGCCGGGCGTGCTGGTGGGCGTCTGTAATCCCAGCTACTTGGGAGGCTGAGGCAGAGAATCACTTGAACCCGGGAAGCAGAGGTTGCAGTGAGCCGAGATCGCGCCATTGCACTCCAGCCTGGGCGACAGATCAAAACTCTGCCTCAAAAAAAAAAAGAAAAGAAAAGCACTAATCTCTATTAAAAAGAAAAAAAGAAATGCATTTCAATAAGATGGACAATGTCCAAAGAAGTTCTGTCATAAAATGGAAATGAACTATATGCAGCATGCTACCAGGGGATCTATGTGAAAGAATCATCAGATTCATGAGCAAGTAGTCTTTTCCTCCTAGGATCCCTCCTTTCAATTATTTGCCCATGGATGCCAGGCAATTGGACTGGTTCACAGATGACTGTTCTAGAACTGAGGGCAATTCTGTATGAAAAGTAGATGTTCAGAGTCCAGCAGAAAGTAAAATCCTATGGAAAAAGTTAAGAACGAGTTGGTCAACAGGGCTGAATTATAGGCTATAATCATAGTCCTGATAGAAGAACTGGACACAAAAGCCCTATTATTTGGGTAAATATTGATTCTTGGGCTGTCACTAATGGACTTGCAATTGGTCTAACAAGTGGGTCACAAATAACTGGACAATAGAAGGGCCCTCCATGTGAGGAGCTGCTCTTTGGAAATCTCTATGAAAATTCTAAGGGAAAAATCAAAGTAGGGCATGCTGATCCCAAAGAAACTCTATGCCAGAATTTTAAGGTGATTGGAACCAACAGTTGATGGCCTAACTTGATCTCTTGAAATGGCAACCAAGTCTATGAAATGGGTGGAGGAACTCAAGCCAGCCAGTGACGCACTGAACAATGACATATACCAGTGGGCTCCATTGAAGCTTAAACTATTAATAAAAATTGTCCTGGCTGCCAACAGTATAGTGTCATTTTCTGTATTTATCCAATTTATCTCCCTATGATTAGACTAGCTCAATAGCTGACCGAGGAAGTTTCCTTCAGCGGGAAAGGTTTGCATTCAAATTAATATAAAGGCATTTGCTTGACTGCAGTAACCACTGTATTATGCATACGTATATCAAAATATGTTGTACACTTTATACATAAATAAAAAAATTTAAAAAATGATTAAGAAAGGCAAGGTTGTTGCTAAGGGGAAAGAAGTCAATAAATGAGTGGTACAGAAGCTCAACAGATGCTTCTGGAGTCTCAAGAGATGCTTAAAGCAAGAGAATAATATTCTCTCTTTGCTTTAACTCAGATACCCCTTGGAGTAAAGAACTTATGAAATCCCCTTTCTTAAGAAACGGAGTCTTGCTGTGTTGCCTGTGAGTGCAGTGGCTACTCACAGAAATGATCATAGCAGCACCTGTATCATAGTCTACTATAGCTTCTAACTCCTGGCCTCAAGCGATCCTCCTGCCCTCAGCCTCCTGGGTAGTTGGGACTACTGGCATCATCACCATGTCTGGCGTTCTCCTCCTCTTTTGAAGAGCCAAAAAGAGAGCTAGGCAATAGCCAGTCTAACAAGCACACTTCCAGGAGTGACATATGTCCTCAAAATGGATGAAGAAATGGGACAGCTGCTGGGTGCAGTGGCTTACACCTGTAATCCCAGAACTTTGGGAGGCCGAGGTGGGCAGATCACCTGAGGTTGGGAGTTCTAGATCAGCCTGACCAATATGGAGAAACCTCGTCTCTACTAAAAATACAAAATTAGCCAGGCGTAGTGGCACATGCCTGTAATCCCAGCTATCTGGGAGGCAGAGGCAGGAGAATCACCTGAACCTGGGAGGTGGAGGTTGTGGTGAGCTGAGATCATGCCATTGCACTCCAGCCAGGGCAACAAGAGTGAAACTCCATCTCAAAACACAAAAAACAAAAAAGAAAAAGAAATGTGACAGCTATCCATGACTATGTGGAATAATACAAATAAGGCTATATCTTGATTCCTGTTTCACAGGATGCATCTTTTTTTTTTTTTTTTTTTTTTTGAGATAGAGTTTCACTCTTATTGCCCAGGCTGGAGTGCAATGGCGCTATCTCGGCTGACTGCAACCTCCACCTCCTGGGTTCAAAGATTCTCCTGCCTCAGCCTCCCGAGTAGCTGGGATTACAGGTATGTGCCACCATGCCCGGCTAATTTTGTATTTTAGTAGAGACTGGGTTTCTCCGTATTAGTCAGGCTGGTTTCAAACTCCCAACCTCAGGTGATCCGCCTGCCTCGGCCTCCCAAAGTGCTGGGATTACAGGCATAAGCGCCCGGCCAGATGTATCTATTAAAAAGGATCTGTGTTGGGAAAGCAACCTGTTTTGCATATTAATTATATTATGATATAATATTATAATATATAAATATATAATATACAATATATAATATATATTTATATATATTTATATATAAACTAAATATATAATATAAATAATATTTCAAATTTAGCCAGTTAAATTTGAAAATCAATGGATAATAATCTAACACATAAAACCATTAAGATAACGGTTTTACAAAGGTTACCAGAATATGATGACAGAATGCTGTCTCATGCCATGTTCCATCTGTTATAATATGTGTAAAAAGAGCTATTTGCATTGTTATTGTGGGTAAATAGGCATAAGGAGGTGGAGAGAAAATTGGGACACTTGGCTCAGTGACAAAAATAAATAACAAGGTATAACTTGGTGGGCCCTATATTCCTGAGAATTCAAAATTCAATGTGGATGATTCTGGAAAGTACATTGAAATGAGTCTATTTAGGTGTGACTACCACTCATATGACGTAAGCCTGGGGGACTCAATATTTTGGGGTCCCAAATTTATTTTCTAGTTGTAGTAAAGCAGTTGTACAAATGAAACAGTTGTACAAATAGTTGTACTAACATTTAATGGCGACAACATGTCATGTTCCCACACTCAAAATAAGAGAGCCTTAGTGGAATTAGGAGCCAGGCTAGGAGCAACTGGCCAGGTGGATTTGTTTTTAATGAGGAAAGACATACTGATGAAATAGATTTGCCAGCCAGGCGTGGTGGCTCACACCTGTAATCCCAGCACTTTGGGAGGCCGAGGCGGGCAGATCACCAGGTCAAGAGATTGAGACCATCCTGGCCAACATGGTGAAACCCCGTCTCTACTAAAAATACAAAAACGTTAGCTGGGCCTGGTAGTGCACGCCTGTAGTCCCAGCTATTTGGGAGGCTGAGGCAGAAGAATCCCTTGAACCTGGGAGGCGGAGGTTGCAGTGAGCCGAGACTGTGCCACTGCTCTCCAGCCTGGTGACACAGCGATTCCGTCTCAAAAAGAAAAAAAAAAGAAAAGAAATACATTTGCCAATGCCAAGAGTGTGCCTTGAAGGCATCCTATTTCAGGAATAAGAACAAAAGTGGCAAGCTGTTTGAAATGATAGACAGTGCTATCAAAATGGGTCTTAACAATTTACAGCATGCACTATGACAGCATGCCCAAAGCAACCCAACAAAAGGAATAAGCTTGCATGTTAACACAAGCTGCATTACAGATATCTTAATTTAAATGGAGTCCAAGGTATCCCAAGCACGACTGCCAGTGATTCCCACAGCAGAAACCCACGTTGTGCATGCATGGGAGACTCATGGAACCTCTGGTCTATGGAAATTCTAACTAAAGGATGCAACCTGTTGAGGTGCTTTTTAACAGCTCCAACAATGCAACTGAGTGCCAAGCATTCTTTTCCTGTAGTGCAGTTTGTGGATCCTGGACAAACTTTAAACAGGACTAGTGTTTTCTGTGGTAGATAAATGAGTTCTGTTGCAGGATCCTTCTCATTGAGAATGAACATCTGTCAAACCTTGTAACCTTTTTTTTTTTTTTGAGATGGAGTCTCACTCTGTCACCCAGGCTGGAGTGCAGTGGTGCGATCTCTGCTCACTGCAACCTCTGCCTCCCAGGTTCGAGCGATTCCCCTGCCTCAGCCTCCCAAGTAGCTGGGACTACAGGCGCCCGCCACCACGCCCAGCTAATTTTTGTATTTTTAGTAGAGACGGGGTTTCACCATATAGGCCAGGCTGGTCTCGAACTCCTGACCTTGTGATCCGCCCGCCTCGGCTTCCCAAAGTGCTGGGATTACAGGTGTGAGCCACCACGCCCAGCTAAACCATGTAACTTTTTGAGGAAGGGTCTCTGTCACCCATGCCAGAGTGCAGTGGCATGATCGTGGCTTACTGAAGCCTTGACTTCCTGGGCTCAAGTGATCTTCCCATGTCAGCCTCCCAAGTAGCTGGGACTACAGGCATGTGCCACCACATGCAGCTAATTAAAAACTTTTTTTTTTTTTTTTTTTTTTTGTAGAAATGGGGTCTTACTATGAGGCCTAGGTTGGTTTCAAACTCCTGGGCTCAAGTGATCCACCCGTCTTGGGCTCCCGAAGTGCTGGGATTACAGGTATGAGTCACCACATCTGGCCAAATCATGTAACTTTTTGAGAAGGAAATCTGGCTGTTTTCAAGATGTTTTGAATTTTGAAAGAGCAGAGATATGACCTCTGATTTAGACTCCTATGAGAAATAATATACAGTATATGAGAAGAGGTAAATTGCATAGGGAGGGACAAAATAATTACACCACGATTTTGTCTTCTATTTCTTTATTTCTTTATTGAGACAGGGTCTCACTCTGTCACCCAGACTGGAGTGCAGTGGTGCAATCTCAGCTCACTGCAGCCTCGACCTCCCTGGGCTCATGTGATCCTCCCATTTTGGCCTCCTGAGTAGCTGGGACTACAGGTGCGTACCACCATGCCCAGCTAATTTTTTTATATTTTGCAGAGACAGGGTTTCACCATGTTGCCCAGGCTGGGCTTGAACTCCTGGGCTCAAGTGATCTGCCCACCTTGGCCTCCCAAAGTGTTGGGATTATAGGCGTGAGCCACTGCATCCAGCCATCTTATTTGTTAATTTTATTTTTTAAAATTTTATTATTCTTTTTTGAGATGTGGTCTCACTCTGTTGCCCAGGCTGGAGTGCAGTGGCACGATCACATCTCATCGCAGCTTCAACTGCCCCAGCTCAAGTGATCGTCCTACCTCAGCCTCCCAAGCAGTTGGGACCACCACACTTGGCTATTTTAAAAAAATTTTTGTAGAGATGGGGGGGTCTCTCCATGTTGCCCAGGCTAGTCTTGAACTCCTAAGCTTAAGTGATTCTCCTGCCTCAGCCTCCCAAAGTGCTGGGATTACAGGTGTGAGCCACCACACCTGGCCTTAATTTTTATTTTAATGTAAGCCTTTAGCAGCTAAATTTTGTCTGACTTCTCACTTCAATGGTACTGCTATATGATGTAATATAGGGGTCAGGTAAAATTAATATTTTAGGAGCTTATAAAATTTAGTATAATACTGATGATGATGATCAAATACATTGAGAGACTGAATTAAAGTCCTGTTGGGATGTTATCCCTATGGAGGAGAATTGGCTTGATGAATATTTAGACTTGATTAATGATAGATTATTATTTTTAATAACTCAGCAGATATATACCATGAAGTGCAGAAAACTGTGGATCAAGGAGGCCAAAGGACTGTACAGTTCGTACAAAAACACAAGAAAGTGTAATTGGATAATTCAGCTGTCTGTTTAAATCAGTACCAACCCTTCACTGATCATTGTAAATGTTTGGATTCTGTGTATGCATTTTTTTAGAGACAGTGTTTGCTCTGTCACCAAGGCTGGAGTGCAGTGATGTGATAATACTTCACTGTAACCTTAAACTTTTGGGCTCAAGTGATCCTTCTGCCTCAGCCTCCAGAGTAGCTAGGACTACAGGCATATGCCACAATGCCTGGCTAATTAAAATATCTTTTTTTGTAGAGGTGAGGTCTTGCCATGTTGCCAGGCTGGTCTCTAACTCCTCGCTGCCTCACGTGATCCTCCCACCTTGGCCTCAGTGCTGAGATTATAGGGGTGAGCCACTATGCCCTGCTTGTCTATGTATTTTGATTATCTATATGATATTGAGAAGTGAAGTAACTGTTGTCAACTCAGGATTACTGTTTTATCAAAAAATAGAGTTAATGTTGGTTATGGGGGTAGAGTGAACTGTTGTGCTAATTCCAGGTTTAGAATTAGCCAGAGCTATTTTGCTAAAGTTCCTTCCTTGGTCAAGGTGTGGCAGGAAACATACTGACTGAAAGTGTTAAGAGGATGCTGGACATGTTGGCTCATGCCTGTGATCTTAGTGTTTTGGGAGGCTGAGGATGGAAGATCTCTTGAGGCCAGGAGTTCAACACCAGCCTGGATAATATAGTGACACCCCATCTCTACAAAAACCTAAAAACAGCCATGGTGGTATGTGCCTGTAATCCAAGCTACTCAGGAGGCTGAGGCAAGAGTATCCCCTAAGTCCAGGAATTCAAGGTTGCAGTAAGCTATGATCTCACCATGCACTCCAACCTGAGCAATAGCGAGACACTGTCTCAAAAAGAAAAAACAAAACAAAACAAAACAAAACAAAAAAAAAACCATTAGGAAGGCAGGAAGCACATAAAAAGATGCCCAACACCACTAATCATTAGGGAAATACAAATCCAAACCACAGTAAGATACCACTTCACACACATTAGGATTGGCTATTGCCACAAAAACAGAACAAATGTTGGTGTAGAGTGGAGAAATTGAAACCCTTGGTGCGTTGCTAGTGGGAATGTGAAACGGTGCAGCCACTATGGATAACAGTATGGTGGTCCTCAAAATATTAAACATAAAATTACCATTTGATCTAGCAACTCCAGTTGTGTGTATATACCAAATGGAATTAAAAGAGACTTGAACACAAGATATTTGTACACTTATGTTTACAGCAACATTATTCACAATAGTAAAAAAAAAAAAAAGATAGAAACCAAATGTTTATCAATGGATGAATAGACAAATAAAATATGGCATACGCATACAATGGAATATTATTCAGTCTTTAAAAAGAATGAAGCTGGGCATGGCAGCTCATACCTGTAATCCCAGCACTTTGGGAGGTCAAGGTGGGCGGACTGCTTGAGCTCAGGAGTTCGAGACTAGCCTGGACAACACTGAGAAACCCTGTCTCTACAAAAAATTTAAAAAATTAGCAGGCATAGTGGCATGCACCAATGGTCCCAGCTACTTGGGAGGCTAAGGTGGGAGGATCACTTGAACCCAGGAGGTCGAGACTGCAGTGAGCTGTGATCATGCTACTGCACTCTAGTCTGGGCAACAGAGCGAGACTCTATCTAAAAAACAAAAGTGAAATTCTAATGGAAGAAATTTAAAAACATTATGCTAAGTGAGATAAGCCAGTCACAAAAAGCCAAATGTTGTATGATTCCATTTATATGAAGTAGCTAGAATAGGTAGATTCACAGAGAAAGTAGAGGTTACTGGGGGCTGGAGGAGGGGAGAATGGGAAGTTATTATTTATCTGTACAGTTTCTATTTGGAATGATGGAGAAAGTCGGGAAAAAGTGGGCACAACAATGTGAATGTACTTAATGTCATTGATTTGCATACTTAAAAACGGTTAAAATGATATATTTTATGTTATGCACATTTCACCACAGTAAAAAGATTTTTTTAAATTAAGTCAATGGCCAACACCTTGGAGAGAATAAATGAAATAGGGAGTTTTGGGATAGTTTCTATCAGTTTGCCAGTGAGATTTATGGTTTACACTTGGTCTCTGTGAAAACTCTCGGGGGGCTTTACTGTTACGTAGCAGGAATATGATTATGTGACCAAAAAAACAAAAATCCCTAGCTGAGATTCCATTTTGGAGTCTCTGATTCTGAGGTAGTCTGTTGCATGTGCCATGGACTGAATTGTGTTTCCCGCAGAATTAATGTGTTAAAGCTCTAATCTCTATGTCTTTAGGAGGTAGTTAAGGTTAAATTAGGTAATTAAGGGTGGGGCTCTAATTTGATAGGACCATGGCCTTGTAAAAAGGCCCTCTTTCACTGTCATGTAAGGACACAGCAAGAAAGCCGCCTTCTGTAAGCCGGGAGAGCCCTCACCAGAAATGGACCATGATGGCACCTTGATCTCGGACTTCCAGACTGCAAAATTATGAGACAATACATTTCTCTTGTTTAAGCCATGCAGACTGTGATATTTTGTAATGGCAGCCTGAGCAGAGTATGACAACACTGGTGATTCCTAATCTGTAAGAGAAAGATACATCCTGCCTGGCCCTCACCTAGGGAGGACCAGAGAAGCCTGCACCTGGCTTCTCTAGACTCCTTGCTTTGAGACAGCCATTGGCTGTGATATATATCCTTACTTTCATATTATGGTTATTTTTTACCCTTTTCCTATAATAAACTGCAGATCTGTAAGCATTGTCACTTTGGGTCCTGAGTCTTTCTTAGAACCAAACTGTTTAACTGACACTATTAGTGTAACTATAAGGAAAAGAAACAGTATTAATTTCTGTCGTTCTAAGGAGAAATAATTAAGATTGATGGGTAAAAGAACCATCTTAACAGAAGGCAGATTTACTTTGTCTTGCAAGGTATTAAGCAAGTCTCTAGGTATGTTCACTACACACTGGAGCAGAAGCTAGATGCCATTCTGCGGTGAGGAGACTGCTGCATTGGGTATACGACCTCAAGAGCTTACGATTTTTCCAATCTGGAAAAAACTTTTTCTTTTTTTCTTGTTTTTTTTTTTTTTTTTGAGATGGAGTCTCGCTCTGTCGCCCAGGCTGGAGTGCAGTGGCCCGATCTCGGCTCACTGCAAGCTCTGCCTCCCGGGTTCACACCATTCTCCTGCCTCAGCCTACCGAGTAGCTGGGACTACAGGAGCCCGCCACCATGCCCGGCTAATTTTTTATGTTTTTTTAGTAGAGACGGGGTTTCACCATGTTAGCCAGGATGGTCTCGATCTCCTGACCTCATGATCCACCTGCCTCGGCCTCCCAAAGTGCTTGGATTACAGGCGTGAGCCACCGCGCCCGGCTGGAAAAAACTTTTCAATAGGAATCATACCTGTGATGTCAGCTTCCCAGCAATCTGCATTCGTTCAATTTCTGCAGGAGACTTGATCAGCCGGAGGCGCTGTATCAGCTGCTGAACACCCCGAACCTTGTTCTTGCTCTTGGCTTTGGCCTCAGTCAGGGGCTGCATATAGTCAGAGTGAAGCTGTGCATGTGAGGGCCTCATCCAGTCATACCAAACCATGTTCGTCTCAGCTTAGAATGAGAAGCCGAAAAATAAATTTAAAACAAAACTACCAGCAACAAGAAATATCAACTGTCATAACGACTTGAACAAGAGTCAAAACTATAAAACCTGTAACGTGGAACTCTAAAGTGTTGAGACTTAAGACTCTCTCAGGACTGAAGCAATAAAGGTTTGATTATAAATCATTAGAAAGGTCATTCCCTGGAAATGGCAAGATATTCTAAGACTGAATATACAGCTTTTCTGCCCCTAAACTTCAGTGTTCTTTATAAAGGATGATACGGGACTAAAGCTTTAGTCAAGCTTTGATTTTCTCTCTTTCTCTCTCTCTTTATTTTTGAGATGGAGTCTTGCTCTGTTGCCCAGGCTGGAGTGCAGTGGCACAATCTCAGCTCACTGCAACCTCCGCCTCCCAGGTTCAAACGATTCTTCTGCCTCAGCCTCCCAAGTAGCTGGGACTACAGGTGCCCGCCACCATGCCCAGCTAATTTTTGTATTTTCAGTAGAGATGAGGTTTCACCATATTGGTCAGGCTGGTCTCGAACTCCTGACTTGTGATCCACCCGCCTCAGTCTCCCAAAGTGCTGAGATTACAGGCGTGAATCACCATGCCCGGCCTTCATTATTAAACAATTAGAACAACTGTTCTTCACCACCACTTACTGAGCTAGAGGCACTTGTTGAATAATTGCACACAGAAGGACAGAAAAACATACTCAGATCATGACTTTATGGGTAAAGTGTCCCATCCTTTCACATAATGATCTCAGTACTAGAGGAAAGGGTTCTCCTCCCATTCTGGAGCAATTATTCATTGCTATGGAAAAACTACAGTTGATATTTCCTCACTTCTCCCTTTGCATCTGCTATACATTCTCTTTGTAAACAATCACAGTTCAGCTTTCAACTTTAGAGACCTAAGGAAATGGTCTGTATTTGCCTAAGATATACGATATAAAGGCTCATTATAAAAATGATTTGCACTTAATATCAGATCTACATTTGTTCTTTTTTTCTAACAGTAGGCTACAAACAGTATTCCTAACAATCCAAGTGAGAAGGTCTGAATATTTTATATGACTAAAAAGTACTTTGGGGAAAGTAGAGGGGAAAAAATCCAGAAAACTTTGATTGGATATGCACTGATTCTATGATTCTATGTCCTATGTGATTCTATGTCCTACATATTTTCATTTTTAAAATAAAAATGGTTCTAAATATATACTACATGGGAAACACCTTCCTACTTACGATAGATGGAAATTTAATTGTCGTGTAATTTTTTTTTTTTTTGAGACGTAGTCTTGCTCTGTCACCCAGGCTGGAGTGCAGTGGCGCGATCTCGGCTCACTGCAACCTCCACCTCCCTGGTTCAAGCAATTCCCCTGCCTCAACCTCCCAAGTAGCTGGGATTACAGGCGCATGCCACCACGTCCAGCTAATTTTTTCGTATTTTTAGTAGAGACGGGGTTTCACCATGTTGTCCAGACTGGTCTCGAACTCCTGATCTCAGGCAATCCACCTCCCTTGGCCTCCCGAAGTGCTGGGATTACAGGCGTGAGCCACTGCACCCGGCCAATTGTTGTAATTTTTAAAAAGTAAAACAATCTCTACTACACGTTCAAAGTGTATGAAATCATAGCTCACTTTTTTAAAGGTTTTTAAACCTTTCAATAAATATGATTTTAGCCAGGCACGGTGGCTCACGCCTGTAATCCCAGCACCCTGGGAGGCTGAGGGGGGTGGATCACCTGAGGTCAGGAGTTCGAGACCAGCCTGACTAACATGGTAAAACCTTGTCTCTACTAAAAAAAAACAGAAAAATTCCCCGGGCATGGTGGCGCGTGCCTGTAACCCCAGCTACACGGGAGGCTGAGGCAGGAGAATTACTTGAACCTGGGAGGCAGGAGTTGCAGTGAGCCGAGATGGTGCCATTGCACTCCAGCCTGGGCAAGAGCGAAATTCTGTTTCAAAAAAAAAAAAAAAGGAATGGTGACCGAGAAGTACTTTTGAGAAATTTATTTTACATGAGATTGTAACTATACTGAATTAATAAAACTTAGACAGTAGAACATGACAAGTAGCAACTAATGTAAGAAAAAAGCTAGAAAGAAAATGATTCTATGCCCCACATTTATGTGGATTTTGAAGACATAAGAAAGTTCAATGAATTGAACAGGCTAATTATCTATAAAATGGAAAACATTTCTATAAATAAAAAGAATTTAATCAAATGTATTAGAACTTACATATTCAAATGAGTATTTTCTTCCAAAAGAGGCTTTACAGGAAACAGTCTAATATATTTTATGATTGTGAAAAACATTTTTGGAATTCTCTTTTAGAAGCTAACTTCAGATATGATTTGTAACCCATGTAAGAAAAATCAAACAAAAACTTTATAATTATACATTATCTTGACCTAAAATCAGTATTTTTAAACTTGAGCATCTATCTTATTTTCCAAATAAGATACTTCAAAAAATAAAATACTTCCCAGAGCTAAAGTTTTTTAAGAATTACTAAAGATAGTTTATAATGTGGTGTAGGTTCTGAAAAAATTCCCAGAAGAAAAATCTCAAAACATTCGGATTGATTAAAATTTCACCAGAATAACTGTAGAGAAAGTAATTTCTTTGAGGGACAAGAACTCAACTATGGCCAGGCACGGTGCCTCACACCTGTAATCCCAGCACTTCAGGAGGCTGAGGTGGGAGGCTCACTTGAGGCCAGGAGTTCAAAACCAGCCTAGGCAACAAAGTGAAACTCCATCTCTACAAAAAAATAAAAAAAAATTAGCCAGACATAGTGGTGTGCCCAGGTAGTCCCAGTATTCTGGAGGCTGAGGCAGGAAGACTGCTTGAGCTTTGGGGTTCGAGGTTGCAGTGAGCCATGAGTGTGCCACTATACCTACATCCCAACCTGGGTGACAGAGTGAGACCCTGCCTAAAAAAAAACAAAAAAAGAACTCAACTGTATATGAACCACAAAAGATCTGTTAAAATGCAGATTCTGATTCAGTAGATAGGGGATGGAGGCCTGAGATTTTAATTTCTATTACATATTATGCATTTTTAATTTTAATATGCATTACCAGGTGATTCTGATGCTGTGATGCATGGATCGTTCTTGGAGAACAGTACCTCCTTTTGAAGAGCTGGCAAGAGCACTAAGATAAGAAGTAGTTGTCAAATATCAAGAAGCTGGTCAGTAATCTTGAAGAGTGGTCCATGCCCATCCTGTCCTTAATTTATTTATTTTTTGGAGATGGGGTCTCACTACGTTGTGCAGTCTGGACCTGAACTCCTGGCCTCAAGCGATCCTTCTACCTCAGCCTCTCCAGTAGCTGGACTACAGACGTACACCACTGTGTCTGGCTTATCCTTTGCTTTAAAAGAAAATTCTCTGTGAGATTTCAAACTAGGATAGGTAACAGTCTCCATTAATGAATAATCCAGTGAACATGGAGTTTTTTTTTAATTGAAATGTTCTAAAATTCATTGTGGTGATGGTTGCACAATTCTATGACTATACCAAAAACTCTTAAATTATATACTTTCATTTTATTATTTTTTTTGAGATGGAGTCTTGCTCTGTCGCCTAGGCTGGAGTGCAGTGGCGGGATCTTAGCTCACTGGCTCACTGTAACCTCCTGCAAATGAATAAATGAATCTTTTTTTTTTTTTAAGACAGTCTTGCTTTGTTGCCTAGGCTGGAATGCAGTGGCATGATCTCGGATCACTGCAACCTCCACCTCCCGGGCTCAAGTGATTCTCCTGCCTGAGCCACCTGAGTAGCTGGGATTACAGGCGCCTGCGACCATGCCTGGCTAATTTTTCTATTTTTAGTAGAGACGGGGTTTCGCCATGTTGGCCAGGTTGGTCTTGAACTCCTGGCCACAAGGAACCTGTCTGCCTCGGCCTCCCAAAGTGCTGGGATTACGGGCGTGAGCCAATGCACCAGGCATAAATGAAATCTTTAAAGAAGCTCAATCTTCTGAAAAAGACTTTACATTTCTTTCATGGTGCTCATGGTCTTTTCATGGTGGTGCTACGATAACAAAATTAAGGACTTGTCTAAACAGGCAAGAAAGGTTTTAATCCCAATCTGGTTTGTAATGTGACTTCTGCTCCCATTTGTTACCTTTCATTTTTGGTAGAAGATGTTGAAATTCTTCTAGCGTATAGGCTTCGTCTACTCCAGTTAGAGCTATTGCTCCATCAGTGCCAGATCGCGGACCATCCCAAAGTTCTCGACTGGGATCTCGCCGAGGCACAAAAAGTATGGCTTTGTGTGATGGTAATTGTTTGCCAGGGAGGCTCTGAAGGACAAGAATGCTATCAGGCTCTTGGAATCCACATAGGTACAGGAAATTGTTGTCTTGGTGGAAAGTATAGGGAATATCGTTGCTCATGTAGTATGTAGGGTTGGAGAGCACAACCACTGTCTGGTCTGTCCCACTCTGCCCTTGAGCTTCCTTCTGGATCAGAGACATTAGTTTGTGTCTGCGAAGTGCATATTCCACCTGAGATAGTCCTGGAGTTACCTCCCCTAGAAATGACAAATAAAAGGGATGCTTTACATTTCTGCAGTGCCAAAGTACTTAAGGTAGTTTAATATTAGATGGAAATACTCAAGTCCAATTGTTCAATTTATGCCAAATCTCCTCACAGCACATGGAGAATTAAGGAGATAACCAGGTTTCAAACTTGTATTCCACTGCAAAAATTTGGAAGAAATGATAGTTGAATGTGGCCCCGCCTGAAATCTGGAATCATGGACCCCTTAGATCTCTTCCAGGTCTTTGGCTCATTCTTTTACTCACTCAGTTATATTCATTGAATATAATTTTTTTTTTTTTTTTGAGACAGAGTTTCGCTCTTGTTGCCCAGGCTGGAGTGCAGTGGCATGATCTCGGCTCACTGAAACCTCTGCCTCTCAGGCTCAAGCAATTCTCCCACTTCAGCCTCCCGACTAGCTGAGGTGGTTCACGCCTGAAATCCCAGCACTTTGGGAGGCCAAGGCAGGCAGATCACCTGAGGTCAGGAGTTCAAGACCAGCCCGGCCAACATGGTAAAACCTCATCTCTACTAAAAAAAACACAAAAATTAGCCATGTGTGGTGGTGCATGCCTGTAATCCCAGCTACTCGGGAGCCTGAGGCAGGAGAATCGCTTGAACCTGGGAGGTGGAGGTTGCAGTGAGCCAAGATCCCGCCACTGCACTCCAGTCTACGCGACAAAGCAAGACTCCATCTCAAAATAATAATAATAAAGTATATAATTCAAGAGTTTTTGGTATGTCACATAATTGTGCAACCATCACCACAATGCATTTTAAAACATTTCAATAACAAAAAAAACCTCCATGTTTATGAGCAGTTACTCCCCATTTTCTCACAATCCTCCAGCCCCTGGCAACTCCTAATCTATTATCTGTCTCTATGGATTTGCCTACTGCAGAGATTTTATATAATGAAACTATACAATATAGGGCCTTTGCTGACTTGGCCAATGGTTTTTTTTTTTTTTTTTGAGAGGGAGTCTCGCTATCTCCCAGGCTGAAGTGCAGTGGCGCAATCTTGGCCTGCCTCAGCCTCCCAAAGTGCTGGGGTTACAGGTGTAAGCCATCGTGCCCGGCCCCCTCTTAATTTTAAAAAGGTAACAATTTCACTTCCTTATATACACACACTGTACAGTTGTAGATAAATGTAATACTGAATTATTTCAATAAATGTTTTTCCCTCTTTCCTTCATTGTTTGGCTCCTTATCCCTATTCCCTTCTCCTACTCACATCAACACCTTGCCCAGGTTTGTAATCTAGTATGTATCTTTTCTGAGTTTTCTCAACTCTCACAAAATCATACATACATGCATTTGGGGCTTTTTGGATCACTACTGTTTTACAAAATGGGACACTACACACTCTTTTTGGTATCTTCCTTTTCCAACAGAACAATATGTCATGGAATGCTTTTCCTTCAAGTCGTTTGGTATAGCTTCAATTCATTCTGCTTGATGCCTCCATGACATTTCTTGGGGTGAAGAGACCATAACTTATTCAGCCATTTCTATACTGTAGGAATTCAAACTGCTTTTCAGCTTTTTGCTGCTATAATAAATATCTTTGTACTTATATCTTAGTACTTTTATGTCCCATGTACTGGTGCTTTAATTATTATGGGGATAGTCCCAGGAGAAAAACGGCTTGGTCAAAGATCTTTGAATTTCCTTAGTACTCATGTTCAGTATATGATTACCTTAGATCTAATTTTTTTTTTTTTTTTTTTTTTGGGAGACAGAGTCCTGCTCTGTCACCCAGGCTGGAGAGCAGTGGCACGATCCTGGCCCATTAAAACTCTTACCTCCTGGGTTCAAGTGATTCTTGTGCCTCAGCCACCCAAATAGCTGGGATTACAGGCGTGAGCCACCAGGCCTGACTATTTTTGTATTTTTATTTATTTATTGCTACTATTTTTTGAGAAAGAGTCTTGCTCTGTCACCCAGGCTGGAGGGCAGTGGCGTGATCTCACCTCACTGCACCCTCCGACTTCCCGGTTCAAGCAATTCTCCTGCCTTAGCCTCTTGAATAGCTAGTATTACAGGTGTGTACCACACGGCCTGGCTAATTTTTGTATTTTCAGTAGAGACAAGATTTCACCATGTTGTCCAGGCTGGTTTCGAACTCCTGACCTCAAATGATCTGCCCGCCTAGTCCTCCCAAAGTGCTGGGATTACAGGCATGAGCCACCATGCCTGGCCTAATTTTTCTATTTTTAGTAGAGATGGGGTTTCACCATGTTGCCCAGGCTGGTCTCGAACTCCCGGCCTCAAGCAATCTGCCTGCCTCGGCCTCCCAAAGTGTTGGGTTTACAGGTGTGACCCATGTCCCATGGCCTAGGATCTAATTGTTTTACCTATATATAGTTTATCTCACCAGCAAATTCTGTAACTTGTATTCCATTAATAAAATATTTTTATTTAACTTTTCGGACATCTACAATAGAAACAAATTTATGTTTTTGTTGATGAAGTTGGCAAGAAATAAGAGAGAGTGATAAGTGGAGGCCTTACGGGCCAATGTGAAGCAGCTGAAGCAACAAAATGGGGCCAAGAAGAGCTCATATCACATTTTTTTCTTTCAAGATTGAGCTGGCTAAGAGTCTCCTAGGTTTCTTAGGCAGAATACTGAACTTTGTACTACAGCTATTTATTTCCTTGATAATTATTCATGTTAAGTCTGCCACTGTTACTCAACATTGAAAATTTCCTAATTTACTCAAGTAGTAAATACTCTTACAAAAGCAGAGGCTGGTTATAACTGATGAATTATCCGACCTTTCCTTTTTTTCATCTTATTTTCTTCCTTTCCTGAACTTTGCTTTTGGCTATTTCACAGCTATAGTCCATAAAATAAAAAGAAATTTAAAAATCAGCTGGGTGCAGTGGCTCACGCCTATAATCCTAGCACTTTGAGAGGCCGAGGCAGGCAGATCACCTGAGGTCAGGAGTTCAAGGCCAGTCTGGCTAACACGATGAAACCCTGTCTCTACTAAAAATACAAAAAATTAGCCAGGTATGGTGGCGCACACCTGTAGTCCCAGCTACTTGGGAGGGTGAGGCAGGAGAATTGCTTAAACCCAGGAGGCAGAGGTTGCAGTGAGCTGAGATCACACCACTACATTCCGGCCTGAGCGACAGAGTAAGATTCCGTCTCAAAAAAAAAAAAAGAAAGAAATTTAAAAATCAATTCTTTTTTATTTCAGAAGGTAAGAAAATCCATAATTTTAATAACTATGTGTTATCTCTCATTTTCATTAGTAACAGTATACATTAACACATATCAGGAAGTTACTTCTAAAACAAGAAAATTATTTGGAAATCAAAGCAGGATCAAAAAAACCATCTTTTATACCCTTCAAAGTATTCCTATGTTTGCTGAATCCAATTTCATACAATTGACTACATGAGAAATATTTAAAACACTGGCTATATTTTCCCAAACCTATTAATTATCAACACTATTGAGTGATCATTAAGTAAATGCTTCTAAACTTCTAAAATCTCAACGCAACAAAGCACTCTCCATCACAACACATTTTTTTTTTTTTTTTTGAGATAGAGCTTTGTTCTTGTTGCCCAGGCTGGAGTACAATGGCACAATCTCGGCTCACTGCAACCTCCGCCTCCCAGGTTCAAGCAATTCTCCTGCCCCAGGTTCCCAAGTAGCTGGGATTACAGGAATGTGCCACCACGCCCGGCTAATTTTGTATTTTTAGTACAGATGGGGTTTCACCATGTTGGTCAGGCTGGTCTTGAACTCCTGACCTCAGGTGATCCACCGGCCTCGGCCTCCCAAAATGCTGGGATTACAGGCGTGAGCCACTGTACCCAGAAACAAAAAATTTACTCAAGAAAAAAGAAACCTTTCCATGTGAAGGAGGAAAAAAAATGTGTTAAAGCAATGACCTTTAAACCCTAGGAGTAAACTTGGAAGGTGTTATGGCCTTTGATCACAGAACTCAACTTTATAGTCAATCTGGCCTGAATTTCTTCTGATAAAACTATATCTCAATAGATCCTCAGGCAACGTGGTAAAACTGTAAAGAATTAAAAAACAAAGTCAGCATTTTATGATGTGGAACCACTTAAGATGGAAAGGCTCTTCTAACAAGTTTATTGAGCCAATCGAAAGCCTAGATATTGGAAGCTGGACTCTGCAAAGTCTCACTATCAGTTCTGAGATTCTGCAGCCAAGAAGGAAAGCTCTTCCAGGACACTTAAGATCATGCCTCTCGAAGAGAAAAGCAATAATGTTCTTCATATTTTACCAGCTACACAAAACACCCAGAAAGGAAGATATAACAAAGACTGAAAATGGATGAAATGATACAGGTCTCTACTACAATCTAGGTTTGTATTTTTAATTATTTCCTGAAACTAACTAGATTAGAATTTTAACATGGTCTGATTTTGAAAAGAAGTCTGCTTAATATTAGGTAGTTTTCGCAGCATATAAGGAAGTAATTAATAAACTATTACTGTGCAGTTGGAGAATGGGGTGAAAGAAAAAGCTAGTGTTTCCTTTATAATGTAAAACAGGCCTCTCAGAAAAAATGCAATGACTGAATAAAAAATACTCTAAATAGATTTGCATATATTGAGCAAAACTAAACAAACAGAAAGGCTACATATACATATTATGATTCTGTATGATTCTACTTACACAAAGTCAAGAAAAGGCAAAACAGTCTATGATGACAGAAACCAAAAGAGTGGCTGCCTATGAAGGTGGAGACTGACTGGAGGAGCATGAGGGAACTTTCCAGGACGATGGAAATGTTCTGTATCTTGACTGAGCTGTAGGTTACCTTTGTTAAAGCTCACTGAACTGCATATGTAAGATCTGTGAAATTCGCTGCATATAAATTTTACCTGATTTAAAAAAAGTATACTACTCTCCAAACTTGAAATAACTTTTATACTAAGACTTCTCTCAGATGGATGTCTTATAAAAAATGTAAGGAGAAAATACTTTAAAAAATATTACCAGATAGTATTTTTTGGCATAGGTATTATACACTGTTTTGTGGTTGAAAGTGTGGATTCTGAGTTAGGTTTTTGTGAGTTGGAATCCTGGCTTAGCAATTCACTGAGTGACACAGGTATTATGTTTGGCATAGGTATTATGCACTGTTTTGTGGTTGAAAGTGTGGATTCTGAGTTAGGTTTTTGTGAGTTGGAATCCTGGCTTAGCAATTCACTAAGTTTGGAAAGAGCTACCAAACTTCTCTGTGCCTCAGTTTCCTCATGTAAAATGGAAATAACAATAGCACTGACTTCACAAAGTTGTTATGTGGATTATACAATAATCCACCTAAGTGGATTTAAGTAATAAAACACTTAAAACGTAACACTTAGCACTACATAAGTATTAGCTATAATTATTACCAAAATAAAAAATTTACACTTGAACTGGTTGTCACCCGGGAATCCAAAGCCAGGCAGGATCTTAGAAGAGTAAAATTTACATGGACAACCGCTATTATGACAACAAATGAAATCAAAATAATTATTTACATAGAAGACCTGGAAGTCTTTGGCTTTTTCACATGTTAGGAATGAATCTCCATTGACCATTTAGAAACTTTTCATTATTATTCATTTCTTTAGGTAGCTCCTAATTCTTGTCTAGGGCTGATTCTTGCTAATCTTTACCTCAGAGAGTTTCTCAGTGTCAATGAGGACTACACACAAAGGTAAAAAAGAGAAATACAAATGTCATTTATTTATTTATTTTTTGAGACAGAGTCTTGCTCTGTTGCCTAGGCTGGAGCACAGTGGCGCAATCTTAGCTCACTGCAACCTCTGACTCCTGGGTTCAAGTGATTCTCATGCCTCAGTCTCCTGAGTAGCTGGGATTACAAGCATGCACCACCATGCCTGGCTAATTTTTTTTTTTTTTTTTTTTAGTAGAGGTGGAGTTTGCTACGTTGGCCAGGCTGTTCTCAAACTCCACGCCTCAAGCAATCGGCCCACCTTGGCCTCCCAAAGTGCTGGGATTATAGGTGTGAGACACCGTGCCCAGCCAAGTCATTTATTTTTAATTTTCTAGTATTTATACTACATGAAAACTTTATTATATTTCAAGATTTTCTATTTCTCCCTAGGGCTTAAAAACAAACAAACAAACAAACAGGGAAATCCTCTATAATTCTTCACTAGATGGTGGTTTACAGATTATTGGTATAATGGCATCCTGAAATGGTCTATCAATATGTACTAGACATGTAAGTAAAAAACAGGTTTATTCATCTATAAATTTATTTACATAGAGACTACATTATTTATTCTGCATTAAAATTGAATCAGGAGATGAAGACAAGAGGAAACATTTAATCACTATGAATACAGTGATTTAAAAAAATTATATAAGTAAGCCCTGGCAACAAAGTGAGATCCCATCTCTACAAAAATTTAAAAAATTAGCCAGGCATGGTGGCTTATGCCTGTAGTCCTAGCTACTTGGGAAACTGAAGTGGGAGGATCGCTTGGGAGGTCGAGACTGCAGTGAGATATGATCATGCCGCTGCAGTTTAGCCTGGGAGACAGAGCAAGACCCCATCTCAAAAAAAGCAAAAACAAAAACAAATAAAATTACATAGGTACATTGGGGTGAGAAAATAAAATATATTACTTTATAAAACAGGTGGGCTTCATGGTGAAGTACTTATAGAAAAAGTAGACCTTCAACTTAAATTTAAAACCTGTAGGATACAAAACTTTTAGTCTACTATTCTATCAGGTATAATCTATTAAAAAAGTGTTGAAATGGTTAGATAAATGTAACGTCATCACTTATTGATGGTGGTGATGATGATAAAGATGTGAATGAATTTAAGGACTGAGTGACTGGGGATGAGACTACAGAGGCATGTGGAAGGCACATTCTCTGCTTTAAAACATGACCAATGGCCACAGAACTGGCTTGTCCCCTTAAGTCATCAGGCATCTCATGCACCTAGCTAAATGAGTACCCACTAGGTTAGTGGTGTATGTGAGAAACGCCCGGGGAGCTCTTCAAAACACATGTTCCGGTTGGGTATGGTGGCTCATGCCTATAATTCCAGCACTTTGGGGGGCCAAGGTGGTAGAATTGCTTGAGTCCAGGAGTTCAAGACCAGCCTGGGCAACATAGTGAGACCTTATCTCTATAAAAAATATAAAAATTAGCTGGGCATGATGGTGCATGCCTGTAGTCCCAGCTATTCAGGAGGTTGAGACAGGAAGATTGTTTGACCCCCGGAGGTCAAGACTCCAGTGAGCCATGATCTCGGCACTGTACTCCAACCTTGGAAACAGAGTGAGACCCTGTCTCAAAAAAAACAAAAACAAAAACACATGTTCTAAGCCCTCCCTTTGAGATTCTCATTCAACAACTCTATTTATAGAGTCCTAGCACGTATGTATATTTTGAAAAAGCTTACCCAACAGTCTAGGCAGGTTCAAACCACTTCCAATTTCTGTTATTTCTTGATTCCTTTTAATTTTTTAAATTCTTCTGAGATAGGGTAACACTCTGTCACCCAGGCTAGAGTGCAGTGGCGCAATCATGGCTCACTACGGCCTTGACCTCCTGGTCTCAAGCATCATTTTATTTATTTTTTATTTTTCTTCCTAACTCCCCAAAGTTGTTATCAAGCATCATTTTAATCTTTTAAATAGTATAAAAATCTTACCACCACCAAAATAAGCTTTGTCTTTTAGATATTATTAAAATCAACCATATTTAACAAGTTTTAAAAATAAAATGCATCCCTTGCTCAAGAGACGGCTACAATTAAACTATCACTGAAAGATGGGCAGCTGATTTTGAAACTCTTAAGGGAAAAAGATTTGGGGATTATTATCTATAACCCACTCTAGAATCAATCATTTCATCATTTTAAATATTATATTCACTGTAACTGTACTGTCTCTGCCATTATATTTATTTATTTATTTTATTTCTATTTTATTTTATTTTTGAGACGGTCTTGCTCGGTTGCCTAGGCTGAAGTGGAGTGGCACAATCTCAGCTGACTGCAGCCTTGACTTCCCAGGCTCAAACAATCCTCCTACTTCAGCTTCCCAAAGTGCTGGGATTATAGGCGTAGCTAGGACTACAGACATCTGTCAACACACTCAGCTAATTTTGCTTACTTTTTTGCAGAGATAAGGTCTCACTACGTTGCCCAGGCCTCCCAAAGTGCTGGGATTATAGGCGTGAGCCACCGCACCTGGCTTCTGCCATTATAGTTGACGATAGAGATGAAACGGTAAATGGTGAAAGCATCGTCTTATATTTCATGCCACACAGTTGCATTCTGATTATTTCCCTAAAAATCTGTTTGCTGCTGTAGTTGAAAACCAAGAAGTGGGCCAGGCATGGTGGCTCACGCATGTAATCCCAGCACTTTGGGAGGCCAAGGCAGGCAGATCACAAGGTCAGGAGTTCAAAACCAGCCTGACCAATATGGTGAAACCCCCTCTCTACTAAAAATACAAAAATTAGCCAGGTGTGGTGGCGCACACGTGTAGTCCCAGCTACTCTGGAGGCTGAGGCAGGAGAATTGCTTGAATCTGGGAGGCGGAGGTTGCAGTGAGCCGGATCACGCCACTGCACTCCAGCCTGGGCGACAGAGCGAGACTCTGTCTCAAAAAAAAAAAAAAAAAAAAAAAAAGAAAAAGAAAAAGAAAAAGAAAACAACCATGAAGTGGTTCTACATATGTCAGACAAGTTATTCTGACAAGCCCAACTCCCTGAGTAGCCCTTTTTAAACCTAGCATTCCAAACTATACCACATATTCTAAAACTAATTTTAAGAATGTAAAAATTTTAGAAATAATGCTTCATTAGGAATTCCACTGATTCTTCCCGTTCATTCTCTGATATGTTTCAGTGTTTTTTTGAGATGAATGTCTTGCTGTCCTGCTAATGACAACATTACTCCTTTGGCAATAATCAGGGAACCATGGAAGCATCTTTCTTGTACAGATAATATAATATAATCTGTACAATCTGTAAATATCGCTGGGTGTGGTGGCTCACACCTGTAATCCCAGCACTTTGGGAGGCTGAGGCGGGTGGATCACCTGAGGTCAGGAGTTCGAGACTAGCCTGGCCAACATGGTGAAACCCCATTTCTACTAAAAATACAAAAATTAGCCGGATGTGGTAGCAGGCGCCTGTAATCCCAGCTACTTGGGAGGCTGAGGCAGCAGAACTGCTTTAACCCGGGAGGCAGAGGTTGCAGTGAGCAGAGATTGTGTCATTGCACTCCAGCCTGGGCGACAAGAGCGAAATTCCGTCTCAAAAAAAAAAAAAAGTAGACTCACAGTTCAGAATGCCACTTGCCTTCCTACATGGAATCATTTTCATGTCTGAGTGTCAAGTGTGAGACAAGGTAGTAATCAAAGAGACTGACCAACATTTTCCATCTCTACCGATACAGACCTTAGCACAGAGATGGCACTGTCATAAAAAGCAGAAATGGTCTACAGTGCTCAGATTTCTCTAAGGAAATGACAAGTTTTGAAAATCACTAGAACCTAGCCGTAAAATCACAGAACCTAGCACAGCCAGAACAGAATTTCTTTATTTCCTGTATCATCCTGCTAAATATTTTCCAAGCTATTGATGCTTCAGGAAACTTGGATAGGTAGGTATGGCAAAGAAAAATCTAGGAAAAATAGCTCCCAAGAATTCAGAGGAACTGGCCCAGTAATTTCACTTTTGTTTTTGTTTTTGAGACAAAGTCTCACTCTGTTGCCCAAGCTGGAGTGCAATGGCGTGATCTCAGCTCACTGCAACCTCTGCCTCCCAGGTTCAAGTGATTCTCCTGCCTCAGCCTCCTGAATAGCTGGGACTACAGGCATGCGCCACCATGCCCAGCTAATTTTTCTATTTTTAGTAGAGACGGGATTTCACTATGTTGGCCAGGCTGGTCTCGAACTCCTGACCTCGTGATCCATCCACCTCAGCCTCCCAAAGTGCTGGGATTACAGGTGTGAGCCACCGCGCCTGGCCCCAGTAATTTCACTTCTAAGAATTTAAGGAAATAATAGAGCAATATGCAAAGAATGTGTACACATGTACACTTATACACACATACACCTATGTAAGAAATAGGACTAAAAAGAAACATATACCAAAATCCTCTCAACAGTGGCTTTCTCTGAGTTGTGGGATTATTAGTAATTAAAAAAAAAATCTATGCTTACCTGTATTCTCTTTTTCTGTATGTATAGAACTTGCGTAATAATTAGGAAAGGCATTGAGATGTTTCCCAAAAGTATTAAGTACATACTGCCATGTATTAGAGAAATATGCAAAACATGAAACCTTTTGGAGAAACCAAGTGCACATTACATAATTTTATATCCTAAACTAACAAGCCAACTGCGTAAGAGACTTTTTTTGAGAGAGAGAGACACGGTCTCATTCTGTCACCCAAGATGGAGTGCAGAGGCATGATCACAGCTCACTGCATCCTTGACCTCCTGGGCTCATGCAATCCTCCCACCTGAGTCCCCCGAGTAGCTGAGACTATAGGCAGGAGCACTAATTTTTTTTATTTCTTATAGAGACAGGGTCTTGCTATGTTGCCTATGCTCGTCTCGAACTCCTAACCTCAAGTGATCCTCTCATCTTGTCTTTCCAAAGTGTTGGGATTATAGGCGTGAGCCACTGTACCTGGCCTAAGAGACTTTTTAAGTATTACATGCCTTTAAATTTTTTTTCCTTTTTTTTTGAGACAGAGTCTCCCTCTGTCCCCCAAGCTGGAGTGCAGTGGCACAATTCTGGCTCACTGCAACCTCCGCCTCCCAGAT
Organism: Homo sapiens; assembly: GCF_000001405.40. NCBI lineage: Eukaryota > Metazoa > Chordata > Mammalia > Primates > Hominidae > Homo > Homo sapiens. The sequence continues at coordinate 40,870,949 of NC_000022.11, read as the reverse complement.
TCAGGTGATTCTCCTGCCTCAGCCTCCCCAGTAGCTGAGATTATAGGCATATGCCACCACACCCGGCTAATTTTTTTTTTGGGGGGTATTTTTAGTAGAGACAGGATTTCACCATATTGGTTAGGCTGGTCTCAAACTCCTGGCCTCAGGTGATCCACCCACCTTGGCCTCCCAAAGTTCTGGGATTACATGTATGAGCCACTGCGCCCGGCCCCTTTTAATTTTTCTTAAAAATTTACTCTGCTTCACCCTACAATCACTTTAACACTTCCACAAGTTTTGCATCTCTGGAAGGAGAAACACAAATGATTAATTCTTTTGATACTTTTGTCTGCAGAAAAATCTGTACCTAATGGTACATCTGATAGTTTGAGGTTTAAAATACTAATAATTCTGTTTTAAAATTCCATCTACTTCCATCCCTTCTCACTTACCCCAATGTCCAAAATCCCACGTCTAGGAGAGTAAAATTAGGACAGGCATCCCTTTTCCCCCAGATATTCACATACATATGTATGTGAACATATACGTGTACATATTTATTTACATTCACTTATACTTAACATGCACTTAAGGTATAGAGCAAAAAAATCTAGATACAGAGGCCATTATCTTGACAATATAATTACTAGGTTTAAGGCCTGGAAAATGCAGCTTACCATGTAAAAATATCTCACCACAAGAAATCAGTAATTTTCAAAGCTGGTAAAACTATCAATTCTACTTAAAAAAATAACTCGAGTCTACAGGTAGGTTGATAGGGTAGATAAATACTAAAATTAATACCAACTGGGTTGCTATTAAGCTTACCTTACAGCTTTGAAAAACTCTGATTTCTTGTGGGTTTCAGTGGTGAGCTGCATTTCCTTAGTTTCAGCCGACTTCCCAGCAGGAATTCGAGTCTGATGAAAAATCAGCAAAAGGAAGCCCTCACTGAGAAACATACTGGTATCATTCACTGAGTGGGGATAGTGAAAAAGGAACATATTTCTAAAGGTAAATTTCCATTAGTAATATATATGCTTATATGGCAAATACATATTTAATTTCTTATGGCAGAAAGAACAATTAATTTTCCTTGAAAACCTGATTGCTTTTTCTACAATGTGTTTGCTTTTACCCTACCTTCCTCTCTGAGATATTCATTAGTCATAGTTCACCCCTTAAGTGCAAGAAATCAAAACAAAAAACCTTTAGGTCTAAATTTGAGCAATAGTTATAAGACATCTTCTGGCAGCAACGCTGGGATCTTATAGCAGAAAAAAAAATTAGTAAAACAAACCTTTATCATTTTTTTGCATCACCTTTATCAACTGGGATACTACCTCTCAAATCTGTGACAAACAAATCTGGAAATCTTGCTTAATCTATATAGAAATAGGTTATAATTTTAAAGTAAATATTTGATAATTTCAAGAAAAAACATGTTTTCTAAAATGTCTTTAACACAGTAATTCACAATAGTATACAATTCTAAAAGCTGACTTAGAAATAGAACTTTGCTTTAAAAACATCCTGAAATACATACCTTTCATTAATTATTCTGAATTATAAGGTCTATCATATTTAAACCTTGTTCTAGACTAGTATTGTCAATAAAGCACCAGTACCCACATGTAGTTAAGCTTAAATTTAAATTAATTAAAATTAAATAAAATAAAAAGTTCAGCTCCTCAGCTGTACTAGCAACCTTATTAGTGTAAAATGGCCATGTGAGGTTAGTGGCTACCTTATGGAACAGCACAGATCCAGAGCTTACTGCAAGAAGTTCTATTGCATAGCATTGCTCTAGACAGAACCTAAATGGGGAGATAGCACAGTTAAAAGGCCTTACCTGGTCTGAGGAGGTGTGGGTGTGTAAAGGGGCTGGGCTGGCCTAAGTATCGGTTTGGAATCCTCCTTTCTGGGACAGGCTGAAGGGAGTACCTTCGCTGTGAACACAACATACATCCTGAATGAAGAATAAAGAGAATGAAATGAAACAATAGATCTAGAAAGTCTTCATGGTATAAATACACTTATCTCTAGCAGTTTAGATGCTTTAGAAAAATGCAAACTAATATTTCCTTCCTTCTCTCCTTCAATATTCATTTATTTTTTTTTTAAGACAGAGTCTCACTCTGTCACCCAGGCTGGAGTCAGTGGCATGATCTCGGCTCACTGCAACCTCCACCTCCTGGGTTCAAGTGATTCTCCTGCCTCAAGCCTCCTACATAGCTGGGATTACAGGTGCGTGCCACCATGTCTGGCTAATTTTTGTAGAGACGGGGTTTAATCCTGTTGGCCAGGCTGGTCTCGAACTCTTGACCTCAAGTGATCCGCCCACCTCGGCCTCCCAAAGTGTTGGGATTACAGGCATGAGCCACTGCACCTGGCCCTCCTTCAATATTTATATGGCCTTTGCTCTGTGTCAGACTCTGTGTTGGGCCTTAGGAAAACAGAAATGAGATCTTTACCCTCAGAGACATTTGTCTGCTATAATATTTTATACACATACACACACACACACACACACACACACGCACACATATATAATAAAGGTATGAATAAGGAGCTATGAAAACAGAAGAAAGGAACCAAAAAAGGCAGGGGAAGGATATCACAGAGGCAGTTTGAAAGGGTATCACAGAGATAGCATAAAGCTGTGTCCTAAAACTCAGGAAAAGATAATCAACATTTTTTATTGAGAATATGTTAAGCATGAGAAAATATGCACATGCTATCTCATTTAATCTTGGAATGTCAGAGCTAGATAAAATAATTTATGAAAAATGCTTAATCATAGAGTACAACAAATGTTAGTTATTAGCATTAATTAAAAAATTCTTTGCACATGATTGGAACATGCTCAAAGAAAGACACATGAATGACAAGGCTATATGCTGTGGTCTTTAAAGAATGCACAGTCTAGTGGAGGTGAGACAAAATAGAGCATTACAATATTAAATGGTGAATGCAACAGTGGATTCACACATAAGGAGTTTTGTTTGTTGGGTTTTTTTTTTTTTTTTTTGAGACAGGTCTCACTCTGTCGCCCAGGCTGGAGTGTAGTGGCATGATCATAGCTCACTGCAGCTTTGTTCCTCTGGGCTTAGGCAATAAATGAAATGAAACAATAGATCTAGAAAGTCTTCATGGTATAAATGCACTTATCCATCTCCAACAGTTTGGATGCTTTAGAAAAATGCAAACTAATATTTCCTTCCTTCTCTCCTTCAATATTTATTCATTTATTTATTTTTAAGACAGAGTCTCACTCTGTTGCCCAGGCTGGAGTCAGTGGCTCAGCCTCCCAAGTAGCTGGGACTACAGGTATGTGCCACCAAGACTGGTTAATTTTTTTTATTTTTGGTAGAGATGAGGTCTCACTATGTTGCCCAGGTTGGAAACCCACACCAATTTCTTTGTAATCATCTTAGAAGCTATGATTTTTCTTTTTTTTAAATCTTTTTAGAAGAAGCTATGATTTTTCTAAACAATCTTCTACAAACTGGAATTAACTTTTAAGACTCTTCTCTCCCAAATACATATATTATTATTCATAATTCATAGTCCTTACAGAAATTGTATGTTCACAAGGAGATTGTACAGTATTGATTGTTGAGATTAAACAGAGAGGACCTAGTGAGCGGCAAGGGGGAGGGATAAGAGCAAAGATTATGAAGTCAAATAAACCTGAGTTTGAATCTCAGCTTCTCTGGTACTAAGTGTGTAACCTTGTCCAGATTACTTCTCTGAGTCTGATTCTGTGTTTGTAAAATAATGATGATAATGCCTACCTCACGTGACAGTTAAAAATCTAACTCCTTAATTTAGAATACAAAGCCTTCAAAGCTATCTTACCTTCCTAATCTTTTCATCTCCCTCCAGCAGCACTAACCCACTGGTGGAGTAGGCTGCTGTTGCATTGGTGATTTCTCTTTCTCTCCTCCTGCACCTTCTCCACATGCACGCTCGTGCACACGTACTCATGCACACATAGTGTCTTCTGTAATCTCATTAGGCAGTAAAATTTCAGAATATAAAAAGTTAACTGATTCCTTTTTCAATGCTCATATGAAATAATCCTAGCATATTTTGGACCACTCTCAAGCAGAGGGAGCTTAACTTTATTAAATTCAAAGCAAACAAGTAACACTTTAACAGGAGACATAAATTAAGATGTTTATTCCCAGTAAATTTTTAAAAAAGGTCTCAATAGCTTTTTACTTACATTAAACATCTTTTGCCCGAAGTCATATAATTAGTAGCAAAGCTGGTGTGTTAAGTCCTATTTCAAAAATATCCAGTTCATAAGCTTCAAACTCTTTTGCTTAGGAAACTTCATGATTTGGATCCTGCTCCCTTATCTGACCTAATCCTCAAAAAACATTATTGCAGCCACACTAAGCTACTTGAAGAACCCCGGCTAAATCATTCTGCATCATAATAGCATTTGCATTAAAAAATATAGTTCTCTTAGTCTAAAGTGGACACTGCCTGCTTATACGATTACAGAAATTCTAAAAAATACCAGCTCAAACATCACTTACGCAAGAGACTTCTCTTACTCTTCTCACACCTACTGCCTCTGTTCTGCTTGTTTCAGATGTCTTCCCCAACGCTCCTATGATTTCTATTTTAATACCTACTACACTTCACATAATTGCTAATTAGTTTGCCAGTCTACTATGAACAATCTTTGGAAGCAGAGATCACTTGTTATTTGACTTTATTTTCCCAGTGACTTGATTTGAAATGTATTTTGAAGTTAAAAGTCAATGAGTCTGGCTTCTAATTGGACATAAGAAATAAAGAAAAAAGAGGAATTAAGAATAATTCTTGATTTTTGACTTGAACAAGTGAATAAATGGTTGTACCACTACATGCAACAGGAAAGCCTGAGATATTTATTGGAAATAAATTTAATGGAGAGGTCAAAGAGCAATCTTAATTTCAGGGAGAAAAGTGCTAGGCTAGATATATAAATTAGGGTGTTATAAGCACACAGATGGCATCTAAAGCCCTGGGAATGGGTATTACCCAGGGAGACTGAACAAAGCCTGGCACTGTAATATTTTAGTGTGAGAAAGAGCACAGGAGAAAGAAGGAAAACTAGAAGAGTACAGTATTTAGTGCTGGGCATGGTGGCTCATGCTTGTAATCCCAGCACTTTGGGAGGCCGAGGCAGGCAGACAGATCACTTGAGGCCAGGAGTTCGGGACCAGCCTGGCCAACATGGCTAAACCCTGTCTCTACCCGCTGCCCCCCCGCCCCCCACAAAAAAAGAGTGTGGTATTTAGGAAGTTAAAAAACAAGTGTTTTAAGAAGTGGGGAGGACTATGCCAGGCGCAGTGGCTCACACCTGTAATCCCAGCACTTTGGGAGGCCGAGGCAAGTGGATCACCTGAGGTCGGGAGTTCGAGACCAGCCTGACCAACATGGAGAAACCCTGTCTCTACTAAAAATACAAAATTAGCCAGGCATGGTGGCACATGCCTGTAATCCCAGCTACTCGGGAGGCTGAAGCAGGAGAATGGCTTGAACCTGGGAAGTAGAGGTTGCAGTGAGCCGAGATCACACCACTGTACTCTAGCCTGGGCAACGAGAGTGAAACTCCATCTCAAAAAAAAAAAAAAAAAAAAGTGAGGAGGGCTCACAGTGTGGCAAGTGCTTCAAAATACAAGGAAGCCAAAAGGACAACCACTGGATATGGTAACATCAATCACTGGAGACCCTGGCGATTTTAGCAGAGTAAAGAAGACAGAAGACAGATTGGAGTATGCCAAGGAGGGAATAGGATGTAAGAAAGCAAAGACACTGAGACAATACTCTGGATAAGTTTTGTTGTGAAGAGGCAGAGAAAATGGCACAGCGGATGGCTGGGAGGCAAAGGATCAACAAAGAAGGGTATAACTGCAGAAACAAGTGCTCGTATTATAACTTTACACTCCACTGAAATTAGTTTTTTCAAACTATATGAATTTCTTAAGAGCAGAATTTCCTATTTTCTACCTTTTCTCTGTATCATAGTGTCAGAGGCGTTTGAACCAGAGCAACTCCATCTTCAGTAGGGGTTTGGTAAAATAAGGCTAAGACCTACTGGGCTACATTCCCAGTAAGTTAAGGCAGTCTTAATCACAGAATGAAATAGGAAGTCAGCACAAAATGCAGGACACAAAAACCCTGCTAATAAAACAGGTAGGTTATAGTAAAGAAGCTGACCAGCTGGGTGCGGTGGCTCATGCCTGTAATCCCAGCGCTTTGGGAGGCTGAGGCGGGCAGATCACCTGAGGTTGGGAGTTCGAGATCAGCCTGACCAACATGGAGAAACCCCCTCTCTACTAAAAATACAAAATTAGCCGGGCGTGGTGGTGCATGCCTGTAATCCCAGCTACTCAGCGGGCTGAGGCAGGAGAATGGCTTGAACCCGGGAGGTAGATGTTGCAGTGAGCCAAGACCCCACCATTGCACTCCAGCCTGGGCAATAAGAGCGAAACTCCACCTCAAATAATAATAATAGTAACAATAATAATGAAAATAAAATAAGTCCCTGTCAAATTTAGACACTGCGAACATCTTCTCCTAGACTGTCACCTTCCTGTGAGCTTTACCTGTGATGTTCTTAAAAAAAGGAGCTGGCCAAACCCCACTAAAACTAAGATGGCAATGACAGTAACCTCTGATTGTCCTCACTGCTACACTCCCACCAGCACCCCAAGAGTTTACAGATGCCATGGCAACGTCAGGAAGTTACCCTATATGGTCTGAAATGGGGAAGCATGAATAATCCACTTCCTGTTTAGGATATAATCAAGAAATAACCATAAAAATGGGCAACCAGCAGCCCTTGGGGCTGCTCTGCCTATGGAGTAGCCATTCTTTATTCCTTTACTTTCTTAATAAACTTGCTTTTACTTTACTCTGTGGATTCCACTGAAATTCTTTCTTGCACGAGATCCAAGAACCATCTCTTGGGGTCTGGATTGGGACCCCTTTCCGGTAACAGCAGGTTCTCAGTATCTGTTTGTGGAATGCCTAGAACCTAAACTCTTTAAGTCCTAGTCCGAGAAATGCAGTAGAGTGGAATGAGAACTTGAAATTAGACTCAAGTTTAAAAATCAGATTTTTCACTAACAAGCTATGTAGCCTTAGACAAATTACTTTCTCTCTCAGAACGTCTGTTTTCTTATGGGCATAAAATATTTATTTTGCTAGAGTGCTGTGTCAGTTAAATGAGCACTTGCTACAGTGTGACTCAGAGGGTACTCAAATAATTTTCGACATTATTGGTTATTATTTCCAGTGGTAGGCAAATTATAATCATGGGTAAGCCACACATAAGTACATGTAAGCACATACACTGGAGAGAATTTAAATTGAGTTTTAAGCATTTCACAATACCTCTAAAAAATGAGTATATATAAAAATGCAAAGCAAAAAAATATTCAGACCTGACAAATGGTCTTGAAAGACTAGAAGCATACACTACAGTTTTAGATTTCATTAGCGTATCATTTAACTGAGGGGTTATAAATGTGATGGAAAATAAAATAAACACAACATAGAGGAGGAAAAACAAAGATTACAGGGAATTTTCTCAGACAATAAAATGAGCCAGGTATAGAATATAAGACCTTTAAATTCGGGTCTAGACTACTGGTAGTTTATCCCCAAAGAAAATCACCTTTGGTCTGTTTCTAATTTGGCTCTCGAATTCTACTTTCCCATACATGACTGAATTTCCAAATAGTAGCCACTGATCCATTACAAATGTAAATCACATCATTAAACTTGCATATTCCCCACTCCCCACAAAGGCTTCCCACTGTACTTGAAATAAGTGCTAGCTTTATGTCCAACAGCCCCAACTGGCAACAACCAAAATGTCCATCAACATGGCCAGTGGCTACCATATTAGATCACTATGTGGCTGACTGTCATATAGGTCTCAGCAATAATGTCATCTCCTCAGAAGCCTTCTAAAACCAATCTAAAGTAGCGCTCTGCCCCCAGCACATTGCTATTTTTTTTGGAGCACATATCGCATTATCTTAAATTATTTTATTTGTTCTCCTATTTGTATTCTATTATAATGCAAGCACCAGGAAAACTGGTGTCTTTTGTTCAATACTGCTATCACCAGTGGCTAAAACGGTGCCTGGCACAAAGTAGACAATCAATAATTATACAGTGAATACATAAACACACAACTTTCCAAATCTTTAATTACATGTTTTACAGCAGTAAACCTTGGGTGGACAAAGATACTATAATCTCAAATGACTTACCACTGGCATGCAGAAAGTTAACATATCAGGCTACTTCCTCCAAGAGGCTTTCATTGACACCCCCAGCCTGAGCTGTCTCTCATATAATTGTTTAGCATCCAGTACTTCCTCTCATCATAACTATTATATTGTAACTAAGTTACTTGTTTGTATCTCCCTCTGAACTGTTTCTTGACTGAAATAAATATGTCAACTGTTTGAATACTTTCTTCACCCGTAAGTCAGTACTTCATTTTTCTAAACCAAAGCATAGAAGAGCTGGGAAGCAATTAAGGCGCAGTAATCTAGAGGTCATATTATGCAAGGGATATGCTGTGGCTATTAGCAACAGATTCCATTGGCTTATGAGGCACTGCCTGAAGCTTCCAGGGAAACATACAGGGGAAACAGTCCAGAGGATTCAGGATGGTCTGGTACGACTCTGGACTAGCTCTATTTGGAAGGTCCAGTCCCTACACTGACCCCAGAATGACACCATAATGCAGCCCTCTCTGACATATTTGTAACTCTGCTTGCCACATAATCAGTATCCTCATCTCTTAGCACATGGTAATAACATTGTCTTTAACATAAAAGTGTACCTATTTGCAGTCACTACCTCTATCACCACCACCAGCAGAGCCTGAGCTGAGGAAACCACGGTTCTCAATACCCAGCACACCCACTTCCAACTATCTGTTAAAACATGGTGGATTACTATGAAGTTCTAGGACTGCAAAGATATGCTTCACCTGAGGACATTAAAAAAGCTTATCATAAAGTGGCACTTAAATGGCACCCTGATAAAAATCCAGAAAATAAAGAAGAAGCAGAGAGAAAATTCAAAGAAGTAGCTGAGGCATACGAGGTATTATCAAATGATGAGAAACGGGACATTTATGATAAATATGGCACAGAAGGATTAAACGGAGGTGGAAGTCATTTTGATGATGAATGTGAGTACGGCTTCACATTCCATAAGCCAGATGATGTTTTTAAAGAAATTTTTCATGAAAGGGATCCATTTTCTTTTCACTTCTTTGAAGACTCGCTTGAGGACCTGTTAAATCGTCCAGGAAGCTCCTATGGAAACAGAAACAGAGATGCAGGATACTTTTTCTCCACTGCCAGTGAATATCCAATTTTTGAGAAATTTTCTTCATATGATACAGGATATACATCACAGGGTTCATTGGGGCATGAAGGCCTTACTTCTTTCTCTTCCCTGGCTTTTGATAATAGTGGGATGGACAACTACATATCTGTTACAACTTCAGACAAAATCGTTAATGGCAGAAATATTAATACAAAGAAAATTATTGAAAGTGATCAAGAAAGAGAAGCTGAAGATAATGGAGAGTTGACATTTTTTCTTGTAAATAGTGTGGCCAATGAAGAGGGCTTTGCAAAAGAATGCAGCTGGAGAACACAGTCATTCAACAACTATTCACCAAATTCTCACAGCTCCAAACATGTATCTCAATATACTTTCGTGGACAATGATGAGGGAGGTATATCTTGGGTTACCAGCAACAGAGATCCCCCTATTTTCTCAGCAGGAGTCAAAGAGGGTGGTAAGAGGAAAAAAAAGAAGCGTAAAGAGGTGCAAAAGAAGTCTACCAAAAGGAATTGTTAAATTGACTCTTCAAATATATAACATTTGAACACAATTGTGTGTGTTTTGGTTAATCACAAATTTTGTAGATAACACTTAATACTATACTAAGAGCTTTTCAACACTTTTAGCAGGATTGTGGACATTTGGTTAGTAGTTTTTTTGAATGGGTATGTCAGAAAAGGATGAGTTTGTGGTGACAGTTGGTGCTAATAAGAATTTGCCTGGGCAGTATAGTGAGATCTTTTCTCTACAAAAAATTTAAAAATTAGCCAAGTGTGGTGGTGTGCACCTGTAGTCCCAGCTACTCGGGAAGCTGGTAGAAAGACTGCTTGAGCCTGGAAGACATAGGTTGCAGTGTAATGGGATCACGCCACTGCACTCCAGCTTGGGTGACAAAGTAAGACCCTGTCTTAAAAAAAAAAAAAAGGAATTTGGAAAACTGCAATGAGTTTTTTACTTTTGAATTTTTCTTTAGTAGAGTTTATAGCCTATTTTTCTTTTTTCTAATTAAAACCACTATACAAACTTACGAAACATGCATAGCATTAGAAGACAAGAATGTATCAAGACACACAGGTTCAGACTACACAATTATTCATGAAATGGCTGTTTTCCAATGGAGGAACAGCATTTGATGCATTATAACTTAAAGGTACTACAAATTAAAAATTAAAGTATAAAGTATTTTAAGTTAGAAATAGACTTAGCTGGGTGCAGTGGCTCACACCTGTAATCCTAGCATCTTGGGAGGCCCAGGCAGGAGGGTTGAAGTCAGAATTTCACGACAGTCCGGGTAACATAATGAGACCTGTCCTCTATGAAAAAACTTTTTTAAAAATTTAGCTGGGTGTGGTGGTACGTGCCTGTAGGCCTAGCTACTTAGGAGGCTGAGGTGGGAGGATTGCTTGAGCCCAGGAGTTTGAGGTTGTAGGGAGCTATGATCTTGCCATTGCACTCCAGCTGAGAGTGTGACCCTGTCTCTAAAGAAAAACTATAGAAAATTTAAAAAATTAAAAAACGGGTAACATGGTAAATTTTATGTAGTATATTTTACCACATTTTTTTTAAAGGCCAGTCTTATCCTGAATTCCTCAGAGCAGTCTGTATGGTAGGCCATCAGTGAATCACTCCAGACAGGAAATTTTCTATTTTTGTTTAGAGTTTGTACACAAAATCTACAAATACATTACTCTAAAATAGCACCTATAGCCATTTTAATTTAGTCATGTTGGGAGAAAAATAGATGGGTTACAAATACATCAGATATCGAGCAAATGGTTTGAGTTACATCTAGCAGCACTAAAACTTATTCAACTTTGGCCAAATACAAATGCGAAATTAGAAAAAAATTATAATATCTGCTATTTTTAAAAGACAGCTATAGTCAAGAGCTTGTGTTTTGTATCGGTATTTGATTTTTAGTGGGCAGATGGGAGAAGGAAAGGTTATTTATTCTATAGAAGAGACTGCGGACAATTAGTATTCAAAGTTTATTTTCAGAAAATAAAATAATAAAAGCCCAGGGTATTTTAAATGCTTCTAATATAAGATGTGATATTTAGTAGAGTTTATCTGTTATCATGCATGTGGTAGTAAAGTTGAAAAAAAAATTGCAATTTTCCAAAAACTAAAGCAAAAATCAGTGTCTCAGAAAATTTAAGAATGTAATGACATGCCCTGTAGTCCATTTCTTCACTCTTAACAGAAAACCAAAAATTTAGATTTAATCATCTTACTCAATAGCTTAAAATTCCTCAAAGTTTTCCCACCATCTAAAGGAAAAAGCTAATTGTTTGCTTAACATAATATACAAGGCCCTCCACGAGCCAGCCACCAGCTTTTTTCCCAACTTGATTTCCTATCAGCTCCTTGTACTCATCTTATGCTCTAGCCCAACTTCTCCCAAAATCTGTTCCAGGGATACCAGTTCAAGATTCATCACAGAAAAGGGGTCCATGGTCAAATACATTTTTACACATTTTGCAAATTACTGCGGAACACATCTCTCAGAAACCTAGACTATTAAGGGCTGGGTGCAGTGGCTCACACTTATAATCGCAACACTTTGAGAAGCTGAGGTGAGAGTTCAAGTTTACTTTGGGCAACATGGCAAGACCCCATCTCCAAAAAAAGAATTAAACTATTATGTACATTATGAAAGGCAGCATTCCCCAAAAGTATTTGATCACAGAATCATTTTCGTGTAATGCCTACTATTTTGTTTGAGAACATCTTTCAAAAAATCTTTTCCTAAGCCGGGCGCGGTGGCTCACGCCTGTAATCCCAGCACTTTGGGAGGCCGAGGCGGGTGGATCACGAGGTCAGGGGTTCAAAACCAGCCTGGCCAAGATGGTGAAACCCCATCTCTACTAAAAACACATAAATTAGCCAGGCGTGGTGGCGGGCGCCTGTAATCCCAGCTACTCGGGAGGCTGAGACAGGAGAATCGCTTGAACTCGGGAGGTGGAGGTTGCAGTAAGGCAAGAGATCGCGCCACTGCACTCCAGCCTGGGCGACAAGAGCAAGACTCTGTCTCAAAAAAAAAAAAAAAAAAAAAAAAGCTTCTCCAGCCATACTAAACGATTGCAACGCTTAGTGCTGGCCACTCCGTTTTAGAGTTCTGTGCCTTTGCAAGTGTTCCTTCTGGTAGTATGGCTCCTTTAGTCAGGCTGGGGAGAGCCTTTCAAATAAAAGCAAATTCCAGGCCTGGGGCGGTGGCTCAGAGAGGAGGGTGGATCGCTTGAGGCCAGGAGTTCGAGATCAGCTTGGCCAACGTGGCAAAACCTGGTTTCTACTACAATTACAAAAATTAGCCAGGCGTGGTGGCACACGCCTATAATCCCAGCTACCTCGGGAGGCTGAGGCACGAGAATTGCTTGAACTCAGGAGGCAGAGGTTGCAAATGAGCAGAGATTGCCACTGCACTCCAGTCTGAGCAACAGAATGAGAGCCTGTCTCAAAAAAAGACTGAAAAATTGCACATCTTTCTTTTCACCTAATCCCACGGAGAGTTGTCTTTCTGCAGCTTTACTATGAGAACTGAAGAACAAGTTCTGTGCACTGGACAATAACTTTTTATTTTTTATAGTAAGAAGTCGATGTAATTAACATTCCATTTTAAATGAATTCAAGTATATCAACATAAACATATGCCAAGACATAGCTTTGATGTCAAATACCATACGTTCTGGTTCACACATTGTTCATATATTGACCCAAAAAACTGAAATACGATCCAATGGCAGATCCGCCTGCAAGGAAGGTGATTCAGTTTTCACTGATTAAGCTTTATGTTCATCAGATTAATTGCTCGCAATAGAGGACACCCTACAAAAAATTATTCTCCTTATCCTTCGTCTTGTCTTTGCAAACAGGACTTTCAGACACAGAACGCCCCAGAAGTATTTCGAAACAGTTACCTCTCCTAAGAGGAGCTGCTGAAAGAATTTGTTACTAAACATGCTTCGTGTATATTCTGGAGCAAGCTCTCACGCCTAACAGAAACAAGAGCTACTTGATGTGAGACACTTTGTCACTTAAGTGTGATAATTGCCACAACTTCGGAGTCCGAGTAACTTGGAAGACAGCCCCTCTGGGGGATGGCACACTTTTCTCTCTGCAGTCATTTCGGCTTCACAAAATACCTCAACGGTAGAGAACACACTGGGCCCACCCCTTTCCAGGAGCAGCCGGTATAGAAGAAATCCGCGGAGCACAGAGGGTTGGGGAGCGGAGGCCCCACCAGGAGAAGGGTCAGCCGAACCAGGGATCGCCTGAGACCAACTTGGGTCCCTCCAGGGGACACCATGGGAGGAGACCGTGGGAGAAGAGTCTAACCTGAGAGGCCGCGGACGTTTGCTACAGCGGGAACCAGCTTGGGGGCTGAGAGCAGCCAAGGCATTACGGCCTAACTCACGCGTCGGGAAGAGAAAGAGGGTAACGACGGGGAACGCAACCGCCTGCAGGGCCGCGTCGCCAGGAAACCGGGCCAGCCGCACCTCCCCTTCCGGCGGAGGCGGCTCGCGGGCCTTCCTTGCGCGGCGGCGCAGGTTGTGACGTCATGCCCCGAGCTGGGACCGACCCTCCGGCTCCACGCCCTTTTTTTTTTTTTTTTTTAGGTCCCGGGCGTTGAGCTCTACTCAGTGCACGCAGCCACACAATATGCTCTTGGACGTCGCCCCCTGGAGGGGATGTTATCTCCCGCCTCCTTGAAGTCGCCCATTTCTGGGGTTGCCCCATCCAGGGAGCTGGTTCCTAGTTAAGAATATGAGAATGTATGCGCAGGGAGGCAGGCAACAGCACGAACAGCCACGCTTCTAGAAGATTCTAGGGAGCGCGCAGGAGCAGCGCAGAGGGAGTAGGAATGAGCAGGCGGAGGACCCGAGGTCACGAGACCGTTGGGTGGGAGGAGCCAGCGGCCGGGGAGGTTCTAGTCTGTTCTGTCTTGCGGCAGCCGCCCCCTTCTGCGCGGTCACGCCGAGCCAGCGCCTGGGCCTGGAACCGGGCCGTAGCCCCCCCAGTTTCGCCCACCACCTCCCTACCATGGACCCCCGCAAAGTGAACGAGCTTCGGGCCTTTGTGAAAATGTGTAAGCAGGATCCGAGCGTTCTGCACACCGAGGAAATGCGCTTCCTGAGGGAGTGGGTGGAGAGGTGAGACCCAGGCCTGAGGACCGTTGGGGGCGGGGGAAGCACGGCCCCAGGGGGGAGCCAGGCTGGACCTGGCTCGGTCCGGCGGGCGAGGCGGGGTCGCTGCCCCTTCTTTGCCCGGGAAAGGGAGGCAACTTCGAGGGGTCATGGAAGATCGCGAGCCTTGGGTAGTACAGGAGCCGCGGGGAGCAGGAGGCAGAGCTGGGTTCCTCGCACCCTGAGGTTGCCCAGGGGTGTATCTTGGGCGAAATACAAAAACAGGACTGCGGATGCGTGGACACTGGAGACGCGAGGAGTGAAAACTGCAAGACTTAGATTTTGCGTGGGGTTGTTTTTCTTTCAGTCTTGTGTGCCCTGCTCAGGTCTCATTGGTACATAGCAGTTCCTTTACGCACTATTCCTTTACGTCGTGTTATAATAATATAACACTAGTAAGTTAAAAGTTACAAAACTAGTAAGAATAAAAATGATAACTGTAAAAATGATTGTTTTTACCTTACAGCGTTTGTAGCTGCGTAGGATTAATTATCTTGAGAATCACTTATTATACCTCCGTTACTTGGCAGTGTTATCACTCCAAACACGTCTGAGAAAAATAATTTCTTAAGGCCTGGCATGTTTCCAGGATATAATCTTGTTGTCTTTAACTGTAGAGTACTTCGCTACGTGCAAGGAGTTAATTGACAAGGCATTGTGCCTGGTGCTAGGAAACAGTATAAGTACTGTCTATTTAGACGAATAAATAGAAAAGTTCGTTTTGATATTTACTATATAATAGTAATTAGCATTTTATGTGTTGAAGGAGCACCGAAGAGAAAAAGTGACAGGGAAGTCTTCCCTAAGATGACTTTTTAAAAAATTATTACTAATGGGGAACTGAAAAGATGACATACAAATTGCACTAAACAGGGATAAATAGCAACTATGCAGACCATTGCGACTCCTAAGAGGTGCTGCTGTGAACGTTATGTGTTTAGTGACTTTTGTCTTTTAGAGACAGGGTTTGGCTGTATTGTCCAGGCCGCATACAGTGGCGGGATCACTGCAGCCTCCAATTCCTGGGCACAAGCGATCCTCCTGCATCAGTCTCCCAGGTGGCTAGCAGTGCGGGATCGAGCCACCATACTTGGCTAATTTAATTTTTTTGTAGAGATGGGGGTCCCATTAAGTTGCCCAGGCTTGTCTTGAACTCCTGGCCTCAAGGGACTCCCCCGCCTCCCAAAGTGGTGGTATTACAGGCGTGAGCCACTTCACCCAGCGTGATATTTTTGTGTGGGAAGATGAGCTCATGATTACCAAATAGCTCAAAGAATATTTCTTAACAACAATCTGGTTCTAAGGAAAAAACTCGTTACAATCTGTCAGCGTTGTATGTTGTATTTTTTTCCTCTAAGAAGTTTTTCAATTTTTAGCTCCCCACCAATTGTCTAACTACTGGAAGACTTACTTATATGTGAAATTCTGAGACCATTTAATATTACTATGTTAATAGTAACTTTATGAATATTGGTAAGAAGTCTATTTTGCAAACTCCTCAACCGGGAAATGTCAGGATTAGGAATTGAGGGCTAGGTTTTAGTCGTTTTCTCTATTGAACAGCTTGATGATCCAAAAGCCTTAAGATATTTGTATGCTTTTATCCTAATTATAGGAAAGAACCTGCAGTTAATAAATTCTTTCTAAAATTCCAGGTAACGTAGACAAGTATCACAGGAAGAAAATAGCCGGCTCCAAGAGCTGGCTCCACTTTACATTAAGTGGATACAATGTTTTTGTTTCATTCTTACTAGTGAGGAAGAGGAGACACAGAAGAACAAATTAAAAGCATGTGTAAGAACAGTGTCCTCCTGACTTGTGCTGGAGTGATTGTGCCTATGTAGAGAATTCCACTTTAAGGTTTGCAAAATATTTGTCAGGCACTACTATCTCCCAAACAAAAACAAGAAATAGTCATATACCTTATTTTAACATAGGTAATTCCAGTTTTTCTTTCTGATTCCACTTACATTCTTTAGCCATCCTGAGTTGGCTGAAGTATGGGGTGAAGCATCATGGCATATGTAGGGACTTTATTCTGAACTTAAATTGAGATATTTAATATAGAAGCTTTTTCTCTTTATTTCTGTATTTAAACTAAGATTTTTATAAACTCTGAGGCCTTTGCGTTTGTGTCAGTTTCTCTCTCTGCCTTCATCAGTCTGCAGTTCGAGATTGTGGCAGATGGGGCTGAATGTGGAGACTTCTAGGTCCAGACGTCTTCCTAGGCCTGATGCTACTGTTAGGGTTACTCAAGTTGAAAACATGTGTTTCTCACAGGCTTAGCTGTTGAAGAACAGTACATCTGCCTATTTGCTATAATTGCTAGCATTGTTTATAGCTTAGTTTTATTTGATATAAGGATTTATTAGTTTAACCTTTTAAATTGCACAAAGAGAAATACTAAAAGTCTTTCTGAACTAGTTGTCAGTGAGGATCCAGGAGACTGTTCTTTTCAAGAACTGTGTTTTGAGATATTTTTGTTTTTCCCTTTTTAGAGACAGAAGCATTCTCCCACTCTATTTTCTCCCGTTTAACAATTTAGTATCTTGTATGTGGTTTCATGGCTTTACTTGATGGTAATTAAGATCGAAGAGAGTGTCTTTGTTTTCTACTCCCTAGTACAGTACGTGGCACATGGCTTTTCCTAAATGTTGTAAAGGAAATGAACAGAATGCATTTCTACCCTCAATATAGAATTTAGAGTGTAGCAACCAATTTTTTGTACATGTGTACAAATAACCATAGCACAAAGCAGATTAGAAGGTTATCAAATTAAGAGAAATGTGAATGAAGTTTTATGTGGTCCTATGTGAGAAAAGTCTCTACACTGGTCCTACTTGATTGTGTAACATAAAAAAGCCTGTAGTGCCAAAGTCTAAGTGGCAGTTTTTGGCCAGAAAGTAGCTTGTTCTAAGCCTTGGAAGCATTAATTGAAATTTCGTACCTATGAGTTGGTGTTTTCTTCCATTAGTTAACTAGAATTTGGGATGGGAGAAACTAAATCTAGCTTATGAGTAAATCCTCTTTTTTTTTTAAAGTTTTTATTTTTTTTGCAACAATTTCTAGCTCAGAAAAATTGCAGGTATGGTACAAAGGAATTTTTTCTGAACTAGTTGAGAGTAAGCTGCCAACATTATACCCCAACACCAGTGAGTGTGTACTTCCTACAAAGTCTTTACAATGCAAATACTAAACTTAGGAAACTAATGCTGATGCATTTATGCTATCTAATCCTCAGATTTATGTGTTGCATTTAGTTGCCATGTCACGTAGTCTCCATTCTGAAACAGTTCCTCAGTCTTTCCTTGACTTTCATGATCTTAACAGTTTGAATGTTATTGGCAAGTTATTTTATAGACTTTCAATTTGGGTTTGTCTGGCCTTCCCTTAGGATTGGATTTAGCTTAATACATTTCTTGGCAGGAATATCACTTCCCAAAGTTAGTGTACTGTAAGTTATACTATGTCTGGATGTCACTCTAAATACATTCCTGACGCTGCATTTTGAAACTTAGGAAGAACACAGTGTAAGAAACCCTGTGTCTTCATTAAAATTTAACTACAAAGGACTGGTGATTACTGTGCTCTTTTGCAAAGTAGTGTTTCCATAGAAAAGAATTTTGTGGTGTCTATATGCCTGTTCCTTATCATTAAATCATTTTACTTTGCTGAATTGCAGATTAGGATGTTTTGGATCATATAATCTTTATGTTTGACATGGGAGCTATTCCATATTAAGGGTACTGTGTAACATTTTCTTCTATCATATTAAACATAATGGAAAAAGTAGGCACATTTTCTTCGTTTGAATGGTGCTTATAAGAAATTCCAAATTCTGTTTCTTTTCATTCCATCTGCTACTTTGCATTTATACTTTTGCTTCATATTGGGATTCTCAGATGATACTAAGGGAGTGAAAAGGCAACCTACAGGGTGGGAGAAAATATTTGCAACACATAAAGCTGACAAAGGGTTCATATGCAGAATACAGACAACACCTTCAAATAAAGAAGGACAATCTATTAGAAAGCTGGATGAGAGTTGAACTGTACAAAAAAGTCTTTTTAAATGACCAGTAAATATATGAAAAGGGACTCAACTGCAATGAGATGCCAGTAGGCACCTATCAGAATGGCTAAAAAATCTTTAAGATGGACAATAGCTAAGCATTGGCCAAGGCGTGAAACAATTGGAATTCTCATACATTGCTGATAAAAGTGTAAATTGATAAAAGAACTTCAGAAAACTGATGCCCATTTAAATTCAGCCTGCACATACCCTTATGACCACAAATTCCACCCAACTGAAATGAATGTAAGTGTGGATATGACAACTCTAGTTACAAAGAATCAGGCCGGGCGCAGTGGTTCATGCCTGTAAATCCAGCACTTTGGGAGGCCAAGGCTGGCGGATTACGAGGTCAGGAGATCGAGACCGTTCTGGCTAACATGGTGAAACCCTGTCTCTACTAAAACAAAAAATCAGCTGGGTGTGATGGCATGCACCCTGTAGTCCCAGCTACTTGGGAGGCTGAGGCAGGAGAATCGCTTGAACCCAGGAGGTGGAGGTTGCAGTGAGCCAAGATTGTGCCACTGCACTCCAGCCTGGGTGACAGAGCAAGACTCCATCTCAAAAAAAAAAAAAAAGAACCCTTTCTGTTTTCAAAGTTAATATATCCCCTTGTTTTACATAGTTAATGGCTTTTGTTGTTTGTTTTTAAGGCAAATTTTAATAATGTCTACGTTGCTTCCAACTGTTGTGGAGTGCTCTTAAGTCTATCAACCATTTTAGTCACTGGATTGTTGCAGGTAGCCCATATACTATAGGGTCTGCACCAAATGGAGCATGTAACGCTAATTCTTTGTAATTTTTCTCTTCTAGTTATTTGCTTATAATGAATTGTGTTGCCCTGAACTATTTGGGAAAGAAGAGTTTGTAGGGTCAGGAGGAAGTATTAATGGATGAGGTTGGGAGGGGTGTATAAGGAGAAAATCTATAATGTGATGGGCATGCAAATATAAGCAAGAAAAATTCTCATAGGTCTCAGTCACAGGACACAAACATTTTGAATTATATCATGACGGTATAGTTACTTCATAAACTGCATATTTGAATTTAATTGAACTCTTATTTCAAGTTTCAAATTTAGGATTCAGATATACCTACTGAGTTGAATTCTAAGTTAACAGCTTGTGCAAATGATTTTGTCATTGCATGTTGACATATCTGCCTCTTTTCCTCTGGGAAGAGGCACAGAGAAGCTATACATTATGTTTATTTGACTCATTGAGGCAAAGAAAGGGGTTCATTAGCCAGTAGCCTTAAAATAAATTTTAAGCTGGAAAAAATTTAACCATAATAATACCACAGCATTCAGATTAATTGAGAGTTTACTTTTAAATTTTGAAAAGGTAGTCATCTAAATGTCTAACGTTATTTTTTAGGTGTAAATACGTTGCGTGACAGTGAATTTTAATTTTCTAAACAAATATCTTTTTTCTCATCTTCTTCAAGCATGGGTGGTAAAGTACCACCTGCTACTCAGAAAGCTAAATCAGAAGAAAATACCAAGGTAAGTTTTAATTTCATTTGTATGTTTTGTGATAAAGTACTATAAGATTTCTTAGGGGTTGTTTTTAAACTGCTGCTCTCCAGTTATCACTCCTGATTTCCCCAAGATCACTTGGAAATAAGACCTTTTAAGACCTCTTTATCTTTATAACTTTGTAGACCCGAATTCTCTGGATTCTGATTTAGAACTGAGAATTTAGGGTTGGATGTTCACTGTTTTAGAATACATGACAATAAAAGTTACATGTATGGCCTGTAAGTGGTAAGCTCCGTGATGGTGTGCATCCGTAGTCTTCATCATTGCCTTACAGTGTGTCATATGCATTGTAGGTACTTTATTTATTATTTGCAGAGTAAATGAAGTATCCCAGGTCAGTAATTTAATTTTTTTGCTCTACTACCTGAGTGATATTTGTGAGTGTGAATCATGGTGTTGGGTTAGCATATTTGCTTAAAGGACGTGTAAGATTAGGAGAAGGTTACCAGTAGCTGAAGTTGAGAGACAGATGAAGGGGAACATACATGTTTAAGAATGTTTTCTTTTATTTGTTTGTTTTTTCTTTCCTGAGACAAAGTCTCACTGTGTCACCCAGGTCTGAGTGCACTGGTACAATCTCGGCTCACTGCAACCTCAGCCTACTGGCTTCAAGCGATTCTCCTGTTTCAGTCTCCCGAGTATCTGGGATTACAGGTGCATCCCACCATGCCTGGCTAATTTTTCTATTTTTAGTAGAAATGGGGTTTCGCCATGTTGGCCAGGTGGGTCTCGAACTCCTGACCTCAACTGATCTCTCAGCCTCCCAAGGTGCTGGGACTAAGGCGTGAGCCACCATGCCTGGCCCAGAATGCTTTCTTCATAATTTTTTATTTCTCTCTTCTGCCTTCATATCTAAAAGGCTTTTTTTTTTTTTGCAAATTTTCTGATTAGCTGTCTTAAATCGACAAGAAAATAGCTGTTTTATTATTTAGAAACTTAAACATTGTTATCTATTTGGATCTTAAAGTGGAAGTTATGTCTATTAAGAAGGAGAATGCGAAAAGGTAAGCAAAAGCCCAAAAAGTAGTTACCTTTTTTTTAAAAGGACCATTTATCAGAGTGGTATTTTCTGAGCCCTAGATATTTTGCTATTTGGCAAATGTGTATGAAGGCAAAATTATATTTAACCTATGTGTCAGCTGAAAATTTTTTGTAAGAAAAACATTCTAAACTAGAATTATGGCTTGTCTTTTCTTTTCAATATATTCTAGAATACCTAGACTTTGCACATTTTATAGGGACTCAACAAATATTTTGTGACAAGGTAGGTTTTTGGTTCTAATTTTTTTTTTTTTTTTTTTTTTTTTGAGACAGAGTCTCACTCTGTTGCCCAGGCTGGAGTGCAGTGGTGCGATCTCTTGGCTCATTGCAAGCTCTGCCTCCCAGGTTCACGCCCTTCTCCTGCCTCAGCTTCCTGAGTAGCTGGGACTACAGGTGCCCACCACCACGTCCGGCTAATTTTTTTGTGTTTTTAGTGGAGAAGGGGTTTCACCATGTTAGCCAGGATGGTCTCAATCTCCTGACCTCGTGATCCACCCACCTCGGACTCCCAAAGTGCTGGAATTACAGGCATGAGCCACTGCGCCCTGCCTTGGTTCTAATTTTTTAAGTAACAGGGAAGCAACCTAAAAATGGTTAACAATATATGGTTGAGTGAATAGATGAAGGTAGGCTGATAATGGTATATAATTTACAAGATACACAGCGTTGTTAAATGCAAAAGGCAAAGGATAGAGTTGTTTCATATATAGAGAGACTATCCTGCAATGGGATATACAAGAAACCACACTGGTTATTTATAGGATGGGAAGAAAGTGTTGCTTTCTATATGTCGTGCACTTTTAAATTCTTTGAATTTTCATTGTTTATTATTGTAATTCCACAGGTTCTTATTTGCAGTTCCAAAACTCAAAAACCCTTGTAAAGATTTTTACTAAATTTGGCAATAAAATATAATGTGAGTGGACATGAGGCTATTTATAATCTCTAAACTGTTTATTGTCAATGTTCAAACTTTATTTTGAACAGTTGTTTTTTTATTTTTGAGACACAGTCTTGCTCTGTCGCCCAGGCTGGAGTGCAGTGGCATGATCTCAGCTCACTGCCACCTCCGCCTCCCAGGTTCAAGTGATTGTCCTGCCTCAGCCTCCCAAGTGGCTGGGATTACAAGCGGGCACCACCACGTCCGGCTAATTTGTATTTTTAGTAGAGATGGTTTCACCGTGTTGGCCAGGCTAGTCTTGAACTCCTAACCTCAAATGATCCACCCACCCCAGCCTCCCAAAGTGCTGGAATTCCAGGCATGAGCCGCCATGCCTGGCCATATTTGACAGTTTATACATAGATTTGTAGAAATTAGTATAAATATTCGGTATGTTATTAAATACTGATAGTACTGTTTGTCTTCCCTTTGCTAGGAAGAAAAACCTGATAGTAAGAAGGTGGAGGAAGACTTAAAGGCAGACGAACCATCAAGTGAGGAAAGTGATCTAGGTGAGGAGACGGTAGTTAGTTTGTATTTGAAAACCTATGATGTGATACTTTGTTGATTTTTATTAAAGTGACTTAAATCAGCACTGTGTAATAGAAATATAATGGCACATATGAAACTTAGAATGTTCTAGTAGTCACATTTTAGAAAGTAAAAGGAAACATGAAATAAATTCAGATATTAATGGCATATTGGTTGAAATATTGACATGTGTAATCAATATTTTTTTTTGTTTTTTTGTTCTTTTTGAGATGGAGTCGTGCTCTTGTCACCCAGACTGGAGTGCACTGGCACAATCTCGGCTCACTGCAACCTCCACCTCCCAGGTTTAAGCCATTCTCCTGCCTGAGCCTCCCGAGTAACTGGGATTAGAGGAACCTGCCACCACACTCGGCTAATTTTTATAATTTTAGTAAAGACGGGCTTTCACCATGTTGGCAAGGCTGGCCTCGAACTCCTGACCTCGTGATCCACCCACCTTGGCCTCCCAAAGTGCTGAGATTACAGGCGTGAGCCACTGCACCTGGCCTCAATATTTGTTAATAATTTATTTTGCTTCTTTTTTTAATAGCATTCAAACTCCAAAGGGTATTTTACACATGTGGCACCCCTCAATTCAGGTTTTACATTTTCATTGATAATAAATCAGACTTCATAATGTTTGTATTAGAAAAAGTTGGGTTACATATTAAAGTTGTTCTAAGCATACTTAAAAAGTTTTCTTTTTTTTTTTTTTTTTCTTTTTTTGAGACGGAGTCTCACTGTGTCGCCCAGGCTGGAGTGCAGCAGTGTGATCTCAGCTCACTGCAGCCTCCACCTCCCAGGTTCAATCAATTCTCATGCCTCAGCCTCCCTAGTAGCTGGGACTACAGGCGTGTGCCACCAGGCACGGCTAATTTTTGTATTTTTTTTTTTTTGTAGAGACAGGGTTTTGCCATGTTGCCATGTTGGTCAGGCTGGTCTTGAACTCCTGATCTCAGGTGATCCACCTGCCTTGGCCTCCAAAGTGTTTGGGATTACAGATGTGAGCCACCATGCCCAGCCAAAAGTTTTCCCATAACTGAATTGAGTGCCAAAAAATAGTATTTGTTTAGTTCTTACAACCATGTTGATAAAACTGGTTCATATTTAGAAGAGTAGTTATCTGTGCTATGAGTTTGGTTGGTTTTTTGGCCACAAATTGACTAAATTTCTTCATGAATTTGGAAGTCTCTTATATCACAGAACCTGAAGAAAAGTACTTGAAATGTTTTAAATTTTGAATCAGTTTTTTTTTGTTGTTTTTTTGGGGTTTTTTTGGAAGACTTGAGTTTCGCTCTGCCACCCAGGCTGGAGTGTGGTGGCACAGTTTCGGCTCACTGCAACCTCTCCCTCCTGGGTTCAAGCGAGTCTCCTGCCTCAGCCTCCTGAGTAGCTGGGACTACAGGCGTATGCCACCATGCCTGGCTAATTTTTTTGTATTTTCAGGAGAGACAGAGTTTCACCATGTTGGCCAGGCTGGTCTCAAACTCCTGACCTCGGGTGATCTGCCCGTCTTGGCCTCCCAGAGTTCTGGGATTACAGGTGTGAGCCACCACGCCTGGCCTGAATCAAATTATCTTTGATATCATTAGAGGTCTTACATTCTACTGGCAGTTGTTTGAGTGCTAAATTGAAGATCTTTTACTTTTTATAAAATGCCTCTTTAGTCTTACTTTCTACCAGTTTCTAAAACTACAATAAATTTTTTAACCAACTCTCCACCTAAAAGTGTTTTCTTTTTTGTATACAAATCAAACTTTGATAGACAAGCTTAGTTGCTGTTAAAAAATGGATTAAAATTTTTTTACCGTGTTAAAGGGCATAAACTTTGAGCTATAATCTGAATAAATTCCAGAGATCCAGTATACAGCATGACTATAATACTGTATACTTGAAATTTGTTAAGAGACTGGATCTTCAGTGTTCTCACCAAAAACAAATAAATATGTGAGATGGATAGTTATTAATATGATGGGTGAGAATCATTTCATTATGTGAGGTGCAGTAAAGTGAAACACAATAAAATGAGGTATGCCTGAGGTCAGGCACGGTGACTCACACCTTTAATCCCAGCACTTTGGGAGGCTGAGGCGGGTGGACCACCTGAGGTCGGGAGTTGGAGACCAGCCTGACTAACATGGAGAAACCCCATCTCTACTAAAAATACAAAATTAGCCAGGTGTGGTGACACATGCCTGTAATCCCAGCTACCTGGGAGACTGACGCAGGACAATTGCTTGAACCTGGGAGGCAGAGGTTACGGTGAGCCAAGATTGCGCCACTGCACTCCAACCTCGGCAACAAAAGCGAAACTCCGTCTCAAAAAACGATATGCCTGTATGTTAAAACATCGCATTGTACACCATATACATATATGTATATATATAGTTTGTCAGTCATGCGTCAAGTTTTGTTGTTGCTGGACAGTAATTCTGATTTTAGGTGGGTGATTTTAAATTTTTTTTTTTTGACTAAGGAAACTTCTTATCAAATTAACTATTTGCAAATGTGTTCTTTTTAAATGATACGTGCGTGTGTGTGTGTATATATATATAAAACTCGTTTTCCACTTGCAACAAATTACAGTTGTCATTTAACTGACAACTGTTAAATGACAATTTGAAAAGCAAGATACTGCTTTTCATTCTTTACTGTTTTGGTTGTAAGTACTAGCTTTGGTCACTACTGTACATATGGAAACTAAATTTATTTTTAAATCTAGCCTTGGTACTTGATTCTGCATCAGTAGTAAGCCTTTATTTTAAAATTAAAACTTGTCCATGCTACTTTTAAAAATGAAAATAATTAGGGACCAGGTGCAGTGGCTCATGCTTGGAATCCTAGTGCTTTGGGAGGCCGAGGTGGGAGGATTTCTTGGACAACATAGTAAGATCCTGTGCCCCCCCCAAAATTATTTTAATTTTAAAAAAGGAAAGTAATGAATGTAATTATATTAAAATATTTTGATTTACGTTGAAGTATCACTGTAGCTTACCTGCATATTTTTGAAAAACATAGTACATCAGTGTGTAGAAAAAAATTATTTGAACTAAATCAGTTTGTTGACAATGGTGTATTTATATACAATGACTAAATCAGTGGTGTATTTATGTGTAATACTAGAAACTGCACATGTCAACAACCCCACTACAACCTGATAATAAATATCTTACATGATGTGACAGTTAACGTAAAGTGTAGTCTTACCAAAGTAACGAAATGTTTAATGGGAACATATTTTAAAATGCATCAATACTTAAAATAATTAATTGTAGTAGTCATAGTATGTCAGTTTTTAATAATCTTGGGAGTGGCTACTATATTGTACGGTGCAGGTCTTATTGTCATTTTCTCGACTTTGGCAGAAATTGATAAAGAAGGTGTGATTGAACCAGACACTGATGCTCCTCAAGAAATGGGAGATGAAAATGCGGAGGTAAGTTCGGTGACTTGATTTCCTGCTTGTTCTAAGAAATGTGAAAGGTCCTGCTGTTGCAATGATTTTATGACACGATTCTTCCAGGAAAAGCGCATAGTAAATCTTTCTCTGACTTCAGGCGTTTTAGGCAAGCATTGTATTTTACTACTTAAAATACTAATGAAAATAAATACTGTTACTTTCTGTTTTATCTGTTTTTTAAGTTTGCATCTGGTGTGACTGCTTGCACTGTAACGCAGAATTCACTTAAAATACATACCTATTAGTGGAGTTGCTCTTGATGGAATATCTAATGCCAAATTGTATTACAGAATGGTTTGTCATAACAGGCCCTCAAGGGAGTGAAAATTGGTTCTTGGGAGGAGGGCTTAAAAAAAATTCTATATATTACAATGGTTAGTGGTCCTCCAAAGACTCATAGAATATTAATATGTAGTGTATCTGTGGTATTAAAATTGGGGATATGGAAATGAGGAAAAGATGTCTAAAAAGGCTCCTTAGTGTCTGATAAAAATTTGAGAAACACTCTAATATAGTAATAGCAGTTTTAAAAGATTGGTTTTTATCCTCAAAACTTGATATTATCAGATTTCATCTTTGCCAAGTATTGTGGGAAATGGTATCTTTTTGTGGCTTTTAATTTGCATTTTCCTGGCCAGACAGGGTGGCTCACGCCTGTAATCCCAGCACTTTGGGAGGCCGAGGTGGGTGGATCATCTAAGGTCAGGAGTTTGAGACCAGCCTGGCCAACATGGTGAAACCCCGTCTCTACTAATAATACAAAAATAAGCCAGGCATGATGGTGCACGCCTGTAATCCCAGCTACTTGGGAGGCTGAGGCAGGAGAATCACTTGAACCCAGGAGGCAGAGGTTGCAGTGAGGTGAGATCGCACCCCTGCACTCCAGCCTGAGCGACAGAGCAAAACTCTATTTAAAAAAAAAAAAAAAAATGCATTTTCCTGATTCCTAATGAGGCTGAGCATATTTAAATGTTTATTGGCTGTTCACTGGCATTTGCGAACTCCTGTTTAAACTTTTTCCACTTTTTGCTGGATCTTTTTCTTACTGCTTTGTATTTCATTTCAATATTCTGGATGCTAATAATTTGTTGCTAGTGCTGCATATATTTTCTGCTAGTTTGTGACTCATCTTCACTCATCTTTCTTCATGTTGTTTCAAAAATAGTATCTTTTAATGCAGATATTTTCTGCTTTATTACTTTGAGGTTATAATTGCTGTAGTGCATTGCTTTTTCTCTTCTGAACATTTTATACACTCACCTTTCACCTTTAATCTACCGGTCCCACCAAAACTAAAATACACTGTTTCTGAATATTGTGGGTCTGTTTCAGGAGTTTATTGTTCTGCTTGTCTATTTTTTTTCTGTTCACTAATGCCACATCGTCTGATACTAAGTCTTGTTATTTTGTAGAACAAGGACCCCCAAAACTTTTTAGTCTTTTGGCTGTTCTTGGCTTTTTGTTTTTCCAAGTAAATTTTAGAAATAGGTTGATCAAGTCTCCCCGCTTCCATTGGTTTTTTTCCCCTTTGTTAGAATTGTGTTAAATCTAAATCAAGTTCGGGAAAAGATATATCTCCTCACCATTGAGATAAACTATCCATAAATAATGTTATCTGCCCAATTTTTAGGTGTTTTTAAAATATTTTAATAACTTACTAACGTGTTCCCCATAAGTCTTGTGCTTTGTTTTTTTGAGACAGTGTCTCACTCTTCCATCCAGGCTGGAGTGTAGTGGTACAATCATAGCTCACTGCGCCCTTGACGCCCTGGGCTCAAGTGATCCTCCCACCTCAGCCTCCTGACCAGCTGGGACTATAGTCATGCACCACCATGTCCAGCTAGTTTTTTATTTTTATTTTTAAAAATTCTTAGTAGAGACAAAATCTCAAACTCCTGGCCTTCCAGAGTGCTGGGATTACAGGTATGAGTCACTGCACCTGACGTAAGTCTTGTGCATTTTTGTTAAGAACAAATGTAAGTACTTTCTGTCACCATTTGTCAAAGGAAACTTTAAAGGTTAAATGTTATGTTTATTGATGGTATTACTTCTTTTATGATGTGTCTAGGTTTATAATTTTTTATTTATCCTGCTTGGGATTCAGTGAGCATCAAATTCTAGGGTTAACTTTCTTTAGCTCTAGAATATTTTCAGCTGTTATTAAATATTGCCTCCTTCTTGTTTACTTTATGCTCTAATTCTGGATCCCTGGTAATGTTAGACTTTTGTTATTAAGTTTCATTTCTTTATCACTCTCTGCTGAAAAGCAGTCTATGCTTTGTCTGTTCCATTGATGTTTGAATTGGAATGCTTGTGTTTTTCATTTTGGTACTTCAAATCTTTTTGAAGTCTACTTGGTTATTTGTAAGTCTTTTGCTCTTTACTCATTTTCAGAATTTACTTTTATTAAACACATTAAATTCCTTGTTGAACTCTTCGCTGGTCTTACTCTTATTTTTCATGGCTCTTGCTCATTAAGGTACCTTGTTTACTTTATGATGTGTTTGTGTGTTGTGTGTGATATTTTGAAAATGTGTTCTTTGGAACTTCACCTGTAGAAAAATTTTGAGGCCTAGGTAAGAAGGTGATTGCTTCCATGAAGTCTCTGAATTGGTGCTACCAACTCAAGGACCCCTTGAAAGTCTCAGCATGGTGTTTTTTTGTTTGTTCCAATTACTTTGGTAATACAGAATTCCAGATGAAAGGCTGGCTGTGGCTCTGAATTTTCAGGGGAAGTTCTTTTAATCTCACTACTCAACTGTCCGTTTCTGTAGGACAGGTTTATACCATTATGCTTGCCGGTATTAGCATTTGGAGTTGCAGATTTATTTTGGAAGGTGTCTGGTTAGACCACATACATTCTCTTCCTCTGAATATAGACTTTGTATCCTGTGTCCTGCATTACCTTCAAAATAAAATTGCAGCCAGGAGTGGCGGCTTATGCTTCTAATCCCAGAACTTTGGGAGAGTGAGGCAGGCAACTCACTTGAGTCCAAGAGTTCTAGACCAGCCTGGGCAGCATGATGAAAACCCGTCTCTATAAAAAAAAAAAAGCAAAACATTTAGTAGGTTGCGAGCATGTAGTTCCAGCTACACTTGAGGGGAGGCTGAGCCCAGGAGATGGAGGTTGCAGTGAACCGTGATTGCACCACTGCACCGGAGCTTGGGTGACAGAGGTAGACCCTGTCTTTAAATAAAACATTATTTTTATATTTAATATTTATTTTTTCTTTTTATTTTTTGTAGAGACGAAGTTTCGCCATATTGCCCAGGTTGGTCTTGAACTCCTGGGCTCAAGGGATCTACCTGCCTCAGCCTCCCAAAGTGCTGAGATTATAGGCATGAGTTGTATATTTTTTTCCTGTGGTTAAAGATCTCCAGAGCTTTCCATTTTAGGAGGATGTTTGCTATAACTCTTTGTTCTTTTTTTGCAGGGGTAGGGTGAGACATGGTCTTGCTCTGTGTCACCCAGGCTAGAGTACAGTGACACAATCAAGACTCACTACAGCCTTGACTTCCTGAGCTCAAGCGAGCCTCCTAACTCAGCCTCCTGAGTAGCTGGGACCAGATGCATGTGCCACCATGCCCAGCTTGTTTTTTTTTTTTTTTTTCTTTTTTTTGGAGAGATGGGATCGCCCTCTGTTGCCCAGATGCACATGTTTTTGTTCTTAACTAATCTTTATACTGTCAGCATCTTGTACAGTGTTTGGTCTATCTATATAGCATAGGTGCTCAATAGTTGTTTGTGGGAACAAAGGAATGAGACCTTTCTCTTCTGAGGATTTAAACCTAAAAGGAGCTAGTTATCTTTTTGTGAGGAGATTGGGTTTAATATTTATGGATAGCTAGGTAGGAGCTGGTATGCTTTGGTTGGGACGGAAGGTTAAGCAAAGGTTATGTCTCGGGCAGAGTGTAGGAGTGAAATTTGTTTAGTATAAAAGGTTAAAACTCGTATGTAATTTCTCACTAATGAGTTATCATAATTGTCTCTTTGTTCTCTGGAGACTACAGAAGAATGAATGAAAATGGGTATTGTGACTGCGCCTCATCCCTAAGAAAGTATGAATTGCTTCCTTCTCTCTCTCTCTACTAATTCTAAGATGATTTTTATTTTCTTCCTAGATAACGGAGGAGATGATGGATCAGGCAAATGATAAAAAAGTGGCTGCTATTGAAGCCCTAAATGATGGTGAGTAATCTTTTTGCTACATTTCTATGGTAGTCAGAATATTTATTGCAGTAACTTAAATAGTGGTAAAGTAGAAGAGAAGTTACATGTACCTGTCCTATACTGGAGAAGATAGTGTCCTATTATCCAGTCACCCCTTCCTCATTGATAAAAGAGGCTGAAATCACTTCTCTCTGCAAGGACAGATCCTTATTTGATTCAGTGTCTCTGATTTCCTGACCCTATCGTGGTGTTTTTCTGCTGAGAAGAGGCTTTAAAGAGGTGAAAGGCTTTAAAAAAAAAAAAAAAAAGTAGTAGTAGAACAGTGACCCTTAACTTTTTACATACTAATACCCTTGACAGATGATGTTCATAGGCATACCAATCTTCGTCCTAGTCAGAGCATGTTAGATTCTCTTGAGTAAATCCCCTCAGAGTGAGAAAGTGGTGATAGTATTCGGTTTTGTTTTTTGTTTGTTTGTTTGGTTGGTTTTTTTGAGACGGATTCTCACTCTGTTGCCCAGGCTGGAGTGCAGTGATGCGATCTCGGCTCACTACAACCTCCGCCTCCCGGGTTCAAGCAGTCCTCCTGCCTCAGCCTCCCGAGTAGCTGGGATTACAAGCGCGTACCACCATGCCCAGCTAATTTTTTGTATTTTTATTAGAGAAGGGGTTTCACCATGCTGGCCAGTCTGGTCTTGAACTCCTGACCTCGTGATCTGCCCGCCTCAGCCTCCCAAAGTGCTGGGATAACAGGCATGAACCACTGCGCCCAGCCTCTTTTTTTATATATATTTATTTTTTTAACTCTCCAAGGTAACAATAGGTTATTATTTTTTTCTTTTTTCTGTTTTTCAGTTGTATTTTATTTTATTTTTTATTTTTGAGACAGAGTCGTGCTTTGTCGTCCAGGCTGGAATGCAGTGGCGTGATCTCGGCTCTCTGCAACCTCCACCCCAAGTCGAGCAATTCTCCTGCCTCAGCCTCCCTAGTAGCTGGGATTACAGGCGTGTGCTACCATCTCCAGCTAATTTTTGTATTTTTAGTAGAGACGGGGTTTCACTATGTTGGCCAGGCTGGTCTCAAATTCCTGACCTCGAGTGATGTGCCCGCCTCTGCCTCCCAAAGTGCTGGGATTGCAGACGCGAACCACTGCGCCCGGCCCATGGTAGTATTAAGTGTAATGTTTGATCGGTTATAATTTGTAAGAACAAATCATGTATAAACTTGGGTACTGTGGCTGCTTGAGTAATATTTCACTCTTTATAACAGTGATAGTGTGTCACAATGCCATAGTTGACTAGATGCTATTGTATAGTGCTCATGTGCATTTGGACTTCATTATTAGATTTAGAAGATGATTGAAGTTATTTTTAGAATGAGTTCAGTATTGATGTTCCGAGTTAGTATATATTTTAAACATTTTGTGATTCTACCACCTGATTAATTTAGCTCCTTAAAACATGTTTATACTGTTTTATACTGCAGTTGCCTTAATAGTTTACCTTCCTGAAAAATTTATTCCTTTATTGCTTTCTGTTTACTTTCCCTAGGTTATTCTTAGAGCTGTTTTTTATTCTACTCTTGCTTGTAACCTGTGATTAACTTTTGCATATATATTTAAGATCTTCATCAGAGGATTATAGACCTGCCAGACTAAGATCCTGTATTTTACTTCTCCAATCTTGTTTTCTCCAGTCAGACTTTACTGTTCTAGAATTTTTTTTTTTTTTTTATTTATGCTATACTGTTTCTCTGGAAAGCTTTTCTTCACATATTTCAACTTTTAATTCATACCTATCAGTTGTTCCCAGCCATTGCTCTTCTGTACCATTCCTTTTCATCGCACGAAACTTTTGCTAATTTCCCTACCACCTAAATTTTAAGAGACAGAGTCTTACTCTGCCACTCAGTTTGGAGTGCAGTGGCATGGTCATGGCTCACTGCAGCCTCAAGTTTTGTAGGCTCAAGCAATCTTCCTGAGTAGCTGGCAATACAGGTGCCTGCCACCATGCCTGGCTAATTATTATCTCTTTTTTTTTTTTTTGGTAGAGATAGGGTTTCATCCTGTTGCCCAGGCTCGTCTTGAACTCCTGCCCTCAAGCAGGCCTCCCAAGCTCAGCATCTGAAAGTGCTAGGATTACAGGTGTGAGGCACTGTGCCCAGCCCATTTTAAAATTTACTGTCTCGGCAATATGTAACAAAAGGAAAATGAGGCTATCACCTAATCATGTTTTTGTTTTCTCACTTTTTTCTGAACTCTCTGTTCATGTGCCTTTGTAAATTTAATCTAGTTCTGATTTTAGAATTTATGCAATTGTATAGTGTATTCTAAAGGATAAAAGATTAGTATTCTAAAGCAGGGGTTGTGAATCCAAGCTCCACCAAGGTTGGTGAAGGCAGTTTTGTTTGGAGAATGTAATTAAAACCTGGAGTATGGAGCCAGAGTGGTATGGTTTGAATCCCACGTCTGGCACTTAACTGTGGCTGCTTTCCCACTACAACAGCATCATTGAGTAGTTATGACAGATTGTATGGTCTGCAGAGATTAAAATAATTCTTATTTGGCCCTTTCCAGAAAACGTTTACCAACTCCTGAACTAAATGTATGGAGGAGCCATTTGTTTAGTTGGGAAGATACAGATTGGGAATAGATTTGGAAATGGGCTAGGAAATGGGAATTCAGTTTTTCGGTTTTGAGTGGGCGTGGTGGTTCACACTTAACAATCCCAGCACTTTGAGGGGCCGAAGCGAAAGGATCTCTTGAGTCCAAGAGTCCAAGATCAGCCTGGTCAACACAGTGAGACTCCATCTCTTAAACACAAAAAATTAGCTGGATGTGGTAGCACGTTTCTGTAATATGAGCTACTTGAGAGGCTGAGATGGGAGGTTCCCTTGAGGCTGGGAGGATCCTTTGAGCCCAGGAAGTTGAGGGTGCAGTGAGCTGTGATTGTGTCACTGCACTCCAACCTGGGTGACAGAGCAAGACCTTTTTTTTTTGAGATGGAGTTTCAGTCTTGTTGCCCAGACTGGAGTGCAATGGCACGATCTTGGCTCACCGCAACCTCCGCCTCCCGGGTTCAAGCGATTCTCCTGCCTCAGATTCCTGAGTAGCTGGGATTACAGGCATGCGCCACCATATGCGGCTAATTTTATATTTTTAGTAGAGACGGGGTTTCTCCACGTTGGTCAGGCTGGTCTTGGTATTTCTCCATGTTGGTCAGGCTGGTCTTGAACTCCCGACCTCAGGTGATCCACCTGCCTCGGCCTCCCAAAGTGCTGAGATTACAGGCGTGAGCCACTGTGCCCAGCCAAGACCCTGTCATAAAAAAAATTTAGGTTTTGAACATGGTAGGTCTGAGTTGTTTATTAGACATTTAAGTGTAATTACCTATAATAGATACCTGTAGTAGTAATTAATAAGACTGAGCATTTTTCTGTGTTGTTTTTGTGAGTTCTTTTCAAGTCCTTTACTCATTCGCTAACTGGCTAAGTATCTTTCACAGTGAATTGTGACATTTATTTAAAAATTTCTGTGTTCGGCCTGGCACAGTGGTAATCCCAGCTACTCAGAAGGCTGAGTTGGGGGGATTACTGGAGCCCAGGAGTTCGAGAGCAGCCTAGGTGACACAGTGAGGCCCAGTCTCTAAAAAATTTTTTTTAATTAGCCAGGTTTAGTGTTGTGGGCTTGTATTCCCAGCTACTCAGGAAGCTGAGGTGGGATGATCACTTCAGCCTGTGAGCTATGATCATGCCACTGTACTCTAGCCTATGTGAGAGTTAGACCCTGTCTCTTAAAAAAAATTCTGTATTTGTCTTGCCTCCCCAAGATTTAGACTTTGTGCAAAGAACTCTTCTGATTCTATAGGGTGTTTTATTTGTTGAATGACATAAGGGATTAGTAAAGAAGCTAACTATGAGAATAGGACAAAATGAATTAAAGTATAGGTTATGGTCTTTTATGAATTCTAGTTTTCTTGAATTTTTGTACCATTTCTTTGAATTCAAATAATAAGCATATTGTTGTTTTCTTTTAAAATCAGCCCTGTGAAGTTAACATGGGTTACTTTTCCTTTCTAAGCTTAATTTTTTCTTTTTAATTTAATGGATAAAAGAAAATCAATGGAATAAAATTAATTTATCTTATCCTTTAAATTGATTTTATCTTTTTACTTTTTTCTTTTATTTTTATTTTTATTTTTTTGAGACGGAGTCGTGCTGTGTCACCCAGGCTGGAGTGCAGTGGTGATCTCGCCTCACTGGAAGCTCCGCCTCCCGGGTTCGCGCCACTCCTCAGCCTCCCAAGTGGCTGGGACTACAGGGCTCCGCCCCCACGCCCAGCTAATTTTTTGTATTTTTTAGTAGAGATGGAGTTTCACCGTGTTAGCCAGGATGGTCTCGATCTCCTGACCTCATGATTTGCCTGCCTTGGCCTCCCAAAGTGCTGGGATTACAGGCGTGAGCCACCGTGCCCGTCTACTTTTTCCTTAAACAAGATCAATATGGGTCATACTAAGAATGTGCTATTCTATTGTTAGTTAGGGGCTTACGTACTCAGAAATTGTCTTACCTCGTGAGTTACAGTATAGGTGTGGTAAGATTTGCTTTCAAGAGCCAGTTTTAGTATAACTTAGTTGTCTTTTTTATTTTTACTTGATTAAAAGAAAAATGTAAAAGACTTAACTGGATAACAGATCAAAACTTTTTATTAATATTTTTATCCTCTGAATATTTCTCGATAACTTTTGTTTCACTTTAGGTGAACTCCAGAAAGCCATTGACTTATTCACAGATGCCATCAAGCTGAATCCTCGCTTGGCCATTTTGTATGCCAAGAGGGCCAGGTGAGAACTCTAAACAGAAAAGCATCCCCTGGCAAATAATTTCTGCACATTTGTTTAAATAGAGTTGCTTCTGTGTTGATCCCAAAACTTTTACTGAAATGAATACTTTTTAATAACACACTTATTTTTCAGTGTCTTCGTCAAATTACAGAAGCCAAATGCTGCCATCCGAGACTGTGACAGAGCCATTGAAATAAATCCTGATTCAGCTCAGCCTTACAAGTGGCGGGGGAAAGCACACAGGTAAATAATTGAATTTAATTATTTTCAGAACTCTTTACATTTAAATCTGATGTTTTAAGATGCTTTGTTTAAACAAAAACACAAAAGTTCCTAATGACTTAATTTTCAAATTAGTGTGTACTTAGTATCAAGAAGTGAGATAGCTTGTAGACAGCTGCTTAAAAGGTAAAAGAAAAAAAAAAGAAATTTAAAAGAAGAAGTGAGAATATAGGAAGGAAGAAATAAAAAGTATTTTCATTTTTTTCATTCAAATAAAGCTACTCTTACCAGTTTTTGACTACATATGGCCAAATATAAGGAAAGGATTTTTACTTAAAATTAATTCCAGGAAAAGAAAGAATGATCTTTTATCAGTGTCCTTACAAATTTTCTCTTACTTTCAGACTCTGTAAGTTAGCATTGAACTACCAGTGTATTATAGAAGAAGGAGTATGCCAGCCTGAAACTACTTCAGTCACTGCTAGGCCACCTGAAAAATTAGGAGAAGGCGGGGGGGCATAAAGAGGTGAATTTAACCCAGATTAGTAATTATACCTTGCAGCAAAACTTAGGAATATTTGTATCTTGGGAATGAAGTGTTCAGTGACTTTCACATGTTACCTGGGTTGAAAGGGCTCAAATGTGGATGGAGATAAAGATGGATATGTTTTTAGGACAACTGTATTAGCTGACTCAGAGTAGCTCTAGTGGATTTTATGACACATGTTAAAGATAAACATTAAAAGTTGAAATAAAATTTATTAATGCTGTGTCAGCACAGGAAAAGCCCATGCATTGCTGTTGATCCTTTTGAAATCCCATTAGTCCAAGTATTTCTTTGCCTTCTAATACAAGACAGCGTTGGCTCATCTTGTGCTTTGCTTGTCTCAGACTGAAAATAAGCTATTTCTGTGGGAAATCGTGGTTCATTATAGCGGAAACTAAGATTTGATCACTGTGTCTGTTCATTGCTTCTGGTATGTACTGTCGTTTCAATGAACAGCTAGAAAAAAACATTTTAAAAATCATGAATTTAGGGAAAAAATTCTTGAAATTGTGAGTTTATACTGATATTTTCTATTAAAATGTAACATTAAATGTTTTGTTTTACCTTTTAGTTTGTATTTTTGACACTTGTGTGGTAAAAATTTTTGTCCTAGTTTTACATTTACTTACTACAATGCTGTGATATACATAAAACTGTTTCAGAATTACAATACCTTAAAAACAGTATACACTCTAAGTAAAGTTTGAAGGTTTTTTGGGAAGTTTTTGTTTTGCTTTGTCTTTTGTTTCTACACAGAGTCTCACTCTGTTGCCCAGGCTGGAGTGCAGTGGTGCGATCTAGGCTCACTGCAACCTTCACCTCCCAGGTTCAAGTGATTATCCTGCCTCAGTCAGCCTTCTGAGTAGCTGGGATTACTTACAGTCGCGCCCCACCATGCCCAGCTAATGTTTTGTATTTTTGGTAGAGAGGGGGTTTCGCCTATTAGCCAGGCTATTCTCAAACTCCTGGCCTCAAGTGATCTGCCCTCCTTCCCCTCCCAAAGCATTGGGATTACAGGTGTGACCCAAGGATGTTCTTATTCTTAGAATATATATCCCACTTGAAATATACAGTCAAGATAACTATGAAAAGTTACTTGAATTCATTTTTTTCTGTGTAGCTTATGTTGTTAATGCAATACACAGTGTTTTGTTTTGTTTTGTTTTGTTTTGAGGCATTTTGCTCCTTCACCCAGGCTGGAGTGAAGTGGTGCAATCTTGGCTCACTGCACCCGCCCCGGGCTCAAGCGGTTCTCCTGCCTCAGCCTCCCAAGTAGCTGGGATTACAGGTGTGCGCTACCATGTGTGGCAAATTTTTTATATTAGAGATGGGGTTTTGCCACATTGGCCAGGCTGGTCTTGAACTCCTGACCTCAGGTGATCCACCAGCCTCAGCCTCCCAAAGTGCTAGGATAATAGGCATGAGCCATCGCGCCTAGCCACACCTTATTTCTTTTTTTTTTTTTTTTTGAGATGGAGTCTTCCTCTGTCACCCAGGCTAGAGTGCAGTGGCGCGATCTTGGCTCACTGCAAGCTCTGCCTCCTGGGTTCATGCCATTCTCCTGCCTCAGCCTCCTGAGTAGCTGGGACTACAGGCGCCTGCCACCGCGCCTGGTTTTTTGTATTTTTAGTAGAGATGGGGTTTCACCGGGTTAGCCAGGATGGTCTTGATCTCCTGACCTCGCGTTCTGCCCGCCTCGGCCTCCCAAAGTGCTGGGATTACAGACGTGAGCCACCGCGCCCAGCCACACAGCTTCTTATTTCTGTTTGTATTCAGGTTTAGGATTTGCTTTATTTCCATTTTTCTGATTTTATTTTTTGAGTATGTAAAGCATTTAAATGTTCGAAGAGTTACACCTGAGTTAAAAGGTATACCCAGTGAATTCTCAGTTTTCGTTGCTGTCTCCTCTGCCCCATTCTCACCTACTGTCACCAACCTTTAGTTTCTGGTTTACTTGTTCTGAGTTTTTCGTAAAGCCTGTACACATGTATTATTTTCTCTTCTGTCTTACATAGAAGGTAGCTAAAAGCTAACACATTATGTTAGTCCTGGTTTGGGCGAGTTGAAAGTTACTGGTCTACATACTTAGAAAATTACGATATTCTGAATTAAGAAAGATTTTGTTTGTTTTTTAGCTTTTAGTAGAAAAGCAGCTTTAAATAGAGGAAATTTAAATGTTTTCAGGTTTTTATAGAGTTAACTAAAATGGGATATAGTAATTGAATTGGTTAGTGAAAGTTTATAGTTAATATTTAACTTAAGCCTGTTTTAGAACAATCCTTTTTTGTAAGGAAGAAAGATATCATGCCACATAGGTGAATATGTATAAAAGGCTCCTAAAATGAGTGTAAATCTGTTTCAGACTTCTAGGCCACTGGGAAGAAGCAGCCCATGATCTTGCCCTTGCCTGTAAATTGGATTATGATGAAGATGCTAGTGCAATGCTGAAAGAAGTTCAACCTAGGGTATGTCAAAGTAGAGAAAGGGAAAGTCATTAGTTAAATACTCCATCGCTGTAGTGCTTAGCCCCCGACAGCTGTAATTCATCTGAAAAACAGGCAAAGAAACAAACCATTGGAAGATATAATCTGTAATTGCTGAAGTTTGTGCTCGACTCTGGAGATCTCATTAGGTTTTCATGCTTTCATTTCTCATGCATTATTAGAGCAAACTCTGTTACTTTGTTTGGAAGCCTGCAGTGGAATTATAACCAGAAAATTAGAAAAGGGGGTATCAGGTTTACAACAAGGAAACAAATAGAAAATCTATAATTAGCATTACCCAGGATTGAATCTGATGTGTCCTTATTTATCATAGGTGTGTACAACCACTTTATAAAGCAAGAAGACCTTGTGGAAGTTAAGAAGTTTCAGGCTTTCCGGCCAGGCGCGGTGGCTCATGCCTGTAATCCCAGCACTTTGGGAGGCCGAGGCAGGTGGATCATGAGGTCAGGAGTTCAAGACCAGCCTGGCCAACGTAGTGAAACCCTGTCTCTACTAAAAGTACAAAAAGTTAGCCAGGTGTGGTGGCATGCGCCTACGTAGTCCCAGCTACTCGGGAGGCTGAGGCAGGAGAATCACTTGAACCTGGGAGGTGGAAGGTTGCAGTGAGCCAAGATCACGCCACAGCACTCCAGCCTGGGTGACAGAGCGAGGCTGTCTTAATAAAACAAAGAAGTTTCAATCTTTTAAAAATAATAATATTGAATCCCAAAAGTAGAACATTCCAGCTTTTAAGGATGATTTTTATCTAAAATTGTTGGTTAAAATAATTTTAATGTGTTTACATGGTAAATCCTTCATTTTGTGGGAAGTTCAGCTGTCAAGAATTTACTCTCAGAGATTTTAAGATAGTGGGAATTGTATTGAATTTAATTATTTACTGCCAGAGAGTTCATTTGGTTTTCTGTTTTCTTCTTAAAATAGGGCAAAGTTGTAACTTTGTCAGCAAAGTGTAAACAAGCTAAAGTGACAGTTGAATATGAATCTCTTAAATGTATTTTATTCTCTGAGGAAATAACATCCAGAGCATTTATTTGATACTAGTGTCTGGTATACATATTTACATTTTTCCCTCTTAATCCCTATAGCAATTTGATAATATTAAATATTTCTTCCTCTCCCATTTTATGGATACAGAAACTTAAATATACTGTGGCATATACTTGGGGTATGAGTTCCCAGTCTCTGCCTTCCCACGGCAGACATCCGTAATAATACTCTTCCTACTGAATTCAGCTGTCCGTCTGAAACCTAAACACTGTGTATCTGATAGAAACTAGCAGGCAAGAATTGTCATGCACTTAGAAACCTGTTTGTTAATCTTTGAGCTTAATTGTTTGAGATTATAACATTTCTAACTTCAAATCCCAGGCCCCTTTACTCTGTTTTACAGTGCCTCATGCAGTTGAGGTTGGTTTTCTTAAAGGCTTAGCTTGTGTTAGGTCTTTTTGTACAAGACAAATCTGTCATTTTTCTGAACTGCATGTTGAATTAAACATCTCTCTACAAAGAATATTTGTGTTGATGTTATTCAGCTTTTGGAGCAAGCTTATTTTGCTATGGCTCTTTTTTCTAGGCACAGAAAATTGCAGAACATCGGAGAAAGTATGAGCGAAAACGTGAAGAGCGAGAGATCAAAGAAAGAATAGAACGAGTTAAGAAGGCTCGAGAAGAGCATGAGAGAGCCCAGAGGGTAAATTTCCTATAGCTAAGCCATGAAAGGAAAATACGGCAAATTATGTAGAGGCATTAGGACACTAAAATTTTAATTCCTGGCTCTTTTATTTAATGCTGGCTACAGTTCTATAGAGTAATGATATTACTTATGGGGAGTCTCCTTTCACTGTATCTAATTTGGGGGACATTTTTAGTCTTAAATTATTCAGTGAGCTTTTATTTCACCATTTTATATTCTTGTTTGTGTTTTTATAAAATCAGTTGTTTTTCCAGGTCAAGTAATTGAAATGTGACAGTATTATTGTTTGATCTTTTGAGGATGCTTCGCCAGATTAATTAAATTTATGATTCCTCCTCTCTTCCAACAGTGGATGTGTTGCTATTTAAAAATGATTCTAGCAGGGCAAGGTGGCAAGTGCCTATAGTCCCAGCTCTTGGGAGGCTGTGGTGGGAGGTTCACTTGAGCCCAGGAGTTCGAGACTAGCCTGGGCAACATAGTGTGATGCTACAATAATTCACCTACTTATTTCTAACATTATTGAATGAAAGAACATGAAAGAACCTAAGGCTGTATTATATAATATGTTACATTCTAATTTTTTGTCCATTTAATATTAAGCATCATACTTGATTTTAAGGTTATAGTTTATAATCTTTAAAAGTAATTTATCTCCTTGATATTTAAAAGCAATATATCTCCTCAATAATTTTAAAACTACATATGAGGGATATTTATTTTTTGTTCATTTTCTCTTTTAAAAAGCAGCAAAAACAAATCAATAAATCTACATTTGTATTATGTAGGGAGAATAACGGAAAAGATGTACCTAGGAAACAAAAGTCATGGTAGTCTTGGTAATCTAGCCATGTCCTTCCCTATGGGTGTTTTAAAGCCAGGATGAATTTAGAGTTTTCATATTAGTACTATAAATTGTTTTCCAGGTTTACTTGTTTCCAGAGTAGAAGTAAAACACTTTACTTGAAATTACTACCAAGAATAATGCCCACTGAGAATCCAGTTTGGAAAAAATGTTTGAAGGGGGTATGAAGTATATCCTTCAGTTCAGTATTGCCATCTACTAGGTTATTTTACAATTTTTTCATGGTCTTGCATGGACAGGTTGCATGGACAGCACTTATTTCTTCTTCTATTATATAATTTATTTCCTTTTGTATCAAAGGAGGAAGAAGCCAGACGACAGTCAGGAGCTCAGTATGGCTCTTTTCCAGGTATATTTAAAGAAAAGTTAAAACTGTTTTGTTCTATTATACAGTGATATTTTAATATAATACTTAATATTTATTATAAAGTGATATTCTGATTTTGTTCTCTTATACAGTGATATTCATGAAGAACCTAGGTAAAAGAAATGATGGAATTATTAGGCATAAAAATGATGTTTTTTGTACAGTGTAAAAATAGCGTATTTTTCTTTCAAATGTGATCAGAAATTGCTAGTGAGGCAAATCTTTGAATACCAGAGGACAGGACTAACACAGAGATAGAAGAGACGGAAAAGGCACGCAGAAGATTTATTGAGTACTTCCTGATTACGACAGTGTGGAATTTATATAAAGACCAGGACAAGACTTAATTTTTTGTTTTTTAAACAACTGTCTCCAGTTGTTTAATGGTAACTAGCTTTCTCTTAAGGAAAGTTTTTAGAGGCTACGTATGCTTATATGTCACTGGTTAGAACTTAGTTGCATGATCCGAT
Organism: Homo sapiens; assembly: GCF_000001405.40. Taxonomy (NCBI): domain Eukaryota; kingdom Metazoa; phylum Chordata; class Mammalia; order Primates; family Hominidae; genus Homo; species Homo sapiens. The sequence goes on along the minus strand of NC_000022.11, from coordinate 40,829,137 downwards.
GCTAGAAAATCTAGCCTTTATTCTGAAAGAGTATGTGCACAGCAACAGAAAACAAACCTAGAACAAATATTGAGGATGACCTGCTGTTTGAAGAAAAAGCAAGAAATTAAATTTAGCTCATAGTTTACTTCCTATGTAAAATATAAATAATCTTATTGTCAGATATCTTTGTTTTAGAAAGTGACTGCTAATGTTGGGCTAGTACTAGAGAGAATTTTCTGTTATGTACATTTTATTTAGATTTGACAAGCTTTGGGTCAGTAATTTCGTTACGGGTAGGCACTAATTTTTCAAAGCTTTGGGATAAGTAGGGGCAGCAAGAGAAACTAGAAGTTGTTTTATGGTCCCCTTAGATTTCTTCATCTCTGATTGTTAGTTATTAATGGCCATATTTTAATTAACTGTGGAAGCAGGTAAAAATGACTTTATCATGTGTTTCCTTCTTTAAAACGGCTTTACTTACAGTGACCCTTTGTAGAATACATTAATGTTGTCTTTCTCTATATTATTTTTTTTTTTATTATTGAGACAGAGCCTCGCTCTGTCGCCCAGGCTGGAGTGCAGTGGCGTGATCTTGGCTCACTGCAAGCTCCGCCTGCCGGGTTCACGCCATTCTCCTGCCTCAGCCTCCCGAGTAGCTGGGACTACAGGCGCCTGCCACCACGCCCGGCTAATTTTTTTTTTTTTTTGTATTTTTAGTAGAGACGGGGTTTCACCGTGTTAGCCAGGATGGTCTCGATCTCCTGACCTCGTGATCTGCCCGCCTCGGCCTCCCAAAGTGCTGGGATTATAGGCTTGAGCCACCACGCCCAGCCATCTTTCTCTATATTATTAATTGTAATTTTAGAATATCTCCAGTAGACATACAGGTTTATGATATTGAAGAACAGAGTAGATTATTTGGGTTTATAATCGAACAAATTATACTGAGAGAATAAAATCCTTTTTGCTAGAGCATTATTCTCTGTAAAGAAGCACCAGGAATTCTTGTTAAAAATCCAGGTTTCCAGTTTCACTTTCAGAGAATTTTTATTTTATTTGAAATGGAAATGAAAAATCAACAGATAAGCCTTTTAAGGTCGTCCTTAACTGAAGGAAGATCTATGCTAGAAGAGTATAGTTGAAACAAAAACCTAAACTAAACTCGTATGAATTAATTTTAAATTGAAACAGACAAATATTCAAGAATGGAGAGTTGAAAGATGATCAAAATGACTAGCTTTATAATCTAAGATAATTATACAATTTATAATTATCTAAGGAACTGTTAGATGACTCTTTGCTTTTAAGGCGAGATTAGTCTTTTTTAACAGTGTTATTACTAGAAAAAAGTTGCTGAGCATGGTGGCTCACACCGGTAATCCCAGCACTTTGGGAGGTTGAGGGAGGCAGGCAGGTCACCTGGGGTCAGGAGTTCAAGAGCGGCCCGGCCAACTTGATATAAAAATATAAAACATATTTATAAAAATAAAAAATATATTTATAAAAATATAAAAATTAGGCATAGTGGTGCGTGCCTGTAGTCTCAACTACTCAGAAGGCTGAGGCAGGAGAATTGCTTAAACCCGGGAGGCAGAGGTGGCAGTCAGCCAAGATGGCACCACTGCATTCTAGCCTGGGCGACAGAGCAAGACTCCGTCTCAAAACAAACAAAAATAAAAAACAGTGTTATTACTAGAAAAAAGTTAATCCAGGAGGTAGCAAAGTCTGATTTACAGCCTTGTTTTTAAAGAGATAATTAGAAGCTATAACTTATGTCTTGTTGCAGTCTGGTTAGAATTTTCAGACTCTTCAGACTACTTTGTGCTTAGTGGCACCCATATTCTTTGAACCTGTACTTTTTGTGGATGAAATACTGTGTCAGAATATTTGGGAGTATGATTAGTGTCTATTCATTTTTTATTACAGGTGGCTTTCCTGGGGGAATGCCTGGTAATTTTCCCGGAGGAATGCCTGGAATGGGAGGGGGCATGCCTGGAATGGCTGGAATGCCTGGACTCAATGAAATTCTTAGTGATCCAGAGGTTCTTGCAGCCATGCAGGTAAGACTTGGAAGAAAAACTTTGGACTTTGTATCATTAAGGCAATTCTTTCATAATTCTGTGTGGAGACAAAGGTTACTCTCATAGCTATTTTTTATTTATCACAGTTACCAAATAGCTAATTATGCAAGAGTGACATTTATTTTCTTTATGCAGAGTGAGTAACTTAAATTTTTAAAACTAGGAAATACTTAGCAATCGGCAATTATATCCAGTTGTCCTTTTCTTTGTATCAAAATTGTGCTTTTTTCATCATACAGTTCAAATGACTTAATTCAGCTTGATTTTGATACTTCAAGCACTCATCTAAACCCCATTTAACTTAACTATCACCAAATTACAGGTCTAAATAAGAGATGGAATTTAGGATAATAAACTTACTGACCCAGTAGGACACTTTTTAAATACTAATGAACCCTTTCTTTTCAGGATCCAGAAGTTATGGTGGCTTTCCAGGATGTGGCTCAGAACCCAGCAAATATGTCAAAATACCAGAGCAACCCAAAGGTTATGAATCTCATCAGTAAATTGTCAGCCAAATTTGGAGGTCAAGCGTAATGTCCTTCTGATAAATAAAGCCCTTGCTGAAGGAAAAGCAACCTAGATCACCTTATGGATGTCGCAATAATACAAACCAGTGTACCTCTGACCTTCTCATCAAGAGAGCTGGGGTGCTTTGAAGATAATCCCTACCCCTCTCCCCCAAATGCAGCTGAAGCATTTTACAGTGGTTTGCCATTAGGGTATTCATTCAGATAATGTTTTCCTACTAGGAATTACAAACTTTAAACACTTTTTAAATCTTCAAAATATTTAAAACAAATTTAAAGGGCCTGTTAATTCTTATATTTTTCTTTACTAATCATTTTGGATTTTTTTCTTTGAATTATTGGCAGGGAATATACTTATGTATGGAAGATTACTGCTCTGAGTGAAATAAAAGTTATTAGTGCGAGGCAAACATAACTCATTTGAGGATAAAGTTTGTGTTGGATATGTGGTTCCTGATGCATTTTGACTTGTCTTTTTAAATGCTTTATCTTTTTCTTTAAAGATTTATTTCAATAAAACTAATTGGGACCACCCGTATTTCAGTAGGACCTGGGTAGGGATTGGAAGTACTTGGCAGGGCAGCAGCAATCTTGCTGTGTTTGATATAACATGCATCCTTGGGCAGGTTGCCCTTAAATCTTACACTGTGGTGAAGGGATGTTTTTTTTGTAATGCTGCAGTAGAGTTGGAGTACTTAGTTCTCTTGTTGTCCAGTATATCTAATAAGTGTTTTTCATATTATTTCCACGTAAGGGAAATAAGGTAGTACTTTTCTTTTTATATTTCTATGCTTAAAATTCTCTTTCCTAGTCAAAAATTGCCCAAATCTGTGTTTGCTTTCTGCTTGCTACATTTGTCTCCCTTACTTTTCTTGAGCTAAAGACAGGCTTTTTCCACCGGCATCATCACTGCTATCATCATTAACAGCGTAATTATACAAGCATATTTAATGCTGAGTTTAATTTAATATGTAATACATATGGTAATTGTAGGGTAATACCCACAACAACTGTAGTTTCTTACTTGGCCAAGAGAATGCTTATTTAAGTGTTAGACTTCCATTCTGGCAAAATCTTGCCTTATCAGAAGACATTGGAAAGAGGGATTCCCTTTGGTGTTTGGTCTTCTACTTAGAAAAACCTATTGCAGTTAGTTTATCTTGTAGTATTCATCTTTGTATTCTGAAGATAAGGTTTGAATTAAATTGATACACACAGAGGGGAACCGATTTTTTTTATCCAATGTGAATTATAAATGAGATAATCCACAGTTATTCATTGTGGAGTTGTTGAGACTATGAAAGACTCATTGTCTTTGTATTCAGCTCTTAAATAGTGTAACTATATCCCCACCTCTGCTTGCTTTCTTTCCCTCCCCTCCAATGATAAAGAAAATGATAAATTTTCTGTTGTGCATTCAATTCTTATTTTAAATAAGACTAAGTATAGGCATTGTACCTGACATTGCTACGTTTCTACCAGTGTTTCAATTTAAAGTGCTAGTGTTTAAAAACATTTTCAAGGGATAAGGCCTTCTGTACTTTGCTTATTTGAAGAATCAGTGGTAGGAGCAGTGAAGTAAATTCTATGGAGTACATTTCTAAAATACCACATTTCTGAAATCATAAATAAGTTTATTCAGGTTCTAACCCTTTGCTGTACACAAGCAGACAGAAATGCATCTGTTACATAAATGAGAAAAAGCTATTATGCTGATGGAGCATGCTTTTTAAATCCTTTAAAAACACTCACCATATAAACTTGCATTTGAGCTTGTGTGTTCTTTTGTTAATGTGTAGAGTTCTCCTTTCTCGAAATTGCCAGTGTGTACTTGGCTTAACTCAAGAACAGTTTCTTCTGGATTCCTTATTTGATTTATTTAACCTAATTATATTCTAATATTGCAAATATTACCATAAGTGGGTAAAAGTAAAATTCCTCTTCTGAAAATGTGTCCTGTGCTTTTAGATTTTTAAATTCCATAATATACATTCTTAATTTTCAACTCAATATTCTAAACCAGAAATGTTTTCTTGTACTGATGCTATCAGAAGGAAGTTTTTTCTGCTTAAAAATATAGTTATATTTCTAGCTGTCTTTAAAATACGGTTTCAAACTAGATATTGGGCAGGTGCGGTGGCTCACGCCTGTAATACCAACACTTTTGGGAGGCCGAGGCGGGCAGATCGTCTGAGGTGAGGAGTTCAAGACCAGCCTGGCCAACATGGCGAAATCCCGTCTCTACTAAAAATACAAAAACTAGCCAGGCATGGTGTTGGGCACCTGTAATTCCAGCTACTCGGGAGGCTGAGTCAGGAGAATCACTTGAACCTGGGAGGCAGAGGTTGCAGTGAGCTGAGATCACGAAACACAGTCTCAAAAAACAAAAACTAGTTTTTAATTTCCCCCCCCACCCCCGACTTTTTGTAGCATATGTTCTATTTTATGTCTCTGGTACTCAGGTTATTTACTAGGTATATTAGGCTGCAGACTATTAAGTGCTGCAAACAAGAACCCCTAAAAAACATGTACTTTATTTTGGGTAGCTGTTCAGAGGCAGGCATTCTGCCATACTTAGAAGGTAGCTTCCATTTCTAGTCCAAAGTTGCTTGCTCTGGTGCTCATTCTCCAATTGAGGAAATAGGAGAAGGGGGCTCTGGGAAACACGCTGAGATACTGAAGATAATATATGATGTTAACATTTTATTACTTCTAATATCCCATTGGTCAGTTTGTGTGTTCAGGCTATGTTTAGCTGCAGGGAAAGCCAGTTTGTCATCCATAACTGTGTGATCACATGCTCAAGAAAAAACTTAAGAGTAGAAACAGGAAAGACGACTTGGGGTGACACCTAGCAGTCTACCATACTAGGAAATACTAGTTTGATAAGATAAAGGAGAAACAATTTCATTTTAGAGATTTGCTGATGACTAAAATTAATGCACCTGAGTAGGCACAGGTAAGTAGTGTTTGTGCCAAGCCCTGTTATAATCAGTTTGCAAGTATTGGATCAATTCTGATAATGACCATAAGGGTAGATACTGTTAGCACCACTTTACAATTTTATAGATAAGGAAACTGAAGCACTTAATAAGTAAATTGCCCAGGATAACACAGCTGATTATTTGTAAAGCTGAGATTCTTGAATACAGAGGTTTGTGGCTTCAAAGGGCTTTCTCCCAAACTCTGTACTGTGCTGCCTCTGTGTACAAGGTTGATTCTTGCAGAATTGTTTAAGGAACTGAAAACTAAAATGTACATTTGAATAAGGTTGGTTAAATAAGGAGTGTCACACACTTGATGTGCTGATGTGTACATCCAGGGGGTTTCTTCCTAATAGTAAGGGACACAGCATAATTGAAGTGCATGACGAGCCCCCAAATAAGGGCAAGAATAAACTAAGTAAAAATTATAGTACAGTAATTATAAAAAGTTCAATATGTGCCAGTATTTACAACCAGTATATAATGTACTTAATAGAGCTCATACAGTTTGGAGAGGAAAATGTCCTAAAGTAAATAGGCAACAAAAGTGAGTAACTGAGCTTTAAAAAGCAAATTTAAATAGTATGTCAAGTTGGCAATTTTTCAGTGAGACCTTTCATATAGTGCTGGTGGAAGTGTAAGTTTATGGTTTTCTATAAAGTTGTTTAGCAATAAATAAAAACTTTGACGTTTGGTGAAATCCTAATTTTAAAATTACGGCTCTAAGAAGCCAGGAGGTAAGTAGAACTAATGTAAATGTCTGTGGTGCTCTGAAAATCTAGGCATCTAATACATAATTAAGTAGTTTACTCACACAGATCACTGGGACATTTTTAGATTGCAGGGTAAGTAACCTGACCATACTTAAGCCAGTGTAAAAGCAACATACACGAAATGGCAAGTACTAGCTAGGTTCCTTTAATTCTTATAGCATGGGTGTATATAGAATGGCCCTAAATTTTTTATATACTTTATGTAGTGTCAAGGGGTATGATGCTTATATAATTCAAAGGACCCTCTTTAAGGAAAAGAATGTAATTATGAACACTAAATTGGACACACAAGTAGATACTTGTTTAGAACGAAAAAAGCAGCCAAAAATTACAATCCTTAGGTTTTTTGAAACAGAATCTTTCTCTGTTGCCCACACTGGAGTGCAGTGATGCAATTGCAGCTCACTACAGCCTTGACCTGGGCTCAAGCAATCCTCCCACCTCAGCCTCCCAAGTAGATGGGACTGCAGGCATGCACCACCATGCCCATCTGTTTGTTTTTAACAGCAATGAGGTCTTACTTTGTTGTCCAGGCTGGTCTGGAACTCCTGGTTTCAAATAATCCTCCTGCCTCAGCCTCCCAAAGTGCAGGGATTACAGGCATGACCCCCTGTGCTCAACTAAGTTATAATTTTTAAAAATTATGTCTCAACCGGGCACGGTGGCTCACGCCTGTAATCCCAACACTTTGGGAGGCCAGGGGGTGGGGGGGGGGGTGAGGTCAGGAGTTCGAGACCAGCCTGGTCAACATGGTGAAACCCTGTCCCTAAAAAGTACAAAAATTAGCCAGGCGTGGTGGTGCATGCCTATAGTCCTAGCTACTCGGGAGGCTGAGGAAGGAGAATTGCTTGAACCTGGGAGGCAGAGGTTGCAGTGAGCTGAAGTTGCGCCATTGCACTCCAGCCTGGGCGACAAGAGCAAAACTGTCTCAAAAAAAAAAAAATATATATATATATATACGTATATGTGTGTATATATATATATATATATATATACGTATATATACGTATATATATATACGTATATATATATATATACGTGTATATATATATGTATGTATGTGTGTGTCTCGAACATCACAGCTTCATAGTTCCAGTTAATAACTGATGTAGCTATGCAGTGTCTACGTTTTTCAGTGCATACTGATTATATGAAAATGACTTTGGCTGGGTGCAGTGCTCACACCTCTAATTTGAGCACTTTGGGAGGCCGAGGTGTGTGGATCACCTGAGGTCAGGAGTTCGAGACCAGCCTGGCCAACATGGTGAAACCCTGTCTCCACTAAAAATACAAAAATGAGCCAGGTATGGGGGCGTGCACCTGTAGTCCCAGCTACTCGGGAGGCTGAGGCAGGAGAATCACTTGAACCCGGGAGATGGAGGCTAACATGAGTCAAGATCGCGTCACTGCACTCCAGCCTAGGTGACAGAGCGATACTCCGTCTCAAAAAAAAAAAAAAAAATACTGTTTTCAGTATGTCAGTCTTCAGTTGATCATGCTGGGCGCTGTGGCTCACACCTGTAATCCCAGCACTTTGGGAGGCCGAGGCGGGCGGACCACGAGGTCAAGAGATTTGAGACCATCCTGACCAACATGATGAAACCCCGTCTCTACTAAAAATACAAAAATTAGCTGGGCGTGGTAGCGCATGCCTGTAATCCCAGCTACTCGAGAGGCTGAGGTAGGAGAATCACTTGAACCCGGGAGGCGGAGGTTGCAGTGAGCCAAGCCTGGGCCACAAGAGTGAAACTCCATCTGAAAAAAAAAAAAAAGGTTGCAAGGCCCGGTACAGTGGCTCATGCCTGTAATACGAGCACTTTGGGTGGCTGAAGCAGGTGGATCACTTGAGCCCAGGAGTACAAGACCAGCCTGGACAACGCAGAGAAACACTGTCTCAGGTTTAAAAAAAAAAAAAAGCTGATCAAAATGTTTTTGGTATGTAAGATACAAAAACGTCAAAACAAAGTATTAACAATGTTTTCATAACTATGATGCATAATCCAGTATATTCTTGACAGCAAGCTCCCAATTTGATCAGGAGTCAATGAGAACTGAGTTCTCAAGTTTTACAGCCAACTAGTTTCTATGTTCCCATGCCAAAATAATCTTTTTTTTTTTTTTTTTAGGAGTCTCACTCTGTCCCAGGCTAGAGTGCAGTGGTGCAATCTTGGCTCACTGCAACCTTTGCTTCCTGGGTTCAAGCGATTCTCCTGCCTCAGCCTCCCTAGTAGCTGCAGTTTCAACATTGTAATTTCTACAAGGCGCGTGCCACCATGTCCGGCTAATTTTTTCTATTTTTAATAGAGACAGGGTTTTGCCATATGGGCCAGGCTTGTCTCAAACTTCTGACCTCAAGTGATCTGCCCGCTACGGCCTCCCAAAGTGCTAGGATTACAGGCCTGAGCCGCTGCGCCCAGCCCAAAATCATCTTCGCTTCACTTTTGGTCCTTCACTTTCACGTCATGATTCTATGGCGTGATGGGAATGTTCCTGGAAGCAGTATCTTCTGCAAATTTTGTGAAAACGGCCAGGTTAAACTTTGTTAGACCCCTCTCCCAGGGATTAAGTGTGATGATGGGCATAAAACACTAAGCCTGGCATGTAGTCAGCACTGAGGAGTTATCACGAGGATATTCTAAAAGGAAACATGGTAAAGACAAGTGGTGATGGTGTCTCAGGAAAGAATCCCTGAGTCCCTGAGGAGCATCCTGAAGCAGAATCTCACAGTATGACAGGTTAAAGCTGAATGTGGCTGCTTTAGTTTTGTGTAATTTTGTTAGTCACTTTGCAACATGGAAAAAAATTTTTTTCCTTCAGTATTTTATGAAGTACTACTACATAAATTGGCTTTCGTAATCCTCACAGCAGATGGGGATTGTTGGTACTAGTACATTGTCATTTCACAGAGGAAACCCAAGAGGTTAAATGACTTCCATAGTTGCCAACTAGGGGGAGGCTCCCACTCGCGTCTTGTATTTTGGGCTCCTGATGCTCAACATCTCTTCCCACCACACTCAAGGGTTTTTCTGGAGGAAGAAGTTTCCAAGTCCACAAGTGAGTTTTTTTCCTCTTGGCCAAAATGTGACTTTCAGAATAGAAAAGAGCTCAGGCGCAGAGAAACAGGGAGACTGGAGTCTCATTGAGTTTCCCCATCTTTGTCACCAGAGTAAAAGAAGGCCATTAAGACTTCTGAGATGGAGGAACTGGTCAGGGCCCGGGAACGCCAGAGAACGTCGGAGGAACCGGGAGCCGGGTACCTGGTGTCAGGCCGCCTTGCGCCTTGGAGCCCAGCCCCGCGAACACCTCGCTGTCCCGCCCCGCGCCCACAGGGGCCAATCAGCGTTCAGGGGCGTTCTTAGCCGCCCCCCCCCCCCCGCTTTCCCGCCCCGCGACCCGGAAGTGGTTCTAGGGCAGGCGGGCGGGTTTGAGAGGGCGGGGATTGCGACTCTCACACCCTGAGCTCCGGTGCTCCTTTCCTAACTCCACTGGCTGCGGCATCTGTGGGAAAAGTGTGGCTGGGTCTTCGAGGAGCCGCACCAATGGCTTCCGTGCTGTCCTACGAAAGCCTGGTCCACGCCGTGGCCGGAGCCGTGGTGAGACGGGGTCTTTACGCCCGGGCCGCAACGGGTTATAAGGCTTCTCGGGGGCCAGTCCCGGGATATGCCTGAGGGATGGGTCTGAGAGGGAGGTAGTGTGGGTTGGGGTCCACTGTCATGACTGTGGGGCAGAGAGGAATGGGCCATTGGCGGAAAGTTGTTGGAGGAATTCGGGGTAAGGGCCGAGACTCCGCCACCTCCTGGTCTCCTAGAGACTGCGGGGTAGAGAGCCGTGTTCACACGTGCCCGCTCAGGGTCCGCATCTTTGCCGTGGGAAGTTTAAGGTCAGGCTACCACCGCACACTCACACACTTTGCTTTACTGGCCCGGAGGAGAACGTAGGTGTGAAGCCGTGTTGCTTAGTCACATGCTTCCCTACAGCCTGTCTTCACGCTTGCCGCGGGCAAGTGGCAATACCTAGTAGGATAGCTCTGGGCACCGTTATTGGCAGGAGAAGATAGATCCTTTTTTTTTTTTTTTTTTTTCCGGACAGGGTCTTGCTCTGTTGCCCAAGCTGGAGTGCAGTGGCGCGATCACGACTCACTGCAGCCTCGATCTCCCGGGCTCCAGCGATCCGCCCACCTCAGCTTCCTGAGTAGCTGGGACTGCAGGTGTGAGCCACCACACCCGGCTACATTTTTAAAAAAAATTTTTGGGGTCTGGCAGTGTTGCCCAGGCTGGTCTCGAATTCCTGGCCTCAAACGATCCTCTCGATTTGGCGTCCTAAACTGCTGGCATGAGCCACTGTGCCTGGCTTTTTTTTCTTTCTTTCTAAATCAAGATCTGGGTTCCTGTCTACCACAAGTGTGGTTTGTTATGAGGTATACGCTTGATTCTTGGGCTTCTGGTGTCTAGGTTCCACTTGACACTTCCCCTCTCCCCTCTTTTCCTTAAAACTTTCCACTTTTGGCTTGGGTGACTCCTCTTGTGGTTCTTTTATCTCTTTGACTGCCTTTTCTCATATTCTTCACCAGTTGTTAGCACACACCTTTAGCTGTTAAAATCACTGTGACTTCAGAGGAACATCACTGAATCCTCTGTTTAGCCTCCAGAAACTTCACTGAGAGCTCACCTTCTCTGTAGACTAATCTGGATTTAACCCTAACTCCATCATTTGTTAGCTAGATGCCCTGTAAACCTTACTTTCTTAATCTGTAAAGTGGGGGAAGTGATACCTACCTCACAGAGTTTAGAGAATTAAGTGACACAGCATTTCATGAAAATGCCTAATTCAGGAAGCCTGGTTCATTCAGTTCAGCCAGAAGAGCCTTTCAGCCAGCATGAAGGCTGAGATGGACGCTTGCGTGACTTGCTTTAAGATGGGCATGGAGGCCTGTGTTTCCGGAGTGGAGGGAACAAAGAGGCAAATAGGTTTCAGGGGGCCAAATTGTGTGAGACTTTCACTCTGGCTAGCTGTTGAACTTGCTGATTTACCTTTAAACGTGATCACCCTGGCTGCTGTGTTGAGAGTAGAATGTAAGGGAACAGGGGACAAGCAATTATCAGGCGAGAGATGATGGTGACTTGGATCCGGGTGGTAGCAGACATGGTAGAAGTGATCATTGACCTGGAATATATTTATAAAATGAGGGTTGGTTGACTCCAAGAGTTTTTGGCTTCAGTAACTGGAGGGATGGTGGTATTTACTGGGATGGCAGAGGCTGTGAAGGAGAAGGTTTTGGGGGAAATGATAAATTTGGCTTTGGTTTTGGAGGAGTTTGAAATGCCTAAGAGTAGTCGTGAGACTAGATGAGCTCACTAGGGAAGTGTGTATGGACTGACAGAAGAATCTCAATGACTGAGTCTTGGAGCAGGCTAACCATTAAGAGGCCGAGAAAATAAGATTGCACCAGCAAAGGAGACAAACGAAGGATGGATCAGTACTGCAGGAGGGAAGCTAAGAACTAAGAGTGAAAGCCACGTGAAGAAAGTGTTTCTGGGGAAGGAAGTAGACCAGCTGGGTCAGATGCTGCTGATGGGTCAAGTAAGGTGAGGACTGAGAAATAACTGAGAATTTATCATGTTGATAAATCCAGTGGTTAATTGAAAAGACCAGTTTTGGTGGAGTGGTGGGGGAAATAGTTGGAGTGCATCTAAGAGAAGAAAGTGAGAAGATGGGAAATGTTTTTCTCTTCCTTCTTGCAATAAATGTTCATTAAACACCTTTATTGAGTGCATTCTATGTGCCACACGCTGTTCTAGGTGCAAGGAGTACAGTAGAGAAGGTCTTTTTCTTCATGAACTATGCATTGCAATAGGGGAGTCAGACAATAAATGAATAGGCTGGGTGCGGTGGCTCACGCCTGTAATCCCAGCACTTTGGGAGGCTGAGGCAGGCGGATCGCCTGAGGTCAGGAGTTCGAGGCCAGCCTGGCTAACATGGTGAAACCCCGTCTCTACTAAAAATACAAAAAGTAGCCAGGCATGGTGGTGGGCGCCTGTAATCCCAGCTACTCGGGAGGCTGAAGCAGGAGAATCACTTGAACCTGGGAGGCAGAGGTTGCAGTGAGCCAAAATTGTGCCATTGCACTCCAGCCTGGGTGACAAGAGCAAGACTCCGTCTCAAGAAAAAAAAAAAAAAACAATAAAAAATAAATGAATAAATAAAAAATAAGTAGAATAATTTTAGATACAGTTAAGTGCTATAAAAGAACATAGAGATTGGCAAACTTTTTAAAGAGAGCAGATGGGAAATATTTTAGGCTTTGTGTACCGTTGTCACAGCTACCCAACATTGCCATGGTCGTGTGAAATCAGCTGTAGACAGTAAATGAATGGACAGAGCTGTGTTCCAATAAAATACTGTTTTCAAAAACAGATATTAGATTGGATTTGGCCCATAGGCCATAGTTTTCTGACTCCTGCTATAGAGAGAGTGACTGGCAATAGTGGTAATATATTTCTATTTAATCTACAAAGATACTTCTTTTTTTCACTTGTTGCCTATTTTTCTCTTTTTTTCTTTTTCTTTCTTTCTTTCTTTTTTTTTTTTTGAGATGGAGTTTCGCTCTTGTTGCCCAGGCTGGAGTGCATGGAGTGCAGTGATGCAATCTCGGCCCACCACAACCTCCGCCTCCTGGGTTCAAGCGATTCTCCTGCCTCAGCCTCTCGCCGAGTGGCTGGGTTTACAGGCATGTGCCACCACGCCTGGCTAATTTTGTATTTTCAGTAGAGACGGGGTTTCTCCATGTTGGTCAGCCTGGTCTTGAGCTCCCGCCCTCAGGTGATCCGCCTGCCTTGGCCTCCCAAAGTGCTGGGATTACAGGCGTGAGCCACTGCGCCTGGCCTGGAATTACTTTTCTAACTTTGTTTATGCCTGAATCAAAAACGATTAATGAAATTATATCGTCATACATAGTATTGTATAACTTAATTTTTTAAGAAGCAAATATGGCATAATAGCTGAAAAAAAAGGTTCTGTAGTAAAGCTTAACTATGAATGCCATCATCAATCGAACTATAAAACAGGGACAATAACAATGCCTCACTTAACTGGGTTCTTGTGGGAAGTAAATGTGATTATATTTGTGGAGCATCTAGCATAATGGAACGTTGTAGTAAGACCATAATTATTCATTTCTGTCTCAAGTATATTCTTGCAAATACAGCACTTATACCTAGTTTTAGAAATTTAAGGGAATTGAAATGTTCTCTTGCCTCATGGCCATCTCCACCCATTCCCTTCACTTGTTGCAGATGATCTTACCTTTTACTCTCTAGATAAAATAGAACCTACTTGGGATGAGTTTTTTCAGTTTTTTCCAATTACAGTTGTACTCGTGTTTTCTACATTCTGCTGGTCTCAGAGGAAAAATAGACATATTCAGTGTCTGCTACCTTCAATCTTTGTCCTCCCCTCCAGCCCATGGCCAGTTTTCTTCCAGGACTTTGCTCCAGTAATTTTCATCTCTTTCCTATAGCTTTAACCTAGTATCTGCTTCTGTTCAGCCCTCAAACATGGTCAGGTCTGTCCCATCAGAAAACTATACCAATCTGATCTGGAATCTGGTAGCTTCTTCAGCCTCTGCCTGTTCTCTTTCCCTTTGTGCTAAGCTTATTTAAAGAATATTCTGGGCCGGGTGTGGTGGCTCACACCTGTAATCCCAGCACTTTGGGAGGCTGAGGCGGGCAGATCACGAGGTCAGGAGATCGAGACCATCCTGACTAACACGGTGAAACCCCATCTCTACTAAAAATACAAAATATTAGCCGGGCATGGAGGCAGGCGCCTGTAGTCCCAGCTACTCGGGAGGCTGAGGCAGGAGAACGGCATGAACCCGGGAGGTGGAGCTTGCAGTGAGCCAAGATTGCGCCACTGCACTCCAGCCTGGACGACAGAGCAAGACTCCGTCTCAAAAACAAAAAAAACCAAAACAAAACAAAACAACAACAACAACAACAATATATATATATATATATATATATATATATATATATTCTGCACGTACTGCCTTTCCTCATCCTACTTTGACCACTGGAACTGTTCTTCCAAAGGTCAACTCTGACTTCCTAACAGCTTAATCTACTATTGTGAATGGTTTAAGGTCATGGATAACCAGGTACACACACATTTGTGTCTTTTCACAATGTCAGACTTTTATTGTGTTATTTCAGTTATAAAAGACAAGTTACATGGAGTTCTCAAGGAGGCAATTTTTATTAGTACTTCTCATTCACTAGGTAGTCAGTCAATATTGTAAATCATATATAATAGTATACCTAATTAATACATAAATGATGTAGATTAAACATTCTGCAACAAAGTAACATTGAACATCAAGAGAAAAGGGTGAGGAAAAAGGGTTACCTAACCAGTCCGGGGAGAGTGATATAGACAAGTATCCTGGTTTCATCATGGCAGTGTGTTGGTCTTGTAAGAAAGAATCCTTGATGTGGGCAGAGCCTTTGGACACAGATATCAGGCTTTTATAACAAGTGACAGCAAGACAGTGTCTGTTAAGACCATTTTGAGTTTTTTAAGTCCTGTTCTTTTTATGGTCACAGAGTCTTCTGGTAAGGACTGATAGTGGAAGAGCATGCTTGGTTGTGTCTTTATCTGGAAAAACATCTGGTCCCTGTTGTCAAAGTGCTTTTTGAAATGAAAGATAGGAGTCTTTTTCTAAGATGGAGTTACTTATGTCAAGAGTGCTCTATACATCTACTGACTGTTTTTGCATTCTTAATTGATTCCAGTTCTTTGTAAGTATTCTATACTGTTGACCCTTCTACCTTTCTGAAGCTCCTTCTGAAAGAGCAGTTGGTGTTTATTTTTTACTAAATAGCAATTGCTCTTTTGGAAGGAACTTGAGAAGACATTACTCCTTTTAGGGCCCTAAAATTAACAGTGGTTTCTACTACTAACAGATACTATAGCTATAAAGGACATGTAGAAACCAACAATTGTTGAGTGCCACCTGTGTGCCTGGTATGATGCTAGGTGCCAACCATAATTTTTTGTTTTTGTTTTTGAAACTCAGTCTCGCTCTGTCGCCCAGGCTGGAGTGCAGTGGCGTGATCTCGGCTCACTGCAAGCTCCGCCTCCTGGGTTCACGCCATTCTCCTGCCTCAGCCTTCCGAGTAGCTGGGACTACAGGTGTCTGCCACCACACCCGGCTAATCTTTTTGTATTTTTAATAGAGAGGGTATTTTTTTTTTATACAGAGTCTCGCTCTGTCACCCAGGCTGGAGTGCGGTGGCACGATCTCGGCTTACTGCAACCTCTGCCTCCCAGGTTCAAGTGATTCTCCTGCCACATCCTCCAGAGTACCTGGGACTACAGGTGTGTGCCACCACTCCTGGCTCATTTTTGTATTTTTAGTAGAGATGAGGTCTCACCGTGTTGGCCAGGCTGGTCTCGAACTCCTGACCTCAAGTGATCCACCCACCTCAGCCTCCCAAAGTGCTGGGATTGCAGGTGTGAGCCACCATGCCCAGCTACTTTCCATAATTTGATTCTAACTTCTCATAGCAACCTTGACAAATACCGGTCTCAAAATTACAAATGAGGAAATTGAGACATAGAGATTTGAAGTTACTTATGTAATATATACTATACTTGGGACGTAAACCTATATTTTATCCCTAAACACTCGAGAGTGTCATCCATGAGGCCATTTGTGTAACTTGCCTATCTGTCTGTGTATGTATGAGTTAGCTTGATTGTTATGTCAGGGAAAAGACTTACATTAACTCTGATGAGGTGAATAACATTTTTAAATATGAAAGCCATTGTAAGTGGCTTTTAATCTTTAGAATTTTATTAGCTCAAACCACAGAAAACATCTTAGGTGGTTTTTAAAAATTTTTTTAAATTTTTATTTGTTTTGAGACTAAGTCTCACTGTGTTTCCCAGGCTGGAGTGCTGTGGGATGATCACAGCTCACTGCAGCCTCAATCTCCTGAGCTCAAGCCATTCTCCCACCTCCTAAAGTGCTGGGATTGCAGGTGTGAGCCACCGTGTCTGGCTTTAAAATAATCTTTCTGTTCTATAATGCAGTGTTCTAAATCAGGAGAGGCTATACATTGATTTCAGTGGTGCTGCTGTGACTCAGCCACGTCGGGACCCCTCTGGAAACTGATTTTGGACTAGCATTGTCTTTTTTACCCCCACCACTAGTTTTCACCCTGCTAGGATGAATCAACATTTTAGAAACAGTCAGTCACATTTGGTGATTTGGTTGGTATACCAACCCAAACATCATTGTTTTATGCTTAAAAGGCATGAAAATATGCTTCTGTATTTATGTATGTTCTTATCTATTATTCCCATAAGATTGCACACGCTGGGGGGACCAAGTCTTGACCAGATTTACCCAGTGTTTCATTCTTACTCTATCTGTAAGCCCAACTTCATATGTGGATTGTGTTGACCAAATTAAAAAGTATACTTTAGATATTTACAGGAGAGATATAGCCCAGAATGAATAAACCATCTTTTTTTTTTAGTAAGTAGCCTGAAATGTAGATGATGATGCATTCTTAAGAAATCCAGGTGCCAGGCTGGGCGTGGTGGCTCACGCCTGTAATCATAGCACTTTGAGAGGCTGAGGCAGGCAAAACACTTGAGGCCAGGAGTTTGAGACCAGCCTGGGCAATGTAGTGAGACCTCATCTCTAAAAATAAATAAGTTAAAAAGAAAGAGAGAGAGAGAGAGAGAGAAAGAAAAAGAGAAAAAGAAAGAAATCCAGGTGTCAGTTCAGAATTGTTCACAAAAAAGAGGAACCCCCAAATCCCCAAGAACTTAGGCTAAAAATCGTTTATGTGACTGATACAGTTTGGATGTTTGACCCCTCCAAATCTCAGTTTGGATGTTTGACCCCTCCAAATCTCATGTTGAAATGTGACCCCCAGTGTTGGAGGTGAGGCCTAGTGGGAGGTGTTTGGGTCATGGGGGCAGATCCCTCATAAATGGCTTGGTGCCATCCCCTTGGTGATGAGTGAGTTCTCACTGTTAGTTCATGGGAGAGCTGGTTATTTAAAAGAGCCTGGTACCCACGCCTCTCTCTCTTACTCCCTCTCTTACCATGTGACATACCTGTTCCCCTTTCACCTTCCACCATGATCATAAGCCACCTGAGGCCCTCACCAGAAGCAGATGCCAGCACTGTGCTGGCTCATACCTGTAGTCTCAGCTACTCAGGAGTCTGAGGCTGGAGAATCACTTGAGTCTGGGAAGCCAAGGTTGCAGTGAGCCACGATTGCACCACTGCACTCCAGCCTGGGCGACAGAATGAGACCCTGTCTCAAAAAAAAAAGAAATCTAGAAATAAAATGACTACAATTTAAAAGTTACTGCACGATTGGCCAGGCTCATTGACTCACTCCTGTAATCCCAGCACTTCGGGAGTCTGAGACGGGTAGATCACTCGAGGCCAGGGGTTTGAGACCAGCTTGACCAACACAGTGAAACCGCATCTCTACTAAAAAAAAAAACAAAAATTAAAAATAAAAGTTAATACATGATAATCATGGGAACACTGAATATTGATTTAAGCAAAAATCTTAACTATTAGAAGGATGGAGAGAATAAAGAGAGGGATTCAAGACCAGCCTGGGCAACATGGCAAAACCCTGTCTCTACAAAAAATACAAAAATTAGCTGGGTGTGGTGGCTCACGTCTGTGGTCCCAGCTACCTGGGAGGCTGAGGTGAGAGGATTAATTGACCTCCACCCAGAGGTGGAGGTTGCAGTGAGCTGAGATTGTGCCACTGCACTCCAGCCAGGGCAATAGAGTGAGACCCTGTCTCAAAACAATAACCACAAAAAAAGAGGGAATGTGGTATAAGAGAGCTGAATTCTCATTCCCCATAAGAGAATGTAAATAATGTCTAAAAATGATTAATAAGATATCAGTATATTATTATATGGAGATGTATAAATTCCAAAACAAACAACTAGAAGAATTTAATTGCCTCTCTGAAGGAAGATTGGATAAAATAGAGAGGAGTGGGGCAAAAACTGCTATATTTTGTCATTTATACTATGTGATTTTTTAAACTATGTGCATGCTTTGCTTTGATCGATTAAAAATTTACTATTAGAATATTTAATGCTCGGTGGCTTACGCCTGTAATCCTAGCACTCTGGGAGGCCAAGGTGGGCGGATCACCTGAGGTTGGGAGTTTGAGGCTAGCCTGACCAACATGGAGAAACCGTGTCTCTACTAAAAACTCAAAATCAGCCGGGCGTAGTGGCGCATGCCTGTAATCCCAGCTACTCAGGAGGCTGAGGCAGGAGAATCACTTGAACCCGGGAGGCGGAGGTTGCAGTGAGCTGAGATTACGCCATTGCACTCCAGCCTGGGCAACAAGAGTGAAACTCTGTCTCAAAAAAAAAAAAAAAAAGAATATTTAATGCATAGCTATGAATTTGTTAATTGTTGAAGCTTAGTGATATGTTCAGATTCAAGCACA
Source organism: Homo sapiens (assembly GCF_000001405.40). Lineage (NCBI taxonomy): Eukaryota > Metazoa > Chordata > Mammalia > Primates > Hominidae > Homo > Homo sapiens. The sequence goes on along the minus strand of NC_000022.11, from coordinate 40,810,278 downwards.
GATTTCTGAACATATTAGATACAGCTGAAGATGCAATTAATGCACTAAAAGATAGGGACCACCAGTATACAAAAAGACACTGTTAGCACTCTGGAGATTCCAAGGGTCTTGGATGCTCTTGTATCAGGAACCAGGGACTAAGACACTATTATAACAAAAGACATTCCTATCATTCAGGAAATTACAAGAATTTTACCAGGAGCTCTGTGTCAGGAGCCTAGGATGAGGACCAGATATATACTTTGCATCATAATATCACAGCCCATCATTTTAAAAAAACCCTAATAAATGATCATCTGTAAGACATTAATTGTAGGATATAATTAATATCCTATATAATATATAGCTTCCTGGAGGTATTTACCTTTTTATAGAGTTTTCCTGGAAAGGACAGTGGCCAACCCAGAGGTAGTGTGATGATGTCAGGTTAGATGATAGTATATAATAATGAAGTTTGTTAATAATGTATTTTTTTTGTAGTTAATGGCCTCTGTTCAAACTATACTCATAGGACCCATTCACACTCCTAAAAATTTTCACCAACCCCAGAGTCTTGCTTATGTGGTTATAACAATCAATATTATTGTGTTAGAAATTAAAACTGAGAAATCATTGAGATATTTGGTTTTGTTTTTTGGTTTTTTTTTTGAGACAGGGTCTCACTGTGTACCCAGGCTGGAGTGCAGTGGCACAATCTCAGCTTACTGTAGCCCCAACAGCCCAGGCTCAAGCAATTCTCCCACTTCAGCTTCCCAAGTAGCTGGGATTACAGGCGTGCACCACCACGCTGGCTAATTTTTTTTTTTTTAATTTTTTTGTAGAGACTGGGTTTCTACATGTTTCACCATGTTGCTCAGGCTGGTCTCGAACTCCTGGGCTCAAGCAATCCGCCCACCTCGGCCTCCCAAAGTGGGGTTACAGGTGTGAGCCTTTTTGTTTGTTTGTTTTTTTAAAGAGATGTGGTCTATGTTGTTGGCCATGGTGGTCTTGAACTCTTGGCCTCAAGCAGTCTTCCTACCTCGCCCTCCCAAAGTGCTAGGATTACAGGCATGAGCCACTGAGCCCGGCCAAGATATTTGTTAATTCATTAAAAATCATTAAAAATACATTAGCTGGGTGTGGTTGCTCATACCTAAAATTCCAATGTTGTCTCGCCTCTACAAAAAAAAAAAGGTAAAATACATCCATTACATGTTAACATACATAAGCTATATTTTTTAAACCATATTTTCCAAAACGTCATAAGATGAATGGCATTGATGTATAGTTTTGCAAACCTCTCTTTGACTTGATAGAAGATAGCTGGATCCTTTTATCTGCTTCTGAATTCAGTCTGTTGCAATATCACACATTTATGCATAGCCTTTGGAAAATTTTGCTACACACTGTGAGAGAATAAGAATGAGAAAGGCAAATAGCATTTTATTATTTCATAATGATTCTTATGAAAAGGTTTTTAATCCTACAAAACCTCCTAGAAAGGATTTGGGGACTTTTAGGGATCTCCAGACTATAGTTTGAGAATCACTAGACTGTATTATATCTTGTGTTCTGATGTCTTTTACAAAAAATATTTGCCTCTTACCCACTTCAAAACGGAAATGTTTAACACATGCTTCTTTATAAAAACATTGTACAGAGATGCGTAGCATGAGAAATGGAAACCACTCTTAATTCCCTCCCTTCCCATATAATCATTCTTAAGAATTAGTTGTTTGATTTTCCCAGATCTTATGTGTGTGTGTTGTGTACACTTTTATAAGTGGAAAAGAAAATTTCAACGTCATGTGTGTCTTCATTGAAAAAAGGTTGAGAACTTCTGTAGGAGAACAATAAACAGTAGGAGTAGGAGTCAGAGATCTTGGTTGTAACCTTGCCTCTGCCACTCTGGCTTTGGGCAGACCCCTTAACTACCCTGCCCCATCTCCTCACTTCTCAGCTGAAGGGACTCCACTGCTTCAAGTGCCAATATAGTGTAGGAAGTCACTTATTCTCCCAACACTGAATGGTTAAATGCTGTGGGGGTGGGAAGATAGAGTGTTGTAATTAAAAATGTTTTGAGTGAGATACAAAGAAGGGTGTCTCTTGGGAAATAGATTGTTTAAAATTGTAATTGCTGTCAGCGTTAGAACTCCCACTCAGATAGATGGTTAGAATTCTGTGGGACTCAAAATAATGGATTTATTTTATGCCTCTCGCACAACAGTATTGTACATTGTGGTTATCTTCTCGGTATTTTGTGCCTTCTAATTTTATGTAAGTGAACAGACAGTCCTCAGGGGAAAAAAATGAGTGTTTATGTTAAGATAAATTTAATTCAAATTCTGAAAAGTTATATGCTTATACAGCTTGGCATAAGACTCACATATATAACAAATAATTTTGCTTCAGGTAACAGCTGCTTATAAAAACAGTCATCTTTGTGTTTGCTTGGCTAGGAGACAAATATAGCAAGTCCCTGAGGTATAGAATGCTGTGTTCCAAATTTACCTTTAGCATTTGGAGTACATTATTATTATTATTATTTTTTGAGATGGAGTCTTGCTCTGTCACCCAGTCTGGAGTGCAGTGGCGCGATCTCGGCTCACTGCAAGTTCCGCCTCCCGGGTTCATGCTATTCTCTTGCCTCAGCCTCCTGAGTAGCTGGGACTACAGGTGTACGCTGCCACACCCAGCTAATTTTTTGTATTTTTAGTAGAGAAGGGGTTTCACTATGTTAGCCAAGATGGTCTCGATATCCTGACCTCATGATCCGTCCACCTTGGCCTCCCAAAGTGGTGGGATTACAGGCATGAGCCACCGCACCTGGCCTCTAATTTTTATTTCTATATTAGTAATTTTTAAAAAGTTTTAATTATAGTAAGAGCGTGAGTTCTGTAGTCAGGCTGCCTATGTTCAAATACTGATTCTATCACAAGCTGTCTGACTTTAGGAAAATTGCTGTACCTTTTGGCATCTGCTTCCTTGTCTATAAAATAAAGAGAATGATAGTGCCTGCTTCACTGGGTTGTTGTGAGGATTAATTTTTTTAATTGAGATATAATTCATACAACATAAACTTATTTCAAGCATAGTTCAGTGGTATTTAATACATTCACAATGTTGTATAACCACCACCTCTATCTCATTCCAAAACATTTTGAATAGATAAAATGTGGCATATACACACAATGGAACACTCAGCTATAAAAAGGAATGAAGAATTTGTATGTGCTACAAGATGGGTGAACCTTGAAAGCATGATAAGTGTAAAGAAGCCATGGCCGGGCATGGTGGCAATCATCAGTAGTCATAGCTACTTGGGAGAGTGAGGCAGAAGGATCACTTGAGCCAGGAGTTCAAGGCTGTAGTATACAATGATTGTGCCTATGAATAGGTACAGACAGTACTCCAGCCTGGGCAACATAGCAAGACCCCATCTCTAAGACAAGAAAGGAAAAGCCGGTAGCAAAAAGTCACAGGTTACATGATTTCCTTTAGAGTAAATATCCAGAATAGAGACAGAAAGCCGATTAGTGGCTGCCAGGAACTGAGTGAAGGGGGAAATGGGAAGTACTTGCTTAATGAGTATGAGATTTTCTTTGGGATGATGAAAATATTTTGGAACTTTGGTACTGGTTGAATAATATTATGAATATATAGAATGGAATACTTTAAAATGGTTAATTTTATAATATGTTAATTTCACCTTTTTTTTTAAGCCCCTTGAGCAATTAGACTGGCAAAAAAAATCCTCAGACAACCAAAATAGAAGAGCCTTCATAACCCTGTAGGTTTTTAATCTTCTTTCTGGCCCCAATGGATTTCCCTTACTTTCTTGCAAGCTCAGCTAAGCATTTAAAGGATATTTGTTATATATATTTTATTCGACATTTCTAGGTATTTTGCAGCACGTTGTCTAGGCTACCATATTGCTGGAAATGGAAGCCTACATTTCAACTTTAAATATTTAACCCTCACATTTACACTTACGTTTTCTAACAAAGCCTAAAAGAAATCCATACATGTGTGTGTATGTGTGTGTACCCTTTCCTTTAATTGGTTAAAACTGGTCAGCTTTTAGTTTCCTCCCCACTTCACAGCTTTCCCCCTGCCTCTGCCTATCTGTTTACTGCTTCCAGCCTCCAGGGATTGTAGCAAAAAAGTGGAATGGGTTTCTGGCAAAATATGATAATGGTTAGCTTTCTGGGCACAGAATTTCCTGTTCCAGCTGGGTGCTCCAAGTCACCTTTGGCATGTCAGGTTCCCATACTCACAGTTACTAGCTGGGACTGGTACTGCCTGTCTGGTATTACTGTGGCACCCAGTCAGTCAACCTGAAAGCTGGCCCAGGGCTTCCTTCTGCTTCCCAGTGTTTGTGTCCACAATTTGCGTAATAGTAATCCGGCTGTATTAGTTTTCTATTGCTGCTGTAACAAATGACCAAGACTTAGTGGCTTAAAATAACACAAATTTATTTTCTGTAGTTCTTGTAGATCTGTAGATCAGACTGATGTGGGTCTCACAGAGTTAAAATCAAAGTGTCAGCAGAGCTGTATTCCTTTTTGGAGACTCTAGGCCTGCAGCCGTGTCCAGCCCTTTGAATGCGAGGACTTTTTTGCTTATCTGGTGTGGCGGATATCACAAAAATTATGCACAGAACTTTTTTTAAGCTCATCAGCTCTCATTAGTGTTAGTATATTTTATGTGTGGCCCAAGACAATTCTTCTTCTTCCAGTATGTTCCAGGATTATCCCTAAAAGGTTGGACATGTGTGCTCTAGGGGATAATCCATTTCCTTGCCTTTTCCAGCTTCTAGAGGCTGCCACATTCCTTGGCTAGTGGCTTTTTATCCCATCTTCAAAGCCAGGAATGTTGGGTTGAGTCCTCATCACACTGCAGCATTCCAACTACTCTTCTGTATTCCTCTGCTATCTTTTTTTGAGACGAAGTCTCACTCACTCTGTTGCCCAGGCTAGAGTGTAGTAGCACGAACTTGGCTCACTGCAACCTCTGGTTCAAGCGATTCTCCTGCCTCCCAGGTTCAAGCGATTCTCCTGCCTCAGCCTCCCGAGTAGCTGGGATTACAGGCGTGTGCCACTACTCCCAGCTAATTTTTGTATTTTTAATAGAGATAGGATTTCACCGTTTTAGCTAGGCTGGTCTTGAACTCTTGACCTCAAGTGATCTACTGCCTTGGCCTCCCAAAGTGCTAGGATTACAGGCGTGAGCCACTGCTCCCAGCCAATAATGCTTTGTTCAGAACAGCAGTACTTAACCATTTTCTTTTTCTTTCTTTCTTTCTTTCTTTCCTTCCTTCTCTTTCTTTCCTCACCTTTTTTATATTTATTTTTATAGAGACAGTGTCTTGCTATGTTGCCCAGGCTGGTCTCAAACTCCTGGCTTAAGTGATCCACCTGCCTTGACCTCCCAAAGTGCTGGGATTACAGGGGTGAGCCACCACACCTGGCCTTGGGCCATTTTCTCACAAGACAACAGATGATGCTCACAATCGACACAGACCCGGAGGCTCTCCTGCATGTCAACCATAATCCCACCCTTTTCTCACACACTCAATAAAACACTTCAGGCTGGGCGTAATGGCTGGCCTGAGTGAAGAGACAACCTATACAATAGGAGAAACTATTTGCAAACTATGCATCTGACAAGAGGTTAATATCCAGAATATACAAGCAACTCACACAACTCAATAGCAAAAACAAACAAAAACAAAACAAACAAAAACCAAGTAAATAATTAAAAAAATGAAAGCTCTGAATAGACATTTCTCAAAAGAAGACATAGAATTGGCCAAGAGATACTTAAAAAAAAGCTCAACATCACTAATCATTAGAGAAATGCCAGTCAGAATCACAATGGGATATCACCTCACCCCAATTAGATTGACTATTATAAAAAAGACAGAAAATAGGGATCCCATTCCTTCACAGGGGCCCTGGTAGAGTGACCTTGCACATCTAGGTACCAGCGAGCCCCAAGTACACACTTGCTCTGGGCTTGGGTGCGTAGATGGGCAAGGATGGATTGTCTCTACCATTCCTCAACCAGCTGAGGCCCTGAAATCTTCCCTTAGCCAGATTTCAGGACAAAGGAGCACTAGATATTATTAAAAGGACTCCTTTTGCTAGTCCTTTGAAGCCCGAATTGGGATTGAAAGTGAGAGGAACAGGGCCTGGGCTCAGAAGGGGGATATAAGGAAAGCAGAACCCAGTGTGCCTGTGTCAGTGTCGTCTGGAGAAAAAGCTCTTGATGATATCTAATAGCTGTTATTCACATCAAAACTCTCTAAGGCCCTCCACCTATTTTCTCGTTTATGGGAAATGAAACATTCAGAGAAAGGACTTGCCCAGTCACCTCAGATGGCTCAGCTGGAAACTAGAAGTGAGATCCGACATAGTGGAAATGTGTAGCATACGGTGAGCCACTTTCCAACTTAGCCATTAAAAAAAAAAAAAAAACAAAAACTAGCAAATGCTGGTGAGGATACTGAGAAAAGGGAACTCTTGCACACTGTTGATGGGAATGTAAATTGGTACAGCCATTATGGAAACATTATGGAGGTTCCTCAAAAAATTAAAAATAGAACTACCATATGATCCAGCAATCCCATTACTGGGTATATATCCAAAGGAAATGAAATCAGCGTGTCAAAGAGACCTCTGCATATCTGTGTTAATTGCAGTGCTATTCACAGTAGAAAAAATGTGGAATCAATGCTTATCTACAGATGAATGGATAAGAAAAATGTAAATATACCAATGGGAATTTTATTCAGCTGTAAAACAGAATGAAATCCTGCCATTTGTGGTGACATGGATGAACCTGGACAATAAATATTATGTTAAGTGAAGTAAGCCAGGCACAGAACAAACATCACATGATCTTACTCATAAGTAGAATCTAAAAAAATTGATTTTATAGAAGTAGAGAGTAGAATAGTGGTTACCAGGGGCTAGAGATGGTAGGAAGGAGAGGGGGACCAGGAGAGGTTAGTTAAAGGGTACAAAGTTTCATTTAAGTCAGGTACTGTGGTGGCACAGGGCTGCAGTTCCAGCTACTCGGGAATCTGAGGCAGGAGGATCGCCTGAACCCAGGAGTTCAAGGCCAACTTGGGCAACACAGGGAGACCCCATCTCTTTAAAAGAAGAAAAAGTTAGACATGAATAAGTTCTGGTGTTCTATTACAAACTATGGTGACGATAGCAAATAACAATGTCGTGCGTATTTCAGGATAGCTAGAAGAGAAGATTTCCGATATTATCACCACAAAGAAATGATGTTTAAAGTAATGGGTGTGGTAATTACCCCAGTTTGATCATTATACAGTGTGTACATGCATTGAAACACTACACTGCACCCTATAAACATGTACAATTATTACATGGCACTTATAAATAAATAAATTTTGAAATGTCTCACTGTGGTATTCTTTTAATTCTCATCTACCAATTAGACCCCTTTTTGTTTTTCTATATAGTCCTTTTATATAAAAATCTGTTCTCATTATTAATCATTGGAGTAGGGAGGAGGCAGTGGTGGGTTTTCAGCTAACCCTCTTGATCCAGTCTTTCCAGTGCTACTAAATTTATAAAACTGTTACTTGGTGTTACTCATTTGAATTTTCTTTTTTTTTGAGAAGGAGTTTCCCTCTTGTTGTCCAGGCTGGAGTGCAGTGGCACGATCTTGGCTCACTGCAACCTCCGCCTCCCGGGTTCAAGTGATTCTCTTGCCTCAGCCTCCCAAGTAGCTGGGATTACAGGTGCCCACCACCACGCCTGGCTAAGTTTTGTATTTTTAGTAGAGGGGGAGTTTCACCATGTTGGCCAGGCTGGTCTCGAACTCCTGACCTCAGGTGACCCATCTGCCTCGGCTTCCCAAAGTGCTGGGATTACAGGCTTGAGCCAACGTGCCTGGCCTGATTTGAATTTTCATATGCCAGTTCTTGAGGTAGTAATAGACCAATGAGCTGTTTGGGCTGACTGTTCTCTTTATCTTGGTGTTTCACTTCAAGATATCCAGATAGGTAGGCAAGGACTTCTATGTTTAGGAACCTTCACGTGTCTATTTAAAGCTGGCAGAAAAGAGGGATGAAGGTGGCCCAGTGTTTGAAGAGGTAGCTTCCAGGCTAGACTTTTTCTGTCTGGAGATGCCCTGTCTATGCAGTACCCTTCAAAGAAATGCAGTACCGGCCAGGCACGGTGGCTCACGCCTGTAATCCCAGCATTTTGGGAGGCCGAGGCGGGTGGATCACCTGAGGTCAGGAGTTCGAGACCAGCCTGGCCAACATGATGAAACCCCGTCTCCACTAAAAATACAAAAAATTAGCTGGGCATGGAGGCGGGCGCCCTTAATCCCAGCTACTCGGGAGGCTGAGACAGGAGAATCGCTTGAATCCAAGAGGTGGAGGTTGCAGTGAGCCGAAATCCCGCCATTGCCCTCCAGTCTGGGCAACAAGAGCAAGACTCCGTCTTAAAAAAAGAAAAGAAAAGAAATGCAGTACCATGCGATAGAAAATGAGTGCCAGAGCCTTAATAAACTTAATAAGCTTTCTCTAACTTTCCAGCTCCCATTTTTCTTGGAAATTGCCTCCTGAAGATGAGCAAGGATGCTGGATGCATGGATTTGTAGGATTTGTAAAGCTTTGTGGGTTCAGTGTTTTGTGAGACATTGAATATCATTTAGTCGTTGAGTGTCATTTCTTGAAACATTGAGTATCATTTAATCATTTATCATGACTAGAAAAGAACAGTTATGTTGGGGTCATCAAAAAAGCATAAATAAGTGAAAGTACAGTGAATTGAATAAATGTTTAATTGAGAATCTAGGATGTGCACAGATATAGAAAGAATGCTCTCACAAATTAGCAGAAGAGTTGGATTTCACTGTAGTATATGTGCTGAAAGAGCCATAAATAAGTGCTAATGGCACCCTAGAGGACTGAACAACCAATTGTAAGCTGATAGGCGGGGAGAGGTAACAATATGTGTTTTGAAGAATACAAATATTAGAGTATTCTCCCTTGTCATGGAGGCTGACCTATTTAAATTGATAATAGGCCTACCAAATTTTCTTATTTAAGTTGACCTAGCTCCTAGTTATTTATCATTTACATATATATATATATATATATATATATATATATATATATATGTAATATATTTTTTTCTTTTTTCTTTTTTGAGACAGAGTCTCTTTTGCCCAGGCTGGAGTGCAGTGGCATGATCGCGGCTCACTGCAACCTCCATCTCCCTGGTTCAAGCAATTCCCCTGCCTCAGCTTCCCAAGTAGCTGGGATTACAGGCATGTGCCACCAGGCCCAGCTAATTTTTTTGCATTTTTAGTAGAGAGGGGATTTCACCATGTTGGTCAGGGTGGTATCAAACTCCTGACCTCATGATCTGCCCACCTTGGCCTCCCAGAGTGCTGGAATTGATTACAGGCGTGAGCCATCATGCCTGGCCTTTATTCAAAATTTTTTTTTTTTTTTTTGAGGCAGACTCTCGCTTTGTCACCCAGGCTGGAGTGCAGTGGCACGATCTTGGCTTACTGCAACCTCTACCTCATGATTAAAATACTGTATGAAGCCAGGTGCAGTGGCTCACACCTAGTACTCCTGCACTTTGGGAAGTTGAGGCCAGAGAATCACTTGAGGCCAGGAGTTTGAGGTCAGCCTGGGTAAATATAGTGAGACTCTGTCTTTACAAAAAATAAAATTATCTGGGTGTGGTGACACACATCTGTAGTCCTAAATACTTGGAATGCTAAGGCAGGAAAATTGCTTGAGCCCAGGAGTTCAAGGTTACAGTGAACTATGATCTCGCCACTGCACTGGAGCCTAGATGACATAGCAAGACACTGTCTCTAAAATAATTAACTAATTAATTAGTTAATTTTTTTTGTAACCATTATTAGATCAGCAGTCTGAAACTTGATTTTATGCCTGTAAATCTATACCAGTGGGTATGCATCTGGATTGAGAACCATAAACCAAAATGGAAGTTTCATGTATATAGTTTCATCCCTAAATATATGTTTGTGGTTTTTATATAGGACCTTATGAGTGGAAAAACTTGTTGTTTGCTTGTTTTTTTTCATTGATAATTTGTGTCATTGTGTTATCTTGGATGAGCTTAAAGAATTGTTGGCAAAGAGATTGTTCCTATTTAATTTAAAACACAAGCAAACTACTATTTCAAAGACAATATGATTCTTACCTGTCCTTTCAATTTGTGGTGAATGTATTAAGCACAGAATAAAAGTATGTGTCTGTTTAATTACCGGGTATTTTGGTTTTGGGGGTTATCAGGGAGTGCTCATGATAGCAGAAACTGACCTGTAGAAGGTTAAAAATCCATTTGCCTGCTATCTTTGACATGTGTCCTAGGTTGCAAACCCCTAAGTTTGTCATATGCAGGGAAATGTTTTCTTTTTCAGTGTCTGAGAGAGACAGAAAGAGGAGTTTTCTTCTGAAAAATTAAATACTTCTACTAAAGCATAGTAGAAGCTTGAACATTGCTAATCCTAATAGATTAAAATATTGTATGTATTCGTTCACTAAAAATCTGATTTGATCGATTGCTAATAATAAACTTTTGTTCATTTAAAAGTTGTGACTCCCGGCCAGGCACAGTGGCTCACACCTGTAATCCCGGCACTTTGGGAGGCCTGAGGCGGGTGGATCATGAGGTCAGGAGATCGAGACCATCCTGGCTAACATGGTGAAACCCCGTCTCTACTAAAAATACAAAAAACAGTCGCGTGGTGGCAGGCACTTGTAATCCCAGCTACTCAGGAGGCTGAGGCAGGAGAATCGCTTGGACCTGGGAGGCGGAGGTTGCAGTGAGTTGAGATCGTGCCACTGCACTCTAGCCTGGGCAACAGAACAAGACTCCATCTCAAAAAAAAAAAAAAAAAAGTTGTGACTCCCAGCCTGGGCAACAAAGTGAGACCCCCATCTTTACAGAAAAATTTAAAAATTAGCCAAACATGGTGATATACACCTGGAGGGTATGTGCTTGTAACCCCAACTACTTGAGAAGCTGAGGTGGGAGGATCACTTGAGCCCAAGAGTTCAAGGCTGCCGTAAACCACTGCACTCCAGCCTAGATGACAGAGCAAGATCCTGTCTCAAAAAAAAAAAGTTGTGACTTAAACTATGTTTGTGATGCTGTAATGGCCTTTTTCAAACTTTTCAGGGAAGCGTGACAGCAATGACAGTGTTTTTTCCCCTGGATACAGCTAGACTTCGACTTCAGGGTAAGTAGAAATCATACTCCTATTTGTATGGTGTCAGGAAGCAAACATTTTCGCTAGTAATTTCTTTTTTTTTTTTTTTGAGACGGAGTTTCGCTTTTGTAGCCCAGGCTGGAGTGCGATGGCATGATCTCGGCTCACTGCAACCTTCGCCTCCTGGGTTCAAGCGATTCTCCTGCCTCCGCCTCCCAAGTAGCTGGGATTACAGGAACCTCTTTTTTAGTACAGACGGTGTTTCACCATATGGGCCAGACTGGTCTTGAACTCCTCATCTCAGGTGATCTCCTGCCTTGGCCTCCCAAAGTGCTGGGATTACAGGGATGAGCCACCATACCCAGCCTCTTTTTTTTTTTTTTTTTTTTTTTATGTATGTGTGCTTTTATTTTTCTAGAGGGGATAGGGTTAAGGGGGAACAAGTTTTGACTGAGAAAATAAACTTTTCAGCTGAAACTGTATCCCAGAAGTTTGAAATAAGTTGTAGAAGAGGGAGAAGATAGATACCTGGTAGACTGGGGCCTAAAGTTGCTCACCCCCTTTCCCACTCTAGAGGCCCCTTGACTTCCTGCTCCAGATTACAGTGGGGAAGGAAGCTTTCACTCTTTTTCTGCCCATCAGTGATCTGAAAGAGGCAGATGGGGAAAAGGTTCCGAGGAACCAATGGTGCACATCAGGCCATGTTGCTTTCTCTGTCTGAGATGAGTTCTCTAAGACCCAGGGTAAAGGGTGGACTGTAGCTCTGTGGACTCAATTTGCCTCCAGAGCTTTTCCAGAGCTTTTTGCCCAGTTGTTGCTGACAACTGATGACAAGACAGGCAAAGATCAAGACCATATCAACAGCCCCTTCGAATTTCCAGAACAGGTGTATTTCCATCAGAGCCAAGCGGGAGGCTTTCAAACTCATTCCTTAGATGAGCTGCTTGCGGTTTTCTCCACACACCCTGTGAAGCCACACTCTGGGGTGACTTTAGCCTGGAAATGAGAATGGGCAGTGCCCCCTTCTATGCAGATCTGAGACGCTCAGGACCGCTGTTCCTCCCGGGGTGCAGAGGCAGTGCTTACTCTACAGCCCTTGCAGAGGTTCCAGGTCAGGGTGGGAAAGCCAGAGGTGCCCATGGGGCAAAGGCTTTATCAGATGTCCTTGTGGCCACAGCAAGAAAAACCCATGTGCATTTGTTGGCTGCGGAGGAAGGGCTGGCCGGGCATACAGGCCTGGTGCACCTCGGCCTCCACCCCAGTCTAGTGATTTCTGAATTAATCAATGATTTCTGATACTATAGAGATCCACCATTGACTTTAAATACTGGTCATCATTGTTTCCTATTTTATTTTTTATTTTTAAGGTTTATTTTCCTTTTCTTTCTAGAAGATATCATGTTTCCTAATTAACAGAGAGTCATTCCTGGATGAGTCATAGCCTTAGCCATTTTCTAATCTAAGAACCTGAGTGGTCTTGCACTAATAATTTTGATTTGTTACAATCCTTTTCTAAGAAGCCATATGACTTTTTTAAGGCACACAGTGGAGAGTTTTTTGAGGGAGTTAGATGGTGTCAAAAGAAGAGGCAGAATAGGAACATACTGGAGCCACATACTCAATGCCATTGCTAATGTAGGCATGTAGTCCTAATCTGCCTTTGCAGCTTTATGGGACTCTACAACTCACTGTGATTCTTGCTTGTTTTTTCCTCAGATTTGTTCAAGTTGAAATTGTAAACCTATGCCAGAACTTGCATGAAGAGATGAGTAAGATTAGCTTTCAATAGTAATTCAAAGGTTAAACCCTTTATGCCTACTATTTTTGGGTAATTTTATAGTTTTTGGATAAATAATTTTACATGATTCAACAGGCAAAATATATAAAAAGGTATACAGTGCAGTGAAAATGCTCACTCTTAGTCTGCCCTGTCTCCCTTTCCTCTTCACTGCAGGTAGCATGTTTATCAGTTTCTTGAGTAGCCTTGCAGACTTTCTTTATGGAATAACAAGCGAATAAGAATATATAGTCTTAATTTTCTCCCTTTTTTACTTTTTTTTCTCTCCCTTTTTTACACAAAAAGCATACTTTACATGCTGTCCTGTACTTTGAACTTTTCACTTAACAGTATGTTTTAGATGCCTTCTGAATCAGCGCATTGGGAGCGTCTTCGTCTGTCTTACAGCCGTGGAGTGTTCCATTCCATGGTGTGAATGCACCATAACCTGTATCACCCTTCCCCTGTTGTAGATTCTGGGGTTGTTTCCACCCTTTTGTTATTACAGAAATGATGTAAGAATAGATTTGTTCCTATGCCATGTTGTTTCTGTGAATTCTATGGGATAAATTCCCAGATATAGGATTACTGCATTAAAGGGTAATTGTATTTGTAATTTTGATGGTTATTGCCAGATTGCCTTCTTTTTTTTTTTTTTTTGAGACAGAGTCTCTCTTACCCAGGTTGGAGTGCAGTGGCACAATCTCGGCCTGGATTCACGTGATTCTCCTGTCTCAGCCTCCCGAGTAGCTGGGATTACAGGCATGTGCCACCATGCCCAGCTAATTTTTGTATTTTTAGTAGAGATGGGGTTTCGCCACGTTGGCCAGGCTGATCTCGAACTCCTGACCTCAGGTGATCCACCCACCTCAGCCTCCCAAAGTGCTGGGATTACAGGCGTGAGCCACCATGCCCAGCCTCAGATTGCCTTCTATAGGAGTTTGCCAGTTTGCCATCCCACAAGCCATACTGGTACCAATTTTAATTCTTAGGAAATTGGTTAATTTGCATATTTTATGTTCTAAAATTACTTTTCAGGTATGGGTAGGAAATTTGAAGTTAATTGAGGTGAGTTTTGTTTTCAGTGAGAATGCCAGGAAAAACACAGTCCTTGTCCTTTTGAGACTTTATTTTTTAGATTAGGAGACAGACGCAAGGCTAAAACCCTTTAAGAAACTTGAATTTTAGGCCGGGTGTGGTGGCTGACGCCTGTAATCCCAGCACTTTGGGAGGCCGAGGCGGGCGGATCACCTGAGGTCAGGAGTTCAAGACCAGCCTGGCCAACATGGTAAAACCCTGTCTCTACTAAAAATACAAAAAATTAGCTGGGCATGGTGGCAGGAGCCTGTAATCCCAGCTACTCAGGAGGCTAAGGCAGGAGAATTGCTTGCACCCAGAAGGTAGAGGTTGCAGTGAGCCGAGACCGCACCACTGCACTCCAGCATGGGCGACAAAGCGAGACTCCGTCTCAAAAAAAAAAGAAAAAAGAAACTTGAATGTTAATACTGGCTTTGCTGCCGACCACATCTGTCCTTCCAGTTTTTGTGTCTATAGCCTCTCCTGTAAAAGGTAGATAGTAATTTATTTCCTCTCTGCTTTATAAGATGCTAAAATGAGAAAATATATACATTAATTGAATAAAACAAGAGAGCTTTATGAAATTTATGAAATATAAGAAATAAATTAGGCTGGGCGTGGTGGCTCACGCCTGTAATCCCAGCACTTTGGGAGGCCAAGACGGGTGGATCACGAGGTCAGGAGATCAAGACCATCCTGGCTAACAGTGAAACCCCGTCTCTACTACAAAAACAAAAAATTAGCCGGGCATCGTGGTGGGCGCCTGTAGTCCCAGCTACTCCGGTGGTTGAGGCAGGACAATGGCGTGAACCCAGGAGGTGGAGCTTGCAGTGAGCCGAGATCACGCCGCTGCACTCCAGCCTGGGTGACAGAGCGAGACTCCGTCTCAAAAAAAAAAAAAGGAAGAAATGTTTTCTGTCGTCTTTTCCTTTGGAAATTAGGAATTAAATTAGACTGCTTTATGGTTCATGAGTAACAGATGAAGGGCAAGGGATCTGCAGTGGGAATTTAGCACATGGTCACACAGGGGCATCATTTAGTTCTGGGGCAACCTAGGGAGCTCAAAGGTGAGGTAAATGGCATTTCAGTGAAACTTGCTGATGTTAACAATTATAATCCTCAAAGGATTTAGTTTAAACATACACGGGCCGGGTATGGTGGCTCACGCCTGTAATCCCAGCACTTTGGGAGGCTGAGGCATGAGGATCCCTTGAGCCCACAAGTTTGAGACCAGCCTGGGTAACATAGTGAGACTCCGTCTCTAAAAATATTAAAAAATAGGCGGGGCACGGTGGCTCATGCCTATAATCCCAGCACTTTGGGAGGCCGAGGTGGGCAGATCACTTGAGGTCAGGAGTTCAAGACCAGCCTGGCCAAAATTGCGAAACCCCGCCTCTACTAAAATACAAAAATTAGCTGGGCATGGTGGTGTGCACCTGTAATCCCAGCTACTTGGGAGGCTGCAACAGGAGAATCGCTTGAACCCAGGAGGTGGAGGTTGCAGTGAGCTGAGATCACGCCACTGCACTCCAGCCTGGGCGACAGAGTGAGACTCTGTCTCAAAAAAAAAATTTTTTTTTTAATTAATAAAATAAACATGCACTGTTTGGTCTTGTAGTTGATGAGAAAAGAAAATCCAAAACTACACACATGGTGCTCCTGGAGATCATTAAAGAAGAAGGACTGTGAGTACTACCTCAGTTCACCTTCGTTAAAGCAACTTGTTAGGAGATTCCTGTGCTTCCAGTAGAGTTATGCTTACTTTCTATCTTTCTCACAGCACTCTAATGTTGTGAATTTGGAATTGCCTGATTTATAAGTACATAATTGTTTTCAGTTTCTTAAAGATCTGTAGTGAGGCATTTGATTCTTTTTATTTATTTTTGTACAATGCTTACCTTAAGCCATTTGATTCTTGATCATGGAGTCTTCCATGAAACTAAAATGCATTGTTTTATATACAGTAAACTGAAAAAAAAATAATAGTTGTTTAGTTCATTCCTGTCAGGTGCATTAAGACAGATTATGTACTTCTTGTTTTAGCTTTTTATTGGAAATAATTTTAAATTTACAAAAATTTGCAAAACTAAACTTAGTACAAAGAAGACAAGTATATGCTTTACCCAGATTCATCTGTTAACATCTTTTCCTGTTTGTTTTACTATTTTTGCTCATGCTGTCTCTCTCCCACCTCCCTTCTCTCCTTACACACACCACACACAAATTTCCTCTGAATTATTTGAGAGTAAGTTACATACATCAAAGCCTTTTAGCCCCATGACACTGACACTTTTAAACAATACAGTCCGCCTGTAATCCTAGCACTTTGGGAGGCCGAGGCAGGCGGATCACCTGAGGTCAGGAGTTCGAGACAGCCTGACCAACATGGAGAAACCCCGTCTTTACTAAAAATACAAAATTAGCCGGGCGTGGTAGCGCATGCCTACAATCCCAGCTACTAAGGAGGCTGAAGCAGGAGAATCACGTGAACCCAGGAGGTGGAGGTTGCGGTGAGCCGAGATCGCGCCATTGCACTCCAGCCTGGGCAACAAGAGCAAAACTCCGTTTCAAAAAAAAAAAGAAAATAGAAAGTTTCTCATTTTTAAGTTTGCCTCACATTTCCTCATGATTCCATTGAGGTTATACATTATTGGCCTGAATAATGCACAGGTGATATTGTGTCCTTCTCAAGATATCACATCTTGACTCACATATTGTCTGCCTGCCTTTGGTTGGCTAATTATGATTTCTTAAATTTGATTTAGCCACTGTGCAATTACTTTTTTCTTCCCTTGCAACTATAAGCAGTCTATGTGGAGATACTTCAAAACAATACAAATATCCTGTGCTTTATCAACATTTTTCCCCTAAATTTACCACGAAGTTGCAAAATGACGACTTTCCAACTCCAGCATTGCCTCTACAGGTACCAATGTTGGCATTCTGCTATAAGCAGGACCTCCCCTTCTCCTTCATTTATTTATCTACTTATTATTGGTATAGGCTCAGAAATGTCTATTTTTCAATGGTTTACAATTGATTACTGTACTTCATTATTTTGGTATTCAAATTGCCCCAGATTTGGCCTGTAGGAGCTCCTGTGAGCTCCTGTGCCCTTGTGAATTCCCCCATCTTTTTTTTTTTTGATACTTATTTCCTATAATTACTTCATTTTAACTGTTCTTGCCCTGTAATAAAACATGAATGGTACTCTATTAACTAACAGCCATGAGGAAGTTGTCTCTAATTTTATATACCAATGTTACTAAAGAAAATTAAGGGAGGGAATTAATAAATCAATCAGACTTTGTGTTGTTTCTTTGGTATCATTAGTGCTAGAATAGATTTCTTGATTTGGACATCCTTCAGAATGTGAGGTGTGTGTACAGTTTGGAGTCCCTTGTATTCGTGTAGGAGTGAAGCTTGAGACCATGTGAATGATGGTCAGCCTTTCCTAGGATTTCTCTGCCAATTTCTAATTTGTCCATGACCTTTACTTTGCTTATTGTGTTTTTCCCCTAGCCTGGCACCATATCGAGGGTGGTTTCCAGTGATTTCCAGTCTCTGCTGCTCCAATTTTGTCTATTTCTACACTTTTAATAGCCTCAAAGCACTCTGGGTCAAAGGTCAACATTCTACCACTGGAAAAGATCTGGTAGTTGGGTTTGTTGCAGGTAACAAGGTTTTCTGGGTATAAAATGTTTTTATATTTACCTTGTGGTTTTATATCCTCTAAGAGGTTATTTAGCCCAAAGTAATGCTTACAAAGAATATAGCCAGTTTTCCAACTTGGTTTTTTTTTTTTTAATTGTGTTAAAAAACGTGACATAAAATTTACCATGTTAATTTTAAGTGTAAGGTCAGTAGTGTTAAACATGTTCACAATGTTATGAAACAAATCTCCAGTACTTTTGCATATTGCAGACCTGATTCTATTCTCATTAAACTCCCCTTTTCCCTTTCCCTGAGCCCCTTAGTAACCACCATTCTACTTTCGGTTTCTAAGAATTTGACTACTTTAGATACTTGATATAAGTCGAATCATACACTACTTGTTTTTTTTGTGACTGGCTTACTTCACTTAGTATAATGTCTTCTACTTTCATCCATGCCATACAGCATGTGACATGACTTCCTTACTTTTTTATGACTGAATAATATTCCATTATATGTATATATCACATTCTGTTTATCCATTCATCTGTTAATAGGCACTTAAGTTGCTTCCATCTTTTGGCTGTTGTGAATAGTGCTATGAAAATGGATGTGTAGCTCTCTCTTTGAGAGCCTGCTTTCCATTCTTCTGGATATATACCCAGAAGTGGGATTGCTGGATCATTTGGAATTCTGTTCAGTTTTCTCGGGAACCTCCATACTGTTTTCCATAACACTGTAACATTTATAATCCCACCAACAGTACACAGAAGTTCCCATATTTCCACATCCTCACTAACACTTACTTTCTGTTTTATGATAGTAGCCATCCTAATGGGTATGAGGTGATATCTCACTGTGGCTTTGATTTGCATTTCTCTGATGATTAGTGATGCTGAACATCACTTTTCATATGTTTGTTGGCCATTTGTATATTATCTTTGCAGAAATGTCTGTTCTGGTTCTTTGTCTATTTTTTAATCAGGTTATTACATTTTTTTGCTCTGAAGTTGTAGGATGTCTGTATGTGGTATAATAAAAAATGTATGTGGCCTTTGTCCCTGGTTCCTGGCACAGTTCCTAAAACCATTGGAATTTCCTGAGTAGTAGTATCTTTTGTTATTCCTAATGAGCCCCTTTGAACTATCTCTGAGTTTAGGCTAATAAAGTTACTATTGGTGGGCTCCTAGATAGCTTCAGGATGGAGGCTGGTGGCCAGAGGAACCAGCCATGTGCTTAGAGAGAAGGGGAGAGAAGTTGAATTTTGGATAAATAACTCAGGATAGAAGTCTAGGAGTCATCACAGGCTCTTCGTGCCTTCCCACCCTCCACATCTGCTTGGCCATCAAGAACCACTGGTCTGTCTCCTCACTGTCTCTTGGATCCATTTCCTCTTCTCCATATCCATAGCCATTTCCCCAAATCAAACCTTATCATTGCTCACCTGGACTATTGCACTATAGTCTGATCTTCCCTTTGAGGTCTTCCTCATGAACCCACTTTGCACAGTTTTGCAGCCTTTCTAGGAGAGTAGTTTTCAAAGAGTATCACGACTCAAAGAACTCAAGTTTGAGATTTGTTCACTTGGGGAAAAAAATTAGAATAGTTCCTGTACAGAAAAAGACTTGTTTTTTACATAAATTACAACAAATGGCAATCTAGTGGGATCTTCTATACTTGAGACCAGTTATTTGTAATACTTTGATTTTAATCATTTTAGATTAGTTTATATGTATTTGCATTTGAAAGATTATAACTTACAGGGACTAACTCATATAACTTTCCATGAAACTTCTAATTCATGGACTATATGTTGAAATCTTTTGCTTTTTAAATTGTCCAAAGCGGTTTATTTGCTGTGTCTGCCATCCCATTACCCACCAGATATATACCACCCCTGTGTTACTCTCTCTGTCCTGTTCATCTTTCTAACTCTTAGTGCAATTTAGGATTACAGCAGACTCCCCCATACCTAACACAGCTGGACTGGTATAGTAGGGCAGTTAGCTTTCATTTTTTACTTTTTTCCACTTGTCTAAAATTTTTTTTTCAGGGCTCATGAACAATTTTTTTCTTTTTTTTTTCAGGGCTCAATTTTAAAAAGTCAGTTAAAGTAACACATATAATAAATAGCCTACTAACCTTAATTGTTGTATTTTAACTTTAAAGTTCACTCTTCCACTTTTTTTTTTTTTTTTTTTTTTGAGATTGTGTCTCACTCTGTTGCCCAGGCTGGAGTGCAGTGGCATAATCTTGGATTGCTGCAACCTCCACCTCCTGGGTTCAAGCAATTTTCCTACCTCAGCCACCTGAGTAGCTGGGATTACAGGCACCCACCACCATGCCCAGCTAATTTTTTATATTTTTAGTAAAGATAGGGTTTCACCATGTTGGCCAGGCTGGTCTCAAACTCCTGACCTCAGGTGATCTGCCTGCCTCGGCCTCCCAAAGTGCTGGGATTACAGGCGTGAGCCACCGCGCCCAGCCTAAAGTGTTTTCTTGAGTGTGTGAGAAGGGGGTAGGATTACAGTTGACACATAGGAGAGTCTACGGGTCTGTGTTGACTGTGAGCATCATCTGTTGTCTTGTCAGAAAATGGTCCAAGGCCAGGTGTGGTGGCTCACCCCTGTAATCCCAGCAGTTTGGGAGGTCAAGGCAGGAGGATCACTTGAGCCCGCAGTTTGAGACCAGCCTGGGCAACATAGCAAGACCCCATCTCTATAAAAAATAAATTTTAGACCAGGCGCGGTGGCTCACGCCTGTAATCCCAGCACTTTGAGAGGCTGAGGCGGGTGTATCACCTGAGGTCAGGAGTTCGAGAACAGCCTAGCCTACATGGTGAAACCCCACCTTTACTGAAAATACAAAAAATTAGCCAGGTGTGGTAGCAGGTGCCTGTAATTCCACCTACTTGGGAGACTGAGGCAGGAGAATTGTTTGAACCTGGCAGGCAGAGGTTGCAGTGAGCCAAGATCATGCCACTGCACTCCAGCCTGGGCAACAAGAGGGAAACTCTACCTCTAAATAAACAAACAAACATAAAATATTTTAAAAGGTAGGGAAAGAAGGAAAGAAAGAAAATGAAAATGGTTGGGAGACCCAGCTCCTGAGTCGCTGGCATCAGGGATCCTCCGTGGCGTGTCATCGGCATCGTCGGGCCCCTGGTGCACCCCCGCGGCAGACAGAGCTCACGCCCCTTCCCACCCCGTGGCTGGTCCGGGGTCCGGGCACCGCGTGGACGGTGTCTCTGTAGGACGCAGGGACCGGGCTGCAGCCCATGCCTCGAGCAGACTGCATTACGAAGCATCTGTCATACTCCTGCCGGGACCAAGTGGTATGGGGCTTCGGCCGTGGCTACAAGCAGCTGGGCATCCCCCACAGCTAATTTTCCTGAGCAAGTGGTAGATAATCTGCCAGCCGATATATCCAGTGGCATTTATTATGGTTGGGCCAGTGCTGGAAGTAGAGATGGTCAGAAGATGGTGGTGAGCATAGGATGGAACCCATACTATGAGAATACGAAGAAGTCCATGGAAACACATACCATGCATACCTTCAAAGAGCACTTCTATGGGGAAATCCTGAGTGTGGCCGTTGTTGGCTACCTCAGACCAGAAAAGAACTTTGATTCATGAGAGTCACTTATTTCAGCAATTCAAGGTGATTTTTGAGGAAGCTAAGAAATGACTAGATTTACCAGAACATTTGAAACTCAAAGAAGATAATTTCTTCCAGGTTTCTAAAAGCAAAATAATGAATGGCCACTGATGAAAAATCATATTATTTATTCATTCACTGTCTTCCAGTATTTCAGTGTTTTGTTTTGTTTTTATTTTATTTTATTTTAAGTTTTTGAGATGGAGTCTCGCTCTCTCTCCCAGGCTGGAGTGCAGTGGCGTGATCTTGGCTCACTGTGACCTCTGCCTCCCAGGTTCAAGTGATTCTGCTGCCTCAGCCTCCTGAGTAGCTGGAATTACAGGCGCACACCACCACGCCTGGCTAATTTTTGTATTTTTAGTAGATATGGAGTTTCACCATGTTGGTCAGGCTGGTCTCGAACTCCTGACCTCGTGATCTGTCTGCGTTGGCCTCCCAAAGTGCTGGGATTATAGGCATGAGCCGCAACGCCCGGCCCAGTGTTTATTATTGTCCAGCCTCATCTTGGTTATATTTCAAAAATCAAACATTTTCCTACAGCTGTGAATTAGTTTAAACAGTACAATGTAGTTACCATATCATGCTTCATCTGTTAAATTAAGCCCATCATGTCATAGCACTAAAAAGATTCATTTAAAAATCAAGATTTAAAAAATATATATTGATTAAGATGTACCACTAGGAAGGTATTACATGCGTATAAGTATGGGTAAAAAGGCAAGTCACTAGTTTGTGATGAAAAGTGAAATTTTCATGGTAAAATACCAGAATGTATGTACTTGTGTAGTGCGTACTTCTAAATAGAGAAGGCTTATAAAAGTAAACAGATTAAGGCCAAGTGCAGTGGCTCACGCCTGTAATCCCAGCACTTTGGGAGGCCAAGGTGGGAGGATTGCTTGAGCTCCGGAGTTCAAGACCAATCTCGGCAACATAGCGAGACCCCATCTCTATAAATAAAACAAAAGTAAATGCATTAAATGGAAGGTTGACAGTTTATCATAAACCTACAAAGATGTTTGTAAAATTTTGTTTTAGTCATTTTCTTTGAACTCACATCATTATACCATCTTCATTTTTGTATGGAGCTGGTTCAATTCTAAGTCCTCTAGACTTTCCCTGCCTATCTTTGTTGTTGTTGTTGTTGTTGTCGAAGACAGTAAAATAAGTGTTTTTCAAGTCTAAAAAAAAAAGAAGAAAAGAAAACTGTCAAGAACTGCTATTCTGAAACTCTAAGTCTGTTTTATCCCTGCTTAAAAGCTTTCAGTATCTGTTCCTTGCATGCAGCTTGGCACCTTCAGTATACCAGACTCCTGCTGGTATACTTTTATAGGATAAAAGCCTGACATATCTTATCTGCTGTGATACAAATTACCTCAAGCTTGATCTTTACTGATCTTGACTGCAGACACCACAGCACGCTGAGCCCTTGTAACAGGTAGGCTACTCGCTAGGATGCCTGTGCTCTTCCACTTCTAGTAACTGAGTTTTACGCTTACCAAGAGTGAACTGTTTATTCTCAAATCTGCTTATGCCAGTTGCATCTGTTACTGTAGGGAAAGCATTATGGTATGGGTGTACTTCCATGCCAATCTGTGAGTCTTTGACTGTACCAAGCCATGTAGTAACCCCATTCCTCTACAGCAACTGTGGTCTGTCTGACAACAGTCTTACTGCTTATTTCATCTTATTAACTCCCATTCATCCCTTTATTCTCAGCTACCTCTTCTTCAGGAATCTTTCCTTGTTTCCTGTACCCACCACCCCTAGGTTTTATTCTGGGTTAGGTGCCCTTTCTATGTGCTCCAACATGGCATCTACCTCTGTCTTAGTGTTTATTGTCTAACAATAAGTCTGCATATTCTTCTTCATCTTTTGCTAGACAGTAAGCTCCTTAAAGGCAGAGATTACATTTTTGTTATTTCCACATCCCCAGTGTCTTAGCACACTGCCTAGTACATAGAAGGTACTTATTAAACGTTGAGTGAATGAATTAAATTTAAAATACTGCTCCTCCTGGAGTCTTCTCCATTTTACTAAATGGCAGCCCTGGTCTTCCAGTTGCTCCACCAAAAATCTTGAATATATCTTCTTCTCTCTGACCCCACCTCCAATCCATGAGCAAACCTTTCTTCTTATGATACCCAGAATTCAACTACAGTCGGCCCTCATCCGTGGGTTCCACATCTGTGGATTCGGCCAACTGTGGATTGAAAGTATTTGGGGAAAAAGAAGAGGGTAGTTGTATCTATACTGAACATGTAGACTTTTTTTCTTGTCATTATTCCCTAAACAATACAGTATAACAACTATCTACATAGCCTTTACATTGTATTATAAGTAATCTAGACATTAAAGTGTATGGGAGGATGTATGTAGGTTACATGCAAATACTTGTGTCATTTTATATCAGGGACTGGAGCATCTGGGGATCTTGATATCCAAGGGGGTCCTGGATCCACTTCCCCTAAGATATGCGAAGTAACCGTACTTTCCTCTCCACCACCACCTCAGTCCCAGCCACCATCATCAAATCTTTCTGGAATTATCTCCAGAGCCTCCTACTTTTTTTTTTTTTTTGCAACAGGGTTTCACTTTGTCACCCAGGCTGGAGTGCAGTGGCATGATCTTGGCTCACTGCAACCTCTGCCACCTGGGTTCAAGCGATTCTCCTGCCTCAGCCTCTCTAGTAGCTGGGATTACAAGCACACACCACCATGCCCAGCTAATTTTTTGTATTTTCCTAGAGACGGAGTTTCACCACGTTGGCCAGGCTGGTCTCAAACTCCTGACTTCAAGTGAGCTGCCTGCCTTGGCCTCCCAAAGTGCTGGGATTACAGGCGTGAGCCACTGTGCCCAGCCAGAACCTCCTAACTGATCTGTCACTTTCTCCTTAGTCTCCTTCAGTCTGTATTCAGCACAGCAGCCAGTGTGATCATGTTAAAACATGAATGAGGGCTGGGTACAGTGGCTCATGTCAATAATCCCAGCAGTTTGGGAGGCTAAGGTGAGAGAATCGCTTGAGGCCAGGAGTTTAAGACAGCCTGGGCACCATAGCAAGACCTCATTTCTACCAAAAAAAAAAACCAATTAGCAGGGCATGGTGGCATGCACTTGTAGTCCTAGCTATTCAGGAGTCATTCAGAGTGAGACCCTGTCTCTTAGAAAAAAATTTTAAAAAGTGAATGAGATCATGTCATTTCTCTGTTCAGAGCCTTCCAGTTGCTTCCCATCTCACTCAGAGGAAAAGCCAAAGTCCTTACCTTGTCCTGCAAAGCCTGTTTAACCCGGCCATCCTATTCTCTTTACTTACACTGCTGCAGCCACCCTGACTTCTTCATCCTAAACACTCCTGGCACGTGTCTGCCTGTGTACCTGCTATGACCTCTGCCTGGTAACCATGTGGATAACTCCTTTGCCTCCTTTTAGGTTTTTCCCAAATGGCCACTGTTAAATGATAAACTTTAGACAAATTATGTTTAACAGAGCTTTTTTTGTTTGTTTTTTGAGAAGGAGTCTCACTCTGTCACCCGGGCTGGAGTGCAGTGGCGCGATCTCCGCTCACTGCAACCTCCGCCTCCCAGGTTCAAGAGATTTTCCTGTCTCAGCCTCCCAAGTAGCTGGGACTACAGGCGCAAGCCATCATGCCCAGCTAATTTTTGTATTTTTAGTAGAGACGGGGTTTCACTCTGTTGGCCAGGCTGATCTCGAACTCCTGACCTAAGGTGATCCACCTGCGTCAGCCTCCTAAAGTGTTGGGATTACAGGCGTGAGCCACCATGCCTGGCCTAACAGAGTTTGATCAAGCAAAGAACAATTCGCAAATTGGGCAGCCCTCAGAACCAGAAGGTCAGAGTGACTCTGGAGCTGTCACATGGTAGAATATTTATGGACAGAAAAAGGAAAGTGACATATAGAAGTCAGAAGTGAGGTACAGAAACAGCCAGATTAGTTACCACTTGTTTACCTTATTTGAACAGTTGGCTGCCTGTGATTGGCTGAAACTCTATGATTGGCACAAGATCCAGGTAGGTTATAGTTCACTATATACTGAGAAACCTTCAAGGTTATTTTTTTTCCTTTTCTTTTTTTTTTTTTTTTTTTTTGTTGTTGTTGAGATAGGGTCTTGCTCTGTCATCCGGGCACTGGAGTACAGTGGTGCAGTCATAGTTCACTGCAGCCTCCAACTCCTGGGCTCAAGAGATCCCCCTGCCTCGGCCTCCCCAGTAGCTAGGACTACAGGGATGCCACCACACCCAGCTAATTTTTTTTTATTTTTTGTACAGATGGGGGTCTTTCTGTGTTGCCCAGGCTGGTTTCAAACCCCTGGCCTCAAGAGATTCTTCTGCCTCGACCTTCCAAAGTGCTAGGATTACAGGTATTAGCCACTGCTCCCAGCTGAATATTTATTTTAAAAAATAAAAAGAATATTTATTTTTATTGATATTAAATCTACCTTCTTAAAGCAACTAGAAACAAAGATGAAACTTAGTACATATGTTTTCTCCCCCTGCAAACGTATGAGTTAGCAATTCCAAAGTGACTTTTTGTATACTTTAGGATAAGTAAATATATTGTGATCCTGGCCTAGTTCGCTTGGACAATAAAGAAAAAGTATATACCCTTTCCCACAAGCCATTTATTCATCATGGTTTGTTCATCAAATATATATTGGGTGTCTAGTATGTGCTAAATCCAGTTCTAGATGCTAAGGATATGGCAGTAAATAAAAAATGAAAATCTCTGTCCTCATGAAGCTTACAATCTAATATTGTAAGATAGACAATAAACAAGGAAAATACATAGTATGTTAGAGGATAAGGTTACAGACAAAATTTAAGCAGAGAAGGGATAGAGAGTACTGAGGGTTAGAAAGAGGTACCATTGGCCGGGCGCGGTGGCTCATGCCTGTAATCCCAACACTTTGAGAGGCCGAGGCAGGTGGATTACCGAGGTCAGGAGTTTGAGACCAACCTGGCCAACATGGCGAAACCCCCTGTCTACTAAAAATACAAAAATTAACTGGGTGTGGTAGCGGGCACCTATCATCCCAGCTACTTGGGAGGCTGAGGTAGGAGAATCACTTGAACCCAGGAGGCGGAGGTTGCAGTGAGCGGAGATCGAGCCACTGCACTCCAGCCTGGGAGATAGAGCGAGACTCCATCTCCAAAAAAGAAAAAAAGAGGTACCATTTTAGATAGTATGGTGTTAAGTCAAGTTAAAGCTGTCTCTACATATTTTAACTTCAGTGCTGGGAATGGTAAAAAATTAAAAATAAATTAGCCGGCATGTGCCTGTAATCCCAGCTACTTGGGAGGCTAAGGAGGGAGGATCACTTAAGCCCAGGAGTAGGAGGCTGCAGCAAGACCATGTCTCAAAAAAACAAAATAAAATAAAATAAATAATTGTAACAGCTAATGGAATAAAACAGGTGTGAAAGTGAATTCCTGTGTTTTGAAATTGTAAAGAATAAAAGGAATAATCACTTGGTGATTGGATTAGATTAGTGGTTCTCCACTGAGGCTGATTTTGACCCACAGGGTCAAATGTGGCATCTAGTGGGTAGAGGCCAGGGAGACTGCTAATCATCCTACACAAGAGCCCACATACACACACAACAAATAATTTTCCACCCCAAAATATTAGTACTGTCACAGTTGGGAGACTCTGGGTTAAAGAATTTTACAATCCTTTGTTAATTGTGAGATTCTCTGATTGTAGGTCTTCTCTTTTTCTGAAGGTTGAGAGTTCCTTGAAAATTACTTTTGTGAGTTTTAAACTTC
This sequence comes from Homo sapiens, assembly GCF_000001405.40. NCBI lineage: Eukaryota > Metazoa > Chordata > Mammalia > Primates > Hominidae > Homo > Homo sapiens. Next base: position 40,783,107 of record NC_000022.11, on the reverse strand, counting down.
TCTTCATAACAAGTTTTTATATCTTAATATGTACATATTTTTATAATAATTATAACAGCTTTCTTCCTGCTGTGAGTATTATAATCACTGTAGAAATGAGTTGTATCATCTCTAAGGAGAACTAGGAACAGCGTTGTTGCTCTTCAAATTCTTCTTGAAACTTAGAAATTTATTATTTATTGTATTTTCCCAGAAAAACAAGCCTATAAAGCTTCATATCTTGGGGAATAATGTGGGAACAGAACCTTAACAGATAAATGAAGAGACACTTATTTTTATGAAATTGGAATTTTTAGCAATAACTCTTACTGAATGCCAAAGGTATTATCATTGTTGTGATAGTTCAAAATGTATTTCCTGCCCTCTGGCCTTAAATCTGGCAAGACAGGTTTGTTCCTGTTGTGTGTAAAGTTTCATTCCTTCCTACGGAGTCAAGTGAGATTTGTTAGATTTGTGCCTTTGTTTTGCCATTTTCTTATATCCATGGTCATTGCACATATTTTCCAGAAGTGCATACCCAATTAGCCTACTTCGTTTGTGTTTTCTCTCCGTAACAAAGGAGACTCACTGCTGATAAAACTAATTGTTTTCAAGATTTCAGGAGTAAATAGCTGTGTTCTAATTGTTCCTTGATTTAGTGAATAATTTTAGTGTGTTCAATTACTGTTATTCATCTCTTAATTTTGGTTTATTCTTTCTTGTAAATGATTTGTTACATAAAAGAAAGAAAGAAAATAGAATTATAGACATTAGAATTAGAAAAAAAACAGTCTTCTGCCCTTTGGTAGGTAAAGTATTAATTTGTATTTCTACTTTAGAGCGGAAGTAGCATCCACAGCTTGGAACTGGCGGAAGAGTTGTTGTTGTTGTTGTTGTTGTTGTTGTTTTGAGATGGGGTCTCGCTCTGACACCCGGGCTGGAGTGCAGTAGTGCGATCTCGGCTCACTGCAACCTCCACCTTCTGGGTTCAAGCGATTCTCCTTCCTCAGCCTCCTGAGTAGCTGGGACTACAGGCGCCCGCCACCGTGCCTGGCTAATTTTTGTATTCTTAGTAGAAACAGGGTTTCGCCGTGTTGGCCAGGCTGGTCTCTAACTCCTGACCTTGTGATCCACCCGCCTCAGCCTCCCAAAGTGCTGGGATTCCAGGCGTGAGCAACCGCACCCGGCCGGAACTGGCAGAAGAGTTACACGGGCTTACAAAAAAGCAGACAATTTTCTTTATCCTTTGGGCCTGTCAGGAGTTGGAATTGGTACTCACGAATGGTTTGTGGCATGCTTCTCTCAGTGGAATGCTGACCTTTGCTTGATGATATAGGTTGCAAGTTTTAGTAAAGCTTCGGATTCTCAAGTATTTTGAGTAGCTTCTCTCAGAACTCATAAAATTATACTGGTTAAAAAATACTCCTCCATCTATTTTGGCTTAGAGAGTGAAAAAAAGTACTTGAACTTCTCAGATAAAAAGCTTTGAAATACCAAATGTTCTTACAAGGACTTTATAATCTGTTATTTAAGTAATGTGGTACATTTTTGTACTTGAGGTTGTCCTTGAGAAGAATCCTTTTAGGCCGGGTGCGGTGGCTCACACCTGTAATCCCAGCACTTTGAGAGGCCGAGGCGGGCGGATCACGAGGTCAGGAGATCGAGACCATCCTGGCTAACACGGTGAAACCCCGTCTCTACTAAAAATACAAAAAATTAGTCGGGCGCAGTGGCGGGCGCCTGTAGTCCTGGCTACTCGGGAGGCTGAGGCAGGAGAATGGTGTGAGCCGGGGAGGCGGAGCTTGCAGTGAGCCGAGATAGAACCACTGCACTCCGGCCTGGGCGAAAGAGCGAGACTCCGTCTCAAAAAAAAAAAAAAGAATCCTTTTAGTCTTTCTGCTTGTGTTAATAATGGGGATATGAAAGCAGATTTTTTTTTCTTTTTTCTTTTTTTAATAAGAAAAGGTCTCACTCTGTTGCCCAGCTCTGGAGTGCAGTGGCATGATCACAGCTCACTGCAGCCTCAACCTCCTGGGCTGAAGCGATCTTCCCACTTCAGCCTCTTGAGTAGCTGGAACCACAGGAGTGTGCCACCCTGCCTGGCTAATTTTTAATATTTTTTTTAGAGATGGAGTCTCCCTCTTTTGCCCAGGCTGCTATTGAACTCCTAGGCTCAAGTGATCCTCCCATATCAGCCTCTCAAAGTGCTAAGATTACAGGCATGAGCCACCACACTGGGCATGAAAGCAGAATTTTAAAGAATGGTTAGATCTTAATCTTAGCTGCATTGCCTCCTAAGTGTTTTTGTATGTGCCTACCTCTTAAATGAAGAAAATTTTTATTTCTGAAGAATTTATTTAACAGGCAACATATTTCACTTGTTTAGAAAGGTGGGTGCACTATACCTTTCTACGGTATCTGTGGAAGCTTGTGATCTCTGGTCCTGAGCTCTCCTGTCCTCCTTTTCTCTTAAAACAAATGCAGTAGACTGCTCAATAGCACTTTCTAGTCTGATTTTTCTGGCTGTTGGTTTTTCTCTGTTAAGTGAAGTGTGCATTGCATTGAATAGGAATACATTCTAAAATCTAGGCAAACAGGAATGTGTTAATATCCCTCTATACTGGCCTCTGGGGCATGGGTGCTTTTGAAAAAATGAGACTAGGAAGAATCTGTAACTAAGGGTTTTTTAGATTATAGGCAATGCCTCCAGTGACAATGTATGAGCCTTTTAAGTTATAACTAAAGATGACTCCTTAATGTTATGTGAATCTATAAAAATATAACAAATACGACTGATAAAATTATTAGGTGATGCCTTTTATTTTGAGAAATGTGCTCTTATAATGCTCCTTAGAGATAGGCAGCAAAATATCTTTAACAACTGTATGCAACTAATGAAAAAATTGAATTTGAATCTCTTGGCTGTTTTGTCAAGTTTATCCTTGGTTAGACTGTATTTCCTATATATAATATTTTGAGATACCTTAAATCAAAACTTTATTTCTTCAATTATCTTTAAATGGATTTTAGTAAAAGACTTCTCTTCCTTAGGATTTTTTCTCTTGGTTCTTCAGATCTTGACTAGAGCCAGACAGTTGGATGTGTGCTTTTTTACTGAGTTTGTTCATTGCTTCATTTGTTCCACTATTTATTTAACAAATGTTTATAAAGTATATACCATGTGTCAGGCACATTGTTACAATTCTATCTGGTATTTTTTTTTAATCATTTCAGGACTGGTGAGGAATATTTTAATATCTCAAGATGGTGTTAAATTGGGATCATATGTTTTCAAAAAAGAAGCACCTGGCTCATTGTATTGTTCTACTCTGAGGCAACCTTGGGGGGCCAAGATCCCCATCCTTAAGCTTGTAAGGATCATGATGCTTGTGAAGCTGTTTCAGGTGTTTTGTGACACTTACCTGATGCTTGCTGCCTGCCTATCCTAATGCTCTCAGCAAGGAGGAACTCTTCAGCGAGCTTCTAGTCTCTGTTAAGGCACTTTTAAATGTCACCACCTTTCCCCCTCCTGTCACTCATTGTACCATATCCATACTCACTTCAAACCGTGTGAGCTACTTAAGTAAGAGTTGTAAATTGTGTGTTTTATCTGATATTGTCATGGACTTAGCATGTTAGCTGTAAGCCACTCTCATCTCTAAAGCTGTTACGTTAAAATTATATTTAAAGCTATATCAAAATTGCTACTTTGAATGGTATATAAATTGACAAATAGATTGCCTGTTGTACAAATGAGGGAACTTATTGCTCTTCATCTGGAGAGCTGCTGCCGCCAGCCATTTTGCTATCAGCAAAGCTTCCAAATCGCTTCTAACAGTAGTGGCTTGTGTTGTACCCTGGCACAAAGAGACACCTTACCTTAGGTCTCCTAAGAGGTCAGTGACAGAGATATAAATGGAATATTGGTATGTAGCTTTAAAGCAGCAAAGCTTAAAAGCTGACATTTTGCCTTCCCTTTTTCTCTCCATCTTTCTTGTTAAAGGAGTGGTTAATGTGTTGCTAACAACTCCACTCTGGGTGGTAAACACCAGACTGAAGCTTCAAGGAGCAAAATTTAGGAATGAAGACATTGTACCAACAAACTACAAAGGTATCATTGGTAAGTATCTCTTTGCTGAATTCCTATTTAAGGGTTTTCTTCCTTCTTTGTATCTGGAATATGTTGCCACATAAAGCTACATAACATATCCTTTGCCCACTTTTTGATGGGTTTGTTTGATTTTTTTTCTTGTAAATTTGTTTAAGTTCTTTGTTGATTCTGGATATTAGCCCTTTGTCAGATGGGTAGATTGTAAAAATTATCTCCCATTCTGTACGTTGCCTGTTCACTCTGACGGTAGTTTCTTTTGCTGTGCAACAGCTCTTTAGTTTAATTAGATCCCATTTGTCTATTTTGGCTTTTGTTGCCATTGCTTTTACCTAATGTAAATGATGAGTTAATGGGTGCAGCAAACCGACATGGCACATATATACATATGTAACAAACCTGCACGTTGTGCACATGTCCCCTAGAACTTAAAGTATAATTAAAAAAAAATAAAAGCTGCATAACAGACAACCTCAAATCTCGGCATCCATCAATAGCATTTCTTTTTAACACATGTTTGTGGATTGACGTGGATTTGGCTCATCTAGGCTGACCGTAGCCTGACAGTCTCAGTTCACATGGCTCTCCTCTTTCTGGGACCAGCATGAGCATATTCTCATTGTGATGGCAAAAGGTCAAGAGGACACACCCAATGGTATAAACACCTTTCAACCCTGTTGGCACCTTGTCTGCTGACATCCCAGTGGCCAAAGCACATCACATAGCCAAGCCCAAGACAAGGGGTAGAGAAGTATGCTGCTCCCAAAGAGTATCAATGGGAGGGGATGAATATTTTTGAAGAATGATCTATACTTTTTTATTCTAGTGTTGTCTTTGGATAGACACCAGATTGGTATCTGATATCTTTGAGCTTCTGCCTTTCAATAGTACCACATTGCCAGGTTCTCCTTTCCCATACATCAATCTTTGTAGTGAAATAGTGGTTTTTAAAAGTCAAATCCTGTATAATAAATTCTAGGAAACGATCTTATCTTTTCTTGTGCTGGACTTTTTTGTGAAATATGTGGGCTCAGTTCACAGTTCTGTGTAATCCAGAATTCCCAGTGATGGTGATAATGACTTAGGAGGATTCGATCATCAGGAACAGTTGCCTGTGATTGAAGTTGGTCTCTCAATAACTTGGTGACTGTCAATGTCTGATTATCAAAAAGTAATTAACCGATAAACTTGACCCCAAACTATCATTGCAAGAAAGAAATCTTTTTTTTTTTTTTTTTGGAAATGGAGTCTTGCTCTGTCACCCAGGCTGGAGTGCAGTGGCACAATCTTGGCTCACTGCAACCTCTGCCTCCCGGGTTCAAGCAATTCTCCTGCCTCAGCCCCCCAAGTAGCTGAGATTACAGGTATGCACCGCCACACCTAGCTAATTTTTGTATTTTTAGTAGAGACAGGGTTTCACCATGCTGGCTGGGCTGGTCTCAAACTCCTGACCTCGTGATCCACCCGCCTCGGCCTCCCAAAGTGCTGGGACTACAGGCGTGAGCCATTGCAACCGGCTGCAAGAAGGAAATCTTTATAGAACCAGTATGGTTTGTGTTCTGGGTACATTTCAACAGAATTCATGTTGTCTTCTCTAGTTGGGGGATTGTGATCATGCTTTTCAAAAGTCCCTGATTTCTTGCTTAGATGCTTTTCATCAGATCATTCGCGATGAAGGAATCTCGGCTTTATGGAATGGCACATTTCCCTCATTGCTGTTGGTCTTCAATCCTGCCATCCAGTTCATGTTTTATGAAGGTTTAAAACGGCAGCTTTTAAAGAAACGGATGAAGGTAATCCTTGATTTTGAAAGCAGTAAAATAATTCTGTCTGACACCTTCTTGTTGACTTGATTGATATGGTTTGTTCTTCCTTTGCTTTCCAGCTTTCTTCCTTGGATGTGTTCATCATTGGTGCAGTAGCCAAAGCGATTGCCACCACGGTGACCTATCCCCTGCAGACGGTACAGTCAATTCTGAGGGTGAGTGCTGGAGTTCTCTTCGCATTTAGTCAAACAGCATTCGAATACATGTAGTCTCTTGATTTAAAACAATGTTAATAAAGCAATAAAGCAGTTAGTTGGTATACCAGAATATTCCCTATCTGTTTTTTTTCTTTTCTTTTTTTGAGACAGGATCTCCCTCTGTCACCCAGGTTGGAGTACCGTGGTGCACCATGGGTCTCTATACCCTCGACCTCCTAGGTTCAAGCAGTCCTCCTGCCTCAGCTGCCCAAGTAGCTGAGACTACATACACCACCTTGTCCAGCTAATTTAAAATTTTTTTGTGTGAAGATGGGGTCTCACCATGTTTTCCAGGCTTGTCTCAAAGTCCTGGACTCAAGCGATCCTCCCACCTTGGCCTTCCAAAGTGCTGGGATTATAGGCATGAACCATTGTGCCTGGCCCCCATTTTTTCATTTGTTTGATATTCTGCTTAACTAGGCTGGCTGTCATTGGTTTAGAATGAAGTTTGCATTTGTAATTTCTTAGGTAACATAATGTCTCAGAAAACACAGATGTGGAGACAAGTTCCTTAAAGACCTCAGGAAAGCATAAGTTTGCTTCCTTCTCATTCAAGTTGATTGGTTTGGTGCCCCAGCAGGGATTATCCTTTACAAAGTCAGAGGTTAATTCCTTTAGTTCACTCAGGAGGAATGAATGATTTAGCTTTTTTGAAGCACTCTCAAACTTCTGTTTTTTATTTCATTCAGTTATTTATCCATTCAAATATTTACTAAGCATCCACACTGTGGGAGGACCTGGGCATGCAGTGGTAAATAAAAGTCATAATCCCTGCCCTTATGGAGCTAGTGGAAGAGAGAATGAACAGGTAAACAAGCAAAATAAATAGGTAATTACAAATTGAAAAAAGAACTATAAAGGAAATTATTTACTGGAGAGGGGCATGGTGGGGCTCTTCTTAGATAGCATGATTGGAGGTGGGCTTCTTTGAGAAGGAATATTTAAATCAAGATGCAAAGGAGGGTAAGGCCCTAGTGGGGCAGAGTGGACGAAAGTGCATTCCAGGCAGGGGGAGCATGATGTGTGTGTTAGTCCATTCTCATGCTGCTCTAAAGGACTGCCTGAGACTGGGTAATTTATAAAGGAAAGAGGTTTAATTGACTCACATTTCAGCATGGCTGGGGGGCCTCAGGAAACTTACAATCATGGTGGAAGGGGAAGCAAACATGTCCTTCTTCACATGGCGGCAGCAAGGACAAGTGCAGGGGGAACTCCTCCTATAAAACCATCAGATCGGTTGGGCGCGGTGGCTCACGCCTGTAATCCCAGCACTTTGGGAGGCCGAGGCGGGTGGATCATGAGGTCAGGAGATCGAGACCATCCTGGCTAACAAGGTGAAACCCCGTCTCTACTAAAAATACAAAAAATTAGCCGGGCGCGGTGGCGGGCGCCTGTAGTCCCAGCTACTCGGGAGGCTGAGGCAGGAGAATGGCGTGAACCCGGGAAGCGGAGCTTGCAGTGAGCCGAGATTGCGCCACTGCAGTCCGCAGTCCGGCCTGGGCGACAGAGCGAGACTCCGTCTCAAAAAAAAAAAAAAAAAAAAAAAAAAAAAAAAAAAAAACCATCAGATCTCATGAGACTTATTCACTACCACAAGAACAGTATAGGGGAAACCACCCCCATGATTTAGTTATCTCCACCTGGCCCTGCCCTTGACTTGTGGGGATTATTACAATTCAAGGTGAGATTTGGATGGGGACACAGCCAAACCATATCAATGTACTAAGAATTTGGTGTATCCTAGGGACTGAAAGAAGGCCTCTATGGCAGTAGAGTGGCTCAGGGTGAGATTGCAAGAGCAGCAGGGAAACTGTAGGTGAGGAATGTAGATTTTTATCCTCAGCACTTTAAGCTGAGAATATGTGATGGGAAGGGCTTTAAGCTGGGGAATATGTGCTGTGATTTACAATTGAAGAAGACTGTTGTGGCTATTATGTGGTGAATTGGTCAGAAAGCTAAGAGAGAAAGCCAGGGGCAATCTAGTAGGAGGCCATTTCAGTAATACAGGCAAGAGAGGATGGTGGCCTGGACCACGGTGGTGGCACTGGAGAGGAGAGGGGTAGGATGAGGACAGATTCAAGATCTGTTTTGGAGAAAAATTTCAAAAGGCTTGTTGCTAGATAAAATAGGGGTGGTAGTGAGAATATTCCAGTTCAGAAAAATTAGTACCTTCTGTTAAAAGCATTTTTACTAATATATTATTTTAAAATTGGTACTTAACATAAGGGAATTCAGTAGCATCCTTATAAATGTATTTTAACACTTTTATAATGTAAACACATAATCTGAAGAGCTTAGACTGCAGATGTTCTAAATGATTCATTTCTCAGAATTTCTTAAAGAAGTGGAAGTTATTACCATCAATATCTAAATCATCATCCTGGGCATATTTTTTTCTTTTGAGGTAGAATTTTCCCTATACCTCTCTATAAAATGAAAATTATTATGCTTGCTTCATTGAAAAATTTTTCTTAGGCCGGACATGGTGGCTCATGCCTGTAATCCCAGAACTTCGGGAGGCCGAGGTGGGTGGATCATTTGAGGTCAGGAATTCGAGACCAGCCTGGCCAACATGGTGAAACCACATCTCTGCTAAAAATACAAAAATTAGCCGGGCGTGGTGGTACATGTCTATAATCCCAACTACTCGGGAGGCTGAGGCAGGAGAATCACTTGAACCTGGGAGGTGGAGGTTGCAGTGAGCCAAAATTGTGCCATTGCACTCCAGCCTGGGTGACAGAGTGAGAAGATGTCTCAAAAAAAAAAAAAAAGGAAAAATTTTTCTTATTTTCACTTATTTGATTGAAATATTTCACTCAGTTGAAAAATACAGGATTAATGAAATCTATGGTACTAATTGGATAAATTTATTAATGTATGCTATAAGATACTACTCCAACATAATATCCTCCCCAGGTAAAAATGAAGATTTTAAAAAACAGCAACAGTACTTTTGTTTTTTTTCCCTCTTTCCTCAGTTTGGGCGTCATAGACTAAACCCAGAAAACAGAACATTGGGAAGTCTTCGGAATATTCTCTATCTTCTTCACCAACGAGTAAGGTGAGCTTTGTAGATGCCTCACATTCCGTGCTCTCCTTCAGCAGCCATCTCTGCCAGGGAGGGGTTGCATTTCCCTCTCTCACACTACTGCCTTGGTGGTGGCAACCTCCAAAACCTTTCCCTTGCTTGCTGTGCTTAGACATTTCCCATTTTAGGAGCCTAGTACAGTATGACAGCATTTTGGGAAATTATGGAAAAGTTCAGGTTCTTATTCTTTGTTAGTTACAAATATTCAGAACTCCTTCAGAAAGAGAACCCTTCTATACTTCAGTCACCCTGAGTGTGCTTTCATCAGTGGCATATCCTATGATGCCTCTTAGCAATATAACATCTGCCTATAGAATAGGAGTACTGGAGAAGGGAGGGGGCAGTGGAAAAAGTGATAATAGTGATGATGATGATGATAATGATGATGGTGGTGTTGGTAAGAGTAGCTAACATTTTCAGTGGTTTGCCATGTGGCAGACACTGACCTAGAGGCTACACATAGGTAATCTCAATCCTTTTTTTTTTTTTTTTTTTTTTTGGAGACAGAGTCTCGCTCTGTTGCCCGGGCTGGAGTGCAGTGGCGCTATCTCCGCTCACGGCAAGCTCCGCCTCCTGGGTTCACACCATTCTCCTGCCTCAGCCTCCCAAGTAGCTGGGACTACAGGCGCCTGCCACCACGCCTGGCTCATTTTTTGTATTTTTTAGTAGAGATGGGGTTTCACTGTGTTTGCCAGGATGGTCTTGATCTCCTGACCTCGTGATCTGCCCTTCTCAGCCTCCCAAAGTGCTGGGATTACAGGTGTGAGCCACCGCGCCCAGCCTTGTCAATCCTAACAGTAGCTCTGTGAGTTAAGAACTATTGTCATTTCCTGTTTCATTTAAAGAAACTGACACTTAGTGAAGTCAGATAAGTCAGGGACCTCCTTTGAAGCAAAAGCTCTTATAACTTTATTACTGTTCCTAGATACAAGATACTTTGAAAATAAATTTATTATTAAAATAAAATATGCAGCCAGGCAAAGTGGCTCATGCCTGTAATCCCAACACTTTGGAAGGCTGAGACAGGAGGATAGCTTGAGGCCAGGAGTTCAAGACCAGCCTGGGCAAAGTAGTGAGACCCTGTCTCTACAAAAAATATTTACAAAATTAGCCAAGCATGTGGCACAAACCTGTAATCACAGCTACACACGAGGCTGAAGCAGGAGATTCACTTGAGCCCGGCAGATTGAGGCTGTACTGAGCTATGATGGCACCACTGTACTCCAGCCTGGGCTAAAGAGGCAAGACCTTGTATAAAAAAAATAAAAAAAAAAAAAGAACATTCAAGGGACTAAAAGACAAAATTAGGCTGGGCGTGGTGGCTCACACCTATAATCCCAGCACTTTAGGAGGCCAAGGCAGGCAGATCGCTTTAGCTCAGGAGTTTGATACTGGCCTGGGCAACATAGTGAGACCCCGTCTCTACACAAATAAAAAATTAGCTAGGCATCCTGGTGCCTGCCTGTAGTCCCAGCTACCCAGGAGGCTGAGGTGGAAGGATTGCTTGAACCCAGGAGGTCGAGGCTGCAGTGAGCTGTGATTGTGCCACTGCACTCTAGCCTGAGCAACAGAGTGAGACCTTCTATCAAAAAATAAAATAAAATAAAAGACAAAGAATATGTATAAAGTAAAAAATAAATACTCACTATATCAAGTATTGGGAGGGATGTTGGAGCAACCAGAACTTACTTTCTTATGCTGCTGGTGGGAATATAGAATGGTACAGCTGCTTTGGAAGGCAATTTGGCATTTTCTTTAAAAATTTTTATATACCACACCTATTATAGGACCCAGCCATCCACTTCAGGGTATTTACCCAAGAGAAATGAAGGCATATGTCTACACAAAAGCTTGTATACAAATGTTAATAATGGCTTTGTTTTTTTTTTTTTAATTTTTTAATTTTTGATTTTTGTGGGTACATAGTAGGTATATATTTTTGAGGTATGTGAGATGTTTTGATACAGGCATGCAAAGCATAATAATCACATCATGGAAAATGGGGTATCTATCCTCTCAAACATTTATTCTTTTTGTTACAAACAGTCCTATTATACTCTTTTAGTTATTTTTAAATGTACAATTAAATTATTATTGACTATAGTCACCTGTTGTGCTAGCAAATACTAGGTCTTATTCAAACTATCTATTTTTGTACCTATTAACCATCCCCACCTTCCCCCCGCCACTACTCTTCCCAGTAGTCTCTGGTAACCATCCTTCTACCTTTATCTCCATGAGTTCAATTGTTTTGATTTTTAGGTCCCTCAAATAAGTGAGAACATGCGATATTTGTCTTTCTGTGCCTGGTTTGTTTCACTTAGCAGAATGACCTCCAGTTCCATCCATGTTGTTACAAACAACAAACTCTCATTCTTTTTGATGGCTGAATAGTACTGCATTTTGTATAAGTACCACATTTTCTTTATCCATTTATCTGTTGATGGACATGTAGCTTGCTTCCAAATTTAAGACATTATTTGTAAGAACCAAAAACTAGGGCCTGGCACGGTGGCTCACACCTGTAATCCCAGCACTTTGGGAGGCTGAGGCGGGCAGATCACGAGGTCAGGGGATCGAGACCATCCTGGCTAACATGGTGAAACCCCATCTCCACTAAAAATACAAAAAAAAATTAGCCTGGTGTCGTGGCGGGTGCCTCTAGTCCCAGCTGCTAGGGAGGCTGAGGCAGGAGAATGGCATGAACTCGGGAGGCGGAGCTTGCAGTGAGCCGAGATCGCGCCACTGCACTCCAGCCTGGGCGACAGAGCGAGACTCCGTCTCAAAAAAAGGAAAGTACTTTGACAACAGAAGTCTGTGTTGAAATCTAAAACCTCTATTGCTTGTTCTTATCAAAGTAGCTATCTAGGTAGCATGTTCTCTGATGCAGGAGCTGACTTCTGTTTTTTCAAACCTCTTTCCCTTTAGACGTTTTGGAATAATGGGACTCTACAAAGGCCTTGAAGCCAAACTGCTGCAGACAGTCCTCACTGCTGCTCTCATGTTCCTTGTTTATGAGAAACTGACAGCTGCCACCTTCACAGTTATGGGGCTGAAGCGTGCACACCAACACTGAGACGCCTTCCCATGAAAAATTCCGAAGATGCTCAAGAGGGAGGTTTCCTCCTGAGTGAAGAGAAGTGATTCTCCCTTGACTCTGGCTCCTGCCACCACAAATGTTACCCTCATTGGCTTGAAAAGCATCCAAGGGTGCACAGGGAGTATGGCCAACTGGACCTGTTGTCACCTTAATTGTCATGCTGGCTGGTTGGATTTTGGGGTGGCAGTTGGACTAATGTGAAAAAAACATTGCTGAAAACCTAAAAATGAAAGTTTGTGAGTGTTTATTGGTTTTCTTAAGAGAAATGGACTATTTTGCTCTCATGTGTAATGTTTTCTATTTAAATCTTTCTTAAATATACCAGCTGTTCTCTTTCCCTGAACTCTCCCCCAGGTTCTAGGACAAATTTAATAACATGTAATTCTCCTCAAATACTTTTGTATGTCTCAGTGTTGGTGTTTTCCTCCCTAAAACTAACATTAGGGCTGTGCCACGGGCATGACTTTATTTTTGTTGGGCTTTTTTTTCCCTGCTTAAGGAGAGGTGTCTTTTTTGGATATGAGCTATTTATTTTGTGAAATGAAAATTGTTCACCCAAATGATTCTCTTATAAACTATTTGTAAATGTCACTTATTCATTAGTGTTTGACATAATTTTTAGAATATTTATTTTGAATCAATCCTTTCATTACGAAAGACTTGAAGTTTTGTGTCCATTCTTACAAGCCCTGGTCAGTCAAGTCCCAATAAATGGTCAGCACAAAAAAGATATTCTTGAAAATTGCTCTTTATTAAGGTATTACGTTGAGTTTGCAACCAGATGGGAAAAATCACAAAAATGAGAAGGGGAGCAGATATCTTGTTGAGGTCTGGATATTATCTCCCTTTATAAACTTGGTGTAGGCCGTATATTTTGAAAATAAACATCTGGTTGAGGTTATTTCATTTGGAAACCTTCCTTAGAGTCCTGTTGCTCAGTGTGGTCCATCAGACGGTAGTACTGCCACAAGCTGAGAGCTTGCTGGGCACGCAACCCAGAGTTTCTGAATCCTGTTCCGTATTTTAACATTCCCAGGTGATTCACAGCCACATTAAAGTTCAGGAGACCATAGGACCCCTGACCCATGAGAAGAAGTGATTGGTTTCGATTATAGACATCAAGATAAAGATTTTTCTCAAAGGAAAGAGATTAATGTATTAAAACAACCTCTGAAAAATCTAGGAGTCGTATGTCATCTTTTGCTTTCACCTCACAGCACGTTGTTAAGGTGGTAAGGCTTTTATTATGCGGCCAGGAGTGGATTTAGATATCTCGACCCACTCAGGAAGCAAATTCACTTGACATTAGCAGAGCGGTTCTTTGGATTTCTATGACTTCCTTTTTGTCCCTATGACAAAATGGCGGGTTTTTCATTTGTAAGTCCATGATTTAGTCAGAGAGAGTAATAATGAAATACTTCATTATTAAGGATTTAGTTCAATTTTGAGAGTGGAAATTTCCTTCTCTTATTTCCTCTCTTTAGTCCCTGTGGTAATTTCAAAGTATATGATTGTTAAAGATCATTGCATTGTTCTAGCAAACAAAAATTAGCAGGAGCTAATAATCTGGGAAGAAGACTGAACATTCATCCCCTATTTAAGTCAGAGAATTGAAGACAGAATTGTTTTTTCTATTTTTTAATTTTACTTTAAGGTTTTTGTGTGCCTGTGGCAGACCTTGAGTGGGAAGTACAAAATTATTTTGATTTCTGTATAGGAGAAAAATGATCATAAAGGTGTCATGTGTATTTTCATTATTGTTTTAATTATGCCGTTCCCTTTGGAACTTGAATTTTGAGCTCAGAATATTGTGAGTTGGTCTGTTAGGATAATTTCCAGTTCGAATTATATAGCTGTATTAGGTATTTATGATGTGAGAATGTATTTGATGCTTCTCTTTTTCTGATTTTATGAGGAAACAATTTAACATTGAGGGTTATGTTCCTTATGGAAATTTACAAACTCACTAGTTGAAACTAGTTAGTAACCCACCTAGTTTTATAACCATTGGTTAATAATAAGTTGTTTGAGGAAACTAAAGAGCTGAAGTCTGTACTAGGGAAATGGGAATTTTTTATTTTTGATACTTTGTGCAATTTCTCTAGAATATGAGGATTAAGAACCTTAGGGATTGTATTAGTGTCACAGCAGTAGAAAATGTAATTTCTGTAAGTATTTAATATGTGTTTTGAAGTGGGCACTGTAATATTTCTACCCTTGTCTGTTGTACAGTTAAGTATGAAATGCAGAAATAGATCTAGCATAAGAACATATTCAATGGGAGTTAGAAATCTTGGGTTTTATTCCCAGCTCTGTTGCTGACTAGCATTTTACGCCATCTCTTTGTAATTTGCTGTTTGATAAGTGGAGATAATACTACCCACTTCAGAGGATGTTTGAGAGCTAATGATGTCAGCCAAATCCCTTTATGACTGTGGAATAGGGAAGATCTGAGTGAAACTTTAGACAGTACCTAGATGTATATAGCAATTTCCCTTTTGAAAGCTTATATACTTTCTCATTTTATAATCCTAATATTTCTGTGAAATAGGTAAGGACAAGTAACAATATCCCCATTTAATTGACAAGGAAATTGAGAGAAAACTCTCAAATGACTTGCCGCTTTGGAAGCAGGACTAGAGTTTTAGTTTCCTGCAATCTACTGTAATGATTAAGAGAATGGGTTCTGGAATTAGACCTAGGTGCAAACTTGCCCTACTCCTTACCAGCTGTGGTAACAAAGCAATTACTGAACTTTTATGAAACTTGATTTCCTCAATTATGAAATGGAGGTTTTTTTTTTTGAGATGGAGTTTCGCCCTTGTTGCCCAGGCTAGAGTGCAATGGCACAATCTCGGCTCACCGCAACCTCCGCCTCCCGGGTTCAAGCAATTCTCCTGCCTCAGTCTCCCGAGTAGCTGGGATTACAGGATGCGCCACCATGCCCAGCTAATTTTGTATTTTTAGTAGAGACAGGGTTTCCCTATGTTGGTCAAGCTGGTCTCAAACTCCCAACCTCAGGTGATCCGCCCACCTTGGCCTCCCAAAGTGCTGGGATTATAGGCGTGAGCCACCACGCCTGGCGAAACGGAGATCTTGATAAACCTACCTCATAGGGGGATTGTGAGGATTAAATGAGATCATACACGTAAGTCGCTTAGCCCGGTACTTGCCACATGAGAAGAGCTAGATAAATGTTAGCAACAACTATTATGATATCATTGTTACTGGTTAGGGATATGGCTATTTGAATAGATGTATCTGTGATTTAGTGGAAGGCACTCTGGATTTTGAGCCAGACCTGGTCCCAGTTTTCATTCTGTCACTTTATTAGCATTTGTGGCTACAGACAGATCACTTGACCTTTTTGAGCTTCCAGGTCTTCATCTGTCAAGTAGAAATGATGACCTCTCAATCTTCCCGTTTGTTTTAATTGTGAACGTTTCTTTTTTGGGAGCCTTCCTTTGTTGTATCTTCTCAAAAAAGGAGCCAAATCCAGTAATTTTATATTTTATTTAGTAGTCAAGTTTCCCAAACACTTATCAGTTAATCAGTAAAACATGAACTGGTTTAATGGCAACATCACTGATTGAGCTAGTGACTCACCTTGGCTCTTTTGAAAAGCTAAAGAATGGTGACTTGAGGAGCCAAATGCCACACACCTAAGGAGAGCCCTTCTCTGGGCAAGTGAATTAATTACTTGCCTGGCAGTGTGGAATGTCACCAGAATACCCAACATACACAAAGCCTCATTTGTAGGATATTCATGAGAATAGCACTAAAAGTGGCTGATTGAGGCCAGGCACCAGGGCTCACGCCTGTAATCCCAACACTTTGGGAGGCGAAGGCAGGAGGATCACTTGAGTCCAGGACTTCGAGACCAGCCTGGGCAACATAGTAAGACCCCGTCTCAATTACTTAAAAAAAAAAAAAAATCAGCTGGGCACCACGGCTCATGCCTGTTGTCCTAGCTTCTTGGGAGGCTGAGGTAAGAGGATCGCTTGAGCCCAGGAGGCGGAGGTTGCAGTGAACCATGGTCGCACCACAGCACTCCAGCCTGGGTGACAGAGCAAGAACCTATACCCCGCACCCCCCACCCACCACAAAAAAGTGGCTGATTGAGACCCTGATTGTTTTGTTTTGTTTTGCCTTCATAGGAGCAGTGGGAGGGCTTTTATTACTATATAAATTGAAGGTTAGTGCTGATCTTTCTGGGATATACTTGTTGCCCCTGAAAAGTGTATTCAGTGGGCTTAATGAGCAAGAAAAAAAGTTTTCTAGGGGCTAAGTGGAGAAGAAGGAAAGCTACTATTTAAAGACAGAGTGAAAAAGAAATTAGGAGTTGGTATGAGAGTCAAGGAAAGGGAGAGACCAGTGCCTACCACAACACTCAAAAGAGATGTTCAAAAAATGTGTGGCAAGTACATACTGGACAGTGAACTGTGGGACCCAGCAAATGGATTCAGTCTGTAATGACATTGAAAAGGAAGGAGAACTCTGTTTGAAACTAGTTACAGAGCATGAGAGTGGGTACTGAAACTTCTATACAAGAAATTGAATGCCCACTAAATGCTAGTCACAATTAATTTACATACATCTTTTGTTTTTTTCTTTGAGACAGAGTCTCGCTCTGTCACACAGGCTGGAGTGCAGTGGTGCGATCTCGGCTCACTGCAAGCTCCGCCTCCCGGGTTCAAGCCATTCTCCTGCCTCAGCCTTCTGAGTAGCTGGGACTACAGGTGCCCACCACCACGCCCGGCTAATTTATTTCTATTTTTAGTAGAGATGGGGCTTCACCATGTTAGCCAGTCTCGAACTCCTGGTCTCGAACATCATGGTCTCGAACTCCTGACTTCATGATTCGCCCGCCTCGGCCTCCCAAAGTGCTGGGATTACAGGCTTGAGCCACCGCGCCCGGCCTATGTACATCTTGATATCCTTGTAACAACTCCAGCGTATGGGGTTTATTCCCATTAACAGGTGAAGTAGTTGAAGCTTAAAGGGTAATTTATCTATAGTCACACACCTCATGAATAGGGGTAGGGATTCCTAGTTGAGGCTCTTTTTACCCTGCCATACTACATTCTTCAGATGTCCTTAAAAGTAAGCCATCTAGGCCGGGTGCAGTGGCTCACGCCTGTAATCCCAGCACTTTGGAAGGCCAAGGTGGGTAGATCACCTGAGGTCAGGAGTTCAAGACCAGCCCAACCAACATGGTGAAACCCTGTCTCTACTAAAAATAGAAAAATTAGCGGTGTGGTGGCAGGCGCCTGTAATCCCAGCTACTTGGGAGGCTGAGGCGGGAGGATAGCTTGAACCAAGGAGGCAGAGGCTGCAGTGAGCCGAGATCATGCCACTGCACTCCAGCATGGGTGACAGCAAGACTCCATCCCCCGCAAAAAAAAAGTAACCTTCATTTATTTCTTTAATTAGAAATGTATTTATTTATTTATCTTCATTTATTCTTTAATTGGAGTCACCAAAATGATCTACCCTAAGGGCACTATTGATGTAATTGTGTCACGTGCACCTCATTCTTGTTTTGCTGTGGTTTCTATAGAACCCATTGGCAAATTGGATGGCCAATCCAGCAGGTGGTTCCCTGTGTGGGTGTCATATGGAGGACCTTCTTAAATTGCAAATTCCTATTCTAAGAATAAGGTTATATTCATTTAAGAAATCATTTTTGATTATCTGCCATATCCAAACACTATGCAGATTGCTGGGATTATACAGATGAATAATAGTCTCTGCCCTCATGTATGTCATTGTTCAGCGTGGGAGTCAGACAAAAACAACTTAAAATTGTACCGCTGATGAGTTCTGATGAGAAATGTGCTGTAAATGTTCAGGAGTTGCTTTGAGAGCATGAGGAAGTGGGACCTAACTCTGTATTGAACTGTGGGGCCAGGCGGTGACATTTGAACTAGAAATACACCAAGCAGTGGGTGGAGGACCTCGACAGGAAATAAATAGCATATGCAAAGTAGGAAGAGGATGATACTTTATTATTTGTGCATTGGTTTGAATTAGATCCAGAAGCTTTCCAACCTGGACCTCTGGGTTGAACAAATATTGAAGCGGAGGAGAAGAAACAGCATCAGGTCACAGAGGGCCTTCAACAAGGGAGGAGGGGTGATTAGGACCCCCATTCTACTTAGCAGTTATGTCTACATGTAGACTTGGGAAAGAAGATAAGGTGCTTGTACTCTAAGAATTTAAAATGTAGGCCGGGTGTCATGGCTCATGCCTGTAACCCTAGCACGTTGGGATGCCAAGGCTGGTGGATCACGTGAGCCCAGGAGTTTGAGACCAGCCTGGCCAACATGGCAAAACTCTGCCTCTACAAAAAATACAAAAATTAGCCAGCCATGGTAGTGCACGCCTATAGTCCCAGCTACTTGCGAGGCTGAGGTGGGAGGAACATCTGAACCCAGGAGGCAGAGGTTGCAATGAGCCATGGTCGCACCACCGCACTCCAGCCTGGGCGACAGAACGAGACCCTGTCTCAAAAAAAAAGAAAACAAAAACAAAAAAACCGGCATGGTGGCTCACGCCTGTAATCCCAGCAATTTTGGAGGCCAAGGCTGGGGGATCACTTTAGGCCAGGAGTTTGAGACCAGCCTGGCCAACATGGAGAAACCCCATTTCTACTAAAAATACAAAAACTAGGCAGATTTGGTGGCAGGCACCTGTAATCCCAGCTACTCGGAAGGCTGAGGCAGGAGAATCACTGGAACCCAGGAGGCAGAGGCTGCAGTGAGATCATGCCACTGCACTCCAGCCTGGGTGACAGAGTGAGACTGTCTCAAAAAAAAACAAATTAAATCTAATTTTATTTCATTTATTTTTGTAGAGATAGGGTCTTACTATGTTGCCCAGGCTGGTCTCAAACTCCTGGACTGAAGCAATCCTCCCACTTTGGCCTCCCAAAGTGCTGGGAGTACAGACATGAGCCACCATGCCTGGCTAATTTTAAATGTACTTTAAAAATTAGACATAGGGCTAGGCGACAGAGTGAGACCCTGCCTCAAAAAAAAAAAAAAAATAATAATAATAATGAGACATAGCATTAATTGTTTCATTTTACCTTTATGAAGACTGACCAGGAAGAACAGTTTAGGCTTACTGTGAATTCTTGTTATTATCAAGGTCTGGACTTGGATTTATCTTGATTAATACAGAGATGTTTACTTGGAAACTAGTACAGAGACTAGATGAGGTTTTTTTTTCCCCTCCTAATTTTCATGTGTGTGTGTGTGGTAAAATACACATGGCATACCATCTTAATCTTTTTTTTTTTTTTTTTTGAGCCAGAGTTTCACTCTTGTTGCCCAGGCTGGAGTACAATGGCACGATCTCGGCTCACCGCAACCTCTGCCTCCTAGGTTCAAGCGATTCTCCTACCTCAGCCTCCCCAGTAGCTGGGATTACAAGCATGCGCCACCACACCCGGCTAATTTTGTATTTTTAGTGGAGACGAGGTTTCTCCATGTTGGTCAGGCTGGTCTTGAACTCCCATCCTCAGGTGACCCGCCCACCTCGGCCTCCCAAAGTGATGGGATTACGGGCGTGAGCCACCGCGCCCCGCCCCATCTTAACCATTTTTAAGTGTAGAGTTCAGAAGCATTTAATATATTTGTAATATTGTTCAACCAACAGCACCATTCATCCTAGAACGCTTCATCTTGTAAAACTGAAACTCTAAACCCATTAAACACTAATTCCCCACTCCCCACCTTCCCCTGTCCTCTGGCAGCCACCATTCTCGTTTCTGTCTCTATGATTTTGACTACCGTAAGTACCTCATCTAAGTGGAATCACACAGTAATTGTCTAACTGTGACTGGCTTATTTCACTCAGCATAATGTTCTTGAGGTTCACCTATGTTGTAGCATAGGTCAGAATTTCCTTCCTTTTTGAGGTCGAATAATATTCCATTGTATGTATATATCACATTTTGCTTCTCTATCGACATTTGGGTTGCTTCCACATTTTAGCTATTGTGAATAATGCTGCTGTGCACATGGGTATACAAATATCTCTTTGAAACCTTGCTTTTAATTCTTTTGGATACATACCCAGAAGTAAATTTGCTGGATCATATGGTAATTCTATCTTTAATTTTTTTTTTTATCTGAGACAGAGTCTTGCTCTGTCACCCAGGCTGGAGTGCAATGGCGCGATCTCAGCTCACTGCAGCCTCCACCTCCCTTGTTCCAGCAATTCTCCTGCCTCAGCCTCCCAAGTAGCTGGGATTACAGGTGCCCGCCACCACACCTGGCTAATTTTTGTATTTTTAGTAGAGACAAGGTTTCACCATGTTGGCCAGGCTGGTCTCAAACTCCTGACCTCAGGTGATCCACCCACCTCAGCCTCCCAAAGTGCTGGGATTACAGGCATGAGCCACTGTGCCCAGCTCTATTTTTAATTTTTTGAGGAATCACCGTACTCTTCCATGGCAGCTGCACCATTTTACGCTCCCACCAACAGTGCACAAGGGTTCCAATTTCTCCACATCCTCATCAACGCTTATTATTTTCTGCTTTTTTGATAGTAGCCATCGTAACGGGGTGTGCGGTGGTATCTCATTGTCGTTTTGATTTGCATTTCCCTAATGATTAGTGATAATGAGTATCTCTTCATTTGCTTATTGGCCATTTGTATATCTTCTTTGGGGAAATGTCTATCCAAGTCACTTGCCTACTCCCTAGTGAGCCAACTCAGAATTTAAAAAAAAAAAGTTATTTGCCTGTTTTTGAATCAAGTGTTTTTTTGTTGTTGAGTTTTAGGAATTCTCTATATATTCTAGATATTAATCTCTTATCAGACGTATGATTTGCAAATATTTTCTCCCATTCTGTGGGTTGCCTTTTTACTCTGTTGATAGTGTCTTTTGATGTACGCATTTTTAAATTTTCATGAAGTCCAACCTGTCTGTTTTTTGTTGTTTTTGCCTGCTACTTGGAAAGCTGAGGTGGGAGAATACTGCTTGAACCCAAGAGGTGGAGGTTGCAGTGAGCCGAGATCACGCCATTGCACTCCAGCCTGGGTGACAGTGAGACTCTATCTCAAAAAAAAAAAAAAAAAGAAACTAGTTGAGTTTTTGAGTTCTTTATTTTGCATTTGTTAGTGTATTAAAAATTATAAAAGATTGGGTGCAGTAGCTCATGCCTATAGTCCCAGCACTTTGGGAGGCCAAGGCAGAAGGACCGCCTGAGCCCAGGAGTTTGACCAGCCTAGGCAACATAGCAAGACCTCATCTCTAGAAAAAATTATCTGGGCATGGCGGTGCACACCTGCAATTCCAGCTACTCGGAAGGCTGAGATGGAAGGATTGCTTGAGCCCAGGAGCCAGGAGGTGGAAGCTGCAGTGAGCCATGATCATGTCACCACCCTCCAGCCTGGGTGACAAAGCAAGATACTGCCTCAAAAAAAAAAAATATATATATATATATATATAATATATATATAATATGTATATATAAATTATATACACACATTTATATATAAATGTATTAAATACATATATAAGGATAATATATAAATTATCCTTCACCTTAAGTCTTCACTGTTTTTAGATATATATTTTATATATATTTAATATATGTTATACATGTTAAATATATTTACATATGTTATATATAGTAAATATATATAACATATTTATATTTTAATTTTTTTATTATTATTTTTTTGAGACGGAGTCTCGCTTTGTTGCCCAGGCTGGAGTGCAGTGGCGCTATCTCGGCTCACTGCAAGCTCCGCCTCCTGGGTTCACGCCATTATCCTGCCTCAGCCTCCCGAGTAGCTGGGACTACAGGCACCCGCCACCACGCCTGGCTAATTTTGTGTATTTTTAGTAGAGAGGGGATTTCACCGTGTTAGCCAGGATGGTCTCAATCTCCTGACTTCGTGATCCGCCCGCCTCGGCCTCCCAAAGTGCCGGGATTACAGGTGTAAGCCACCGCGACCGGCCAAATCTCTTTTTTTTTTTTGTTTTTAGGAGACTGCGTCTTGCTTTATTTCCCCGGGCTGAGTACAGTGGCATGGTCATAGCTCACTGCAGCTTCAAACTCCTGGGCTCAAGTGACCCTCCTGCCTCAGTCTCCTGAGAGGCTGGGATTACAGGCTAAATTATTTTATTAACCCCTTGAACCATGGAGTTATGTTAGGCAAAGTGCATCTGTAGAAATGCTTTATTATTATGATGATAGTCATGGAAATCAAAAGGAAATTTTATGGATTATCTTTGTTGATGTTTTCATTCATAAATAAACTCCCATTTGATAGAAAATGGCTGCATTTGTTTTTAACTTTGCAGTTATAGATATGAAGAAAGCTTTAAACCACCAGAGGGCATTGCAGTCAGCTTCTTATTATAAATCATTATAAATCACTGCTGTCAGAGATGCCTAGTGAAATTTGTTCCCAATTAAACCAGAAAAAGAAGCATTTTTAGGCCGGGTGCTGTGGCTCACACCTGTAATCCCAGCACTTTGGGAGGCCAAGGCGGGCGGATCACGAGGAGTTCGAGACCAGCCTGACCAACATGGTGAAACCCCATCTCTACTAAAAATACAAAAATCAGCCAGGCGTGGGGGTTTGTGTCTGTAATCCCAGCTACTCAGGAGGCTGAGACAGGAGAATCGCTTGAACCTGGGAGGCAGAGGTTGCAGTGAGCCAAGATCACACCACTGCACTCCAGCCTGGGCAACAGAACAAGACTCCGTCTCAAAAAAAAAAAAAAAAAAAAAAGGAAGCATTTTTAGATCTCATAAACAATCTGAATAGGAGCTGTGGCTTGAACTTAGTGGAACACTACCTTGAAGCACCTTTTTATATGTATTAAAGCAAAGAGTGGAGTTGGTAGTACTTTGCTGAAATTGTATTGTTTTACTTTTTTCTTTCCCCAAGCGTATGCCCAAACTTTTAATTTGTCATCTATCATTTATCATCTTTTTTGGCCAAAGAATGAAGCCAAGTACCTCTCCATATCAACAGGTATTGAAGTGCGAGACACAAAAGTTACAGTTTTTGGCCAGTAGTATCCACCTCTTTATGGCCTTTATTGGAGCTAACAGAAACCTGCAAAATTAGGCAGCCGGGCACGGTGGCTCACACCTGTGATCCCAGCAATTTGGGAGACCAAGGCAGAGAGATCACTTAAGCTCAGCAGTTCGAGACAAGTCTAGGCAACATGGCAAGACCCTGCCTCTACAAAAAATACAGGCATGGTGGTGTGTGCCTGTGGTCCCAGCTAATTGTGGGGCCGAGGCAGGAGGATTGCTCAAGCCTCAGAGGCCAAGGCTGCAGTGAGCTGAGATTGCACCACTGCACACTCCAGCCTGGGCAACAAAGTGAGACCCTGTCTAAAAAAAAAAAAGAAAAGAAAGAAAAGAAACATACAAAATAGAATGATCCACAGTTTGTTAAAACTCCCTCGTTCCTGTTCACCATTGGTGGAAGTGCCAACAGGCAGAAAAATGATTAAAAGTCAGAGCAGGAGGTAAAAAGCATTTTGACAACCCATGAATTTAAAAATCAAATCCTCACTAAACAAGTGTTGTTAATGTAAACAGGTAAAACGTCTTTCCACATCATCTGTATTTTTTTTTCTTTTGAGACAGTTTCGCTCTTGTTGCTCAGCCTGGAGTGCAATGGCACGGTCTCAGATTACTGCAACGTCTGCCTCCCAGGTTCAAGCAATTCTCCTGCCTCAGCCTCCCAAGTAGTTGGGATTACAGGCACGCGCCGCCACGCCCAGCTAATTTTGTATTTTTTTTTTTAGTAGAGACGGCGGGGTTTCACCAGGTTGGTCAGACTCGTCTCGAACATGTGACCTCAAGTGATCCACCCGCCTTGGCCTCCCAAAGTGCTGGGGTTACAGGCATGAGCCACCACAATTGGCCCATATCATCTGAAATAAATGTGGTAACTATTGAGGCTTCCTGGTTATAGCTGACTAGAGCTCTCATTGGTCTATATTCCAGGAGCATTTGAGATATTAATTTATTTTACGAACACTTACTGAGTACATTTGTGCCAGTGACTGGCTAAAGCTGTAGCATACAGATATAAACACTGATTATTAATCTTTGTATATTTCTTTGTAGTTCATAAAACAATCTGGCATCCACCCTCTTATTTGGTGCTGCAGACCTCTGAGATGCAGTGGGCAGGTGATATCTCCATTTTATAGGTGTGGAGACAGGTTCCAAATTGTTAAATGACTCATTCATAGTCAAACAGCCAGTAACTGACAGAGCAGGACCAAACAGGTCTTCTAATTTCAAATGCCATCCTTTTTTCCACAACAGCATGCTGTCTTCCTAGAAGAGGTAAGCCTATTACTCTCGATACATATTATATGCCAAAGGACCCCAGGTTAAAAATATAGCCACTCGATGGTTGTGATTGTTTAGCTTAACAAGCAACTTAGCAAATAAGTTCAGAAGTTTGCCAGCACTATTTCTCTTTTCTCCAAAGATCAAAGGTAGATTCAGCATACAGTCAATGAAAGAAAATAAATTGGATTCTTTTTTAGTATTTGGTTGACCTTTACTAAGAATCTCTTTCCGCCGAGTGCGGTGGCTCACGCCTGTAATCCCAGCACTGGAGGTCAGGAGTTTGAAAACAATCTGGCCAACACGGTAAAACTCCATCTCTATTAAAAATACAAAAATTGGCCGGGTGTGGTGGCAGGTGCCTGTAGTCCCAGCTACTCAGAAGGCTGAGGCAGGAGAATCGCTTGAACTCAGGAGGCAGAGGTTGCAGTGAGTTGAAATCACGCCACTGCACTCCAGCCTGGGAGACAGAACAAGATGCCATCTCAAAAAAAAAAAAAAAGAATATCTTTCAAGGCTCAGTTCCTGCATCTTTTTCCTTGAGGTATGATTTATGCAGTAACACCCACGTTAAAAAGAGTAGGCCCATCATTTGAATTTCAAGTTTGGGTGAGGATGTCCGTAAGACAAAGGTCTCTGGAATGCTTTTTATTTTATTTTATTTTATTTTGGAGACAGAGTCTTGCTCTGTCACCCAGGCTGGAGTGCAGTGGCATGATTAAAGCTCATTGCAGCCTCAACCACGCAAGCGATTCACTCACCTCAGCCTCCCGAGTAGCTGGTACCACAGGCAAGTGTGACCCTGCCCAGCTAATTTTTTTTTTTTTTTTTGTAGGTGGGGTCTTACACTATATTGACTAGGCTGGGAGGTATGTATGTCTTTGTTAGTTTTTGGAACATAATACTCTGGGTGAAGCTCTGTCAAGCACCTTCAGCATTAAATTGTATTTATTTGTTTACTTACCTACCCGCTCAACCAAGTAGATTCAGAGCTCTGAATCCTCGTTAACATGGCTAAGTACCAGGCATTGCTATGAATATTCTGTAAATATTTGTCCATTGAGTTTATATTGAGGGGGGTGGGCTACAGTGTTGAGAAAGACATGGCTTCCCTAAGATTTAGTGCCTTAGAAATTTCACCATATTAAATACCATATGGTTGATGCACTCCTATCTTAGTCTGACTTGAATGAAGTGTGGGCGTGTCTAGGCAGAAGGAAGCTGAGAAATACATGCATGATCTCAGGAGCTTGTGAGTAGAAAAGGTACTGTGTAATAAAACAAGAATGCTAGCCTCAGTGGCTCACATCTGTAATCCCAGCACTTTGGGAGGCCAAGGCGGGTGGATCACATAAGGCTAGGAGTTCAAGACCAGCCTGGCCAACATGGTGAAACCCCATCTCTACTAAAAATACAAAAATCGCCAGGCGTGGTGGCATGCACCTGTAATCCCAGCTGCTTGGGAGGCTGAGGCACAAGAATCGCTTGAACCCGGGAGGTGGAGGTTTCAGTGAGCTGAGATCACACTACTGCACTCCAGCCTGGGAGACAGTGAGACTCTGTCTCATGAAAAAGGAAAACAAAACAAAACAAAACAGGAATGCTAGCCATGCTAGCCTGGGTAACATGGCAAGACTCCATCTCTACAAAAAATTAAAAAGAAAAATAGCCAGGCATGGTGGCATGTTTCAGCAGTCTGAGCTACTCTGGAGGCTGAGGTGGGAGGATCACTTGAACCTAGGAGTTTGAGGCTGCAGTGAGCTACGATCATGCCACTGCAGTCTGGCCTGGGTGACAGAGCGAGACCCTGTCCCTTAAAAAGACGTCAACAAATAATTTTTGAAGATCTGCCATGTGCCAGCCACTTTGCTAAGCAATAGGGATAAAATGTAAATGAGACAGACAAGATTCTTGTCTTATGGGATTTGCATTAGAATGGAAAGAGACAGACAATAAGCATATAAACCAGTAAAGTGATTTTAGACATACCTAAGAGCTATAAAGAACATAAACTAGGGAGAATTTTTTTTTTTCTTTTTGAGACGGAGTCTCGCTCTGTTGCCCAAGCTGGAGTGCAGTGGCACAATCTAGGCTCTCTGCAAACTCCGCCTCCTGGGTTCAAGCAATTCTTCTGCCTCAGCCTCCCGAGTAGCCAGGATTACAGGCGCCCAACACCATGCCTGGCTAATTTTTTGTATTTTTAGCAGAGACAGGGTTTCGCCATATTAGCCAGGCTGGTCTCAAACTCCTGACCTCAGGCAGTCCACCCACTGCAGCCTTCCAAAGTTCTGGGATTACATGCGTGAGCCACTGTGCCAGCCCCCAAGGCACAGTCTTAAGAGGTCCTAAGAACATGTGCCCAAGGTGGTTGGGTTACAGCTTGATTTTATATGTTTTAGGGAGACATAAGACATCAATCAATACATGTCAGCTGTACATTGGTTTAGCCCGGAAAGGTTGGGGAGGGGAGCTTACAGGTCCTAGGTGGATTCAAAGAGTTTCTGATTGGCAATTTGTTGAAAGAGTTATTATCTTAAGACTCAGAATCGGCCAGAAACAGTGGCTCACACCTGTAATCCCAGCATTTTGGGGGCCAAGAAGGGTGGATCACCTGAGGTCAGGAGTTTGAGACCAGCCTGCCAACATGGTGAAACCCTGTCTCTACTAAAAAAAAAAAAAAAAAAAAAAATTAGCTGGGTGTTGTAATGCATGCCTGTTGTAATCTCTGCTACTTGGGAGGCTGAGGCAGGAGAATTGCTTGAACCTTGGAGGCAGAGGTTGCAATGAGCTGAGATCCTGCCACTGCACTTCAGCCTGGGTGACAGCGACACTCTGCCTCAAAACAAAACAAAACAAAACACCTGGAATCAATAGAAAGGAGTATCTGGGTTTAGATAAGGGGTGGGTTGTGGAGACTAAAGTTCTTACTATATAGATGAAGTCTCACAGGTGGGTGCCCTTAGAGGCAATAGATGGCAAATGTTTCCTGTTTAGATCTCTAAAAGGTGCTAGATTCTGAACCAATCTCTTCAGGATCAGAAAAAGACCTGGAAAGGGGCCAGAATTCTCTAGAGAATGTAAATTTCCCCCACAAGAGACCACTTTGTAGGGTCATTTAGAAATGTCAAAGAAGGCCGGGCATGGTGGCTCATGCCTGTAATCCCAGCACTTTGGGAAGCCAAGGCAGGTGGATCATGAGGTCAGGAGATTTGGCTAACATGGTGAAACCCCATCTCTACTAAAAATACAAAAATTAGCCGGGTGTGGTGGTGGGCGCCTGTAGTCCCAGCTACTTGGGAGGCTGAGGCAGGAGAATGGCATGAACACAGGAGGCAGAGCTTTCAGTGAGCCGAGATCACGCCACTGCACTCCAGCCTGAGCAGCAGAGCGAGACTCCATCACTCTGTCTAAAAAAAAAAGAAATATGTCAAAGAAATATATTTTGGGGGTAAAATACTTTAATATTTTAGGGCCTGCTGGCTGTCATGTGATGCTATACTAGAATCAGGTTGGAATTTGGTATCTTATTGCTACAAAGAGTATGTTTTGTTGGCCTCAAGGTCCCTGTTTTAATGTTAATGCTGGGCAGCTGTGCCTGAATTCCAAGAGGAGAGTATAATGAGGCACGTTCAACACCTTTTTCCTATCATGGCCTGAAATGGTTTTTCAGGTTTACTTTGGAATCCCCTCGGCTGAGAGAAGGGGTCCATTCAGTTAATTGGGGGTCTTAGAATTCTATTTTTGGTTTGCATTAGTGTCACCCAACTAAGACAGTTTATATATTCTATTGCATTATATGTATGTAATTTCTTGTCTTGTTCCTGATCTTCGGGGAAAGCATCCTGTCTTTTGCCTTTGAGCATTAGCTATGGATTTTTCATAGAGTTCTTCCATTGTTTCTTTTTCCCTTTTTCTTTTTTTTTTAGAGACTGAGTCTTGCTTTGTCACCCAGGCTGGAGTGCAGTGACGCGATCTTGGCTCACTGCAGTCTCTGCCTCCTGGGTTCAAGTACCTCTCCTGCTTCAGCCTCCCAAGTAGCTGGGACGCGCCACCATGGCCAGCTAATTTTTGTATTTTTAGTAGAGACTGGGTTTCGCCATGTTGGCCAGGCTGGTCTCGAACTCCTGACCTCAGGTGATCTACCCACCTTGGCCTCCCAAAGTGCTGGGATTACAGGCGTGAGCCACCGTGCCCGGCTCCTGCATTGTTTCACTGCCTGCAAGCAGGCTCGGTAGGACTGAACTCCTACGCTGTACGCAGCACTGAATACGTGGCACTACATAAACAGATTGTTTTCCTAATCATAGTGGCAAGAGAGAAAAATTCCTAGGCAGATAGGGGCAGGTCCCTGGTGAAACCCAACCTTCAAGCCAAAGACAGCTTAAAGCCTGCAAACTGAGCTGCCAGTTCTGGGTAGAGTCCACAACCGGAGTGAGAACTTTCCTTGATGCCTTTTAGCCAATTGAATGGTGCTTTTTCCAGGCCTGCCCATAGACCAATCAGCATGTACGCCCCCATTCTGAGCCCATATAAACCGTGGACTCACCACACATTGGGCTACCCTCTTTCAGGCTCTCCTGTCACACAGGGCTACCCACTTCAGGTCCCCTCTCATTATCGAGAGCTTTTCTGTCACTCAATAACATTCTTCCCTGCCTTGCTCGCTCTCCAGTGTCTGCCTAACCTCATTCTTCTTGGTTGCAGGACAAGAACCTGGAACCCACCAAATGGTGGGTGCGCAAAGAGCTGTAACACTGTAGCTCTCCCTCCTGCTCGCCGAGCAAAGGGGGAGAAAAAGCCACTGTGCACCACATGCCCCCATTCACCAAGCTGCGGGCGACGGGACTGGAGGAGCTGTGACACAAATGAGCTGTAATACGCCCCCCATTCACCGTGCTGCAGGCAGCAGGAATGAGAGAGAGCTGCGTCATTTCTTGGGGACTCAAACCTTGGGACATCCCAGGCAAGAGCTATAACACCCCTTGGGGCTCCATGGTTGCTGGCATGTTCGTGTTTTCAGCCGCTACCGCGTTCCCCTCATCTAAAAGCTGGTGCCTAACATGAAAATGGTCCACAGCATGCCTGGCTCAGCTGCAGGCTGAGCACGGAATCCTTGCGCATGCACAGGATCTGGGTTGGTAGCCTGAGCTGAGCGCAGCCTGCCAGGGCGAGCTGGTGGAGTGAGCCCAGGAGTAAGCCCAGAGCCAAGCCAAGCCTGGACAGAGTTGCTGCCAGCCGTGGATGTTTCCAGGTGTCGAAGCGGCATCAAAATCATCCTGTGTCACTAACATCATTGCAATGCTACTTCTTTATGCACCAAAATGTTTTGACTTATTGCTTTGTTTTCTTTTAACCATTTTGTACAGAAATCATTCTCAAAAGCTAAACATCCTCGGTCACTTTCTTTTTTTTCTTTTTTCTTTTCTTTTTTTTTTTTTGAGATGGAGTTTCACTCTTGTTGCCCAGGCTGGAGTGCAATGGCGTGATCTCGGCTCACTGCAACCTCCGCCTCCTGGGTTCAAGCAATTCTCCTGCCTCAGCCTCCCGAGTACCTGGGATTAATGGCGCCCACCACTACGCCTGGCTAATTTTTTGTATTTTTAGTAAAGACGGGGTTTCACCACGTTGGCCAGGCTGGTCTCAAACTCCTGACCTCAGGTGATCCACCTACCTCGGCCTCCAAAGTGCTGGGATTACAGGCGTGAGCCACCGTACCCGGCCCATCCTTGGCCACTTTCAACATAACATAGGCCAGGCACAGTGGCTCATGCCTGTAATCCCAGCACTTTGGGAAGCCAACGTTGGGAGATTGTTTGAGCCCAGGAGTTTGAGACCAGCCTGGGAAACCTAATGAGACCTTGTCTCTACAAAAAAAAAAAAAATTTAATTAGCTGGGTGTGGTGGCACACATCTGTAGTTCCAGCTACTTGGGAGGCTGAGACAGGAGGATTACTTGAGCTCAGGAGGTGGAGGCTGCGGTGAGCTATGATCATGCCACTGCACTCCAGCCTGGGCAACAGAGTGAGTCCCTGTCTCCAAAAATAAAAATAAAAAATGAAAAATCAAATAAACATAATACATATCATTCAGTTTTTGCTTTAGCACTGGGACATCATTGTGATGTGTCACTCTGGTGGCACATAATGTGGGGATACTGTAACTGCCCAGTGGGTTCATCTTGCCCTCTGGCTAGGCAGAGCCAATTTATCAAGACAGAAATTGCAATGGAGAAAGAGTAATTCACGCAGAGCTGGCTGTGCAGGAGACCAGAGTTTTATTATTACTTAAATCAGCCTTCCTGAGCCTTCGAGGATCGGAGTTTTTAAAGATAATTTGTGGGGCACGGGCTTGGGAAGTGGGGAGTGCTGATTGATCAGGTTGGAGATGGAATCATAGGGAGTCAAAGTGAGGTTTTCTTGCTGTTTTCTGTTCCTGGGTGGGATAGCAGAACTGGTTGAGCCTTATTACAGGTCTGGGTGGTGTCAGCTGATCCATGGAGTACAGGGTCTGCAAAATATCTCAAGCACTGATCTTAGGTTTTACAATAGTGATGTTATCCCGAGGAGCAGTCTGGGGAGGCTCAGACTCTTAGAGCCAGAGGCTACAAGACCCCTAAACTGTAATTTCTAATCTTGTAGCTAATTTGTTGGTCCTGCAAAGGCAGACTGCTCCCCAGGCAAGAAGGGGGTCTTTTCAGGAATGGGCTGTTAATAATTTTGTTTCAGAGTCAAACCATGAACTGAATTCCTTCCCAAAGCTAGTTCGGCCTATGTCCAGGAATGAACAAGGACAGCTTAAAGGTTAGAAGCAAGATAGAGTCAGTTAGGTCTGATTTCTTTCACTGCCACAATTTCCTCAGTTATAATTTTCCAAAGGCAGTTTCAATACCTTTGGGAACTTATTGGACGGCTTGTCCCTTCAAAGAACCACTCCAAACTGCTGTGTTTTTGCATTTCTGTATCTTTTTTTTTTTTTTTTAACAAATACATATTGTCCTGTTCCTAGCTGTTAATTAACACTTTTTCTGACCTTCACATGCCTGCGTCTGAGAACATTCTCTTCTAATAGGCAATTTCTAATTTGGTGAGACTGCCAAAGAGCCACAAAGTTTTTAGAAGTTTTTATAAAACAAGAGCAAGTACACTGAGGAGGACATTTTCCTATGAATAAAGTGCAATACCTTGTTTGGTGACTTAAACGCCTCTTATTTCCTAGGTTCTCAGCTCTGTTCTGGATGAATCACTGTCAGGTATACAGTATTATTATATCATAAATAAAATTATTTTTTAAGTCTTCTAGTCCTCTCCCCCTCACCCCACTCCCAGTTAACTAGCTTTTTGGCAGTTCTAGAACTGGGCAACAGAAGAGGTTGGCTTTATAGACAGAACAGCTAAAGAAAAACAGAGCAAGACCCTGTCTCAAAAAAACAAAGACAGAAAGCAGAAGCAAAGAGCAAAGAGCATATTGGTGATTTCAAAGCTATGTTTCTTATAAGGCAGGGACAGAGAGACAGAACAATAGAAAAATAACTGACTAGCAAACATCAAGCTACTTTTTTCCTGTAAGGACTAAAGCAGAGGGAACTTCATTATCATGCCAAATGAAGATTTAAACTGGCCTGTTTGGGAAATTATTTGTGATTTTGGGGAGGGTCAGTCAACTTGGTTTGGGTTTAGTGATGTGGAACTTTGGCATAGGTGAGTCCGTTTTGATTTTTGATCTTGTCCATTGGATCCAAGAGCAGAAACTTAGTCCAAAACAATAACATCCTGTAATTTTTATTTAATACATTTAATCACATAGATTCAAATGCATAATACAAAGATGGTCAGAATTACTAAAAGAAATTGACAGATCCGGCTCAGTGCAGTGGCTCACATCTGTAATCCCAGCATTTTGGGAGGCTGAGGCAGGTTGATACCTGAGGTGAGGAGTTCAAGACCAGCCTGGCCAACATGGAGAAACCCTGTCTCTACTAAAAATACAAAAATTAATTGTGCGTGGTGGTGCATGCCTGTAATCCCAGCTACTCAGGAGGCTGAGGTAGGAGAATCTCTTGAACCCGGAAGGCAGAGATTGCTGTGAGCTGAGATCGGGCCACTACATTCCAGCCTGGGAGACAGAGCAGGACTCCATCTCAAAAAAAAAAAAAAAGAAATCGACAAATCCACTAATCATGTGGAACTCTTAACATCTCTTTTTGAAAATTAGATAGGCTAAAGAATATTTGAGTAGTATCTTATAATTATTTACCTCTTTGATATGGTGATTCATAATAAGATATATATATTTGGTGTCTGTCCCTGGTTCCTGGCACACAACTCCTAAAACCCTTGGAGTCAGAGGAGTAATAAGAGTATCTTTTGTATGCTGATGAGGTGACTGATGGGGCTGGCAGCCCCTAGATAGCTTCAAGATGGGGGTTGGTCACCAGAAAGCCCAAGGTAGGATTAGAGGGTTGGGACTTTCAGTCCACACCCCACCCCCAACTTCCAGGGAGGAGAGAGAAAGTGGAGTTGATCATCAGTGGCCAATGATATAATCAGTTGTCATCCTGAAATAACCAAAAGCATCAGCATCCAGTTTTAGAGAGTATATTCAAGCAAAAAGCTGGGAACAGTCATCTGGGTAACATAGACTCCAGAGAAATGGGGTCAGTGCTCCAAAATTAAAAGTTAAGGTCTTGCTTGTATTGGCTGAAAATAAAGAAATTTAGTAGGATTATAACATTTTCTATATCAGACTGGTGTATGAGTTACAATTTAATTAGTTGCAGTTTATTTTCTTTTCCTTACAGCTTTCCTTTTCTTTACAACTTGTTTTCATTTCCTTTCCAATTCAAAGGTGTGTATTTGACACTCTATCTTAGATAATGTGATAGTCGCGGAGTCTTTGTGTGGGAAGGAAAAGAGGGAGGTTAATCTAAAATGAAAATCAACAGTTAAGAGGGAAGGGGTCCCTGATGCTCTTTAGTCATTTACAACATTTTACAAAACAATGTAGGTAAGGAAGAAGGCCACTCTATAATCAGAGAAACATAAGTTACAGCTGGCTGCCTAGGTTATAGCTGCCTGATTATGACACTCAGGTCCCATAATCACATTCCCTTAAGGTTCAAAATATTTTAAACTTCCAACTGACACAGGATTCTTTCAGTGCCACCTCACCAGCCAGAAATCTTCATGGCTGGGGGCACCCCTACCCGGGCCTCGCTTGGCTCCGGGCTCACCACTGGGCTTACTCTCCCCACTCAGTCCAGCAGGCTGTGCTTGGTTCATGCTACAAGCCCAGATTCTGCACCCGTCGTGGCTCTGCACTCAGCCCGCAGCTGGTCCAGGCATGTCATGACTGTCTTCCACCTTGGGCACCGGTGTCTGGACGAGGGGGACACAGCAGCACCTGAAAACTTGGAGATGCCAGCAACCACAGAGCCCCAAGGGGTGTTATGGCTCTCACCTGGGGAGTCCTGAGGTGTGAGCCCCCAAGGACTGTTAGAGCTCTCTCTCCTTCCTGCTGCCTACAGCACAGCAAATGGTGGTGGTGGGGAGCGTCTTACAGCTCATTCATGTTACAGCTTATGTTTGTTCCTGCCTCCCAGTGGCAAACGGGAGGACATGTTATGGCTCATTAGTTCCTGCCATCCACATGCTTCAGTGAACGGGGCGTCAATCCTGCTGCCCCACTCTGGCCTGAGGTTCCTGGGCTGCCCCAGCCCCACCGCCGCCTCTTCCTGTCACGTGGGATGGCCGCCCGACACTGGCAGAGGATGGGTGGGCTACAGTGTTACAGCTCCTTTCACACCCATGGTTCAGTGGGTCCCAGGTTCTTGTCTCATGTGCAAGAAGAATGAGGTTACATGGACACCAGAGAGTCAGCAGAGCAGAGAAGCTTTTATTGAGCAACAGAACAGCTCTCATCATGAGAGGGGACCTGAGGTGGGTAGCCCTCTGTGTAAGAGGGGGCCTGAAGGTGGGTAGTCCCAACATGTGGCTAAGTCCAGGGTTTTTATGGGCTCAGGATGGGGGCGTGCATGCTGACTGGTCCATGGGCAGGCCTGGAAAAAGCACCATTCGACTGGCTAAAAAGGCATTGAGGAAGTTCTTACTCCACTTGTGGACTCTATATGGAATGGGCAGCCCATTTTTCAGGCTGCAGGCTGTCTTTGGCTTGAAGGTTGGGTTTCACCGGGGACCTGTTTCTGTCTGCCTAGGAATTTGTCTGTCTCTTGCTGCTTTCACAATCACTTAGATTTTGAATTACTTATTTTCACACAATCGAGCCTACGTAATGAAGACTATAAAAACCTAAAATGGGCCAGGCATGGTGGCTCACACCTGTAATCCCAGCACTTTGGGAAGCCGAGGCGGGCAGCTCACCTGAGGTTGGGAATTCGAGACCAGCTTGACTAATGTGGAGAAACCCCATCTCTACTAAAAATACAAAATTAGCCTGGCGTGGTGGCACATGCCTGTAATCCCAGCTACTTGGGAGGCTGAGGCAGGATAATCTCTTGAACCCGGGAGGTGGAGGTTGCGGTGAGCCGAGATCGCGCCATTGCACTCCAGCCTGGGCAACAAGAGTGAAACTCCGTACCAAAAAAAAAAAAAAAAAAAAACTAAAATGATTAGATTCAGAGAGCTTC
The DNA here is from genome assembly GCF_000001405.40 of Homo sapiens. Classification (NCBI taxonomy): domain Eukaryota; kingdom Metazoa; phylum Chordata; class Mammalia; order Primates; family Hominidae; genus Homo; species Homo sapiens. Next base: position 40,747,820 of record NC_000022.11, on the reverse strand, counting down.
TGGATTGCAGAACATGTGGAGGTGTCTAGAGGGTGGTGTGCCCAGAGATGGCCTGAAAGTTCATCCCCCTCCCTCATGCCTTGCCCTATGTATCTCTTTCATCATGCTGTTCATCTGTATCCTTTGTAATATCCTTTATAAAATAAATGTGTACATGTAAATGATTTCCCTGAGCTCTGTGAGCCACTCTAGAAAGTTAATCAAACTCAAAGAGGGGGTGGAGGGGAGCCCTGATTTATAGCCAGCCAGTGAGAAGATCAGGTTACAACCTGAGGGTTGCAATTGACCTCTGAAGTGACAGGCAGTCTTGTGGAACTGAGCACTCAATGTGTGAGATGTGATGTTATTGAATTGGAGGACACCCAGCTGTTGTCCACGGGAGACTCTGCTAAAGAATTGCTTGGGCCAGGCACAGTAGCCCATGCCTGTATTCCCAGCACTTTAGGAAACTGAGGCAGGTGGATCACCTGAGGTCAGGAGTCCGAGACCAGCCTGGCCAACATGGTGAAACCCCCATCTCTGCTAAAAATACAAAAATTAGCCAGGCATAGTGGTGCACGCCTGTAATTTCAGCTACTCAGGAGGCTGAGGCAGGAGAATTGCTTGAACCCTGGAGGCAGAGGTTGCAGTGAGCTGAGATTGTACTACTGCCCTCCAGCCTGGGTTACAGAGCAAGACTGTCTAAAAAATAATAATAATAATAATTGCTTGGTTATATGTGGGAAGAAATCCCTGTACATTGAGAATGAGAAGTAGCTTAGAGCAGTCTGAGCTATGTGAGGTTTGCAAAATGTATCACACCCAGCGAGTCATGAGTATACTTCAGTCACACATACATACCTGCACCCAGGCAATTGTTTAAAAGCATTTTCTTCTTTCTTTCCTTACCTGTAGTTTCCAGACTAGCTGATAAATGACCTAAAATGTTATCACAAGTTGCAGAATGTGACCCTTACCCATTATCTTCATGTTCCTAGAATTTGTGATACAAAAAAAAAAATGTATAGCCAATCAATAGCTTATGTTATTTTAATGAACCAGTGTAAGAACTACCCCTTCTTTTTTCCTTTAAAAACCCATGTATAGCTGCTGCTAATTGAAGCATATATTCAGGGCAACTTGAATCTATGTCTTCTGGGTTGCAGTCTTCAAATTTGGCCCAAACAAACCCTACTTAAAACAAACAAACACCCGTCTCCCTCTCCCGTCTCCCTCTCCCTCTCCCGTCTCCCTCTCCCGTCTCCCTCTCCCTCTCCCGTCTCCCTCTCCCTCTCCCGTCTCCCTCTCCCTCTCCCGTCTCCCTCTCCCTCTCCCGTCTCCCTCTCCCTCTCCCGTCTCCCTCTCCCTCTCCCGTCTCCCTCTCCCTCTCCCTCTCCCGTCTCCCTCTCCCTCTCCCGTCTCCCTCTCCCTCTCCCGTCTCCCTCTCCCTCTCCCGTCTCCCTCTCCCTCTCATGCCGAGCCAAAGCTGGACGGTACTGCTGCCATCTCGGCTCACTGCAACCTCCCTGCCTGATTCTCCTGCCTCAGCCTGCCGAGTGCCTGCGATTGCAGGCGCGCGCCGCCACGCCTGACTGGTTTTCGTTTTTTTTTGGTGGAGATGGGGTTTCGCTGTGTTGGCCGGGCTGGTCTCCAGCTCCTAACCGCGAGTGATCCGCCAGCCTCGGCCTCCCGAGGTGCCGGGATTGCAGATGGAGTCTCGTTCACTCAGTGCTCAATGGTGCCCAGGCTGGAGTGCAGTGGCGTGATCTCGGCTCGCTACAACCACCTCCCAGCCGCCTGCCTTGGCCTCCCAAAGAGCCGAGATTGCAGCCTCTGCCCGGCCGCCACCCCGTCTGGGAAGTGAGGAGCGTCTCTGCTTGGCCACCCATCGTCTGGGATATGAGGAGCCCCTCTGCCTGGCTGCCCAGTGTGGAAAGTGAGGAGCGTCTCTGCCCGGCCGCCATCCCATCTAGGAAGCGAGAAGCGCCTCTTCCCCGCCGCCATCCCATCTAGGAAGTGAGGAGCGTCTCTGCCCGGCCGCCCATCGTCTGAGATGTGGGGAGCACCTCTGCCCCACCGCCCTGTCTGGGATGTGAGGAGCGCCTCTGCTGGGCCGCAACCCTGTCTGGGAGGTGAGGAGTGTCTCTGCCCGGCCGCTCCGTCTGAGAAGTGAGGAAACCCTCTGCCTGGCAACCGCCCCGTCTGAGAAGTGAGGAGCCCCTCCGTCTGGCAACCACCCCGTCTGGGAAGTGAGGAGCGTCTCCGCCCGGCAGCCACCCCGTCCGGGAGGGAGGTGGGGGGGGTCAGCCCCCCGCCCGGCCAGCCGCCCCGTCCGGGAGGTGAGGGGCTCCTCTGCCCGGCCGCCCCTACTGGGAAGTGAGGAGCCCCTCTGCCCGGCCAGTCGCCCCGTCCAGGAGGGAGGTGGGGGGGTCAACCCCCCGCCCGGCCAGCCGCCCAGTCCGGGAGGGAGGTGGGGGGTCAGCCCCCCGCCTGGCCAGCCGCCCCGTCCGGGAGGTGAGGGGCGCCTCTGCCCGGCCGCCCCTACTGGGAAGTGAGGAGCCCCTCTGCCCGGCCAGCCGCCCCGCCCAGGAGGGAGGTGGGGGGGTCAGCCCCCCGCCTGGCCAGCCGCCCCATCCGGGAGGGAGGTGGGGGGGTCAGCCCCCCGCCCGGCCAGCCGCCCCGTCCGGGAGGGGGGAGGGGGGGTCAGCCCCCTGCCCGGCCAGCCGCCCCGTCCGGGAGGGAGGTGGGGGGGGTCAGCCCCCCGCCCGGCCAGCCGCCCCGTCCGGGAGGGAGGTGGGGGGATCAGCCCCCTGCCTGGCCAGCCGCCCCGTCCGGGAGGTGAGGGGCGCCTCTGCCCGGCCGCCCCTACTGGGAAGTGAGGACCCCTCTGCCCGGCCAGCCGCCCCGTCCGGGAGGGAGGTGGGGGGAACAGTCCCCCGCCCGGCCAGCCGCCCTATCCAGGAGGTGAGGGGCGCCTCTGCCCGGCCGCCCCTACTGGGAAGTGAGGAGCCCCTCTGCCTGGCCAGCCGCCCCGTCCGGGAGGGCGGTGGGGGGGTCAGCCCCCCTCCCGGCCAGCCGCCCCATCTGGGAGGTGAGGGGCACTTCTGCCGGGCCGCCCCTACTGGGAAGTGAGGAGCCCCTCTGCCCGGCCACGACCCCGTCTGGGAGGTGTGCCCAGCGGCTCATTGGGGATGGGCCATGATGACAATGGCGGTTTTGTGGAATAGAAAGGCGGGAAGGGTGGGGAAAAAATTGAGAAATCGGATGGTTGCGGGGTCTGTGTGGATAGAAGTAGACATGGGAGACTTTTCATTTTGTTCTGTACTAAGAAAAATTCTTCTGCCTTGGGATCCTGTTGATCTGTGACCTTATCCCCAACCCTGTGCTCTCTGAAACATGTGCTGTGTCCACTCAGGGTTAAATGGATTAAGGGCGGTGCAAGATGTGCTTTGTTAAACAGATGCTTGAAGGCAGCATGCTCGTTAAGAGTCATCACCACTCCCTAATCTTAAGTACCCAGGGACACAAACACTGCGGAAGGCCGCAGGGTCCTCTGCCTAGGAAAACCAGAGACCTTTGTTCACTTGTTTATCTGCTGACCTTCCCTCCACTATTGTCCTATGACCCTGCCAAATCCCCCTCTGCGAGAAACACCCAAGAATGATCAATAAAAATAAAAAATAAAAAATAAAAAATAAAAATAAAAAAAAAAAAAAAACAAACAAACAAACAAAAAAAACGGGGCTGGGTGCAGTGGCTCAGGCCTATAATCCTAGCACTTTGGGAGGCCGAGGTGGGTGGATCGCCTGAGGTCAGGAGTTCGAGACCAGCCTGTCCAACATAGCCAAACCCTGTCTCTACTAAAACTACAACATTAGCTGGGCGTGGTGGTGGTGGGTGCCTGTAATCTCCAGCTCAGGCAGGAGAATCGCTTGAACCCTGGGGGCGGAGGTTGTGGTGAGCGGAGATCATGGCCATTGCACTTCAGCCTGGGCGTAAGAGCAAAACTCTGTCTCAGGAAGAAAACAACAACCACAACAAAAAATGCTACTTATATTAATTTTGCCTCTGTTTGTTTGTTTGTTTCTCTCTCTCTCTCTTTCTTCTTATTATTTTTGGAGACAGAGCCTCACTCTGTCGCCCAGGCTGGAGTGCAGTGGTGCAATCTTGGCTCACTGCAACCTCTGTCTCCCATGTTCAAGCAATTTTCATGCCTCAGCCTCCCCAGTATCTGGGATTACAGGGTCACACCACTGTGCCCGGCTAATTTTTGTATTTTTTGTAGAGACAGGGTTTTCACCATCAGGCCGGTCTTGAACTCCTGACCTCAACTGATCACCCGCCTCAGCCTCCTAAAGTGCTAAGATAGCCACGGTGCCTGGTTAGAATATATTTTTTAAATGTGCCTTAAAATTTCTCAATACAAAAAGGTTCAATGAACATTATCTAGGAAATAAAGAATTAAAAAAAATAAGATTACTAGGTAGAAAATAAACATTTAAATTCATAGAAAGGGATTGGAAGATTATATACCAAACTTTTTTTTTCTTTTGAGACAAGGGCTCACTCTGTCGCCCAGGCTGGATTGCAGTGGCACAATCACAGCTATATATGTGTATATAATTTTCTAAGTAAAGAAAGTCCTGAAATTTTAGGTTAAAAGGTGTATTAGGGCCGGGCGCGGTGGCTCATGCCTGTAATTGCAGCATTTTGGGAGGCTGAGGCGGGCAGGTCACTTGAGGTCAGGGGTTCGAGATCAGCCTGGCCAACATGATGAAACCCCATTTGTACTAAAAATACAAAAATTAGCCAGGCATAGTGGCAGGTGCCTGTAATCCCAGCTACTCGGGACGCTGAGGCAGGAGAATCATTTGAACCTGGGAGATGGAGGTTGCAGTGAGCTGTGATGGCACCACTGTGCTCTAGCCCGGGCAACAGAGCAAGACTGTCTCAAAAAAAAAAAAAAAAAAAAAAAAAAGGTATATTAGTCAGGGTTCTCCAGAGAAACAGAACCAACAGGATATTATAAGAGAGATTTATTATAGGAATTGATCGTTTCTCGGCCTTGTGGCTAAGATCAAGTGTAGATTTATTATGGGAATTGGCTCATGCAGTTATGGAGGCCAAGAAGTCCCAGGATCTGCCATCTGCAAGCTGAAAAACCAGGAAAGCTGGTGGTATAATTCAGTCTGAATCTGAAGACTGAGGACCAGAGGCACAATGATGTAAGTCCCAGTCTAAGCCCAAAAGCAAGAGCTAGGAGCACTGACCTCCAAGGGCAAGAGAAAATGGATGTCAGCCCAGAAAGAGCAGATTCGCCCCTCTTCCACCTTTTGTCCACTCAACAGTGGATGATACCCACTGACAGGGAGGATCTTTTTCTAATTTTTTTTTTTTTTTCTGAGACAGAGTCTCACTCTCTCGCCCAGGCTGGAGTGCAGTGGTGCAATCTCCGCTCACTGCAAGCTCTGCCTCCCGGGTTCACGCCGTTCTTCTGCCTCAGCCCCCTGAGTAGCTGGGACTACAGGCACCCGCCACCATGCCCAGCTAATTTTTTGTATTTTTAGTAGAGATGGGGTTTCACCGTGTTAGCCAGGATGGTCTCGATCTCCTGACCTCGCGATCCACCTGGGAGGATCTTTTTCACTCAATCTACCAACTCACAATGCTAATTTGTTCTGGAAACATCATCACAGGACTACCCAGGAACACTGTTTTGCCAGCTATCTGGACATCCCTTAGCTCAGTCAAACTGACACATAAAATTAACCATCACACGACCATCCTTTTTGAACTTGTCATCCATACACATCTCCTTAAACCATACTTAATCTCCACATGAAGACACAAGGTTTTTTTGGGTTTTTTGGAAACCAGATCTTGCTCTGTTGCCCAGGCTGGAGTGCTGCAGCCTCAATCTCCTGGGCTCAGGCGATCTTCCTGCCTCAGCCTCCTGAGTAGCTGGGACTACAGGTGCATACCACCACACCCAGGCTGGAGTGCAGTGGCACGATCTCGGCTCACTGCAACCTCCACCTCCTGAGTTCAAGTGATTCTCATGCCTCAGCCTCCTGAGCAGCTGGGACTACAGGCACACACCACCATTCCTAGCTAATTTTTGTATTTTTTAGTAGAGATGGGGTTTCACCATGTTGGCCAGGCTGGTCTCGAACTCCTGACCTCAAGTGATCCACTTGCCTTAGCCTTGTAAAGTGCTAGGATTACAGGCGTGAGCCCCGTGCCCGGCCAACATTTTTTTTAAGAGACTCTTTTTTACTCACTCTACCGACTCACAGCACTAATTTCTTCTGGAAACACCATCACAGGCCTACCCAGGAACACTGTTTTGCCGGCTATCTGGACATCTCCTTATGTTGCCCAGGCTGGTCTTGAACACCTGGCCTCAAGTGACCCTCCCACCTCAGCCTCCCAAAGCGTTGGGATTACAGGCATGAGCCACTGCACCCTGCCAAGACACAAGGTTTTCATTCCACTGAACGTGTTACAACCATCTGGTGTACAACTGGATTTCTGTCTTAGTCCCTTGGGGCTGCTATAATAAAATATCATAAACTGTTTATCTTATTTACAAGAGAAATTTATTTCTCCCACTTCTGGAAGCTGGGAAATCCAAGATCAAGGTGCCGACAGATTCAGTGTCTGGTGAGGGCCCACTTTCTGGTTCATAGACAGCATCTTTTTGCTGTAATCTCACATGCTGGAAGGAGCAAGGGACCTCTCTTGGGTCTCTTTTATTAAAGGACACTAATCCCATTCATGAGGGTACTGCCTTGGGGAATGCACCACTCTTTCAACTTCAATCAAGTATCTCCTGAGTTTGAGTGCTTGTTTTCGAAAGCGTGGTAGAAGTTTATTTTTCTCCTTGGTCCTCTAGTAGCCAGGTTACAGCTAGGTCATCTTGACTGTACCATCTGCAGAGAGGAAGACTCACCTTCGTTAGGATAGAAGCACCAGTGTCTAACTAGACAAGGACTATGGACTTAGAATGACATCGAATTTCCAGACCAAAACATTTACCAGAGCATTATGGTGTTCAAGGCATTGTGGGGACCCTGAGGGGGTGTATGGAGGACTATGAAGCAATCCCAGCCCCCACAGGAAGCTTGCAATTATTTTGGATGATAGCCATCCATACAAGATTGTGTCTGGGAGTGGTGGCTTACGCCTGTAATCCCAGCACTTTGGAAGGCCAAGGTGGGCAGATCACCTGAAGTCAGGAGTTCGAGACCAGCCTGGCCAACATGGTGAAACCCTGTTTCTACTAAAAACAGAAAAAAATTAGCTGGGCATGGTGGTGGGTGCCTGTAACCTCAGCTACTTGGGAGGGTGAGGCACGAGAATCGCTTGAACCCAGGAGGCAGAGGTTGCAGTGAGCCAAGACCGTGCCATTGCACTCCAGGCTGGGCAATAAGAAAGAAACTCAGTCTGGAAAAAAAAAAAAAGACGTTTGCTTTGTCCCTAAAAATTAGTGTCTATGAATTTTCTTACATTGTTATTTCTTCATGTGTAAATATCCTATCAGTGCAGCTAAATCGTAAGCTCCATGAGAACGCAGACGGTAGCCTGTGTTTCGGTGCGTATTCCTACATGGAAGCTCTGAGTTACGGTTAAAGATGAGACTGATTTATACAGATGATAATGCTCTCGAGTTTAACATTGTCTCTGCAATGATCTATGAGCATATTTGGAAAAGAAATCGCATCAGGGGCCAATGGTTTAAATAGGAGGATTTCTGGGCACTGTCAGGAGGTGTTATAGACAGACCTGGGTCAGTTGCAGAGCGGAGAGGATGTCCTGTGTTCTTCCTTTTCCCTTTCTGGCTCCAAGCAAATGGGCAGAACCAAATGAGGCAGGAAGGCGAAAGGAAAACTTGGATTCCACAGTGAGAGCTGGAGATGTGCTCTGTCAGTGACTAACATGAAACCACCCTCTCTCAGCAGGTTTAGGTCTGACCACGAAAGAAGCCTGGGCTCCCCAGGGTCACATGTGATGGCTGTTAACAGGACAACTGGCTATGCCACTGTGATAATTGTATCATCCACTGAATGGTTAAACTCCTTTGAATACTCTCAGAATTAAAGAGGATATGTGGTGGTGGAAAGTGACAATTGGGGCTGTGTGGAGTCCTCGTGTGTCCCTTTCTTATGCTTCCTTCCAAAGCTGCTACCCATCTGATGCCAAATTCTAGAACCGGCCCTTGTTACAAAAGCATGAACTTCAAACAATTTTCTAGTCTATACTCCTTGCTCCCAGGCAAGTTTTGCCTAAATTACTCCCAATCGTGACATGATTTAAAATTTTTGCCCCCTTTTTTTTTTTTTTTGAAGACAGGGTGTCTACTCTGTCACCCAGGCTGGAGTGCAGTGGCACAATCTCAGCTCACTACAACCTCCACCTCCTGGGCTCAACCAATGCTCCTACCTCAGCCTCCCAAGTATCGGGGACTACAGGCACACACCACCACACCCAGCTAATTTTTGTATTTTTTGTAGAGATGGGGTTTCACCATGTTGTCCAGGCTGGTCTCGAATTCCTGGACTCAAGCGATCTGACTGCCTCGGCCTCCCAAAGTGCTGGGATTACAGGCGTGAGCCACCGCGCCGGGCCTGTATGCCCTCATTTATACAAGTTTCCTCCCTGAAGAAAACTTGGATCAGTTAGATAAATGGATGAAGAAAATACCACCCACAGTTCTCCCACCTCCAAACAACCATTGTTAATATTTAATGTATTCCTCATTTATTTGTCTGTGCACAGTGTATGTCTATAAAACCACGATTGTGATGTATATCATTTAAATCAGTGTAATAAGCACAGTTGCGTCTGTTTGTTATTCTACATCAGAACATATCCAGCTCCCCATGTTATGAAGTGGTTTTGAAAGCATAATTATTTTCTTTCCAACTTTTATTTATTTATTCATTTATTTGAGACAAAGTCCTGCTCTGTTGCCCAGGCTGCAGTGCAGTGGTGCGATCTCAGCTCACTGCAACCTCCGCTTCCCAGGCTTAAGCATTCTCATGCTTTAGTCTCCTGAGTAACTGAGACTACAGGCATGTGCCACTGCACCTGGCTAACTGTTGTATTTCTTTCTTTTTTTTTTTTTTTTTTTTTTTTGCCATTTTGGCCAGTCTGGTTTTTGCCATTTTGGCCAAGCTGGTCTCGAAATCCTGGCCTCAGGTGATCTTCCCATCTCGGCCTCCCAAAGTGCTGGGATTACTGGTGTGAGCCACTTTAACTGGCCTCATGTGCAGGTTTGTTACATGGGTAAATTGTGTGTCATGGGGGTTTGGTATACAGATAATTTTGTCACCCAGGTAGTCAACATGATACCCGGTAGGTAGTTTTTCAATTCTTACTCTCCTCCCACCCTCCACCCACAATTAGGTCTGTTGTTCCTTTCTTTGTGTCAGCGTGTGCTTAATGTTTAGCTCCCACTTATAAGTGAGAACATGTGGTGTTTGGTTTTCTGTTCCTGAGTTAATTCACTTAGGATAATAGCCTCCAGCTCCACCCATATTGCTGCAAAGGACATTATTTCATTCTTTTTATGGCTGTGTAGTATTCCATAGTGTATATGTACCATGTTTTCTTTCTTTCTTTTTCTTTTTTTTTTTTTTTTTTTGGGAGACGGAATCTTGCTCTGTCACCCAGGCTGGAGTGCAGTGGCGCAATCTTGGCTCACTGCAATCTCGGCTCACTGCAATCTCTGCCTCCTGGGTTCAAGTGATTCTCCCGTCTCAGCCTCCCGAGTAGCTGAGATTACAGGGGCGCACCACCACTCCCGGTTAATTTTTGTGTTTTTGTAGAGGTGAGGTTTCACCATATCAGCCAGGCTGGTCTCGAACTCCTGACCTCAAGTGATCCACCCCACCTCGGCCTCCCAAAGTGCTGGAACTACAGGAGTGAGCCAACATGCCTGGCCCATACCATGTTTTCTTTATCCAGTTCACCACTGATGGAAATCTAGGTTGATTCCATGTCTTTGCCACTGTAAATAGTGCTGCCATGAACATATGCGTGCATGTCTCTTTATGGTAGAATGATTTATATTCCTTTGGATTTATACCCAGTAGTGGGATTCCTGGGTTGAATGGTAGTTGTATTTTAAGTTCTTTGTGAAATCTCCAGACTGCTTCCATAGTGGCTGAACTAATCTGCATTCCCACCAACAGTGTATAAGCATTCCCTTTTCTCTGCAACCTTGCCAGCATCTATTATTTTTTGAATTTTTAATAATGGCCATTCTGGCCAGGCACATGCCTATAATCCCAGCACTTTGGGAGGCTGAGGCGGGCGGATCACTTGAGGTCAGGAGTTAGAGACCAGCCTGGCCAACATGGCAAAACCCCATTTCTACCAAAAATACAAAAATTAGCCAGGTGTGGTGGCAGGAGCCTGTAATCCCAGCTACTCGGGAGGCTGAGGCAGGAGAATTGCTCAAACCCGGGAGGTGGAGGTTGCAGTGAGCCAAGATCGCGCCACTGCACTCCAGCCTGGGCAACAGAGTAAGACTCTGTCTTAAAAATAAATAAATAAGCAAACAAACAAATAAATAAATGAAGGCCATTCTGACTGGTGTGAGGCGTATCTCATTGTGGGTTTGATTTGCGTTTCCCTAATGACTAGTGGCGTTGAGCATTCCCCATTGTTGGTATAGCTCAGTGAACACTGGGGATCTCTACGTCTCACAAAATTAGGAGCTTGAGTGGGGCGGAGGATAGAGGTTAGGGAGAAAACCCAGAATTCTTCTGTCCAAATGTTTCCCTTCAGGAAGAAGGATCAAAGTCATCTCAGACTCGGTCTAGTGGTTCGGAGCGGGGACTGGCCCCAAGGCTGCCCAGGCCCGGGTCTCAGCTCCACCACGTACTAGTAGTGTGACCTCAGGCAAGCTGTATCCCTTTATTTTTCCCATCTGTAAAGTCAAGATGGTAATGCTTCCTTCCTTGTAGGGTTTTTGGAAAGATTAATTGAGTTAAAATTCAGGCCAGGCACAGTGGCTCACGCCTGTAATCCCAACACTTTGGGAGGTTGAGGTGGGTGGGTCACCTGAGGTCAGGAGTTCGAGACCAGTCTGGCCAACATGGTGAAATCCCGTCTCTACTAAAAATACAAAAAATTAGCCAGGCCTGGTGGCAGGCACCTGTAATCTCAGCTACTTTGGAGGCTGAGGCAGGAGAATTGCTTGGACCTGGGAGGTGGAGGTTGCAGCGAGCCGAGATCACGCCATTGTACTCCAGCCTGGGCGACAGAGCGAGACTCCGTCTCAAAAAAAAGTCAAAATTCCTGTACAGACCAGCGCCCAGCCTAGCTAAGTGCTCTGAAAGTGTTGGCTATTTTTCTTAGCTATGGCAGAGGTCCTCCAGTGAGGTTGGGGGAACTATAAAATTTTTATTTTGTATGCCTCTGCTATAATTCAACGGTTTTTTATGCCTTTAGATAGGGTTCTTTATTTGACTTAGGAACAAATGTGTTGCTTCTGTATGAATATTAGAATTTAATTCCGATGGGAAAGAGAATAAATTCAGGGAAAAAATATCTTCTCATAAACTTAGCATGTCATTTATTACTTTTTCTTCAAAAATGCCAAAAGCCTGATTCCTCTTGATAAATGGTCCAGAGAGCTTTCCTAGGGCTCTGAGGTTTGTAAAAGCCTCTCACATGGTCCTCCATGTGAGCTCTGTGATTACACCCAAGATCTTTGCTTGGGTGTAATAATTTCATCCAAGTTGCTCTTCCAAGCGTTCAGAGAGGAATGTGAGTTGTTTTTTTTTTTTTTTTTTTTTTTTTTTGAGTCAGAGTCGCGCTCTGTCACCCAGGCTGGAGTGCAGTGGTGCGATCTCGGCTCACTGCAATCTCCGCCTTCCGGGTTCAAGCGATTCTCCTGCCTCAGCCTCCTGAGTAGCTGGGACTACAGGTGCGTGCTACCACGCCCGGCTATTTTTTTGCATTTTTAGTAGAGACGGGGTTTCACCATCTTGGCCACGATGGTCTTGAATGTGATCTGCCTGCCTTGGCCTCCCAAAGTGCTGGGATTACAGGCGTGAGCCACTGAGCCCGGCCGAGTTATTTTTTTAAATCATCACTGGTTCAAGTAGCAAGCTCCCTGGGTGTGGCCTCAGGAGACCTGGGGTCAAGTCCTATTTAGTTGTTTCCTTCGTTCTTTACTTGACTGTCTGGTGGCTTTTGGCAATTGTGTCACATCTTTGAAGCTTGTTTTCTCTTCTTTTTTTTTTTCTGTTGCTTTTTTAATCTGTTTGTTTTTTGAGACAGGGTCTTGCTCTGTCACCTGGGCTGGAGTGCAGTGGTGCAATCACAGCTCACTGCACCTTGAACTCTTGGGCTCAAGTGATCCTCCCATCTCAGCCTCCTGAGTAGCTAGGACTACATGTATGTGCCACCACACCCGGCTAACTTTTTTCTGTAGAGATAGGGTCTCACTTTATTGCCCAAGTTGGTCTTGAACTCATGGGCTCAAGTGATCCTCCTGCCTCAGCCTCCCAAAGTGCTGCAATTACAGGCATGAGCCCCCACATCTGGCCTAGTTTTCTCTCCTATACAGTGGGTGTTTTACGTAACAATCTTGGAAGGATGTTAGAGGATTCAATTAAATTTAAAGAAATTAAAAATAAATAGCCAGGCGCGGTGGCTCATGCTTGTAATTCCAGCACCTTGGGAGGCCAAGACGAGCGGATCACAAGGTCAGGAGTTTGAGACCAGCCTGGCCAGTGTGGTAAAACCCTGTCTCTACTAAAAATACAAAAATTAGCTGGGTGTGGTGGCACACGCCTGTAGTCCCAGCTACTCGGGAGGCTGAGACAGAAGAATTGCTTGAACCCAGGAGGTGGAGGTTGCAGTGAGCCAAGATCTCGCCACTACACTCCAGCCTGGGCAACAGAGTGAGACTCCATCTGTCTCTCTCTCTCTGTATATATATATATATGTTTTTAAATAAATAAATTCAATAATATGCAAGAAAGTGCAAGAGAAATGAGAATATATTATGGTATAGTAATGGTATTCTTATCGTTTGATCGTGTAACAAAAATCTGTTGCTCTGAGTCCTGATCTGTAAGGGGTTTTGTTTTGTAATCCTCCAGCATATCTCCAAGCTCATTCTGGAAGCACGCCAGGTCCAACAGCTGACATCGTATCACAATGAACAGATAATTGCTTTGTGTTTTCGTTTTTTTTTTTTTTTTTTTTGAGATGGAGCCTCACTGTGTTGCCCAGGCTGGAGTGCACTGGCACGATCTCGGCTCACTGCAAGCTCCGCCTCCCGGGTTTATTCTCCCACCTCAGCCTCCCTAGTAGCTGGGATTACAGGTGTGCGCCACCATGCCTGGTCAAGTTTTGTATTTTTAGTAGAGACAGGGTTTCACCATGTTGGTCAGGCTGGTCTTGAACTCCTGACCTCGTGATCTGCCTGCCTCGGTGTCCCAAAGTGCTGGGATTACAGGTGTGAGCCACGGCGCCTGGCCAGGCTTTGTGTTTTCTATTGGCTGTCATCACAGTCCAGCCTGTTTATTTCCATCTGAGGGAAGCAGATTCATTCTCTTATTGTATCCCGTTCTGTCACGTTCACACTACTGAGTGTCACTTTATTAACTGTAAATTCCAAGGGAAAACATCTCTGTTTCAGCAGAGATCTACATTTCACATGACTAAGTGGCCTTTCTAGGGAGGCCACTCTGTGGTATGTTGCGTTCCCTAAGAGACAGGCTTGTAGCTATAGAAACTGTAACCTTGTGTAGCCAATGGTGTGGCAGGGGTAGCGCTGACTTTGTTGATTTCTTTCTTCTTCACTGTGGTTCAAAATACCTGGGGACATTGCTGAAATAACTGAAAGATGGTTCCCCTTCCCCTACTGCCCCAACTGTGTCTTTTGCCCTTCTGTATCATTAGATGTAAAACTCAGGAGATTTTTTATTTTTATTTTTGAGACAGGGTCTCATTCTGTCACCCAGGCTGGAGTGCAGTGGTGCAGTCTCGGCTCACTGCAACCTCCGCCTCCCAGGTTGAAGCGATTCTCCTGCCTCAGCCTCCTGTGTAGCTGGGATTACAAGCACATGCCATCACGCCTGGCTAATTTTTGTATTTTTAGTAGAGATGGGGTTTCGCCGTGTTGGCCAGGCTGATCTTGAACTCCTGATCTCAAGTGATCCTCCCACCTCGGCCTCCCAAAGTGCTGAGATTACAGGCATGAGCCACCACGCCCAGCAGGACCTGGTATCTTCTAAATCAGAGTAGGATTTTGTTTCACAGGTCCTCGAGATTAGGAAAAGAAATAAGTAAAATAAAATAAAGAGGCCAGACAGGGTGGCTCACAACTATAATCCTAGCACTTTGGGAGGCTGAGGCGGGTGGATCACCTGAGGTGAGCAGTTCAAGACCAGCCTGGCCAACATAGCGAAACCCCATCTCTACAAAAAATACAAAAATTAGCCGGACGTGGTGCTGAGCGCCTGTAGTCCTGGCTGCTCCGGAGGCTGAGGCGGTAGGATCGCTTGAGTCCAGGAAATTGAGGCTGCCGTGAGTGGAGATCATGCCACTGCACTCCAGTCTGAGTGACAAAAAGACCCTGTCTCAAAAAAAAAAAAAGAAAAGAAAAGAAATGAAAAAGAGAGAGAGAGTAAAGGGTGAGAGTGCAAGAGTGGATTAAAAAAAGTAATAATAAAGAAAAAAAAGTTTGACTTTGCTGGAATTGTTACAAGAATGTTGTCTCAGGAAGACAAAACAGAAGGTAAAAGCAAGCAAGGGTGAATGATACTGGCAGGCTGCAGACAGACCGTGTGTCCAGAAGGAACTATTTGCACTTTAGAGAAAGGACACCAAAGAAAGAAAAGAGCAGTAATTCCCCAGGGCTGTGTAAGGGAGGGGAGCTGCCAAATCTGGTGGAGGAGAGTATTACAGTCACTAGGGCGGTGCGTCCTGCCCCGAGGCAGGAACAGGCAGTTTCTTGTTTATTCAGCACACACAGATTGAGTGCTTACTGTGAACCAGGTGCTCCGGCTCAGGTGCTAGGAGGTGAAAGGTAAGTAGGCTCTGCCCTCGCCTCTCACGTTTTGGGGAGGCTGAGGCACAACCTCGGAGGAGTCTGTGATTCCAAGTTCACAAAGCCCGCAGGGTAACTCAATATTGCAAAAGGCTGCTGCAGGCCTGAGACCACAACTGCCACAGCCCTCTCCTCATCTTTTTGACTTGTAAGTAATTGTGACTCCTGCAATCCAGGCTAACAAAGTAAGAGAGATAGTTGTTTGGTCCAAATACTCTTAATTGATCCTATGAAATCCATTTTGCTGTGCAAAGGAAGTTGGGCAATATTCTAGTCTAGGCTCGGCCCACAGAGAATTTATACAAGAATCCTATAAACCAGGCCAGGTGTGGTGGCTCACACCTTGAATCCCAGCCCTTCTGGAGGCCAAGGCGAGAGGATCTCTTGAGACCAGGTGTTCAAGACTAGCCTGGGCAACATAATGAGACTGCATCTCCACAAAACGTTTTTTTTTTTTTTTGAGACAGTCTCACTCTGTTGCCCAGGCTGGAGTGCAGTGGCACGATCTCAGCTTACTGCAACCTCTGCCTCAGCCTCCTGAGTAGCTGGGATTACAGGCGCCCGCCACTACGCCCAGCTAATTTTTTGTATTTTTAGTAGAGACGGGGTTTCACCATGCTGGCCAGGCTGGTCTTAAACTCCTGACCTCGTGATTCTCCCGCCTCAGCCTCCCAAAGTGCTGGGATTAAAGGTGTGAGCCACCGCGCCTGGCCCACAAAACATTTTAAAAGTCCAGGCACGGTGGTATTCGCCTATAGTCCCAGCTACTCAAGAGGCTGAAGTAGGAGAATCACTTGAGCCCAGGAGGTCGAGGCTGCAGTGAGCCATAATCATACCACCGCACTCCAGCCTGAGTGACAGAGCAAGACCCTGTCTCTAAAAAAAAAACCAAAAAGAATTTTATAAGACAAAATATCACAGTAATGTTTTCAGCCTCTTCCCGACAGCGACCCTATTCCATCATTCTGGAGACCCACCTTACAACACCCCCTCCCCACCCTCCTTCATGCAAAGGAAACTGCTGACATCCTGCTTGACAGAGCAGTTTGTGGTTTTGTTTGTGTGTATTTGATTAGTGTTAGTCAGGTGACTCAGTCCCTAAGAACCCGACCTAGTTTTACGTGCACCAGAAAAGGTGTGCTCGAGGCCAGATGTGGTGGCTCACGCCTGTAATCTCAGCACTTTGGGAGGCCGAGGTAGGCGGATCACCTGAGGTCAGGAGTTCGAGACCAGCCTGGCCAAGACAGAGAAATCCCATCTCTACCAAAAATACAAAATTAGCCAGTCATGGTGGCACATGCCTGTAATCCCAGCTACTCGGGAGGCTGAGGCAGGAGAATTGCTTGAACTCGGGAGGCAGGGGTTGCGGTAAGCTGAGATCACACATTCCAGCCTGGGCAACAAGAGCAAGGCTCCGTCTCAAAAAAAAAAAAAAAAAAAAAGCCAGGTGCAGTGGCTCATGCCTGTAATCCCAGCAGGTTTGGGAGGCCGAGGCAGGTGGATCACGAGGTCAGGAGATCGAGACCATCCTGGCTAACGCGGTGAAACCCCGTCTCTACTAAAAATACAAAAAAAAAAAAAAAAAGCTGGGCATGGTAGTGGGCGCCTGTAGTCTCAGCTATTCGGGAGGCTGAGGCAGGAGAATGGCGTGAACCGGGGAGGCGGCGCTTGCAGTGAGCCGAGATCACACCACCACACTCCAGCCTGGGCGACAGAGCGAGGCTCCATCTCAAGAAAAAAAAAAAAAAAGAAAGAAAAGAAAAGGTGTGCTTGTCCATTCACTCATGTATTTGACACATTGATTGAACACCTATGCAAGGGCCAGGCCCTATGCAGGGCTCAGAATACAGGGAGGAAGACACAGTCCCTGCCCCCAAGGGACTGGCAACAGAAGGAATCCCTATGGTAAGTAAAGGGACAAACTGAAAAACCATTAAAGCAAAGCTCCTCCTATAACAATAGATTCTGCAATTTTATAAAAAATCACAACTTCTTGTTGCAGGCAAACTCCACCCCACCAACCCCAGGACTGGATCCTGCCCCAGTGGTAGCAGAGTTCTTGACTTGCCTCTGACAGAGAAAATGACGAGGGGGTGAGGATCCAGTGGTCCTGAAGATAATTAATTTTCTCATTGATACAATGGAGAAAACAGAAATTAATATATTAAATATCACTTTTCAGCCAGGTGCTGTGGTTCATGCCTGTAATCCCAGCACTTTGGGAGGCCGAAGCGGGAGGATCGCTTGAACCCAAGAGTTCAAGACTAGCTTGGGCAACATAGTGAGACCCCCATCTCTACAAAAAAAATACAAAAATTAGCCAGGCCTGGTGGTGTTCCTATAGTCCCAGCTATTCGGGAGGCTGAGGTGGGAAGATTACTTGAGCCCTGGAAATCATGGCTGCAATAAGCCAAGATCGTGTCACTGCACTCCAGCCTGAGCAACAAAGAGAGATCCTATCAAAAATAAAGAAAGAAAGAATATCACTTTTCAGCCAAGTTTTCAGAAGATGTTGAGAGTCTTACAGTTGTTAGAATGAAAGCAGTAGTAGCCATTAAACTGCGTGTAAGGACAGATTGTATTAAACTGTGTATAAGGAGAGATTGTATTTATTTTATTTATTTTATTATTATTTTTGAGACGGAGTCTTGCTCTGTTGCCCAGGCTGTAGTGCAGTGGGGTGATCTCGGCTCACTGCAAGCTCTGCCTCCTGGGTTCATGCCATTCTCCTGCCTCAGCCTCCCGAGTAGCTGGGACTAGAGGTGCCCGCCACCACACCCAGCTAATTTTTTTGTATTTGTTAGTAGAGACGGGGTTTCACCATGTAGCCAGGATGGTCTTGATCTCCTGACCTTGTGATCCACCTGCCTCGGCCTCCCAAAGTGCTGGGATTACAGATGTGAGCCACCATGGCTGGCCCTATTTTATTTTTTTAAATAAAATAGAGTTGAGGTCTCACTGTTAGCCAAGCTGGTCTCAAACTCTTAGGCTCAAGCGATCCCTTGGCCTCCAAAAGTGCTGGGATTATAGGTGTGAGCCACCATGCCTCCCAAGGTTGTCCTTTTAGATCTAGTTAAGGATCTTGAGATCACCCTGGATTATACAGGTGGGCCCTATATCCAATGACAAATATTTTTATAAGAGACACATGGAGGAGAGGCGCACAGAGCAGAAGCCCATGTAAAGATGGAGATGGAGATGAGAGTGATGCAGCCACAAGCCAAGGGACACCTGGCGCCACCAGAAGCTGGGAGAGGCAGGGAAGGCTCCTCCCCTAAGGCATATCCCTGCTGACACCTGGATTGCAGACTTCCAGCCTCCAGAACTGTGTGAGAGAAAATATCTGCTCTTTTAAACCACTGAAGTGGGGCTGGGCACGGTGGGTCCCACCTGTAATCCCAGCACTTTTGGGAGGCCGAGGCCGAGGCGGGTATGTTGGGTAAAAGCTGAGTGTTGGGAAAAAAGCTGAGGCAGGGCTTGCATGTCTGACATAATGTAAAAGAGTCTTGGAACATGTCTGGGGTCCAGGGTCTAAAACCCCTCGTGGCCTTTGGAACACCAAGCTCTGTGCTAAAGGGTGGAAGGCTGCCCCGCCACACCACAATCTAAACCCAGGGCATAAAAGCTCTCGTGGCTTGGATGGAATCCAGGGCTCAGGGCATAAAAACCCTCGTGACCTCTGGAATGTGTCTAGACTTGCAGGCTCCTTGCTTCTATCACTCCCATTATCTCAAGTAGCAGAACATGTTCCATATGCTTCAAACAAAATGCTAAACCGTCACGGCCATAGATCATGCGCTTGATGCACTGCTTCCTTTCAACCCCCACATCCTCACCACCTGCTTCTTTGATCACCAATAAACAGCTCGGGCTCCCAGCGCTCAGGGCCTTCGCAGCCTCCATACTAGCGTTGGCCTGCGGTCCCACTTTCACTCTTAACTTGTCTTGTCTCATTCCTTTGACTCCCCCGGACTTCGTTGCCCCCACAGCCTGGTGTTGGGTCTGATCACCCCAACAGGGTGGATCACCTGAAGCCAGTCGTTCGAGACCATCCTGGCTAACATGGTGAAACCCCATCTCTACTAAAAATACAAAAATTAGCTGAGTGTGGTGGCAGGCAGCTGTGATCCCAGCTACTCGACTGGCTGAGGCAGGAGAATCGCTTGAACCTGGGAGGAGGAGGTTGCAGTGAGCCGAGATCACACCACTGCACTCCAGCCTGGGCTACAAGAGCGAAACCCTGTTTCAGAAAAAAAACAACAAAAAATCCCACCAAAGTTATGATTATTTGGAAGGCAGCTATGCTCGCTACTGTACCACCAACGCCGCTGGGTTATGGTTGTTACCGAAGTGCTAGGAAGCTACTACATGAATCGACATGCATATGGAAATATCTACAGCCTTTTCTTTAACATGTTTAACTTTTCCCCCATGCCTTTGCCATTACCTTTTTTTCAGAAGGACAGAGGCAGGCTGCACACGGTGGCTCATGTCTGTAATCCTAGCAATTTGGGAGGCCGAGGTGGACAGATCACTTGACCCCAGGAGTTCGAGACCAGACCGGGCAACATAGCAAAACCCCATCTCAAAAAAAAAAAAAAAAATTAGCCAGGCATTGTGGCCCTCCTGTAGTCCCAGCTACTTGGGAGGCCAAAGTGGGAGGATCACCTGAGCCTGGGAGTTCGAGCCTGCAGTGAGCCGTGATCACCTGGGTGACAGAGTGAGACCCTGATTCAAAAAAAAAAAAAAAAAAAAAAAAGGCAGAGGCAGTCCAGGCTTCAGCCAGCCTGTCTCATTTAAATGCCAATTTGGTCATTTCCTAGTTGTGTGACCTTAAGCAAACTACTTAATCTCTCTGAGTCCCCATTTCTTCATCTGTAGAATTTTTGCATTGGTATTAAATGAGACCGTCATGTAAGTGTTTAGAATTGTGTCTGGCATATCATTAGCAATACACATAAGTGGTAGTTTATGCATTCTCTCCTGTTCCTCAGTGATTTCCTGTCCTCATCAGAATGCTACTTCTTCATGGTAATGAGCCAGTTTTGTTCCTGCCTAGATTTTTAAAAAACTCATTATCACTTGTGATTCATTTACCTCATTATGCTTTTAGGCTATTAGAATGGGGAAAATGTCACTCAGAAGAGTATGAACAAACCAAGCCCCATGGAATCTCACTTGATAGCCAGGGCTAATCATCAGAAAAGTCAAAAGATCAGCCATTAGCAAAGTAGAGAGACAAAGAACCCGATTTAACTAATAAGCACTTCAATACCCGTGACTTCTAACTGACTCTCTCTCTCTCTCTCTCTCTCTCTCTCTCGACTTTCCTTTGAAATTTCAAAGGGTATGAATAATTTAATTGATTTTCAAAATAATTGACTTGTTTTTGACAAGCATGTGCATGTTTGCTTGGTTTGTGGTTGAGATGGACCAAAAGAGACAAAAGGATTACTAGGTTTAAGGAGCCCCTGTCTATCCTGTATTTCAAATTTCAAAGACAGTATTTGTTCTTAAAACAGTCACTGCTTCCCTTGCTTTGAAGGAATTTAAGAGTATGTCTTAGCTTACAAATCACTTAGCAGCCAGGCGCGGTGGCTCACGCCTGTAGTCCCAGCACTTTGCGAGGCCGAGGCGGGTGAACCACCTGAGGCCCGGAGTTCAAGACCAGCCTGACAAATATGGAGAAACCCCCCGACCCTACTAAAAATACAAAAAATTAGCTGGGCGTGGTGGCGCATGTTTGTAATCTCAGCTACTCGGGAGGCTGAGGCAGGAGAATCGCTTGAACCTGGGAGGCAGAAGTTGCGGTAAGCCGAGATTGTGCCATTGCACTCCAGCCTGGGCAACAGAGCGAGACTCCATCTCAAAAAAAAAAAAAAAAGAAAAAAGAAAAAATCACTTATCTCTGAACAGCCAGCACACTGGCTTCTTCACTCACAATTATTCCTCATTCAGATCCTAGCAATTTCAGAAAGTGTTGAGTTTATTACTAGTGCTTGGCCTCTAGGGCTCTCCTTCCACACTGCATTAGTAGCTGAACTGTCTGCTTTGTCTACAGGGCCTGCTTATCTTGCGATTGGACCATCTTCTTTTCCTTTCACTTTCACGGTCTCTTTCACACGAGTAGGAAAAAAAATGGAAAGTATATATATAGATACATACATATATATATATAGATACATACATATATATAGATACATACATATATATATATAGATACATACATATATATAGATACATACATATATATAGATAGATACATACATACATATATATATATATATATATATTTTTTTTTTTTTTTTTTTTTTTTTTTTTTTTGAGACAGAGTCTCTGATGCCCAGGCTGGAGTACAGTGGTGTGGTCTCAGCTCACTGCCACCCTGCAACCTCCACCTTCTGGGCTCAAGCTATTCTCCTGACTCAACCTTCCGAGTACCTGAGATTACAGGTGCGTGCCACCATGCCTGGCTAAGTTTTGTATTTTTGGTAGAGACAAGGGTTTCACCGTGTTGGCCAGGCTGGTCTCGAACTCCTGACCTCAGGTGATCTACCCACCTTGGCCTCCCAAAGTGCTGAAATTATAGGCGTGAGCCACTGTGCCCAGCTGGGAAAGTATTTTCTTCCCAAGCCCATATCTTTAACACATTTGCAAAATCAAGCATCCCTAATGGTTTACCTTGGCGTGGCTAGAAGTCTTGATTTATATGATATTAGGTTTCCTAAAAGAGGGAAACTTCCCTGTGGCCCTCACCTAAGGGATTTAGGCGTAATTCATGAAGCAAGTTTACAATAAAAAAAATCCCTACCATTGCATACCAAAAAAAAAAAAAAATGATGGTTACGGTCATACCAATGGCATGTTTAAAACAAGACTTAATTGGCCAGGCGCGGTGGCTCACGCCTGTAATCCCAACACTTTGGGAGGCCGAGGCAGGCGGATTACCTGAGGTGAGGAGTCTGAGACCAGCCTGGCCAACATGGTAAAGCCTCGACTGTACTAAAAATACAAAAATTAGCCAGGCATGGTGGCACACGCCTGTAATCCCAGCTACTCCAGAGGCTGAGGCAGAATTGCTTGAGTCTGGGAGACGGAGGTTGCAGTGAGCCAAGATCACGCCACTGTACTCTAGCCTAGGCGACAGAGCGAGACTCTGTCTCAAAAAAAAATACATAAATAAATAAAAATAAAATAAAAAACAAAGACTTAACTGTTGCACTGTGATACTGTGACATCTGGAGGCCCATATTTAGTGTAACAGGTGAATTACTCATTTCGAAAAAAACATTTTTATGGCTCTGACATTGGTAAATTCTGACATCTCTCGTTGATCTGGTAGGCTGTGATTGGGTCAGTTTTCAAGATGCAACAATGAAAGGCTTCATGGTGACACCTGGTCCGAATCTCACCGAAGCCTCAGGGCCAGGGGCCAGCCATTGCTTCACCTGGACTGAGCCCTTTCCATGGCGCAGATGGCAAGTTAAGGATGGGGGAAGGAAAGGGCGAGAAAACTAAAGGAGAAGGAAGATGAGGGTGGCAGAAGAAAGGGGACCAAAAGATGCAAACATTAGGGCAAAAACATGAGGGTTGAAGTGAAGTCTTCAACCAAATCCAGCATATAAAAAATCTCAGTTTGGGCCGGGTGCCATCGCTGACACCTGTAATCCCAGCACTTTGGGAGGCTGAGGCGGGTGGATCACCTGAGGTCAGGAGTTCAAGACCAGCCTTACCAACATGGTGAAACCCCATCTCTACTAAAAATACAAAAAATTAGCTGGGCGTGGTGGCAGGCGCCTGTAATCCCAGCTACTTGGGAGGCTGAAGCAGGAGAATCGCTTGAACCCCGGAGGCAGAGGTTACAGTGAGCCGAGATCGTGCCACTGCATTTCCAGCCTGGGTGACAGTGCAAGACTCCGTCTCAAAAAAAAAAAACAAAAAAAAAAAACATGCTTGAGACTTTAGAAACACTTCTCTCAATAACTCATGGGTGGAAGGAGAAATCATGATGGATATTTAAATTATTTAGAATTAAGTGATAATGAACATGCCTCATATCAAAACTTGTGAGATGCCTTAAGGTCATACTTAAAGGGAAAGGTATGGCCTTAAATGCTTATAGAAGAAAGGCTTAAAGGTTAATGAGAGATTATGGGAGGTCGAGGCAGGTAGATCACATGAGGTCAGGAGTTTGAGACCAGCCTGGGCAACTTGGCAAAACCTGTCTCTACTAAAAATAGAAAAATTAGCTGAGTGTGGTGGTGCGCACCTGTAATTCCAGCTACTCGGGAGGCTGAGGTAGGAGGATTGCTTGAGCCCAGGAGGCGGAGGTTGCAGTGAGTGGAGGTTACAGGCACCCGCCACCAAACCCAGCTAATTTTTGTATTTTCAGTAGAAATGGGGTTTCACCATGGTGACCAGGCTGGTCTCGAACTCCTGACCTCAGGTGATCCACCCGTCTCGGCAGCCCAAAGCGCTGGGATTACAGGCATGAGCCACTGGTGCCCGGCCACTTTTTTTTTTTTTAATTATAAAATTCTTATTGATTTTAAATTTTAAAAAAATCTTTACTCTGTGCCTATGATTACCCAGGCTGTTGCTTTTTAACATATGGTGAGTGTCCTGGACACCGCCTGTCTGTTGCTAGCTGCTGCCATGGGATGAACCGCCGGCCAGGCTACACTGATTTATACAATATTAGGTTTCCTAAAAGAGGAAGGCCTACCTGTGGCCCTCACCTAAGAGCTTTCGGGGCAATTCGTGAAGTAAGTATACATAAAAAAGATTCCTACCATTGCATACCAAAAAAAAAAAAAAATGGTTACCGTCATATCAACGTCATGTTGCCAGGAGCCCCAGGTGCTCCTGCACGCCAGGGCCCCCGCTCCGAATGCTGCCCATTGCATCGTTTTCCACCTCCCTCTCGCCCGGAGCCTCTTCTGAACCCTTCTCATTGGAATCCCTTTCAATGGCAAACCTCATTCCTCATTCTACTCCCTGAATGCTCTCTCCTGGTCCTCATTCTTCCCTTGGAACACCGCCCCCTGGTATCGCTCTTGGAAGGCTATTTCTCATTCACACCTTTCAGACCTAGAGGTCTAGGGGTGAGGTTTGCCTCCTCCAACACCTCCCACAACCGACTACCCCTCTGTTCCACCTCCCACACGAAGCCTCCCTGGCCCTACCCTCTTCTCCAGCCCCACCGCCTCTGTCCCACTGTCCCACTTCAGACCTTATCACGCTTGATCTTGATATTACAAGAGCCTCCTTGGTCCTCCTCCACCTGCAGTCCAGGTCCTCCTTTCCTTCTCCACACTTCTCCACACAGCAGGCCATTCCCAGAGGGATCTTTTTTTTTTTTTTTTTTTTTTGAGACAGAGTTTCGCTCTTGTTGCCCAGGTTGGAGTGCAGTGGCATGATCTTGGCTGACCGCAACCTCCACCCGCCAGGTTCAATCAATTTTCCTGCCTCAGCCTCCCAAGTAGCTGGGATTACGGGGTCATGCCACCATGACCAACTAATTTTTGTATTTTTAGTAGAGACAGGGTTCCACCATGTTGGCCAGGCTGGTCTCGAACTCCTGACCTCAGGTGATCCACCCTCATTGGCCTCCCTAAGTGCAGGGATTACAGGCATAAGCCACCGTGCCCAACCCCAGAGTGATTTTTCTAGAAGCACAGATTGTCCTGGCCCTGTTCCCAGTGGCTTACCTTTCAGGGAGGTCTCCTTTACCTCCCCTGGGCAGTTAGGTGGTCGCCCCCTCCGGCTCCTCTAGCACCAAGGCAAACCTTGGTCACATTACCTGTCACATCCCTGGCACATCTGTCAACTTTGAGGAGAGGAAACAGGTAGGTGTGGCCATGCAAGGTGAGACCTGTGGATCCCCAGCTTCAGCAGCACACGAGGGCTTGTTAGGAAGGCAAAATCTGGCCAGGCGCGGTGGCTCACTTCTGTCATCCCAGCACTTTGGGAGACCGAGGCAGGAAGAGTTCGAGACCAGCTTGGGCAATGTAGTGAAACCTCATCTCTACAAAAAAATGCAAAAATTAGCTGGGCATGGTGGTGCATGCCTATAGTCCCAGCTACTCAGGAGGCTGAGGTGGGACGATCAACTGAGCCACAAGAGGTGGAGGCTGCAATGAGCTATGATTGTGCCACTGCACTCCAGCCTGGGCAATAGAGAGACCCAGTCTCAAAAAAGAAAAAAAAAAAGAATTTTAATTTGCATTTAACAAGGTCCCAAGTGATTTGCTTGCACTTTATTTATTTAGTTTTTTTTTTTTTTTTTGAGACGGAGTTTTTCGCTTTTGTTGCCCAGGCTGGAGTGCAATGGCACGATCTTGGCTTACCACAAACTCCTCCTCCTGGGTTCAAGCAATTCTCCTGCCTCAGCCTCCCGAGTAGCTGGGATTCCAGGCGTGCGCCACCACGCCCGGCTAATTTTGTATTTTTAGTAGAGACAGGGTTTCTCTATGTTGGTCAGGATGGTCTTCAACTCCTGACCTCAGGTGATCCACCTGCCTTGGCCTCGCAAAATGCTGGGATTACAGGTGTGAGCCACTGCTCCCGGCCTTGTTTGCACTTTGAAATTTGAGAAGCACTGAATACTGAAGAGAAGCATCAGCAAGGTGAGGGGACGATTTCCAAGTTCAAATAATTTTCATTGCCTTAGTTTGGGAGAGCTTGGGGTGAGAGTGGGTGAGGACAGCCAATTGAAATGACCTACTGTAGGCTGGGCATGGTGGGTCATGCCTGTAACGCCAGCATTTTGGGAGGCCGAGGCAGGCAGATCACTTGAGGTTAAGAGTTCGAGACCAGCCTGACCAACATGGCAAAACCCTGTCTCTACTAAAAGTACAAAAGTTAGCCGGGCATGGTGGTGCATGCTTGTAATCCCAGCTATGTGGGAGGCTGAGGCAGGAGAATTGCTTGAACTCAGGAGGCGGAGGATGCAGTGAGCCAAGATCATGTCACTGCACTCCAACCTGGGTGACAGAGCAAGACTCTGTCTCAAAAATAAAAAAATAATAATAATTGAAATAACCTACTGACATCCTAGAATGAATAAAATCAATGCAAGCTTTGAGGCTTAGATCTGGAAGAGATCCTATTATTCTGGAAACAGCTGACAGTTTCAGATTGATGCTGTGCTGCAGTGAATAAGGCAGACAGATGCCAGGATATGTCAGCAAAAGACCTGTCACAGCATCAATTAAGAGAAATGTTGAACACTCACCCCTTTGTCGGAGCCAGCATGAAGCAGGAGCACAGCAGCAGGAGGGCGAGAAGAGGGGAGACAGCTCTGTCCTGGCAACAGGAAATTGCCTCGGGAAGATTGATTTGCACTTAGTGCAAAGTCACTGTGAGGTCAGAAAGGGCTGTGTGTTGAATCTTTTCTGCATGTTCGACTCACCCGGGTCGTCCTGCCCAGTATGCACTTAGCACTCCTATTACTCAAAGACTCATCACAGGCAATGGCACTTAAATAATGGACCCTTAAGCCTAACCTTCTGAAAGGCTCCGGTTGTCTTTTATTAATAAAAACTAGATCTCTAGGGAAGAGCTAAGCTCTCCTACAGGGCAGTCAGTGTGGGGGCAGCTTGGTGGGGTGGGGGAAGGATGAGGGGGCTGTATTAATAGCCTTTGGGCACCCAGGAGAATGCTGCTGAGGAGAGCGTCACTGTTGATGTGCATATCTAGCTCCATGGGCCAAGTACCGCAGTGGAAAGTTCATGATCCCACGTGTTCCACTTCCTAGCCGTATCACGCTGGTATTCTCATTCCTACAGCTGAAAAACCTGAAGCAGAGGTTGCATGACTTGAGGCATCCCACTGCTAACTAATGGCAGAGATGCTGATATGGGTTGAATTCTGTCCCCTAAAAAAAGATATGCTGAAGTCTTAGACTATAACCTTATTTGGAAACGGGGTCATTGCAGATGCAGTTAGTTAAGATGAGATCATACTGGAGTGAGTGGAGCCTTTAATCAAAGATGATTTATGTCCTTATAAGAAGTGGGAGGCCGGCTGGGCACGGTGGCGTGTGCCTGTAATCCCAGCACTTTGGAAGGCTGAGGCAGGTGGATCACCTGAGGTCAGGAGTTTGAGACCAGCCTGACCAACGTGGTGAAACCCCATCTCTACTAAAAAAAAAAAAAAGGAAAAATTAGCTGGGTATGGTGGTGCATAACTGTAATCCCAGCTACTTGGGAGGCTGAGGCAGAAGAATTGCTTGAACCGGGAGGCGGAGGTTGCAGTGAGCCGAGATCTCACCATTGCACTCCAGCCTGGGCAACAAGAGAAAAACTCCATCTCAAAAAAAAAAAAAAAAAAAAAAAGAAGTGTGAGGCCAGGCAGTGGCTCACATCTGTACTCCCAGCACTTCTGGAGGCCAAGGTGGGAGGATTGTTTGAGCCCAGGAGCTCGAACCAGCCTGGGCAACATAGTGAGATCCTGCCTCTACAAAAAATTTTAAAATAAGTTGAGTGTGGTGGCACACTTCTGTAGTCCCAGCTACTTGAGAGGCTGAGGTGAGAGGATCACTTAAGCCTGGGAAGTGGAGGCTGCAGTGAGCCTTGATCGCGACACTGCACTCCAGCCTGGGTGACAGAGTGAGACCCTGTCTAGAAGGAGAAGGAGGAGGAAGGAAGAAGAGAAGAGAGGAGACACACAGGGGCAGATAGCTATGCGACAGTGGAGGCAGAGATAGCAGCGATGCAATTCCTACTTGCTAGGGAAGCCAGGATCACTGGCAAACACGAGAAGCTGGAGATTGAAGGAAGGATCTTCCTTCCCTACAGGTTTTGGGGGGAGCATGACACTGCCAACACCTTCATTTTGGACTTCCAGCCTCCAGAACTCTGAGGCAACACATTTCTGTCATTTTAAGTAACTCAGTTTGTGATACTTTGTTACTGCAGCCCTGGAAAACAAATACAGGTGGGATTCAGACTTTGGCCTGCTGAGCCTGTGGTTTTCCCGTTGATGTCGCCCTGCAGCCATGACATGGACAGAGCTACTTGGGATGCTGGGATCGCAGCATCCGTACTCACCTGCTCTCTGGAGCCCTCCTGCGCACATGGTAACATAGTTGTCCACAGTCACGTGGAGAAGGGGGATGCTGCTTGGAAAGCTTCAAAAATGGAGTAGACTCCTACCCAGGAGGAAGCCAGACTCCTGCATGGAGGGACCCTTTACATCCCATGATTTTATAAAGAAAGAAAGCAGATGACGTGTTGTCGTCAGCCATATAGAAGCAGAACCTGAGTCAGAGATCCCTGTGCAAGGGATTTATGGAGAAAGGGTTCCCAGCAAAAAAAAAAGAAAGAAAGAAAGAAAGAAAGAAAGAAAAAAGCAGCCGGGCACGGTGCCTCATGCCTGTAATCCCAGTACTTTGGGAGGCCGAGGCAGGTGAATCATCTGAGTTCAGGAGTTCGAGACCAGGCTGGCCAACATGATGAAACCCCATCTCTACTAAAAATACAAAAAGTAGCCGGGTGTGGTGGCAGGCACCTGTAATCCCAGCTACTCAGGAAGCTGAGGCAGGAGAATCACTTGAACCCGGAAGGCAGAGGTTGCGGGAGCCGAGGTTGCACCCCTGCACTCCAGCCTGGGTGACAGAGCGAGACTCCATCTCCAAAAAAATAATAATAATAATCAAAAAGGTCTTAATACATGCCAGTCATCATTCTAAGCACTTTACATATGATAACTCATTTAATCCTTGCAACACCCTTAGGTATCATTATCCCCATTTCTCAGAGGAAGAAACTGAGGCTCAGATAGCATATGAGTAATTTGCAGGAGTTCACACAGCTGGTCACAGAGCTAGGATTTGAACCCAAGTTATCCAGTCCCAAAGTCTGTGCCCTTAGGCACTATGACAGGTCTGCAAAGTGACACCCAGCAGACACACATTTAAAGGTAAATCATTGTTACTGGTATCCGAGCCACTGATCCTAGCTTGACTTGGGGGGTGAGCTCTACAGAGGCTGATTCTCTGTAATCCTACCCTCCCCTTCTCCCCATCAGGGCCCTTCTTAGCACTCTGGGTGGTTGCTCCAACCATGCACCTGGAAGCTTGGGCTTGGGTTACAATGCTCTGTTTATGTGTTTGTCTCCCCTGATTGCCTGCCAGTGATTCTTCCTTCTCATATCTCAGCACTTAACATAGTTCTTGATATATATTAGGTGATAAAAATTGTCTCTTCTTTTAGCACTGGAGCCATGAGATACCCCTGAGAAGTGGTGAGCTTGTGGCGTGAAGAGCTGGGTGACCTCCTCTTCCTTTTGGTGGCCTGAGCCAGAGATGTCACTTCCTCACCTGCTCTTTTCTGCTTTCATGTCTCAAGCTGCCTGGGGGCTTCTTTTTTTAGGTCTCTTACACTCGACTAATCTGCGAATGGGCCAAGAACCCACAATGGGGAAAGGACAGACTCTTCAATACGCAGGTTGGGAAAACAAAATATTCACCTGCAGAAGAATTAAATTGGAGCCTTGTCTCACATCTTATATAAAAATCAACTGAAAATGGATTAAGGACTTTAACATAAGATGTGAAACTAGAAGAAAACATAGGGGAAAAGCTTCTTGACATTGGTCTGGGCAATGATTTTTTTTTTTTTTAATATATGATCCCAAAGCTCAAGAAAAAAAAATAGGTGAATGGGGCCAGGCACGGTGGCTCATGCCTGTAATCCCAGCACTTTGGGAGACCAAGGCGGGCAGATCACTTGAGGTCAGGAGTTCAAGACCAGCCTGGCCAACATGGTGAAACCTCGTCTCTACTAAAAATACAAAAACTAGCCAGGCATGGTGGTGGGCACCTGCAATCCCAGCTCCTTGGGAGCCTGAGGCAGAAGAATCACTTGAACCTGGGAGGCAGAGGTGGCAGTGAGCCAAGATCGTACCACTGCACTCCTGCCTGGGCAACAGAGTGAGACTTCGTCTCAAATAAATAAATAAATAAATAAATAAAACAAAAATACAAAAATTAGCCAGGCATGGTAGTGCATGACTGTAATCCCAGCTATTCGGTAGGCTGAGGTGGGAGGATCAACTGAGCCCAGGAGGCAGAGGTTGCAGTGAGCCAAGATCAAGCTATTGTATTCCAGCCTGGGTGACAGAGTGAGACACTGTCTCAAAAACAAAACAAAAAACGACCAAAACAACAAAAAAAGATGAACGGGGTGAAGAGACAACCTATGGAATGGGAGAAAATATTTGCAAACCATACATCTGATAAAGGATTAATAACCATAATATATAAGGAACTCAAACAACTCAGTAGTAATTAAACAAATAACCTGATTTAAAAACAGGCAAAGGACCTGAGCAGGCATTCCTGAAAAGAAGACTTACCAATAGCTAACAGGTAAATTAAAAAGTGTTCAGTATCACTAACCATCAAGAAAATGCAAATCAAAACCACAATGAGCTATCATCTCATGTGTGTTGGAATGGCTATCATCAAAAAACAAAAGATACCAAGTACTGGTAAGGATGTAGAGATAAGCAAGCCCTGTACACTGCTGTTTAACAGTGGATTTAAATTTGTACAGCCACTATGGAAAGCAGTATGGAGGTTCCTCAAAAAATTTAAAATAAGTTGGGCACGGTGGCTCATGCCTGTAATCCCCGCACTTTTGGAGGCTGAGGCAGGAGGCTCACTTGAGGCCAGGAGTTCAAGGCCAGCCTGGGTAACTTGGTGAAACCCTATCTCTAACAAAAATATAAAATTAGACAGGCACAGTGGCATACACCTGTAATCCTAGCTACTCAAGAGGCTGAGGCAGGAGAATTGCTTGAACCTGGGAGGCGGATATTGCAGTGAGCCGTGATCACACCACTGCACTCCAGCCTGGGCAACAGAGCAAGACTCTGTCTCAAATAATAATAATAACAATAATAATAATAACAATGGGAAGAGACTTAATCTATGGTCTAAGAAGTAGAATTGCAAACATGCTATGTGACTCAGTCTCCAGGGCTTCTCCCTTGGCAAAATAAATTTAGAGGGTCCTGAAATTTTGTTTCCTTTTCTTTTTTTTTTTAGATGGAGTTTTGCTTTTGTTGCCCAGGCTGGAGTACAATGGTGCAACCTCGGCTCACCGCAACCTCCACCTTGCAGATTCAAGTGGTTCTCCTGCCTCAGCCTCCTGAGTAGCTGGGATTACAGGCATGCGCCACCATGTCTGGCTAATTTTGTATTTATAGTAGAGA
Organism: Homo sapiens; assembly: GCF_000001405.40. Taxonomy (NCBI): domain Eukaryota; kingdom Metazoa; phylum Chordata; class Mammalia; order Primates; family Hominidae; genus Homo; species Homo sapiens. Next base: position 40,716,544 of record NC_000022.11, on the reverse strand, counting down.
TGGGGTTTCTCCATGTTGGTCAGGCTGGTGTCGAACTCCCGACCTCAGGTGATCCGCCTGCCTTGGACTCCCAAAGTGCTGGGATTACAGGCGTGAGCCATCGCGCCCAGCTCCTACCAGTGTTTTCTGTCGCAGACCTGTGTCTTTCCTTCAGGGCTCTTACCACCAGCTGTACATATTGCTCATTTGTCTGTCCGCCAGTTTAATGACTGTCTTCCCATAAAATGTGAGATCTGGGAGGGAGAGAACCATCCTGCCTCTCTTGCCCTTGTATCTGCAGTCCTTAGCACTGTGCCTCGTACATAGTAAGTTAATACTCAGTAAATATCTGCTGAATTAATGCTGACTTTCTATAGATCAGGCATAGTAATTTCATCTCCTTATCTTTATTGGCTTGTCAAAATTAATTATATATTTTTAAAAAGCTCTCCATACTTTGGGAGGCCTAGACGGGCGGATCACTTGAGGCCAGGAGTTGAAGACCAGCCTGGCCAACATTGTGAGACCCCCGTCTCTACTAAAAATACAAAAATTAGCCGGGTGTGGTGGCCGGCGCCTGTAGTCCCAGCTACTGGAGAGCTGAGTCACAAGAATTGCCTGAACCCAGGAAGCAGAGGTTACAGTGAGCCGAGATCCTGCCACTGCACTCCAGCCTAGGCGAAAGAGTGAAACTCTGTATCCAAAAAAAAAAAAAAAAAAAGCTCCTTAGAAGGGAAAAAAATGAAAAGTAACATATTTTCCCCCTTTAATGCCCCTCAACTGCAAAGGTAAGCACTGACAACAGCTTATTTTGTCTCCTCACAAACTTGTTTTAGCCCTTTTTAAAAAACACACACACACAAATGCAATAAGTATAATTCCATTCTGCAACTTGACTTTTTTTATGTGGTAAAGAACATACAACATAAAAGTTACCATCTTAATTTTTTTTTTTTTTTTGATACAGAGTCCCGCTCTGTCCCAGGCTAGAGTGCAGTAGTGCGATCTCGGCTCACTGCAACCTCCACCTCCACCTCCCGGGTTCAAACGATTCTCCTGCCTCAGCCTCCCAAGTAGCTGGGACTACAGGTGCCCGCCATCACACCCAGCCAATTTTTGTATTTTTAGTAGAGAAGGGGTTTCACCATGTTGGCCAGGATGGTCTTGATCTCCTGACCTCGTGATCCTCCCGCCTCAGCCTCCCAAAGTGCTGGGATTACAGGCGTGAGCCACTGCATCTGGCCTTAATCATTTTTAAGTTTAGAATTCAGTAGTTATAGTCACATTGTTGTACAACCAATTTCCAGAATTTTTTCATCTTGCAAAGCTGAAACTCTATACCCATTAAACAACCCCATTCCTCCCTGCCCCGAGCCCCTGGCAACCACCCTTCCCCTTTCTGTTTCTATGAGTTTGAACAACTTGCTTTTTTTAACTTAACAGTACATCTTTCCATATGGGTACATAAGCTCTAGCTCATTATTCCTTCAGCTGTCTGGTGGCTTAGCTGATATTTAACCCATCTCCCATCAGTGATGTGAAGGTCGTTTCCAGCTTTTTGCTGTTATTATACAAAAATGCTGTCATGCCGGGGTTAAGCCCCAGAACCGTGAGATCAAAGGGTATGCACTTGTATTGGGCCAAATTGCTGCTCAAAGAAGTTGTACCAGTCAACGCTCCCACCCACAGAGGAGGAGGGGCTCTTCATTCTGCACGGCGATCAGGTTCTTCCAAGTGTAAACCAACAAGTAAATATTGTGTCATCCCAGGGACAAGCAGGACCAAGCCTTGAAAGGAGAGGTCAGACTCCCCTCTGTGTTGATTTCCCCAGGAGAAGCTCGGGAAATGAGCCGGCCGAAGACGAGGGAATCAGTGCAGTGAGATGTACAGAAGGAAGTCTAATTCAAAAGCCACATAATGAGTGGACTTGGAAGAAGCTCGTTGCTGTGGCAACCTGATCCCCCTGCTGCCAAGAACGGGTTTTCTTCTTTCTTCTGCACCTGGCAGGAGCTCCTTTTCCTCCACATTACTTGAGAAAGAAAGACAGACTTTGGCATTCTTTTACTGAGGTCAGTGCACTGTTTCTGTCAGTGGCCAGCCATCACTGAGAGAGCACGTACCCCCGACAGGTGCGGACCTGGCCGAGCCCTGTCCCGTGGTGGGTGGACAGAATGCACCCAGTGTCTGGACTATAACACTGATGTCATGGGCCATACCAACTTGGGCTGCCTTTTCTGATACTCCCCAGAGGTGCCGGGCAGGCTAAGCCCCCATGGAGACTGCTCTGTTTCCTTTACAAGAAAAGCTTTTCTAGATTTTTGTTTAAGAATGCCAAAGTTCTGGCCAGGTGCGGTGGCTCATGCCTGTCATTCCAGAATTTCAAGAGGCAGAGGTGGGAGGATCGCTTGAGGCCAGGAGTTCAAGACCAGCCTGAGCAACATAATAAGGCCATGTCTGTACAAAAAAAAAAAAAAAAAAAAAAAAACACCAAAGTTCAAGGGCCCAGTGAGCTTGCTTGAGCAAGACTCTTAAACCTGCTCAGGTTTTAAGTTACTTCGCCTGGCTTCTTCCAGGGCATTTAACCTTGAAAATGCTGATTGAGGTGGGGCTTGGTGGCTCACGCCTGTAATCCCAGCACTTTGGGAGGCCGAGGCGGGCGGATCACCTGAGGTCAGGAGTTTGAGACCAGCCTGGCCAGCATGGTAAAACCCTGTCTCTACTAAAAATACAGAAATTAGCTGGGCTTTGGCAGGTGCCTGTAATCCCAGCTACTTAAGAGGCTGAGGCAGGAGAATCACTTGAACCTGGGAGGCAGAGGTTGCAGTGAGCCGAGATCGCGCCATTGACTCCAGTCTGCGCGACAAGAGCAAGACTCCATCTCAAAAAAAAAGAAAAAGAAAAAGAAAATGCCGATCGGAATAGAGCTGCAGGAGGGATGACAGATGGGTAGGTAGAGTTAAATTCAGTTCTTTTCACCTGTTCTCTGTATCGGGCTCTGTGGTAGGCACACAATTTACATTCCCCTTCATGTAATGCTTTTCACGGCTTAGTAAGGTGGAAATTGTTATCCCATTTTTATAAGAATGAAATCTAAGGCTCCACAAGCTTAAGTGTTTTGCCTAAGATCTCAGTGCAGGAATATGAACCCAGGTCCACCTCATCTCAAGGTGGTGTCCCTTCACCACTACCTTCCACAGTGAGGTTGTTCGGTCAAGCAAACCAGGCAGGAGAGGGATCGTCTCTTCTCTTGAGATGATGGCGGCCAATCATTAAATCTCCCCCTAAGCAAGGAAGTCTTTAGGGACTTGACCTCCAGCCTCACCTGAAGGTTCCCTTGTCCTCAGAAGTCCCATCTCTCTCCTTCAATCAGGTAGTGGGATATAGCAGGGAAAGCATAGTGCGGAGCCAGATAGACCCAGGTTCAAATCCATGCGCCCTGTGGACTCCCTGATTTCGTCCTTGCTATAGAATTGAGGGAAAACAGCGACTCTGTTGTTTTGTGTTTTGTTCTTGTAAAGACAGGGTCTCACTATGTTGCCGAGGCTAGTCTTGAACTCCTGGGCTCAAGAGATCCTCCCACCTCAGCCTCCCAAAGAGCTGGGATTACAGGCATGAGCCACCATGCCCAGCCCTAGTTTTGTTTGAAGAATGCTGAGGACTGCCAGGGGTGGTGGCTCACGCCTATAATCCCAGCACTTTGGGAGACTGAGGTGGGTGGAACTCCTTGAGCCCAGGAGTTCGAGGACAGCCTGGGCAACATGGCAAGACCACATCTCTACAAAAAAATAAACAAAATTAGCCAGACATGGTGGCACATGCCTGTGGTCCTGGCTACTCAGGAGGCCGAGGTGGGAGGATCACTTGAGCCGGGGAGGTAGTAAGCCATGATGACGAACTGTACTCCAATCCAGCCTGGGCAACAGAGCAAGACCCTGTCTCAAAAAAAAAAAAAAAAAGAAAAAGAAAAAAAGAGAGAATGCCAAACGCCGAGGGCCGTGGGGAGGACTAAGTGAACCGAGGAGAAGGATCCTTGACTTTTGTATTAAACTCAACCAGCCCAGGCCAGGCGCAGTGGCTCATACCTGTAATTCTCACACTTTGGGAGGCCGGGGTGTAAGGATCACTTGAGGTCAGGAGTTCGAGACCAGCCTGGCTAATGTGATGAAATCCCATCTCTACTAAAAGTACAAAAAAATTACCCGAGTATGGCGGCCAACTCCTGTAACTGTAGCTACTCGGGAGGCTGAGGCAAGAGAATCACTTGAACCTGGGAGGCAGAGATTGCAGTGAGCAGAGATCGTGCCACTGCACTCCAGCCTGGGTGATAGAGCAAGACTTTGTCTCAAAAAAAAAAAAAAAAACCTCAAACAGCCCGTCTCTACCCAGCAGCTTAGGAGACTTTTCTCCTTCTGAGCTCTCTTTTCTGGGTTCTCCCACAAAAAGCTTCCTTCTGTCGCCCCCAGGGTATATAAAGATATTTACTTGTACCCTTGAATTTGATTTCTCTACATCCCATCCTAGAGGCAACTGTGCCTGTAGCCATCCCTGGGGGAATCTTGCCCCACGCACACATTTACTCTGCACCTTCCGGACCCCATACCCCTTTTCTATGTGCCTGTTGCCTCCGGCCAGGCCTCGGAAATCTTGCCCTGTTCTCCCCAGGCTTCGTAGCATGGCCTGACTGACAGTGGCATGTGTAGCAGGATCGCAGATTAATATACAAGGAAAGGCGCACGGAGAGACGATGTTTCTCTCTTTCCTGCAGCTGATCTGCTGAGCCATGAGCCCCTCCGGGGAAGTGGAAAGAAACTGTCATCACTGCACTGCAGCTTATCTCGGTTTAGATAGCCTCTCGATGACTCATGTCTCTGTAAATACTTGGTTTTTTTGTTCTGTTTTGTTTGAGATGGAGTCTCGCTCTGTCACCCAGGCTACAGTGCAGTAGTACGATCATAGCTCACTGTGACCTCAGTATCCTGGGTTCAAGTGATCCTCCTGCCTCAGCCTCCCAAGTAGCTGGGACCACAGCCACACGCCACACGCCACCACATTCAGCTAATTTTTTTTTCACATTCAGCTAATTAAAAAAAATTTTTTTTGGAGGCTGGGTGTGGTGGCTCATGCCTGTAATCCCAGCACTTTGGGAGGCCGAGGTGGGTGGATCACCTGAGGTCAGCAGTTCAAGACTAGCCTGGCTAATCTGGTGAAACCCCATCTCTACTAAAAATAAAAAATTAGCCGGGCGTGGTGGCGCATGCCTGTAATCCTAGCTACCCAGGAGGCTGAGGCAGGAGAATTGCTTGAACCCAGAAGGCGAAGGTTACAGTGAGCCAAGATTGCCCCATTACACTCCAGCCTGGGCAATAAGAGCAAAACTCTGTCTAAAAAAAAAAAAAAAAATTTGTTTGTAGGGGTTGGCTCTCACTATGTTGTCCAGGCTGGTCTTGAACTCCTGAGCTCAAGCGATCCTTCTGCCTCAGCCTCCTAAAGTGCTGGCATTACAGGCGTGAGCCACTGTGCCCAGCCCCCATGTGGGCCTTTTGGAGTGCCCTGCTGACACTCCCTGCCCGGTGAGTCCTCATGGCTGAGTTCCTGTTGTGAGGTCTGCACATATACTGGTCTCTTTTTCCTGCCCTGACACTCTGGGAATCTCAAGGCCCTTCAGCTCTTGCAAGTCCCCTGGTCAGATCCTGGAGGGATTTCAGGATGCCCTGTGGCCGTGGGGAGCCAAGTGTGGGGCCCAGGCTCACCTGTGCAGTCATTTCCCAGCTCATTGTTACTTCCTGTCCTCTTGATTGCTGGACACAGTGTCCAGACCACTATGGGATACTTCCTAGGGCTCCAAATAAAACAGAGGAGGCTGGGCGCGATGGCTCACGCCTGTAATTCTGGCACTTTGGGCAGCCGAGGCAGACAGATCACAAAGTCAGGAGATGGAGACCATCCTGGACAACATGGTGAAACCCCGTCTCTACTAAAAATACAAAAAATTACTGGGTGTGGTGGCGGGTGCCTGTAATCCCAGCTACTTGGGAGGTTGAGGCAGGAGAATTGATTGAACCAAGGAGTCGGAGGTTGCAGTGAGCCAAGATCATGCCACTGCACTCCAGCCTGGTGACAGAGCAAGACTCCATCTCCAAAAAAAAAAAAAAAAAAAAAAAAAGACAGAGGGCTGAGGATCCTGTGCCTTTAGCTGTCCCTCAACCCTTCCAACACGCACCTCCCTCAACCCCTGCCTCTGGCCTGGAGGAGGAGCTTAAGAAGCAGTAGTAGGACGGCCTGTGTCCCTTGCCTCTGCTTCCTTTTGCAGCCATCCTGGGGCCACAGCCACTGCATCACATCTGGATTCCTTCCACCCCAGGCACACACAGCAAAACTCAGTGATCTAGTCCAACAGGCCTAGCTCTTGATATGTTAACACGTGCCTAAATTGTTTAGAAAATCCTTTTCTCTCTTGGCAAAGACTGGCTTTCAAAGCTATTACTTTGCCTTACACAGAGGAATATTTTTTTGGATGTCCACAGCTGCGTATTGGCTTTCTATTTCTCTTTGCAATCCTAATCGTCTCTGAGGCAAACAGATGCCTCTGGCAGAAGGGGAAGGAGGTCACACAAAAGGGAGTGCAAAAGAGGAAAGCACGATAATATCATGCACTAGCTCATTCTCCCCAGGCCCTGTGCTTATGACTTGGCAGTGTTTAAGGTTCCTACCAGCCCTGACATCCTGTGAATCTGTGAATCCTATCCTTTCAAGCCTATCAACATAAGAACCCTTTTTTCATTAGCAGTGTGCTTTTTGTTTGTTTGCTTGCTTGTTTTTGTTTGTTTGTTTTGGTCTGGTTGGTTTTTTTGTTTTTTGGGTTTTTTTTTTTTTTTTGAGACGGAGTCTCACTCTGTCACCCAGGCTGGAGTGCAGGGGCGTGATCATGGCTCACTGCAGCCTTGACCTCCCAGGCTCAGGCGATCCTCCCACCTAAACCTCCCGAGTAGCTGGGACCACAGGCACCTGCCACCAGGCCCGGCTAATTTTTGTATTTTTAGTAGACACAGGGTTTCACCATGTTGGCCAGGCTGGTCTCAAACTCCTGGGCTCAAGCAATCCATTGGCCTCGGCTTCCCAGAGTGCTGGGATTACAAGCATGAGCCACCGTGCCCTGCTGTCTTTCAATTTTTATTAAAGGAGAAGGAGATTTGAGACACAGAGACATAGAAAGCGAGCCAGGTGAAGACTGAGGCAGAGACTGGAGTGGTGCCTGTGTGGGCCTCAGAGCCTCCAGAAGGGACCAACTTACCTGAGAACTTGATTTTGGATTTCTGGCCTCCAGAACTATGAGATAATACATTATTTCACAGTTTCTAACCTGCCAAGTTTGTGGTATTTTGTTATGGCAGCCTAGGAAACTAATACAGGGCACATTGGATTTAGAAATAAAGAGGTCATTGGTTGACTTTGGTGGGTTCTAAACCAGTAGGAGCAACTTTTCCAGGAAGCTTGACTATCAAGAGGAGGAGCGCTATGGCAGTAACTAAAGGAATGTTGCTTTAAGAAAAGATGTATATTGGTTCCAGCAGAGCTATTAAACAAACAAACAAACAAAAAACCCAAACAAACAAACAAAAACCCCCACCAAACTACAAATAAATAAATATTAAAAAAAAAAAAAAAGCTGAGGCGGGAGAATCTCTGGAATCCTGGAGGCGGCAGTTACAGTGAGCCAAGATTGTGCCACTGTACTCCAGCCTGGGCGACAGAGCAAGACTCCATCTCAAAAAAAAAAAAAAAAAAAAAAATCCAAGGACATCAGCTATAGGATTTAGGATGGACCTATATGACCTCAACGCAAGACCTTTAACTTAATTATATCTACAAAGACTCAATTTCCAAATAAGGTCACGGTCACAGGTGTCAGGGTCAAGACTTGGACGTATCTTTTGGGAGGACACTATTCATCCACCACAGATCCTTGCCAGGCCTCATCCTGACCTTTTTGCAGCATTTGACCCGCTGGGTCACTTGCTCGTGGAAACCATGTTTTCCATCAGCTTCCAGGATGCCACCGCTCCCCTGGCTTCCCTCCTGCCTCTCTGGATGATCCAACACAAGCTCCTCTGCTGATTCCTCTTCCCCAGCCAGCCCTGAACAGTGAAGGTTTCTAAGATTCTATCCTTAGCTTTCTTCCTCTTCTTTCTTTTCTCCTCCTCCTCACCCTTCTTCCTCCTCTTCCTCTTCCTCTTCTTCCTATTCTTCTTCTTCTTCTTTCATCTTCTTTCATCTTCTTTCTTCTTCTTCTCTTGGTTGGGCCATTGCATTCATTCCCATGGGCTTCAAGAAAGACACAAGGGAGTTATCCTGGATATGAGAGTCCATATTATTGGCCGGGCGTGGTGGCTCACGCCTGTAATCCCAGCACTTTGGGAGGCCGAGGCAGGCAGATAACAAGGTCAGGAGCTCGAGACCATCCTGACTAACACGGTGAAACCCCGTCTCTACTAAAAATACAAAAAATTAGCCGGGCGTGGTGATGGGTGCCTGTAGTCCCAGCTACTTAGGAGGCTGAGGCAGGAGAATGGTGTGAACCCGGGATGCAGAGCTTGCAGTGAGCCAAGATCGCGCCACTGCACTCCAGCCTGGGTGACAGAGCAAGACTCTGTCTCAAAAAATGAGAAAAGTCCATGTTATTGCAGATTTTAGGGCTAGAATGGGTCTTTGACAATGTAACCTGATGGCAATGGGTAAAGTGAAACTGCCTATGCAAAGATAATTCCAATGAGAGAAATCTAACATGGGTGACTCCATCTAGCCTCCAGCCTCACAGGTTGGCTCTCTTTGCTCATTTCTGGGCATAGGCCAAGCTAACCATGAGAGGAATTCAGTTTATAGTTTAACTTTGAAGCAAGGATGATAACAGTCCCTTTTAATTTGAGAGCTGAAACCACCTTTGTAAGACTAGTGAAAAGCCAAAAGATTAGGATTATGAGGGGAAGCTGAATTCTGTCAAAATGCAGGTGTAGTTTCTGTAATCCCTTACTGCTCAGGAGTCATGAGGCCAGAGGCCATAAGATTTGTGACTTCCCCAGTTGCTCCTATAGATAACATCACTCTTGTAGAACCTAAGATTGGCCTTTTGAGATGTTTTTCAGACTCGTGACCCATGACCATGACTGTGGCCCTACCAAGAGGTGGACTCAGTGCACAAGGACCATTTTCCACGCCCCTACAATTGCATCCCTAACCAGTCAGCAGCACCCATTCCCTAGTCCCTGCCAGCCAAACTATCCTTGAAAAATCTGAACCACTGATCCTTCAGGGAGACTGATTTGAGTGATAACCCCAGTTCTCCTGTATAACCAGCCTTGTGTTAATTAAACTCTTGCTTTACTGCAATACCACAGTTCAAAAAAATTAATTTGGTCTGTGCAGCAGACGGGAAGCACCCATTGGGCAATTACAAAAGGTCAGAAAAGTGACAAAAGGAATACAATATTTTAAGTCCAGGCACAGTTGCTCAGGCCTGTAATCCCAGCACTTTGGGAGGCTGAGGCAGGATCACCTGATGTTAGGAGTTTGAGACCAGCCTGGCCAACATGGTGAAATCTGTCTCTACTAAAAATACAAAAATTAGCTGGGCATGGTGGCATGCTCCTGTAATCCCAGCTACTTGGGAGGCTGAGGCAGGGGAGTCACTTAAACATGGGAGGTGGAGGTTACAGTGAGCCAAGATCATGACACCGCACTCCAGCCTGCGTGATACAGTGAGATTCCATCTCAAAAAAAAAAAAAAAAAAAAAAAGAGGAATACAATATTTTAAGAAGATTTCTCCAGTCTTGGTGTTTGAGATGGACTGGATTGGTGAAAGAGACTAGAAAACCAGAGACCCTTTGGGGATTTACTGTAGTAATCCAGGTATGTAATGAGGAGGGCTTAGACTAGGATGCTACCAAGAAAGAGAGGGAAGAGGAGAATGAAGGTTTTTTGGGGGGCACCTATTCTGTGCTACTTTATATACACGTCAGTTCTCACAACAACCCTACAAGGAATGTATTCAGATTTCCATTTTTACAGACTTTTTAAAAAGTTCAGAGAGGTTAAGTGACTTGTTGAAAGTCACACAGCAAGTCTATGGCCATCCTGGGGCATAAACCTAGGTATTTCTGAGACCAGAAATCAGATGGAAGGAATAAATGTGTGAAATAATGTAATATAAGGCTCCTGGCCAGAGATCCTAATACCTTTGTTACTTTCTAAGGGATAGAAACCAAAAGGAGCATCTGGTGTTATCATATTTGCTTTTCGTTCCTAGTTCCTGAAATAGCTCCAGAAGGATTGAAAGGAGAATCTTCTGTTATTCATCACAAGCACCTTTGGCCCACACCCGAGTTTATGTTAATGAGGTGATTTAGGGAAGTCCCTAAGGATGAAGGCTGGGAGCTGGGGGAGCCAACCAAATGATTACAGGGTTGGAATTCTCAGCCACACCCTCCCAAAGGGTTGAGCCGGTCGCCAATGGTCAATGATTTAATCAATCAAGGCTCCATAGAAACCCTAACCTGAAGGGTTCTAAGTTGATGAACAAGAAGGCATCCACGTGCGGGGAGGGCGGCGTACCCTAAACTCCAAGGGGATGGAAGCTCTTGTGCTTGGGACCCTTCTGGACCTCATCCCGGGTATCTCTTCCCCTGGCTGTTCATTTGTACCTTTAAAATATCCTTTGTAGGCTGGACACGATGGCTCACACCTATAATCCCAGCACTTTGGGAGGCTGAGGAGGGCCAATCACTCGAAGTCAGGAATTCGAGACCAGCCTGGCTGACGTGGTGAAACCCCCATCTGTACTAAAAATACAAAAATTAGCCAGGTGTGGTGTCACACCTGTAATCCCAGCTACTTGGGAGGCTGAGGCAGGAGACTTGCTTGAACCCGGGAGACAGAGGTTGCAGTGAGCCGAGATCACGCCACTGCACTCCAGCCTGGGTAACAGAGCAAGACCTTGTCTCAAAAATAAATAAGTAAATAAATAAAATAGCCTTTGTAAAAAATCTGTAATAGGAAGTAAACTTTTCCTGGGTTCTTTGAGCTGTTCTAGTAAATAACTGAACCTGAAGAGGGGGATCGAGGGAACCTCTGATTTGTAGCCAAGTCAGATAGAGGTTTTGAGTAACCGCGGGCCCAGCCACTATCAATTGGCAACCGAGGTTGGGAGGAGTCTTGTGGGACTGAGCCCTTAACCTGTGGGGTCTCCACTAACTCCAGGCACTTCGTGTCAGAATCGAGTTTAATTGTAAGACACCTGGTCAGCATCCCCTGATGCTAATTGGAGCATTGTTTGATGTGGGAGAACTTCTTACAAATTTGGTGTCAGAAGCAAAGTATGGTAGAGAAACTACAGTGAGTGTGTAGAGAAAAATAGTTTGTTCTTTTTAGGAATGAAGAGCAAGGGACAGAATATCCTGAATGGAAATGGGGGATTTTTTTGTTTTTAATTTTATTCTTTTGAGAATGAGTCTCACTCTGTCACCAGGATGGAGTGCAGTGGTATGATCTCAACTCACTGCAACCTCCACATCTCAGGTTCAAGTGGTTCTCCAGCCTCAGCCTCCCAAGTAGCTGGGTCTACAGGCACAAGTCACCAATGCCTAGCTAATTTTTGTATTTTTGTGGAGATAGGGTTTCACCTTGTTGGCCAGGCTGGTCTCAAACTCCTGAGCTCAAAGCAATCCGCTTGCCTCAGCCTCCCAAGGTGCTGGCATTCCAGGTATGAGCCACTGCTCCCGGCCTAGAAATGGGGAATTTTAGAGAGTAAGTTAGTGTGGATGGTAAGTGGTAGAAAGATAATGGAAAATGGTTTCACTTTATTGAGTCTGGGATGATAGAATTGTCATGTGAACAGATGGAAATATTCGAACCAGGGGGTCAGAAAGGGAGATAAGGATTTGAGAGGCATCAGTAAAGAGGTGGCTCATGCCTGTAATCTCGGCACTTTGGGAGGCCAAGGCGGGAGGAACACTTGAGGCCAGGAGTTCGAGACCAGGCTGGCCAATTTGGTGAAACCCTTTCTCTACTAAAAAAATATATATATATCTATATATATAGATATATATATCTACTAAAAATATATATATATAAACATATATATCTCTACTAAAAAAAAAAATATATATATATATATATATATATATATATATATGAAAATTAGCTGGGTGTAGTGGTACGTGCCTGTGGTCCCAGCTACTTGGGAGGCTGAAGCAGGACAATTGCTTGAACCAGGGAGGTGGAGGTTGCGGTGAGCCAAGATTGTGGCACTGCACTCCAGCCTGGGCAACAGAGTGAGACTCTGTCTCAATAAATAAATAAAGTAGAGAGTGGTCGACTGAGTGGTCAAGGAGATGGAGACAGCAGGGGACTGGTCACATTTAGGAGTGCTTTACCGAAAAGATGGATGGCATTTAAGATTCCCTTCCCCGTTTCCTTCAGAAGATTTTTCTTAATTTCTGGTTTCTTGCTCTTTACTCCATTTCCCAAGGAAGGAAGGAAAGAGAGTTGGGGAGGCCACCAGAAATGTATAAGCTCTGGCAAAGCTCTTATTGGCTGGCGGCCAGGCTGAGGCGGGGCAGCCACTCTCCAGGCTTGGGTGGGCCTGCTGTGCCAGCCAGCTGGTCTCAGATGGTTAGTGCAGGGAGGGTGGGCTGACCCGAGGGGACACCATGCAAGGCAGAGGTGCCAGGCAGCATGTGCCCAAAGTCCATTTGTCTGGCAAGTAAGAGCTTTGTCCAGGGTTGGTAATGTTGCCGGCATTTAGCTTTTGGGCCTTTTTTTCTGGAGAGACTAGGATAGAGAGACAGCAGAACTGCCATGAACCAAACTCTCTCGTTTTTCCCTTTTGCAATGAATTGGTTTGTCTCCAGGCTGCTGTTACAACCACGTAATTGCAACCAGGTTACTTTCTTTCTTCTTATTTTTTTTTCAACCTCTAAATCTACTTTAAACTTTCTTTGTTTCTAATAGAGATGGGGTCTTCCTATGTTGTCCAGGCTGGTCTCAAACTCCTGGGCTCAAGTGATCCTCCTGCCTTGGCCTCACAAAGTGTTGGCATTACAGGCATGAGCCACTTCAACAAGCCCAGATTACTTTCTTGTCACATGTTGCAAAACAGACCCCAGGAGGATCTGAGAACACAGAATGTATCAAGCTGAGACACAGACAAGGACACAGTGGGGATACCCATGTGACTGATCCTAGCCAATAAGTGTGTTCCACTTCTCTGGTTTTCATGCTTGATTGGGTGGAAGTGGGAAGATATGTAACTCATACAGGACCAATCAGAGGCTTATTCAGGGTTTGAAACAGACACTGGGGAGAAAGGTGGCAAGGAGTACCGGGTAGCAGGAAAGAAGATATGCTAATTCCTGGAGCTGCTGCCAGTAGGAACAAGGCAAGTTTACATGCCTGCTGGGCACCATCTTTGCTACCACTTGGGAGAACATCCCCTATGAGAAGGAAGCCAAAAGAGAGGAAAACTGAGCCAGACAGTGAGGAGAGATAAATCGTGAGGAAGAGGGTGGGCGCGGTGGCTCACGCCTGTAATCCCAGCATTTTGGGAGGCTGAGGTGGGTGGATCACAGGTCAGGAGTTCAAGACCAGCCTGGCCAAGATGGTGAAACCCTGTCTCTACTAAAAATACAAAAAAAAAAAAAAAAAAAATTAGCTGGGCGTGGTGGCGAGGGCCTGTAATCCCAGCTACTCGGGAGGCTGGGGCAGAGAACTGCTTGAACCTGGGAGGCAGAGGTTGCAGTGAGCTGAGATTGCACCACTGCACTCCAGCCTGGATGACAGAGCGAGACTCCATCTCAAAAAATAAATAAATAAAATAAAATAAAATGTGAGGAAGAGAGAAAGGGAATGTCTGTCCCGATGGCCTTGAGCCCTTGGATCCAGTCATGACTTAAAGCCAGATCTAGTCCTCAACGTTTCCCTTTAATAAGCCAATACATTCCCCCTTTTTGCTCAAATCAGAGTTAAATTTCTAACATTTACAACAACAACAAAAAAAGCTCTCACAAATCATCTTAGTCAGCTCAGGCTGATATAATAAAATACCGGGCGGCTTAAACAACAGGCATTTATTTCTCCTGATTCTGGAGGCTGGGAAGTCCCAGATCAAAGTGCCAGCCAATTGCATTCCTGCTGAGGATTCTCTTCCTGGCCAGACTTGGCCGGGTGTGGTGGTTCATGCCTGTAATCCCAGCACTTTGGGAGGCCGAGGTGGGCGGATCACCTGAGGTCAGGAGTTCAAGACCAGCCTGGCCAACATGGTGAAACCCCATCTCTACTAAAAATACAAAATTTAGCTGGGCTTGGTTGTGGGCACCTGTAATCCTAGCTACTCAGGTGGCCGAGGCAGGAGAATCGCTTGAACCCGGGAGGTGGAGGTTGCAGTGAGCCGAGATTGCGCCATTGCCCTCCAGCCTGGGCGAAAGAGGGAGATTCTGTCTCAAAAAAAAAAAGAAAGGTTACTTCAGAAAGTATAGTGAGCTGAAATTGTGCCACTGCACTCCAGCCTGGGTGACAGAGTGAGACTCCATCTCAAAAATAAATAAATAAATAAAAGACTCTTTCTGGCTTGCAGACATCAGTCTTCTGTATCCTCACAGAAGTGTGCAGGTGGAGAGAGGCAGAGGGGAAGCAAGCTTTCTGATGTCTCTTCTTATAAGGGCCACACCCTCAAGACTTCCTCTAAACCGGATCGCTTCCCAAAGACTCCATCTCCAGATACTAACACATTTGGGGGTTAGGGCTTTGTTTTGCAGCAGAGTGAGAGATCACCTCCAACCTCATGTGCCTCTTATGTGGGCTCTCAGCTATATCTAGAGACCAAATTGACACAAGGCAGAGTAGCAAGATAAAAGCATATAAGCTTTATTAGTTTTCCATGTACACAGGGATCTTCACAAGAGTGAAGTCTGAAGAAGTGGCCAAAGTAAGATGCATTTATACTTTTTCGACAAAGAACAATACATTTGAGAAGAAATAACAGGGCAAAAGGGATCTGGTTACGGGCAGTAAATTTCTAAGGGAGTCACCGGGAGATGTATGGGAGGGTATACAACCAGCAGAATAGAAAGGTCATTTCGGGCGCCAGGTGCAGTGGCTCATACCTGTAATCCCAGCACTCTGGCAGGCCGAGGCAGGCGGATCATCTGAGGTCAGGAGTTTGAGACCAGCCTGGCCAAAATGGTGAAACCCCATCTCTACTAAAAGTACAAAAATTAGCCAGGCCTGTTGGTGCATGCCTGTAATCCCAGCTACGCGGGAGGCTGAGGCAGGAGAATCTCTTAAACCCGGGAGGCAGAGGTTGCAGTGAGCCGAGATTGTGCCATTGCACTCCAGCCTGGGTGAGACAGATTCTGTCTCAAAAAAAAAAAAAAAGGAAAAGAAAATAAAGGTTACTTCATGAAGTATAGTTGTTCAGGTCCACTGCACTGCAGCCCCCAACTTCCAGTCTCTGGTGATAAGGGATATTTTCACCCCCCTGATAAGGGGAGTGTACCCCTCCCAGAGGAATCCTTATGGCTTGCTGCATGCAGGAAGAGACAGGTCAGCTCACCCTTTCTGAAACCACATTTTCTCCAAAGTTTTCTTTTTTTTTCTTTTTTTTTTTTTCTTGAGACAGTCTCACTCTGTTGCCCAGGCTGGAGTGCAGTGGCATGATCTTGGCTCACTGCAACCTCCGCCTGCTGGGTTCAAGTGGTTCTCCTGCCTCAGCCTCCAGAATAGCTGGGATTACAGGTGCATGCCACCATGCCCAGCTAATTTTTGTATTTTTTAGTAGAGACGGGGTTTCACCATGTTGGCCAGGCTGGTCTCCAACTCCTGAGCTCAGGTGATCCACCTGCCTTGGCCTCCCAAAGTGCTGGGATTACAGGTGTCTTTTTTTGTTGTTGTTAATATAGAGAAAGGGTTTCACTTTGTTGCCCAGGCTGGCCTCGAACTCCTGAGCTCAAGTGATCCTCCTGCCTTTGTCTCCCAAAGCGCTGGGATTACAGGCACTCACGCCTGGCCCCTCCAATGTTTTCAACGAAATAATCAACATACCAATTTGGCATATTTTGGGATGGCACATACTTCACTCCTTCAGCTTCAACCTAGGAATTTTTAGAGGACACAATTCAGTCCACAGCACCAATACACCGACCTGATCCTAAAAATGTTTATAACTTTCTTAACACTTAGGGCATCCTCATTTCAAGTAACAGAAAACACACTTCAAATAGCTTTTAAAATAAATTAGACAGGGGTGGTGGTATATGCTTGTAGTCCCAGCTACTTGGGAGGCTGAGGTGATTGGTTAAAGCCAGTGAGGGCCCATCCCTGGAGCTGGGATGAAGTCAGTACTTTCTAAACCACAAGGTTGGAAGTTCAGGATATTGTCAGGAATGGGTTATGGAGTCTAGGAAGACAAAACTGAATGTCCACTATACCATTTGATTAGATTTAATTCCACTGCTAAGAGTTTATCTAATGGAATAATTAGAGGAAGAATAAGAGGCAAGTTTATTGCACCCCAGCCAAAGTAGTATATTTACCACTTCTGTGTAAGTTAGGGGTTGCCTTTGACTGGCAATTAACAGAAAAGTTGCTTAAACAAATACAGATTTATTTTTCTTGCACAACAGGAAGTCTAGAAGATGGTGTTTGTTCCACAAATCAGTGATGCCTTGGGTACCCTGTTCTTTTTTTTTTTTTTTTTTTTTTTGAGACAGAGTCTTGCTGCGTCGCCCAGGCTAGAGTGCAGTAGTGTGATCTTGGCTCACTGCAACCTCCATCTCCCGGTTCAAGCAATTTTCCTTGCCTCAGTCTCCCGAGTAGCTGGGATTACAGGCGCCTACCACCACACCCGGCTAATTTTTGAATTTTTTAGGAGAGACAGGGTTTCCCCATGTTGGCCAGGCTGGTCTTAAACTCTTGACCTCAGGTGATCCATCTGCCTCGGCCTCCCAAAGTGCTGGGATTACAGGTGTGAGCCACCACGCCCGGCCAGTACCCCTGTTCTTTGCCTTCTTGCCTCATCAACCTTAGTATTTCGGTTTGTATTCTTAGGGTCCCAAGACAATATGTGCACCTTCAGACGTTGCGTCTGCATTCAAGACAGGGAGAAAGGAGGAAGAGCCCGGCTAGTACCAACCTTATCTGTTTTCTTTTATGAGGAAAGAAAACCTTTTTCTGAGACAGGCACAGTGGCTCATGCCTGTAATCCCAGCACTTTGGGAGGCCGAGGTGGGCGGATCACCTGAGATCAGGAGTTCAAGACCAGCCTGGCCAATACGGTGAAACCCCGTCTCTACTAAAAATACAAAAAATTAGCTGCGCGTGGTGGCAGGCGTCTGTAATTCCAGCTACTTGGGAGGCTGAGGCAGGAGAATTGCTTGAACCTGGGAGGTGGAGGTTGCAGTGAGTCGAGATCGTGCCATTGCACTCCAGCCTGGGTGACAAGAGTGAAACTCTCTCTCAAAAAAAAAAAAAAAAAGAGAGAGAGAAAAGAAAACCTTTTTCCAGAAGTTCCCACAGTAGTTCTCTGCTTAGGTCCTGTGGATCACTCTTAGTTGCAATGAAGGCAGGGAACCCTGGAGGCTGGATTGTCCTGATAGGGCTTAGACTACTCATGGTCCATCGCCTGGGGGTTCTGGTAGTCAAGAGGAAGGGGACATGCATGTTAGGTGGCCACCCATAATTTCACCAAAAAAAATGTGTGTGGGTTTTTTTGTTTTTTGTTTGTTTTTGAGACAAGGTCTCACTCTGTCACCCAGGCTGGAGTGCAATGTCACAGTCACAGCTCACTGTAGCATCCACCTCCCAGGCTCAGGTGATCCTCCTGCCTCAGCCTTCCAAGTAGCTGGGGCCACAGCCATATGCCACCACACCTGGTTAAATTTTATTTTGTTTCTTTCGTAGAAACCGGATCTTGCTTTGTTGCCCAGGCTGGTCTCAAACTCTTGGGCTTAAGCGATCTGCCCACCTCGGCCTCGCAAAATGCTGAGATTACAAGCATGAGCCATGGTACCTGGTATAAACACACCCAACCTTCCCACTTTTACCTACTTGCTCAAGTTATTGCCACTTGTCTAAAACTTGCTCTTCTCTATCTCTGCTTGTCCAAGTCCTATCTACCCTTCAAAATCCTTTTCCAATGTCCTGGATCCCCAGTGGGATATGAAGACTTCTTCTGCCTCTCCCAGCACCTTGTAACCTTGACTCTGCCTTTTACATTCTGTCCTGTGTGTGGTCATTTGCACAAGGCAGCGTTGTGCTGTGGCGCAGCTTTGGCCATAGACCACCTTTGGTTCAGCCACTTTGCAGGTGCACCATTGATAGGTCACTTACCCTTTCTAGGGTCTCAATTTCCCCATTTATAAAATGAGGGTACTATTAGATCCTGCTTTAGAGAGTTGTTGTGGGGATTAAGTAGGATAATTTGTGTAAACTACTTAGCCTGGTGCCTGATGTATAGCCAGCACTTGCTGACTGTTAGCCATCCTGGTTATTATGGTCATTACTGCTCTCTTCGCCCCGTCACCTCCCTCACAGTCTCTGCCTTCCTCAGCTCTGCATGCTCTGACACTTTTTAAAATGGAGATAAAATTCACATACCATAAAGTATGTGAATTCTTTATTCACATACCATAAAGTGTGTGAATTCTTTATTCACATACTTTTAAAGTGTATGATTCAGTGATTTTTGGTATATTCACAAAGATGTACAACCATCACCACGATCTCATTCCACAACATTTGTATCACCCCTGAAAGAAATCCTGTACCTGTTAACAGTCGCTCCCCATCTCTCCCTCCCCTCAGCTTCTGGCAACTACTAACCTACTTGATATCTCTATGGATTTGCTTATTCTGGACTTTTTTTTTTTTTTTTTTTTTTTTTTGAGAGAGAGATACTGGGTCTTGCTCTGTCACCCAGGCTGGAAGTGCAGTGGTATGATCATAGCTCACTGCAGCCTCAAACTCCTGGACTCCAGCGATCCTTTGTGCCTCAGCCTCCCAAGGAGTTGGGTCTACAAGTGTGCACCACCACACCTGGCTAATTTTTAATTTTTTTTGTAGAGATGGGGTTTTGCTATGTTGCCCAAGCTGGTCTCAAACTCCTGGCCAGAAGTGATCCTCCCGCCTCAGCCTCCCAAACTGCTGGGATTACAGGCGTGAGCCACCATGCCCAGCCTATTCTGGACATTTTATGTACATGGAATTACACAATATGAGATCTTTTGTGACTGGCTTTTATTTAGCATATTTTCAAGGTTCATGTGTGTTGTAGCATGTATCAGTACTTTATTTTGTGGCTGAATAATTCCATTGCATAGATTTACTGCATTTTATTTGTCTATTAATTAGTTGAGGGACTTGTAGATGCCTCCACTTTTTTTTTTTTTTTTTTTTTTGAGACAGAGTCTCGCTCTGTCGCCAGGCTGGAGTGCGGTGATGCGATCTCGGCTCACTGCAACCTCTGCCTCCTGGGTTCAAGCGATTCTCATGCCTCAGCCTCCCGAGTAGCTGGGATTACAGGCATGTGCCACCACACCCAGCTAATTTTTGTATTTTTGGTAGAGACAGGGTTTCACCATGTTGGCCAGGCTGGTCTCAAAGTCCTGACCTCGTGATCTGCCTGCCTTGGCCTCCCAAATTGCTGGGATTACAGGTGTGAGGCACTGCGCCCGGCCGTCTCCACCTTTCGGTAATTATGAATAATGCTTCTATAAACCTTTGTGTACAAGTTGTTGTGTGGATATATTTTCAATTCTCTTGGGTATATATCTCCATCAGAAGAGGGGGAGTTAAAGCTTCTACAGAAAATATAATTACGCTATTTCAAACAATAGAACAATTCTGCCCATGGTTTCCAGAACAGGGAACTTTAGATTTAAAAGACTGGGAAAAAATTGGCAAAGAATTAAAACAAGCAAGTAGGGAAGGTAAAATCATCCCACTTACAGTATGGAATGATTGGGCCATTATTAAAGCAACTTTGGAACCATTTCAAATAGAAGAAGATAGCGTTTCAGTCTTTGATGCCCCTGAAAGCTGTGTAATAGATTGTGAGGAAGAGGCAGGAACAGAGTTCAAGAAAGGAATGGAAAGTTCACATTGTAAAAATGCAGTAGAGTCTGTAATGCCTGCCTGCGTTGTAGGATTGCCTGCCTTGTAGTATTGCCCGCCTTGTAGGATTGGAAGTGCTGCATTCTATAGTAGCTCTATATTTAACATTTTGAAACTGCTAAACTGTTTTCTACAGTGGCTGCGCTATTTGACATTCCCATGAGCCGTGTCTGAGGGTTCCCATTTCTGCACATCCCTGACAACTCTTGCCATTGTCTGTCCAATGCTGCCACTTTTCTCCCAGTAACTGTGTGCCTCATGAGTATTCAGTTTGTTGGATGGAAGCTCTCCACTGCTCTGGCGTCTCTGCGTTTCTTTGATGCTGGCATAAGAGGCATGGTTTCTCCACTGGCAGCATCAGCTGGGACATTGGATTTGGGAAAAACTCTGAGGTTCCTTTGCATCAGGCTGGGGGCTGAGCCCTGAGGTCCATGTCTTCATGGAGCCTGGAGTCTATGGAGGCACAAATAAGTCAACAAAGTGTCCAATTGCAATGCGGTGAGCACGACTCCAGAGGGAAGCCCAGGGCATTATTATTAAAGTGTGATGGGTCGTGATTACCGGTGGCTTATGCCTGTAATCCCAGCACTTTGGGAGGCTGAGGTGGCAGTGAGCCGAGATCATGCCACTGCATGCTTTAGTCTCGCTCTGGGCAAGACTCCATCTCAAAAAAAAAAAAAAGGGGGACCAGGCGCGGTGGCTCATGCCTGTAATCCCAGCACTTTGGGAGGCCGAGGCGGGCAGATCACTCGAGGTCAGTTCGAGATCAGCCTGGCCAACACGGTGAAACCCCGTCTCTACTAAAAATGAAAGAAAATTAGCCGGGTGTAGTGGTGCACGCCTGTAATCCCACTTACTAGGGAGGCTGAGGCAGGATAATTGCTTGAACCCGGAAGGAGGAGGTTGCAGTGAGCTGAGATCATGCCACTGCACTCCAGCCTGGGTGACAGAACAAGACTCTGTCTCAAAAATAAATAAATAATAAATAAACAAATAGGCTGGGCACGGTGGCTCACGCCTGTAATCCGAGCACTTTGGGAGGCTGAGGTGGGAGGATCACAAGGTCAGGAGATCGAGACCAGCCTGGCCAACATGGTGAAACCCCGTCTCTACTAAAAATACAAAAATTAGCTGGGCATGGTGGCAGGAGCCTGTAATCTCAGCTACTCCAGAACCTGAGGCAAGAGAATCGTGTGAACCCGGGAGGCGGAGGTTGCAGTGAGCTGAGATCGCCCCATTGCACTCCAGCCTGGGTGACAGGGTGAGACTCCGTCTCAAAAAAAAAAAAAAAAAGAAAAGAAAAGAAAAGAAAAATAAATAAAGTGTGATGGAGAGATGGTACCGATTCCCCCCACCTGAGAGCCAAGAGGTTGTGCAAGGAGGGCTTCCTGGAAGAGGCAATGACGGACCTAAGTCTTAAAGATTAAGGAGTCACTCAGACAAAAAAAGGCGGGGCATAGTATTCCCAGGTGAGGGGAACTGCACAAGGCAAGACACGGAGCTGGGAAACAGTCTGGACTGTGCTGTGGAAGTGGCTGGCAGGAGAATAAAGTGGGGATTTGATGGTGACAGAGGAAGAGAGAGATTGGAGTGTGATAAACCTATGTACTGCATGGGAGACGCAGCAGCCGGGAGGCCTCTGCCTTGGTCTCCTCCTGTGTAAAATGGGGATAAAAATATTGCCTGCCTTGTAGGGATCTTGTCAGGGTTTAATGAGCTTGAATTAAGAGTTTATGTACCATCTGGAACAGTCTCTGGCACATGTTCAATAAATGTTGGCTGTAACTGCTGCTCTCCTCCAAGAGCTTGGTGAGACACTGTAGCTTCCTCTCTGGAGCTGAGAGAGACGTGCATGGCGGGGCGGGGGCTGTAGAGAAGGAAGTCTTCCATCGTTACAATGAGGATGGGGGAGAGCGGGGTAGAGAGACAGGGAACAGCTTCCAGAGAAGGAAGATGGGTTTGGCAGGCAAGACAATAGGTGTCCACTTCTAGGGAGGTGTGAACAAGGTATCAATCAACCACTATGTAGTGAGTACCTGCTGTGTTCAAAGCAATGCGTGAAAGCTGCTGAGATATGAAGAAATACACCTCCCTAACCACAAGCTCACAATGGACTTAGGAGAGACAAGGCAATAGTACATTAAAAATAAAAAAAAATAAAAAAAAATCCAAATTACATGATAGGGCAAGATTAATCTTCTAATAAGTGGCAGAGCTAGGAAGGTTTGTAGGGAATCCAGAAAATGATGGATTCATTTGAGGATTGATGAGGCTGGGAGGGCTTCATGGAGAGACAGAGAACCAAGCTGGAGTGGAAGGTGGGGAGGACTCAAGGAGGCCATCGGAGTGGAGGCCAAGTCAGGTGGAAAAAACGGCAGGGTAGGGACAGGGCTTTTAAGTTATTACAATCAACCAGAGAAGAAGGAAAAGATTCCAGAGCATCCCATGGGGGTTAATGGAGGACAGGCCTGGAAAGAGAGAGAGAATTAAAAACTAATATTTAGGCCAGGAGTGGTGGCTCACACCTGTAATCCCAGCACTTTGGGAGGCCGAAGTGGGAGGATCACTTGAGGTCAGAAATTCGAGACCAGCCTGGCCAACATGGCGAAACCCTGTCTCTACTAAAAATACAAAAATTACCCGGGCGTGGTGGCAGGTGACTGTAATCGCAGCTACACAGGAGGCTGAGGCAGAAGAATCACTTAAATCCAGGAGGCGGAGGTTGCAGTGAGCTGAGATCGAGCCATTGCACTCCAGCCTGGGTGACAGAGCGAGACTCCATCTCAAAAAACAAAAAAACAAAAAACAGAGAAACATAAAAAACTAACATTTATTAAGTGCTTTAGGCATAGTATTAAGTGCTGTCCATGTTTAGTAGGGAGAAAAAAAAATCACCCTTTTAAAATCATGCTACAAATAGTACTTATTGCTCCAGGCCAAAATCGCAAGTATAAATGTCAGACAAGGATAAGGGAGTGATTCAGGCCAAGTGTTACCATAGGGAGTGGTGGCGATTGTGGCAAACTAGGGAGCATTTGCTTCCCCTAAAAGAGGCAGTTGCGCCAGGTGTAGTGGCGCACGTCTGTAATCCCAGCACTTTGGGAGGCCAAGGCAGGCGGATCATGAGGTCAGGAGATCGAGACCATCCTGGCTAACATGGTGAAACCCCGTCTCTACTAACAATACAAAAAATTAGCCGGGTGTGGAAG
This sequence comes from Homo sapiens, assembly GCF_000001405.40. NCBI lineage: Eukaryota > Metazoa > Chordata > Mammalia > Primates > Hominidae > Homo > Homo sapiens. The sequence continues at coordinate 40,693,198 of NC_000022.11, read as the reverse complement.
CGGGCGCCTGTAGTCTCCGCTACTCGGGAGGCTGAGGCAGGAGAATTGCTTGAACCCGGGAGGCGGAGGTTGCAGTGAGCCGAGATCGTGCCACTGCACTCCAGCCTGCCAATACAGCGAGACTCGGTCTCAAATAAATAAATAAATAAATAAATAAATAAATCTCCTCCCACAAATCTGATTCCCCTTCAGTTTCCCTATTTCAATCAATGGCCCCTCCATCCTCCATCACACGTGCCATCAACACATTCCACTTCACCCTCCACATCCAGCTCTTCCCAATGTCTGTGGCTTCTCCTTTACAAACACATCTCATATGTGTCCACCTCTCGCCGCCTCCACTGCCACCACCCTAATCCAGGCCGTTACCATTGCTGCTGTACAGGGTCGCCTGGTCTCCAGGGTCGGTGGGTCTCCTTGCTTTCATTTTCCACCTGCTTCTATCCCATTCTCTATACAGAATCTATAGTGATGATTTAAGGATGAAAATCTAATCATATTGAGGCAGGATAATAGGGAATTAGGGTAACCATGGGTTAAGGCATAAGCAAAAGAACAGCAGATGCAGCCAGTTCTAGGCAAGACTGGGCTGCACACAGGCCGCACCCTCACTCCTATGATAACAAGACAGAAGTTTCCACTTCAGCCTCTGATTGGTCGTGGGCCAATCCTTCATAAGGTGTAACCAACTGGAGGCCTCTAAAGGGCACCTAGGGGTGTTACCAAATTCTTTTTTTCTTTTCTTTTTCTTTTTTTTTTTTTTTTTTTGAGACGGAGTTTCGCTCTTGTTGCCCAGGCTGGAGCGCAATGGCGAGATCTTGGCTCACCACAACCTCCAACTCCTTGGTTCAAGCGATTCTCCTGCCTCAGCCTCTGGAGTAGCTGGGATTATAGGCATGTGCCACCACGCCCAGCTAATTTTGCATTTTTAGTAGAGACCGGGTTTCACCATGTTGGCCAGGCTGGTCTTGAACTCCCAATCTCAGGTAATCTGGCCGCCTTGGCCTCCCAAAGTCCCGGGATTACAGGCGTGAGACACCGCGCCCAGCCACCAAATTCTTTTAGCTTAATAAAAACCCTAAAGAACATTGTAATCGGGACTTTTAACCCACTTGCTTGAGCCGGCTCACGCTCTGTACTTTCACGTCAATAAATCTGCGCTTTCGTTGCTTGTTTCTTCTTTTGTTGCTTCGTTCTTTCATTGCTTTGTGTGTTTTGTTTAATTCTTTGTTCAATGTGCCAAGAATCTGGACAACTTACAGTCAAGACCTTCTATCCAGTAACAATATCATTCCTATGTGGAAAGCCTTTTGATGATTTCTCTTGGCTTTGGTATAAAATCCAAAATCATTGATGTGGTTCACAAAGCTCTATTTGATGAGCTGGACCCAGGGATATGAAATTAAATGTCTGTATGGTACAGGCAAGTGACTTAAGTAAATAAAGCTGGCTGAGTCAAGGGGACAATAGGGAGGAGTGGAGACTGTGGCAAACTGGGGAGTGCATGACTGCCTAAGAGTGTAGCTTCTTGCATCCAGCAGACTGTTGGCACATGGGAAGGTAAACCCTGTAGCCAGATCTTCTGATATTTCAAGGGAAGCTGGTCACCCAGATTTTTAAGTAAAGCTATGGATTCAAAAGCTGGCAACTAATTCACAATCTTTTTTATACCATGCAAGAGAAAAACAAAAAACCACATCTGTGGGTTGGATGAACTTCTCAGCAGCCAAATGTTGGATTCTACTCTATACTCTAAAGATCCTGGACAGAACTTCTGTTAGAAGATTACTAATACTTTTTCTTTTTCTTTTTTCTTTTCTTTCTTTTTTTTTTTTTTTTTTTTTTTTTTTTTTGATACAAGCTCTCACTCTGTTGCCTAGGTTGGAAGGCAGTGGTGCAATCTCAGCTCACTGCAGCCTTTATCTCCTGGGCTCAAGTGATCCTCCCCCCACCTCAGCCTCCCAAGTAGCTGGGTCTACAGGCATGCTCTCACCATGCCCAACTAATTTCTGTATTTTTCGTAGAGACGGGGTTTTGCCATGTTGCCCAGACTGGTCTTGAATTCCTGAACTTATGCAATCCACCCATCTCAGCCTCCCAAAGTGCCAGGATTACAGGAGTGAGCCACCATGCTCAGCCAGAAAAATTACTAATACTTTTGTTGGACAAGCATTTAACAGGTTTTTTTTGAGGGTGGTGTGCAAAGATAAAGCGTCTCTTCTCCCCCTTTCGCCAGTAAGAGAGACTGAGGCACAGAGGAATACGCTGTGGTGCGTAATACAGTGAAGGGGCGTCTTCCTTGGCATGAACTATTTTGCCTTGTACACTGAATTGTGGATTTTCTCCAGGTTAGCCAGAAGAGGGGAGTTTTGGAGATCCTGGAACTGGGAGGAGAGAGGAAATGGGAAATGGGAAAAGGGGTCTCACCCAGTGTCTATGGCTCGGACCTGGGACAGCAGGCCAGGCCTGGGAGGGCAGGATGGCCTCTCCCCACAATGACAGAATGCAACAGGCAGACTGCAGGGATTGTGAGGACTGCCAGCCAACTCCAGTGCTATCCGATTCTGGACTGTCACCCGCCCCCCACCTTCCCTGCTTTGACAATCCCCAGCCCCAGCCTCGGGCTTGCACTAGCACTGGCTGCCTTGGGGGGAAGCACCTGCAGAGAGGTAGAGCAGCTTGGAGAGGTAGTGACCAGCCAAGCAATGACCTGAGCCCGAGGCAGCAGGTAACCACACAGAGATATTTGGGAAGGCACTGGCTGGCCCATCGCCTCGCAGGATGGAGACTTAAGTGGGTTTATATGAATGTTATTTCCGGTTAAGGTGTCCCTGGGAGCACTTGGGTTACACTTGCAACATCTCATTTAATCATCCTGATTTTACACCCCCTGAGCTAGGTGATATCGAGGTGCAAGTCTAGGGATTTCCCTGCCTTTCTGGGGAGAGAAGGGGCACAGGATCTCTGACGGGGAGAGCCCTGAGAGGAGAAAGCTTCGAAGAGAGGCAGCCGGGGGATGGAAGCCCGATCTGCTTTGACGGATTCAAGAGGGAGCAGTGACTCTTTTCTTTTGGGTGTTGCCCTTCTGTGTAGTCCAAGATCACCACCATTCATCACAAATGGAGGAGACAGCTTTGCAGAGAATTAAGTGAGTGGCTTATCCATCCCATGTCTGACCATCTGGAAGGTTCCTCCCTCGGCTGTCCTCAGGATTAGATCTGAGGTTGGTGTACTCCAGTGAGGTTGTGTGGCAGGCCAGGTCCCACTCATGCAGGCCTCCATAACAACAGTTTCAGTACTGACTGAGTGGTTAAGTTAAATATTAAAAGATGGCTGAGCGCAGTGGCTCACACCTGTAATCCCAGCACTTTGGGAGGCCAAAGCAGGTTGATCACCTGAGGTCAGGAGTTCGAGACCAGCCTGGCCAACATAGTGAAACATCGTCTCTACTAAAAATATAAAAATTAGCTGGGCATGGTGGCACGCACCTGTAATCTCAGCTACTCTAGAGGCTGAGGCAGGAGAATCTCTTGAACCTAGGAGGCGGCAATTGCAGTGAGCCAAGATCTCACCATTGCACTCCAGCTGTGGGTGACAGAGCAAGACTCTTGTCTCAAAAAAAAAATAAAAATAAAAATAAAAATAAAAAAATAAAAAATTGCTGAAAGAGCCAGTGTGCTTATACAAAGGCTGGAATGTAACAAAAGTTCACCAAGAGTTTTGCCTAGGCCTTTCCTGGGCCTTAAAGCATGACAAAATAATGAAGGAATTCTTAACAGGACCCATTTAGGATTAAACAAATTTTATTGTGGGTCTGAAGAAACACCCCAGGCCTCCACAAACAAGTTTACTAGGGGTCTGAAGGAACTCCCCAAACCTCCATGATTTAGCAGGAGACAAGATAAGGGTAATCACCTCGCACTTGGACCCATTTAGATTAAGTAAATTTACTGAGGCTCCAGAGGAAGGTCTTCAGGACTTAGACCTTAGTTATAGATTAAAATAAGTTAATCAGGGCTGGGCGCGGTGGCTCACGCCTGTAATCCCAGCACTTTGGGAGGCTGTAGGCAGGCGGATCACGAGGTCAGGAGTTCAAGACCAGCCTGACCAACATGGTAAAACACCCATCTCTACTAAAAATACAAAAAAGAAAAAAATTAGCCGGGTGTGGTGGCACGCACCTGTAATCCCAGCTACTCAGGAGGCTGAGGCAGGAGAACTGCTTGAACCCGGGAGGTGGAGGTTGCAGTGAGCTGAGATCGCACCACTACACTCCAGCCTGGGAGACAAGAGCGAAACTCCATCTCAAAAAAAAGAAAAAAAAAAAGAGTGCCGGGCACGGTGGCTCATGCTTATAATCCCAGCACTTTGGGAGGCCAAGGCGGGTGGATCAAGAGGTCAGGGGTTCGAGACCAGCCTGACCAACATGGTGAAACCCTGTCTCTACTAAAAATACAAAAAAATTAGCTGGGTGTGGTGGCGGGCGCCTGTAATCCCAGCTACTCAGGAGGCTGAGGCAGGAGAATTGCTTGAACCCAGGAGGCGGAGTTTGCAGTGAGCCGAGATCGCACCACTGCACTCCAGCCTGGGCGACAGAGCAAGACTCTGTCTCAAAAAGAAAAAAAAAAAAAAAAAAGAGTTGATCACTATATATGTTTTTAGAAGAATGCACACCTACACGTAGACATACAGCTTAGGAGGTACGTAAGCTCTGGAAAGCTTTGTAATTTAAGAGTTGGTCTCACAATATTTTCCAGGCCTTCTCCCTAAAACTGGTTACAGAAATAAAAACTTCCTTCTTTCCCAGTTCATCCACATCTCGTTATTGTGCCGCAAGAATAAGCAGCCCGACCCTCGGTTTGGTCTGGGAACAGTTGTCCATCACTGTTTTGCTGCCTTGCTTTTTTCTGATCTCCTCAGCTCCAGCTACTGGGTCAGTTTGACTTATTACAGATCATAGGTATGGGAGGAAGAAGAGGTTTGAGGAACAAGTGGTTCTCCATCCCAGTGCTCAATTTAGAAAAAGAAAAAAGTAATTTATTGAACTGCAGAGGAGAAGGAGCTTAATTTTTTGACATTTATTTTTATTTTTCTTAGTAACAAGTCATGCAGAACCAGTTATTACTAGTTTGAATTGAGTAAAATATAGTTGCTAACAATAACAAAAGAACAACCCAATTTTAAAAATGGGCAAAAGACTTGAATAGACATTTCTCCAAAGAAGAAATACAAATAGTCAGGAAGCACATGACCAGATGCTCAACATTGCTAATCATTAGGGAAATGCGAATCAAAATCACAATGAAACCACTTGAGGCGCATTAGAATGTCTTTTATTTTAAAAAGAAAAAGAAAGTAAGTGTTGATGAGGATGTGGAGAAATGGGAACACTTGCACATTGTTGATGGGAATGTAACATGGTACAGCCACTATGGCAGTTTCTCAAAAAATTGAAAATAGAACTACCATATGATATGACAATTATTTTTTCCTTTTTTTTTTTTTTTTTTTTTTTTTTTTGAGACAGAGTCTCACTCTGCAGCCCAGGCTAGTATGAGTGGCATGATCTCTGTTTACTGCAACCTCCACCTCCCAGATTCAAGTGATTCTCCTGCCTCAGCCTCCCAAGCTGGGATTACAGGCATGTGCCACCATGCCTGTCTAATTTTTGTATTTTTAGTAGAGATGAGGTTTCACCATGTTGGCCAGGCTGGTCTCGAACTCCTGAGCTTAGGCGATCCTCCTGCCTTGGCCTCCCAAAGTGCTGGGATTACAGGCATAAACCACTGTGCCCGGCCCCTGATCTGGCTTTTTTTTTGTTTGTTTTGTTTTGTTTTGTTTTTGAGATGAAGTCTCACTCTGTCGCCCAGGCTGGAGTGCAATGGTGCAATCTCAGCTCACTGCAAACTCCACCTCCCAGATTCAAGTGATTCTCCTGCCTCAGCCTCCCAAGTAGCTGGGACTACAGGCACCCGCCACCATGCCTAGCTAATTTTTTTTTTTTTGAAATGGAGTCTCACTCTGTCGCCCAGGTTGGGGTGCAGTGGCACAATCTCAGCTCACTGCAAGCTCCACCTCCCAGGTTCACGCCATTCTCCTGCCTCAGCATCCCGAGTAGCTGGAACCACAGGCACCCGCCACCATGCCTGGCTAATTTTTTGTATTTTTAGTAGAGACGGGGTTTCACCGTGTTAGCCAGGATGGTCTCGATCTCCTGACCTCGTGATCTGCCTGCCTCGGCCTCCCAAAGTGCTGGGATTACAGGCCTGAGCCACCGTGCCCGGCCTGATCTGGCAATTCTTATGGGTATATGCTGAAAAGAATGGAAAGCACTGACTCCAACAGATAGTTGTGCAGTCAGGTTCACAATAGCCAAAAGGTAGAAACAACAGATGAATGGATAAACAAAATGTGGTATACACATACAATGGAATATTCATTCATCCTTTAAAAGGAGGAAGATTCTGACACATATGACAACGTGGATGAACCTTGAGGACATTATGCCAAGTGAAATAAGCCAGTCACGAAAGAACAAATTCTGTGTGATTCTACTTATATGAGGTTCCTAGAGCAGTCAAATCCAGAGACAGAAAGTAGCCCGGTGGTTGCTGGGAGTTATGGGGACAGAGGAATGGCCAGTTGGTGTTTAATTGGTATGGAATTTCAGTTTGGGAAGATGGAAAAGTTCTGGAGATAGATGGTGGTGAGAGCTGCGCATTAACGTGAATGTATTTCATGCCACTGAATTGTACACTTGAAATTGTTAAAATAGTAAATTTTATGTTAGGTGTATTTTACCACAATAAAAAAGAGGCCGGGCGTGGTGGCTCTTGCCTGTAATCCCACACTTTGGAAGGCCAAGGTGGGCAGATCACCTGAGGTCAGGAGTTCAAGACCAGCCTGGTCAACAGTGTGAAACCCTGTCTCTACCAAAACTACAAAAATTAGCCAGGCGTAGTGGCGCATGCCTGTGATCCCAGCTACTCAGAAGGCTGAGGCAGGAGAATTGCTTGAACCCTGGAGGCAGAGATTGCAGTGAGCTGAGATTGCACCACTGCACTCCAGCCTGGGCATCAGAGCGAGACTCTGTCTCAAAAATAAATAAAAATAAATAAATAAATAAATAAATAAATATGTATATTAGGCCAGGTACAGTGGGTCACACCTGTAATCCCAGCCCTTTGGGACTCTGAGGTGGGCAGATTGCTTGAGCTCAGGAGTTCAAGACCAGCCTGGGCAACATGGTGGAACCCCGTCTCCACCAAAACAAAACAAAAAATAGCTGGGCATAGTGACATGCACCTGTAGTCCCAGCTACTTGGAAGGCTGAAGTTGGGGGAGGATTGCTTGAGTCCAGGAGGTCGAGGCTGCAGTGAGCTGAGATCACACCGCTGTACTCCAGCCTGGGCAACAGAGCCAGATCTTGTCTCAAAATAAATAGATAAATAAAAATAAGTTAATTAATTAAATGAAAACTGATGATTCAGAAAGGAACAAGCAAACACAAACCCAATGCCAGTTGCCGTGTTTGGTGCTCTTCTTGCTTCTCTTGTGAACAGCAATGTGCGGAAGTGGTTCTGTGGACTCACTTGCAACCTAAACTTTGAGGTCAATGTCTCTCAGCTGTGAAAGTCTACCAGGTGCTGGGGGGTAGTTTCGGAGCATAATCCTCACAGTTGGGGAAGAAGTATTTTCTGGGGAGAAGATAAGGCAGCAGTGGATGAAGCACTGGCCAGGTTTGAGGAGATGACTTGATGGGGCCCCCATGGGAGAAACTAATTGTTAAATGTGGGAAGAGGGAAAGGAGCAAAGAGATGGACCGCAGGGTCTTCACCCGCTTCTTGGACTCTGTCTGCAGCTCACAGTGGCCTCCACAGCTCCCCAAGGTTCTGGCCACATCCCCAGGCTTAAGGAAGAGGAAAAGAAAGTTCCCCTCGTGCCTCAGACCCCAGCTCTGCACTTGGTCCACCATCCCCACCAGCGATGTCAGGAAAATGCCTCGCCAGCAACCCAGCGCTCACCTCTGCCTGTGCTTCCCCTCATCCACATCGCAAGTGTGTCCCGGTTACCGCGGAATCAGGCTGGGGAGAGATGTGGTGGTGGCAGCTCCCATCGTAATCCCCCACCCTTTAAGCCTCCCTGCCCCACTTCTCCCCTCGACCACCTGTTCTCCCTAACTCATCTCTCCCCTCCGCCTCTCCCCTCCGGAAGGTTTACATTGCTACCCACCCACTTTCATGACTCCACCCACTCTGCTTCCATTTCAGTTGTTTCAGTGTGGGGTTAAGAGCTGAAGGACAGGATGCCCCCTTCCCCAGGAGCTGCTGGGGCTTTCGCTGGGCGTGTGCCTACCCACCCACCCACTGTGAGCTGTTGACTTGGTGATGTGCATTCCCTGGGAGAGGCCGTCTCACTTGTTTCCTCTCTGGGATTCCTCCTTGGAGTGCTGGAAGGTGAGAGGGAGTGAGGAGCAGGCAGGGGCTGGGGCTGATGGACACCCAGGGAAGCCTTCCAGTAGACAAACCCGATGCAGGAAGACCTCCTTTTATCACGTTTGTGGCTAGGAATTGGGTCTTTTTGGATTTGCCTCAAGGCTTCCCTAAGAATCCTTTTTTCTTTTTCTTTCTTTTTTTCTTTTTTTTTAAATGGAGTTTTCGCTCTTGTTGCCCAGGCTGGAGGGCAATGGTGCAATCTCGGCTCACTGCAACCTCTGCCTCCTGGGTTCAAGTGGTTCTCCTGTCTCAGCCTCCCAAGTAGCTGGGACTACAAGCACGTGCCACCATGCCTGGCTAATTTTTGTATTTTTAGTACAGATGAGGTTTCACCATGTTGGCCAGGCTGGTCTCGAACTCCTGACCTCAGGTGATCCACCTGCCTCGGCCTCCCAAAGTGCTGGGATTACAGGTGTGAGCCGTCGCGCCTGGCCAGAATCTTCTTTTATTGAGTGTGCGTCTAAAATAGATTTCAAGTTACGGGTGGCAGCTGGAGACCCTACTGTTAGTGAGTAAGGAAAATAACCATCAGCTTCTTTACTCCCCAGGTGCTGGGTGGAGGGGAACACAGGCCAGGAAATACTAATGATTGTGATAAAGAGCTCCCCAGGGGCCGGATGTGGTGGCTCAAGCCTGTAATCCCAGCATTCCACGAGGCCAAGGTGGGAGGATTGTTTGGGCCCAGGAGTTTGAGACCAGCCTGGGCAACATGGCAAGATCCTGTCTCTACAAAATATAAAAAATTAGCCAGGCATGATGGTGTGCGCCTGTGGTCCCAGCTACTTGGGAGGCTGAGGTGGGAGGATTGCTTGAATCTGGGAGGTCGAGGCTGCAGTGAGCTGTGATCATGTCACCTGCACTACAGCCTGGGCAACAGGGCAAGGCCCTGTGTCCAAAAAAAAAAAAAAAAAAAAAAGCCGGGCACGGTGGCTTACGCCTGCAGTCTCAGCACCTTGGGAGGCCGAGGCAGGCAGATCATGAGGTTAGGAGATCGAGACCATCCTGGCTAACATGGTGAAACCCCGTCTTTACTAAAAATACAAAAATTAGCCGGGCGTGGTGGCGGATGCCTGCAGTCCCAGCTACTCGGGAGGCTGAGGCAGGAGAATGGTGTGAACCCGGGAGGCGGAGCTTGCAGTGAGCAGAGATCACACCACTGCACTTCAGCCTGGGCGACAGAGCGATACTCTGTCTCAAAAAAAAAGTCCCCAGGACCCAAGGAAGCTGCCCAGAAGTTTTCTGAAGAGGCTCCCTGCTGCAGCTCTGAAGAGGAACAGGCTGTGCTGCTGCCCCTGCTTTCAGGATGCTTGCAGCTTTCTCCCGCTCTCTCAGTAAGGTCTGCTGAGCACTGCACTGACGGCTCCCAGTCCCCTCTCAGTGAAGACACCAAGAAGCAGCAGCCAAGCAGCAGTCGTGGCTGCCTCCCAGTGGCCCCGGCTGTAATCTTCTGTTCAAGGTGCCCACACCAGATCTCAGCTGTAGAAAGCAGAGAGGCTTCAGCTGCCCTAAGAGCTGGCTCTGCGGCTGGTGACTCAGCGGGGGTGAGGGTTGAGGCGGGGGAGTGGGGGTTGGGACTTGGGGCCTGAGGACTCATCACTGATGACAACAAAGCCCAGGGGATTTTGTGCAGAAGACAGGAAGCTGAGTCCCAAGAACAAGCCCAGCAGCAGAACTGCAAAATCTAATGAATCCCCAGTAATTCCATTTATGCCACTGAATCCTCCCTGTGGGTTCAGAAAAACAGATCCCTGCTTCATGCTTCCTAAAAATGCAGCATGAACCAAGATCTAAATTCCACAACCAAGTGACCCCTCTTTCTCTTTTCTGCTGCCCACCTTCCCCGCCCCAGCCCACACCCACCCCCAAGTCCACAAGAACATCCAGAGTGATGTGGGTGGAGATTTTCCTTTATTTGATTTTATTTTGGAGAGGAAGGGCTAGAGCAAAAAGATGATGCCAACACACCGGGCACTAGAATGACCCCTGCACATGCAGAACACACGGACACTCAAGCTGGATTAGTGACTGAGCAAATGTGCCCCGTGGAGAGAATGTCACCAGAGCTGCAAAAGCCCCCCGACCCCAGCTTTTATTAGTTTTAAGACCCCCAACCACACCCACCCCAGGTCTCCTTGTTTTCAGTAAGCAGACCTCCTAGCAAACTGGGCTTTTACTCCTGTGGGCTCAGTGCCACATCCCCTCAAATAAACATGCATCCTCTAGAGCAAAAGGGAAATTGACAGGATGCTGGAACGCCGAGAGATGGGATGCTTTATTTTTCATTATCCACCAGCTTGGGAGAAAGGCCACCTTCCATCGCACCAGTGAGAGGCGGGAAAGAGCGATCGGGCCCTTTCCCGTCTCTCAGGCCTTGTGCAACATGGCCCTGGCTGCTCACTCCAGCCCTGCCTGACTTTAAACAAACCCAGTCAGTACCCTTCCACCTCTTGCCTTGGGAAGAAGACATTTGAGAGCTCACAGATATAGTGCAACCGGTTATCCAAACCAACATGTTCTCTTGCTCAGCTTCTGTTCTATCCAAAGGTCTCATCCTGCTCCCCCAAGGGGATTTCTGATATCTGAAAACCCCAAACCTGACTCCAGGCCTCCCCAGCAACGTGTGAGCCCCATGGAATGTATTTATTTCATTGCAACAACCCCTCACAACCCGGCCTTCCTGCATTTCCCGAGCGGTCTTGGGTTTTTCTCAGCATCTCTCCCGGTGGCGTGTTGTGGTGCCCTGACTTGGAGGTGTGCAGGGTGGCAGGGGAAGTATCAGGTGCCTTTGCTTTCTGTCCTCTCCTCGTCAGCCGTCTGAGCGTTGCTGACAGCGCGAAGCTGCCCCTGGGCTGCAGGCTTCACCGACAGGACCAAGCGTTTGCGGAACGTCTCACAGAGCACGATGTACACAAAGGGGTTGAGGCAGCTGTTGGCATAGCCCAAGCTGATGGCCGCATTGTATAAGTAGACAAAGGTGAGGGTCGGGCGGCTGATGGACAACTGGGTCAGCTGTAGCACATAGTAGGGTGCCCAGCACACAAAGAAGACCAGACAGATGGCGATGGCTGTGCGGGTCACCCTCTTTGTCCGCAGCCGGATGCTGCGCTGGGAGGCGGGGGCCACTGAGGACGTCATGCGCTGCAGGATCCTCACGTATGCGGCTGTGATGACCACAAAAGGCAGGGCAAAGGCCAGGAAAAACTGGTACAGGGTGAACCAGTAGAGGTCAGTGTCTGGGTTGGGCAGGCGTATGCCGCAGCCCACTGCACCTCCTGGGAAGGGGATGAGTCTGGCATACAGCCACACAGGGGTGATGCTGATGAAGGAGAGGGCCCACAGGAGGCAGATCACCAGGGTGGCCACAGAGGGCTTCCGGAACTTCGTGGAAGAGATGGGGTGGACAGTGGCCAGGTAGCGGTCAATGGCCATGGCGGTCAGGATGTAGGTGCTGGTGAACTGACTATTGGCATCCATGGCCGTGATGAGGGTGCACATGGTCTCCCCAAAGTGCCACACCCCATTGCCCATGAGCTGGTGGATCATGAAGGGCATGCCCAGGAGAAAGAGGAGATCTACTACCGAGAGGTTGATGATGAAGATGTCGGGGACGTTGTTGCACCAGTGCAGCTTGGACTTCTTCACGACCGCGAAGATGACCGTGGAGTTCCCGATGATGCCCAGGAGGCAGATGGTGCCGAACACCGAAGGCATGATGATGTTGATGTAGGAGATGCTCCCCGTGCGAGGAGGTGATCCTGGGGACAGAAGGAGCAAGCGTTGGCTGTTTGACATGGGCTTTGCTCTGAGAACTGACATCCTGCTGGCATGCTCAGCCTCCAGCGACCCACCGTTCATCTGGAATCCTCTCCCACCATTCTCCCTCCCTTCACTGTTGCTAATCTTGTCCCTTTTCCCTTCTCCATGAGTTTCCTGGTGAATCCTACCAGAGTGCCCTGAGCCATCTGTCTTGGAAGGACACAACATGCCTGCCTCCTGCAGGCACCAGAGGCAAGAACCACAGTTGTCTGCAGAGATTACTCTGTGAGCCCCGGGCTTCACCAGGAAAACTCGTCAGCATAGCCAGAAGGACACAAAAGTAAGTGTCTGTGTATGTGTGTGTGTGTGTGTGTGCGTGCTTTTCCTATGTGTAGCCCTGAGTGTTTCATTTTGGAGATCTCTGGTTGGAAACTGTGTACTGATTCTTGGGCATATCTGTGGGTGACTGTCTTGTAGAGGCTTTTGCCGGCTGTGCCCTGGTCAAGCCAGCAGCTCTCCCTACCCCAGGCTTCCTAGCGGGGATTTCCTTGATTGGTATCTTCTGAGCCTGGGCTTCTTGAGTGAAGCAGAGACAGAAACTGTCTGTTGGAGCTCAGCAGCCTGGAAAAATTATCTACATAAGCCTTTCCTCTTTTCCTTCCTTCCTTTCTCCTTCAAAGCTGGAATCCCAGGGCACCGCAGCTCTGGAAATGTCAGGAAGCTTAATTCACCAGAAAAGTTAATCCCCTCATGGCTCTGTGAAGTCTTCCCTTCCCAGGGCCTCTCCCAGGTGGCAGTAAGGATGTCTCAGACCTCATCATCCAAGTGGGAGTAAAAAGCTGAGGCTAACAGTGCAGGAGTGAGCCCCCAGCTGTCTCCCACATACCACCCTCCAGCTTCTCTCGCTTGCTTTTCCAGCCTGGAATTTTTTCTGCCAAGCATCTTTGGAACCCAGCAGCGAGCCTTCCCCTGCTGTCTCACGGCTGGCCCCCCTTCCTTGCCATTCTGAATATGCCTTCGCCCCCTGCTCTGCTCCTGCCCGTCTGCCCCTGCGGACCATTGCCCCCTTTTCTCCTGCCCCTCAGAGCAAAGCAGACCACAGATCTTGTCCCCAAGAACTGTGATAAAGTTTCCCAAGCAGTTTGGCTCAGGGGTGAAACCTTCCCATTTTCCACCCACAGCCCAGAGGAGGGAGGGCTCCCAGTCAACTCACCTGCCGAAGTGAGGTTATCGGGGCCATCAGAGGTGTTGCTGGCGTTGGGACCAGTGGGCAGCAGCGAGGCTTCCAGGTCCATCCAGCCAGTGCCGGTCGCCTGCTCCCACAACCGAGCTGAGCTCCCCTCCACCCACGCAGGCTGCGGCAGCCTCCAGCGCCTGCCACCTTGTCCCGGAGCGCAAGCCCCGCAGTTGGGAAGGGGGTCTTCCTCCGTAGCCTGGCAGCCGCTGCCGCCTCCAAGCCCAACTGCCCTCCCCACTCCCTTCTTCATGGCTCCCACTGACATCACCTAGACACATTAACATTCGGAGGCAGATGCACATTAACCTCTTCAGTCCCAGGCTGTGGCTGGCTTCCACTTCTGAATGCCTGCAGAGCCCCAGGGCCCTGGGGAAGCTGGGAGGGACTGGACACAGGCAGCCCCATCAGGAAAGGGATCTCCTTCCCACTGACACTTGGGATTGTCTCGTGTGCTTACAGGGGCTGCTGCTTGCCTTGCGTGAAGATCGAGGTCTCTGCAAAGGCAAACGGACAAAGCACACAGGCTGCCTCCCTTTGGAGGAGAGAGCAGCTTGGCTTAGCCCCTATTCCAGGTATGGGTGGCTGGGCCACATGGCAGAGTCCAGAGGAAACTGTGCACATAGCTTGGGAATCAAAGGCTTGGACTGCAGCAGGGCTGCCCCCCATGCACACTCAGGGCACCCTCGGCCCCTTCCCTGTGCCCTGACGGCTTCCAACTATCTCGCTGGCTATGCTGCCAGCATCCTGCAGAAGCTGAGTCGTCAGCTGCTGAACCCTTGCCTGGCACTCAGAGGTGACACAGGTCACTCCATGCTGGCAATAGCCAGGACCTCGGGGACTGGAAGGGGACAAACTCCTCTCTGCATGGGATCTGCCTGGACCAAGCTCACAGAGGTGTTATTTTTCTAAACGCTCTGAGGTCCCTGAGGTTTGGCCTGGGACTCTTTGAGACAAATATCTGAGCATGATCCCCCAAAGAGATCATCCCGGAGGAACAGCTGCAGAGGCAAAGGCGTTAAGGGAATTTTCCACGGAGGCATCCTGCTGCCAGCCTCTGGGGCCCTCACAGACAGGAGCTGCCACTGCACCCACTGCCAGACTCAGGAGCCAGGGGTCGAGGTTCACGGGCAGATCCCTACATGTGTCCTCTATCTTGTTTACTTATTGGGTTCATCCAACAAACATTCATTGAGTACTTACTACCTGCCAAGCACTGTTCTAGGTTTTGCAGTAAAAAAAAAAGAAAAAAAAGTGGGGGTGGGGTGGGGGATAAAGTCCCTGTCCTCATGAAGATTGCATTCAAGTTGCGGGGAGACAGAAAACCCCTCAAAAGACAATTCATGGTATTGGCAATTACTATGAAAAACTTAAAGCAGGGTGAGCTGGCCCCTGAATACCAGCAGAGGTGGAGGTTGCTATTTTATATAGGATTGATCATCGAGGAAGACCTCACTGAGAAGCGCTTCCAGAAAAGTCCTGAAGGAAGTGAGGAACCATGCTTAGAAATATTCTGGAGGACCAGCATTCCTGGCTGTGGAAATCGCCAGTGCAAAGGCCGTGCGGCAGGAAGTGTGCAGGGTGATTCTGAAGAACAGGGTTGGGCCAGGTGCAGTGGCTCATGCCTGTGATCCCAGCACTTTGCGAAGCCAAGGTGGGTGGATTGCTTGAGCTCAGGAGTTCAAGACCAGCCTGGACAACATGGTGAAACCCCGTCTCTACAAAAATACAAAAATTAGCCGGACATGTTGGCAGCTGCCTGTAATTCCAGCTACTTAAGCAGCTGAAGCAGGAGAATCGCCTGAATCCAGGAGGCAGAGATTGAAGTGAGCTGAGATTGGGCCACTGCACTCCAGCCTGGGCGACACAGAAAGACCCTGTCTCAGAAAAAAGAAAAAATATGGCCGGGCGCAGTGGCTCACACCTGTAATACCAGCACTTTGGGAGGCCGAGGCTGGCAGATCACGAGGTCAGGAGATCGAGACCATCCTGGCTAACATGGTGAAACCCCATCTCTATTAAAAAATACAAAAAATTAACCGGGCGTGGTGGCGGGTGCCTGTAGTCCCAGCTACTCGGGAGGCTGAGGCAGGAGAATGGCGTGAACCCGGGAGGCGGAGCTTGCAGTGAGCCGAGACCACGCCACTGCACTCCAGCCTGGGTGACAGAGCGAGACTACGTCTCAAAAAAAAGAAAAAATATATACTCCACATAAAGATAACTTATGATATTGGCAATTGCTGTAAAAAACTTAAAGCAGGGTGAGAGGGCCCAGGAATACCAAGAGAGGTGGAGGTTACCATTTTATAGAGGATTGATCATCAAGGAAGGCCTCTCTGAGAAAAGTCCTGAAGGAAGTGAGGAAGCATGCTTAGAAATATTCTGGAGTGGCCGGGCGCAGTGGCTCACGCCTGAAATCCCAGCACTTTGGGAGGCCGAGGCAGGCGGATCATGATGTCAAGAGATCGAGACAATCCTGGCCAACAAGGTGAAACCCCCTCTCTATTAAAAATATAAAAATTAGCTGGGCGTGGTGGCGGGCGCCTGTAGTCCCAGCTACTTGGGAGGCTGAGGCAGGAGAATCGCTTGAACCCGGGAGGTGGAAATTGCAGTGAGCCGAGATCATGCCATTGCACTCCAGCCTGGGTGACAGAGTGAGACGCCGTCTCAAAAAAAAAAAAAAGAAGAAGAAATATTCTGGAGGACCAGCATTCCCTGCCATGGAAATTGTCAGTGCAGAGGCCCTGTGGCAGGAGTGTGCAGTGTGACTCTGGAGAGCACTGTGGCTATAGTAGAGATTAGCAGGAGCTGTCATCAGAGAGGAAGGAGCAGGAAGGGCAGATTCTGCCAGGCCTTGCCAGCCAGTATAAGCACTTTGGCTTTGCCTTTAGGGGAAATGGGAGTCACCAGGGGGTTTTCAGCTGAGAAAAGACATGATCAGACATGTTTTGAAAGGATCAGTCTTGGCCGGGCACAGTGGCTCACGCCTGTAATCCCAACATTTTGGGAGGCTGAGGCGGGTGGATTGACTGAGGTCAGGAGTTTGAGACCAGCCTGGCCAACATGGTGAAACCCTGTGTCTACTAAATGTACAAAAATTAGCCAGGTGTGGTGGCAAGCACCTGTAATCCCAGCTACTTGGGAGGCTGAAGCATGAGAATCGCTTGAACCCAGGAGGTGGAGATTGCAGTGAGCTGAGATCACGCCACTGCACTCCAGCCTGGGTGACAGAACGAGACTCTGTCTCAAAAAAAAAGAAGCTCTTTGTGGCAGGGGAAGCTTTTTGCAGTAGAGGAAGGCCTCACTGAGAAGCACTTCCAGAAAAGTCCTTAAGGAAGTGAGGAAGCATGTTTGGTGGGAGGTGATTGGACCATGGGAACAGATTTCCCCCTTCCTGTTTTTGTGATAATGAGTGAGTGCTCATGAGATCTTGTTGTTTAAAAGTGTGTAGCTGGCCAGGTGTGGTGACTCTTGCCTCTAATCCCAGCACTTTGGGAGGCCAAGGCAGGCGGATCACCTGAGGTCAGGAGCTTGAAACCAGCCTGGCTGGCATGGTGAAACCCTGCCTCTACTAAGCATACAAAAATTAGCCGGGCATGGTGGCATGTGCCTGTAGTCCCAGCTACTCAGGAGGCTGAGGCAGGAGAATTGCTTGAACCCGGGAGGTGAGGGTTGCAGTGAGCTGAGATTGTGCCATTACCCTCCAGCCTGGGCAACAATAGCGAAAATCCATCTTAAAAAAAAAAAAGTTCTAGAAATGGACAGTGATAATGGCTGCACAACATTGTGAACGTACTTAATGCCACTAAATTGGACACTTAAAAGTGGTTAAAATGGTAAATTTTATGTTACGTATATCCTACCACAATATATAAAGTGAAGAGGCAAATTTTATGTGTATTTTACTATGCACAAAAAATCCCAAAACTCTGCAATGGCCATCCCAGCATCCCCACCTTATTATTGTAAACCATTTCATGGAGCTATCCCAGAAGCATGTTAGGACTGGCTCCAGCTACATCCTGTGTTGCAGGAGAGTTCTCCCCTGTCAATAAACTGTCTCCTTTCTTTTTTAATTAATTAATTTATGTATGTATTTTTTCATTTGAGACAGAGTCTTGCTCTGTCGCCCAGGCTGGAGTGCAGTGGTATGATCTCAGCTCACTGAAACCTCTGCCTCCTGGTTCAAGTGATTCTCTGGCTTCAGCCTCCAGAGTAGCTGGGATTACAAGCATGTGCCACCATGCCCGGCTAATTTTAGCAGAGATGGAGTCTCACTATGTTGCCCAGGCTGGTCTTAAACTCCTGGCCTCCAGTGATCCACCAGCCTCAGCCTCCCAAAATACTGGGATTACAGGCGTGAGCCACCACACCTGGCCTACTCATTTTATTTGAGACAGGGGCTCACTCTGTCACCCAGGCTGGGGTGCAGTGGTGAGATTTCAGCTCACTGCAACTTCTGACTCCCCGGTTCAAGTGATCCTCCTACCTCAGCCTCCTGAGTAGCTGGTACTATAGGCACAAGCCACAACGCCCAACTAATTTTGGTTTTTAAAATTTTTTGTAGAGACAAGGTGTTGCTATGTTGCCCAAGCTGGTCTTGAACTCCTGAGCTCAAGGTATCCTACTGCCTCGGCCTCTCGAGGTGCTGGGATTATAAGCATAAGCCACCACGCCTGGCCAAAACTCTCTCCTTTCAACCTTATATTTGCATCATCTAGCACCCTCAAGATCCACTTCTGGCCAGATGGGGTGGCTCTCACCTGTAACCCAGCACTGTGGGAGGTAGAGGTGAGAGAATCGCTTGAGCCCAGGAGTTCAAGACCAGCCTGGGCAACACAGCGAGGCCTTCTCTACAAAAAATTAAAAATTAGCCAGGCATGGTGACATGCGACTATAGTCCCAGCTACTTGGGAGTCTGAGGCAGGAGGATTGCTTGAGCCCAGGAGATTGAGGCTGTAGAGAGAAGTGTTTGCACAATGGCACTTCAGCATAGGTGACAAAGCAAGACCCTCTCTCAAAAAAAAAAAAGATCCACTCCCACACATAGTCCCTTTATTTCTCCCAGTCCTTATTAGCTGGTCCTGGTCCTCATGGGTGAAGTATTTTCTCCAAAAGCAGAAGCTGTATTTCCCATCCCAAGCTATAACACTGAGACCTGCCCCAGTTATTGAGTCTGAAGCAATGGCAGGCTCTCTGCTCCTCCTGTTCGACTGACAGCTGCATCTTCTCATGCAGCACCAATTGCGTCCCTGAGGCACCAAGGGAAAAGCGAAGGCTGGAGTAAACAGATTTGGACATATTGGATGCCTGGTTACCAGGGCTGCTTTTAACTCTAGCACAATGGATATTGTTGCCATCAATGACCCCTTCATTGACCTCAGCTAAATGGTCTACATGTTCGAGTATGATTCCACCCATGGCAAGTTCCACAGCACCATCAGGCTGAAAACGCGAAGCTTGTCACCAGTGGAAATCCCATCACCATCTTCCAGGAATGAGATCCCACCAAAATCAAAGGAGGTGATGCTGGTGCTGATTATGTTATAGAGCCCACCAGTGTCTTCACTACCATGGAGAAGGCTGGGACTTACTTAGATGGGGGAGCCAAAAGAGTCACCATCTCTGCCCCTTCTGATGCCCCCATGTTTGTGATGGGTGTGAATCATGAGAAGTATGGAAACAGCCTCAAGATTATCAGCAATGCCTCCTGCACCACCAGTTGCTTAACCCCCCTGGCCAAGGTCATCCATGACAACTTTGGCACCATGGAAGGACTCATGACCACAGTTCATGCCTTCAGTGCCACCTAGAAGACTACTGATGGTACCTCTGGGAAATTGTAGTGTGATGGCTGCAGGGCTCTCTAGAACATCATTCCTGCCAAGCCTGTGGGCAAAGTCATCCCCGAGCTGAATGGGAAGCTCACTGGCGTGGCCTTCCACGTCCCCACCACCAACATGTTGGTCATGGACCTGACCTGCCATCTGGAGAAACCTGCCAAATACAGTGACATCAAGAGGATGGTGAAGCAGGCATTGAGGGAGATCCTCAAGGGCATCCTGGGCTGTACTGAGCACAAGGTCGTCTCCTCTGACTTTGACAGTGACACCCATTCTTCCATCTTCAATGCTGGGGCTGGCATTGCCCTCAACAATGACTTTGTCAAGCTCATTTCCTGGTATGACAGGGTGGTGAACCTCATGGTCCACATGGCCTCCAAGGAGTAAGAGCCCCAGGCCACCAATCCCAGTGAGAGCACAAGAGGAAGAGGGGGGCCCTCAGCTGCTGGGGAACCCTGCTGCGCTCAGCCCCCACCACACTGAGCATCTCCCCTCGACACAGTTTCCATGTCAGACCCCTGAATAGGGTGGGGCCTACGGAGACCCACCTTGTCATGTACCATTAATGAAGTCCCCTGTACTTTGCCAAAAAAAAAAAAAAAGTCCCTTGTACTTGCGAGTGTTAAGAGTCAGGAGAAGTAACAATGAGAGGAAATGAGGAGCATATCTGAGGAAAAACATCCTCTTGCAAGTCAGTTGAATCCTAGCATGACTTCCAGACAAGGGCAGGCTGCTCTCCTCTAGCAAGGGAGAGAAGGTTACTTTTGCTGGCCTGGAATGTTCAGGGGGTTCAGAGAAATCTGGGGGTTCAGTGTTCTCAAGTACACCCAGATGTCCCCTGCTAGGCATCAGGGTTCCAATCCTTTCCTATCAGGGACTTGACTTTGGCTTTGGTGATGTGTTAGGGCTGCCCATATTCCATCTTTCTTGCACCTCTGCAACTCTTACAATTAGAATCTGGGTCTTATTCTCAGCAATGTCTGCCTTATTGCTGCAGAAGATGAGGGTCTCTCATTGTTGCTTTGGAGGCCTTCTGGCTTTTGTTGTATGTCCTGAATTGATAGCTGGCTATCTGACTCTGCCATTTTTTTTTTCTTATCTCTTCTTTTTTTTTGAGACAGAGTCTCCCTCTGTCACCCAGGCTGGAGTGCAATGGCCCGATCTCAGCTCACTGCAACCTCCACCTCCCAGGCTCGAGTGATTTTTGTGCCTCAGCCTCCTGAGTAGCTGGGATTACAGGCACCTGCCAGATATCCAACTAATTTTTGTATTTTAGTAGAGATGGGGTTTCACCATGTTGGCTAGGCTGGTCTTGAATTCCTGGTTCTGCCAGGATCTGCCCACCTTGGCCTCCCAAAGTACTGGGATTACAGGTGTGAGCCACTGCACACAGAGTCTGCCATTTTTTTCTTCCAGTCTTCCAAAGCAGTTAACAAAAACCAGCTAACTCCATAGTCCTTATAATTACCACAGCTCCCACACTGTTCACATCTAGAGCTACTGCATAGTTCAATGTTTCCTCTTCCACTTATACTTCATTTCAACCAACCACAGGTAAGAGTGTCAATATGATGCTACTGCACACCAGGCCAGGGTTGTTAAGCCCCCTATTTACCACCAGCAATGGAATCCTTGTTGGCTTCTGACTGGTAATTGATATATTCCAGAAACTCAATTGGATGGAGTTGTGGGGGAGGTCCCCTTCTTTCTACTGTCACTCCTGGTACCAATTTTCTTAATTTGATTTTCTCTAAAAGCAGAGCTTGAAACAAGGACTTGTGTGCAGTAGTTTATTTTAGATGTGATTTTAAGGAGCAGGTGTCAGGGAACAGAGTGAGTCAGGGAAGAAGGAAAAGCCAGGATAAGGGTACATTGCCAAGTTTGCTGCTGTGGGCAATGGGGGCTCAATTTGTCCAGGCTCTCCCGGGAAGTTTAAGAATGTCTACCAGCCGGGCACGGTGGCTCACGCCTGTAATCCTAGCATTTTGGGAGGCCGAGGCGGGTGGATTGCCTGAGCTCAGGAGTTCGAGACCAGCCTAGGCAACACAGTGAAACCTGTGTCTACTAAACCACAAAAAATTTGCCAGGCGTGGCAGCGCGCGTCTGTAGTCCCAGCTACTCGGGAGGCTGAGGCAGAAGAATCGCTAGAACACGGGAGGCGGAGGTTGCAGTGAGCCGAGATTGCACCACTGCACTACAGCCTGAGCGACAGAGTGAGACTCTGTCTCTTAAAAAAAAAAAAGAAAATCTGGGACCTCCTCCCTCTTTCTCAGGTAGCTGAGGCATGAGAACCACCTCTAGGAGGCAGAGGTTGCAGTGAGCCAAAAAGGTGCCACTGCACTCCGGCCTGGCAACACAGCAAGATTCCGTCTCAACAACAACAAAAAAGTTCCGTTTTAGGCCAGATGCGGTGGCTCACGCCTGTAATCCCAGCAATTTGGGAGGCCAAGGCAGGTCAATCACGAGGTTAGGAGATTGAGACCATCCTGGCTAACACGGTGAAACCTCGTCTCCACTAAAAAAAAAATACAAAAAATTAGCCGGGTGGTGACGGGCACCTGTAGTCCCAGCTACTCGGGAGGCTGAGGTGGGAGAATGGCATGAACCCGGGAGGCAGAGCTTGCAGTGAGCCGAGATCACACCACTGCACTCCAGCCTGTGCGACAGAGTGAGACTCAATCTCAAAAAAAAAAAAAAAAAAAAAGTTCTGTTTTAGACATGCTACATTGGAGATGTCTATTCACTTCCTAATGGAAGTAGTGGTTAGCAGTTGGATGTAAGAGTCAGAAGTTTTAGCCAGGCGTGGTGGCGCATGCCTGTAATCCCAGCCACTCAAGAGGCTGAATCAGGAGAATCGTTTGAACCTGGGAGACGGAGGTTGCGGTGAGCCAAGATCAGGCCATTGCACTCCAGCCTGGGCGACAGAGCGAGACTCTGTCTCAAAAAAAAAAAAAAAAAAAAAAAAAAAGAAGTTCAAGGGAGAAGTCATGCCTGAAGATAAAAAATGTTTATTTTATTTATTTATTTATTTATTTATTTATTTATTTATTTTGAGATGGAGTCTTCCTCTGTCGCCCAGGCTGGAGTGCAGTGGTGTGATCTCGGCTCACTGCAAGCTCCAACTCCCGGGTTCATGCCATTCTCCTGCCTCAGCCTCCCGAGTAGCTGGGACCACAGGCGCCTGCCACCAGGCCCAGCTAATTTTTTGTATTTTTAGTAGAGATGGGGTTTCACCGTGTTAGCCAGGATGGTCTCGATCTCCTGACCTTGTGATCCTCCCACCTTGGCCTCCCAAAGCGCTGGGATTACAGGCGTGAGCCACCGCGCCCTGCCATTTTATTTTTTATTTTATTTAGCAATCTCAAAAGCTCACAGAGATATAAATTTAAACTGATGAGACTGGATGTGCTTACTTAGGGAGTGAGTGTGAATAAAGGTGTTGTGAGGACTGAGCTCTTGGGCATTCCAAAGTTTACAGTTTGGGAAAATGAGCATTACTGTCCAGTATCTCCTCCTCTTCCACATGCCATAGTCTTCCCATCTCCATTTACTCATCCTTTCATCCATCAGACAAATCATTACACAGCATGTACTACATACCAGGCACTGTGCTAGGCTCTGTGGATACAGTGGGGAAAAACGAGCAAATGCCTGGTATAAGGGAGCTTAAACTAAAGTGGGGAGAGACAAATAATGACAAGCAAGCTGATAAGTGAACGAGATGTCCTTTTCAGGGTTCAAATCCAGACAAATCCATGTAACTTAATCACAAAGGGCTTTAGGGACTCACAAAATCATGGCTCTGGAGTTAGGCCATCCCTGCCATTATCTGCACTACCAAAGTGACTGAGCCTGGCCAGAGGAACTTAAACCAAGACTGAGCAGCAAGGGAAGCAGAGAGGGGTGGGTCTGAGCTCTCTGGCCTTTGAATGGTAGGAGTGAAGGTGGGAGGAGTGAACACTGAGCAAGTCAATCCATAATGCCAGCTACACAGGCTGATTACTGACTGTTTTTAGTGTCACTGAGGAAATGGATGGGGTGATGAGAGTGACTGGGGGTGAAGGGGTCTTTTAGAGAGGGAGTTAAGGATGTCCTCTTTGAAGAATTCAGGTAGCATGCTCAACACCCATTCTACTACAAATGATTACTTTAAACCAGTGAATCAACAGCAATCTCATTCCTCTTGCCAGTGACTGTTTCAGGGGTGAGCATGTCTACTGGACACCCATGTGCATCTCTTCAGGTCCTTTTCACCACACCTAGCTCATAGTTCATCCATTGACCTGCTCTGGCACAGTCCCCAACAAAGTCCAGGTACAGGTGCAGATACAGCTGTGACCTCACGGTGCTGTGTGCCTTTTACCCTCTGTCTTGGGTCTTCTCTGTTGCTGCCACAACTTAGAATCTGGGAATCCACGGAGTGCCCTCGCATGAACAACCCAGAAGTGCAGGGAGAGTTAATGCTCCTTAGGGGAACCTTTGACCAATGTAGGGTGGAAGCCATGGATAGGTACTTTCCCCAGGATTCCCCAGGACATACCATCCTGAGGCATATTTCATGTAGCTTCCCAGCAGCCCCATAGGTTAGAGCAACCAAACACTTTTAGCCCTGGCCAACCGGAAATCATTGCTTTGTTGCTATCTGCTTCTCTGCTTTGCTCCTCTACCCTCCTTCCTGATTCCCAGGATCGCTCTTCCCAGTAAAATACCGACACACCCCCTTTGTCTCAGGCTCTGTTTTCTGGGAACTGGAGGCTAAAGCAGCATGTGACTCATTCTTACTAGTGACAGTAAAGGGGAGGAGTGTTGTGGTGAGAGGCATTTGGTAAAGATTTCCTTGTTCTTGCAAAGATGATACAAAACGAGATTGTCTCTTTTGCCCCCTTTGAACTTTGTTTTGCCTGGACATGACACTGGTGTATTAGTTGGTTCTCACACTGCTATAAAGAACTCCTTGAGACTGGGTAATTTATAAAGCAAAGAAGTTTAATTGGCTCATGGTTCTGCAGGCTGGGCAGGAAGCGTGGCTGTGGAGGTCTCAGGAAACTTAAAATCATGTTGGAAGGTGGTGAGGAAGCAGGGTCATCTTACATGGCAGGAGCAAGAGGAAGCAAGCGAAGGGGAAGGTGCTACATACCTTCTTTTCTTTTCTTTTTTTTTTTTTTGTTTGAGACGGAGTTTCGCTCTTGTTGCCCAGGCTGGAGTGCAATGGCATGATCTCGGCTCACTGCAACCTCCGCCTCCTGGGTTCAAGCGATTCTCCTGCCTCAGCCTCCCCAGTAGCTGGGATTACAGGCACCTGCCACCACACCCGGCTAATTTTTGTATGTTTAGTAGAGACAGGGTTTCACCACGTTGGTCAGGCTGGTCTCGAACTCCTGACCTCAGGTGATCTGCCCGCCTTGGCCTCCCAAAGTGCTGGGATTACAGGCATGAGCCACCACACCCGGCCAGCTACACACTTCTAAACAACAAGATTTCATGAGCACTCACTATCACGAGAACAGCAAGGGGGAAACCCGCCCCCATGATCCAATCACCTTCTACCAGGTAACTCCTCCAACACTGGGGATTACAATTTGACATGATATTTGGGCAGGGACAGAAATCCAAACCATATCAGTTGGGAACACTTGCAGCAGTGGAAAGTGTCCTCATTGATGGGATCCATCGGGTTGTCAGAAGGAAACAGAACAAACTCAAACAGGGAAATGCAGGAGAGTTTAGTAAAGGGCCTATTTGCCAGGGTTTGGGCATAGCTAAGGGAGATCAACAGGGAATGCTGAGCAGTGTGCTGGGGCTATGAACAGCAGAGAGCCACTGCCGCTCTCAGGCCTGGGGGCTGAGGGAAGGGGAGAAGTGAGCAGAATCCAGAAAGAGCAGTTAAAAAGTGAGGGAGCCCGGAATGGTGGCTCACGCCTGTAATCCCAGCACTTTGGGAGGCCAAGGTGGGCAGATCACCTGAGGTCGGGAGTTCGAGACCAGCCTGACCAACATGGAGAAACCCTGTCTCTACTAAAAATACAAAATTAGGTTTGGTGGCACGTGCCTGTAACCCTAGCTACTCGGGAGGCTGAGGCAGGAGAATTGCTTGAACCTGGGAGGCGGAAGTTGCGGGGAGCTGAGATTGTGCCATTGCACTCCAGCCTGGGCAACAAAAGTGAAACTCTAACTCAAAAAAAGAAAAATAAACAAATTAGCCGGGTGTGGTGGCTGGTGCCTGTAATCCCAGCTTCTTGGGAAGCTGAGGCACAAGAACCTCTTGAACCCGGGAAGCAGAGGTTGCAATGAGCTAAGATTGCGCCACTGCACTCCAGCCTGGGCAACAGAGCAAGACTCAGTTGCTGTCTCAAAAAATAAAATTTTTTTTAAAAGTGAGGCGGCCAATCAGCAGTAACCTGGCAGGGAGCAGTCCAAAGGAGTAAATAATCTGACCTCACTCTCCTCTTGCCCTCTGACCTCTGTCTGTTGATGCTGTTCTTGAGGGTCAGCATCTTGGGGCCCAGGGCAGGGTGGAAAGGGTGAAAAGTGAATTTAAAGGGGCAAATGGAAAATCAGCCCCACTGATTCAGGAGGAGGCGTTCAAGTTGATATCATCGTGTAATTAATTATTGAAATGACTAGGTTTTTTTTTTGTTTGTTTTTGTTTTTGGAAACAGAGTCTTACTCTATTGCCCAGGCTGGAGTGCAGAGGCACGATCTCAGCTCACTGTAACCTCTGCCTCCTGTGTTCATGCAATTCTCCTGCCTCTGCCTTCCAAGTAGCTAGGATTACTAGTGTGCACCAACACACCCGGTTAATTTTTGTATTTTTAGTAGAGACAGGGTTTCACCATGTTGGTCAGGCTGGTCTTGAACTCCTAGCCTCAAGTGATCTACCCACCTCCACCTCCCAAAGTGCTGGGATTACAGGCATGAGCCACTGTGCCTGGTCAACAACTAGGTATTTTGTTATCCTCTGTCAATCCAGATAAGGAAACTGAGACAAAATTAATATAGAGAGTGATTTGGGCCACGGTTGAGGATTATAGCTTGGAAAACACTGAGAAGTGCTCAAAGAGAGGCTTGAGTTTTTAAAGAGGATTAATCAGGAGAGGGGGCGATTACAAAAGTTGAGTTTCAAGGATGCTCACTGGGTTAAAGAAATAACACTGATTAGTGACTAGCTGTACACTGTTGAGTTATAGCAAGTGAATTACAGTGTCCATTGTGTGGTGTTTTATGGCTACTTGGCATCAGTCAGTCTAGAGCCCACACAGCAAGTGGCTTCCAGAGCTGATTACTTAGCTGGAGGGGGAGTGAGACGTGACTGCTGTCACATTTCCATGCCTTTCTGGGCCTGATAATTTAAAGAGGGCTCACAGCCCGGAAAACACTGGGAAGTGCTCCAGAGAACCAAGGAGAGGCTCAAGTTTTTAAAGAAAACAGGATGAAAAGTTGCTTTTCTTTTTTTTTTTTTGGAAACAGGGTCTCACTCTGTTGCCCAGGCTGGAATGCAGTGGCATGATCTCACCTCACTGCAACTTCTGCTTCCCGGGTTCAAGTAATTCTCCTGCCCCAGCCTCCCATGTAAGCTGGGACTACAAGTACCTACCACCATGCCCGGCTAATTGTGTGGTTTTTATTTATTTATTTATTTGGCTCTGTTGCCCAGACTGGAGTGCAGTGGCACAATCTCGGCTCACTGCAACCTCCGCCTTCTGGGTTCAGTGATTCTCCTGCCTCAGCCTCCCAAGTAGCTGAGATTACAGGCACGCACCACCACTCCTGGCTAATTTTTGTATTTTTAGTAGAGACAGGGTTTCACCATGTTGGCCAGGCTGGTCTTGAACTCCTGACCTCAGGTGATCCACCCGCCTCAGCCTCCCAAAGTGTTGGGATTACAGGCATGAGCTACTGTGCCCGGCCAACACCCGGCTAACTGTTTGTATTTTTAGTAGAGATGGGGTTTCACCATATTGGTAGACTGGTCTTGAACTCCTGACCTCAAATGATCCACACGTCTCAGCCTCCCAAAGTGCTGGGATTACAGGTGTGAGCCACCATGCCTGGCTGAAAAGTTGCTTTTCTTTCTCATCTCATTTAATAGATGAAGTGAAGTGCCACAGGTTGGGTTTTCTGGGAGCAGATGCTGGGGTGGAGAGAGGAGTACCAAATGTGTCTGTGGGGTGAGCGCTGGCCAAGGAAGAAGGGAAGCACATCGGGAAGGGGTCCAGAGATTGTGATGCTGACCTGACAAGGGCTCTGCCAGCCCAGTGGGAAGCCCCAGAGCAAGGCAGTCCAACATTAGGCAGAAGTGGCCAGGCCCTGGCACCACAGCCCTGCCTAGTCGGTGGCTGGGAACCAACCCAAGAAGCGTGTGATCCCAGCTCAGAAGCTGAAACAAGGCTTCTCCAAAATCCAAAAATAGAATTACCATATTATTCAGCAATCCCACTTCTGAGTCTATATCCAAAGAAAATGAAATCAGTATCTCAAGAAGATATCTGTATCCCATGTTTATTGCAGCATTACTCACAATAGCCAAGTTATGGAGTTAACATAAGTGTCTGTATTAGTCAGGGTTTCTCCAGAGGGACAGAGGCAATAAGATATATATGAAAGGGGATTTATTAGAGGGAACTGGGTCACGCAATTACAGAGGCAAAGTCCTACAAGGGGCTGTCTGCAAGCTGGAGAACCAGAGAAGCCAGTACTGAGGCTCAGTCCAAATTTAACAGACTCAGAACCAGCCAAGCAAACAGTGCAGCCTCCAGTCTGAGACCAAAGGCCTCAGAGCCCCCACGAGGCTGCTGGTGCAAGTTCCAGATTCCAAGAGCTGAAGAACCTGGAGTCTTGTTTTCCAAGGGCAGGAGGAGATAGAGGCAGCCAGCTCCAGGAGGGAGAGCATGAGCTGAGTATCCCCACTCTTCTGCCTGCTTTGTCCTAGTGGTGGAATGGGGTCGGGGGTGGGCAGCAGATGGGATGGTGCCCACCCACACTGAGGGCGGGTCTTCCTCTCTCAGTCCACTGAAGCATACATCAATCTCCTCTGGGCTGGACGCCATGGCTCACGCCTGTAATCCAGCACTTTGGGAGGCCGCGGGGGGTGGATCACCTGAGGTCAGGAGGTTGAGACCAGCCTGACCAACATGGTGAAACCCCATCTTTACTAAAAATACAAAAACTAGCCAGGCGCTGGGCGCGGTGGCTCACGCCTGTAATCCCAGCACTTTGGGAGGCCAAGGCGGGTGGATCAGGTCAGGAGATAGAGACCATGCTGGCTAACATGGTGAAACCCCGTCTCTACTAAAAATACAAAAAAATTAGCCGGGCGTGGTGGCGGGCGCCTGTAGTTCCAGCTACTCGGGAGGCTGAGGCAGGAGAATGGCGTGAACCCGGGAGACAGAGCTTGCAGTGAGCTGAGATCGTGCCACTGCACACCAGCCTGGGCGACAGAGTGAGACTCTGTCTCAAAAAAAAAAAAAAAAAAACTAGCCAGGCATGGTAGCAGGCACCTGTAATCCCAGCTACTTGGGAGGCTGAGACATGAGAATCACTTGAATCCAGGAGGCAAAGGTTGCAGTGAGCCAAGATCATGCCATTGCACTCCAACCTGGAGACACAGGGAGACTCTGTCTCAAAAAAAAAAAAAAAAAAAAAAAAAAAAACTCCTCTGAAAACACCCTCACAGGCGCATCCAGCAACAATGTTTCACCAGCCAACTAGGCATCCCTCAATCCAGTCAAGTTGACACCTAATACTACCCATGGCAAGTCCACTCCTTGTCAGCTTGGCATCCATAAACATCTCCTTAAACCATACTTAATCTCCTCAAGTAAAGACAGTGACAAGGTCATAATTCTGCCTAAATGAAACAATTACCCTGTGCACAACTGAAAACACACTAATCCGGTCTCCCAGAAGAGGAGGTAAAGTTCTTGAGTGATATTTACTGTGATTATTCCGTAACTTGAATAGTATGATGTAAAATTCACAATTCTTAGGCTGGGCTTGGTGGCTCATGCCTGTAATCCCAGCACTTTGGGAGGCTGAGGCGGGAAGCTCACTGGAGCCCAGGAGTTCAAGACCAGCCTGAGCAATATAGTAAGACCCCCGTCTCTACAAACGAATAATTAAAAAATTAGCCAGGCATGGTGGTATGTGCCTGTAGTCCCAGCTACTTAAGAGGCTAAGGCAGGAGAATCCCTTGAGCCCAGGAGTTCAGGGCTGCAACGAGTCATGATCGTGCCACTGCACTGCAGGCTGGGCAGCAGAGTGAGGCTTGGTCTCAAAAACAAAAGCAAACCAAAAAACCATCCATATATTTCAACATTTTTTTTTTTTTGATATGCAGTCTCACTCTGTCACACAAGCTGGAATGCAGTGGCGCAATCTTGGCTCACTGCAGCCTCTGCCTTCCCTGTTCAAGTGATTCTCCTGTCTCGGCCTCCGGAGTAGCTGGATTACAGGCGCCTGCCACCACGCCTGGCTAATTTTTGTATTTTTAGTAGAGACGGGCTTTCACCATATTGGCCAGGCTGGTCTCCTGGCCTCAGGTGATCCTCCTGCCTCAGTCTCCCAATGTGCTGGGATTAGAGGTGTGAGCCACCGCAGCCAGCCAACTTTTTTTTTTTTTTTTTTTTTTTTTAGATAGAGTTTTGCTCTTTTGCCCAGGCTGGAGTGCAGTGGCGTGATCTCGGTTCATTGCAACCTCCGCCTCCTGGGTTCAAGTGATTCTCCTGTCTCAGCCTCCCAAGTAGCTGGGACTACAGGTGCGCACCACCACACCCAGCTAATTTTAGTATTTTTAATAGAGACGGGGTTTTACCATGTTGGCCAGCATGGTCTTGATCTCTTGACCTTGTGATCCCCCTGCCTCAGCCTCCCAAAGTGCTGAGATTATAGGCGTGAGCCACCGCGCCCAGCCTAATTTTTGTATTCTTAGTAGAGATGGGGTTTCACCATGTTTGCCAGGCTAGTCTTGAACTCCTGACCTCAGGTGATCCCCCCGCCTCAGCCTCCCAAAATGCTGGGATTACAGGTATGAGCCACTGCGCCCGGCCTCATTTCAACTTTTTGATCATTGAAAAAAAATCTTAAATTAATAAATAAATTAATAATTAATGAATCCTGCAAAGTATTGCCACCTACCCAGTGCTGCAACTGCAACTTCAAAAGGCCATTCCACCATTCTATTAAGCCAGCTGCTTCAGGATGGTGGGGGACATGGTAGCACCAGCGAATTCCATGAGCATGAGCCCACTACCTTACTTATTTGACTGTCAAGTGGGTTCCTTGGTCAGAAGCAATGCTGTGTAGAATACCATAATGGTGGATAAGACATCCCACAAGCCCACACATGCTAGTTTTGCCAGAAGCATTGCGTGCAGGGCAGGTAAGTCCTTATTCAGAGTAAGTGTGTGTTCCAATAAGGACAAAACCCTACCCCTTCTATGATGGAAGTCGTCCAGCGTAATCAACCTGCCACCACGTAGCTGGCTGACCACACTGGGGAATGGCGTCCTAGTGGGGGCTCCCTGTAGGTCTTGGCTGCTGGCAGATTGGGCACTGAGTGGTGGCCATAGCCAGGTTGACCTTGGTGAGTGGAGCCCATGTTGCTGAGCCCATGCTTAACCTCCATCCCTGTCACCATGGTCACTTTGTTCATGAGCCCACTGGAGAATGACAGGGGTAGCTAGGGAAAGGGGCTGACTGGTATCCACAGAATGGTTCATCCTATGCACTTGATTATTAAAATTCTCCTCTGCTGAGGGCACCCTTTAGTGAGCATTCACATGGGACACAAATATCTTCACATCTTCGGCCCACTCCGAGCAGTCTATCCACATACATCTTTCCCAAATTTCTTTGCCACCAATTTTCCAATCATGTTTCTTCCAAGTCCCTCACCACCCGCCAATCCATGGACTACAGCCCATGAATCAGTATATAATTGCACATCTGGCTGTTTCTCCTTCCAAGCAAAGTGCCAGCCCAGCAGGAAGCTTCAGAGGAAAGCAGTCCAACATTAGGCAGAAATGGCTGGGCCCTGTACCACAGCTCTGCCTAGTCAGTGACTGGGAACCACCCCAAGAAGAGTGCAATCCCAGTTTAAAAGCTGAGGCAAGGTTCCTCCAAAAACTAAATACAGAATTACCATACTAGGCCGGGCGTGGTGGCTCACGTCTATAATCCCAGGACTTTGGGAGGCTGAGGCGGGAGGGTCACCTGAGGTCAGGAGTTTGAGACCAGCCTGGCCAACATGGTGAAACGCTGTCTCTACTAAAAATACAAAAATTAGCCAGGTGTGGTGGTGGGCACCTGTAATCCCAGCTACTGAGGAGGCTGAGGCAGGATAATTGCTTGAACCTGGAAGGCAGAGGTTGCAGTGAGCCGAGATCAGGCCACTGCACTCCATCCTGGGCAACAGAGCGAGACTCCCTCTCAAAAAAGAGGAAACAAAAATCAAAGGTCTGGTATTAATCTTTTCATTGTGTATAGTTCCCTGGTAGATGGTCTCAGATACTCCTGGGGAAGGCTAGAGGCAGATTCCCAGCCCGTACTTGTGGAATTGCAGGGTCCTTTCTTGCAGGTATCCAGCTTTTACTTCTTCCAGGACTTCTGGAACAAGGGCTGACTCAGGTTTGGAAATTGGGTGAGAGACTGTGCTCTCAATCACGGTGGCTAAAGTCAGATCTCTGTTGACCAAGCCTGAAGTTTTTCACGTACACACATCAAGTAGCAACTTAGTGGATGTGCTGTTTATATATTTTGGTTCCACAGACTCCATGGTCAATTAGCCAAATCAATCTCTGCAGATCAGACCATCTGGGTAACTCCACTGGCCCTGCCTATTACAATAACCACATTCACTCTCCTCCAGAAATTAAGTAAGTGCTGCAACTTGCTTTCTATCACTGCAGGCTCTACACATCCCCAGTGAAATGAGGAAGCCCACTTCAGCTGCTGCCGTCCCCGCTGGCAGCTCTCACCAGGGACTGTTCAGAGGCACCGGTATTTCCCTTCCCAGTGAATTTCTCAAAGTCTTGGTTTTCTGGGGGATCAACTTATGAGCAACCAAAAAAAATACAATGTTTACTACAAACTCTGTTAAGGGGTTATTTATTTTGAAAGCAACTGGGAGCCACTAAAATGTTTTTTGTGTTTTTTTAGATGGGGTCTTGCTCTGTTGCCCAGGATGGAGTGCAGTGGCACGATCTCGGCTCACTCCAACGTCTGCCTCCCAGGTTCAAGCCATTCTCCTGCCTCAGTCCCACCCCAGCTCCCTGTCCCTAGTGGCTGGGACTACAGACGTACGCCGTTTCATTCTGAAATGTGTCTCCCGGTCTCGGAGGTGGGGCCTGCTGGGAGGTGATCGGATCATGGCGGCAGATCCCTTATGAATGGTTTAGCACTATCCCCTTGGTGATGAGTGACTTCTCACTCAGTTACTTCACATGAGAGCTGCTTGTTTAAAAGTCTGGGACCTTGGCCAGGTGCGGTGGCTCACACTTGTAATCCTAGCATTTTGGGAAGACGAGGTGGGCGGATTGCCTAAGCTCAGGAGTTCGAGATCACCCTGGGCAACATGGTGAAACCCCATCTCTATTAAAATACAAAAAATTAGGCTGGGCGCAGTGGCTCACACCTGTAATCCCAGCACATTGGGAGGCCGAGACGGGTGGAACACAAGGTCAGGAGATCGAGACCATCTTGGCTAACATGGTGAAACCCTGTCTCTACTAAAAAGCACAAAAAATTAGCCGGGCATGGTGGCAGGCGCCTGTAGTCCCAGCTACTCAGGAAGCTGAGGCAGGAGAATCACTTGAACCTGGGAGGTAGAGCTTGCAGTGAGCCAAGATCACGCTACTGCACTCCAGCCTGGGTGACCGTGCAAGACTCCATCTCATAAATAAATAAATAAATAAATACAAAAAATCAGCTGGGTGTGATGGCACACACCTATAGTCCCAGCTACTCGGGAGGCTAAGGCAGGAGAATCACTTGAACCCAAGAGGCGGAGGTTGCAGTGAGTCAAGATCGCGCCACTGCACTCCAGCCTGAGCGACAGAGTGTGACTCTGTCTCCAAAAAAAAAAAAAAAAAAAAAAGTCTGGGACCTCCTCCCTCTCTCTTGCTCCCACTCTTGCCATGTGACGTGCCTGCTCCCCCTTTACCTTCTGCCATGATTGCAAGCTTTCTGAGGCCTCAGCAGAAACCAAGCAGATATCAGCAACATACTTCCTCTACAGCCTGCAGAACCATGAGCCAATTAAACCTCTTTTCTTTATAAATTACCCAGTCTCAGTTATTCCTTAACAGCAACACAAAAACAGCCTAACACATAAACCAAAAGCAACGCTGAAACTCCTGGGCAACTGAAGCGATTAATAATATCATCACGGCCTTGAAAAATTCTGGGGTGGTGATTTTATCAATTTCCCCTTCATTCTTCAGTTTGGCCAGTGAAGATGGCAGATGGGTCTCTGAGAGAATGACAGTGAATTACCATAAACTTAATTATGTGACAACGCCAACTGCAGCTGCTGTTTCAGATATGTTCTCATTGCGGGAGAAAATAAACACAGTCTCCCACACCTGGTATGCAGTTACTGAGCTGACAAATGCTATTTCTCTATTTCAAGAAGAAGAGGTCAGACACCCTGCTTTCATGCATCAGAGTCATCAATACACCTTTACCATCTTGCCTCGGGACTCCATTAACTCTTCTGCCAGTTCTCCAAACCTCAGACTTTAGCACATCCTCATTACACAAAACACAATGCTATTCCACTCTACTGACAACATTATGCTCCTAGGGCCTGGGAAGCAGAAAAGTGTAGGTATCCTAAATGTGACAGAAATGTCATGAAAACACAAAGGCCCAATTTCTCAGTAAAGGTTTTGGGGTCCAGTGTTCTGAACACGTCCCGATTTATCCTACAAAGTAAAGAACAGGCGGGGTGTGGTGGCTCACGCCTGTAATTCCAAATCTTTGGGAGGCCGAGTTGAGAGGATCACTTGAGCCTGGCAGTTCAAGACCAGCGTGGGCAACATAGTAAGACCTTGTCTCTACGAAAAATAAAAAATTAGCCGGGCATATGGTGGTGCATGCCTGTGGTCCCAGTTACTCAGAGGGCTGAGGTGAGGAGGACTGTTTGAGCTTGGGAGGTTGAGGCTGCAGTGAGCCATGATCATGCCACTGCCACTCCAGCTTGGATGACAGAGCAAGACTCTGTCTCCAAAAAAAAAAAAAAGTAAAGAACAGTTTACCTTACGTTACACCCACTACCACAAAAGAGGTGTGATTAGCCAGGTGCAGTGGCACACACCTGGGCACCAGCCCAGGAATTCGAGGCCTCAGTGTGCTATGATCACGCCTGTGAATCACACTACACTCCAGCCTGGGCATATAGCAAGATCCCATTCCTTAACAATTAAAAAGAGAGAGAGAGAGAGAAGTGATATTTCATGAGACTCTTTGGATTTGGGAGTCATTATATACTATTTGCTGTTCCAACCCATTTACTAGATGACCTAAAAGCTACCAGCTTTGGCCGGGCGCGGTGGCTCACGCCTATAATCCCAGCACTTTGGGAAGCCAAGGCGGGCGGATCATGAGGTCAGGAGATCGAGACCATCCTGTCTAACACGGTGAAACCCTGTCTCTACTAAAAATACAAAAAATTAGCTGGGCATTGTGGCAGGCGCCTGTAGTCCCAGCTACTCGGGAGGCTGAGGCAGGAGAATGCTGTGAACCCAGGAGGCAGAGCATGATGCAGGGAGCCAAGATCACGCCACTGCACTCCAGCCTGGGCAACAGAGTGAGACTCCGTCTCAAAAAAAATAAAATAAAATAAAAACAAACTACCAGCTTTGAGTGGAGCCCTGAGGAAGAGAAGGTGCTGCTACTTGATTCAAAAGGCCTTGCAGATCCAGTGAGGTGCTAAGGGTTTCTGTAGCAGGTGGGGAGAACCAGATAAAGCTAGGTCATCCACTTTCCCTGTGGGCACCACGCTTCTGTGATGTCTGAGACAGAATTGGACTTTTTTTTTTGCCTCCATCAAGTATTAGGAATCCCCATTAAGCACCAGTGGTCACCTCAGGCTATAGGCACTGGTCTGAAGTGCCTGTGTCCGAGGCTTGGTTTCACTTGCCAGAAATTGTAAGAGCTGCACAAGCTGCTTATGGTCTACTTTATTTATTTACTTATTTTTAATTTATTTATGAGACGGAGTTTCACTGTCGTTGCCCAGGCTAGAGTGCAATCGCATGATCTCTGCTCACTACAACCTCCGCCTCCTGGGTTCAATTCTCCTGCCTCAGCCTCCCAAGTAGCTGGGATTGCAGGCACCCGACACCACACCCGGCTATTTTTTGTATAGTAGAGACAGGGTTTCGCCATGTTGGCCAAGCTGGTCTCGAACTCCTAACCTCCAGTGATCCACCCGCCTTGGCCTCCCAAAGTGCTGGGATTACAGGCATGAGCCATTGTACCCAGCCTGGTCTACTTTCTTTAAAAAGGAGCTGTGTGATTTTTTCTTTTTTTTTTTACAAAGATGCCAAGACAATTCATTGGGGGAATGAATAATATGGAAGAGCCAGATATCCACATGCAATTAAAAAAAAAAAAAATGCAGCCTGACACTGTGGCTCATGCTTATAATCCCAGCACTTTGGGAGGCCAAGGCAGGTGGATCACCTGAGGTCGGGAGTTCGAGACCAGCGTGACCAACATGGTGAAAGCCCGTCTCTACTAAAATTACAAAATTAGCTGGGCGTGGTGGTACATGCCTGTAATCCCAGCTACTCGGGAGGCTGAGGCACGAGAATTGCTTGAAACCAGGAGGCGGAGGTTGCGGTGAGCCAAGATCGTGCCATTGCACTCCAGCCTGGGCAACAAGAGTGAAACTCCGTCTCAAAAATTAAAAAAAAAAATGCAGTTGGATGCCTGTCTCACCCGATAAACAAACATTAACTTGGCCAGACATGGTGGCTCATACTTGTAATCCCAGCACTTTGGGAGGCCAAGGCAGGCGGATCATGTGAGGTCAGGAGTTTGAGACCAGTCTGGCCAACATGGTGAAATTCCATCTCTATTAAAAATGCAAAATTAGCCAGGCGTGGTGGCATGTGCATGTAATTCCAGGCTACTCGGGAGGCTGAGACAGGAGAATCACTTGAACCTGGGAGGCAGAAGTTGCAGTAAGCTGAGATCGCGCCATTGCACTCCAGCCTAGGCAACAAGAGCAAAACTCCATCTCAAAAAAAGTAAATAAATAAAAATATCTCAAAATGGATCACAGACCTAATTGTAAGAACGAAAACTATAAAACTCTTAGAAGAAAGTGCAGCAGTAAACCTTGGGTAAGGCAAAGACTTCTTAGATTGACACCAAAAGCACAAGCAAGAGTAGAAAAAATAATAGATAAATTAGACTTAATAATGATTTTAAAATTTTATGGGTTTTTTCCCCTTTTTTTCTTTTTTTTTTTTCTGAGACAGGGTCTCATTCTTTTGGTCAGACTAGGGTGCAGTGGTGCGATCACAACTCACTGCAGTTTCAACCTGCCGGACTCAAGGCTGCAGTGATCCTTCAGCCTTGACTTCCTGAGTACCTGGGACTACAGGCATGCACCACCACACCCAGCTAATTTTTAAAATTTTGTAGAGATGGAGGTCTTGCTATGTTGCCCAATCTGGCCTCAAGCAATCCTCCCACCTGGGCCTCCCAAAGTGCTGGGATTACAGGCATGAGCTACTGCTTCCTACCAACTTGTGTGCTTTAAAGGACACCATCAAGAGAGTGTAAACAGCTGGGTGCGGTGGCTCACGCCTGTAATCCCAACACTTTAGGAGGATGAGGTGGGAGGATGTATTAGTCCATTCTCATTCTGTTATGAAGAAATACCTGAGACTGGGTAATTTATAAAGGAAAGAGGTTTCATTGACTCACAGCGATCCTCTCATCTCAGCCTTCCAAGTAGCTGGGACTACGGGTGCACATCACCATGAATTGTCCATTTTAAAACGATGTATTTTTATTGTATGTGAATTATATTTCAACAAATGTGGTGTTTTGTCTTTTGGGTGTTTTTTTTTTTTTTGAGACAGGGTCTCACTCTGTTTCCCAGGCCACAGTACAGTGGTATAATCAGCTCACTGCAGCCTTGAACTCTTGGAAGCAAGAGATCCACCCACCCCAGCCTCCAGAGTAGCTAGGACTACAGGTGTACACTACCAAACCTGGCTAATTTTTTTTTTGTAAAAGAAACACAAAGTCTTGCTGTGTTGCCTGGGCTGCACAGCTTGGGCTGGTCTCAAACTCCCGGACTCCAGTGATCCTTCCGCTTCGGCCTCCCAAAGTGCTGGGATTACAGGCATGTGCCACTATGCCCAGCCAACAAATCTGTGTTTTGTTTTTGTGAGATGGGGTCTCACTCTGTCACTCAGGTTGGAGTGCAGTGGCGCAATCTCAGCTCATTCCAACCTCCACCTCCCAGGCTCAAGTGATCCTCCCACTTCAGCCTTCCCAGTGGCTGGAACCACAGGTATGCACCACAAGGCCCGGCTAACTTTTTGTATTTTTTGCTAGAGATAGGGTTTTGTCCAGGTTGGTCTCGAACTCCTGAGCTCAGGCAATTCACCTGCCTCAGCCTCCCAAAGTGCTGGGATTACAGGCATGAGCCACCGTACCCAGCCAGCAAATCTGTTTTTAAAAGGTATGGGGGAGGAGGGCTGTGGACAGAGGAAGCACTTAGAAATGCAGTCTCCACTCCGGTCCCTGGGGCAAATGGCCGACTCTGGACATTAGTTTCCTACTCCTTGTCTCTTTTCACTCTGCTTCCTGGAAGCGACATCCAGTTACACCTTGCTGCTGACCATTTGGCAGGCCACTGGGAACTACGTTGAACATGCTTTGCAGAGAGGTGCTTCCTGGGGACACCCTCTGAACTGCAGTGTGAAGATGGGTTTCAGCAGGTTTTGCTGACATCGGAATCAGTAACTTGGATGAGTGCACTCCTTGGCTCTTCCACTGACTTGCTGTGTCATGCAGTAAGTCCCCTGATCTGCTCGGTGCCAAATGGTAATTGGAGTAAAATGAGCCTGCCTTGGGATACTCTTTGCCGTGGGTTTTATTTTTTTGAGACAACCTTATAGTAACTAACATTTGTACAGCCTTTTACACACGTGCCTTATCTCAGCTGATCCTGTGAGGCAGATATGATCCCTAGTGACAGATGTGGGGACTGCGGAGCAGAGAGTTGGGCAGCTTTCCCAGAACAATCCAGCCGGCACGGTGCAGCCAGGCCCCAAGCCCAGGCCTTCCACTCTTCTGACTCCAAATTCTGTGCTCATTCCTCTCCACAGGGCTCCCTTGTGATGAGACTTTCTTCCTATCCTACTTCCAAAATGCTGATGTTACTGAGCTCTGAGTTACTATATAACTCTTATCTTAAAAAAAGGAAAACAAAACCAAAATGCCAACGTCAAGGAAATCGCCACACTTCAGTTGGTCTCAACCCTTGTATTTTTAGCCCTTAGAGACAGCCCCTCTGTGGCCTACCCTCTTCGGCCTTTTGCCCAGTGGTGGTCAGTCCCTTCCCACTTCAGTTCTGCAGCATCTGGGTCCTGATTTCACGCACAACTGTTTGCAGAAAAAACTGAGGTGGGGTGAAAGGAAAATCCGGTTCTTTTAGAACTCCTGTTTTTGTTGAGCACACGTGACCCTTCAGGGTCAGGCCTCTTCTCTCACCACCACCTCCTGCTTCCCCCCATACCCCGTGTTACCCTTAAACATCTTAGGGTTTCCAGAAAGGGCTGTGTGCTCCTGTAACTTCTGCACATGTCGACCCCTCGGGCCATTTTTTTTTTTTTTTAAGACAGAGTCTCATGCTGTCGTGCAGGCGGGAGTGCAGTGGTACAATCTTGGCTCACTGCAACCTCTGCCTCCTGGGTTCAAGCAATTCTCCTGCCTCAGCCTCCCGAGTAGCTGGGACTACAGGCACGCACCACCATGCCCCAGCTAATTTTTATATTTTTAGGAGAGACGGGGTTTCACCATGTTGTCCAGGCTGGTCTCAAACTCCTGACCTCATGATCCACCCGCCTCGGCCTCCCAAAGTGCTGGGATTACAGGCGTGAGCCACTGCGCCCGGCCCCCCTCGGACCTTTCTTCTCTTGGCCGCCTCCTCAGCTGTTCTTCACAATGCAGCAGAATGACCTTCTGGAAGCTCCCTGCCCTCGGCTCCCTACTCTCTGCTCCCTACCCTGTCCTCCATCAAACAGCTAGTGTGGCCATACTGCAGCAGATGCTGCTGGTGCCTCCCCAGGTCGCTTTACCAGGCTGCTCACCGGTCCTCCAGCTGCTGCAAGTCTTGGGTCTACAGACTCGCAGCTGCCCCCCACCTGTCCCCTTATGTGGAGGGGCCCTTGGCTGACAAGCACCCACCACCTCACCTATCAGCCCCATCCAAAGCCTGAAAGGAGGCAGACAAGGCCATTCTCTTTGCCTCTAAGGGGGCCACTCTGCTTGGAGCCCACTCCTCTAACCCAGGCCAAGGCTAGACCTGAGCCCAGCTCAGCAATTTCTCCTTCAATACCTGCTTTCCTTCCCCCTTCCCCCTTCTCCCCTGCCCTCCCCCTCTTTTCTTTTTTTGAGGGGGAGTTTTGCTCTTGTCACCCAGGCTGGAGTGCAGTGGCCAATCTCAGCTCATTGCAACCTCTGCCTCCCGGGTTCAAGTGCTTCTCCTCCCTCAGCCTCCCGAGTAGCTGGGATTACAGGCACCTACTGCCACGCCTGGCTAATTTTTGCATTTTTAGAAGAGGCAGGGTTTCACCATGTTGACCAAGCTGATCTCGAACACCTGACCTCAGGTGATCCGCCCACCTTGGTCTCCCAAAGTGCTGGGATTACAGGCGTGAGCCACCGCACCCAGCCCTTACAGGCATCTTCCTTCAACAAACCTCAATAACCAGACCCCTGCTTCGGGCTAAGGCGCTAGCACATTCCATGGTGATTAACCATTTTTCTTATTGTCTCCAGACTAGACTCTGAGCACCCGGAAGGCAGGAAGGTTGCCCACACCTCCCAGGTGGGGGCCTGGCACAGAGCAGGTTCTCCGCGTTGAACTCTCAAGCTTCCGGGTGGTTCTGCACAGCTCCCCTTGCCTTTCTTTCTCTACCACCATTTCTTCTCCTCTCCTCTCCCCTAGAAGGGCAGAGATCCGTTTGTCAAGGCTAAGTTTGGGGTGCGGTGGGAAGGGCAGGAGGTAGAGCTGGCCAACCTTCCAATCCCCGGCCCTCCTGCCCGACCCCACCAACCCCGTCCTGCCTCATGGAACTTAGGTTTGAAACACAGGGACGAACCGGAGGATGGCCTGCCAGCCGCAGGGCAGGCCACAGCGGAGCCCTGGGGCGCTCCCCGGTGCTGGGGTGTGGGGAGGTGGCAGCTGTGTGCCCCATCCCGGGAACAGGCTGCACGGGCCCGCGTGCAGAGAGCCCACCCCGGGACCAGGCTGCACGGGCCCGCAGACAGCATCACAGCCTGGGCTGGCAGCCTTTTCCAAGGGCTGCTCTTGACTTCCGCCTCCCTCTCCCGTCACTTCATCAACACTCTAGGAACCATGGTGAGCCCACGCTTCTTCATTCATTCCCGCCCACTCACAGCACAAGCCCACGTCACAGGAGGCATGACTCGCCTCAGAGGCTGATTAGCTTTCCAGGCAGCATCCAGCTCACGCAGGCGCTGAGTCAGTGCCGCCGAAGCCTGGCCAGGAGGGAGGTGACTCAAGCCCGAAACTGTGGGTCTCCTCCCCTCCAGCCCTGCCAAGCAGCCAGCGGCCGGGAGAAGCCACCAGGGGCCAGGCCCTGGGCTAATGCTCTGGGTGCTAAGCCCTCCTAAGTCCCCACACCCCACCTGTAAGGCACGTATGTGGTGCCAGCTGCCCCGCAGTCTCTCTCCCCATTTCCCGGGTGAAGACCCAACAACCCCCGGGCTTCCAGCCGGGCTCCACAGCATGGGGCGGAGGCAGTAGTAACTGACCCGGATGTGGCCATGTTGATTGGCTCAGGGCTGGGCATGTGATCTGTTGGAGCCAATGAGAGGCATTGAGACTCAGGCTAAAATATCTGGGACAAAGCCTCTCATCGTTTTTTTCACTGGACTCAAAACTCCAGGGGTGCTAGAGCTGGAGCTGGAGCTGCTGGCTCCAGCTTGCCAGCATGTGAAACCTGCCACTGACACCAACCCTGCGGAAAAGAAAGAGAAATGGCAGGAAACTGAGTCCTGGTTATATTCTGGAGTCCTGAATCCAGCCATACCTGAAACTGTTATACTACAGGGACTTTTGGAATTTCCTGGCTTAATGCAGTCCTTTTGCTTAAGTTAGTCTGTTTCCTGTCACTTGCAGTTGTAAGAATTCTAATCAGTACCAGCATTTGCTACCACATTTAACTAATCCTAAAACATGATTTTTTTTCATTTTAATGGAATCATCATTGCTTGCAAATTTGATAAATTAAACATAGCTGTTCATATTGTCTTAACTTCAGCTGAGTTAGGTGCAGTGTTGGTGCTGCGTGTACTGAATTGAGGGCTATTTAAAATGTCTTCAAAAAATTATATAGTGACTCAGCATTTGGATAAAAAGTGATTATGTAGAGAGAAAGGCAAGGACACTGAGCTATAGGGAATGAGCTTAAT
Organism: Homo sapiens; assembly: GCF_000001405.40. Classification (NCBI taxonomy): domain Eukaryota; kingdom Metazoa; phylum Chordata; class Mammalia; order Primates; family Hominidae; genus Homo; species Homo sapiens. The sequence goes on along the minus strand of NC_000022.11, from coordinate 40,651,184 downwards.
ATTAGTGAAACAACTTTTCTCTTTGGAGAAACAACTGCTCTTTCCTGACAAGGCAACATGCAAGTGCTTTGTAAAACCGAATACAGGAAGATACCCACAAGTAGAATTTGTGTTACATTTTGCTCCTGAGATATGGATAAAAAGATTGACTATGTATCATACACCAAGCAATGCAACTGAAGGCAGGAGAAATTGTGGAATCTCACAAAACAGGTGAGAGGAATACAAAGTAACAAGTTACTGTGACTAATTTGTGACTTTGTGCAGAGCTACCGTTAAGACACTGCACTGTTGGCCGGGCGCGGTGGCTCACGCTTGTAATCCCAGCACTTTGGGAGGCCGAGGCGGGCGGATCACGAGGTCAGGAGATCGAGACCATCCTGGCTAACACGGTGAAACCCCGTCTCTACTAAAAATACAAAAAATTGGCCGGGCGTGGTGGCGGGCGCCTGTAGTCCCAGCTACTTGGGAGGCTGGGGCGGAAGAGTGGTGTGAACCCGGGAAGCGGAGCTTGCAGTGAGCCGAGATTGCAACACTGCACTCCAGCCTGGGTGACAGCCCTTGCTGGACCCACAGAGAGCTGACCAGCCACAACTAAGCAGGGCATTGTAGCTAAGAGGCTGGACTATGGCACTGGATGGTCTGTGTTCCAATCACAGCTCTACCATTTACTGCCTGTTTGAGCTCAGCTAAATTACTTAACCTTAATCTATAACCATCAGAATGCATTATCACTCGCATTTTGCAAAAGTGCCCTTAAAGTCACCTGCACTGGGCGCAGTGGCTCACTCCTGTAATCCCAGCACTTTGGGAGGCTGAGGTGGGTGGATCACCTGAGGTCAGGAGTTCGAGACCAGCCTGGCCAACATGGTGAAATGCCGTCTGTAAAAATACAAAAATTAGCAAGGCATGGTGGCACACACCTGTAATCCCAGCTACTCAGGAGGCTGAAGCATGAGACTTGCTTGAACCCTGGAAGCAGAGGTTCCAGCGATCAGAGATGGCACCACTGCACTCCAGCCTGGGCAACAGAGTGAGAAGTGAGACTCTGCCTCAAAAAAAAAAAAAAAAAAAAAATCCCTTGCTCAAAGTCACAAGCTGACTTTGAACATTATGGACCTAATCATTACATCTCATCCATACTGGGTTCCTACTGGTCAAGAGGAGTGGAGAACTGGGGACATCTGTACATCCCTGCTCTGCTCCTAAGCACTCTGGCCTAGACTGGCTGAGCGGAGGTAGAATCAAGTGGTTACAATGGCCTGGCCTTCAATGATATTTGCTGTCACACTGTTTCAGTTCACTAGCTTGGGCCTAAAGAGAGATCCCCTGCTCCCCATAAATCTTTATGTCTACTGTTTGAGTAGTGCCAGTAGGTCATGCCTTGGGTTGTAGTTTTTCCTTCTCTAGGTATTTTATTTATTTATTTATTTATTTATTATTAAATAATTGGGGGGGAGGGGGGCTCAACTCCTCCCCAAAGTGGGTTTATCAAGGATTTTTTTTTTTTTTTTTTGAGACATGGTCTCACTCTGTCATCCAGGCTGGAGTGCAATGGAGCAGTCTCAGCTCACTGCAGCCTCTGCTTCCCAGGCTCAGGTGATCCTCTCACCTCAGCTACCCAAGTACCTAGGACCACAGGTGCGTGCCACCGTGCTCGGCTAATTTTTAAATTTTTTGTAGAGATCGTGTCTTGCTATGTTTCCCAGGCTGGTCTCAAACTCCTGGGTTCAAGAGATCCTCCCGCCTTGGGCTCCCAAAGTGCTAGGATTACAGGTATGAGCCACTGCACTGGGCCAAAGAATTTTTTTTTTTCTGAATAAATAAACAATGCTTCCTCTGAAGGGAGTTCCAGTGAACACAATTTTCTCCATCTCATTACAATGAGGTTTAGGCCACAGCTATAAGTTCTCTGTTGTCATTCTCTGTATTCACCCCAACACTCCGTAAAGTGTGGGACACACCACGGTGTGGGAAAATAGAGACCCAAGATGAGAAAGGAAAGCAAGTACCTCTGGCCTGGTGTTGTGGGAAGGAAGAAGCACACCTTGAGGGGACAGGCCAGGGGTCCAGGTACTGACCCACACCAAAGCACAGCGTGGTCCCAAGCAGCTGGGAGTGAGGGGACGCACGTAGACAGTGAAGACCCAGGATAGACGGGAAAGGAACTTCTACTTTTCTTTCCTTTTTTTTTTTTTTTTTTTTTTGAGACAGAGTCTTGCTCTGTCGCCCAGGCTAGAGTGCAATGGCGCGATCTCGGCTCATTGCAGCCTTCACCTCCCAGGGTTCAAGCGATTCTCCTGCCTCAGCCTCCAGAGTAGCTAGGATTACAGGCACACGCCACCATGCCTGGCTAATTTTTGTATTTTTAGTAGAGACGAAGTTTCACCATGTTGGCCAGGCTGGTCTCGAACTCCTCACCTCATGATCTGCCCACCTCAGCCACCCAGAGTACTGGGATTACAGACATAAGCCACCGCGCCCAGCTAGAACTTCCACTTTTTCACTGCATGTCAGTGACCGCTGAGCCCCGCAGCGGTGCAAGGGCAGGTGTTGACTTGCGATCTGTATGGTTACTCCTAATTTACAGGTGACGAGATTGAAACTCAGGGACACAGTCTATTTCCTAAGGTCACATGGCTCGGGGCAGAGCCAGGCTTTGAAACCACACCTGCTTTTCCACTGAGTTGCTCTGCCCCTCTTCTCTGTGAGTTTCTTGTAAGGTATTTGTTGTATGACTGCTATCATGAGGCACATTTTATTCACCTGTCGGGAGCTGGTACCATTAGTGTAATATAATCATTCAGTTTGACTCTCATCAGTGTTTTTGCTGCAGCTGCTGCTGCTTTTTCCACACTCTAGTTTTCCAAAACTCAGGTGCAGTGGGGTATTGAGTCTCCTTGTCCATCCAGGCAAGAAAAAAATAATCACTTCAGAATGAGTAGGTAGGAAGGCAGCACAAACAGACATGTAAAAAAATGACTTCACAGCCGGGCACGGTGGCTCACACCTGTAATCCCAGCACTTTGGAAGGCCAAGGCAGGTGGATCAACATGGTGAAACCCCGTCTCTACTAAAAATCCAAAAATTAGCCGAGCATGGTGGTGCATGCCTGTAATCCCAGCTACTCGGGAGGCTGAGGCAGGAGAATCGCTTGAACTGGGGAGGCAGAGGTTGTGGTGAGCCAAGATCGCACCACTGCACTCCAGCCTTGGTGACTCCATCTCCAAAAAAAAAAGAATGACTTCAGAATGCTGTTCTAATCAGGTAGCATTTTGGTAAGGAGAGAAATCAGTATAACTTGTTCCACCAACTCAAAGTGCAGAGTTCCACATAATTGCTGGAGTCTTTATCACCTCCCCACCCAACTTTGTGATTTGCCCCATATGCTAAGGACTTCAGGCGCTGCTCCATCCAGGGGTTTGAATCATATCATGGGGACTCTGCCCCTGTCTCTTCTATACCCTTCATTGCTCCTTGTTGTTATTTGGTTTCATTTTCAGATGAGATCCGGTGTGTTCAGGGTGATATGGCTGTAGACATGGCCTTCTTTTCTTTCTTTCTTTTTTTTTTTTTGAGAGGGAGTTTCACTCTTGGCACGATCTCGGCCCACTGCAACCTCTGCCTCCCGGGTTCAAGCAATTCTCCAGCCTCAGCCTCCCAAGTAGCTGGGATTACAGGTGCCTGCCACCATGCCTGGCTAATTTTTGTATTTTTAGTAGAGACGGGGTTTCACCATGTTGGCCAGTCTGGTCTGGAACTCCTGACCTCAGGTTATCCGCCGGCCTCGGCCTCTCAAAGTGCTGGGATTACAGGTGTGAGCCACCGCGCCTGGCCTGGGCCTTATTTTCAAATCTCTTCTTGCCTTCTGACAGCTAGATGGCCACCGGCAGCTCCAAGCCTACATTTGTTTTTTTTTGTTTTTTTTTTTTTTTGAGACTAAGTTTCGCTCTATTGCCCAGGCTGGAGTGCAAGTGGTGTGATCTCGGCTCACTGCAACCTCCGCCTCCGGGGTTCAAGTGATTCTCATGCCTCAGCCTCCAGAGTAGCTAGGATTACAGGCGCCCGCCACCACACCCATCTAATTTTTGTATTTGTAGTAGAGACAGGGTTTCACCATGTTGGCCAGGCTGGGATTACAGGCTTGAGCCACCGCGCCTGGCCTAATTTTGATTTTTTGAAATATTGTATTATTTTTCTTAATTGCTAAGTTTTTGGCATCCACTTAAATTTTGTGTCTGATTCTCCTCACCCTAGGCTATAACATCATGGCAAGCTTTTATTTAAGAAAAAAAAAATCTTTGCAAGTTTTTTTGTTGTTGTTGTTGTTATTTTTTTTGAGACAGAGTCGAGCTCTGTCGCCCAGGCTGGAGTGCTCGAGTGCAGTGGCGTGATCTCGGCTCACTGCAAGCTCCGCGTCCTGGGTTCACGCCATTCTCCTGCCTCAGCCTCCTGAGTAGCTGGAACTACAGGCGCACAACACCACGCCCAGCTAATTTTTTGTATTTTTAGTAGAGACGGGGTTTCAGCATGTTAGCCAGGATGGTCTCGATCTCCTGACCTCGTGATCCGCCCGCCTCGGCCTCCCAAAGTGCTGGGATTACAGGCGTGAGCCACCGCGCCCGGCCAAGTTTTTGTTTTTAAAACAAAATCTTTTTGTTCCACAAGCAATAAGAACTTTCAGTTCAGTTCCACCTCTTGGTTGTTTACCAGCGCGGCCTCTTCTCTACTCCAGGGGGCAAAAACGGGGTTACAGTTCTCAACCACCAGGGGGCGTCAAAGAACAACTGATAATCGAACCGTTCCTAAGGACGTCCTCCAGGAATATTCCCCAGCCTGGATTCCTTTTCTTGCTGAAGAAAACCCATCCATTTTGAGTTCTCTGCCTGTCAAGTACTTCAGTCTCAAGTAGGCCCCGACTACATGAGCTAGATTCGAGGTTATGTTTGGATTGTATCCTGAAAGTACCCAAAGAAGACATTTATATTGGCTGCAATGATCAGAAAGCCAGAATAAAATCCCACGGGGGTTTGAGTTAATCAAACTTGTGTTTAAACTTTGGCATGTGTGATGCAAATCAAGGTCGCTGGGTAGGGATACCAAGCTTCCTAGTTTCCCCTGGTCAGTAAAAGTCCTGCATCTTGACCCTTCAGTTCCTGCAAACTGGACTGTTGGTCCCTCTACCTGCTTGACCCTCAGTTTTCATCATCTGTGAAATGGACATAAGGCTGGTACCTTCTATGAAGTGTTCATGGAAGAATTCAATGAGATGATGATGTACACAGTAGGTGCTGAATAAAAACTAGCTCAGTTTTGTGATCAAGTGATATACTAGGTGTTTGCAATCCCAGGGATGACCCAATAAAACTATGTAAACAGAGCCCTAGCTTTTTTTGTTTGTTTGTTTTTTAGACGGAGTCTCACTCTGTCACCCAGGCTGGAGTGCAGTGACACTATCTCAGCTCACTGCAACAACCTCTGCCTCCAGGGTTCAAGTGAGTCTCCTGCCTCATCCACCTGAGTAGCTGGGATTACAGACACTCACCACCATGCTCGGCTAATTTTTGTGTTTTTAGTAGAAACAGGGTTTCATCATGTTGGCCAAGCTGGGCTCCAACTCTTGGCCTCAAGTGATATGCCACCTTGGCCTCCCAAAGAGGTGAGATTACAAGTGTGAGCCACTGCACCCGATTGAGCCCCAGTATTTAAAAAAACTTTAATATAATAGAGATGGGGTCTTGCTATGTTGCTCAGGCTGGTCTTGAACTCCTGGGTTCAAGCCATCCTCCCACTTCGGCCTCCCAAAATGCTGGCATTACAGGTATGGGCCACCTTGCTTGGTCACAGAGCCCTAGCATTTTAACACCTCACTTATACATTTAATTCACTTCCAAAGATATTTGCTGAGTGCTTACTACATTTGAAGAAATTGTTAGCAGTTTAAAGGTTATGGGCATATTTTTTTTTTAAATTATTGCCCTTTCTCAAGGATGCTATAATGTCTAGGGGACAGAGATATGGAAAGTGTTTACAGGGTAGAGGGGAAAAAACTCCATGCTGATTGTTCCCCTCTTGTGGGTCTTTATTTCCTCCTGGCTGGATAACAGTAGTGGTTTAATTTATCTTTCCAGCCCCACTTCACTCTCCTTCCATTCCAACTGACAAACTACCAGGTGAATCTTAAGACAGTCTGGATTCTGTTTTCCAGAACGTAATGCCTCCTTTACCATGGCGTTCTTTTTACAACAAGGCCTCAGCAAACTTTCAAACCTTATCTCTCAAACAACCCAGGTGACTCCCTTGCTCAAACATGTCCTCTGTTTTCCTTCCTCCACGTTATTACTCACAGTGTTTCCTAAGTTGGAGTGCCCCACCTCATTACTGCCTGTCAAACATAAGCTCTTTCATGTGTTGCCTCAGTGGGTTCTCCACCAGACAGGAACACTCCCTTCCTAGACCAGACCTCATTCTACTATCCTTTCAGCATTGTTCGTGTTAGCATCATTTCATGGACCCTGTTCTTGATTGTGGCAAAGCTGATCTATTTCACCTTTTTATATTTCCTCTAGTTCCTTGTATGTAGCCAACAAATGTTTATTGAATTACACCCAGGATCTTATTTATTTATTTATTTATTTATTTATTTATTGAGACAGAGTCTTATTCCATCACCCAGGTTGGAGTGCAGTGGTGCGATCTTAGCTCACTAACAGGCTCCATCTCCCAGGTTCAAGCGATTTTCCTGCCTCAGCCTCCCGAGTAGCTGGGATTACAGGCATGCACCACCACACCTGGCTAATTTTTGTATTTTTAGGAGAGATGGCATTTCACCGTGTTGGCCAGGCTGGTCTCAAACTCCTGGACTCAAGTGATCCACCTGCCTCAGCCTCCCAAAGTGCTGGGATTACAGGCGTGAGCCACTGCACCCGGCCCCAGGATCTTAATTTTAATATCCGTATCCTAGCTTTGCTAGTTTTAAGCTGTGTGATATTGAGCAAGTTACTTAACCTCTCTAAGCTTCAGTTTCCTCATGTGAAATAAGATAATGCACTTGGAATGCTTTAGCATTCTGCTTGTTACAATAGGAGCTACAGATTGTCAGAGAAAGAAAAGATCCACCTACGTTGGAGGAATATGGGAGGGCTTCCTGGAGGAAGTGGGATGTCAGCTGGGATTTGAATAGATGAAGATAAAAGAGGACATTCTAGACAAAAAAACTAATCAGAACAAAGACTTAAGAAGAAATAGGAAAGCACAGGATGTGCTGAAGACGGAGTTGATCAAGTCCTGGAAAATACTTTTGGAGAGATTCTCCATGAAGAGAAATAGAGAGGGAAAGGATGGGGGAGTAACTTTTCTCAGAGTATGAATTAACAGGTTGGAAGGAGGAAGATCAGTCTTCAGTGGTTCGCTGAAGGTTCCTGTCATTGGATTTGCCCCTTTCAGCAGCAGCAGCAGAATCAGAAGTGGTGGCCAGTGGATAGGTGACAGAATGAAATCAGCACATGTTTTCAGCAAGGTGCAAAGAAGGATGGAAATGGACAGAAGGACAACTGGCTGCTCATGATTAGCAGAGTGAGGCTTAAAGTTTTACATTTGTGTTAAAGAATTAATTATAGAGGCAGGAGAATTGCTTGAATCCGGGAGACGGAGGTTGCAGTGAGCCAAGATCCCGCCACTGCAATCCAGCCTGAGCGACAAGAGCGAGACTCCATCTCAAAAAAAAAAAAAAAAGAATTAATTATAGAAATACAAGAGTGAATTTGGCTTAGTATCAGTTTTTGGGAAAAGCTCTAGAGGGAAGGGGGTGGAAAGGATTGGTTATAAAGTCAGGTTGAGCCAAAGGGTCAGTGCAGCCACTAGATCTGCCGATGCAAATATAAAATGAAGCCAGGCACGGTGGCTCACACCTGTAATCCCAACACTTTGGGAGACCAAGGCGGGCAGATCACTGGAGGCCAGGAGTTCAAGACCAGCCTGGCCAACATGGTGAAACCCTGCTATCTACTAAAAATACAAAAAAATTAGCCAGGTGTGGTGGTACATGCCTGTAGTCCCAGCTACTCAGGAGGCTGAGGCAGGAGAATCACTTGGACCCGGGAGGCAGACGTTGCAGTGAGCCAAGATTGCACCACTGCACTCCAGCCTGGGCAATAGAACAAAACTCTGTCATAAATAAATAAATAAAAATTAAAAAAAAAGTAATAAAAAATAAATAAAATGAACCAGGCACGGTGGCTTACAATTGTAATCCCAGTGTTTGGGAGGCTGAGGTGGAAGGATCACTTGAAGCCAAGAGTTTGGGACCAGCTTGGGCAACATAACCAGGCCCTGTCTCTACAAAAAAAATTTAAAAATTAGTTGAGCAAGGTGGTGAGCATCTGTACTTCCAAGCTCCTTGGGAGGCTGAGGTGGGAAGATCGCTTGAGCCCAGGTGTTGGAGGCTGCAGTGAGCTATGATCACACCACTGCACTCTAGCCTGAGTGACAGAGTAAGACCCTGTCTCCATATACACATGCAAAAAGTATAGTTTAATAGTAGACGTAGGGAGTCAGACCGAGGAAGGCCACAGGCTCACGGTACTGTTTGGCAGTCAGGTCAGGTCATACCTGAGCACTTTACATAGTTACATTTTTGCTGCAACAATAGGAATGTGTTAGCCCACAGCGGACAACTCAAATGATGCCTCCTGAGCAGGTAAGTGCACCCATGCCCCAGCTGCTGTGAGTGTTGGCTGCTAAGGGTTCCCAGCTGCACAAAATTTCAGAGAATTGCCCTCATTTGAAGGGAGTGGCCTTGGGGACCTTAACTTCCTTAGGGCCCACAACCACTGACATAGACTAGGGGACAAAAAGCTGTCCATGCCTCAAGGTGAGTGACTGTGGTGTTGTTTCTGCCCAGAGCTCTCCTATGTGCATCAGGCCAAGGAAAGATCAGGCTGAGCCTTACTCGAGTCTCTTCCCTTCTCTGTCTTGCTCATCTTCCTCCCTTACAGGTTTTTCCTCCCTCACTAAGTCCTGTTCATTGGCTCTGTCTTACAGGCTCTGTTTCTAAGGGCCCTGACCCAAGACACCTATGAAATCAAATAGCCAGAAAAGAACTGGATCTAGGTTCTCAAACAGAGCTATCATCCGTCATGGCCTTTATGCGTATTTCAGCTGTGATTGTTTGGTTTTGTGTTGGCTTTATTCTCCCTGTGGTCCTCACTGTTAATGCCAGGTGTACAGCCAGACAGTTCAGCAACCCTCCTGTAGAGAAAACTCCATCCCAGTAGTTGTTTTTTTTAAGATGGAGTTTTGCTTTTGTTTCCCAGGCTGGAGTGCAATGGCATGATCTTGGCTCACTGCAGCCTCTGCCTCCCAGGTTCAAGCGATTCTCCTGCCTCAGCCTCCCAGGTTCAAGCGATTCTCCTGCCTTAGCCTCCCAAGTAGCTGGGATTACAGGCGCGAGCCACAACAGCCAGCTGTATTTAGTAGAGACGGGGTTTTACCATATTGGTCAGACTGGTCTTGAACTCCTGACCTCAGGTGATCCCCCCGCCTCCCAAATTGCTGGGATTACAGGCATGTGCCACTGCTCTCGGCCCCATCCCAGTAGTTCTAACAAGATGCCAGGACTCACGCTAACTGGACTGTCTTGATCACATGTCTTTCCCTAAATCAATCACTACAAATGATGGCAGGCAAGGGTTGGAGTGCTTTCATTGGTTAGGACTGGGCCATGTGATCCCCCCCACCCCCCAACCCCAAGGTGAGTAGTGAGTCATATTCCCAAGGCAGCTACAGGGATAGACAGTGGGGCGGAGTGGTTCTGTTACCAGCAAGGCCTCCTGATCTAGACCTCAAGAGAGGGTTCTTGGATCTCGTGCAAGAAAGAATTTGAGGCGAATTCATAGAGTTAAGTGAGAGCAAGTTTATTAGAGAAGTAAGGAAACAAGAGGCCAGGTGCAGTGGCTCAGGCCCGTAATCCCAGCACTTTCGGAGGCTGAGTCGGGGTGCAGATCACTTGAGGCCAGGAGTTCTAGACCAGCCTGGCCAATATGGTGAAAGCCCCTCTCTACCAAAAATACAAAAATTAGCCAGGTGTGGTGGCACGCACCTGTAGTCTCAGCTACTCTGGAGGCTGAGGGAGGAGAATCGCTTGAACCTGGGAGGCAGAGGTTGCAGTGAACTGAGATTGTGCCACTGCACTCCAGCCTGGGTGACAGGGCAAGACTCTGTGTCAAAAAAAGGAAAAAAAAAAAAAGAGATACAAAAGAATGGCCACTCCATAGGCAGAGCAGTGGCATGGGCCACTCAGCTGCTTATACTTATTGTCACTTCTCGATTATATGCTAAGCAAGGGATGGATTATTCATGAATTTTCTGGGAAAGGGGTGGGCAATCCCTGGAACTGGAACTGAGGTTTCCTCCCATTTTTAGACCAGAGAGGGTAACCTCTGGACATTTCCATGGTATCTGTAAACTGTCACGGCACTGGTGGGAGTGCCTTTTAGCATGCTAATGCATTATAAATAGTGTATAATGAGCAGTGAGGATGACCAGAGGTCACTTTTCTTACCATCTTGGCTTTGGTGGGTTTTGTCCGGCTTCTTTACCATAACATATTTTATTAGCAAGGTCCTTGTATCTTGTGCTGACCTATCTCATCCTGTGACTTAGAATGCCTAATCTCCTGGAAATGCAACTCAGTAGGTCTCAGCCTTATTTTACCCAGCCCCTATTTAAGATGGAGTCCTGGTTCGAACGCCTCTGACAGTTCCCCAGAGGAAAGTGGAGTTCTCTTACCAAAAGAAAGAGAATGTTTACAGGGAAGGACACAAATAACACATGTCGCCAATAGATCCTGAAGGATGTCCGCATGAAGTCATTAGGACATGAAGTCACTGAGGCCTGATGGCAAGAAAAAGGGACTTATTCCCTACTGTTTTGTGGAGATGGGTCGAGGGTGTGGGAAAGAGGGTGAAGTGGGATTAGACATGTTTGGTGAAGCTTTAGAGGATAACATTAGGATCTAGGGTCAGAGATAATGTTATTCCTTTTTTTTTTCAGAGTTACCCAGGCTGGAGTGGGGTCAGAGATTAGAGGGAGGCAGACCACCTATAAGAAATATATAAACCCTTTTTTTTTTTTTTTTTGAGACGGAGTCTCACTCTGTCGCCCAGCCTGGAGTGCAGTGGCACGATCTCGGCTCACTGCAAGCTCCACCTCCAGGGTTCACGCCATTTTCCCACCTCAGCCTCCTGAGTAGCTGGGACTACAGGCGCCCGCTACCACACCCGGCTAATTTTTTGTATTTATAGTAGAGACGGGGTTTCACCGTGTTAGCCAGGATGGTCTCAATCTCCTGACCTCGTGATCTGCCCGCCTTGGCCTCCCAAAGTGCTGGGATTACAGGCGTGAGCCACCGCGCCTGGCTTTTTTTTTCTTTGAGACAGAGTCTCTCTTACTCTGTCACCCAGGCTGGAGTGCAGTGGTGGGATCTCGGCTCACTGCAATCTCCGCCTCCCAGGTTCAAGCAATTCTCCTGCCTCAGCCTCCCGAGTAGCTGGGATTACAGGTGAGCATCACCACGCCCGGTTCATTTTTGTATTTTTAGTAGAGACGGGGTTTCACCATGTTGGCCAGGCTGGTCTTGAACTCCTGACCTCAAGTGATCCTCTGGTCTCGGCCACCCAAAGTGCTGGGATTACAGGTGTGAGCCACCACATCCAGCCTAACCCTTTATATATACACAAAATATATATGTGTCTATATATAGTATATAAAACGTATACAATTTAAGTTGTCCAGAAAAAGTATAGAGATATTTGTGAGACGGTGAGGTTGCCTGCAGTCTCTGCCATGAATGGGCAGATCTCTTTTCCTGTGACTAATAAAATACACTTGTGCCTCCTCATTACCTGGGCTTTTTAAGGAGGGCTGTGTCTGGGTGGGTACTATCTGGAATGCCCCACCTTGGTCATGTTTTGGGGAAATCTGCCCCACCCCAATAATTCCAGTGGGGGTACTTTCTCCTCCGAGGCGCACTTCTGCATCCTCTTTTTTTTTTTTTTTTTTAAATACGGAGTCTCGCTCTGTCGCCCAGGCTGGTGTGCAGTGGCGCCATCTCGGCTCACTGCAAGCTCCGCCTCCCGGGTTCATGCCATTCTCCTGCCTCAGCCTCCCGAGTAGCTGGGACTTGACAGGCGCCCGCCACCACGCCCAGCTAATTTTTTCTGTTTTTAGTAGAGACGGGGTTTCACCGTGTTAGCCAGGATGGTCTTGATCTCCTGACCTCGTGATCCGCCCGCCTCGGCCTCCCAAAGCGCTGGGATTACAGGCGTGAGTCACCGCGCCCGGACTGCATCCTGTTTTTGTTTTTTGTTTTGAGATGGAGTCTCACTCTGTCGCCCAGGCTGGAGTGCAGTGGCGCGATCTCAGCTCACTGCAAGCTCTGCCTCCCAGGTTCCGCCATTCTCCTGCCTCAGCCTCCCGAGTAGCTGGGACTACAGGCGCCCGCCACCACGCCCAGCTAATTTTTTCTGTTTTTTAGTAGAGACGGGGTTTCACCGTGTTGGCCAAGATGGTCTTGGTCTCCTGACCTCGTGATCCGCCCGCCTCGACCTCCCAAAGTGCTGGGATTATAGGCGTGAGCCACCGCACCCGGCCTGCATCCTGTTTTAGTCACCTGGGATACCGGCCTGGCATTGCAGTCACCGCAGTACGTGCCTTAGCATCCTCCAGTTTGGTGTAAGCACCCCCAGGGTAGTGACTGTATCTCATCTAGCTTACCCCCTCAGTGTTCTTACTCAAAAAATATTTATCGAATAAATAATTTTATCAGGTATTTTGTGCAAGAATTTTTGCCTTGGGGAAGGTGTGTGTGACTAAGAGCCCACGAGGATCCCGTCTAACTCCAAGATTCTGCGACCGGCATTGGAAGCTGATTTATAGTGAGTAATTGGGAATACCCAAGGCCACTTTGACTTTTGCCGCCATTGGATAGAGCAGCACCCTCTCCTACCCTCCCTCTGAGTTCACCCATGGGCAGTCCCAGAAGCCTTTGATGGGGAAAAGGGGGTCATAGTGAGAATTTACCTTGGAATGTAAAGTGAGCCGCCCCTTTTCAGTCTTTGCATCTTCACGCGGGTCCGCCCCAAACCTAGAAGAACGCCCCTGACCACTTCTTCTTCTATCTACTGTTACTCCTTCCTCTGACTCTGGTGACCCCATCCCGGAAGCCTTCCGGAAAGCGCTTCCCCCTTTTCCACCCCATCGAGTTGGGGTTATTTCTCCTTTTCTGGGCTCTCTCCCATTGCTGGGGAGGAAGGCGGATACGAAGGGCCTGCATGACCGCAGCTGTCATCACAGTGGGCCTGGCTTACCTTGTTGCTCTCTCCCCTTTCGCCTTTCTCCTTTCTCCCTGTTGCAGTCATGGACTTCACTCATAATACATATACATATACATATACATATACATATACATATACATATACACATACACATACACATACACATACACATACACATACACATACATATACATGTTTTTAAATCGGGCAGCCACCCGCTCCCCGCCCTCAGCCCGGAATAGGTTCAGAGAGGTGCCCGGGTTCACTTGCGGAGCGTGTGGCCTCTGCGCCTAACGCGCGCCCCTTCACTACACGAATGGGTGCGGGCAAGGGTATAGGATTTTAGAATTCCAAGAGTTGTCGGGGGTCATCCCGTGGAATCCTCTTTTTTGCAGATGCTCTTCCTGGAGCCTTCCGATGCAAGCTCTTGGGCTCACGCAGCCCTTTTCCTCTTCTAAGCCCAGAGCGCTTTCGCTGCTGCTGATCTCCACGGCCTCGGCAGATAGGGAGGGGCAGGCAGGTGTCAGCGTCCTCCCTTTCACCGTTGGGGAAACTGACTCAGAGAAACAAGGCGACGGGCCTCGGCGGGGCGGGACCGTAACGGGAATTCAAGGCTCCAGGCCAGAGCGGAATTTATTGTGTCTCGTTTTGGGAAGCGTGAATGTGAAATGATCGACTTCGGAGCCCCAGGCGGAGACCCTTCAGTCCCCGACAAGAATCGGGATGGGGTCTGGGATTAATGCAGTAATTACTCGCGCCTGGGCATTGACCCCTTGGCAACTTCGCAAGATCCGGCAGGGTCCACCGCCCTTCCCTTCACAGGGTGACCACAGGGCTGCGGCCTCTTTAAGGCCCAGAGCTCCGCCCCCGGCTCGTCGCCAACCCCCTCGCCGCAGCTCAGCCAGTTCCAGACTTTCCTCAGAGATGAGGTCATCTCCCCGTTGCCCATTGGCTGCGCCGTGCCGTCAGTCACAGGAAGTCAGGCCGCCGTTTTCGCCTTCTTCATGCCGCTTCCTTCTCCGCCCGCCCTTTAGTCCGCCGATCACGACCCCGATCAGGCCTCTGATTGGCTAGCGCCGCCGTCACTTCTCCAGCGGACAGTCTTCAGGACGGGAGGCGGGCGTGGTGGGCGGGCCCGCAGCTTCCGTGGCTGAGAGGAGCCGGCGGCGGCAGTGTCTGTGGTGGCCGCGGCGGCGAGAGCGACGGTCCCATCTTTCCCACCCTCTTGGTTGCCGCTGGCCACACGCCCTCCGCTGGCGGCGACTTCTCAGCTCCGTGCGCCCGGGCTGGACAGTGAGCCTCGAGAGGAGACGCGGGCGGCTAGAGCCGGAGTGGGGCGAGCCGCGGAACCCGGCCGGGAGCCGCGCGAGGCGGTGAGTGAGAGTCCGGGTTGGGGACCCCTCCCCCACCGCGGCCTCGCCCCGCCTGGAGCATCCTTTTTCCCCCCCGACCCTGCTGCGCGCGTCCTCGGGGGGTCGGGCGAGGCGGCCCTCGCGTCCCCTGCCCTCTTCTTGCCGGCCTTCTGCCCCTGCCCTCGGGGCCGGAGTCGCAGAGCGGCGGTCACTGTGCCGGGGCTGGGACCCGGGCCGGGCCGGGCGGGCGGGCGCGGTCGTGCACCTGTGCACTGCCTGGCAGGGCTGTGCTGCGCGGGGCGGGGAGGCACGGAGGTCCTCGCCCTCGCTTCTCCCGGGATGTGTTTTGATTGCAGGGACGGGGTGTCGGCCGCTTTCTCTGGGGTCTTGTGCAGACCTTCAGGATCCAAGTGCAGTCCTTGGGATTCCCAGGCAAGGAGGCTCAGCTGGACTTGTTGGTGCCAGTATAGCAAACCTGAATGCTGCCAGGTGTACAGGGCTCTGCAAATCTGAAACTTGATGGCCAAGAACTTTACCTCCTAAGAAAGCGTCTGTCAGGACGCTGATGCAGTCCACCCTCCCCGCTTCGGGTACCTTTGATACTCCATAGTGCCTAGGGCTGGACCTTTTGAGTCGACTCCCAAACCTGCCACTTGCTAGCTGTGTAATCTTGTGCCTTGGTTTCCTCGTCTGAAAAATGAGGATAATAGCACCAATCGCATACGGTTGTTTGTTGTAAGTGTCGAATGAAATAATTCACGTGAAGCGTTTGACACAGTGCTTGGCCCATAGTAAGGGCCCAAGAAATGTTTGCTTTTGGGATGTTGAGAATGCCTGGTTTGCCTGTGTGCCTTTAAGCACTAGCCCAGCTTGGCATTGTCAAGATTTCTCTCTGTTGTCTCCCTGTTATGCAGCATAACGAAAGGGCAGTTGAATGGTTAACTTGCTTGCCAGCCTCTGTTTGGCATGAAGTGTGTGTATATACAGGAATGTGGAATACATCACTTAAATATAATAATGGAATTACCCCATGCTTCGTATGTTTTTACATAGTTTTAAACTCATAAGACGTCTGGAATGTCCCCGAGTTGCAAGTTTTTGAGATCTTTTCAGGGTCCTTTCTACATCAAGCCGAAGCCTGTAACGTTAAGACTTATTGTCAGTAAGAAGTTAGACCTACATGTTTTACTTCAGAAGACCCCCAAAACTCCAAATGTCACTTACGCAGTTTTACTGTTGAAAAGCAGTCATCTCCCGGGGGTGAGGTGGTACAGCCAGCTGGCCCACAGCCCTATGACTGCAGGGTGGGGAACCTTTGGCTGGAAGTTATTAAACTAAGTTTTGCTTAATGTCGTTTGCATTTTTCATAGCGAACCAAAGGGCTTTATGTTACTGTTTCTTATTGAAATGATTTAGAAAGAAGCAATCCATTACTGCGTTCTTTAAAAACACCTGCAAAGAAAAAAATATCTGTAGTTTAGCTCTAGTGTTTGTTTCAGTTTTTGGCCAATAACTATTAAGAAGAGCCCGTTTTTAAGAAGGCTTCCAAAAGTCACATCCACTTGAATAAGTTATTTAGAGTCAAATCAAGAGAGGTGGAAGAGTAATATGTATCCCATCACCCAAAAGTATTTATTGGAGAGTTTCCATGTCCTTAGTACTCTGCCAGATGCTATTAGGGAGTGATTAAAAAGAGTATGAAATAGAATCTCAGCCTATAAAGGGCAAAACCATAAAGTTTGGGTCACCCGTTAGTAATTACAAGTACTACTTAAGGGATGACTTCATTTATTCATTCAACAGACTTTTTGTTCCATGTTTGTAACGTGCCAGGTGTTTTTCTAAGGGCTGGGGCTGTCAAGATAAGTGAGATATGGTCCCTGCTCATGAGGAGCTCACAGTCTAGTGGGAGAGGCAAAAAATGACAGATGATTGTAACGCGCTGAAATACACTCTAAATCCAGACTTCACTGGGAGAGTCAAGGGAGCTTTTCCTGTGGATGTATGGGAAGGCTTCAAAGAAAATGGCATTTGAGCTGAATGTTAACTCAGATGAAGGAGAGGAAATTCCAAAGAGAAATAACAGCTTGGAAAGTTTTCCTGATAGGCGGGGCACAGTGGCTTACGCCTGTAATCCTAGCACTTCGGGAGGCCAAGGCAGGAGGATCACTTGAGGCCAGGAGTTCGAGTTGAGACCCGCTTGGGCAACATAATGATAGCTTGTCTCCACAAAAAAGTTAAAGAATTAGCAGACGTGGTGGCTTGCACCTGTAGTCCCAGCTACTCAGGAGGCTGAGGCTGGAGGATCCCTTGAGCCCAGGAGTTTGAGGTGGCAGTAAGCTATGTTCACACTGCCCTCCATCCTGAATGTGCGGTGAGACCCTGTCTCAAAAAAAAAAAAAAATCCTGATAAATCTTCTGATATACCAGTTATAAGCCCCAGGAAGGGAGAAGGAAACTAACATTCCTTGATGCCCACTACATAAAAGCTAGGCTTTGATTGTGTTGCTTTAGGATAGGGAAATAGGCTGCAACTAGTTAAATAACTCATTTAGGGATACAGAAGTTAACAGAACCAGGACTTGAATCTCTGACTTAAAAGTATGGTATACGGTTCCTTTTAACATGCTTTTGTAGAGGTAAATATGAAAGAGGTTAGAAAGTTCTACCCATATTATCATTATTATCATTTTACTACATCTATTGCAAGTTACTTTCTGTGAAATGTTTCATATTTGATTTAGTCACTAAGGCGATATAATAAATAAAGCTTATCTTTATAAGCTTTATATATGGCAATATAATAAATAAAGGCTATCTTTATTTATATATTTTATACTTATAAATTTGGTGATATTTCCTAAAAAGTATGGCCTGTGGGAACATTCAGTAAAAATGGAGTACATTGATATATACAGATTCCATATGAAGCACTTTACTAACTTTGTTAAACAGGTATAAACTTTCTTTGAGAGTGCAGCTTAAATACTTATTTAAGTGTATTTAAAAAACGATTTGTAGATTTACAGCCATTTAATTTACAAAGGGAAATTTAGAATTTTTAAGTTGTATTAACAAAGATCGTTGTATTATATTTCGAGAAAACACTGTGGCAAGCTCATATACTACTGTAAGCTCCCCAGGGGTGAGGATATTTGTTTTTCTTCCCAGCTTCAAAGGCAGTTCTTGGGACATAGCAGGTGCTCAGTAAATATTTCTTGAATATAAGATGAACATGAACAAATATATATTTACTCCGTGTTCTTGTGTGTGTATATATATTCACATAAATGCTAGGGTTGATAGTTGCAATTGACAAACATAAGAAACATTTCTTTACTGAGAAAAAGCTTTGGTCAGGAGGTTATATTTCAGGTTTTTGAAAGAGAAAAGAGAAAACATTGATGGGTTATGGATGAAGTGGTATAGGCTTGGGGAGTAGTTTTTTATAAATGAATACATTTTGGAAGAAGGGGGACATTGAACAAAGAGAATGACCCACTGACACAATTCAGCAAATATGGGCGCTGTTTATGTCTAAGGCTTTAATAGAGTTTTGAGAATCAAGGAAATAGTCTCCGCTCTCAAGGAAATTAGAGTTTTGGAGAGCGGGTGTGTTAACTGTCTTCCTGTGTAACAGATTACCTCGAAAGTTAGTGTTTAAGACAACATTTCTTATTTTTCACAGTTTCTGTGAGTCAGGAATTTGGAATCAGCTTGGCTGAGTGATTCAAACTCAGGTCTCTCAAAAAATTGCAATAATGGCTGGGCACGGTGGCTCACACATGTATTCTCAGCATTTTGGGAGGCTGAGGCAGGTGGATCCCTTGAGGTCAGGAGATCGAGACCAGCCTGGCCAACATGGGGAAACCCCGTCGCTACTAAAAATACAAAAATTAGGTAGGTTTGGTGATGCACGCCTGTAGTCCCAGCTACTCAGGAGGCTAAGGCATGAGAATCACTTGAACCTGGGAGGCGGAGGTTGCAGTGAGCCAAGATTGCACCACTGCACTCCAGCCTGGGCGGCAGAGTATCTAAAAAAAAAAAATTATCTGGGAGTGGCAGCCCATGCCTGTAATCCCAGCTACTCAGGAGGCTGAGGCATAAGAATTGCTTGAACCAGGGAGGTGGAGGTTGCAGTGAGCTGAGATCGTGCCACTGCACTCCAGCCTGGGTGACAGAGCAAAACTGTCTCAAAAAAAAAAAATTGCAGTAATATGTCAGCTGAGGTAGCAGTCATCTGAAGGCTTGACTGAGGCTGGTGAATCCTTTTTCAAGGTGGCTACTCATATTGCTGGCAGGTTGGTGCAGGCTGTTGGTGGGAGATCTCAATTCCTCTTCATGTGGGCCTCTCCGCATGAATGCCTTCATGGCATGGCAGCCAGCTTGCCTCAGAGCATGTAATACAAAAGACCAAGCTGCTGCATTGACTTTTATGACCTAGCTTCAGAAGTCACATACCATCATTTTTCCAGTATTCTGTTGGCCACACATTGTGGGAAGGGACTACACAAGAATGTAAATGGCAGGAGGTGAGGGTCATTGGGGGCCATCTTGGAGGCTGGCCACGACAGTGGGTAAAGTAGAAAATGTTGAAAAGAAGGTACTGAAGTTCTGAAGTAGGGGAGAGGGGAGGACTCAGAGTAGGAAAGATTACCTTTGGAGGAATGAAGGAATGGGAAAAATTTAATTCCTTTATCAGATATTTATAAATATTTATTGTGTGTTTACTATGTACCTTTCACATGGAGGCTAATATGTGGAGGTAGACACTAAATTAGGTTCACATGAAATGTTTTAAGTAATTTAGGCCAGTGTTGACATAAGGAAAAATATTTGAAATCTATGTGTATGGTGAAGGTGGAGTCATTTTTTTTTATATTGATGAAAACAGTAACTTAGTGATAGATGAGCAGTTACACAGCATAAGTAGTTAACATAAATACTAGAGTCATACTGCATAGATCGGAATCCTGGCTCTACTTGCCGGCCGTGTGTATGAACTTGGACTGTGTGACTATGATACTCTTGCTACTTTATATTCTCTGTGACTCACTAGCTGTAAAATGGGGATAAAAATGGGGCCTGCTTCATATTGTTGCTGTGAGGATTAAATAAAAATATATAAAGTCCTTGGAACAGCTTTACATGCATGTCATTATCATGGTTATTATGATCATCATTGGTTTTGGGCAGTAGCGTAGAACTGACTGGGTGAATTAGTTTGGAGTCAGAGAGATGAATGAATATAGACTGATATGAGTATGCAGAAGGAGGCATTTAAATGTTAACCATTGCTGCTTCACCATCAATTTTTCTATGTCAAGTACCTACATCTAGATAATTTTTATTTTACAAAGTAGAGTGAACCAGTGGCTTTATTTAGGTGAATTCCACAGTTAAAATAAGACCCAAGGAGGTGCACAAGTTGCCATTAAGGGTGTCTCTTACCATCTTGTATCTTTGAATTTACTGGGCTCTCTGTCTGTAGAATGGGTTTAGCTGGAAGCAGTACTTAAAAGAGCATGTGCTTCACAAGAGCTAGGGCCCATAATAAAAATACCTAGAATGAGAACCTGTGTGGCTGAGTTTGAGGGACAAGGTTAACCTGGAGGGAATTTCAAAGGTATAGGCCTGGTACTGTGGCTCATGCCTATAATCCCAGCCATGTGAGAGGCTGAGACAGGAGGATTGCTTGAGCCCAGGAGTTTGAGGCTGCAATGAGCTGTGATCACACCACTGTGCTCCAGCCTGGTTAACAGATGAGACACTGTCTCAAGTAAATAAATAAATTAGAAAGTTAATTATAAGAAACTTCTAAATCTGGAGTATAGAAGTTTAGGAATTCAAAGGACGGATTTTGTGAAACTGCATCAGTTTAGATAAACTCTTTAGAGGCAGTAGTGATCTTCCTAATGAAGATGACTTCCATTTTACTACTTTAGGAAGTAGATTTGTTACGTCGAAAGGAAAGGAAATAGAAATGGATTCAGCTTTCTCCAAGTTGAAGTCTGAAATCTCTGATTTTGTACAACAGAAAAACGATTCTGTTGACTTAAAAACTGCCCAGGTGTTTTTTTGTTTGTTTCTTTTGTTTTGTTTTTAAAGAGACAGAGTCTCACTCTGTCATCCAGCTACCACACCCAGGCCTGTACCTTTTATTTTTTTATTTTTATTTTTTGAGAGACAGAGTCTCGTTCTCTTGCCTAGGGTAGAGCACAGTGGTGTGATCATGGCTCACTGCAACTGCCGCCTCCCAGGTTCAAGCGATTCTCCTGCCTCAGCTTCCCAAGTAGCTGGGATTACAGGTATGTGCCACCATGCCCAGCTAATTTTTGTATTTTTTAGTAGAGGCAGGGTTTCACTATATGTTGGCCAGGCTGGTCTCAAACTCCTGACCTCAGGTGATCCGCCTGCCTTGGCCTCCCAAAGCGCTAGGATGATAAGCATGAGCCACCGTGCTTGGCCAGTCCTGTACCTTTTAAATGCCCTCCAGATTAACCTTGTCCCTCAAACTCAGCCACACAGGTTCTCATTCTAGGTATTAGTGTGGGCCCTAGTTCCACCTCTAAGCTCTTGTGAAGCATATGGTGGGATCATAGCTCACTGCAACCTCAAAACTCCTTGTCTTAAGTGATCCTTCTGCCTCTGCCTCCTGAGTAGCTAGGACAACAGCATGTACCACCATGCTTGGCTAATTTTTTTTTTTTTTTTTTTTTTTTTGAGATGGAATCTTGCTCTGTCACCCAGGCTGGAGTGCAGTGGCGGGATCTCGGCTCACTGCAAGCTCCGCATCCTGGGTTCAAGCAATTCTCCTGCCTTAGCCTCCCGAGTAGCTGGGATTATAGGCACCCACCACCACGCCCAGCTAATTTTTTGTATATGTATATATTTTTTTTAGTAGGGACGGAGTTTCACTATGTTGGCCAGGCTGATCTCGAACTCCTGACCTCAGGCGATCCATCCGCCTCGGCCTCCCAAAGTATTGGGATTACAGCGTGAGCCACTGTGCCTGGCCTGCTTGGGTAATTTTTTTTTTTTTAATTATGTTTTGAGACGGAGTCTTGCTCTGTTGACCAGGCTGGAGTGCAGTGGTTCGATCTTGGCTCACTGCAACCTCCGTCTCCCGGGTTCAAGCCATTCTCCTGCCTCAGCCTCCCAGGTAGCTGGGACTACAGGCATGTGCCACCATGCCCGGCTAATTTTTTTGTATTTTTGGTAGAGACGGGGTTTCACCATATTGGACAGGCTGGTCTCAAACTCCTGACTTCAAGTGATCCGCCCGCCTCGGCCTCCCAAAGTGCTGGGATTACACATGTGAGCCACCGCGCCCAGCCTCTGCTTGGCTAATTTAAAAAATTTTTTTTGTAGAGAAGAGAAGAGAGTCTTGCTATATTGCCTAGACTAGTCTCAAATTCCTGGCCACAGCAATCCTCCTGCCTTGGCCTCCCGAAGTGTTGGGATTACAGGTGTGAGCCACCGTGCCTGGCCAAAATTCTTAAAAATACTGAATCCATATCACATGTATGAGGAGAGAAGATAATTACACTCTGTGTCACTGCAGGTGTTAAAGCAGAAATTGGGTGACCTGTCAGGGTGCATTGGGTGGAACTAATTGCTCAAGTTGCCTTCAGTTCTGTGGTTCATGACTCAAGTCCAGTTCTCTCATTGTTTAGTGGGAGGAGGCACTGTGAAATTAAATGATTTGAGTTCCACAACAGTCCAGGGGCTGAGCCCAGGCCAGTTCCTCACACAGTATTTAAGGCCGGCTCATATAGCAGTAATAGAAGATCTGTAGAATCCTTGGAAGAAAGAGCGTTGTGAAAATGTCTTTTTTTTTTTTTACTTCCACATTTTTACTTCTGTGGTATGTTTGGTTCATTTGCTCCCCACTCATTCTTATTGATATGCATTTAGAAATCATTCTCTGTGTAAATGAGAGCTTGTAATGAGTAATTTGGCTAGTTCATTTTGAGATCTGGAGTGTGTCCTCTGTTACTGAATTTCTAGATAGGTAGGCTATTTACAGGTCTTTGTCCTCTAAAATTATGAGTGGAAATTATGGGTGATTCTGGTTTTTGAAAATAATTGTTCTTGTATTAAAATTTAAAGCATAATGGGCATAATTCAAACAAAGTTCTGAACTTCATAATATGACAGAGTAAAATATCCAGTGAGGTAACATGTCCATGTCAAGTTTTAGGGCACAGCAGATCTGGGTACTGACAGTTACCAGGTATGTGACTGTAGGCTTACTCCTTAACCTTCCTGTGATTCAGCTTCTTCATCTGTAAACTAGAGTTAATAATCCTTACAACATGAGGTCGTTATAAGGATTATGAAGAAATGTAAAGAGGGAAGTAATAGGGGCATCTACTTTATAGTAGACATTGTGCTACCTTATTAATCCTCATATGAACTCTGAAATAAGTGGTAGTAGCAGCATTTTGCAGATGAGCAAAGAGAAGCTTCTAGAGGAACTTCTAGATAACAGGATTTTTGTTGTTGTTTTGCTTTTTTGTTTTTTTTAGACAGAGTCTTGCTTTGTCTTCCAGACATGAGTGTAGTGGCAGGGTCATAGCTCACTGTGTCCTCAAACTCCTGTAACCTCAAACTGCTGAAGCAGTTCTCCTGCATAACTAGGACTATAGGCGTGTGCCATCATGCCCGGCTAAATTTTTTTGTGCAGGCGGGGTGTCACAGTGTTCCCCAGGCTGATCTTGAACTCTTGCCCTCACGCTTTGACCTCCTAAACTGTTGAGATGACAGGCATGAGCCGCTGTGCCTGGCCAGGATTTGAATCCAGATCTGTTTTTGAATTAAATAATTCTGGCTTCCTACCATGATGTATATGAAGTTCCTAACTTTGCCTCTAGTAAATGTCTTTTCGTGTTCAGTGTCTTTTGCATAGTTAGCGAAAATGTCAGTTATAGTGAGAACTCTTTGTAGTAGTAATCAAGATGTTATAGCTCAGAAAATATTCTGTGCGGTATTCATTATATGTATCTGGTTGCCATTCCTGAGGTGGAAAACTATAATAGTAACCTCACATCTTAAGTTGCTCAATTAATACTTGCCAAATAAGGGCCAGGCATTATGGCTTACACCTGTAATCCCAGCACTTTGGGAGGACAAGGTGGGAGGATCACTTGAGCCCAGGAGTTCAAGACCAGCCTGGGCAACATGACAAGACCGTGTGTCTACAAGAAGTAAAAAAAGTAGCTCAGCATGGTGACATGCACTTGTAGTGCATGAGCCCGGGAGATCGAGGCTGCAGTGAGCTGTGTTTGTGCCACTGCACTCCAGCCTGGGCAACAGAGTGAGACTGTCTCAGAAACAAAAAAATTACCAAATAAAGGCATACTGTAATATCCACATTTTTAGAATTTTTTTTTTTGTCAGTGTTTCAGTATCTTTTAAATTGTAAATGGGGTAAGTGATCCAGGGTCTCTTGATTGTGGTTAATTTGTACATATTTTCTCTACCACAAAATTTACAGGAACTTGGAAAGTTGTCCTTTCCTAATATTTTAGAATGCACTGTGTTGAATTTTGGTGTTAGAGTGGTGTTATCATGGTTGAAACTTTGGCTTTAGTTAGTGTGTGTGTGTGTGTGTGTGTGTGTGTGTGTGTTTGAGACAGGGTCTCATTCTGATACACAGGCTGGATCGCAGTGGCACGATCGTAGCTCACTGTAACCTTGAACCCCTGGCCTCAAGCAGTTCTCCCGCCTTGAACTCTCAAAGTGTTGGGACTACAGGCATGAGCCACTATGCCTGGCCCTGGCTTTGTGTTTCGTATTTAGTTATATGATGGATATATTTAAAGTAGTCTTTTTGAGTTTGCCATATATATGTGTATATATTGTCTTTCCTTTAAAATGTAGAGCAAGAGAAATTTAGAAATTAAAAGTAAGGGTTGGCTGGGCGTGGTGGCTCACGCCTGTAATTCCAGTACTTTGGGAGGATTGCTTGAGCTTAGAGGTTCAAGACCAGCCTAGATAACATGGCAAAACCCCGTCTCTACAAAAAATACAAAAAATAACCGGGCGCGGCGCTGTGCACCGATAATCCCAGCTACTCTGGAAACTTGAGGCGTGGGAGAGAATTGCTTGAGCTTGGGAGGTGAAGGTTGCAGTGAGCTGTAGTTGCGCCACTGCACTCCAGCCTGGGTGACAGAGCCAGACCTCATCTCAAAAAAAACGAGTAAATCTTAGGACAGGCATGGTAGCCCATGCCTGTAATCCCAGCACTTTGGGAGGCCAAGGTGGGTGGATCACCTGAGGTCAGCAGTTCGAGACCAGTCTGCCAAGATGGCGAAACCCCATCTCTACTAAAAATACAAAAAAATCAGCCGGGTGTGGTGGTGGGGGTCTGTAATTCCAGCTACTTGGGAGGCTGAGGCAAGAGAATTGCTTGAACCGGGGAGGTGGAGGTTGCAGTGAGTTGAGATCATGCCACTGCACTCCACCCTGGGGGACAGAGTGAGACACTTTCAAAAAAAAAAGTAAGGGTTATTTTCTTTTTTGTCCATTGTTTATGTGATCATCTTTATGAGAAGAAATCACTTGAACTAAAGCTTCTATGCAAGAGCCTTTCACTCTTTAAATTTGCACTCCAGGTTCATGCTCTAAGGTTGTGGCATTGAAGGGAAAGAGGTTGTGGGTTTTTATTCTATTTTATTTACTTATTCTGTGTTATTTATTTATTTTCATTTATGAGACGGAGTCTTCTTGCTCTGTTGCCCAGGCTGGAGTGTAGTGGCACAATCTTGGCTCACTGCAATCTCTGCCTCCGGGGTTCAAGCGATTCTTGTGCCTCAGACTCCCAAGTAGCTGGGAATTACAAGCGCCTGCCACCATGCCCGACTAATTTTTGTGTTTTTAGTAGAGATAGGGTTTCACCATATTGGCCAGGCTGGTCTCAAACTCCTGACCTCAAGTGATCTGCCTGCCTCAGCCTCCCAAAGTTATGGATTACAGGCGTGAGCCACCCTGCCAGGCCTTATTTATTTATTTATTTATTTATTTATTTATTTATTTATTTATTTAGAGAGAGGGCCTTGCTATGTTGCCTGGGCTGGTTGTGAACTTCTGGCCTCAAGCAGTCTACCTGCCTTGGCTTCCCAAAGTGTTGGGATTACAGGTTTGAGCCAACACACCCCTCCTATTTTTATTTTTTTTTTAGGGACAGGTGTCTCACTCTGTTGCCTAGGCTGATCTTGATCTCCTGGGCTCAAGTGATCCTCCCATCTTGGCCTCTTAAAATGTTGGGATTACAGGCATGAGCCACTGAGCCTTTTATTCTATTTTATAGATTCATTGAACTATTTAACATTATCTTGTTGATACTTCCTTTCCGTTCAGATGTTTTTTTGGGGGGTTAGGAGTCCTGGAATGGGAACAGGGAACCAAGAACATAATGTATCATATGCTAGTCATTTGAGATAAATTTAAAGATTTCTTTTACCCAGTAGAAGTTCATAGGATGTTATGGTTCATTTGTGTGATATCTGTCATGAGTCTTTATATACCCTGAGTCAGTGGATTAATCATTTTCCTAGATCAGACACTCTGTAGCATGAATGACCCTTTTTAAAAAGTTAATGTTTTGACCTTTACCTGAAAGCTGATTCTTAAAGTGTATCTGGCAGGATCAATATATATGGAAACCAGGCATGACTTATACAATTTGGACAAGCTAATCATGACATTTTATTTTCAACATGTCTAATAGCCTGTTGGCTTCCCAAATAACGCTGAGTTAATTATAGTGTAACCTTTTATTCTATTTGGAGAGTGTCAAGGGATTTTTTGAATGCCTTCCAAAATTCACTTTCATGAGGTGAGCTTAGAAAGCTTAGAAAACGCTTTCTAGAGCAGGGATTCTCAAAACTTTACCTTCATGATCCACCCTGCCTCTTCTGGGTACTTATTTGGTTTCCCTACTGTTTAGAGATAGTAGTGATGGGGTTGAATGCACCTGTTTTTAATCCTGGCTCTATTGCTCACTAGCTCAGTGATCTTAGACAACAAGGGAATTAATCTTTTTTAATCTTTTTTTTTTTTTTTTTTTGAGTTGGAGTCTCGCTCTGTTGCCCAGGCTGGAGTGCAGTGGCGCGATCTCGGCTCCCTGCAACCTCTGCCTCCTGGGTTCAGGTGATTCTCCTGCCTCAGCCTCCTGAGAAGCCGGGATTACAGGCGTGCCCCACCATGCACGGCTAATTTTTAAAAATTTTTAGTAGAGACGGAGTTTCACTGTGTTGGCCAGGCTTATCTTGAATTCCTGACCTCAAGTAATCTACCCACCTCGGCCTCCCAAAGTGCTGGGATTACAGGTGTTAGCCACTGTGCCTGGACAATCTTTTTAAATTTTTAAATTGAAATAATTTTATTTTGACACAGGATCTTCCTCCATTTCTCAGGCTGGAGTTCAGTGGTTTGAACATGGCTCACTACAGCCTTTATGTCCTGGGCTCAGGTGATCTTCCTGCTTCAGCCTCCTGAGTAGCTGGTACCGGAGGCATGTGCCACCACACCTAGCTAATAATTTTAAGGTTTTTTGTAGAGATGGAGTCTCTTTGTGTTGCCCATTGTGGTTCAAGAGATCCTCTCGCCTCATCCTCTCAAAAGTGGTGGGATTACAGACGTGAACCACCATGCTTGGTGAATCTTTTTGAAGCTGTATGTACTTATAAGATAGTTGTGAGAGGTAAATTCAGTTACCTGAATGTAAAGCATTTAACCCAAAATAGGTATTTAATACATGTTAATTTTCATAGTACTCAAAAATTATCCTTTGTAGCACTAACCACAGTTACAATTAAATATGTAATTTTAAAATGTTTTTCTTATAAGCTTTGTGATGCCAGGGAGCATATCTGTCTTTTCTCTGCCCTATTCTCAGCATCCAGAATAGTGCCAGGCGTGAAGTATAGTAGATGCTCAATAAATATTTGTCAAATGAATGAACACCCCTTTCCTGATTCTGTCCTCCCTTGGCTTAAAGGACAGTATCGGGGTTGGGGGAGGGGGGAGGGATAGCATTGGGAGATATACCTAATGCTAGATGACGAGTTAGTGGGTGCAGTGCACCAGCATGGCACATGTATACATATGTAACTAACCTGCACAATGTGCACATGTACCCTAAAACTTAAGTATAATAATAATAAAAAAAAAAGACAGTATCCTGAACATTTTGGCCTGCTTTGAGAATCAATCACCGTGTTACATAACTTTGGTCTATTAAAGATTGGAGCTGGGTAAAGGGGAGGGCAATGAATAGAGGAATAACAATGAAAGAGAACAGAATGGTATTCAAAGTAAATTATAAGAACATAGTACTCTGGACTTTCTAACTCTCTCTAATCTGGTATCCAGTCCCCAATTCTACCAAAACAGTTTTCATTGTGATCACAGCTGGCTTACATGTTGCTGAACATGTTGAGTTTCCCTTAGTTTAGTAAAATGATAACTCTTCTAGTTACTCAGGAAAGAATCTTGGAGTCATCTTCTCTTTCTCACTTTATAGAATCCAGTTCATCAGCAAATACTGTTAGCTCTGTCTTCAAGATATATCCATAATCTGATCACTTCTTAATCATCTCCACCATAATCACCCTCTTCCAAGCCATCTCTATTAGTTTAGTTTCCTGTGACTGCTGTAAGAAATTACTACATACTTGGTGCCTTACAACAACAGATATTCATTCTCTTATAGTTCTGGAGGTCATACATTTGAATCAGTCTTACTGAGCCAAATTCAGGATGTCAGAAGGGCTGTATTCCTTCCAGAGGCTTTAGGGGAGAGTCTGGTCTTTACCTCTTCCACCTTCTGGTGGCTACTGGCTTTCCTTGGCTTGTGGCAGCGTCACTTCAATCTTCAAGGTCAGCATCTTTAAATCTCTCTGCACATCTCTTTCTCCTGCACTGTTTTTGTCATATCTCTGCCTCCCTCTTCTCTTGTAAGGACATATGATTGGACTTAGAGCCCACCTGGATAATTCTTTTTTTTTTTGAGATGGGAGTCTCGCTCTGTCACCCAGGCTGGAGTGTAGTGGCACCATCTCGGCTCACTGCAACCTCTGCCTCCCAGGTTTAAGTGATTCTCCTGCCTCAGCCTCCCGAGTAGCTGGGATTACAGGAGGCCACCATCATACCTGGCTAATTTTTATACTTTTTAGTAGAGGCGGGGTTTCACCATCTTGGCCGGGCTGGTCTTGAACTCCTGACCTCGTGATCTACCTGCCTCAGCCTCCCAAAGTGCTGGGATTACAGGCGTGAGCCACCGCGCCCGGCCCCAAAATTCTTAATTTAATCATGCCTGCAAAGACTCCTAGCCCTTTTTGCTGTAAAAGGTAACATTCACAGATTCCCGGTATTAGGCTATGGATATCTTTTGGGCCATTTTTCAGCCTATCATAGTCTCTTCTCTGCTCGTCTGTTCCACAGGCAAAATACACCCATCTCATTCCAACATCCCCAAAAGTCTCAACCCATTGCAACATCAACTCAAGCCCGAGATCTCTTCTGTCACCAACTCTGAAGTTTAAAGTCTCATTATCTAAATCATCTGTTATCTGTTCCCAAAATACACTGGTCAGACATGTATAGTGTAACAGTTATAGATAATTCCGGTTTCAGAAGGGAGAAAATGCAAGGAATAAATGGGTTACTGGTACTAAGTAATTTCAAAATCCAGCAGGGAAAATTTTTATTATGTTTCAAAGCCTGTGAGTAATTTTCTTTTACTCGAGACTCTGCCCTCTGAGTCTCTGGCTCTAGCTTCTGCTTTCATAGTTATCCTTCCTTTTTCTTGAAGAGAAGCATATATTTGCAACTGAGTAGAGTTTTTGCCCACGGTGTTTAAAAATTGTGTTAAAATTTACCATCGTAACCATTTTTAAGTGTACTGTCCAGTGGTGTTAAGTACATTCATATTGTGAAACCATCACCGCCGTTCATCTCCAGAACTCTTTTTATCTTGCAAAACTGAAGCTCTATACCCATTAAACAATGACTCCCTGTTCTCCTCTCCCCAGCCCCTGTGAACCACCATTCCCTTTTCTGTCTCTATGGTTTTGATTACTCTTAAGTACTTCATACAAGTGGAACCATACAATATTTGTCTTTTGTGACTAGCTTATGTCACTTAGTATAATGTCCTCAAGAGTCATCCATGTTGTAGCATGTATCAGAATTTTCTTTCTTTTTACGGCTGAAAGAGTAAAGAGTATTTTTATTAGCCTGATTGCTGCATGTAGAATTTTGGTAGTCCAACATCTTTCAGTCTTCTTCTTCTTTTTTTTTTTTTTTTAAAGACAGAGTCTCGCTCTGTCACCCAGGCTGGAGTGCAGTGACACAATCATGGCTCAATGCAGCCTCCATCTCCTGGGGCTCAAGCAATTCTCCTGCCTCAGCCTCCTGAGTAGCTGGGGCTACAGGCATGCACCACCAGACTTGGCTCATTTTTTGTATTTTTTGTAGGGATGGTCTCATTTTGTTGCCCAGGCTGGTCTTGAACTCCTGGGCTCAAGCTATCCTCCTGCTTTGGCCTCTCAAAGTGCTGGGATTACAGACGTGAGCTACCACATCCAGCCAACAGCCTTCCTTTATTTCATTCTTTATTTGTCCTTTCAGTCCAAGTTGACAGTGTTTCTGCTGATATAACATTGTTAGAAACCTTGTGGGTCTCCTATGTATATTTTGGGGGTTCTTGTCATTAGACAAGAGGGTTCTCTATAGAGCTTTTCTGGATAATCCCATCTCCATTCCTACCTTCTGCTTATGGTTGGCTGAAGGAATTCATGAGTCACACTCCTGATCCCTTCAGCATGACTAAGAGGTTGTCCTGCAACATGCTTGACTTTCTCTCCACAGCATGCTTTTCTTAACAGTGAATTTCCTAATTTTAACATATTTTGTTGGCTGGGTGCAGTGGCTCATACCTGTAATCCCAGCACTTTGGGAAGCCAAGCCAGGTGGATCACCTGAGGTCAGGAGTTCAAAACCACCCTGGCCAATATGGTGAAACCCTGTCTCTACTAAAAATACAAAAAAAAAAAAAAAAAAAAAAGACTGCATGTTGTGGCTCACGCCTGTAATCCCAGCACTTTGGGAGGTTGAGACGGGTGTATCACCTGAGGTCGGGAGTTCGAGACCAGCCTGACCAACATAGAGAAACCCCATCTCTACTAAAAATACAAAATTAGCCAGGCGTGGTAATGCATGCCTGTAATCCCAGCTACTCGGGAGGCTGAGTAGGAGAATCACTTGAACCTAGGAGGTGGAGGTTGTGGTGAGCTGAGATCGCACCATTGCACTCCAGCATGGACAACAAGAGCAAAACTCTGTCTCAAAAAAAAAAAAAAAAAATTAGCTGGGTGTGGTGGTATGCGTCTGTAGTCCCAGCTACTCAGGAGGCTGAGGTGGGAGAATTGCTTGAACCTGGGAGACGGAGGCTGCATTGAGCCAAGATCACGCCACTGCACTCCAGCCTGGGAGACAGTGAGACTCTGTCTCCAAAAATAAATAAATCTTTTGTGATCCAGGTAAGCTGAGAATTTCCCAAATCATCAAGTACTGATTTCTTTTTTTTTTTTTTTTTTTTGAGACGGAGTTTCGCTCTGTTGCCCAGGCTGGAGTGCAGTGGTGTGATCTCGGCTCACTGCAAGCTCCACCTCCCAGGTTTGCACCATTCTTCTGCCTCAGCCTCCTGAATAGCTGGGACTACAGGCTCCTGCCACCACGCCCAGCTAATTTTTTTGTACTTTTAGTAGAGACGGGGTTTCACTGTGTTAGCCAGGATGGTCTCGATCTCCTGACCTCGTGATCCGCCCGTCTCGGCCTCCCAAAGTGCTGGGGTTACAGGTGTGAGCCACCGCACCCGGCCAATTTCTTTTTGTTTAACATTTCTCCTATTAATTTTTCCTCTTATGTTTTACTGCAAATAACAAGAAGAAACCAGGCTGTACCTTCAGTATGTTGCTTGGGAATCTAAATTTCCAAATTCCTTGCTTAAAAATTCTGCTTTCCATACAACTGTTGGACACAATTTAGCTAACCTTTCTGCTACTGTAAAACGAGGATCGTCTTTCTGTTAGTTTCCAATAACGTGTTCCTCATTTCCTTCTGAGTGCTTGTCAAGAGTACCTTTAACATTCATATTTTTACCAACATTCTGTTTATAAAAGTATATGTACTCTATACAACAACACAGATTTTCTCTACTTTAGTTTTCACTTCCTGTGAGCCACCACACTCAGCCCTTAAAGCCTTTCAGTGGATTGAATCAGGCCCATCCAGATTATCTAGGACAGCCTCCTTTATTTAAAGCCAAGTGATTATGAATGTTAGTTACATCTACAAAATACTTTCACAGCAACACTTCAGATTAATGTTTGGTTGAATAATTGGGGACTGTAGCTTAGTCAAGCTGACACATAAAACTGACCATCACACCATCATTATTATTTCTTGCCTGGATTATTGATATATATATATATATTTTTAATTATTATTATTTTTATTTTTATTTTTGAGAAGGAGTCTTGCTGTGTCACCCAGGCTGGAGTGCAGTGGCGCAGTCTTGGCTCACTGAAACCTCTGCCTCCTGAGTTCGAGATTCTCCCACCCCAGCCACCTAAATAGCTGGGATTACAGGCGTGAGCCACCACACCCAGCTAATTTTTGTATTTTTAGTAGAGACTGGTTTCGCTGTGTTAGCCAGGCTGGTCTTGAATTCCTGACCTCAAGTGATCTGCCTGCCTTGGCTTCCCAAAGTGCTGGAATTAAAGGCGTGAGCCACCATGCCCGGCCTGCAATATCTTCTTTTGAAGTGCATTCTCTGCTTCTGCCCTTGATTTCTTATTATCTGTTCTCCAGTTATTAATAGTAGCTAAAGTCTGTTTCAAGATCTGCCACTCCTCCCTTTGCTTACTCTGTGGCAACCCCATTGGTTTCCCTGCTTTTCCTGCATCTGCCAGGTCTTTGTGCTTGCTGTTCCCTCTACCCGAAATACTCTCTCCCTTCGCATGGTTTACTTCCTCACTTTTTTCAGATGTTTGCTCAGATGTCTCCTTATCAGAGAGGTTACCATATATAAAAAAGTGGCCAGGCCTGGTGGCTCATGCCTGTAATCCCAGCACTTTGGGAGGCCGAGGCGAGTGGGTCACGAGGTCAGGAGATTGAGACCACCCTGGCTAACACGGTGAAACCCCATCTCTACTAAAAAAAAAAAAAAAAAAAAATACAAAAAATTAGCCAGGCGTGGTGGCGGGCACCTGTAGTCCCAGCTACTCGGGAGGCTGAGGCAGGAGAATGGCGTGAACCCAGGAGGTGGAGCTTGCAGTGAGCCGAGATTGTGCCAGTGTGCTCCAGCCTGGGCAACAGAGCGAGACTCCGTCTCAAAAAAAAAAAACAAAAAACAACCTTACTCCTCAATCCCTGGCATTCCCTACTCCCCTTATCCTGCTTCACTTTTCTCCAGAAGACTTATTACCACTTGACATTCATCTGTTTGTTGTCCGTCTCTTCCCACTAGATGATCGTCTGTACAAGGGCAGGGACTTTGTCAATTTCTGTATCCTCAACACCAACAGTACTTGGCATGTAGTAGGTGTTAATAAGTACTTTTTGAATAAATGAATGAATGAATGAATTGAATTCTTATTTTACCTCTCAAGTGGCATTTGACATAGTTGATTTTTTGTAGGACATTATTCTCCTAATGGCTAGGCCATTCTTTCTTTCTTTTTTTTTCTTTTTTTTTTTTGAGACAGAGTCTTGCTCTGTCGCCCAGGCTGGAGTGCAGTGGTGAGATCTCGGCTCACTGCAAGCTCCGCCTCCCGGGTTCATGCCATTCTCCTGCCTCAGCCTCCCGAGTAGCTGGGACTACAGGCGCCCGCCACCACGCCTGGCTAATTTTTTGTATTTTTTAGTAGAAACGGGGTTTCACCGTGTTAGCCAGGATGGTCTCGATCTCCTGACCTTGTGATCCACCGGCCTCGGCCTCCCAAAGTGCTGGCATTACAGGCGTGAGCCACCGCGCCTGGCTAGGCCATTCTTTCTACCACACCTGCCATTTTTTGTCTCTTTTGCTAGCTCCTTTTCAATTTGGCCTCCGTTTGTGAGATTTTCTCAAGACTCAGCCTTAAATCCTTTTGTTTTCTCTCTCTGTAGGAGACCTCATCCAGTCCCATAGCTTTAAATAACATTTACATGACAATGATTCCCAAATGTGTATCTTCATCATTTTGCCTGTCTGCCTCCCTGCCCGCCCTCCCTCCCTCCCTCCCTCCCTCCCTCCCTCCCTCCTTCCCTCCTTCCCTCCTTCCCTCCTTCCTTCCTTCCTTCCTTCTCTCGTCTCTCTCTTTCTTTCGTCTTGCTTTTCTTTTCTGGGGTAGAGGCTCACTCTGTTATCCAAGCTGGAGTGCAGTGATGCCAGCTCAGGTCACTGCAACCTATGCCCCTGGAGCTCAAGCAATCCTCCCACCTTGGCCTCCCAAGTAGCTGGGGTTACAGGTGTGCACCACCATGCCCAGATAATTTTTGTATTTTTTTGTAGAATATTTTTTGTTTCACCATGTTGCCCAGGCTGGGCTCGAACTGCTGGGTTTAAGTGATCCGCCTGCTTCAGCCTTCCAAAAGTGCTGGGATTACAGACGTGAGCCACTGTGCTCAGCTACTCCATCTTTTTTGAATGTTAGTCACTTTCTATCTCCATTGGGATGGCTCACAGACATCTCAAATTTACATTCCAAAGTGAACTCTTAATCCTCATTTCCTACTGCTAAAGTTGCTCTGGCTCCAACGTTCCCCATTTCTGTAAATGGCACTTGTGTCTACCTTGTTAACATAAGTCAGAAACCTGAAGGGGAATCTTTGGCATCTCCCTTTTCCTCCTCACGTCCATTCCATTATCCATTTCTGTTGATAATCACTCCATAAATATTACCTCATTTGTCACCTTCTTATCTCTGCCACTAAAACTACTCTAGCTAGTCTAAGCCACCCTATTTCCAGTTAAACCAATTAAATAAATGCTTAATTGGTTTTCTTCCGTCCGTCATTCTCTCTAACTCCCTTCAGTCAATTCTCCACACTGAAGCCAGAGTTTTAAAATGCATATCTAATCATACCATGCTCTTTCCTCTTCCCTCAAGCCTTTTGCTCTCTGTAGGCTCCAAGCAGGTGCCTTAAATGAATGGTATTGGGTATATCATGGGTTTTAATAAAGAGTGGTAGGAACTGTGGCAAATTGAAGAGTACATGCTCTAAGGTATCCACTTGTTAGTTCTAGTATATTGTTGGCATGAAGGAGTGTAGACTTTGAATTGCTGATCTTCTGATTTCTTTTCAAAAAGAAGCCAGAAGTCTGGAATTTTTAAATTGTGAATTTTCTTTATTTTAAAATGTTGATGAACAATTTAAATTTTAAAAATGTGTATACTTAGGGATAAATCTGATAAAAATAATGAAATAATAAACTTAATGAAATAATTAAATGAAAATATTGGCCGGGTGCAGTGGCTCACGCCTGTAATCCCAGCACTTTGGGAGGCCGAGGCGGGCAGATCACTTGAGGTTAGGAGTTCAAGACCAGCCTGGCCCACGTGGCGAAACCCCATCTCTACTAAAAATACAACAATTAGCTGGGCATGGTGGTGGCCATCTGTAATTCCAGCTACTCGGGAGGCTGAGGCAGGAGAATCACTTGAACTGAGGAGACAGAGGTTGCAGTGAGCTGAGATTATGCCATTGTACTCCAGCCTGGGTGACAGAACCCTGTCTCAAAAGAGAAAAAAAAAAAAAAGAAAAGAAAATATAGGACCTTTTACACTGAAAATTATAAAACATTGCCAAGAGAAGTTAAAGAAGACCTAAATAAGTGGAGATATACCATCTGCATGATTTGAAAGACCCAATATTGTTAAGCTGTCCAGTCTTCCCCAAATAATCTAAAGATTGTGTCTTCCCCAAAATCTCAGCAGGACTTTTTGGGGAGAAATTGACTTTCTGAATCTAAAATTCACATGGAAATACAAGGGACCTATAATAGCCAAAACAATTTACAAGAGGAAGAACAAACAAAATTACTTGATTTCAAAACTTGTTATAAAGCAAGAGTAATCAAGACAATGCAGTATTTACCAGTCATTGGAACACCATAAAGAGTCCAGAAATAGATACATACATATATAGTCAATTGATTTTCAGCAATAGCGCAAACATAATTCAGAAGGGGAAAGTATAGTCTTTTTAACAGCTATTGCTGGAACAAGTGGATATTTGTATGTAAAGAAATGAACCTCAATCCCAGTCTCATATGATACATAAAAATTAATTTGAAATGGTTTGTAGACCTAAACATACAAACTAAAAGCATAAAACTTATAGGAGAAATCATGGGACTAAATCTTTGAGACCTTGACATAGGCAGATTTTTTTTTTTCTAGCACGTGTAAGGAGCACTCACCATAAAAGTAAAAATTGATAAATTGCACTTTATTAAAATTAAAGCCTTCTGTTCTTTAGAAGACACCATAAGAAACTAAAAAGGTAAGCCACAGACTTGGGAGGAAATATTTACACATGCTATATATATCCAGAATATGTTTTAAAAAACTTTAAAAATTTAATAATATGACAAATGGCCCAATTAAAAAATAAGTAGAAGACTTGAATGGACATTTCTTAGAAGAAAATATTTATGGGCCAGGCGCTGCAGCTCATGCCTGTAATCCCAGCACTTTGGGAGGCCGAGGCAGGCAGATCACCTGAGGTCGAGAGTTTGAGACCAGCCTGACCAACATGGAGAAACCTCGTCTCTACTAAAAATACAGAATCATTTGGGTGTGGTGGCTTATGCCAGTAATCCTAGCTACTTGGGAGGCTGAGGCAGGAGAATCCCTTGAACCCAGGATGCGTAGGTTGCAGTGAGCCGAGATCGCGCCATTGCACTCCAGTCTGGTAACGAGAGCGAAACTCCGTCTCAAAAGAAAAAGAAAAAATATTTATGAATGTCCAAAACATGTAAAAAGATACTCAACATAATTGCAAGGGAAATATAATATTTTTTTTTTTTTTTGGAGACAGGGTCTCACTTTGTCACCCAGGCTAGAGTGCTTTGGCGTGATCATAGTTAACTGCAACCTTGACCTCTGTGGCTCAAGTGATCCTCTCACCTTAGCCTCCCAAGTAGCTGGGACTACAGGTGGGTGCTACCATGCCTGGCTAACATAAAATTTTTTTATTTTTTTTTATTTTTTATTTATTTATTTATTTATTTATTTTTTTGAGACAGAGTTCTGCTCTTGTTGCCCAGGCTGGAGTACAATGGTGTGATCCCGGCTTACTGCAACCTCTGCCGCCTAGATTCTAGTGATTCTCCTGCCTCAGCCTCCCGAGTAGCTGGGATTACAGGCATGCGCCACCATGCCCGGCTAATTTTTTTGTATTTTTAGTAGAGACAGGGTTTCTCCATGTTGGTCAGGCTGGTCTCAAACTCCCAACCTCAGGTGATCCGCCCGCCTCGGCCTCCCAAAGTGCTGGGATTACAGGCATGAGCCACCACGCCCGGCTTATTTTTTTATTTTTTGAAACAGGGTCTCCATCACTCAGGCTGGAGTGCACACGATCCCGGCTCACTGCAACCTTTGCCTCGTGTGTTCAAGCAGTTCTCCCACTTCAGCCTCCAGAGTAGCTGGGACCATAGGTGTGCGCCACTACGCCTGGCTATTTTTTGGGTATTTTTTGGTAGAGATGGGGTTTCACCATGTCAGCCAGGCTGGAAAAATTTTTTTTTTTCTAGAGACAGGGTCTCTCTGTATTTCCCAGGGTGGTCTTGAATTCCTAGGCCCAAGCAATCCTTCTGTCTTAGTATCCCAAAGTGTTGGGATTACAGGCACGAGCCACCATACCTGGACAGAAATACAAATTAAAACCACAGTGAGACAGCATTTTATTCCCATTAGAATGGCTAAAGTTTAAAAAGATGGACAGTTCCAAGAATTGGTGAGAATGTAGAGCAGTAGTTCAGGCCTGTTGCTTGTAGGAGTGTGACATGGTACAGCCACTTTGGAAAGTTTGTCAGTTTCTTACAAGGTTAGATATATACTTATTCAATTTAGCAATACTACTCTTAGGTGTTTGTTACCCAAGAGAAATGAAAACATACAGTCAACAAAAAACCATGTGAATGTTCATAGCAGCTTTATTCACAATAGCTGGAAAAATTGGAAACAACCCAAATGCCATCAACAGGTGAATGGATAAACAAGTTGGATAAATAAACAATGGATTACTACTTAGAAAAAAGAAAGGAATGAATTATGGATACATGCAGCACTGTGAATGAATCTCAAAAACATGTTGAGTGAAAGAAAACAAAAGAGAACTTACTATATGATTTCATTTATAAGAAGTTCTACACTAGGCAAAACTAACCTGTAGTCATAGAAATTAGATCAGTGGTGATTAGATGCAGTAAGGGTGGAATATTGACTGCAAAGGATATGAAGAGTGATGGGAATGTCCTTGTTATTGTTGTTTTTGGGCCAGGGTCTTGCTCTGTCACCTAGGGTGGAGTGCAGTGGCATGATCATGGCTCACTGCAGGCTCGACCTCCTGTGCTCAAGTGATCCTCCCACCTTAGGCTCCTGAGTAGCTGGGCAGCCATGCACCACTATACCCAGCTAAGTTTTAAACATTGTTTTGTAGAGACAGAGCCTTACTATGTTGTCCGGGCTGGTATCAAACTCCTAGCCTCAAGTGATCCTCCTGCCTTGGGCTTCCAAAATGCTAGGATTACAGGTGTGAGTCACTGTGCCTGGCTTATGGAAATGTTTTTTTTTCTTGATTGAGATTGATGATTTATGAGAGTATACACTTATCAAAACTCACTGAAACTGTACACTCAAAATGTGTGCTTTTTATTGTATGCAAATTATACTTCAAAGTTGATTAAAAAGTACTCTCCAGGTCAATACTCTGTGGACTAAACAAAAAACGTTTGCGTGCCAAATTTGATTGAGGTAGCCAGTTCTTAACAGCTAATCTACACTGCCACACATGTGTGTACTGTAAGAGTGCCTGACTTGTAATAGGTCCTCACATTTCTGTTGAATGAATGAGTGGCTGAATAACGTACCTTCTTGCAGCCCCATTGCAGGAAGATAGTTCATCCTTCATTCTCTTGCCGTTTCCTAACTGCAGTCATTTTAGAGAGTTAATTTTTTTTGGTTTCTCCTGGAAGTGGTCTCTTGAGTATGCATGAGATCATTCATTCATTCAAATAGTTACTGAGTATCTACCATATGTATTTACATTGCCTAAATAAAGTACTTGCTCATTGTGAGGAATTACACAAATGTCAGTTGATTATATATGAAATTTACATTTGACTTATAAAAGCAAATGCTGGATAAGCTGTTCTTAGAATCTGTTTCAACTACCATTTCTTTGGTTTTTGCCTTTGTACTCTGCTATCTGTGGAAAAATAACATAGGCTTAATAACAGACTCTGTACATAACTTTTTAGATGAGAAGAAGCAAAAACATTTCCACATATTCTGGTATAGCTATAGAAATTGTTTTTGTTTTTTTTCTTCCTTTCCAGTTAGAGTCTGAGCAATGAGTGGACTGACTTAATTTAGTTGCTAGAACCAAATTGCTTCTTGGTCTTGTAGTTAGTCTATAGCTGTGTACCATCTTCATGAAATCTGATTATGACTAATGTAGACTTTTATAGGTCATCAAGCAGAATTAGTCTGTTTTTCTTCAAACAGAACTTTAAAAATTACTGGTTATCATTCTGTACTGATAATTGTCATTTCTCTAACCTTGGTCAAGCTGCCCTGAATTCATGGAACAGCTTTCCTGTCCCATGCTCCAAACTCCTTGCTCATTGTTAAAGTTAGCATGAGTCTAAACTCCTTTGGGAAACAGCTCTCTTTGGGCAGGGCGCAGTGGCTCATTCCTGTCATCTCAGCAGTTTGGGAGGCTGAGGTGGGAGGATTACTTGAGGCTGGGAATTCGAGACCAGCCTGGGCAACACAGTAAGACCATGTCTCTACAAAAAATTTAATTAAAAAAAAAAGCTGGATGTGGTGGTTTGAGTGCCTTTAGTTCTAGCTACTTGGAAGGCTGAAGCAGGAGGATCACTCGAATCCAGGAAGTCAAGGCTGCAGTGAGCAAAGATTGTGCCACTGCACTCCAGCCTGAGTGACAGAGCAAGACCTCTAAAAATAAAAAGTAAAAATAGGCTGGGCGCAGTGGCTCACGCCTGTAATCCCAGCACTTTGGGAGACCAAGGTGGGCAGATCACTTTAGGTCAGGAGTTCGAGACCAGCCTGGCCAACATGCTGAAACCCCTTCTCTACTAAAAATACAAAAAATCGGCCGGGCGTGGTGGCACACGCGTGTAATCCCAGCTACATGGGAGGCTGAGGCCGGAAAATCACTTGAGCCCGGGACATGGAGGTTGCAGTGAGCCGAGATGGCATCACTGCCTGCCAGCCTGGACAACAGAGCAAGTCTCTATCTCAAAAAAAAAAAAAAAAAAAAAAAGTAAAAGAAAACAACTCTCTTTGGTGAACACAAATGAATCATCCAATCTCAAATTTGTTTTCAGACTCACCTCTTCCTTTAATGCCCTTCTATTATTTCTCTTTTTTTTTACTTATTTTTCCCTCCAAGACTTTTTTTCCCCTATTTATGTCATAGTGTCACTGGGGTAGTAGTTGCGCCTAATTGATATATTTTCTTTCTTATGTATCTAATATATCTATGCCAAGCAAGTTTAATAAAACCAGGAAGATTGATGGTGGATTCCTAGTATGAAGCTGAATAATATGTGTTTAGAGTCCATAATGGATAAAAAGTACAATACTTGAGATACTGTGGACCTAGGTCTTTTCTCCCCCACTTTTTCTTGGCACATTCCCCTGAAAAGGAAGCCAAGGAGATTAAGAGCTGCTTCTGTCTGATAATAGCTCAGAAATTTAAGAGGAGGCAGTTCCTACAGCAGCAATCTGAGTCCAGTAAGAGAGCTTAATGAACTGCCTTTACCTGTACAGTAGTCAGTTTGTCTCTGCTGAGACATCAGAGGAACTGAGAGAAATTTAACAGGAATATAAGAATGAGGAAAAAAGAGGCTGGGTATGGTGGCTTATGCCTGTAATCTCAGCATTTTGGGAGGCCGAGGCTGGTGGATCATCTCAGGTCAGGAGTTTGAGACCAGCCTGCCCAACATGGTGAAACCTTATCTCTACTAAAAATATAAAATATTAGCTGGGCATGGTGGCAGGTACCTGTAGTCCCAGCTACCCGGGAGGCTGAGGCAGGAGAATCGTCTGAACCCAGGAGGTGGAGGTTGCGGTGAGCTGAGATCACGCCACTGCCCTCCAAGCCTGGGCAACAGGGTGAGACTCTGTCTCAAAAAAAAAAAAAAAAAAAAGAGAAAAAAAAGAAACAGACATTTGGAATTGCATGTATGTGTAATCTTGATAGTTTAATTTGGAAAGATCTATTTATCCTCTTTACTCTGATTAGAACTGTTTGTACTTACGCTCAAGCTAGAATTAATATATTAAAGAGGACATACGTTTATCTGCCTTTCAGAATATATTATTTCAAATACCTGTTATCTTTGATGGGTTTACTTTTTTTTGAGGTAGAGTCTTGCTCTGACTCTGAGGCTGGAGTGCAGTGGCGCAGTCTCGACTCACCACAACCTCCGCTGCCCGGGTTCAAGCAATTCTCCTGCCTCAGCCTCCCGAGTAGCTGGATTACAGGTGCCCTCCACCATGCCTGGCTAATTGTTTGTATTTCTAGTAGAGACAGGGTTTCACCATGTTGGCTAGGCTGATCTTGAACTCCTGACCTCAAGTGATCCACCCATCTAGGCCTCCCAGAGTGCTGGGATTACAGATGTGAACCACCGTGCCCAGCCTAAAATCTTGGTTAGTCATTTTTCACTATCAAAAATTTAAAGTGTTTTTTTTTTTTTTTTTTTTTTGTTAAAGAGACAGGGTCTCACTCTGTTGCCCAGGCTGGCAGTGATGCAGTCTTAGCTCACCATAGCCTCAAACTCCTGGGCTCGAGTGATCCTCCCGCCTGAGCTTCCTGAATAGCTGAGATTACAAATTCAAGCCACAATATCTGACTAAATGTACTTTCTGGCTAAATGTAATTTTTTTTTTTTTTTTTTGAGAAGGAGTCTTGCTCTGTCACCCAGGCTGGAGTGCAGTGGTGTGATCTCAGCACACTGCAACCTCCACCTCCCAGGTTCAAGTGATTCCCCTGCCTCAGCCTCCTGAGAAGCTGGGACTACAGGTGTGCACCACCACAACCAGCTAATTTTTTGTATTTTAGTAGAAATGGGGTTTCACCATGTTGGCCAGGATGGTCTCGATCTCCTGACCTCATGATCCGCCTGCCTCGGCCTCCCAAAGTGCTGGGTTTATAGGCATGAGCCACCATGCCCAACTAAATGTAATTTTATATTCCTACCAACAACGTAAAGGGTTCCAGTTTCTCCACATCTTTACCAAAACTTGTTTATTTGATAACAGTCATTCTAATGGGTGCGATGTGGTAATCTTACATTTTTAGTATTTTCATATATAAGGGATAACATAGTGCTGCCCCTGTGGTTATTATCACATTACTGTGTTCCCCCTGCCAACAAAAAAGTACCTCATATTGAAGTACTTTTATTTTTATTATGCAGAAGAGCAGGGACCTTGTCCATCTTCATCACTAGTATCCCTAGGGCTCAGACAGTACCTGACACATTATACTTGCTTAGCAAGTATTTGAATGAATGAATGAATGGAAAGTAGGGAGGCATGGTGTAGTGGTTAAGACCAAAGACTTTGGCATCAAACAGACCTGAGGTTGAGTCCTGGTTTCCTCATTTGTAAAATGGATTTGATAGTGCCTCCCTCATAGGATTGTGGTGGGATTAAATGAGGTCACATCTACAGCACCTGGTGCACTGTAATTATCCCATAAGTGGCAGCTATTATT
Source organism: Homo sapiens (assembly GCF_000001405.40). Taxonomy (NCBI): domain Eukaryota; kingdom Metazoa; phylum Chordata; class Mammalia; order Primates; family Hominidae; genus Homo; species Homo sapiens. The sequence goes on along the minus strand of NC_000022.11, from coordinate 40,608,469 downwards.
TAAAAAGGTCACCTGGCCAAAGGGGCATCAGTAGACTTGAAGTTTAAAATTTTTCATCTGTCACTAATCAGCTACGTAATACTGAACAAATTGTCTAACCTCTCTGGGTCTGAGTTGTTTCCTCTGTAAAATTAGGACCTTAAGTTAGATGACAGGCCGGGCATGGTGGCTCATGCCTGTAATCCCAGAACTGTTGGGAGGGCTAGGCAGGTGGATCACCTGAGGTCGGGAGTTTGAGACCAGCCTGGCCAACATGGTGAAACACCGTCCCGTCCCTACTAAAAATAAAAAAGTAGCCGGGTGTGTAGTCCCAACTACTCGGGAGTCTGAGGCAGGAGAGTCGCTTGAACCCAGGAGGCGGAGGTTGCAGTGAGCAGAGATTGTGCCACTGCACTCCAGCCTGGGCGACAGAGTGAGATTCCGTCTCAAAGAAAAAAACAAAAAGATGACCCCTGATGGCCTGTCTATGATTTTCATTTGATCCTTACAGTTGTTACTGTATTAACTGAAGGAATTATTACCATGACAATCTCAACTTTAATTATATTGGAGATTGTTAATCCCAAAGTCTAAATCTCAGAAGCATCTAAACAATAGAATTGATGTTAAAGAATTTTTCTGAAGCAAAAATCATTCCATTTCAAAAGTTAAACAATTGGAACAGTTGAAGAATAGTTTGCCCTAGTGTGGAGTGTTTAATAATGATGTAATGTGCCAGGCTATGTATGATTGCTTAGTGATCATAGAAATGGATGAATGCAGATTGTAATGCAGATTGCACTGATGGCTAGGTGGTTTTGCTGAGTTGTGTTGTGCTCAGCTGTTGGGAAGGCTTGCTTTAAGGATACCTTTCTGTCCATGCTATGGTGCTGATTCGTGGAGGAAATAAAATAATCCTTAAGAGAAGATTTCTGATTTTTGATATGTAGCTTGTTGTGTACCTGTTGTTCTTTTTTTTTTTTTTTTGAGACGGAGTCTCGCTCTGTCGCCCAGGCTGGAGTGCAGTGGTGTGATCTCAGCTCACTGCAAGCTCCGACTCTCAGGCTCACGCCATTCTCCTGCCTCAGCCTCCCGTGTAGCTGGGACTATAGGCGCCCACCAGCATGCCCTGCTAATTTTTTGTATTTTTAGTAGAGATGGGGTTTCACCGTGTTAGCCAGGATGGTCTCGATTTCCTGACCTTGTGATCTGCACTCCTCGGCCTCCCAGAGTGCTGGGATTACAAGCGTGAGCCACCGCACCCGGCCTTGTGTACCTGTTGTTCTTAGCAAACGTGACACCAGGTATGCAAACTCATTCTGGCTGGGCTTTGAGGGCAAGGAGGTTATGGCTTCACCCAGCACAGTTACTTGTTTTTCATACAAATAACTTTGAGCAGATAGTGGAAGAAACTAATTTTCTATTGTGTATCTGTTTTCTGTTAGGCACTGTTAGGTGCTTTCATGTATGCTATCTTACTTGATTTTATTTGTTAACAAAATAGTTATTTTTGTATGTATGTGTTGCTGAGTGTAACCACCCCAAATCACTTACAAGACACTCCTGAGCTTGATAATGATTTTTGTACATGAGTCCCTAGAGCCTTTGTTAGGAAGTCACTGCTGCTAGCCCCAGAAATTATATGCTGCCTTCAAAGAGGAGCTCCTTTGGCTTTGTTAGGAACAAATAACCTGATAGCTTTTGCCACCAAACTCCCTTATGTCTTCAGAGCTTCTTTCTGGTGGTCTGATGTCTCCAAAGAGGAATCCTAAGCACTTTTTCCCTCTGAAAAGAATTATAATTGGTGATTAGGCCTCCAGATGAAGCATATACACATGCACACACACACAAACAAAAACTTACCTATTATTAGTTCATTGGTCATGTGGAAGAATTTCTATAATTTAGATCTTTGTTTAAACATTTGTCTAATGGAAAGCATATGGGACCATGGAAGCTACTTAATAGCTATGTGACCTTGAGACAGTGTAAACTCCTGGGGCTCTGTCCTCATCAGTAAAGTGGAAATATACTTAATCTTGTTGGGGTGTGGTCAAGATAAAGTGAAATATATGTAAAGCTCATGAGTATTTAACAGATGTAGGCATTGTTTCCTGTTACTCCTTCCATTCTGTTTTTCAAATGACTGAGTAAAATCTCTTTGAGCATAACTAACTTTATTAAGTTTCTTTATTAAGATTATTTGGCCACATGCCCCAGAGATTGATGGTGAAATTTATTTTCCTTTCCTTATCAATTACAAACACTACTAGAAATTTATTCTTGTTCAGACTTTGGAATGAGAATTTTTTTTTTTTCAGAGAGAATTAAATGAGTTTGCTTTAGGCAGCTTTCTGAGAGCTGGCAGATTTGGATAGGAGTATTAGAATTGCTTTCATAGTGGAGTCCCCACCTGGAACATAGTTGGCAGGAGGAAGAAAGGTTATATAATCACATTCCTTATCAGATTTTCCGTAGAGTTTATTGTCTCCTGAAACACTCAAGGAAGTCCCTTACTCCTTTCCTTTCAATCAAGAAGCTGATTGTGGAATAGGAGATGAATAAATGAAAATTAATCTGACTTTAGCAATTTGAGAATGAAAAGAATGCTAACCACCAGGCATGTGGGCCTGTTTTAGCTTCCCAGGAACCTCCTCAGAGGGCATGACATGTTGGTTGTAAGCATTAAAACAAACAATCCCAACCCAAACTGTAGATGAAGCCTGGACTAAGTAAGGCAATTTAAAAGATTTTAGGTTGGTAATGGAATATAGAGATGATTTTCCCTGGCCAAAATCAGTTTTGATGTTTTGATTTTACTCATTTAAAATTCTTCTTGGTAAAAAATTATTCTCGATCAATCCATTCTTTCCAGAGTAACAAGAATGATCTTCTTAAAAACATAAATGGAATCACATCACTTCTCTGCTCAAAACTCTTACCTGCGGTGGTTTTTCCATTGTGCTTAGAATAATATCCAGATTTCATCCCATGACCTACAAGGTGCACACATACTGTATCTTTGCTGATCTCACCACCTCTTCTGGCATCCCACTCCCTTCAGTCGGCTGCACTGTCATCCGTTGGTCTTCAGTCCTTTCAACTTTCCTTATCACTATATCTAAAAAGTTGGCACTTTCTGCCCACAAAAGTCCCTTCTTTGCTGGTTTTATAACTTGGAGAAGTTTGAAATTGGTTTTCTGCTTGATGGCTTGCCTACTTACTTGTTTTTGTTTTCCTGTGCTGTTAGATTATAAACCCCATCAGAGCAGAGACCATGTTTTATCTTTTTTGTCTAGTATGTTAGCATATGGTGGGTATCTAATATTTGTTGAATGAGTGATGGTTTGCTAATTTTTCCTTTACAGACAAGTGGTTACTTCATAAAGAAATAGGCATTTGCTTGCTGGTCTTACAATCTGTAAGTGATAAAGGTTAACATGGGTCAAAAATAAATGATTCGTGTTTTGGGGTTTAATTTTTCAGAATTTAACTTAGATGGTAACTCCTCTGGGAAGCTTTTCCTGATAGGTCATAGATTAGTCTCTTCTTGTTTGGTTTATGGCACCACATACTTGCCTCATTCATTCAACGACAACAACAGACAGATTGCATTTATCTGTTTATCACTGTATCATCAGCACTTAGGTTGGTGCCTAAGTCAGCACATGGTGATCGTGCTGAATAGTATGTTCAGTGAGGAATAAGCGTTAGAATTTAGGTATCTCTTTTTTTTCCTTTTTTTGAGATGGAGTCTTGCTCTGTAACCTGGCTGGAGTGCAATGGCGCGATCTTGGCTCACTGCAACCTCCACCTCCCGAGTTCAAGCGATTCTCCTGCCTCAGCCTCCTGAGTAGCTGGGATTACAGGTGCATGCCACCACGCCCGGCTAATTTTTGTATTTTTAGTAGAGACGAGGTTTCACCATGTTGGTCATGCTGGTCTCAAACTCCTGACCTTGGAATCTGCCCACCTCGGTCTCCCAAAGTGCTGGGATTACAGGCATGAGCCACCGCGCTTGGCCAGTATTTAGGTATGTCTTAGGTAACTAACAGTTTTAGGGCCGGGTACGGTGGCTCACGCCTGTAATGTCAGCACTTTGGGAGGCCGAGGCGGGCGGGTTACGAGGTCAGGAGATTGAGACCATCCTGGCTAAGACAGTGAAACCCTGTCTCTACCAAAAATACAAAAAATTAGTCAGGTGTGGTGGCGGGCGCCTGTAGTCCCAGCTACTCAGGAGGCTGAGGCAGGAGAATGGCGTGAACCTGGGAGGCGGAGCTTGCAGTGAGCCGAGATGGTGCCACTGCACTCCAGCCTGGGCGACAGAGCAAGACTCTGTCTCAAAAAGAAAAAAAAAAAAAAGAAACTAACAGCTTTTACTCAGGTAGATTATGGAGATCACTGGTTCCAAGAATCACTTTGTTCTTTATCTGTTTTCCAAGTTCACCAGATCATGACATTAGTAAAATTTATTTTGAAATCTTTATTATGGAACATTTGAAACACATATAAAAACAAGGAGAATAATGCAATGAACCACCACCATGGGCCTGTCACCCAGTTTCAACAGTATTCAGGGGCTGGGTGCCGTGGCTTATGCCTATAATCCCAGCACTATGGAAGGCCAAGGTGGGAGGATCACTTGAGCCCAGGAGTTCAAGGACCAGCCTGGGCAACCTAGTGAGACCTCATCTCTATAAATTAAAAAAAAAAAAAGTAAAAAAAAAATTTTTTTTTTCAACATGTGACCAATCTTGTTTAATATTACTCCACACCTCCTCCTTCATATTTTAAAATAAAATTCAGACATTTTGCCATTTCATCTGTAAGTAATTCAGAATAATATAGTCGATTTAAACACTAGTTAACTCTTGGAAAAACCAGAAGCAAAAATTCCGTTTGTCTCCTTGAATCTCAGTGTAGATGCCGGCTGGTGAATTTCCATGTGCTAAGCCACTCCCAAGACCTGACTCACTATCAAAAGCATATACTCTATTGTAATTGCTGAAATAGCAGCAGTTTGTTAGAATATGTTATGGTAGTTAAGTATGTTTCTATTGGATAGAGAGAGGTTACCAATAAGAAAAAACTCCTATGTCAGAGATAAGTTTTTCCATTTGGAGATCTGATACTTTTTGATGTTGTAAATTACAGGCCTTTAAGATTTGTCTGGAAAATGAAAATGAAATGTGGTTTGTGGATTAATAGGGTAAATTCCTGTAGTTCTTTATGGGTGAATTCCTGAGAGTCATAATTAGCAGTAAAATGAAGAGCTGAAGTGTCAGAAGCCTCGGAGCTAGAAAGACTTCTCTAAGCCTAGGGAGGTAGACAGTTTAGAGCTTCGGCCAGAGGGAAAGTCACATGGCATTAGTAGTGATTATAGTTAGTTTTATTCTGGAAGTTAAAGTTGTAACCTAGACCTCTGTAAATAGCCTAGTGTGTACATAAAATTTTCTGGAGGAAGGGAAGGCACTATTTTTTCAGCAAATATTTTAAAGGATTAAGTACTGTCTTGTAAAAATTAGAGATTGGCACTGAGTGAATGGTTGGACTAGAACTGTGCTTTCTTGTGATGCCAGTTTTTTGTGAAGAAGAAATGAAGGGGGACAGAAATGATCATAATCACCTTTAACTATTGTTTTTTGAGATGGAGTCTCGCTCTGTCACCCAGGCTGGAGTGCAATAGTGTGATCTTGGCTCGCTGCAACCTCCACCTCCTGGGTTCAAGTGAATGTCCTGCCTCAGCCTCCTGAGTAACTGGGATTACAGGCACATGCCACCACGCCTCGCTAATTTTTTTTTTTTTTTTTTTTAAGTGGAGATGGGGTTTCACCATGTTGGCCAGGCTGGTCTTGAACTCTTGACCTCAGGTGATCCAACTACCTTGGCCTCCCAAAGTTCTGGGATTACAGGGGTGCCTTTAACTATTTTTTAAACCAACCACATAGGAGAGCAAGACCTTGATTCTAGGAGGCTACAAGTCCTAGCCCTGCTGTGACTGCAGCCTTACTTTCTCTTTATCCTGAATCACCACGATTCTTCTGTTTGTAATATTGGCAGATGGTGGATGTGGTGATCCCAAGTTCATTCTTGGCAACTTATTTTGAAAAATCTGCTGTTTTATTCTTCCTGCTATACTCCCATATCCCTTAGTTAACTCCTGTATTGAAGTACTTAGCACACATGACTTGAATAGGGATTTTGTCATAATCATTTGTGTTTCCTTAGCATCTAGCACATGGTCACTTGGAAAATATTTGTTGACACATGATGATCACTTTCCAATGCTGAGATGGTGTGATTTTGTGATTTCTCCAATGACCTTGACCTAGATTGTGATACTAGTGGTAGTCTTGTATAGGTCCCTCTCTGTGTTGTTCTTCTTCGTAGGTGCTTTGTTCTCAGGCTCTGGACCATTCTCTTGTTTTGGGACATTCCAGGGAACAGGAGAGAAAAATTTGCATTTAAAACAAAAGGAGTATGTTACATCGATGTTCCTCATTGCCAGGATCACTGGAATGTTCCAGTTGCTATCAGGATGAATTCACTGTTGGTAACAGATGCCAGGGACTCATTATATTTTTGTTATTCTTCCTCATTTACTGAGATTTGACCCCCTACCTCTGATTGTGATGGGAAAGGGATTTCAGTCTTGATCTTCAAGCTTTATATTATTTATTTAATTTTAATTTTTCATTGTTTTTAAAGAGACAAAGTCTTGCTCTGGTACTCAGGTGGATCACAGTGGCACATCCATGGCTCAGTGTAACCATACCCAGCTGATCTTCAGGCTTTAAAGGTTATGGCCAGTCATTCAGAATTAATCAGTATCAAACGATGAGTATTTTTTTTTGTCATCTATGTGATAACTGCTGAAATTAACTTATTATAAAACTAGGCTAGAGTCTAGGCTAAATTAAATTTGTGTTTTGTCAGCTACTATAAGACAGTAAAATGGAAGTATTAAAAAACATTATTTCGAAGTTGGGCATGGTGGCTCATGCCTGTAATCCCAGCACTTTAGGAGGTCAAGGCAGGAGGATCGCTTGAAGCTAGGAGTTTGACACCAGCCTGGGCAAAATAGACTCTGTCACTACAAAAATAAAAAATTAGCCAGGCATGGTGGCACATGCCTGTAGTCTGGCTCCTCTGAAGGCGGAGGCAGGGAGGAGCACTTGAGCCAAGGAGTTTGAGGTTGCATTGAGCTATAGATGTGCCACTGTGATCCAGTCTGCACAATAGAGCAAGACCATGTCTCAAAAAAACAAAAAAAAGTTCAAAAACTTAAAAATTGTAAAGTGGGTTTTGCTTTGCAGTTTCAAAAGGAAAGAGCTATATCTACTTCTCTGGAGCTACTATGTCTGAGTCTTAATAATGGTCAAACAGGAGATGCTTATTATGGGATGCTGGCAGATGAAGGGAAAACTGGGAACTTTATTATAGAGTTTGAAACTCTTCTTATAAGTGGACAGTTTGAGATTGTAGTTTTTTTGTTTTGTTTTGTTTTGCTTTTTTTGAGACGGAGTCTTGCTTTGTCACCCAGGCTGGAGTACAGTGGCACAATCTTGGCTCACTGCAACCTCCACCTTCCGGGTTCAAGCTATTCTGCCTCAGCCATCTGAGTAGCTGGGACTACAGGCGTGTGCCACCACGGCCGGCTAATTTTTGTATCTTTAGAAGAGACGGGGTTTCACTACGTTGGCCAGGCTGGTCTCGAACTCCTGACCTTGTGATCCGCCTGCCTCGGCCTCCCAAAGTTCTGGGATTACAGGCGTGAGCCACCAAGCCCAGCCAAGATTGTAGTTTTTTATTTTGTAAAGTATTGCATATGTTATGGTACCTTAATGAGCACATGAGCATGTTCGGTTGAATTCTGCATCTGGGTTGACCAGCAGGCTACATAGGCCTTCTTTATTTTCTCTCTCCCTTTTTAATATATACAGGTATTGCTTCCATTTTCCTCTTGTCACCTTAATCAAATATAATCTCAGCCTCTCAAAGTGCTGAGATTACAAGTGTGGGCCAGCATGCCCTGCCTTAACTGTTCTTTAAAATCTCTATGCACATCACACCGATAATCGGAAAGGAAAGATTTGTGGTGGATATGAAAGGCAGCAGAGTGTATTGCTTCTTGTAGGAGGTTATGGATATGCCTAGGAGCACAGTGGTTTCTCTTGACTCCTTTAAGACTCTTGGATCGCTTTAGTCATTACCAGCACTTTGCATGGATTCGCATTTCTGCCTCCCTTACTTGTTTCAGGGGGCCTAGTTTATTTAATCTTCTCTTTGGGTGCAGAAGAAAGAGCAAACAGAGGAATCAGGCAGAGAGAGATTAAGATTTTTTTCATAGGTGTTCAGTTTGAGGAGATATGTAACAATATCTGTTGAGGTGGACTGCTTAAAAACCACAATTCCAAAAAATCCCCACAGTTTATTCCTTTAACTGGAAATTGTTATTTTCCCTCTGCTTTTTTTTTTTTTGATAAGTCAAACCTCTAAATTGATTTTCTTTTGTCTTTCTTCCTTTTCCTTTTTCCCCTCTTCATTCCATTTTTGTTCCTTTCCCTTCACTTCTTTTTTTTTTTTTAAAGACACAGCGTGTCTCACTCTGTCGCTCAGGCTGGAGTGCAGTGGTGTAATCATAGCTCGCTGCGGCCTCAACCTCCCGGGGTCAAGCGATCCTCCTACCTCAGCCTCCTGAGTAGTTGGGACTTTAGGCAAACACCACCATGCCTGATTAATTTTTGTATTTTTTGTAGCGATGGGGTTTTGCCATATTGCCCAGTCTGGTCTCAAACTCCTGGGTTCAAGCAGTCCGCTCGCTTCTGCCTCTCCCAGAGTGTTGGAATTACAGGTGTGAGCCACTGTGCCTGGCAACTTTCCTTTTATCCTTTGCATTCTCTTCCCCTAAATTAAAATGGATTAGTGGCATTCTTTCCAAAGAAGTGCTTGTTTGAAAGAAGACCCAGAATTCTATGAAATTGCTTTTTTTCTTTGTGGGAAGTTTATTTTTTAGAAGATAAGGATAATGTCATCTTAGATTGTAAAAATTATTCTCATCCCCTTTGGAATGTAAGGAAATCTTTTAAAAGCTAAATTTCCACTGGAGAGTCTATGTGCGTATGTATTGAGCCAAAAGTATTGAAAATAATTGCTATAGTTTTCTAATGCCCAAGTTTTTTTTGTTTGTTTGAGACGGAGTTTCGTTCTTGTTGCCCAGGCTGAAGTGCAATGGCCCGATCTCGGCTCACTGCAACCTCCGCCTCCTGGGTTCAAGCGATTCTCCTGCCTCAGCCTCCTGAGTAGCTGGGATTACAGGCATGCACCACTATGCCCAGCTAATTTTTCTATTTTTAGTAGAGATGGGGTTTCTCCATGTTGGCCAGGCTAGTCTCGAACTCCCAACCTCAGGTGATCAGCCCGCCCCGGCCCCCCAAGGTTCTGGGATTACAGGTGTGAGCCACCACGCCCAGGTTTTTTTTTTTTTTTTTTTAGATGGAGTTTCCCTCTTGTTGCCCAGGCTGGAGTGCAGTGGCACAATCTTGACTCACCGCAACCTCCAGCCTCTGCCTCCCGGGTTCAAGCAGTTGTCCTGCCTCAGCCTCCCAAGTAGCTGGGATTATAGGCGTGCACTGCCACACCTGGCTATTTTTTTTTTTTTTTTAAAGTAGCGACGGAATTTCTCCATGTTGGTTAGGCTGAACTCCTGACCTCAGGTAATTCGCCCTCCTCAGCTTCCCAAAATACTGGAATTACAGGTGTGAGCCACTGTACCTGGCCTCTAATACCCAAGTTTTTAAGGAACAATATTTCCAATTTTGGGGGGGCACACACATCTAATTTTTAAAATCTTCCCAGTTAGGGAATGGATATTTAAACTTTTCTGTTGTAATTTCAAAAACAGTGTGTTTAGTAGTATGTAGTAGAATAAATACATTGTACTAGTAATCAGATTCTGGCTCATTTTTCTTTTATCAGATCACTGAACTCTTGTGCTGTAGTTCCCCAACTGAAAATGAAAATACTGGATGTGTTAGTTTCTGAGGTTCTTGTTATAAAAGTGTAGTTATTCTAGGTTTTATTGGCATTTCTCTAATGCTGATAAAAGATTAAGATAATTTTGCTTGTAATACTATTCATATAAAAATAGAATTCATTTCAATATAAAATGAGTTAGACTTGGATTCTAAAGGGGCTTAGTCAGTGAATGACTAAAACAACCTTTATATAAGATGGTCTCATGTAGCAATCAATTTCAAGATCCATTCTCTAGGAGGCTGGGGAGGGGCGGGGGAGGGAAACAACCACCAAAAAATAACATTGTCTGACAACTTTGAGCTAAAATCCAGGATCTTAATTTGAGATTAATGTAAGAAATCTGTCAGGTATTTTTAAAAAGTAACTCATCACTATTTAGGAGTTGACTTTTTCTGTTGTAGCTTTCATTGAAGGACTATTGTTTTAGTCATTCTCTCCTAAATTCCTTTTCCTGAGACTAAAAGATTGAGCTCATACCTTTGCATAACGATCTGGAGAGTATTTTAAACTTGGCATGTTCAAACCTGGCAGACTCGATTAATATGTGGACAAACTAGCACATTAGAACATTTTTTAAGTTCCAAGCCATAAATGTTTTAAATGAACATGGGCATGTATAAAATTAATACTTAAGCCTTCAAATAGCACAGACTTTCAAAATGCCTGTTGCCTTGGGTGACTGATTTTCAGTGAGGCTCTCGCTTACCCTACACATTTCTTCCTCTGCGTGAAGCAGTGCCAGGCACAGAGTCAGGAGAGGGTTTGCTCCTTTGGCGCTCTACTACCCTCTGCTTTCGGCAGAGAAAAGGCTGCTGTTTTACTTCTTAAACTCCTACCATATGGAAAGCTTCTAAAAATAAACTTTGGATTTGTATTGGACTTCTAAATTTGTAACCTTCTTTATCCATGACTAAAGCCAATGTAAATACCTTTAGCTACTCTACATACAAAGCTGTGGCACCGTTTTAGTAAGAAAGATCACCAACCATAATATTTAAATTATCAACTGAATTAGTTTACCTTTCATTTATGTCTTAGTTGGCATGGATAAGGACCTGGTTGTGTTGTCAAGCAAAAACTAGTTGGTGGTTTTTAGTGAATCCACTTTAATTTTTTGTTCATGAATTGTTGGTGTAATTACGTAGCAGACGTATTCGTGAGAATGTAGAAGTACACTAGCTTTTGACACAACAGATTGTTTAAATGGATCGTTATTCACTTTGTAAATTCTGGTCAGTTGGGCCTTCTATCAGCAAGTATATAATGAGCACCTGTTACTTGCCAGGCACTGCTAGGTCTTGCGAGATACAAAGTTGTATAAAAGATGATTCTTGTTCAGACAAGTAAGAGAGAAAGGAAGAAGAAAACCTGGGGACAACCAAATGTTTTAACTGTGTTAACAGAGAAATAGATGCTATGAGAGCATGAGAGCATGGAGGAGAGATGAGTAGAGTAATAGTTGGCTTTTTTTTTTTGAGACAGAGTCTCACTCTGTTGCCTAGGCTGCTGGAGTGCAGTGGTGTGATCTCGGCTCATTGCAACCTCCACCTCCCAGGTTCAAGTGATTCTCATGCCTCAGCCTCCCGAGTAGCTGGGATTACAGGTGTGTACCACCACTCCGAGCTATTTTTTTGTTGTTGTTGTTTTTGAGATGGAGTCTCGCTCTGTTACCCAGGCTAGAGTGCAGCAGTGTGATCTTGGCTCACTGCAGCTTCTGCCTCTCGGGTTCAAGGATTCTTGTGCGTCATCCTCCGAGTACCTGGGACTACAGGTACGTGCCACCACGCCCAGCTAATTTTTGTATTTTGTATTTAGTACAGACAGGGTTTCACCATGTTGGCCAGGCTGTTCTTGAACTCCTGACCTCAAGTGATCCGCCCGCCTTGGCCTCCCAAAGTGCTGGGATTACAGGCGTGAGTCACTGCGCCCAGCCTAATTTTTGCATTTTTAGTAGAGATGGGGCCAGGCTGGTCTTGAACTCCTGGCCTCAAGTGATCCTCCCACCCTGGCCTCCCGAAGTGCTGGCCTTTTCATAGGTGTTCAGTTTGAGGGTATATGTAACCATATCTGTTGAGGTGGACTGCTTAAAAACCACAATTCATTTATTTAATTGGGAATTGTTTCTCTCCCCTCCTTTTTTGATAACAGTCAAACCTCTAAATTTATTTTCTTTTATCTTTCTTTCTTCTTCCAACTGAGCTACGGCACTCAGCCTCAGTTGTATCTTAAATAATAAAAATTATTTACAACAGAGGCTATTTTTTTTTGAGTGCCAGGATTAATGTTACCCGCCAGGGAAAAGAGAACATTCTAGGTAGTAGGAGAAACAGTAGAACTATCAAAGACAGTATGTTCTAGGAGGAAGTTTGGTGTGGGTAATGGGGAGGAGGAGGGACATTAGTGGCCAGAGAGCAAAGGCTTGTGAGACTGGGTGGGATCAGATTATGAAAGGCTTCAGGGCCAGGGAGATGGGAGAATTATGTGATCCCAGGAGGTTGAGGCTGCAGTGAGCTGTGATCATGCCACTGCACTCTAGCCTGGGCAACAGAGTGAGACCTTATCTCAAAAAAAAAAAAAAAAAAAAAAAAAGACTTTAGATATACCATTGATTCTGTCTCTGTTATGTCTTTGTTCTCTTTTCCTTGCCTGGAAAGACTTTCTCCACTCTTTGCTGATCTAACTTATTTTTAAAGGTCCAGCTTTAGAGCATCTCTTACGTAAAGCCTTCCTCTCTTTTCCCCAGAGCTTGCTGATTTTTTACTGTGAATGATTGCACAAAGAGGCTGTATTATGCCTCATAATAAGGACTTCCATTTCTTGAACTGTTTTTGTTTTGTCTTATCTGTCCAGTTAGTTTCTCAACTCCTTAAGGGAAGAGAATGAATCCTCTTCAGCACCTGGTATTAGTGCTCATCACATTGTGAGGACTCAAGAAGTAAATGATGAATGTAGAACACTTATACATACAAACCATTATGATAACCCACCTACGGTGGTAGAGATTGCCTATGTTTATTTAAAAGGCATTTCTCGGCCGGGCGCGGTGGCTCACACCTGTAATCCCAGCACTTTGGGAGGCTGAGGCAGGTGGATCACGAGGTCAGGAGATCGAGACCATCCTGGCCAACATGGTGAAACCCCGTCTCCACTAAAATACAAAAAAAAATAGCCCGACGTAATGGTGCACACCTGTAGTCCCAGCCTACTTGGGAGTCTGAGGCAGGGGAATTGCTTCAACCTGGGAGTCGGAGGTTGCAGTGAGCTGAGATTGCGCCATTGCATTCCAGCCCGGCGACAGAGCGAGACTCCTTGTCCAAAAAAAAAAAAAAAAAAAAAGGCATTTATCAACACCAATAAGAGCAGTTTTCAGAGGTATAGGACAATTGTCATTTGGATATAAGGATATAAAATGAGTTAATAAAAACACTTGTCTCATAGAGTTGTTGTGAGAATTAGTTTTAATATTTAAGTACTTGCAACAGTATCTAGCATATAGGAAGTGCCCAATCAGTGTTACCTATTATTTAACTCCACTTACATGGGCCTTTTTTTTTTTTTTTTTTTTAACCAGTGACAGAACTCTTAACACTGTTGTGTGCATGGAGAGGATTGAAAGGAGATAAGAAACAGCTTCTTACCTTTGAAACCAAACGCCTTTTAGGAATGGGAAGAACTGTTTATATTGCATGAACTTTTATTTTTCTGTTTGTGTTGTAGTGATCGGAGGGTATGGTTGGCATGGAATTGAATTTCATCTGTCTGTGGGAATTGTAAGCAAGGTAGGTCCCAGATTTATTTACTCTTCCCTCCCTCCTTTCCTAATGTGGTCGTTAGTATCTTCAATTGTACTGACCTAGAATAGATCAGATTTGACTATTGTTTGGGGAAACATTATCTTTTTCAGTCTCACTCATCGTGCCTCCTGATGGTCTGTCCTGTGGTTTAATGTTGTGGACTACATCTAGTATCTCATTAGAATGTAGAGAATGCTAAGAAACAACATAACCAATGTAAAATTTTGGTGGTCCTAGAACAGAACCATGAATTTACACATGTACCCACCCACACATACCCCTACCTCTTTAATCCAGTCCTTGAGGGCAGAAGTTTTTGTGTTGGAGCCATTATGTAAACCAATTTAGGGTGGTGGGTAATGGTAGGCTAGCTTATTCTGATCACTCTAAAAATCAGTAGCCTGTGTGAATGGTAGACTAAATGCAACAAAGGACCTGACTAGACAGTAGCCAGGCCATTACTGGCAACTGTAAATTTTGTTACTGATGACAGGATCTGTCCATCTGTAACCACTAGAGTTTGATTTGACACAACATGCTTTGTTCCTATCTTAAGCTCCTGGGCCTGAACAAAAGTACACCAGATAGAGCTTTGGCTTATGTATCTGTCTTATGTCAGGTGCCTGCAAAAAGAGCTATAGATGGCAGTTCACGCAGCTCTGCAAAACTATTTCTGTCAGAATATTTCCTGTCAAGGTAAAGGCTACTGCTAGTTCATGTAGTTCTAGTTTTCTACCACCATAAGTATGTTGAGATTCCCGTTGCTTATTGGTACAGGAGACCTGGCTCAGTTGCAGAGTAAACTTGACAGTCAAAACGGAACTCCCCAACCAGGAATCCTGTAAACTTGTGTGTGGGGTTCTATGGGTTGATGTCAGTCTGGACTCTTGCTGCATCTACACTTAGCACAGGTTCTTGAGACTGGCTTTCTCTCAGTCACAAAGAAGAGATTAGTACATTGCTACAGGGAAAAACAGTGTAGCCACTTCCTATAGCAGAAGGAACATGGCCTTGGAATTGACGCTGCTGTCTAGGAAGGAGGAGGAGACGGTAGATTAAAGTTAAACTTCTGTAAATGAATCCTTTGTCATCATCTAGTGGTCTGAATTTTCTGGGTGTGATCTGTGTGGTCAGTAAATTATCTTTTTTCTATTGTTCTACTTTTATATTGGGGTAATAAACTATTCCATGGAAATACTGTGTGATAAAATTAATGGAAAGTAAAGAAAGGTACCAACTTTTATTGAATTCCTGCTGGAGTTAGGCATTGTACTGTAAATTTTCATGTATGTTCTTTTACTGAAATATATCAAGTTCATTGATATTACAGCTTTTCAAGTCTAGGTGAATAATATTGTGACTCAGTGTCTTGAACTATTTATAATAGCCATTTAGAGGAAATAGAATTTTGTAGTGTTTTATGTTACTTCATTTGTTTTCTGGAGAAGGAAAGAATAATTATATGAGTTAATTTTTTTCTTTTTTTGGGGGCTTGCTACTGATTAGCCAAAGGCAGGGTGGAGACTGGCGGGTTTGAAATTAGAGACACCTGTGCTGTTTTGGGAAGTTGAGGCTCTTGACCTAGGATTTGCTGAAGTTGGTGCAGGAGAGGTCAGTGTAGGTTAATATTTTCAGAGCTCAAAGCAAGTGTGGATTGGGGTTGTTTATAGGTGCAGTTTTGCTTGATCTCTGTATCTGCAAATGGAGTAAAAAAGTACAGTACTGCTGTTTTGGGAAACTTCTGCAAAAGTCCCTGAGCCAATGCAAATTAATTTTCTTCAAAAATACCAAGAAAATTCCCCATTTGGCTGTTTCACCTGGTTGAGGGAATTGACTCTTGTCATTATGCTTGTAAAGAAATTACCAGGCTGGGTGTGGTAGTTCATGCCTGTAATTCCAGCACTTTGGGCGGCTGAGGTGGATGAATTGCTTGAATCCAGGAGTTTGAAACCAGCCTGGGCAACATGGTGAAATCCTGTCTCTACAAAAAACACCAAAAAAAATTAGCCAGGCATGGTGACATGTGCCTGTAGTCCCATTTGCTAGAGAGGCTGAGGTGGGAGGATTGCTTGAGCCTGGGAGGTAGAGGCTGTAGTGAGGTGTGATTGCATCACTGCATTCCAGCCTGGGTGACAGAGTGAGACCCTGTCTCCAAAAAAAAAAAAAGAAAAAAAAAATGTCCACAGATTTTTTTTTTTTTTTAAGTTAAGAGACAGGGTCTTGATTTATTACCCAGGCTGGAGTGCAGTGTGGAACATTTACAGTTCACTGTAGCCTTGACCTCCTGGGTTCGAGTGATCCTTCTGCCTCAGCCTCCGGAGTAGCTAGGACTGCAGGTGTGTGCCACCACGCCTGGCTAATTAAAAAAAATAATTTTTTTTTTTTTTTTTTTGTAGAGACTGAGGTCTCACTGTGTTGTCCGGGTTGGTCTTGAACTCCTGGCCTCAAGTAATTCTCCTACCCCGGCCTCCCAAAGTGTTGGGATTTACAGGCATGAGCCACCATGCCTGGCCCACACATTCTTTTAAAACAATTATAAATTTGATTTTCTGTTTTTAAATTTTCTCTTGAAATTCTTCTCTCATGGGAGATACCATCTCTATGTCTTTCAGTCATGCAGTAATTGGGGGTCAGAATAAATTGTTCAGCTCTTTCCTAGGTGATATGCAATTAAACTGAAGTCTTCCTTCTCCTTTGGACTTGTGCATATATCTATGAAAGAAGAAAATCTGGTTAAGAGCAGCAGAATTACCTGGAGATACTATACTGTCCTTTCAAGGGCTGAAATGGACACATTAACATTTCTTAATCTATGCATTTTTCCATTTTTATTTTTCTGTCTATTGAATGAATTACTGTACTTTTCCTCTTGGCCACTTCCTTTTTATGGTTTAGTGAGATAAACTTAATATAATTTTTCCTTCTTTGTTGAACAAATGTTAGTTCTTTAAAAATAACTTTGAGGTATAATTTATATACTACAGAATTTACCTGTTTGAAGTGTACAGTTTATTTTTAGTAATTTTGTGGAGATGTGCAACCATTACCCCACTCCAGTATTACATTTCCAATACCCCAGAAAGATCCCTTGTAAACACCATTTTTAAACTTCCTTTGAAGTAAGGCGCACATTTTATTAAGTTCTGCATCGGATTTAATCTTCCACTCATGAAGTTTTCCACCACTCTGCGTATTGCACGTCTTCTTTCCTCCTCTTCTTTATATATTAGTTTCTTATTACTGGTCAAACATACCACTCTTTTGTTATTTTTATTACATTTTCTCAACACTTTTTAAAAAGTGTAACCTTGAAAAGAAGGGATTTAGCTTTTATTCAAAGTTATTTTTTTCTTTGAAAGTTGTTATCTTTTTTTTTTTTTTTGAGACGGAGTCTCGCTCTTTTGCCCAGGCCGGAGTGGAAAGTTGTTATTTTATAATGCCTCAGGCCTCTCAGTAAGAGCTCGTTATTATTTCTGGGTTTTCTGTTCACTTCATTTGCTATTTATTTATTTATTTATTTATTTTGAGACGGAGTCTCGCTCTGTCGCCAGGCTGGAGTGCAGTGGCGCGATCTCAGCTCACTGCAGCCTCCACCTCCCAGGTTCAAGCAATTCTCCTGCCTCAGCCTCCTGAGTAGCTGGGACTACAGGCGCGTGCCACCACGCCCGGCTAATTTTTTGTATTTTTTTGGTAGAGACGGGGTTTCACCATGTTGGCCAGGATGGTCTTGATTTCTTGACTTTGTGATCTGCCTGCCTTGGCCTCCTAAAGTGGTGGGGTTACAGCTGTGAGCCACCGTGCCCAGCTGCTATTTATTTATTTTTAAAGGGAATAATTTATTGGTTATTTCTTGTGTGTGTATACAGACTAGGTATTAGCTGATTTGGAGAATTCTGCTCTGTGCATAAGTATTCAGATACTCAGTAAAAGATGTGAATATTGTCATACACTTGAGCTTTTCCTTTTTTTTTTTTTTTTCTTTTTTTGAGACAGAGTCTTGTTCTGTTACACAGGCTGGAGTGCAATGGTGTGATCTTGGCTCACTGCAGCCTCCGCCTCCGCCTCCTGGGTTCAAGCAATTCTCGTGCCTCAGCCTCCTGAGTAACTGGGATTACAGGTGTGTGCCACTATGCCCGACTAATTTTTGTATTTTTAGTAGAGACGGGGTTTCACCATGTTGGCCAGGCTGGTCTCAAACTCCTAACCTCGTGACCCACCCACCTCGACCTCCCAAATTGCTGGGATTACAGGTATGAGCCACCGCGCCCGGCTACACTGGAGCTTTTTAAAGGCTTACCTACCATGTTGGTTTGTCTCATTAATGATGATGTTAAATCTCATCATTGGTTGAGTTCCTGTCTGCCAGATTTATCCATTGTAAACTGTCTTTTCCCCTTAGTGATACATAATCTATACAGCCATACTAATTATTTACTTTTGATATCTCTTGTACAGAAGTGCCATGTAGTTGTCGTAGTAGCAATACATCTTCTTAGAGCAACAAACTAACCTGGCTAACAGTGTTTAAAAATTGAGTATTATGTGGAAGACAGTATGCAAAAAATGCAAAAAAATGAAGTTCAGAATTCATTTAATTTAAGCTTCTTTGTAATGTGAAGTTTTTTTTTTTTTTTTTCGAGACGGAGTCTCGCTCTGTCTCCCAGGCTGGAGTGCAGTGGTACGATCTCAGCTCACTGCAACCTCCGCCTCCCGGGTTCAAGCGATTCTCCTGCCCCAGCCTCCTGAGTAGCTGGGATTACAGGTGTGTGCCACCATGCCTGGCTAATTTTTGTATTTAGAGATGGGGTTTCACCATGTTGGTCAGGCTGGTCTTGAACTTCTGACCTTGTGATTCGCCTGCCTCGGCCTCCCAAAGTGCTGGGATTAAAGGTGTGAGCCACCGTGCCCGGCCTTGTAATATGAATTTTTAAGTGCAGAGTTTAAATACAGTTGCTTAAGAGCCTTGGGACGCAAATTTAGTTTTCCTTGGGTCATAAGGAATTTTTGTTGACAACCTTTTCACAGTTGTACTTTAGTAGACATTATTAGCATGTAGTAGACATTATTAACATTTTTCATAGTTTTCAGACAAGTTCTTTCCTGCTTTTAAAATTCCTTCCTCCAGTCTTCTCATGTATCCCTTGGAACAATACAGCTCTTACTGAGGGGTCTGGAGTTATCTGGGTTTGAACCCTGGCTCAGCAGTTACTTAACCTCTCTGTACTTCACTATTCTCCTTTGTAAAATAGAATAGTAATACCTCATACGTTTTTATGAGGATTAAATAGGCATTTGGCACTTTTGTTGGTCACAGATGTTCAGTAAGCCTGTATATTATTCTCAGTCTGATAACACTTGTCACATAGTAGGCAGTGATTTTTTCCTTTATAAGCTGTACATGTATACATAAACATATAAATGTAGCTCATAGATGTTGCTCAAGGAAATAATCATAGACATTCCTGCTGTAATTGTCTCTGTCACAATCTTGGGGGGAGATTTAGATTCACTTTTTTAGGATACTTGTAGGATCCATATGTTAACCATACACCCCCCAACCATGTCTACATTTGCTGCATATTACTTTGAATATAAGATTTCGGCACTGCGTAGTGCTATGAAAAAAATGGTAAATATTATTTCTACCTCAGACTATATGATCTTTTTTTTTCCCCTGAGACAAGGTCTTACTCTATTGCCCCAGGCTGGAATGCAGTGGCGCAATCATAGCTCATAGCAGCTTTGCACTCCTGGACTCAAGCAGTCATCCTGCCTCAGCCTCCTCGGTAGCTAGGATTGCAGGCATGTGCCACTATGCCTGGCTAATTTTTAAATTTTTTGTAGAGATGGAGTCTCGCCATGTTTCCCAGGGTGGTCTCGAACTCCTGGGCTCGAGCAGTCCTCTGCCTTTGGCTTCCCAAAGCATTGGGATTATAGGTGTGAGCCAATACATCTGGCCCAGACTATATGATCTTAATGTGTACGTTGGAAATGGTTAAATTCAAGGCACTGTTACTATGTTACATCTCTGACCTGAATTGGAGGCCACAGTTCATTAACTGGCAATCTATTGATCTAAGTACAGTTACCAACTAAATTTTTCAGTGGTTCTCAATGGGGAAGGTACCATATATCCAAAGGGTATTTGGAAAAGTATGGAGGCATTTTTGGTTGTTAAGTGACTGTGGGTGGGAGATGCATCACTGGCATTTGGTGGAGAAAACTCAGAATTGTTCACCCAAAATGCCAATAGCGTCACTGTTGTGAAATTAAGCTAAATACTTTGGTAAATCAGTAGATAATGTTTTATCTTAGTTACAAAAAAAAGTTGAGGCTGGGCGCGGTGGCTCACACCTGTAATCCCAGCACTTTGGAAGGCCGAGGCAGGTGGATCACAAGGTCAGGAGTTAGAGATCAGCCTGACCAACATGGTGAAACCTCATCTATACTAAAAATACAAAAATTATCTGGGCGTGGTGGCGCGTGCCTGTAATCCTAGCTACTCAGGAGGCTGAGGCGGGAGAATCGCTTGAACCTGGGAGGCGGAGGTTGCAGTGAGCCGAGACTGCGCCACTGCACTCCAGCCTGGGCGACAGAGCGAGACTCTGTCTCCAAAAAAAAAAAAAAAAAATGTTGGAGTGTGGCCTTCTCACCTTCCCATGGATGTGCTGATCCACTGTTATCAGTGTACTCTGAAAAAGGGGAGTCATCTGGCAAAAATGTCACTTTGTCTCCTGTATTCAAGGCTCCCATTCCACCAGATATTGTGAACTTTGTTCACACCAACTTGCACAAAAACAACAGACAGCCCTATCTTGTTAGTGAATTAGCAGGTCGTCAGACCAGTGCTGAATCTTGGGGTACTGGCAGAGTTGGGTCTCAAATTCCCAGAGTTTGAGGTGGTGGGACTCACTCTTTTGGCCAGGGTGCTTTTGGAAATATCTGTCATGGAGGCCACATGTTTGCACCAACCAAAACCTGGCACTGTTGGCACTGTAGAGTGAACACAATCCAAAAAACAATATGCTATCTGTTCTCCCCTGGCTGCCTCTGCCTTACCAGTGCTGGTCATGTCTACAGGTCATCATATTAAGGAAGTTCCTGAACTTTTTTTGGTGGTCAGAGATAAAGTTGAAGGCTACAAGACAATCAAGGAGGCTGTTTTGCCACTTAAGCCTGGAGTGATACAAAAAAGGGCTATGCCTCTCAGCAAATGAGAGCTGGCAAGGGCAAAATGAGAAACCATCGTATCCAGCGCAAGGGACCCTGCATCGTCTCTAATGAAGATGATTGTATTGTCAAAGCCTTCCGAAACATTCCTAGAATTATTCTGCTTAATGTAAGCAAACTGAACATTTTGAAACTTGCTCCTGATGGGCATGTGGGACATTTCTGCATTTGGACTGAAAGTGCTTTCTAGAAGTTAGACAATTGTGTGGCACTTGGTGTAAAGCTGTTTCCTCAAGAGTAACTGCAATCTTTGCATGCACAAGATGATCAATACAGACCTTAGCAGAATCTTGAAAAGCCCAGACATCCAAAGCCCTTCAAGCACGTTGCAGGAAGATTCATCGTAGAGTCCTGGGGACAAACCTCCTGGAAAACCTGAAAATCATGTTGAAGCTAAACCCATATGCAAAGACCATGCTCTGCAACACCAGGCTTTGCCAGGCCAGCAACCACAAACTCCAGGTGGATAAGGCAGCGGCGGCGGTGGCAGCAGCAGCAGCAGCACCAGCACCAGCACCAGCAGCACCAGCAGCACCAGCAGCACTAGAGGCCAAATCAGATGAGAAAGGGGGTTGCAGTCAAGAAGCCTGTGGTAGGGAAGAAAGGAAAGAAGGTTGTTGTTTTTAAGCAGGAGAAACCTCTGGTGGGAAAAAGGGCAGCAGCTACCAACCAAGACATCAGTAGCTGAAAAAAAAACCTACCACAGAGGAAACGAAGCCTGCTGCATGAGCTTGTTGGTTTATTCCATAAAGGTCAAATAATTTTGGACAGCTTATTTTTAATAAAGACCTGATCAGTGAAAAAAACAGTGATTGCTCATGGCAGGAAGCTTTTTGAACAAATCCTTCAGAGCTTTAGTATGTAATCTCTGAATTATTCCAGGGGAATTAGGCCATATTTTCTCAGTTGGGAGAGTAAGGTATTTTCCTGAAGATTCTGAGGGCGTTTGCCATTATGAATGTGTTTTGGTAGGGTTTAACTTCTAAAATTAAGAGTAGTTGAATGGCTAGAGTGGTTTAGTGGTTAAAGAAGATTGGCATTATTCCTTTAGTAATCTTTGTATCTTCATGGTTGATGGAAATAATACAATTTGTGCTTCGCATTCCAGTGATGCCTGGTTATTGTTTGTACTGTTCTTTCTTTCCTTCTTTTTTTTTTTTTTGAAGAGCAAATGATGTATTTGTTTGGCAGATCAATAAGATTTTATTAGGTATGTAATTCAACTTGTTGTAGCTTGTTTCACTTGAGCCTAGTAAGGACTTTGATGGAGATAAAAAAAAATAATTACTCTCAACTTCCACCTACCATTTTATCAGTCTCTAGGGCAATGTTTCTCAACATTTTTGGCTGTGGTTCATCGTTCAAGATGTATTTTACATTCAGACCCAATACACACGTAAGTATATCGATATCTAAAACAAAAGTTTCATGAAATAATACTTACCCTTATTAGGTGCAGTGCAATCTGCTCGTTTCTATTTTATTCCATTTTATTTAATTGCAAGATGTTGATGTTGGCCTAGGAAATTGATTCTGTGACCTGTGTATTATGAATTGCAGTTAAAAATACTGTGTTAGGATATATGTTCATGAAATTTTAACTCAGGCTTTAAAATATATCCCAAGTCTTACTATATCTCTCTGCTCAACTATTGCCCTTGGCTAAGCCACCTTCATCTCTCTCCTAGACTTCTCCAGTAGCCTCCTAATTGCATTCTCTGCTAACTCTCATCCCCTGCCATCACCTAGCTCTGTTCTTTTAGCTGTCTAATTGATGCTTTTAAAATGTTATTCTGGTCATGTTGTCTTCACTATTACTTTCTTTCCCCCACTTTCATTTATTGTGTTAAAATACACATGAAATTTACCATCTTAATCATTTTAAGTATATAGTTCAGTGGTATTATATACATTCATAATGTTATGCAACTGTCATCACCATCCATCTCCAGAACTCTTTTCAGCTTGTGAAACGGAAACTCTACACCCATTAAACAAATAAGTCCCTATTCCCTCCTCCTCCTTCCCCCTGGAAACTACCCTTCTACTTTGTGTCTATGATTTTGACCTCTCTAGGTACCTCATATAAGTGGAATCATACAGCATATATAACTTTTTGTTATAAATTTAGCCTATGTGATTTTTAAAAAAGTTTATATAATGTTTTACATACAAGTTAAAAATTAAAGTAGTAATCATCGACCTCAGACATCTAGAACAAGTTACACCATGGAGCCTTCCTGCTCAGCAGCATTGAGGCCTGGACTGCCTTGTTTCCTCTTCCCTTCAGATCGGCAGAAGTGATGACTTCTCTGGACTTGTAATATTTTTGTTCTTTGGTAAGTGAATATGAGGAGAGACTTGACTTTTTTGTTTTCTTTTTGAGACCGAGTCTTGTTCTTTTGCCTAGGCTGGAAGTGCAGTGGTGCGATCTTGGCTCACTGCAACCTCCACCTCCCAGGTTCAAGCGATCCTACCACCGCAGACTCTCAGGTAGCTGGGACTACAGGCGTGCGCCACCACGCCCAGCTAATTTTTTGTATTTTTAGTAGAGATGGGGTTTCACTATGTTGGCTAGGCCGGTCCTAAACTCCTGACCTCAAGTGATCCACCCCCCTCAGCCTCCCAAAGTGCTGGGATTAAGGCTTGAGCCACTGTGCCCAGCTCAAGAGACTTGGCTTTTTTTTTTTTTTTTTTTGAGACAGAGTCTCACTCTTGTTGCCCAGGTTGGAGTGCAATGGTGCGATTTTGGCTCACCACAACCTCTGCCTCCTGGGTGATTCTCCTGCTACGGTCTCCCGAGTAGCTGGGATTACAGGCATGTGCCACCACACCCGGCTAATTTTGCATTTTTAGTAGAGACAGGTTTTCTCCATGTTGGTCAAGCTGGTCTCAAACTCCCAACCTCAGGTGATCCTCCTGCCTCAGCCTCCCAAAGTGCTGGGATTATAGGCGCAAGCCACCACGCCTGCCTGAGACTTAGCATTTTGAAAGACAAGATAACGTGCTGAGCCAGACAGCTCAGAATCCTCCGCATCTATTTTATTATTGGCTTTTGGAAAAGGCACTATGGTTGTATGTATGGAAAGGCTGACTTGGGAGTCATGATGTCTGGGTTTTCCTGGCTTTGCCACTTACTTATTTGGAGACCTTGGGCAAATTGCTTACAACCCTTCTGAGCTTTAGTTTCTTAGCATCGGAAACCATTGGACACTTTAGATTTCTTCAAATCCTAAAATTCAGAAATTCTATCATGTTTTTGACAAGGTTTTGAGACCTTACAAGAGTCTGTTTTTCTGTTCTGCCATCCTGATTTTTTTCCCATCTACTGTAATCTGAATGCTTAGAAGAAGGACAGTAAATTTTAATCTGTCACACTCGATTATTGTGATGAAATAATCCCAGAATTGTGATTATAAAATAGTCTGGACATACAAAGTACTATGCAGATGACAAATACTATATATACCACATGGGGATGAAAACTGGAGATGAGCACCTCGTCCTGTGCACTTTCTGTGAACTGCTCTGTGCTTATGATCTTATGATCCACCTAGAGTAGTGGTCTCCAACATTTTTGGCACCAGGGACCAGTTTCGTGGAAGAAAGTTTTTCCATGGACTGAGGCAGGGGGGCAAGGTTTTGGGATGAAGCTCTTCCACCTCAGATCATCAGGCATTAGATTCTCATAAGAAAGGTGCAACCTAGATCCCTTGTATGTGTATTTTACAGTAGGGCTTGTGCTCCTGTGAGAATCTAATGCTGCCTATGAGAATCTAATGCCACTGCTGATCTGACAGGAGGCAGAGCTCAGGCCGTAATAGTTGCTCCCCACTACTCAGTCCTGCTGTGTGGCCTGGTTCCTAACAGGCCATGGACTGGGGGTTGGGAACCCCTGACCTAGAGAGTCTTTTGATTCTGCTTTACTGTGCTTTCCTTGAATTGCAAGTCTGATTACTTGCAACATTCTCTTTGTATTATGTTTTGTGGCTTGAGTGTGCCTAATCCAGCCAGAGGTAAAGCTGGGGAATTGTCCTCTTCTTTGGTCTTGAGGCACTTCTGCAGGAAAATTTAGCTTTAGAAAAGATAAGGTTACCAAAGTTCTGACTGCCTAGTTTGTGAGCTGGGCCCCTAGTGTCATCATAGGGAGCTATGGTTTCATTATTACACATTTTGTTTTTCACTAAATATCATAGTTTTTTTCTCTGAAATGCTAATGAGCTGTCATGTGGCTATATTTGCCTTCAAGTTACTGGGAGGATTGATAGTGTCTGTTACAGGCAAAACAAAGCTCTGTTTTTTTTAATCAGGGAAGAATATTAGTAATAGAGCTCTTGTGTAGCTCTCAGGCTTTTCAGGCTCTTTCATAGCTCCATTTGTTAAAGACTTTTTACTTTATTTTGCCTCATTTGGCAAAAGACATGGATGTGCTCTAAATCTATTAGCTGCTTCACTCCAGTGAGACTCTTAGCATTGCAGTACCTGAGGGCACTGTTCAGCTCACCCCTGTGTACTCCTGGCCAGATTGCCATCAGCCTTTTTTTCATACAGAAAGAACCATAATGTGCATACTCTGTTTCTATAACATAATGAACTGAGTTCTGGGCAACTTTAATTGTAACCTTAAAGGAGCTAATGGTATTCATATGTTAGGTAGGTTTACCTTGATTTTTGAACAAACAGTGCAGTTTCCCAGGGAATCAAAGTTAGACTGCTTTACATTGTAGAGAAGGGTGTGTGTGTGTGTGTGTGTGTGTGTGTGTATGTGTGTATAAAGTTAAAACCTTCGTCTGTGGCTGTATGGAAGGAAGTAACCTTGGGAAGTTTTTTTTTAGACTATGAATAAGAGCAAATTGATGAATTTTTTTGGGAAGAGGATTAAAGCAACTCATAGGAATTCAGCACCCTGATGTATGTCATAGTGCTAAAATTTGCTTAGTGTTAAAGTCAGATAGCATAACGTAGAATTACCATTTGACTAGCAATTCTTCTCATCGTTATATACTCAAGAGAATTGAAAAAATATACCAACACAGAAACTTTTACATGAATATTCATAATAGCATTATTCATAATAGGGAAAACATGGAATAGTCCAAATGCCCATCAGCTGATGAGTGGATAAATAAAATGTGGTATATCTATACAGTTGAATATTATTTGGCAATGAAAAGGAATGGTGTACCAATACATGCTTCAACATGGATAAACCTTGAAAACATTATGCTAAGTGAAAGAAGCCTGTCATAAAGGACCACATACTGTATGATCCCATTTATGTGAAATGTCCAGAATAGGCAAATCCGTAGAGACAGAAAGTAGATTAGTAGTTGCTGGGGGCTGGAAGAGAGGGGAATGGAGAGTGACCACTTAATAGGAATGGGGTTTCTTTTTAAGGTAAAGAAGATGTATTAGCTAGTAGTAATGGTTCCACAGCTTTGCAAATTACACTAAAATCCACTGAGTTGAATACTTCGAAAGGGCGAATTTTATAGTATGTGAATTATATACCAGTAAAGCTATTATCTAACAAGTAAGACCAAATTATCTGTATAGGTAAGATACCTGTCTTTTTTGCTGAGTAGAGCTATATGAAATTCTGATACATGGGATGCCTTGATTAAAGATACTCCGTATCATCATTTATCTAAAGGCTTATGTCAACTTGGAAATCATAATTGCAAAGAAAACTTTTTTTTCCTATTGTAGGATTAAATGTTAGATGTAAAATTCCATAGTGTCTGACTCTGTGGATGCACAGAAGAAAGGAATAAGTTGTATATATATTATACATATTATAATCTAGAACTAAAAATATTACAGAAGGGAAAGCCCATATACCTAATAAAACTATAAAGTTGGCTCTTTCTCAAACAATGGGATACTATTTTACACACTTAAATTTTGCAAATATTATAAAATCTCATACTACCAATTGTTAACAAGGATATGGGGAAAGAGAAACCCTAATACACTGCTGATGGGTGTGTAAATTGAGCTCTGTAGAAAGTTTTTGGCAAGATTTTGTGAAGGTGATGAATGTCCTATGAACCAGCAGTACAAAATATACATCTTGTATGTATTTTGCATAAATGGTGAACCTTCCATTTATGCAAAAGGAAACATGTACACGTGTTTTAATTTCATTTATATTTGTGATAGGAAAAAATTTGGAAGCTACAGAGAAATGGATAAGCGAGCAGTGGCATTTTAATGCAACCTATTGCTCTAGTACAGTCAGAATGGACAAATCAGGTCTACATGTGTCAATATAGATACATCCTGGAAGCATTATGTTGAAAAAAAAGAAAGCAAGTGGCTTGGCATGGTGGCTCATGCCTGTAATCCAGCACTGAGGCTGAGGTGGGAAGATTGCTTGAGGCCAGGAGTTCAAGACCAGCCTGAGCAATGTTGTGAAAGCCTGTTTCTATTATTTAAAAAAAAAAAGAATAAAAATTAAAAGCAAGTTACAAGAAGTTAAATGTGATACCTGTTATGATCAGTTAAGACAAAATAAAAACATGCCTACAGTCCCAGCTACTTGGGAGGCTGAGATGAAAGGATGAGACGGGACAATTGCTTAAGCCCAGGAGTTCCAGTGTAGCCTGGACAGCATAGTGAGACCCCATCTTTTAAACAAACACATCAGTCAATCCAATACTGTGTTGTCTAAGGAAAACATATGTATGCTACAAAATTGTTTTAAGATGTGGATTAAAAGAAGCTATATTACCTTCAGCAGGATATTTACTTCTGAAGGAGAAGACAGGACAGTGGAATGAAGAGGGAAACTTTCAACTTACTTCCAATATTCTCTTTCTTAAAATCTGACGCAAATATGGCAGTATGTCATAAATTGTTATATTTGGGTTTATCATTTCATTTTTCTGTATTTTAAATAAACTTTCATAATTAAAAATTAGGAAAAGTCACCAGGCATAGTGGCTGACACCTGTAATCCCAACACTTTGAGAGATCAAGGTGGGAGGATCGATTGAGGCTAGGAGTTTGAGACCAGCTTGGGCAATGTAGCAAGACCTCATCTCTACAAAAAATACAAAAACTAGCTGGGTGTGGTGGTGCACGCCTGTAGTCCCAGCTACTCAGGAGGCTAAGGTGGGAGGAATGCTTGAGCCCAGGAGTTTGAGGCTGTAGTGAGCCATGATGATGCCAGTGCTTTACAGTCTGGGTGCCAGAATGAGACCCTGTCTCAAAAAAGGAAAAGTGAAAAAAAATCACATGGGTGAGTTTAAAAAAAATTATTGGGCTTACATATTTTTTTTACATGTTTCTATATTTGCTGTCCTAAAAATGATTCATCCTAATAGTCATTAATGTTGGTTTTTGAAGAAGTACAATGAATGTGGTTCATATGTTGTGTTTTTATTATAAAATCACCACTTGTCCATATTTTATTTTTTCCTTGCTCGAAAAGTGCTTGATTAACACAGTAATGTTACACAGTAACACATGAATGAATTCTTACTAAAAGTGCATGGGTTTTTATGTTTTATAGTTAGGACTTTGGTTTCCTTCTATAACAGCATTTGTGTCTTTTTTTTTTTTTTGAGATGGAGTTTCGCTCTTGTTGCCCAGGCTGGAGTGCAATGGCGCCGTCTTGGCTCACTGCAACCTCCACCTCCCAGGTTCAAGAGATTCTCCTGTCTCAGCCTCCCAAGTAGCTGGGATTATAGGCGCCTGCCACCATGCCCGGCTAATTTTTGTATTTTTAGTAGAGACGGGGTTTCACCATGTTGGCCAGGATGGTCTTGAACTCCTGACCTCAGGTGATCCACCCACCTTGGCCTCCTAAAGTGTTGGGATTACAGGGGTGAGCCACCACGCCTGGCCAGCATTTGTGTCTTTATTGGTTGTGTGAGAATACTGCTTGCTAAGCATTATACTGCCCTCTTTCAGATGTTCTTTATACATACTTTGATTCTGAGGAAGGCTGTAAACTAGTATGATACTGGCAGGCACTTACCACATTGTTGGATGCCTTAAAAGTTTATTGTTATGAATATTATTATTTTTAATAAATGTTTACTGTGTATAATAAGAAAGTGTAAATTACTAGATGGAAGTATGCTTTTGACAAGCTTCTTGGAGACAGGGTTTTTGGAACTGAAGAATGGAGTGAGGGATAGATTATGACAATTATTATGGCTATTCATCTTAAATCTTAAGAGAATTAGCACAAGATATGCATGCCTTCACAAGACGTGGAAATTCCTTAGCATTCATCTTTAAATTAGCAGACTTGGCTATGGGTATTTTCCCTGTTAACATTAGTTTCCTTTCTGCCATTCTTCTTCTTTTTAGAGTTGGAGTCTCACTCTGTTACCCATGCTGGAATGCAGTGGCATGATCACAGCTCACCACAGTCTTGAGCTCCTGGGCTCAAACTGTCCTTCCACCCCAGCCTCCCAAGTAGCTGAGATTATGGGCATGCACCACCACACTTGGCTGCTTTTTATTTATTTTGTTTTTTATTATTTTAGTTTTTTTGAGACAGGGTCTCACTCTCACCCAGACTGAAGTTCAGTGGCACAATCTTGGCTCACTGCAGCCTTGACTTCCTGGGCTCAAGTGATCGTCCCATCTCAGCCTCTCTAGTAGCTGGGACCACAGGTGTGTGCCACCACACCTAGCTAATTTTTGCATTTTTTTTGGTAGAGCTGGTGTTTCACCATGTTGCCCATGTTTCTCGAACTCCTAGGCCCAAGCAATCCGTTTGCCTCAGCCTCCCAAAGTGTTAGGATTACAGGTGTGACCCACAGTGCCTGGCCTCAACTCGCTACTTTTCTAAAAAAAAATTTTGAGAGAATGGAGTGGGGTCTCACTACATTGCCCATGCTGGTCTTGAACTCCTGGCCTCAAGTGATCCTTCTGCCTTGGCCTCCTGAGTCGATGAGATTATAGGTCTGAGCCACTGCGCCTGGCCCTTCTGTCATTCTTAGAGGAAAGGATGTTACATACCATCTCTTCTGTTTAGTATAGATTAATGTTCTCTTCTTGGTTTCATTTTCTTTTTTCCTCCAAGAAGTTACTGAGTACTGAGTTTTTTTATATTTTAGATTGAGTTTTCAAGTTTGACTTTCCTCCAGAGCAGTGTTTTTTGAACTGCGGTATGTGGGTGGGAGTGAGTAGTGTTATTGAAAAGATCATGAATTCTGGCCAAGCCTGGTGGCTCACACCTGTAATCCCAGCACTCTGGGAGGCCAAGGTGGGTGGATCACTTGAGGTCAGGAGTTCGAGACCAGCCTGGCCCACATGGTGAAACTCCGTCTCTACTAAAAATACAAAAATTAGCCAGGCATGGTGGCACGTGTCTGTAATCTCAGCTACTTGGGAGGCTGAGGCAGGAGAATTGCTTGAACCCAGGAGGTGGAGGTTGCAGTGAGTCAAGATTGCACCACTGCACTGCAGCCTGGGTGACGAAGCAAGACTCTGTCTCGGGGGAAAAAAAGATCATGAATTCTCAGGAGTCTTACCAGACAGTGGTTTAAAAAGATCAGATGTAGGCCGGGCGTGGTGGCTCACACCTATAATCCCAGCACTTTGGGAGGCTGAGGCTGGCGAATCACCTGAGGTCAGGAGTTTGAGACCAGCCTGACCAACATGGAGAAACCCCATCTCTACTAAAAATACAAAATTAGCCGGGCATGGTGGTGTATGCCTGTAATCCCAGCTACTCGGGAGGCTGAGGCAGGAGAGTCGCTTGAACCTTGGGAGGCAGAGGTTGCGGTGATCGCACCATTGCACTCCAGCCTGGGCAATAAGAGGGAAACTCTGTCTCAAAAAAAAAAAAAAAAAAAATCAGATGTAGATTGAATAGGGGTGTTTTTCTCTGTGTCTGCCCTTTCCTTGTACCTACCTTGTGAAGGCATGTCAGAGATGGGTAGTGCCCCAGAGACGTTTAGAAGTGGTCACATAAACATGCCATGTTTGAAGTGAAAATGGTGGTTTATTTTATGTATTTATCTTGTTACATTTGATTATTATCAAGTAAAATGGTTAATGTCTATTATGTACATAACATCCTTTAAAGTTGTGCTTTCTCTCATTCCAAAATGGAGTCTTTCAAGTTGGAAATACACTCATATCAGGAATATTTGGGATTCTGAGCTGTAGTTTTCTGTTCAATCTCATTATAGTCTTTTTTTTTTAATTTTTTTTTTTTTTTTTTTTTTAGACAAGGGTCTTACTCTGTTACTCAGGCAGGAGTGCATGAGTGCAGTGCAGTGTCACTATCATGGCTCACTGCAGCCTCGACCTCCCAGGCTCAAGTGATCTTTCCACCTCAGCAACCCAAGTAACTGGGACCACAGGTGCTCACCACAATGCCTGGCTAATTTTTAAATTTTTTGTGGAGATGAGGTCTCCCCATGTTGCCCAGGCTGGTCTCAAACTCCTGGGCTCAAGCTATCCTCCCACCTCAGCCTCCCAAAGTGCAAAGGGCTGGGATTACAGGCGTGAGCCACTGCCTCCAGTTAATTTTGAAAATTTTATAGAGATGAGTGTCTCACTATGTTGTTCAGGCTGGTTATGAAGTCCTGGGCTCAGGCCATCATTCTGCCTTGGCCTTTCAAAGTGTTGGGATTACAGGTGTGAGCCACCATGCCCGGCCTCATTATGATCTTAATGATGACAGAAAACAAACTACTTTAGGTATACATTATATTGGAGGTTTTTCCTACTAGCTGTTTTGTATTTTTAAAGATACACTTCACATATTGAAGATAGATATCTGTTGGTGTAGAAAGTTTTTGTATTTTCCCTAGTCCATTTTTGGGACAATTTGAAGTTTAAGCCAGAGTCTGAACTTGGAAACATAATTTCGCTTCCTAAAGGGGTAATCTAAGGAATTCCAGACTTATGCCACGATTTAGAATCCCTTGCATTATCCCTTTAAAAGGTGGGAAAAGTAAATTTATGGTGTAAATTGAACAATTTAGGGAGATGCTAGGATTATCAGCATTCACTTAAAAGTTACTGAGTTATTATCAGCATTCACCTAAACGTTACTGAGATGAATAACTTAAAATAATTTCATTCATATACTGAGATGAATAACTTAAAAATAATTACATCTTTAGGCTGGGTGCGGTAGCTCATGCCTGTAATCCCAGCACTTTGGGAGGCCAAGGCAGGTGGATCACCTGAGGTCAGGAGTTTGAGACCAGCCTGGCCAACATGGCAAAACCCCGTCTGTACTAAAAATAAAAAAAAATTAGCTGAGCGTGGTGGCGCGCACCTGTAATCCCAGCTACTTGGGAGGCTGAGGCAGGAGAATTGCTTGAACCCACGGGGTGGAGGTTGCAGTGAGCCGAGATCATGCCACTGTACTCCAGCCTGGGAGACAGAACAAGACTCCGTCTCAAAAAAAAAAAAAAAAAAGAAATTTACATCTATACATATGGTGCCAAGATGCTATGTAAGAATACTACAAAAATATCAGTTGAATATATTTAAATCAGAAAAAAATGCTTAGTGTTTGTTGAGCTCTTACTGTCTTAGCATTGTTAGTGCTTCTCATGTAGTATGTCACTCAGTCCTCACAGTTAACTTGTGAGAGTTGTTGTTATACTCATCGGGATAAATATTAGGTTGGCAAAAAAATAATTGCAGTTTTGCTATTGAAAGTAAAAAACCACAATTACTTTTGCACCAACCTAATAACCTATGGTCATATACCCTGGTAGTAAGTGGTGGTGTTGGCTTGTAAAATCAGATGCTTTGACTAAAATAATGGTGCTGTTCATCACCATATTGGCTGAAGAAAAGTCACCATGGATTGTTTATATCACCTAAATTTCAAATAGTTGAGCTATGGAGATATACAGGTTGTGAAAGCCTTTTGATTCAAAGATGTGGAACAGTGTGTCTTTTAACATATACCATTTCACTTTTTACTGCTACTCACCTGGAAAGCAAATAATTTTTTAAATATTTGACTCATTTTATAAAAGATTTTTTTAATTTAAAATTTAATCTGAGTATAATATTTTTCTGAGAAATGCCTGAGCATATCTCAATATTTTATATCTAAATCTAGCATTTATATTTTATCTTAGAACTTTGACTTTTGTAGATCTCTGTGAGGTACTAATTAAATTCTACAAATATTTACTGAGCGTTTGAGTATCTTCTCTATGCAAGGGGCTGAACGAGCTGGTTGAGAACAAAACAGGGAAAGGAGTTAACATCTATTGAACACCTGTTAAATTTTAGATCTTCATCTCATTTAATCTGTATAGTAAATTTGTTAGTAGGTACGATCCTCATTTTATACCACAGGAAACTTAGGCATGGAGGAGTTAAGCTCTCATCACCTAAATGGCAGTTCTGGAATTTGAACCTAAGCCCATGCTACTTTTCTAACACACAATACTGCCTCGTGTGTAAATATAAATTGGATTCCTATTTCTAGCTTATAGTCTAGTCCAGGAGTTCACAAAGTGGAGTCTGCAGATGGACTGCTGGTGGTCCCTGATTTCACTTTTGGTTATCACAAGTTCACAACTGTAGTCGTTCATCAGTATTCATGGAGGATTGGTTCCAGTACCCCTGCTGTGGGTACCAAAATCCATGGAGCTGAAGTCCCTTATATAAAAAGGTGTAGTATTTGCATATAATTTACATCCTCCCATATACTTCACATCATCTCTAGATTATTTATAATAACTAATACAAGCCAGGCATGGTGGCTAACATCTATAATCCCAGCACTTTGGGAGGCTGAGGCGGGTGAATCTCTTGAGGCCAGGTGTTGGAGACCAGCCTGGACAACATGTGAAACCCCGTCTCTACCAAAAAGTACAAAAATCAGCCGGCGTGGTGGTGCATGCCTGTACTCCCAGCTACTCAGGAGGCTGAGGCACGAGAATAGCTTGAACCCAGGAGGCAGAGGTTGCAGTGAGCCGAGATCACGCCACTGCACTCCAGCCTGGGTGACAGAGCAAGGCTCCATCTCAAAAAAAAAAAATAATAATAATAATAACTAATGCAGTGTAATGCTGTAGTTGTTATACTGTATTGTTTGGGGAATAATGGTAAGAACAGAAAGTCTGTAAATGTTCAGTATAGATGCAGCCATTCACTTTTTTCCATGAATATTTTCAATCCGTGGTTGGTTGAATACACAGAAGCAGAACCAATGGATACAGAGGGCTAACTGTGTTTTTATGATAATGTTAAAATGTTACTGCTTTTTTCACTGATGATGGCAAAAGCAATGACTGATAAGACTGCTGGCACCTTAGCACAAGTTGAGAGAGTGGCACCAGACTGTATCATGGTCATTGTTTGTTTTTACCACCATGCACTCACAGGAAAAGAAAAAGAATAGTTTAACTTACAAATGTCCCTGATGCAGAGACCTGTCATAGTGGCTTATCCCTGTAATCCCAGGATTTTGGGAGGCCAAGGCAGGAGGATTGTTTGAGCCCATGAATTCGAGACCAGCCTGGGCAACATAGTGAGATTCACATCTCTATAAAAAAAATAAAAATATCCTTGATGCAGTAGTAAAAATATTATTATTTTTAAATAGGTCTCAAACTCCTGGCTTCAAGTGATCCACCTGCCTCAGCCTCCCAAAGTTCTGGGATTA
Organism: Homo sapiens; assembly: GCF_000001405.40. Lineage (NCBI taxonomy): Eukaryota > Metazoa > Chordata > Mammalia > Primates > Hominidae > Homo > Homo sapiens. The sequence goes on along the minus strand of NC_000022.11, from coordinate 40,573,813 downwards.
CAGGCATGAGCCATCACACCCAGCGAAAATATTTATTAAATCTGAATCTTCTACTGAATATCTTTTTTTTTTTTAAAGACACAGGGCCTCTCTATGTTACCCAGTCTGGTCTTGAATTCCTGGGCTCAAATGATTCTCCTGCCTTGGCCTCCCAAAGTTCTGGAATTACAGGTATGGGATTCTGTGCCTGGCTCTCGTTCTTAAAAGTTGAGATATAAATCACATATTATAAAATTCACCTTTCAGAAGTACATAATTCAGCCAGGCACGGTGGTTCATGCCTGTAATCCCATCACTTTGGGAGGCTAAGGCAGGCAGATCACTCAAGGTCAGGAGTTTGAGACCAGCCTGGCCAACATGGTAAAACCCTGTCTCTACTAAAAATACAAAAATTAGCCAGGTGTGGTGGCATATACCTGTAGTCCCAGCTACTTGGGAGGCTGAGGCAGGAGAATTGCTTGAACCTGGGAGGCAGAGGTTGCAGTGAGCTGAGATAGTGCCACTGCACTCCAGCCTGGGTGACAGAGCAAGATTCAGTCTCAAAAAGCAAAGCAAAACAAAAAAAAGACCAAAAATACAATTCAGTGGTTTCCAGTATTTTCGCAAGATTGTGCAACTGCCACCACTGTCCAATTCCAGAACATTTTCATCATCCCAAAAAGAAACTTCATACTCCTTCCCTCTCCCTTTTCTCTCTCTCCCTAACACCAGGTAACCACTAATCTACTTTCTATCTCTGTGGATTTACCCATTCTGGACGTTTCATATAAATTGGATAATACAATATGTGGTCTTTTGTGTCTGGCTTCTTTCAGTTAGCATAGTGCTTTCAGGGCTCATCCATGTTATAGCAAATTGTTATGGTTTGGCTGTGTCGCCACCCAAGTCTCATCTTGAATTGTAACTCCTACAATTCTCACATGTTGTGGGAGGAACCCGGTGGGAAGTGATTGAATTACAGGGGTGGCGGGTCTTTCCTGTGCTATTCTCATGATAATGAATGAGTCTCATGAGAGCTGATGGTTTTAGAAACGGGAGTTTCCCTGCACAAGCTCTCTCTTTGCCTGCTGCCATCCATGTAAGACGCGACTTGCTTCTCGTTGCCTTCTGCTGTGATTGTGAGGTTTCCCTAGCAATGTGGAACTGTAAGTCCGTTAAACCTCTTTTCTTCCCAGTCTCAGGTATGTCTTTATCAGCAGCACGAAAATGGAGTAATACGCAAGTGTAACTACTTCATTTCCTTTTTTAAAAAAACAGCTTTACTGAGATAAAATTCACAGACTACACAGTTAATCCATTTCAGGTGTATGGATTTTTTTTTTTTTTAAGAGATAGGGTTTCATTGTGTTGCCCAGGCTGGATTACAGTGGCTCTTCATAGGCATGATTATAGCAAACTGTAGCCTTGAACTCCTGAGCTCTCTTGATTCTCAGACCTCAACCTTTCAAGTACCTGGGACTATAGATGTGCACCTCTGCACCTGGCAAAGTGTACAATTTGATGGTTTTTAGTATATTCACATATACAACCATTGCCACAGTTTATTTTAGAACATTTTTATCACCTCAAAGAGAACCTGTACCATTTAACTTTTACCCTGCTATCTCCCTGTTCCCCCCAAACCAAAGAACTACTAATCTACTTTATTTCTCTATATGTGTCCCAATTCTAGACTTTATATGAATGGGATAATACGTGAACTCCAGTTTGTCCGCATCTTCACCATCACTTGTTATAATCTGACTTTTTGGTTTTACCAATCCTACTGGGTGTGAAGTGCTATGTCACTGTGTTTTGTTTTTTTTTTCATTATTTCCTAATGACTAGTGATGTTGAGCATTTTTTGAAGTGCTTATTGTCCCTCTTCTTTTTTTTTTTTTTTTTTTTTTTTTGACAGAGTCTTGCTCTGTCGCCCTGGCTGGAGTGCAGTGGCGTGATCTCGGCTCACTGCAAGCTCCGCCTCCCAGGTTCACACCATTCTTCTGCCTCAGCCTCCTGAGTAGCTGGGACTACAGGCACCTGCCACCATGCCCGGCTGCTTTTTTTTTTTGGTCTTGTTAGTAGAGACGGGGTTTCATCATGTTAGTCAGGATGGTCTCAATCTCCTGGTCTCGTGATCGACTTACCTCGGCCTCTCAAAGTGCCGGGATTATATTGTCTGTTTTTATATTTTCTTTGGAGAAGTGTATGTTCAAATCCATTGCCCATTTTAAAATTTGGTTGCCTTATTGTGGTTGAATTGTAAGAGTTCTTTATATATTCTGGATATTAATCACTTATCAGTTGTATGATTTGTAAATACTTTTTCTCATCTGTGAGTTTTCTTTTTCACCTCTTGATATTATCCTTTGATGCACAAAACTTTAAAATTTTGACAGAAATATCTGGACCTCCTGTTTATCTAGTTTTTTCCTTTGGTTCCATGTACTTTGTTTTATTTAGGAAGCCGTTGCCTAATTGAAGGTCATGAAGATTATACCTGTATTTTCTTGTAAGAGTTTTACATTTTCATCTCTTACATTTAGATCGTTGATCCATTCTGAGATAATGTTTGTGTATGGTGTGAGGTAGGCAGTCTAACTTCATTCTTTTATTTTATTTTTTTTGAGAGAGGGTCTCACTCCTGTCGCCCATACTATGCAGTGGCACAATCAAGGCTTACTGCAACCTTGACCTTCCTGGGCTCAGGTGATCCTCCTGCCTCAACCTCCTGAGTAGCTGGGACTACAGGCGCACACCACCATGCCCAGCTAATTTTTTTTTTTTTTTTTTTTTTTTTTTTTTTTTGTAGAGACAGGGATTCACTATGTTGCCCAGGCTGGTTTCAAACTCCTGGGCTTAAGCAATCCACTCACATCGGCCTCCCAAAATGCTAGGATTACAGGTGTGAGCCACCACTCCTGGCTCCATGTTCTTTATTAGGATTATGTTCCATTATTTATGACCAAAGAAAGTAAAATAACACTGGCTTTAAAAATGATATAAGTCTATTTTTTGTCTTGTATAAAGAAGTCTAGAAATAGCCTAGGACTGCTTTGGTGCTCTGCAATATCAGAGAACTAGTTTTTTTCTGTATTTGTTGCCTTGCTATTCTCAACATGTGGCCTCTTCCTCGTAGTCTTAAGTTTGCTGCTTGTACTCCAACCATCTCATATACATTTCCAGCCAGGAGGAGGGAGAAGTGCCTAAAGAATAATGTACCCAATTCTTTTTTTTTTTTTTTTTTTTTTTTTTTTGAGACAGAGTCTCGCTCTGTCGCCTAGGCTGGAGTGCAGTGGCACGATCCCAGCTCACTGCAAGCTCCACCTCCTGGGTTCATGCCGTTCTCCTGCCTCAGCCTCCCGAGTAGCTGGGACTACAGGTGCTTGCCACCATGCCAGGCTAATTTTTTGTATTTTTTTAAGTAGAGACAGGGTTTCACTGTGTTGGCAAGGATGGTCTCGATCTCCTGACCTCGTGATCCACCCGCCTCGGCCTCCCAAAGTGCTGGGATTACAGGCATGAGCCACCGTGCCTGGCCCCCAGTTCTTAAAAGGACATTTCCTAGAAATCACACCTAATACTTTTATTCATGTCCTTTGGCTTGAACTAGTCACATGACCCCACTTAGCTGCAAGGGAGGCTGGAAAACATAGTCTTCCTTCTGATATGTATTTAGCTAAAACTTATGTATTCTTTTACTGGGAAGAAGGAGTGAGAGAGGATATTGGGCAACAACCTCCCAGGCCTGTCACAATGATCTAAGTGAGGTTCTTTTACTCCCTGCTGCTGCAGTTTTCTTCCCCGCCTCTCTCACTTTTCCAGTGAATTTTTATTATTAAGACATGATTCAGGGTCCCAGGGTAGGGATCACCATATACCCAGGTTCTTCTTTACCATCCTGGGAGAAGGACAGAGGTGGGGTGGAGCCAGTTCAGATCTTCCCAAGAAATGTGCCTTCTGCCCATGGTCATCCCAGGCTGAGGCCCAGGGTATAGGGCAGAGAGACTTGTACACATGCTGGTACCATTCACAAACAGAGACATCACCCCCTTGATGTATGTATGTATGTATGTATGTATGTATGTATGTATGTATGTATGTATGTATGTATGTATTAATTATGGAGTCTTGCCCTGTCACCCAGGCTGGACTGCAGTGGTGCAATCTCGGCTTACGGCAAACTCCATCTCTCAGTTTCAAGTGCTTCAGCCTCCTGAGTAGCTGAGATTACAGGCAGCTGCCATCGTGCCCAACTAATTTTTGTATTTTTAGTAGAGACAGGGTTTCATCATGTTGGCCAGGTTGGTCTCGAACTCCTGACCTTAAGTAATCCACCAGCTTTGGCCTCCCAAAGTACTGGGATTACAGGCGTGAGCCACTGCACCCGGCCATACATTACCTCCTTTAGCAGTCATTGCCTTCTTGAAGTGGTGGAGGTCCAGGTATTTCTGCCAGCCATTCCTGGTCTGGTTCTGGTTGGGGAAGCGCCTGTCAAAAGGGGCAGTCCTGTAGTTCTTGATTTTGGTCTTGATGTCTTTTGCCATGGTGCAGTTCTCAGCTCAATGGCTACTCTCTGCTGTCTTCTTTTTTCAGAGACAGGGTCTCAGGCTGGAGAGTAGTGGCATGATCATAGCTCACTGCAGCCTCAAACTCCTGAGCTCACATGATCCTTCTGCCTCAGTGTCCCTGGTGGGACTACTGGTGTGTACCATTGCACCCACCTTATTTTCTGCTTCTTATTGATAGTCTGGTATATAAAAAGGCTCATAATTCTCTTCCTATTGTATTATTTTTTTCATGTTATATGCGACATCTGAGTTATTACATTCAGGTGGTTCTTCTCTTTTAATATGGATCACTAGTATTCTTCCTTTCTCCTTGATTAATTTAGAACCTTTCTATTTTAAATAGGCTACCCATAAGGTATTTGAAGATTTTCATGCTGGTGTGCATTTACCTTTTCTTTTTTTGCTATCCACATCATGCTTGCTGCCTACATTAGATGCTTTCAAAATGTACAGCACTGACTGCTGACTAGTGCTGCTGTGTGTCTTAGCACTTTATAATTTACAGTAATTGCACTTAGATGTAGTTGTAATGTGTGAACTCCTGTAGTGATGTAGAGAACACTTTAGTTGTATTATTTACTTTGTTTGGAAAATGGATGTGTTTGCCTGTACTATGTGTTCCCTCATTGTTTTAAAGCTTTAAATATATAATTGTGCTGGGCTTAAAATGGTATTAAAATATCTGTTGCATTTTATTTGATCAAAAATTCTCAGCACCTTTTACAGAATATTAATTGGCTAAGAGTAATACTGTTTGAAGCAAGAGGCTTTGAAAGGAAGAATAATGAGCCATGACTAAGGAGCTGTTTTTATTTAAATTGTCAAGATTCGTTGTATTTCCAGAGGTTCTGCCTTGATCAAAGTCTTTAATAACCACAACTAAGTGAAAATGCATTTTTAACACAAACTCTGTACTGTATTCCATGAAGGTAACTTGAAGAGCCATTGCTTTTGTGTGGTAACTGATCTTACCAGAGTAGATTAGTTTAATTAATAAGCTAGTTTTTATAATTAAAGTGTAATTGGAAGAATAATTCATGAACATGCTGTTGATGGCCTGAGTGTTTTCACTGGTGCTACAGTGCTGTCATCAGTGTGTGCATTGTCCTGAGAGTTCCTCATTGTGGCTCTGGTAGGTGCTTAGAAGCTTTAGGCTTGACCTCTTGACCCATAGACACATTTCAACCTTGAATATACACTTTCCTCTGAGTGTGTGTTGCTGTGTTTGGATACTCTTACAAAATTATGACAGGTTCTTTTTTTATGGCAAGATATTTTATTTCCAGTATTTTAAAAATATTTGCTCAAGAATTTAGGAAAATATTCATGGTTCATTTTATAAAGTAGGAGCATATTCTTGATCTATCCGGAGAGGATGTCATTGAGAAACCTAAGGATATGAGGCTTCTGGCACTGGAAAATAGGGCTGTTCTTCAAATGCCCCATTGTCATGTGAAAACAAAGCACAATACTATAAATGTCTTCCTTTCCCCCCAAACTACTGCCTGTCTTTATGCTAGGTGAGGTTTGTCTCAACAAGTTTTTCATTCCAAAGTTAATATTTTCAAAAATAGTTTTTTTTATATTATTCATACCTGAACAGAATTATTATTGTAGATTTTCTGTGTGGTAGATTTTCTTACTGTGGCAGGTTTTCCGTGGCCTGGCAACATTTCAGGTTGTCTAGGCTGATTGCTGCATGGAGTTTTGATGTAAGAGTAGAATCGACTGAAGAATTCCTAACTTGAAAATTGTCTCATAACAGATTACATAATTTTGTAGGTGAATACACAAAATATGTGCAGATGATCATATTTAAATTTATTCAGGTCTCTTATACGTAGCGTGTGGACTTCTAAATATCCGTCACTCAGTCTCTTAGAGAAGAACTCTAGAAGACAAATAGAATTCCACCTTTAAAAATTGGAACACATTTGAACACCATAGAAAAAGGATTGAGAATCATAAGGAAAGCATACCTGTAGTGTTTGTGGGCATGAATAAAGTTCAAGGAATGTAATGAAGTCATCTTGTCAAAATAGTGCTTTAATTTTCAAGCAGCCTTTTTGGAGGTGGGGGAGGAGTTTAAGGCAAATTGTCAAATTTCTGTTAAATGTTTGCAAGAAAATATTACCTTGTAGTTAATGTCTCTACTTTTCAGAGTACCTTCTTATAAGACCCTTCATGATAGGACAGATAATAATAACAAATGTTTATTCAGAGCGACTTACTCAAGGTCACATCACCAAACTCAGTGATATATTAAGACACAGGTCAAAACAACATTATTACATTTTCATTAGGGGCCAGGCAGAATAGTAAATTATACCAAACTCAGAGTCAGGTGGCACGCTAAGGTGAACAGCTCCCTTGTCATTCTTTCTCTACACACCTGCCAAAATGATTATTTATTTATTTTTATTTATTTTTTGAGACGGAGTCTTGCTCTGTTGCCCAAGCGAGGGTGCAGTGGTGTGATGTCGGCTCACTGCAACCTCCGCCTCGCGGGTTCAAGTGATTCTCCTGCTTCAGCATCCCTAGTAGCTGGGATTGCAGGCACTCGCCACCATGCTCCGCTAATTGTTTGTATTTTTACTAGAGATGAGGTTTCAACATGTTGGCCAGGCTGGTCTCAAACTCCTGGCCTCAAGTGATCCATCAGCCTTGGGCCTCCCAAAGTGCTTGGATTACAGGCATGAGCCACCATGCCCAGCCCTCAAAATGATTATTTAAAAAGATAAATCAGCCAGGCGTGGTGGCTCACGCCTGTAATCCCAGCACTTTGGGAGGCTGAGGCGGGTGGATCACGAGGTCAGGAGTTCAGTACCAGTCTGGCCAAGATGGTGAAAGCCCGTCTCTACTAAAAATGCAAAAAAATTAGCCAGGTGTGGCGGTGGGCACCTGCAATCCCAGCTATTCAGGAGGCCGAGGCAGAGAATTGCTTGAACCCAAGAGGTGGAGGCTGCAGTAAGCCGAGATCACGCCACTGCACTCCAGCCTGGGCGACAGAGTGAGACTCTGTCTCAAAAAAAAAAAAAAATGATAAATCAGATCATATCACTCCATTGTGTAAAACCTCCCAGTGGCATCCAGTTGTTTATGTAATATACTTATGTCCATTCCTCTCGGGCCATGCCATTCATTTAGTTCCTTCAAGATACCAAGCTCATTCCTGCCTCATGGCTTTTTAACTTGCATATGCTGTTCCCTCTGCATGGCTGGCTGTTTCTTGTCAAGTTCAGACAGAGCCATAGAGGCATGAGGTCTGAAGCTTCACTGCCCAGGATCAAGTATTTAACCTCTCAGTGTCTCAGTTTCCTCAACTGTAAAAAATTATGGATAATTTAGGTAAATATACGTCTTAGTGTTGTGAAGATTGAATGCATACACATACAGTGCCTCATTTATAATAAGGGTTGGCTATACAAGTCTCTTTCGGATATCACTTCCTCAATGAGACCTCTTTTGGTCATTTAATCTAAATTAGCCACCTGGCCCCCAGGCACATAATGCTTATAGTTATCCAAAAACTTTTTATTGTATATTTATTTTCATTTTTATGTCTCTCCCACTATAATGTAGGCCCAAGAAAGCGAAGATATTTTCTGTCTGTTGTACTCCCAGTGCCTAAAACAGTGCCTCATCACTATGCATTTGTTGAGTGAATTAATGAAAGTCAGGTCTACCCCAGAAGGTCTTTTGTTTTTTTTTGAAGTGGGGATCGAGTCTCGCTCTGTTGCCCAGGCTGGAATGCAGTGGTGCGATCTTGGCTCACTGCAGTCTCTACCTCCTGGGCCCAAGTGATCTTCTCACCTCAGCCCCCGGAGTAACTGAGAGTACAGGTGTGCACAACCGTGCCCAGCTAATTTTTGTATTTTTAGTAGAGACGGAGTTTCACTGTATTGGCCAGGCTGGTCTTGAACTCCTGATCTCAAGTGGTCCTCCCGCCTTGGCCTCCCAAAGTCCTGGGATTGCAGGCATGCACCACTGCACCCAGCCTACCCCAGGAGGTCTTCATGAGTTCCATAAGACTGAAAGGCAATTTATGTTGTTTAGTTAAGGGAAGATGTTCACATGTATACCTAACACACATGGTAGGGGCTTGTTGGGAATGGTATAGAGAAGTAGTCAATAAAAAGGGGTTGAGCCATGGTATAAAATACATATTTTACTTTTTTTCTGTTTTCTTTTTTAAAATTTCTGTTTCTTCTAGCTGGTGAGTTCACGTCCCTATACATAAGCTCATGAGCTTACTTGTGTCTTTAAATCTGAGGACAGCTGATTGCCCCTCAGCATTATAAAGTTAGAACTTTGGCCAGGCAGGGTGGCTCATGCCTGTAATCCTAGCACTTTGGGAAGCCGAGGTGGGCGGATTGCCTGAGCTCGGGAGTTTGAGACCAGCCTGGCAACATGGTGAAATCCCGTGTCTACTAAAATACAAAAAATGAGCCGGGAATGGCGGCGTGTGCCTGTAGTCTCACCTATTCGGGAGGCTGAGGCAGGAGAAAGCTTGAACCCGGGAGACGGAGGTTGCAGTGAGCCAAGATCACGCCACTGCACTCCAGCCTGGGCGACGGTGCAAGGCTCCGTCTCCAAAATAATAATAATAAAAATAATAATAAAATAAAGTTACAGCATTATTGAGCTTCTTCTAAAATAGTGTAAGCAGAAAGTGCTGATATGCAATTAGATACTCAGCGGTATTTGACAATTTTAGGAATCAGAAGGATGGTGAGGGATGGTCCAAGATCCAGAGTAGGTGATCTGAGACTAGGAATTTATGAATTATCAACTGAGTCAGGTTTGAAAGCAATATTATTATTTCCTTATATCTGTAACTCAGCCTCTTTCCTCTTTCTCAAACTCTTCCTACTTTTCTTCTGTTATTCTCTTCCTATTCTTGTAATCTTTGTTGTTTCTCATTGTCTTCATTCCCATGTTTTCCTTCTCGTGTACCTAATGGAAACCCAAATGACATTTCCATTATTTTTCTTTGGTCCCTCGACCCAACATGCAAAATCAAATTTATTATCTCCACAGATAAAATTCCTCCTCTTTTCCCTATTTCTATTAGCAGAATACTGTTGTAATGACTGCCCTGGCTTAAAACCTTTAGTAATTTTTGACATCTGTCTCTCCTCCATCCCCAACAATCAAACAGAAACACATTCTATCTTATATAAATCCTGTCTTCATTCATTATTAACGCGACAAAGATTTGAGTTCCTGTTCTGTGCCAGGTACATTGTATGGTCGTTCCCTTCTTTGCATTTAACTACCCCAATTCAGGATATCAACACATTATACTTTGCCTAATGAAGTAGCTTTGTAACCTCCCCCCACAACCGCATATTTCTTTTTTCCAATCCAGTCTAACTCCACTGCCATATTAATTTGCTTGTACTTGAACCATGTGATTGGCTAAACTGTATTGCCCTTTTAGAACATAGTTCACATTTTCTCACATCTATGACTTTGTTCATTTAAGTTATGTCTCCAGCTTCCTGAGGGCAAGAACTTTGTTTTATTTACTGTAATCCTCAATACCCAGACAGCACCTGGCATGTAGTGGGTAGTCAATATTTGTTGACCAGATTGGTCTTGAACTCCTGGGCTCAAGGGATCCTCCCCGCTTGGCTTCCCAAAGTGCTGGGATTATGGGTGTGAGCTACTACACCTGGCCCTCTCTAGAAGCTTTTTCTGATCTTCTGTGTATTTATACCTGGGACAGAACCCTCTTTCCTTTTTTTTTTTTTTTTTCTGTATCTGTGCTGACTTTGTATATATGATGTGTTTGCTGTAAGGTTAATATACGTAGTAAATTAACAAATATTTATTAAGTTCTTTTTAAATTTCAAGTATTGTATCTGGGTACTTGAGACAAAAAAACCAGTAGAATGGAGTTCCTTTCAGTGAATTTACCATCTACTGGGAGATCAATCCATGATAATAGTAAAAGTAAGCAGTGATAAAAGCAATCTTGGGATGTTGTGGAAGCCTAGCCCATTCGAAGGGGATGGATAATAAAGAGAAGGAAGTAGGATGGGGAAGAAGAGGCAATTCTAGGCAGTCACAGTAAAGAGCCGCATAACTGGTACCAGTGATTAGAGTGTGAATAAAGGGGAATGGTGAGAAATGAAGCCAGTAGTGAAGGGGCCGGTACTGTTGTAATTGAAGAGGCAGTGTTATATTGTTACTGTTATCCTTTTTGTTGGGGGAAGAGGAAATATTTGGATGACTGATTCCCTGTAGAACCATCAAGAGGAGGTGAAGTGAGCAAAGGCCAAGTAATTTATGGACTGGTCATAAATTATTTTTTGCCATTGGCTATTTGTCACCATTGGCTGTTACCAAAGGGTATTTATCACCTTGGCTACCCAATTCGTTGAGAACTCTATAGATACCTAGAAGTCTACCCTGCATCTTACTACTTTGAGATGACCACTTAAGATTCTTAAGTTTTTTCTGTTATTCACCCCCATGTTTCCCTCCCTCCCTCCATTCCCCCCTCCGTCCGTTCCCCCTTCCCCCCTTCCCCCTTCCCCCTTCCCCTCCTTCCCTCTTCCCCTCTTTCCCCCTTCCCTCTTCCCCCTTTCCCTCCTTTCTGCCTTCCCTCCTCCCCCCCTTTCCCCCTTCCTCTCCCTCCCCCCTTACCCCTTCCCCTCCTTCCCTTTCCCTTCCCTTTCCCCTTCCCTTCCCCTTCCCTTCCGTTTTTCTTTCCCCTTCTTTTCTTTTCTTTCTTTCTTTTCTGCTGTTGAGAAGTCTGATGCCATTTATTACATATCACAATTTTGTGGGTGAGGATTTTGGACAGGGCTTAGCTTAGGGATTATTCTGCCTGCTCCATATGGTATTAACCTGGATCCATACAGTGTTAAGTGTCATCTCTTAGTGTTATTCAGCAGGTGACTAGGCTTGTCTGGGGTGTCCAGGATGGCTTTGTTCATATGCCTGGCACCTTGGTGTGGGGATGTCTGGAAAGCTGGACTCAGCTGGATTCCTCTGCCCTTCTGTGTAGTCATGAGACCTCTTTTTTTTTTTTTTTTTGAGATGGAGTCTCGCTCTATCGCCCAGGCTGGAGTGCAGTGGCACGATCTCGGCTCACTGGAAGCTCCGCCTCCCGGGTTCACGCCGTTCTCCGGCCTCAGCCTCCTGAGTAGCTGGGACTACAGGTGCCCACCACCACGTCCGGCTAATTTTTTTGTATTTTTTGTAGAGTTGAGGTTTTACCTTGTTAGCTAGGATGGTCTCGAGCTCCTGACCTCGTGATCCACCTGATGAGACCTCTTTTTAGGATCTGTCCATCAGGGTAGTTGGACTTCTTACATGGGGGCACAGGGCTCCAAGAGACCAAAGTAGAAGCTGCCAGTCCTCTTAAAGTCTAGACCCTGAACTGGCATACCATCACTTTCACTGTTCTCGATTGGTCAAGGCAGAGGCCAGCTCAGATTCAAGGTCAAAGGAAATAAACCCCACCATTAATGGGAAGGAAGTGTCAGGTAATTTGCAACCATCTTTAATCTGCCACATTACTCTTCCATGTGCTTTCCATTGTTTTGTTATATTTTTCTGTTGCTTGTACTCCTCGTTTTTAGATGATTTCCAAGATGAAGAAGGAATAGGAAGCCCTATTATTTGCCATCTCTAAAGCCTGGTAGTTTTTAAGGTGTCTGAAGATAATGGGTGTGGTAGAGACAGAGGCAAGGGCAGTTAATTAGCCAAGACTTGATGTTTTCCTCATCTTCTATACAGTAACTTTTTTTTTTTTTTTTTTAGACATAGTTTCACTCCATCATCCAGGCTGTAGTACAGTGGCACAGTCTTGACTCACTGCAACCTCTATCTCCCAGATTCAAGCAGTCCTCCTACCTCAGCCTCCCGAGTAGCTGGGACTACAGGCATGCATCACCATGCCTGGCTGTTTTCCTCATCTTCTACAGTAGGACGTAGGGCAGTACCTAGTACATATATAGTAAGCTATCAGGAAACACTTGTTCAGTTGATTTGAATTCCTTCATACCAGATTTTACACACACACACACACACACACAGACACACACACACACAGAGATACCCATACCCACCCACATCCACCCCCACCACCCCTACATACCTGCTGAGACAGTAAGAGTTTTCAAGATTAGGTTTACTGCATTGAAAATAAATCAATGAGAATTAAAGTAAAAATATGTCCAGCTAAAAGAAAGTTCATTAATTGATTGAAAACAGTTTTTTTACCAATTGTTTAAAAAAAATTTTCAGAAGAACCATACCATTTGGTCGCATAGAACCACCTTTTTGTCATGGGTCATGATAAAGAATTGTGCTAGTGCTCATGTTTTAGAGTTGTCAGTAGCTGTCTACGTTCTTCCATTCTTCTAACACATTTCATGCTGTTGTTTCTAGGTACGTATGTTGTTCTGTACAGGCAGAAGGCATGCAGCCCTAAAGCGGGTAGGGTGGAGAAAAGATGCATAATCAGGCCAGCAAAAGAGGGAAACAGATGGGTTGTGGGAGATGACCCTGCCCCCATGCTGTTTTTGTTCTGGCTGCTGTTGATCATATGTGAATCAGCAGCCCAGAAACTGGAGTTACTGATCCTTTGATAAAAAAAGAAAGTATGAACTTAGACTCAGTAGAGTTATAAATTACAACTCTAAAAAGTGATTCAGGTTTTACAGTAAATACAATTACAGGAGTATTCAGGAATTGGTAAAGGGGACTTAATTATGATGGCTATACCTCAACATTTTTGGGTCTTGTCTCTAGATTATCATAGTTTACGAGATTTTATCCTGTGGGCTCTTTCAAAATGAATAGAGAGTAGTGTGTTTGTTAGAGAAATAAATCCAATGTGTATATTTTATGCCAAATTAGTCTTTTGTCAGTGCTTGTATATGACTTCTGGTCTATTTTCTAATCTCAAGGTTAAGGAAACCTTGCTGTGTCTCACTGAGTCTTCCCATCATTCTGTGGAAGAATCTTATTTTTTAAAAAATACTAGGAGAATGTTATCAAACATATACAAATGTAGAGATAATAGCATAATGAATTTCTAAATACCTAATAACCAGCTTCAACATTATCAACATTCTGCCCCTCTTGTTTTGTGTGTTCTTCCTCACTCCCTGCCTCATGGCCTTGATGGAAGGATTTTATTCTATAGTATAGTTTAATATTGGTGTTTTAAAGGATGTATCCTGAAACTTTTGAAATCCCCTAAATTAACAAATAGCACTATATAATTTACCCAATAAAAATATTTGGTAAAGTGTGTGTGTGTGTATGTGTATAGATATATGTGTAAATTTTAAGTGATCTCTTTAAGCCCTTAATAATTCTGTAAATATGGAACTTAATTACAGAACTATTCTGAATCGAACAGTTGCTAAAGCAGTTTTTCAGATTGCTTATTTCTTTTATTCTGGTTAGTAGTAGGCACAACCATGGGGTTCAGGTCTGTAGAATTTGATATTCTTATTTTCTTTCTTTTCTTTTTGCATTGTAATATAGTATCAAACAGTCCTTTCTTTAAACTATTAAAAATGTATGTGTTCTGTCAGGCAAGGTGGCTCACGCTTGTAATCCCAGCATTTTGAGAGGCCAGTGTAGGGCGATCGCTTGAGGCCAGGAGTTCGAGACCAGCTTGGGCAACATAGTGAGATCTCGTCTCTACAAAAAAGTGAAAAAATAGTCAGGTGTGTTGGCACACACCTATAGTCCTAGCTACTTGGGAGGATCACTTGAGCCCAGGAGTTTAAGGCTGCAGTGAGCTATGATCATTCCATTGCACTCTAGCTTGGATGGCAGAGTAACATGCTGTCTGAAAAAAGAAAAAAAAAGTATGTGTTCTAAGAAACACCATTTTTTCCTCCCTGGGATGGGTATCACTTCGTTGCCCAGGCTGGAGTGCAGTGGCATGATCACAGCTCACTGCAGCCTCAGCCTCCCTGGGGTCGAGGTGATCCTCTTACCTCAGCCTCAGGAGTAGCTGAGACTGCAGACGCACACCACCATGCCTAACTTTTGTGTGTTTTGTAGAGACGGGGTTTTGCCATGTTGCCCAGGATTGTCTTGAGCTCCTGGGCTCTAACAATCTGCCCACCTTGGCCTCCCCAACTGCTGGGGATTACAGGTGTGAGCCATCGCGCCTGGGTGAAACATTATTTTTAAAACTTCCTTGGCTGGGCACAGTGGCTCACACTTGTAATCCTAGCACTTTGGGAGGCTGGGGCAGGTGGATCACCTGAGGTCAGGAGTTCGAGACCAGCCTGGCCAACATGGTGAAAACCCATCTCTACTAAAAACACAAAAATCAGATGTAGTGTTGCGTGCCTGTAATCCCAGCTACTCGGGAGGCTGAGACATGAGAATCACTTGAACCTAGGAGGCAGAGGTTGCAGTGAGCCAAGATCGTGCCACTGCAGCCTGGGTGGTGGAGCGAGACTGTCTCAAAAAAAAAAAAACCCAAAAAACCCCCCCAAAAAAAACAAAAACCAAAAAACCAAGAACTTTATTTTCTCTTTATGCTTAGCATTGGACTTGGACTTGGGTTGGCTTTCTTTTGGGGGGCCGTTTTTTACAAAGTTTCTTTAAATCATTTTCTAGAAATACTGGTTATGTTCACTAAATGCATAAGAGCATCACAAACTCATGAAGTTAACTTCATGCTTCATTAGAAAAATATTGATACCATGTGATGGATTTTTATTGTCTCTTGGGAATATTAACACATGTAAATGCTAAATCTCTGAATTCCAGCAATAATAATAATTCAAAGTAGTAGGAAGAAGTTTGTTCTGAATTAGTGATAAGTAAATTAAATAATTTACTTCATTTTAAAGAATATATGGTTTTGGCGAGGCACAGTGGCTCATTCCTGTAATCCTAGCACTTTGGAAGGTTTAGGTAGGAGGATCACTTTAGGCCAGGAGTTTGAGACCAGCCTGGGCAACATAGCAAAAACCTCATATCTCCCCAACCCCTTGCAAAAAAAAAAAAAAAAAAAAAAAAAAAGCCAGGCATGATGGTGTGCCTGTAGTCCTAGCTACTTGTGGGACTGATGGGGGAGGATCACTTGAGTCCAGGAATTCAAGGTTGCAGTGAGCTATGATCGTGCCACTGCACCCTAGCCTGGGCAACAGAGAGAGACCCTGTCCCTTAAAAAAAAAAAGAAAGAAAGAAAAAGGCTGGACTCGGTGAGCTCTCATGCCTGTAATTCCAGCACTTTGGGAGGCCAAGGCAGGTGGCTCACTTGAGTCCAGGAGTTTAAGACCAGCCTGGGCAACATGGCAAAACCCCATCTCTACTAAAAATACAAAAATTAGCCGGGCCTGGTGGCGCATGCCTATATTCCCAGTTACTCGGGAGGCTGAGGCAGGAGGATTGCTTGAGGCCGGGAGGTGGAGGTTGCACTGAGCCGAGAACTTGCCACTGCACTCCAGCCTGGGATTCTTTCAAGCTCAGTAATATAAGTTTACTTAGTGAAATTTTTTTTTTGCCAAGACATCTAAAAATAATTGTGATAAAAAACATATGTAACATTAAATTCACCTTTCCTCCTGCCTTGGGAGCTCTTAGATAATAAACTTACCTTTTAACCACTTTTTTTCCTTCTTTTTAAAATTTTTAAAAACTATTTAAAATTTTTTTTAAAAAAGAGACAGGGTCTTACTATGTTGCCGAGACTGATCTGGAACTCCTGGGCTCTAGCGATCCTCCCACCTCAGCTTCCCAGAGTGCTAGGATTAGAGGAGTGAGCCACTGTGCCTGGCCACCTGGCACTCTTTTATATTACCCTGCCCCTGCCAAATAGCAGAAGATTTTACTTAATCTCACACCAAGTTATAGTATCAGAAATATCAGTTAAGTCTGAAATAATGGGGTTTTGCTAAGTTAAGAACTTTTTATATGAAACCATGATTCTAGCGCATCTGTTTAGCTATAGTATTTTAGTGGTATGAGGCTTGATGTTTCCTGTCCTTGACTGCCTAACATTATTTTTAGTGTTTCTGTATGTTTCATGCAGTCTTCCTTGTGTCATCCAAATTTTCCCCAAGACATGTCTGTCGTGGTTCCCTAGATTATCTTTATGTATCTTTCATTTGCTTCTCTCTTTGTTCAGTTAACAACTATTAGAATGCTTGTTTTGTGTTAATACTTTTGCAAGGCCCATCTACTGCATACAGAGTTATTGTTGCAGTTAAATTTCTTAATTTTCTTATGAGAGGTCTGAACTCTTACAATCCATAATGATTTAACAGCTGTTTATTGAAAACCTGTTACTCTATGTGAAACCACTTTTCCTAAGTCCTAGGGCTGAAGTTTTGATACCATTCTATTTTCCTTTTGAATAAGGAGGTTAGTTCTCAAGGGGTCCTTGAATGTCATAAAGTTGAAGTCTTTTTTTTAGTCTGAAAGGCTGCTGCTGTTAAAAGAAGCAGACATGCTCTTTCAGAGTCAATGACAAAGAATACTCAGCCGGATGGATTAATCCTGTGTAACAGTTGTTTTTTTCCCAGTACACACAGAGACATGGTTCAAACCATAATAAATCATAGACAAGATGGAAAAGAATTCTTTGAAGTTTAGATTCTGAATTTTGTTGGTAGACATTTGTTGTTTTGTAATTTATAAAATTATTCAAACCCTAAAAGAAATCCTTTTCCCATTGTTTGCCCATGCTCAATTACCCTTGAGAATATTGAGTTCCTAATACTGAGTTCAAATTTTTTTTTGAACTTGTCTCCCTTATATCTTCTTCCAGTCTCTTTGGAGTAGAGAGTCCTTAGTATCTTTTTTCTTCATAATATTATCTCCCTCATGTTAATTACTGTTATCTGGATCTTTTCCAGTCCAGTTTATTTTCTGTGAAATGTATCAGCCAGAACTACAGTCAGGTTTGGGCACACTATTGCTTTACTTGAAGTTAGATCATAATTGTCTTTTTAGTTTCTAGTGCCTTTCTTCACTTCATGGCTGTTCAATATTTTGTTGGTTTCTTCAACTAAAGCAAGTTAGATTAAAGTCCTCATAAAAGTTTGCAAGGAATGCCCAGGGAATCTCACTTCATAGATCAGAAACTATAGTCTTTTTATTATAAAAGCCATGTAAGTATTTTAGAGAAAATTTGGAACCTTAAAATTTTTTCATTGTCCAATCAAACAGAACCCCTCTTTTGTGTCTTGGTATACTTCTTAAAATCTTTTTTCTTTGTATAATATTTTAATATATGAGTATGTAGTTTTATGTCTTACTTTTTCTTAAGTGTGGCTTTAGAATAAGCATTTCCCACATTAGAAATGCTTTATAAAAATTATTCTTAGGGCTGGGCATGGTGGCTCACGCCTGTAATCCCAGCACTTTGGGAGGCTGAGGTGGGTGGATCTTGAGGTCAGGAGATCGAGACCATCCTGGCTAACATTGGTGAAACCCCGTCTCTACTAAAAATACAAAAAAATTTAGCCAGGCATGGTGGTGGGCGCCTGTAGTCCCAGCTACTCGGGAGGCTGAGACAGGAGAATGGCGTGAATGCAGGAGGTGGAGCTTGCAGTGAGCTGAGATCACGCCACTGCACTCCAGGCTGGGCAACAGAGCGAGACTCTGCCTCAAAAAAAAAAAAAATTATTCTTACTAACTACATAGGATTCAGTGAGTGGAGATATATATATATATATAAAATTTTTTTTAATTTATGAGGTTTAATTGGTTCATGGTTTTGCAAGCCTGTACAAGGATGGTGCCATCAAGGAGCTTTTATACATGATAGAAGGTGAAGCAGGTGCAGGCATGTCACAGGGTGAGAGCAGGAGCAAGAGAAAGAAGGGGGGCAGTGCCACACACTTTTAAACAACTAGATATTGGAAGAACTCACTCACTACCATGTGGACAGCACCAATCCATGAGGGATCTGCCCCCATGACTCAAATATCTCCCATCAGGCCCTGCCTCCAACACTGGGGATTGCATTTCAACATGAGATTTGGGTGGGACAAATATCAGAGTCATATCATTCTGCCGCTAGTCCCTCAAGTCTCATGTCCTTCTTACATTTCAAAATACAATTATTTCTTCTCAGTAGTCCCCCAAAGTCTTAACTCATTGCAGCATTAATTCAAAGGTCCAAAGTCTCATCTGGAGATAAGTTCCTTCCACCTATGAGCCTGTAAAATCAAAGACAAGTTATTTACTTCCAAGATACAATGGGGATACAGGCATTGAGTTAACATTCACATTCCAAAAGGGAGAAATTTGCCAAAAGAAAGGGGCTACAGGCCCCATGCAAGTCTGAAACCCAGCAGGGCAGTCATTAAATCTTAAAGCTCCAAAACAATCCTTGACTCCATGTCCCACATTCTGGGTACACTGATATAAAGGGAGGGGTTCCCAAAGCCTTGGGCAGCTCTGCCCCTGTGGCTTTTCCACGCTGAGGTTGCATGCTGCTGGTGGCTCTACCATTCGGGGGTCTGGAGAGCAGTGGGTGCTAGTTTACTTTACAAAAAGCTTTAAGAATAATGGTAGTTTGCCAGTGATGTAATTTATAATATTAGCATCGGCATATACTCCAGTGGCATAGTTTGTCCGTGTCTATTAGTCTGTTCTCAAACTGCTGCTATAAAGAACTGCCCAAGATTGGGTAGTTTATAAAGGAAAGAGGTTTAATTGACTCACAGTTCCACAGGGCTCGGGAGGCCTCAGGAAACTTACAGTCATGATGGCAGGGAAAGCAAACACATCCTTCTTCACAAGGTGGCAGGAAGAAGTGCCAAGCAAAAGAGGAAAAGCCCCTTATAAAACCATCAGATCTTGTGAGAGCTCACTCACTATCATGAGAACAGCATGGAGGTAACCACTCCCATTATTCAATTACCTCCCACTGGGTCCCTCCCACAACACATGGGGATTATGGGAACTACAGTTCAAGGTGAGATTTGGGTGGGGACACAGCCAAACCATATCATTCTGCCCCTGGCCCCTCCCAAATCACAGGTCTTCACATTTCAAAACACAAGTATGTGTGTCCAATAGTCCCCCAAAGTCTTAGATCATTCCAGTATTAACCCAGAAGTCCAAGTCCAGAGTCTCATCTGAGATAAGGCAAGTCCCTTCCACCTATGAGCCTGTAAAATCGAAAGCAAGTTAGTTACTTCCTAGATACAATGGGGGGTACAGGCATTGGGTAAATACACCCATTCCAAAGGGGAGAAATTGGCCAAAACAAAGGGGCTACAGGCCCCATGCAAGTCCAGAATCCAGTGGGGCAGTCAGATCTTAAGGCTCTGAAATGATCTCCTTTGATTCCATGTCTCACATCCAGGTCATGTTGATGCAGGAGGTGGGCTCCCACGGCCTTGAGCAGCTCTGCCTCTGTGGCTTTGGAGGGTACGGCTTCACCCCTGGCTGCTTTCATGGGCTGATGTTGAGTGTCTACAGCTTTTCCAGGTGTATGGTGCAAGCTATAGGTGGATCTACCATTCTGGGGTCTGGAGGATGGTGGCCTTCTCACAGCTCTACTAGGCAGTGCTCCAGTGAGGACTCTGTGTGGGCGCTCCGACCCCACATTTGCCTTCCATACTGCCCTAGTAGAGGTTCTCCATGAGAGCTGTACCCCTGTAGCAAACTTCTGCGTGGACATCCAGGTGTTGCCATACATCCTCTGAAATCTAGGTGGAGGTTCCCAAACCTCAATTCCAGACTTCTGTGCACCTGCAGGCTCAGCACCACATGGCGGCTGCTGAGGTTTTGGGCTTGCACGCTTCGAAGCCTCAGCCTGAGCTGTATACCTTGGCTCCTTTTATTCATGACTGGAGCTGAAGCAGCTGGGACTCAGGGCACCATGTCCTGAGGCTGCACAGAGCAGGAAGGCCCTGGGCCCATGAAACCATTTTTCCCTCCTATGCCTTCGAGGCGCTGCTGTGAAGGTCTGTGACATGCCCTGGAGACGTTTTCCCCATTGTCTTGGTGATTAATGTTAGGCTCTTTGTTACTTATGCAAATTTCTGCAGGTGGCTTGAATTTCTCCCCAGAAAATGAGTTTTTGTTTTCTATTGCATCATCATGCTGCAGATTTTCTAAACTTTTATGCTCTGCTTCCTCTTGAATGCTTTGCCGCTTAGAAATGTCCTCTGCCAGATACCCTAAATCATCTCTCTCAAGTTCAAAGTTCCACAGATCTCTCTAGAGTAGGGGCAAAATGCCACCAGTCTCTTTGCTAAAGCATGGCAAGAATCACCTTTATATAAGTTTCCAACAAGTTCCTCATCTCCATCTGAGACCATTTCAGCCTGTACTTCATTGTCCATACCACTATCAGCATTTTGGTCAAAGGCATTCAACAGGTCTCTAGGAAGTTCCAAACTTTACCACAGTTTCCTGTCTTCTTCTTAGCCCTCTAAACTGTTCCAACCTCTGCCTGTTACCCATTTTCAAAGTTGCTTCCACATTTTTGGGTATCCTTATAGCAGCATCCCACTCTATCAGTACCAATTTACTATATTAGTCTGTTCTCACGTTGCTATAAAGAACTGCCTGAGACTGGGTAGTTTATAAAGGAAAGAGATTTAATTGATTCACAGTTCCACAGGGCTGGGGAGGCCTCAGGAACTTACAATCATGGTGGAAGGAGTTGCAAACATGTCCTTCTTCACATGGTGGCAGGAAGGAGAAGTGCAGAGCAAAAGAGGAAAAGCCCCTTATAAAACCATCAGATCTTGTGAGAACTCATGAGAATAGCACGGAGGTAACCACCCCTGTGATTCAGTTACCTGCCACCAAGTCCCTCCCATGATATGTGTGAGTTATGGGAACTACAATTCAAGATGAGATTTGGGTGAGGACACCACCAAACCATATTATCATGGTACCATCTAAACTTTCCATTTTTTCTTCCATTTCCAGATTGCCATCACGAAAGCCAAAGTGGATTTCTCCAGTGTGGTGTGCCTGCCCCCTTCCGTCATTGCTGTGAATGGGCTGGACGGAGGAGGGGCCGGCGAAAATGATGATGAACCAGTGCTCGTGTCCTTATCTGCGGCACCCAGTCCCCAGAGTGAAGCTGTTGCCAATGAACTGCAGGAGCTCTCCTTGCAGCCCGAGCTGACCCTAGGCCTCCACCCTGGCAGGAATCCCAATTTGCCTCCACTTAGTGAGCGGAAGAATGGTGAGTAGATACAGAATTATTGCATTCCCTGATTTGAACCAGGATCTTCATGTTTATAATGTTACAGATTCTTACTTTATTTGATGTTCCGTGAAAGTTCCTAATAATCTTAACATTTCTTGTAAAATAGATAGCTGTAAGTTAAAGTGATCATTGTAAGTCCAACATTTCCTGCCTGGATTATTATAATTTCTTTCTAATTTCTCTGCTTCCCTCACCCTATTCCTTCCATAAATTCATTAATTCAGCATATATATTCATTAATATCAATGTATTATAAACTATGCTAAAATTAGGGATTAAATGGTAAACAAGCCTCTGTCATTAGGAAACATACTCTATCGTATAGCCTTGTCAGAGTAATCTTTTAGGACTTCCTAGCTTAAAAGTTTTCAGTGATTGCCTTGTGGGATGAAACAAAAACCAAATAAATGTCTTGCCGGGTGTAGTGACTTAGGCCTGTAATTCCAGCACTTTGGTAGGCCGAGGTGCACAGATCACCTCAGGTCAGGAGTTAAGAGACCAGCCTGGCCAACATGGTGAAACCCTGTCTGTGCTAAAACTACAAAAATTAGCTGGGCTTGGTGGCACACACTTGTAGACCCAGCTACTGGGGAGTCTGAGGTGGGAGGATCGATTGAACTAGGAGGCGGAGGTTGCAGTGAACCGAGATTGTGCCACAGCTCTCCAGCCTGGACGACAGAATGAGACTCTATCTCAAATAAACAAACAAACAAACAAATAATAAATAAGTGAATAAATTTCTTGGCATGTTTTATAAGGCTTTGCAGAATCTGGTCTCTTTCTTTTAACATCTTCTCTTATTCCCCTATTCCTAGTATTTGTTCCAGCCCATTAAACTGTGTTAAGTACTGTTTAAAAACCATGTACTCATACCTCAACCTTTTTTTAATTAAAAAAATCTATAATTTGTTATGGAATATTTAAGATTTGAGAAAATGTATAAAGAGGCTGGGCACGGTGACTCATGCCTTTGGGAGGCCGAGGCGGGCGGATCCCTGAGGTCGGGAGTTCGAGACCAGCCTGACCAGCATGGAGAAACCCCGTCTTTACTAAAGATACAAAATTAGCCAGGCATGGTGGCACATGCTTGTAATCCCAGCTACTAGGGAGGCTGAGGCAGGAGAACTGCTTGAACCTGGGAGGCAGAGGTTGCGGTGAGCCGAGATCGCGCCACTGCACTCCAGCCTGGGCAACAAGAGCAAAATTCCGTCTCAAAAAAAAAAAAAAAAGAAAAAAGAAAAAATGGATAAAGAACAATATAGAAAATTGTGTGTTCAAATACCACCCAACTTATGTACTTTGCGTAAATCTTCATTACCCCTGGAGGAAACTACTAACTTGAATTTGGTATTTCATTGCCAAATATGTCTGTATTATTTACCCATGTGAATATATTCTTAAGCAATATATAATGTTGTTTCTCATGTTTTAAACCTATATATGAGAGAAAATTATGTGTTCTTCAGTAATTTGTTGTTCAGTATTCATTTTCCTTGTAAGTTAAAGATATTCTGTATTTTCTTCTAATTCAAGCTGTTAATCCCCACTTAGTGAATAGTTCTACTTTTTCCTACTGATCTTTAATGCCTGCTGTATTCTGTCTGTGCATGAGTTAGTTTTTAGGCTCTCTTTTCTTTGACTGGTCTCTCTGTCCATCTCTGTGTCAGTACTACCTTATTTTAGTTATTGCCTAATAATTAGTCTTTCTGTCTGTTAGGACACGTATCTCCTTACCTTTTTCTTTTTCAAAGTTGTCTTGGCTATTACCCTTTTAATTTTCCATGATTTTAGAATTGCCTTACCAAGTTCTGCCAACAAAAAAACCCTTTGGGATTTTTACCTCCAACATTTTATTATGAAAAAATTTAAACGTAAAGTAGAAAGAAAAAAAAAAAGAAGTAGGAAGAACTTTACAGTGAATACCTGCGTGCCCATCTCTTAGATTCTACCTGTAACATTTTATAAAACTTGCTTTATAACACAGATATCTATCAATCTCATCTTTAAATTTAATTTTTTTTTTTTTTTTTTTTGCAACAGAGTCTCACTCTGTTGCCCAGGCTGGAGTGCAGTGATGCGACCTTGGCTCACTGCAGCCTCCGTCTCCCGGGTTCAAGCAATTCTCTTGCCTCAGCCACCCGAGTAGCTGGGATTACAGGCATGTGCCACCATGAATGGCTAATTTTTGTATTTTTAGTGACAGGGTTTCACCATGTTGACCAGGCTGATCTCAAACTCCTGGCCTCAGGTGATCTGCCCTCCTTGGCCCCCCAAAGTGCTGGGATTATAGGCGTGAGCCACCACACCTAGCCCTCAATCTAATTTTTTTGATGTATCTTGAAGTAAATTGCAGACACTAGTACTCCTGTTATGGAAGTATAACATAAATACAAAATAACCCACAACTTATAAGTGTTGTTATTATCACAAAGTGAGTACACCTGTTAGTAACTACTGCTTAGTGAGGAAATACTAGTAGTCCAGAACTTTCCCCACCTTGTGCTTCTTCCCAATCAATACTCCCTTCCCCTTGCTCAAAGGAAACTACCATCCTGATTTTCAACACTGTGGTTAGTTTTTAAACCTTATAAAAATGGAGTCATACAGTGTGTATTCTGTTGGTGGTTTCTTTTTGTTTTTGAAATTTGTTTATGTTGAATTGTGTGTGCTAGAGTTTATTTTCATTGCTGTATAATCAGTTCATTGTATGAATAAAATGCAATTTATTTTTCCATTTTACTGTTCCTGGATGTTTAGGTTGTTTCACTTTGGGGCTATTATGAATTATGCTGCTATGGAATTCTTGTATGTGTCTTTTGGTATACTCGCTGGGATTTTTATTTGAAATATGTTGTTTATAGGTAAGTGGGGAGAATGTAATCCCAGCATGTTGGGAGACTGACATTTGAGGATTGCCTGAGCCCAGGAGTTTGAGATTATAGTGAGCTATGATTGCACCACTACACTCCAGCCTGGGAGACATAGCGAGACCCTGTCTCTTAAAAAAAACAAACAGAAACAGTGGGTGGGAAAATACACATTTTTAAATATTGAGTCTTCCTATCCATTACTTTGTTTTATCTCTTCAATTAAATAGGTTTTCTTTAATGTCTTACAGAGTTTTGTGAATGTGTCCAGAAAAGTCATACAAATATTAGTTTTGTTCCTGGATATAATTTTTTTTTTTTTTGTAGATGTAAGTGGTATATATATATTTTTGAGACAGAGTCTCACTCTGTTGCCAGGCTGGAGTGCAGTGGCGCGATCTTGACTCACTGCAACCTCCGCCTCCCAGGTTCAAGTAATTCTCCTGCCTCAGCCTCCTGAGTAGCTGGGACTACAGGTGCGCAACACCACGCCCAGGTAATTTTTGTATTTTTAGTAGAGATGGGGTTTCACCATGTTGGCCAGGATGGTGTCTTGATGATCTCTTGACCTTGTGATCCGCCCGCCTTGGCCTCCCAAAGTGCTGGGATTACAGATGTGAGCCACCAGGCCCGGCCTTAAATGGTATATTTTTATACAATATTTTCTGTCCCATGCTGGTGTAAATAAATGTCAAGGCTTTTCAAAACCCCTATTTCTTTTCTACGTCTGTGTCCTCCATTTGGGATACGCTTTCTCTCTCTCACTCTTCTTGAAGCCTTTCCTAACTCATATTTAGTGTTAGATGCCCCTCTTTTGGTTTTCCCAGTTCCCAATTTTTTTTTTTTTTTTTTTTTTGAGACGGAGTCTTGCTCTGTCACCCAGGCTGGAGTTCTGTGGCGTGATCTCGGCTCACGGCAAGCTCTGCCTCCCTGGTTCAAGTGATTCTTGTGCCTCAGCCTCCTGAGTAGCTGGGATTACAGACATGCGCCACCATGCCCGGATAATTTTTGTATTTTTAGTAGAGACGGGATTTCACCATGTTGGCCAGGCAGGTCTCGAACTCCTGACTTCAAGTGATCCCCTCTGCCCCTGGCCTCAGCCTCCCACAGTGCTGAGATTACAGGCATGAGCCACTGTGCCCTGTTGCCCTTTATCAACCTACTTCATCACCCTATATTGTAATTGGAATTCTTTACTCAGCAATGAGTGAGCCTTTGAAAACTGAAATCAGACACTGCTACGCTACTCTCAAAACTCTTCAATGCTTTCCTGTGAGGCTTATGATGAAATCATAGTACTTATGATGTGGCCTTGGTATTCTCTCTGACATCATTTCTTTTTCTTTTTTTTTTTTTTTTTTGGGAGACAGTCTCGCCCTGTCACCCAGGCTGGAATGCAGTGGTATGATCTCAGCTCACGGCAACCTCTGCCTCCAGGGTTCAAGTGATTCTCATTCCTGAGCTACCGAGTAGCTGGGATTACAGGCGTACGCCACCACGCCAGACTGATTTTTAAATTATTTTTATTAGAGATGGGGTTTCACCATATTGGCCAGGCTGGTCTTGAACTCCTAACCTCAAGTTATTCGTCCACCTTGTCCTCCAAAATGCTGAGATTACAGACGTGAGCCACCATGCCCAGCCTCTCTCTCACATCATTTCTTACCCTTATCCCTTAGCTCCCAGGCACACTGACTTCTTGCTATTTCTTGAACACATCAAACCTATTCCTATCCCAGGGCCTTGTACTTGCTGTGCTTTCATTGAAGTTCCTGCACAAATGTCATTTCCTCAGGGAGGCCTTCCCTGCTTGTCTTCTCTAAAATAGCACCTCCTGTTACTCTTGATCCTGCTTTTTCTTCAAAGCCCTTATTATTATCTGTCATTGTGTGTGTGTGTATATGTGTGTGTTTGTGTTTATTGTCTATTTTCTCCTCTTTAATAGTTATTTCCTGAGGGCAGAAACTTTATTTTGTTCACTGGCATATACCCAACTCCTGGATCATAATAGGCACTCAATAAATATTTATTTATTTTATTTTATTTTATATATATTTTTTGAGATGGAGTCTCACTCTGTCGCCCAGGCTGGAGTGCAGTGGCACAGTCTCGGCTCACTGCAAGCTCCGCCTCCTGGGTTCACACCATTCTCCTGCCTCAGCCTCCCGAGTAGCTGGGACTACAGGTGCCTACCACCACGCCAGGCTAATTTTTTGTATTTTTAGTAAAAACAGGGTTTCACCGTGTTAGCCAGGATGGTCTCGATCTCCTGACCTTGTGATCCTCCCGCCTCGGCCTCCCAAAGTGCTGGGATTACAGGCGTGATCCACCGCGCCTGGCAATAAATATTTATTGAATGAATCAATGAATGGTTTACATGTTTGTTCCACTACAGGTAAGAACTCTGTTTTCTCAGTGGAGTAGAAGGCAGCTGTTGCTGTTGGACCCAAGGTGTTTGTGTATCTTCGGCCTTTTTCTCTGAAGTGTTTCCACTTAGCATATAAATTAACTGAAATCTTTCCCAGCAACTCTAACTTTCCCTTAGTGTTTAAGCTCCTGAAAGAATAGTTTACAGTCATTGCTTTCTCTACTTTCTCATATCCCAGAGACTCAACTGCTTTATGGCTTCTGTCACTACCTGTCTTCAGAAACTGCCATTGCCACAGTAATTTGTGTTCTTTTTGTTGCAGATCAAATAAGCCCTCTTTAGTCTTTATGCTACTTGACCTCTTTGCATCATTTGACATGGTTGGCTTCTCCCTCAGACTTGAAACTTTTCCTCCACGGATATCTACGACTTACCTTTTTCCGGCTTTTTAAACTCTACCTTTCCAGCGACTCCCTTTGCCATTCAGAGCTTTTGCTATCTTTCTCTGCCTACCTCTTAAATTTTGTTACTCTCCAGCATTCAGCTCTGGAGGAAAGAGGCTGGTAAGAAGATTGTTGTATTTTACAGTAGGTTTTTGCATGGTCATTTGTTTGGGAGGTAATGATAGGAGCAGAAATGAAAAATCTTTGAGAAGATTGTGAAATTGGAAAGTGTGGAGTTCTAGAACAGAATAAATTCTAGAGTTAGAGGAGGTGCTTTTTCATGAATGGGTGTACCGTGTGTTGAGAGAGTGGAGTGAGAAATGTACTTCTTTGATCTGTTTCACATAGAAGCATGTATCATATAGAAATTCAGTGGTGGCCGGGTACGGCGGCTCACGCCTGTAATCCCAGCACTTTGGGAGGCCGAGGTGGGTGGAACACTTGAGGTCAGGAGCTCAAGACCAGCCTGGCCAACATGGTGAAACCCCTCCTCTACTAAAAAATTAGCTGGGCGTGATGGCGGGTGCCTGTAATCCCAGCTACTTGGGAGGCTGAGGCAGGAGAATCGCTTGAACTGGGGAGAGGGAGGTTGCAGTGAGCTGAGATCACACCACTACACTCCAGCCTGGGTGACAAGAGCAAGACTCCATGTCAAAAAAAAAGAAAAAAATGGCCGGGCGTGGTGGCTCACGCCTGTAATCCCAGCACTTTGGGAGGCCGAGGTGGGTGGATCGCCTGAGGTCAGGAGTTTGAGACCAGCCTGGCCAACATGGTGAAACCCCGTCTCTAATAAAAATACAAAGATTAGCCGGGCGTGGTGGCAGGCGCCTGTAATCCCAGCTCCTTGGGAGGCTGAGGCGGGAGAATTGCTTGAACCCAGGAGGCGGAGGTTGCAGTGAGCCGGGAGATAGCGCCACTGCACTCCAGCCTGGGGAACAAGAGCAAGACTTCATCTCAAAAAAAAAAAAAAGGAATTCAGTGGGTTAGCAGAGGTACCTGTGGGGCAGTAGGCAGTCAAGGTCCCGACACCTTCATTTCCTAAACAGAACTTGGAGCCTTAAAGAGAGGAGGTGCCTTTGGCTAACCCAATCTTTACTGGCCTAATTGTAAAACGTTGATAAAAACTTTCAAGGTATATTTTAAAATATTACTCCTCTGTCTTCTAGGCTGAGAACTTAGGTCTAAAAGATAAAGTTGATCTGCTTGTGGATCCTATCTAGCCAGGGCTTGGAGAAGCCTGGAAACATCTGTCTAATGAACTAAGCCCTTAGGCTTCAGCTCAAGGAGTTCTGGCATCCATTGAATCAGTATATCATAATGGAAAGTGATTTCTTTTACTAATTATATATACCAGTTATTTTATATATATACCAATGATTTTATGTATATATATAAAATTGGTAAAAGAAATCACTTTCCGTTATTTTATGTGTATATATATATATTTATTTTATTTATTTATTTATTTATTTATTTTTCAAGACAGTGTCATGCTCTGTTGCCTAGGCTGGAGGATAGTGCTCACTGCGGCCTCAATCTCCTGGGCTCAAATATTCCTCCTGCCTCACCCTCCTGAGTAGTTGGGACTACAGGAGTGTGCCACCATGCCTGGCTCAGTTTTTATATTTTGTATAGACAGAGTCTTGCTATGTAGCCCATGCTGGCCCTGGCCTGTATTTCCTCTTTTGTGAAGTGGCAAGTTAAGTCTTTTGCCTACTCTTTCTATTGTATTGGTTTTTTTCTTTAATAAGAGTTCTTTAAATATCCGGAATACTAGTTTGTTGTTGCTTAAGTGTATTGCAGACATCTTCTCCCACTTTGGGGTTTGTCTTTTTCTTTCTCTTTATCCTGTCTTTTGATTAAGAATCTCTAAATTTAGCTGGGTGTAGTGTCTCATGCCTATAATCCCAGTGCTTGGGGAGGCCAAGGCGGGAGGATGGCTTGAGGCCAGGAGTTCAAGACCAACCTAGGCAACATAGCAAGACCCCCTCTCTCAAAAAAATGAGCTGGGCATGGTGGCTCATGCCTGTAGTCCCACCTACTCAGGAGGCTGAGGCAGAAGGATCACTTGAGCCCAGGAGTTCAAGGTTACAATGAACTATAATCATGCCACTGTACTCTAGCCTGGGTGACAGAGCAAGACCCCATCTCAAAACAAACAAACAAAACACAAAAAGAATTTCTAAATTTAATGTAATTTATATGAGTCTTTTATAGTTTATGAGTTTTGTGTCTTGTGTTTCTGGAAATAATTTTTCATATGGGAATAAGGTAAGACACAAGTTAATTTTTTTTCAAGTGGATTCCGTTTATTGAAAATACTCTTCTTTCCCCACTAATCAACAGAGCTACGTCTTTCATATATCAAGGACTTAGCTATGTGGGTATGTTTCTGAGCTTGCTATTTGGTTCCATTGGGCTATTTGTGTATTCCTGCCCTCACAGTTTTAATTACGATAACTGTAATAAGCCCTGTTGTATGGGAGAAGTAAGTCCTCCCACCTTGTTCTTGTTCAAGAGTTTCATTCTTGTCTGTTCTTGGTCATTTGCATTTCCATATAAAATTACTCAGGATTTTGATTGGAATTGCATTGCATCTATGAACCAACTTAGGAAGAACTGATATTTTTATAATATTATACTGTAAATACATATTTTCCACATTTATTTAGATCTTTTGTAAGGCCTCCCAATGGGTTTTTAAAATTTTTCTCTGTGATGATCTTACACATCTTTAGTTAGATTTGTTTTTAGACACTTTGTGTGTTTTAATGAGATTGTAAATGTTGCCTTTTACAAAAATTTTATTTTCTAAATGTTGTTGTTGATCTCAGATATTGTTCTGAGAGATGTAAAGGTGCAGTTCTATGTGTGTCTGTAATCTGAGGTGCTGGATAGGATTGGAAGAGCTATGTAAAGAAAAGTAAGCAGGAAAATGGGAGTGAAAAGGGCCTTTCCTCTTTCACAGTGGTTTTTCTCCTCCTTTATGTAAGATTTAAGAAGTACCAGTTTGTTTTCACATGTGCAGCCTGTGGAATAAAGGACAGATCATGTATTTTTTTCTGTAAGGGTACGAACTGTATCCTTTCATGCCACAATGTTGCACAAGAGGTTCTAATTAATTGCTGGGAGAAGTAAAAATTTTGAGTGGGCAGTTTCTGATCCAAATTACAGTATTTCTTGGGGAAAGGAAAGAGTTTTGTTAATTATATTCCTCAGAAAGCATGGTTTTCAAGGATTTTCTAGATTAGGTCGCCCAGTTGAAAATCCTCCAATCTTAGGCATGTCAATTGATTAAATGATTCTGTTTATAATGTGACTTAGAGAATTTCATGACCTACTTCATTCCAGTACTTAGAGATAATCAATTTCTCATTCTTACTTATTCATCACATGTTATGCTAGGCCCCTGGAGAATAGATACCAGATAGAGTTCCTGCTCTAACACAAAACAAAACAAAAGCAAAAGCCCAAATTCTAATGGATCTCATCTCCCAGAGAAAATCACTGTTAGTATATGGTTTATATCCCTCTAGTGTTCTTGCAAATGTGTGTTTTTAAAATAACTGAGCTAATACTACAGACCCAATTCTGTGTCCTGCTTTTTTCATATTACTGAAATATTTTTATAAGTAGCCTTTTTTAATGGGGTACATAACATTCTGTTCTGTGCCATCATTTATTTACTTTCTCCTTAGTTGGACAATTGAATCATTTTCTGTTTTTCACACTTACATTAATATTTGGATAAATATCTTTTAAAATTTTTTTGCATTTCAGATTATTTCCTTAGAAGTGGAAATATTGGCTTAAATAATTTGACCATTTTAATGTTGGAAAAATTATTCTGTGATTATTAAGATCTTAGCACTTAGCACTGTGTGCTAAGTATTGGAGAGAGAGTAATGAACAAGACAGATAAAGTTCTTATTGTCATGGAACTTCTATAATTCCATGAAAGAAAAAGACTCAACAAAGAGTTAGATGAGCTAATTCATGGTTACAAACTTTGGTAATTGCTTTTTAAAAAAACAAAAACACAAGATATTATAACAGAATAACAGATCTAATAGTGAGGGTTTTCATGTAGGGAAGGCTTCTTTGAGGAAGAGACATTTAAGCAGAGATCCAAAGCATAAGTAGTGGTTTGACAAATGAAAGAAGTAATAGCGTGTGTGAAGACAGGGGTAGGGGGTGGGAGGAGGAGGCAGAGGTTATTGGGGAAAATTGTCACAAAGGAACTGGAAGAGTACCAGTATATCAGTGGAGGGAGTTTGGGAGGAAGTGATGTGAAATGAGTACTTTATTTCAGACATAAAGTATGAATGAGCCATGATCGTGCCACTGCACTGCAGCCTGGGCAACAGAGTGAGACCCTGTCTTAAAATAAATAAATAAAAATCTTTAAAAAGTGAGCTTAAAATATAGCCATCACCTAGGCTGGATGCAGTGGCTCACGCCTGTAATCCCAGCGCTT
Source organism: Homo sapiens (assembly GCF_000001405.40). Lineage (NCBI taxonomy): Eukaryota > Metazoa > Chordata > Mammalia > Primates > Hominidae > Homo > Homo sapiens. The sequence continues at coordinate 40,541,926 of NC_000022.11, read as the reverse complement.
TGGGAGGCCGAGGCAGGCTGATTATGAGGTCAGGAGTTCAAGACCATCCTGGCCAACATGGTGAAACCCTGTCTCTACTAAAAATACAAAAATTTAGCTGGGCGTGGTGGCAGGCACCTGTAATCCCAGCTACTTGGGAGGTTGAGGCAAGAGAATCGCTTGAACCCGGGAGGCGGAGATTACAGTGAGCCGAGACCGCGCCACTGCACTCCAGCCTGGGCAACAGAGCAAGACTGTCTCAAAAACAAACAAACAGAAAATACACACACACACACACAGCCATCAGCTATCCTGGGTCTAAGGAATAATATACCTGTGGTAATGTGTGATCCTCCCAGGTTTACAGGTCTTGACTCAGTACTTCATCAGCAATAGGTTGTGGTCACAGGAAATGGAAGCTGCCTCAGGACCTGTAGCAACTTGCCTGCATGCTGGGTTATGTTATCTTTTGAGTGGTGCCCAATACGAGGTGTCTAGGGGAAAGTCTTAAGTGGTTGGAGCCCATGACATTTGGGTATGATGACTAGATTTTTTGTACAGCTGAGCCTCAATAAACTCATGCGTACACTTGTGAGAACTCAAATCAGAAATGGGCACAGAAACTGGATTACATTTCTGTGCTCTGAAATCCCACAGAGTTCATAAAAATACATTTGTTGCTTTTGTGTATACATGTGTAAGTTACATTTTATTATGGAAATTGATATTAGTGAAATTGACAGCTTTCTATGGTTAAAGATTATCCTGTAGGTGAGCCAAGGTTCTCTGTTTTTCTGATTTCTCTTATTCATTCCCTATAATTTCAGCATTTTCGTTCTCATTGACTTAATATTCCTGAGGGTATTATTGTGAATGTCTTTGTTTATGTTAACTCCATACTTCAATACTTTATGTAGTTTTCTAATAACACCTTCAGTATGTGTTCTAATGAAAATTTTAGCAGAGCACCTGCCCTTTCTGGGTAGGTAATTATTTTTTTTTGTTATGAACTTTTCCTATGCCATTTGAATTTCTGTGATAAATAAGGGCTTTTCATTCCACTTGGCACACATTTATGAATGCTGTCATGTATGTCAGACACTGAGCAAGATTTGAGAATGCAGAGGAATTTTTTGTTTGTATGTTTTTGGTTTTTTTTTTTTTTTTTTTTGAGACAGAGTCTCACTCTGTCACCCAGGCTGGAGTGTAGTGGCACCATCTCAGCTCACTGCAACCTTAACCTCACGCATTCAAGCAATTCTGCCTCAGCCTCCCAAGTAGCTGGGATTACAGGCATATGCCACCATGCCTGGCTAATTTTTGTATTTATAGTAGGGATGGGGTTTCACCATGTTGGTCAGGTTGGTCTCGAACCCCTGATCCACCCACCTCAGCCTCTCAAAGTGCTGGAATTACAGGTTTGAGCCACCGCGCTGCCTGGCTAGAATTAAGCCACGTGGTAAAGAACAATAATGGAGGCAGGCACAGGTGCTGGGGGAGCCTAAAGGAGGGGTAGTTAGCATATCCATGGAGGCTGTGAGAAAGGTGGGGAGAGTGCCAGGGATCAGAGAAGGCTTTATGGAGAAGGCAGCACCTTAAACTGAATTTTCAAAGAGAAATAACAATCAGTTGGTAACAAGGATGGTTTTTAGTAGAAACAAGGCCGAAGAGGAGGAGCACAGTGCTCAAGTACACACTACCACCTGTGAAATACTCCTTTCAAAAACTTTAACCTGGGCTGGGTGTGGTGGCTTACATCTGTAATCCTACCACTTTGGGAGGCTGAGGCGGGAGGATTGCCTGAGCCCAGGATTTCAAGAGCAGCCTGGGCAACATGATGACAACCCCCATCTCTACAGAAATTTTAAATATTAGCTGAGTATGGTGGCATGTACCTGCAGTCCCAGCTACTTGGGAGGCTGAGATGGGGGGATCGTTTGAGCCTGGGAGGTCGAGGCTGCAGTGAGCTGAGATCACTCCACTGTACTCTTGTCTGGGCAACAGAGTGAGACCCTGTCTGGGAAAAAAAAAAAAAAAAAAAAGATAACCGTGAAAATTTGAACACCGATTGTTTAACTGATATTAAGGAATTTATAAAATTTAAGTGTGAAAATATTATAGTTACGTTAAGAAAATAGTTGTCGTCGGCTGGGCGCGGTGGCTCGTGCCTGTAATCCCAGCACTTTGGGAGGCCGAGGCAGGCGGATCACGAGGTCAAGAGATCGAGACCATCCTGGCCAACATGGTGAAAACCCTGTCTTTATTAAAAATACAAAAATTAGCCAGGCGTGGTGGTGTGTGCCTGTAATCCCAGCTACTCGGGAGGCTGAGGCAGGAGAATCGCTTGAACCCGGGAGGCGGAGGTTGCAGTGAGCCGAGATCGTGCCACTGCACTCCAGCCTGGCTACAGAGAAAGACTGTCTCAAACAAAAAACACAAAAATTAGCCGGGCATGGTGGTGGGCGCCCGTAGTCCAGCTACTTGGGAGGCTAAGGCAGGAGAATCGCTTGAACCCAGGAGGTGGAGGTTGCAGTGAGCTGAGATTGTGCCACTGCACTCCAGCCTGGGCGACAGAGCAAGATTCTGTCTCAAAAAAAAAAAAAAAAAATTGTTAATAACTGCCAAAACTGTTAAACAACTTAAAACTAGGCTGGGTGCGGTGGCTTATGCCTGGATTCCCAACACGTTGGGAGGCCAAGGCTGGTGGATCACTTGAGGCCAGGAGTTCAAGACCAGCCTGGGCCAACATGGTGAAACCCCATCTCAACTAAAAATATATATAAAAATTAGCCAGGTGTGGTGGTGGGCGACTGTAATCCCAGCTACTTGGGAGGCTGAGGTATGAGAATCACTTGAACCTGGGAGGCGGAGGTTGCAGTGAGCCGAGATTGTGCCACTGCATTTTAGCCTGAGTGGCAGAGTGAGACTTTGTCTCAAAAAAAAAAAAAAAAAAAAAACAAAAGGCTGTGTATCCTGCAGTATAATGTCCCTTTAGAGTGAATTAATAGAGACTGTAGATCATATCAAATTTGTGTTGATTAGCTAGTTAGGATTAGAAGCAAACCTTTTGTTCTATTGGAAATTAAGATCATTATCTCTCATTTCCTTAGTGCTATTAACTTGAAGTCATCTTCATTTGTGCAGAGCCCTTGTTAAAGTTTACTTTAGTTCTTTTTCTATGAAGTGTTACTAATTTGCACAAAAAATAATGGAACTGAAGCTTTCACAGGGGTTCAGACTTTTAGAATTGTGAAATTTATTTTAAAGTCTGTTTTCACAATGAATGTTGCTGTGCTAATACTCTTGAGAGTAAATGCAAAATCTTAGCAATTGGGAAAGATTACATTGCTTCTTGTTTAATTTTTTTTTTAATTTATTTTTTTATTGATAATTCTTGGGTGTTTCTCACAGAGGGGGATTTGGCAGGGTCATGGGACAATAGTGGAGGGAAGGTCAGCAGATAAACAAGTGAACAAAGGTCTCTGGTTTTCCTAGGCAGAGGACCCTGCGGCCTTCTGCAGTGTTTGTGTCCCTGATTGCTTGAGATTAGGGATTGGTGATGACTCTTAACGAGCATGCTGCCTTCAAGCATCTGTTTAACAAAGCACATCTTGCACCGCCCTTAATCCATTTAACCCTGAGTGGACACAGCACATGTTTCAGAGAGCACAGGGTTGGGGGTAAGGTCACAGATCAGCAGGATCCCAAGGCAGAGGAATTTTTCTTAGTGCAGAACAAAATGAAAAGTCTCCCATGTCTACTTCTTTCTACACAGACACGGCAACCATCCGATTTCTCAATCTTTTCCCCACCTTTCCCGCCTTTCTATTCCACAAAGCCGCCATTGTCATCCTGGCCCGTTCTCAATGAGCTGTTGGGCACACCTCCCAGACGGGGTGGTGGCCGGGCAGAGGGGCTCCTCACTTCCCAGTAGGGGCGGCCGGGCAGAGGCGCCCCTCACCTCCCGGACGGGGCGGCTGGCCGGGCGGGGGGCTGACCCCCCCACCTCCCTCCCGGACGGGGCGGCTGGCCGGGCAGAGGGGCTCCTCACTTCCCAGTAGGGGCGGCCGGGCAGAGGCGCCCCTCACCTCCCAGACGGGGCGGCTGGCCGGGCGGAGGGCTGACCCCCCCACCTCCCTCCCGGACGGGGCGGCTGGCCAGGCGGGGGGCTGACCCCCCCACCTCCCTCCCGGACGGGGTGACTGGCCGGGTGGGGGGGCTGACCCCCCCATCTCCCTCCCGGACGGGGTGGCTGGCCGGGCTGAGGGGCTCCTCACTTCCCAGTAGGGGCGGCCGGGCAGAGGCGCCCCTCACCTCCCAGACGGGGCGGCTGGCCCAGCGGAGGGCTGACCCCCCCACCTCCCTCCCGGACAGGGCGGCTGGCCGGGCGGGGGGCTGACCCCCCCACCTCCCTCCCGGACGGGGCGGCTGGCCGGGCAGAGGGGCTCCTCACTTCCCAGTAGGGGCGGCCGGGCAGAGGCGCCCCTCACCTCCCAGACGGGGCGGCTGGCCCAGCGGAGGGCTGACCCCCCCACCTCCCTCCCGGACAGGGCGGCTGGCCGGGCGGGGGGCTGACCCCCCCACCTCCCTCCCGGACGGGGCGGCTGGCCGGGCAGAGGGGCTCCTCACTTCCCAGTAGGGGCGGCCGGGCAGAGGCGCCCCTCACCTCCCAGACGGGGCGGCTGGCCGGGCGGAGGGCTGACCCCCCCACCTCCCTCCCGGACGGGGTGGCTGGCCGGGCTGAGGGGCTCCTCACTTCCCAGTAGGGGCGGCCGGGCAGAGGCGCCCCTCACCTCCCGGACGTGGCGGCTGGCCGGGCGGGGGGCTGACCCCCCCACCTCCCTCCCGGACGGCACGGCTGGCCAGGCGGGGGACTGACCCCCCACCTCCTCCCGGACGGGGCGGCTGGCCGGGCGGGGGGGCTGACCCCCCCCCACCTCCCTCCCGGACGGGGTGGCTGCCGGGCGGAGACGCTCCTCACTTCCCAGATGGGGTGGCTGCCGGGTGGAGAGGCTCCTCACTTCTCAGACGGGGCGGCTGCCGGGCGGAGGGGCTCCTCACTTCTCAGACGGGGTGGTTGCCAGGCAGAGGGTCTCCTCACTTCTCAGACGGGGCGGCCGGGCAGAGACGCTCCTCACCTCCCAGACGGGGTCTCGGCCGGGCAGAGGCGCTCCTCACATCCCAGATGGGGCGGCGGGGCAGAGGCGCTCCCCACATCTCAGACGATGGGCGGCCGGGCAGAGACGCTCCTCACTTCCTAGATGTGATGGCGGCTGGGAAGAGGCGCTCCTCACTTCCTAGATGGGATGGCGGCCGGGCGGAGACGCTCCTCACTTTCCAGACTGGGCAGCCAGGCAGAGGGGCTCCTCACATCCCAGACGATGGGCGGCCAGGCAGAGACACTCCTCACTTCCCAGACGGGGTGGCGGCCGGGCAGAGGCTGCAATCTCGGCACTTTGGGAGGCCAAGGCAGGCGGCTGCTCCTTGCCCTCGGGCCCCGCGGGGCCCGTCCGCTCCTCCAGCCGCTGCCTCCCGGGCGGCGCTCGCCGGCGCCGCGGCAAAGACTGAGACAGCTCCGCTGCCCGCTGAACTCCATCCTCCCGGCGGTCGGGCGGCGGCGGCTTCGGCCCATTTATTTATTTATTGAGACAGGGTCTTGCTCTGTTGCCCAGGCTGGAGTTTAGTGGGGTGATCACAGCTCACTGTAGCCTGGAACTCCTGGGCCCAAGTGATCCTCCTGCCTCAACCTCCCAAGTAGCTGGGACTACAGACAGGCATCACCATACCTGGCTTTTTTTCTTTTTCTTTTTTTTTTTTTTGGTAGAGATGGGGTCTTGCCATGTTGCCCAACCTGGTCTCTAACTTCTAGTTTCAACCCACCCTCCCGTTTGGCCTACGAAAGTAAGTGCTTCTTGTTTAATTTTTTAAAGATTACTGTTTAAAAAATTGTTTTTCTTTTATTTAGGTCTTTTTACCTCAAAGTGCCAGTGAGATAGTGGGTGTGGAATTGCTAAGAAAAAGTCAAATCAACTGAGATGTTATGTTTATTTGTTATTCCTATCACATGACTCTCAATATCTCCTGTGGTGCTGGAGTATTGACACTGTGGCATTACATGCTCTCTTCTATGGCGAACAGTTTTGGCAGGAGGGAGACAGCCAGCCCTCTGCCCTTCCTACCATCTTCTGTGCAGGAATCTTAAAGTTTATATTTATTTTCCTGTAAATACCGAACTGTGAAAACTTGTTTCATTTGAAAACCCTCATTACTAGAGAGACAAAGTAAATTTAACAAAGACCAGGTGTGGTGGTTCAGGCCTGTAATCCCAACACTTTGGGTAGCTGAGGCAGGGGGATCACTTGAGCTTAGGAGTTCGAGACCAGCCTGGGCAACATGGTGAAACCCCATCTTTACTAAAAATACAAAAGTTAGCTGGGTGTGGTGGCATATGCCTGTAGTCCCAGCTACTTGGGAGGCTGAGGTAGGAGGATCGCTTGAACTTGGGAGGTTGAGGCTGCAGTGACCTGAGATCATGCCATTGTACTCAGTCTGGGGGACAGAGTGAGACCTAGTCTCAAAAAGAAAAAAAAAAAAAAAAAGAAAAAACCTCTCACACAGCAAATTATACAGCCCACATAAGGACCAAGGAATGACTCAATCTTCTCAACCTTTTAGGGATGCTTTTCCCTTAGTTGCTAACCTTTGACCAGACTGTCATGTAGACTCAAAGTTGAAATTTACCCGTTTTTCCTAAGTCAGTTTGAAAATTTGGTTGCCAGAAGGGGCCAGTGAGATGCTTCTGCTTTCCCAGAGCAGCATTTAGCCCACACTGGCTGCTACTCATTGCCTGTTGAGTCATTCCCACAGTTCTATATAGAGCTTTTCTGGCTTTTCTTTTAAACATGATGTTCTTGGAGTGAGAAAGGAAGGAAGTTTTTCTCTCTTGTACTGAGTCTCCCTCACCCCAAATTTGCATTGCTTCTCTTTACTAATAACAAAATATTGCCTTCAGTCATTCTGAGACTATTTTCTCTCTTAAGGTCTCCTACTGCTTTTATTTACCATTTGTTTACTATGTAAGCATTAAGGTATTCGCTGGGCTATTGGCAGCAGCCAGCTTTCACATACAGGCTGATAGTTAACGAGAAAGATTGAAGAATTCTAGATAAACACACCAAACATGGATTCTTAGTTTCCAACTTTAAAAAATTCAGTCAGATAGACTGAAAGTAATCTTAATATCATTGTTATGAATATCAGTTAATGAAAGGTGCTGTGGGGAGCAGTGGCTCATGCCTGTAATCCCAGCACTTTGTGAGGCTAAGGTGGGCAGATCGCTTGAGCCTAGGAGTTTGAGACCAGCTACTCAGGAGGCTGAGGTGGGAGGAGCACTTGAGCCTGGAAGGTCGAGGTTGCAGTAAGCCACATTTGCACCACTGCATTCCAGTCTGGGCAACGGAGTGAGACCCTGTCTCAAACATACAAAAAAAGTAAATGAAATCAAATAACATCAGTATACTGTCTATTCACAGACCGTATGTCTAATATAGGCACAAGTAAGAGGCTCTTTTAGGGGACTGACAGATCTGAAAGACAGATTACAGCTCTGGAATGTATTCAGATGACTTTTTGAAACAGATATTTTAATTGGAGTGGGGGTGGAGAAATAGTTGAGCTTCTGTAGTTAAATGTTCAACTTCCTTAGCCTGTTATCTATAAATACCACATATAAAAAAGCCGTTGGAATTCTTTTTCAGAAAATTTATGGAGCTTACATTTTGTATATATGTGTTTATATGTGTTTAATCTTCTTCCCCACCTCTCATCAATGGGTCAGTAATTGGACTGCTTCTTTCATGAGCTTGAGTTGTTTGGATTGTGTTTAATCTGTTCCACTAAACTGCATTAACAGCAGTCTCTTATAGTGGGATTTTGAACAAAACCTCATCTTCTCTTCTTGAGAGGAAAAAAGCAGTTGATCTGTTTTCTGAAAGTCTCTTTATATATGTCTCTCCCCTCCCCCAGAGACGAATAGCAAGGGGAGGAGCTTGCTCACTGTTCTAACCACACTTAGTATGTCTTAACTGGAGAGCTTTTTGGTTTCCTGTCGGCAGTAATTCAAATCTGTGTCATCTTGACTCGCCTGAAGGGTGGATAAATTGGTAACTGCACTGAGAAGGGGATATTCTCACAGTCTGATTTGAGCATAAGGCATCAGATTGAATTTGTGAAAGCTTTCAAGACAGCTTTTCTCCTGTGACTTTGACTTTCTTCATTATATTTGTGGATTTTTGTTTCTGGAAGAATCCGTCATGACTCTACTGGAACCTGAGATGTTAATGATGGCAGTACAGTCAGGTAATTCACATAAATCCTAATTTCCTAACTTGCTAATAATTTCCTACAAATCTTATTTGCCACAGGCTTCTTTAAAAAAAATGGGTCATATTTGTACTAGGAGTGGACAGAAATGGGGAGGAAGAAATGTACTGCATTTTCAGTTTTTTATTAATTTTTCTCTCATTGCAAATTCTAGTTATTCTGACAGCTTTGAATTAGATGGTTACTGGTTTTAAGATTATTCAGTTGCGGAGACCTGTTTGAGAAAAAAAACTCTTTGTCTTCTTTAATCAAGTGTTGTATTGTCTGTGGCACTGTTTTAAATGAAAGACAATTAAATTGCTTTGCTGTTTTATACATTGTTGTCTTTAATCACTAGTCTAGACTCTATGTTTTTATGAAAGCATCTTTAAATTTTTTTTCTTAGCTGTTCTTTCTTGTTTGTGGTATAACCTTTCTGTACCATCTTTTGGTTCTGTGGAAATGCCCTTAATAACACATAGGATTAGGACTAAATTTTGGAGATGGGTAAGTTTGAGCAAAGAGTCAGTCAACACAGGGGAGGATTTTTGAAATTTTATCTCTAAAAACAGTTTTCCAATTCAGAGTTTTTAAAACCCTTTTAAAAATATAGTTAGTTTTCAGTGGTTTCTTTTACTTTTAGTGTTTTTACACTTGGAAGTCAGATATCTAAAAATAGGGAATGTTCTTTTGCTATTTTTAGATCTCTACTAAAATGTAATCTGTAGTGTTTTCTTGTTTCAGAGCATATCTTAAAAGATTCAGACAAGTGGCATTTGGGGACCTCTTCCCCATCCACTGGCTTTCACTCAAAGGAAAATAAGACTTCTTGGTTCTGGCAGATACTGTCTCTGGCAGAATTGGTCTCACTGTTTTCCTTGGGGAGCATTTTAGGTAGTATGTTGAAAGACAGATATACATCAGTTGAAGACAGGATCAGATGCTATCTGGTTAATAAAGCTTATGATCAGGGAAGGGGCAAAGAAGACAGATACCACTACCATTTTGTTCTTTCTGGTTTTACTAATATGACCATAATGAGTCATTTTTTATGCATATAGGCTATGTGTTTCAGGTTGCCTTTCCTTTTCCTCCTACAGATCTATTGAGCTTTGTGTTCTAAACAAGATAGTGTGCTTATCTGAATGTTTCCCATCTGTCTTTGATGAAAAAGCTCCCAGTTAAACTAATTTGGATTTATTTATTTTTCCTGTCTATTCCAGTTCTCTGCTATGTGTGGGCAAGTGCCTGTTTTATCTTGAGGGGTAGATTTTAGCATTTGAACTCTCTCCCTTTTTAAAATCACCTTGTTACTTACAGATCATCTCAGTCCAGTAACTTTTCTTTATAAAGGTTAAAAGATTGTTTGCTTTCTTCTCAGGTAGTCTCAGTGTTCTCAGCCTTGAGAGGGAAAGGGACATACTTAATATTTTCTTGTCTTGCTTGCTAAGAGCTGTTTTTCCTTCGTCATGTGTTGGGCAGGGCTAGCCACCCATCTGTTGGACCAGCTACTTCATAAAACTTTCAAAGGATGATAGTAGGTGAAATGAAATTGACAAGAGTGTTGGATGCAGGTAGAATGAAGGGTCTGCTGTAGCGTGTATGTGGACTTCTTTCTTTTGTTTATGTTCGTAAAAGTGGAGAGACTCTGGATATAGAAAGGGTAATAGCAAACTGATATCTCCAGTACCTGTCTCCTATATGATCAAAAACATTAACAATGTGTTGGTTTTGTAAAATTGCTACTGTTTTGTTCTGAAGTGCTGTAGCCATTAGCTGGATTGTAACAGTAATATGACAGCTGTATAGTAAAATACTGTCTCTCTTTATGATAGGAAATGAAAAAGCATCTGTTATGAAGCCTCAGTGAACTAAAAGCCATTCTCTGAAAAGTCAAGACTTTTGGGCTTTATCAGTAGATAAACATGAGCCATAGGTTTTCTAGCAATAGAATATTTTAACCTATATGAATATATGCTTTATAGGTGAGACTGCTATTTAATGAGAGTTTTAAAGTAACTAAACCTTGTTGACAGAATTCAGGATGGAAAGTTTTACCCTAAATAAAACTTCAGGATATTGAATATGATAGCAAAGTTCCAGGGTATGTTTTATATTTATGAACAATTTTCATTTGAATATTTGGAGCTTGGGGGTTTTGGTGAGACATGTTCATGTATGTTATATACAAACTTTCAGGCCTGGCATGGTGGCTCACACCTGTAATCCCAACACTTCAGGAGGCTGAGGCAGGAGGATCGCTTAAGCCCAAGAGTTCAAGACCCATCTCTACAAAAAATTAAAAAAAAAAAAAAAAAAAAAAAGCCAGGTATGATGGTGCCCACCTGTAGTCAGAGCTACTTGGGAAGCTGAGGTGGGAGGATCGATTGAGCCCAGGAGGTCGAGGCTGCAACAAGCTATGATCATGCCATTCTACTCCAACTGGGGCGACAGAGCAAGATTCTGTCTCAAAAAATAAAACTTTCATCCTCCTCACTGCTGGTGGTCTCTTACTGGTCCTTTGGAACCAGCCAGATGTATATGTCTTCCTAATTAGATTATTAGCTTCTCAAGGGCAATATATTAATCTATATATTGGCTTCTGATACTGGCACATGGTACTTAGTATTTTTGAATGAATGAGAGTGATGAAATTTGGATTGTCATACTTTCCCTGATAAGTATAAGCTTTTAAATCAAGATTTTATCGAAGTATTTTGAGATCTGTTCTTATATTAAGAAATGAATCTTCTACCCACCATCCTGTATTTTAGCCAATCCTTGTCCAAAGCAGATGTTGTTGAAAAATAGCTTTCAAAGTTGGAATTCTTCTGCATCTCAGAATGTGCAGTATGTCATGTCTGCCTGTGATGTTTATTGCTGAATCTAAGTGTTCTAATCAAACCACAGTTAGAGCTTTTCTCACTACTATGGAAACATATCTGAATCATTTTGTTTAGATAATTAATGATCTAAGATGGACATTATGGGGCCGGGCGCGGTGGCGCACGCCTGTAATCCCAGCACTTTAGGAAGCCGAGGCAGGTGGATCATTTGAGGTCAGGAGTTCAAGACAAGCCTGGCCAACATGGTGAAACCCCATCTCTACTAAAAATACAGAAATTAGCCAGGTGTGGTGGTGCATGTCTGTAGTCCCAGCTACTTGGGGGGCTGAGGCAGGAGAATTGCTTGAACCTGGGAGGCAGAGGCTGCAGTGAGCTGAGATTGTGCCACTGCACTCCAGCCTGGGCGACAGAGCGAGACCCTGCCTCAAAACAAAAACAAAAACAACAAAACAAATAAGATGGACATTATGGAATTTCAGAAGCTAAGTCTTAGGGAATATTGGGGCATGGTACTGACTCTGGTGTGTTTTAGAATGGAGAAATGCTAGGACTTGGCTCTTGACAGCTAATGTGTAAGGCTTTGACTAGACAGGCCCTAAGGTGTATCCATCTAGTGCAGTCCTCTTAGTTATAACAACAGCAGGACAGAATTCACTTGTAGAGAAAACAGTTGAGACAGTTCCTTAGGTATGCTTTGGTCCCACGACATAAATCTGATCTTAATGAGGCATAGTTAGGGAGTCACTTTGTTTTTTCTCTCTCTGTCTTGTGCATGTATGTATGCACACCCACACATTTGTCCATGCACAGGATGTCTCTGGAAGGACCACAGAAGCTGGTAACCCTGGCTGCCTCAATAAAGGGGAATAGAGAACTGGGGGACTGGGGTGGAAGAGACTTTTTGTTGTTATGATTATTAGAGTACTCCATAAATGCCAAAGAATATATAAAGTATTATAAGATTTGATTAATGCACACCTACTAACCAGCCTAAGAAATACAGCACAACCTATACACTCAAGTTTTCTAAGTGTTCTGTTTGATTTATCCTTCAGAAAATGCTTTTAAACTGTGTACTTTAAAATCTTTTTGGTTTTATACCACATACATGTTATCTATTTGAAAATATTTGTTTTATTATTAAAAATATTTCTTCAGCACTTTGGGAAGCTGAAGTGGGCAAATCACTTGAGGTCAGGAGTTCGAGACCAGCCTTGCCAACATGGTGAAACCCCATCTCTACTAAAAATACAAAAGTTAGCCGGGCATGGTGGTGGGTGCCTGTAATTCCAGCTACTTGGGAAGCTGAGGCAGGGGAATCTCTTGAACCCAGGAGGTGGAGGTTGCGGTGAGCCGAGATCGCACCACTGCACTCCAGCCAGGGCGACACAGCAAGATTCCATCTCAAAAAAATAAAAATAAAATATTTCTTCAGTCCATTTAGTCTCTCTTTTCCTTGATACCTGTGTACTTAAAATTCCTGCATTTTTTTAACTTCTATTTCCCTAATCATTACAGTTTGTTTCTGCACTGTATGTTTTAGAATAGTATGGGTCAAGAGGGGAGTGGCAATTAATAAAAATGAGGTTAAAAGGAAGTATCATAGGGCAGATTGTGGACATATAAGTTTTTCCCTTTTTGATAGTATGTTAATTCTTTAAGGAAGGTGCCCCATTTGGGTTCACATCACTCACAGGTCTGTAGAACTGACGAAAAACTCCAGATTGCACTAGCAATACCTACTTTTTGGATCTCTTAATGCTCTAAATCTTTTGGCAAGGGCTACAATGGAAGAAGAAGAATTGTCTTGGAATACATTAACACTAACGATAGCTGATGAGCTTTTAAAAAATTGCAAAAAAAAAGAATCTCATAATGTTTTAAGAAAGTTTACAAATTTGTGTTGGGCCACATTCAAGCCATCCTAGGCTGCAGGATGGGCAAGCTTGCTCTAAATATTAATGTAGCCTTTAAAAAAACATACTTTTTTTTTTTTTTTTTTTGAAGCAGAGTTTCACTCTTATTGCCCAGTCTGGAGTGCAATAGCACGATCTCGGCTCACCGCAGCCTCCACCTCCCGAGTTCAAGCGATTCTCCTGCCTCAGCCTCCTGAGTAGCTGGGATTACAGGCATGTACCACCATGCCCTGCTGATTTTGTATTTTTAGTAGAGACGGGGTTTCTCCATGTTGGTCAGGCTGGTCTCGAATTCCTGACCTCAGGTGATCCGCCCGCCTCTGCCTCCAAAAGTGCTGGGATTACAGGTGTGAGCCACCACGCCTGGCCACTTAGTTTTATATTTAAGGGATTTTAGAGTTTGAGAGAAACCTTAGGTAGAAAATTCTTGCCCTCCACTTTAAGATGAGGAAATTTACCCATTTCAAAGAAACCATCAGAGGCCTCTAATAAATGAGATTGTTTATAATTTTTCCCAAAGATCTTGGTTTTCTTTGGGCTTTTCCATTGCAGGATTCTGTCACTACTCAGAATGACTCACATCTTAGGAGGTGGAGATAAAAACCAGTGCCTGGGTATTCACCTTCCACCCGCTGGGAAGTGGAGTCAGAATGCGACAGGCCTCATAATTCTCCAGTGGGCCTCCATCTTATCTTACTCTGTATTCCCTGGTCTTGGTGATCTCATACTTTAATGATGATCTCAGAAGACAGGTAGGTAGACAGACAGCTGTTGTCATCAGTATTCTGGCTTACATCTTCCTGCCCCTTCTGTGACTCATTGATTTATCTGAAGTCCCCTTAGAGTTAGGACGCGGATCAAAGAAATTTGAATTCATTTGTCAGTCTGCATCTTTTTTTTTCCTCCTTTTTGTTTCTTTTTGGATGAGGCAAGCTGTCAAGACCAAGAACTACAGTTTTAGCTTTATTAAAACAGTGCCAAATTAAATAAAGACGAGACTCATAAAGTCTTGTTTTTTTGGAACTTCACTTTTATGATTACCACATGCTTTTTTTTTTTTTTTTTTAAGATGGAGTCTTGCTCTGTCACCCAGGCTGGAGTGCAGTGATGCGATCTCGGCTCACTGCAAGCTCCACCTCCTGGGTTCACTCCATTCTCCTGCCTCAGCCTCCCAAGTAGCTGGGACTACAGGCGCCCACCACCATGCCCGGCTAATTTTTTTTGTATTTTTAGTAGAGACAGGGTTTCACTGTGTTAGCCAGGATAGTCTCGATCTCCTAACTTCGTGATCTGCCCACCTCAGCCTCCCAAAGTGCTGGGATTACAGACGTGAGCCACTGCGCCTGGCCCACATGCATTATTTTTTAAAAAGATTTTCTTTATAACGACAAGGAAAATAATGCTAAAAAACCACTCTGCCATCAATGACAAAAAAAAAAAACTCCACTTTCTTTGCCTTGCACTCGTCAAGCTAAAGGGCAGTATCAGGCTGAGCTCATGGTATCAGAGGTCTGGGGCATTAATCTCATGGCAAAGTCGCATAAATGGCTGATGGTGGCAGTATGGTGAGTATAGAGGGCCTAGAAAAGAGGACTATGTGACAACTACATAGTGCAAACAAACTCAGTAGTGAAATTTTTATAGTCTGTCATAATTTAAAAGTATTTGTGTGTGTGTGTGTGTGTGTGTGTGTATCTTTGAGGCGAGGTCTTGCTCTGTCATCTAGGCTAGAGTGCAGTAGTGTGATCATGGTTCACTGCAGACTCAACCTTCCTGGCTCAAGCAATCCTCCCATCTCAGCCTCCCGAGTAGCTGGACCACAGGCGTGTACCGCTGCACCCCAGTATTTTTTTTCTCCTCCCCTGCCCCAATAAGTTTTTTATTTTTTGTGGGAATGAGATCTTGGTGTGTTGCCCAAGCTGGTCTCAAACTCCTGAGCTCAAGCAGTCCTCCCACCTCTGCCTCCCAAGGTATTAGGATTACAGGTGTGAGCCACTGCTCATAATCCCCTTAGCCTTAGGTATATTGTTTGATTTTCACAACAACTTTTTGCAGTGTCTGTATCTTCACAATTTACAGAGGAAACTGAGGTTCAAAAGCTTAAGGACACACAGTAAGAGATGGAACAGGTGTTTAATTCAGCTTTTTGAGTTTAAACACGATTACATTATCCATTTAAAATTAATCAGGTCATATCCCTCCTTGCTCAGAACCTGCCAGTTATTCTCATTCACTGAAAAAGCCACAGTCCTTATACTCGTCTACAAAGTCCCACATGAACTGCTTTGTAACTCTTATTTTATCTGCTTCTCTTCTCTCCCTTGCTTGTTTTACCCCAACCATATTGGCTTTGTTTGTTGTCCCTGAGCACCTTAGCTCGCATATCAGGGCTTTTGTACTTGTTATTCCTTCTATTTAGAGCACGTTTCCCTGAGTAGCCTCATGGCTTGTTCCCGCATCACCTTGAGATTTTTGATCAGATGTTACTTTTGGGCCTGTTATGGTGGCTCACACCTATAATCCCAGCGCTTTGGGAGGCCGAATGGGGAGGATCACTTGAAGCCAGGAGTTCAAGGCTAGTCGGGCATCATGGTGAGATGCTGTCTCTGTGAAACAGCAACAACAACAACAACAACAACAAATTAGCCAGGCATGATGGCATGTGCTTGTAGTACCAGCTACACAGGAGGCTGAGTGGGGAGGATCAGTTGAGCCCAAGAATTTGAGGTGGCAGTGAGCTATGACTGTGCCACTGCACTCCAGCCTGGGTGACAGAGCAAGACCATGTCTCTTAAAAAAAAAAAAAAGTTACTTTTTTAGTTAGGCGCACTCCCTGACCATCCTATTTTGTAAAACCTTGCTTTTATTTTCCTTCATACCACTTATTTGCAGAATAGATAGTTCATTTGTTTATTGGTTGTGGCTGTCTCTTCGTAGAATGTAAGTGCCACAAGGAGGATTTTTTTTTTCCTCTTTGATTCTCTGCCTTGTGTATAAGAATACTTCGTGTATTGTAAGCACTTAATAATTGTTGAATGGGTGATTTAGCAAAATCATTAGGATATTTTTTAGGTTAAGTATGTTCCTGAGACCATGCCTTGTAAATATTTGTATAGCGTGCCCTAACTGAAGAGGCACTACAGTATAGAGCATTGTTTTCAAAGTGTGGTCTGAGGACCCCTAGGTGTCCTTGAAACATTTTCAGTGGGTATGAATCAAAATTTTATGTATTTATACTAAAATGTAATTTCCCTTTCTTACTGTTGTTCTTTCATAAGTGTACATTGTAGTTTTGGTTTTTTATATTTTTATAATTTTTTTGTGAGACAGGGTCTTGCTCTGTCGCCCCCTGCTGGAGTGCAGTGGTGGGATCTCGGCTCACTGTAACCTCTGTCTCCCGGGCTCAAGCAAACCTCCCCGACAGCTTCCTGTCTAACCCAGGAGTTCAAGACCAGCCTGGGCAACATAGCAAGATTCCATCTTTACAAAAAATTTTTTAAAATAATTTTTAAAATGTGGAATAATGTTTACCACTTATCTCTATAATTCTAGAAAAGTGGCTTTGAGGCTATACACCAGAATATGAATAACTTTCTCTGAGTAGTGAGATTTCATAGGGGACATTATATTTTTTCCATCTTTTGGGTTTTCCTGTATCTTTCTGATTTTCTATGATGAGCATACATTTCTTTTGTATTCCAATAAAGCTTATGTTGGCTGGGCACAGTGACTCACCCCTGTAATCCCAGCATTTTGGGAGGCTGGGGCGGGCGGATCACTTGAGGCCAGGAGTTTAAGACCAGCCTGGCCAGTATGGCGAAACCCCATCTCTACTAAAAATACAAAAAAATTAGCTGGGTGTGGTGGCCCATGCTTGTAATCCCAGCTACTTGGGAGGCCGAGGCAGGAGAATTGCTTGAACCTGGGAGGTGGAGGTTGCAGTGAGCCGAGATTGCGACATTGCACTCCAGCATGGGTGACAAGAGCAAAACTCTGTCTCAAAAACATACACACGCACACGCACAAAAATAAATAAAGCTTATGTTAAATTGTGTGTATGCACATACACAGGTAGGTACAGTTAAAAGAGGAAGAAGATGGATGGAAGCATAATGATTAGGAGATAGAGCTGTTAATTTGGAACCTCTGCAGTCAAAGTGCTCCCTCCACTGACCAAATACTGCATGATAAGGAGGCACTCCATCTCATTAAACTGTTCCCTCTGACCAGTTGAGTTTGTATAAATCTCTTTTACATTTTTGCCTTTGTTTCTATTTTGTAAGACTTATTGAAATTTATCTTTGCAGTGTTTGTGTTAGGCCATGTTCTTGGCAGAGCTGTGGCTCCTTCCTGTGTACACTCATTTACTCTCAATTTGCTGAACCTCTCAGAAGTTTTCTGTCAAAAAACAACACGTTAAATTTTTTGTTTGCTTTTGTTGGGTAAGAATAATCTGATTTGTTGTAGGCATAAAATGGTGGTGTTAGTATACAATGTTTTAATTATTTTTTTGTGTAGCTTTTATTTTTGAGCCAGGGTCTCACTCTGCTGCCCAGGGTGGAGTGCAGTGGCATAATCACAGCTCATTGCAGGCTGGACCTCCCCAGGCTCAGGTGGTCCTCCCACCACAGATTCCTGAGTAGCTGGGACTGCAAGTGCACATCACTAGGCCCAGCTAAAAAAATTTTTTTTAATGAGAGACAGGTTTTCACTATGTTGCCCAGCCTGTTTTAATTTTTTGAAAGTGCATTTCTGCAATATATTTTGCTCATTGACTATAGGGTGTGAAAATTGTCCTTAACAATTCATGATGCTGTATCTTTCTGATTTTCTGTTTTTCTGTTTTTCCTTGCAAATAGGATCTTGAGGAACTAAAATATTAATTAAACTTGATTTTTTGAACTGTTTTCTTAGTATATTCTCTTGGGAATCGATAAGATTATATTCCTCAAATCAGTGCCATAAGACTAATTTATTTGGTTATGTAAAGTACTGAAAACTTAGGTATCAACATTAATTAGGTTACTCAAACAGATACTATGTCCGTATTCTTCTAATACCTTGCTACTCAAAGTATGTTCCAAGGTCTGGCAGCCTTTGTATCACCTGGAAGCCTATTAGGAATGCAGAATCTCAGACGCCACCTCAGACCTGCGGAATCACAATCTGTTTTAAAAAGATTATTTGCCGGGTGCAGTGGCTCACAGCTGTAATCCCAACACTTTGGGAGGCCAGGGTGGGCAGATTGCTTGATGTCAGAAGTTTGAGACCAGCCTAGGCAACATGGTGAAACCTCATCTCTACAAAAAATGCAAAAATTAGGCAGGCATGGTGATACACACCTGTAGTCCCAGATACTTAGGGGGCTGAAGTGGGAGGCTCACTTGAATTTGGGAGGTCAAGGCTGCAGTGAACCGTGTTTGCACCACGGTATTCCAGCTGGGCCACAAAGTGAGACCCTATCTCAAAAAAAAGATTGTCACATGCATATTAAAGTTGAGAAGTTCAGTTCCAAAAGATATTTTATTTTTATTTCCCAAGATGCTATGAGATGTGTTGGATTTATATGTGGGATTTATATGATGTCTAATTAGTATGGAAGAATAGGGTAAAACAGGAAACAAAAAAGAAAACCTGCTCCTGGTATAGTTCTCTGTGTTAGATAAACGTTCACAATTTGACAACTTTTTTTTTTTTTTGCCATTTTTCTTCATTTTTCAAAGAAAGAACAAATAGGCTTATTTTTGGCATTCTAGAATGTTTAACTGGGAAGGATCTTAGACATGACCTGATAACAAACCTTGGTTTTACAGGTGAACAGACGGGGGGCTAAGAATGTTAAGTGACTTACCCAAGATCATATAGCGTGGACTCCCTGTGACCTGATTTTCAAACTACTGATCTTTGGAACTCCTGTGCTACCCCTCTGTGTTGCTGAAGGCCATCTATTCTTAGTTGGTTCTATTGATGTTGGTTGAAACCATCCCGAACATACCTGTGGCTAGGCACAGTGGCTCACGTCTGTAATCCCAGCACTTTGGGAGGTTGAGGGGGGCGGATCACTTCAGGTCAGGAGTTGGAGTCCAGCCTGGCCAACATGATGAAACCCCATCTCTGCTAAAAATACAAAAATTAGCAAGGCATGGTGGTGCACACCTGTGACTCTAGCTACTCGGGAGGCGGAGGCAGGAGAATTGCTTGAACCCTGGAGGCAGAGGTTGCAGTGAATTGAGACCACACCACTGCACTCCAGCCTGGGTGACAGAGTGAGACCCTGCCTCAAAACAAAACAAAACAACCATCCTGCACAATTATGAGTGAGAGTAAATCCAACACATCTCACAGCATCTTGGGAAAATGATAAGGCTCACTTTCTTCTTTCCCTTCAGTGTGAACTCATGTAATAACTTCAGAGAAAGGCATTTCCCTGCTGTCTGGAAGTTGAACTCCTTCTACAAACTGGTGGAGCTTGCTGCCCAGTCCTGTGCCCTCCGAGCTGAGGGGAAGGCGTGGGGATTTTCTGTTCTACTGAAATGGCAGGATTATGTCATAGCAGTGGTTTTGAGTGTTTAGAGGTAGTGTTATTTTAATTATTTTTCTAACTCTGGTTTAAATAAAAACTTACAAATCAGGAAAGAACTGGCTATCTGTATGTTAAAAAAATTAAGAGAGGGCTGGGTGCAGTGTCTCACGCCTGTAATCCCAACACTTTGGGAGGCCGAGGTGGGTGGATCACGAAGTCAGGAGATCGAGACCATCCTGGCCAACCAACATGGTGAAACCCCGTCTCTACTAAAAATACAAAAATTAGCTGGGCGTGGTGGCGTGCGCCTGTAATCCCAGCTACGCAGGAGGCTGAGGCAGGAGAATCGCTTGAACCTGGGAGGCGGAGGTTGCAGTGAACCGAGATTGTGCCAGTGCACTCCAGCCTGGCCAACAGAACAAGACTCCGTCTTAAAAAAAAAAAAAGGAGAGAGAGAGAGGGAACATTGACTCTTACCTTGTACCATCCCAAAAATTCATTTGAGGCCGGGTGTGGTGGCTCATGCCTGTAATCCCAGCCCTTTGTGAGGTCAAGGTGGGTGGATCGCTTGCGATCAGGAGTTGGAGACCAGCCTGGCCAACATGGTAAAACCCTATCTATACTAAAATACAAAAATTGGCCAGGCGTGGTAGCGGGCACACATAGTCCCAGCTACTTGGGAAGCTGAGGCAGGAGAATTGCTTGAACCCAGGAGGCAGAGGTTGCAGTGAGCCAAGATTGCACCCCTGCATTCCAGCCTGGGTGACAGAGTGAGACTCTGTCTCATAATTAATTAATTAATTAATTAATTCAGGCTGTGGGATACTGCTCAGCAACTTTTAAAAAGGGGCAAACTTTAAACGTTTTAGAAATAAAACACCCTGAATGACTCTTGAGAATTACTCTGAGTGAAAAAAGCCAATCCTAAAATGTTACCTATTGTATGATTCTATTTATATAACATTCTTGAAATGACAAAATTATAGATATGAAGCACAGATTGGTTCTTCATATTGTCAGGGCCTGTGGATGGTGTGGGGCTGAAAGTAGATGTGGCTATAAAAGGTCAACATGAGGGATCCTCAGGGTGATGGAAATGTGTATGTTGACTAACAGTGCCAGTATTCTGGTTGTAATATTGTACTGTAGTTTTGCAAGATGTTATCATTGGAGGGAACTGAGTAAAGGATACATGAGCTCTTTGTATTATTTATTATGTGAATCTATAATTATCTCAGAATGAAAAGTTTATACATGAGCTGTTTATTATTTCTTATTATGTGAATCTATAATTATCTCAGAATGAAAAGTTTAAAAACTACAATTTGGCAGCTTTTCAAAAAGTTAAACATAGATCCTGTGACCTAGCAATTCTACTTCTAGATATATATCCTAGAAAACTGAAAACATTTGTCTGTGTATTTTTACACAGACAAATGTTCATAGCAGCTTTTTCAAAATAGCTAAAAAGTGGAAACAACCCACATGTCTTTCAGTTGATGAATAAACAAAATATGGTATATCCATACAATGGAATATTATTCACTCATAAAAAGAAATCACTGTTGATATATGTTATAAAATGAATGAACCTTGGCCTTGTGTGGTGGCTTATGCCTATAATCCCAGTACTTTGGGAGGCCAAGGCAGGTGGATCGCTTGAGCCCAGGAGTTTGAGACCAGCCTGGGCAACATGGCGAAACCTATGTCTACTAAAAATACAGAAAAATTAGCCAGGCTGGTGGCATGTGCCTATAGTCTCAGCTACTCGGGAGGCTGAGGCACAACAGTCGCTTGAACCTGGGAGATGGAGGTTGCAGTGAACGGGGATCAAGCCACTTGCACTCTAGCCTGGGTGACAGAACGAGACTCGTCTTAAAAAAAAAAATGATGAACCTTAAAAACATTTTCCAAATGAAAGGACATAGACATAAAAGGCCACATATTGTGTGATTCCATTTAAATGAAATGTCCAGAACAGGAAATGGAGAGTGACTGCTGATGGATACAGGGTTTATTTTTGGGGCAATGAAAATGTTCTGGAATTAGTTGCGATAAACTATGGAATTATGCACTTTGAATGGTTGAATTTTATAGTATGTGAATTGTATCTCAATTTTTTAAATTGTGTGAGGAAAAAAATTCAGGTTTCTCTAGAGTGACAGCAGATCAGTGATTGCCTGGGGCTGGAAGTGGAAGGAGAAATTGAATACAAAGGGACACAAGAAAACCCTAGGGATGAAAATATATCTCTTTATTGTCGTGGTTATACAGGCATATGCAATTGTCAGAACGCTTTGAATTGTACACTAGGTGAAGTTTATTGTGTCTGAATTGAAGTTCAATAAAGTTAGTTTTTAAAACTTATAATAAAATTATCTCTAGTTGTTGTAAGCTTAAAATGACCTTTAGGTTAAAATTATCTTATCTCTTATTAATTATAAGGCCAACAACTATTGCAAAAATTACCTCATAGAGTCTGACTTCCGTTGCTAGTTTCTATCCAGTTTCCAAAGTGAAACTAGATTGATCACTTTCACTCAGACTTTGCTCTTAGGCGTTTGTACTAGCCTGACTCCATTATTGTGCTTTTCAGAACCCATGAGTGGGTGTGATTGTTATAACATTTTTTTTAAGTTTATGGAACATTCTATTGCTTTTATTTCTTTTTTGCTTTTATGTACAACAGAAAAATGTCTCAAATTGGGTATAACAAATCAGCGTGATTGCCTTTCACCTCCACTTTGGAGTGCTTTGAGCCAGTTTGGACACAAGGAGGTTGGAGTTAAAATGACTCCTGAAGGAAGTAAGCAAGCATGAGAAGAGAGGGCAGCACTGGTAGGTAACGCTAAAACAACATCGCCTTCATCTCTCAACCCTGATCTCTTTCCAAGAAGTGAGCTGACTAAATGAAATATTACACAAAACCCTCCAAGGTTTGAGAAGAGTTCTAGAGGGTAGTCTCTAAGTGAGAAGGACCATCTCTATAGGTGGCCCTGAGTTTTATCCTCAAATTTCCTTCTACGCCATGTACCCATCCTCACTCATTTTTCGGGTCCCACCAAGCCTAAACTCAGGGGTAGTTTTCCATTTAAAATTCTGCCTCACAGGTGGACACATCTTTTTTATTGTTTCCCTTAAGCACAGATTAGACTAACTTTATTAAAAGAGATCATGCAGGAGCATCCCTTGAGACCGGGAGGCAGAGGTTGCGGTGAGCCAAGATCCTGCCACTACACTCTGGCTTGGGCAACAGAGTGAGACCCTGCTTCAAAAAAAAAAAACCCCAAAAACAAAACCACCACCACCACCACCAAAAGCCTCCAAAACAAAAATCACGAAAACATAAAAGAGACATATGTCTAGAATATCGAATTCTAAGTGGATTTTGTAAGAATTCCAGCAAAAATAAATATATTTAAAATGATAATAGCTAACACTTAGAGTTTACAGTGCATGAAGAGGAAAGACAGACACTGGTTTTTTTTTTTTTTTTTTTTTTTTTTGGAGACAGAGTCTCACTCTGTCGCCCAGGCTGGAGTGCAGTGGCATGATCTTGGCTCACTGCAACCTACGCATCCTGGGTTCACGCCATTCTCCTTCCTCAGCTTCCTGAGAAGCCGGGACTACAGGTGCCCGCCACCACACCCAGCTAATTTTTTTTGTATTTTTAGTAGAGACGGGGTTTCACCTTGTTAGCCAGGATGATCTCGATCTTCTGACTTTGTGATCCGCCCACCTCGGCCTCCCAAAGTGCTGGCATTACAGGCGTGAGCCACCGTGCCTGGCCTGTTTTGTTTTTTTCTGTACTCTACTACTCCTTTCAACACTCCACCTCTGATGACATCAGATGTGTAGGTTTTGTTTTTTTTTTTCCCTCACCAACAACCAATTCTCCAACCATCTGGTCACCAACTGGATATTCTACAATTTAACTCAATTATGACATTAATTCCCTGGAGTTAGTGCAGACCCCCACAGGTTAAGGGCTCAGGCCCACAAGATTTCCCTGAACTTCAGATGCCGATCGATAGTGGTGGGTCCTCAGGTTATCCACAACTTCTGTCTGAGTTGGCTACAAATCAGAGGTTTCCACAAGCCTCTCCTCAGGTTGGATCATTTGCTAGAACGACTCACAGAACTTATGAAGGCCCTTTACTTAAATTTGTCAATTTATTATAAAGGATAAAACTCAGGAACAGCCAAATGGGAGAGAAGCATAGGGTGAGCTATGAGGGGGTTATGTGATGCTCCCATGCCTTCTCTGGGCATACGACCCCCAGAGCACCATCTGGGTTTATCAGTCTGGAAGCTCTCCAAACCCTGTCCTTTTTGGTTTCTATGGAGTCTTCATCATGTAGGCATGATTAATGACATCATTGGCCATTGATGAGTAGGTCAATCTCCAGCCCCTCTTGCATCCCCAGAAGTCAGAGTATGGTGGGGCTGCAAGTTCTAATCCTCTAACACATGATTGTTTTCCCTGGCAGCCAGCCCTCATCCATAAGGGCTTTCCAAAGTCAGCTCATTAACATAAACTCAGGTTTGGTTGAAAGGGACCTGTTATGAATAACAAAAGACGACTCCTTTTACCTTTGTTATTCTTAGGAAATTTCAAGGTCCAATTTTAGGACCTCGGTGCCAGGAGTGAAGACAAAGACCAAATATATATTTATTATAAATCACAACATTGCAGTGTGGCAGACCGTGTACCAAGCTCCTTACGTATATTAACTCTTATTCTTTGCAACAACTATGTGAGATGGGTGCTCTTATCCCATTTTACGGCTAAGATTGTACCCAGCTGGCCTGGGTTAAGAATCTGTGCTCTTTACCACTATACTATATTGCCTTTCATGTGAACTTCAAGCCCTTTTTCGGACCCTGTATGTTAGCTGTTGATAGGCTGTTCTAACTTGTCGAGGTTCCTTTGCTCCATTCTCCCAGTACTTAGCCTACCTGACTTTTTAGTCCCCCTTCCCTTCCTGTTTTATCTTTCCCTGCCAGAACACTACAACGTAAATGTAAAAAACAAAAAAACCTCCAACTTTTTCTTCTTTTAGAATATGTATTTTAAGGGGCCAGGCACAGTGACTCACACCTGTAATCCCAGCACTTTGGGATGCCAAGGCAGGAGGATTGCTTGAGTCCAGGAGCTCTAGAACAGCCTGGGCAACATAGTGAGACTGCCATTTCTACAAATAATGAAAAATTAGCCAGGCGTGGCAGTGCACACCTATAGTCCCAGCTGCTTGGGAGGCTGGGGCAGGAGAATTGCTTGAGCCCAGAAAGTCGAGGCTGCCGTGAGCTGTGATTGCACCACTGCACTCCAGCCTGGGTGACAGAGTGAGAGCCTGTCTCAAAAAAAGGAAAAAAAAAAGAAAAAAATTATGTTGTCCTAGACCTTCTTTCTGCATAGGAATGGCCTTCTTTTTTAAAAAATAAATTTGACATTTAAAAAAAGCTCTTGTACGATGAGCCCTAACCTTTGCATAGAAGCTTCCTTGTTTTTAACTGTGACTGTTGTACCTGTTCACAAGGATTAGAAGGGATGCTGTTTTGAATTACAGTCTAGTAATATTTCTGACTCTATACCTATGGCCAAAACCAGTGTCATATGCTTGAAACTAAGGAAAACTTCTAGCGTGTCTTGCCATAAACGTACATTAGACATTTTTTCCGTTGTAGCTAATAGTTTCTGTGGGTTGGAATTAAAATTAAACCTGTATATCTTTAGAGTAGGAACATTTGCTGTGTGAAGGTCCTTGTTGGCTCTGGTAAGAAAAAAGTTCCCTTGCTTATTCTCTTCCTTCTCTTCTGAGAAGGCTTTCAGAAACTTTTTTTTTTTTTCTTTTTCCTTTTTTTTTTTTTTTTTTTTTCTTGAGGCAGTCCCTCGCTCTGTGTCCCAGGCTGGAGTGTGATGGTGTAATCTTGGCTCACTGCAACCCCCACCTGCCAGGTTCAAGTGATTCTCCTGTCTCAGCCTCCCAAGTAGCTGCGACTACAAGGCACCTGCCACCACAGCCGGCTAATTTTTGTATTTTTAGTAGAGGCAGGATTTCGCCATGTTGCCCAGGCTGGCCTCGAACTCCTGACCTCAAGTGATCCACCCACCTTGACCTCCCAAAAGTGTTGGGATTACAGGCATGAGCCACCGTGCCTAGCCCAGAAACTTCTTAACAGCTGAGTTTTATATCAGCTAAGTCAGTCCTTGAGATGTTTGCAAATAATCTTCCATTGCTTTATCCTGAAGATCCTCTTGCATGTAGGCTTTTGGTCAACCGATTCAATGTTACTAAATATATGTTTAATCCCAACTAAGGTAGGTAGTTTGGATGTTTTTAGAAAAGTTTGAATTTGAGGAAATAGTATATTTATGTGTGTGTGTGTACAGAATTTGTCACGTGCTAGATGTTGCGTGGAAGTTGTTTGAGAATCTACTGAAAATGTGGTCGCCATCTGCACAGGGATTATATTCTGGTTTAGGTAGTTCAGAATAAGGGGTTAAATAATATCTAGTCCTGCAGTCAATATTTGTCCTTATATACTGGTAGGCGAGTTTCCTGATATGCATGGCTGCATTTTCTCTGTTCCTGCCTACCTCTTCAACTTTACCTGCTGCTGTTTTCTCTTTGCTTTCTAGGTTCCATCTGCCTCTCTGTTTTCTAGGTTCCTCCGCCACCTGAGTTCAAACGATTCTCGTGCCCCAGCCACCCAGGTAGCTGGGATTACAGGTGCATGCCACCACGCCCAGCCAGTTTTTGTATTTTTAGTAGAGATGGGGTTTTGCTCTATTGCCAGGCTGATCTCCAACTCCTGGCCTCAAGTGATCCACCTGACTCGGCCTCCCAAAGCGCTGGGATTACAGGCATGAGCCACCACACCCGGCCTAGTATGTGATTATTTTATGAGATTTTTGGGGGTTTTTAAATGTATATGTTTCTCACTAGACTGTAAATGCTATAAAGGCAGGTGTCTTATTTTTATTGTTTTAGCATTTTATATCCAGGATTTTATTAGGGTGCTTGATACATAGTAAATGCTGAGTAAACATATGTTAATGAATGAAATAAATGAATATGAAATATTGGAGAAGGCCGGGCACAGTGGCTCAGGCCTGTAATCCCAGCACTTTGGGTGGGTGAGGCAGGTGGATCACAAGGTCAGGAGTTGGAGACCAGCCTGGCCAATATGGTGAAACCTCGTCTCTACTAAAAATACAAAAAGTAGCCAGGCATGGTGCTGCTTGCCTGTAGTCCCAGCTACTTGGGAGGCTGAGGCGGGAGAATCGTTTGAACCCAGAAGGCGGAGGTTGCAGTGAGCCAAGATCGTGCCACTGCACTCCAGCCTGGGCGACAGAGTGAGACTCTGTCTCAAAAAAAAAAAAAAAAGGAAGAAATATTGGAGAAATTGAGGAGAAACCATTTCATTCTGTGTCCAGGTCCTTCAACCCAACTATTTCTCCAAAGAAATGTTTCCCTGAAGAGCATGTACAAACCGTTCCTTTGTAAGAGGTAGGAAGGGCTGGGCGTGGTGGCTCACATCTGTAATCTCAGCACTTTGGGAGGCCGAAGCGGGTGGATCACTTGAGGTCAGGAGTTTGAGACCAGCCTGGCTAACATGGTGAAACCCTGTCTCCACTAAAAAAAAACATACAAAAATTACCCGGGCATGGTGGCTTGCATCTATAATCCCAGCCACTCAGGAGGCTGAGGCAGAGAATTGCTTGAACCCGGGAGGTGGAGCTTGCAGTGCACCAAGTTCATGCCATCGCACTCCAGCCTGGGCGACAGAGTGAGACTCTGACTCAAAAAAAAAAAAAAAAAATGTAGGAGGGACATTTTTGTTTTTGGCCATCTGTAACTCCCCCCTCCCCACCATTCATTTTAAGAAACATGATTCTCAATTCTTAGGAAATTATAAAGATATATAAACCACAGTTTTCATATCCACATTCCTGAATGGATACACCTCTCCCCAGAGTTGAATCAGAGGTTTCTCTTTTTAACTTTTATTATTTATTTATTTATTTAATTATGTATTTATTTGTAGAGATGGGATCTTGCTCTGTTGCCCAGGCTGGAGTGCAGTGGCGTGATCTTGGCTCACTGCCAACCTGGGTTCAAGCGATTCTCTTGCCTCAGCCTCCCGAGTACATGGGACTGCAGGTACATGCCACCATGTCTGGCTAATTTTTTTGTATTTTTTAGTAGAGATTGGGTTTTGCCGTATTAGCCAGTCTGTTCTCTATCTCTTCACCTCACTCAGGTGATCTGCCTGCCTCGGCCTCCCAAAGTGTTGGGATTACAGGTGTGAGCCACCGTGCCCGGCCTCTTTTTAACTTAAAAAAAAAAAATTATTACTTTAACTAGAGACAGGCTCTCACTATGTTGCCCAGGCTGGTCTCAAACTCCTGGCTCAAGTGATTCTTCTGCCTCAGCCTCCCAAAAATGCTAGGATTACAAATGTGAGCCATCACGCCCAGCCCAAAAGTTGTCTCTTATTAAGGAGCTAGCACATATTTAAAAGCACTACATATTTTGCCTTACTGATTAGTGATTTTATTTTTTTATTAATGTACTTAGTTTTGTTCAGGATTTGGAGATCATTGTGGCATATTTAAGTCAAAGGACTCATTTTTTTTTTTAAATGGCAAGCATTTTGTCTTTTCCTTTTCTTTTTCTTTTTTTTTTTTTTTTGAGATGGAGTCTTCGCTCTTGTTGCCCAGGCTGCAGTGCAATGGTGTGATCTTGGCTCACTGCAACCTCTGCCTCCTGGGTTTAAGTGATTCTCCTGCCTTAGCCTCCCAAATAGCTGGGATTACAGGCACACACCACCATGCCCAGCTAATTTTTGTATTTTTAGTAGAGATGGGGTTTCACCATGTTGGCCAGGCTGGTCTCGAACTCCTGATCTCAGGTCATCCACCCGCCTTGGCCTCCTAAAGTGGTGGGATTACAGGCGTGAGCCACCGTGCCAGGCCTGCAAGAAGTTTAACAGCTCAAACTCAAACCAAGAGTGTTAGTGTTTTAATATTTCTGCTTCTTGTCCGTTAATTCTTACCTCCTGCATCTCAGAATACTTCTAAGGTTTCTAAGATTGACACTTTTTGTGAGAGATTTGGTACTCCTGAACACTTTTGGCTTAGACTACTCAGTTTCAAAAATTGTTTTCATAAGCTCATCAGATGGCTTTAAACTTGGTGTGGTGGTAGTGGGATGAAAGTGCCACAAACAGACTCACTCCTTGTAAAACTTTCCTTTCTTCTAATTATTTTGTTACTTTAAGCTTTCTAAATTGTCTGTGTTACCTAGAAATTTCTTTTCATAGCAAAATAGTTACATAAAATAAAATTTAGAGAATTTATAGTTTAACAAATGTTCATAACTAATCATGATAAAGATGGATCAGTTAAAGTTTACAAATTACTTTTAAGATGCACATTGCGAAGTGGTGGTGTTATGGGTATGAATTTCTTAGCTTTTCAGGATGTCATCCTTTTAGCCCTGTAGCTAAAACTCAAGAGGCTACATGTTCAACCATAAAACATTAGCCTCTGCCAACATTACATCAGCTCCACAAAACCTCACTGGCTAATTATCCCTTGGGACTAGGACATGGATTTGGCAGCTTGTGAAAGCTGCTTTTTCCAATTTCTCCCTTACTGGCTGTGACATATCCCAAAGGAATGAAGTTGAGAAATAATCATCTTTCGAAAGCTCTCAACCTCTCATTCCCACAGTGGTTCTCATGGTTAGGGATAGATGAT
The DNA here is from genome assembly GCF_000001405.40 of Homo sapiens. Taxonomy (NCBI): domain Eukaryota; kingdom Metazoa; phylum Chordata; class Mammalia; order Primates; family Hominidae; genus Homo; species Homo sapiens. Next base: position 40,512,532 of record NC_000022.11, on the reverse strand, counting down.
CCTTTCTTCCACTTGAGGAATCCCTTTAGCTTATGATGTATTCTTTCAGTAGTAACCAAGGTACCCTGAGTGGAAGGATGATGGCAAGGATCCTCATTAGGTATGTTTCTAGGTGATTGTCTATAAGGAATTTAATGCTTCTGTTAGGATCTTCTTTATATTACCAAAATTGAAGAAGCTGGAAGACCAGCATTGGGACCCATGTGTGGTTATCATCTGTGTCCATTGACATTTGCTGTAAGAATTAGTATTGCTCATTTAACATCTCCTTTTGATGAGCACCTGTAAAACAACTTTTTTGAGGACACTCTTGGATAGCAAAAAGAACTGTATGATCTTAATCTCTTTTAGCCTCAGTTTATTTATCCTAAAATAAAGATATGGTACTTGGCCTTATTTTCCTCACAAGGGACCGTAAGGATGGAAGGAGATGACACATATGAACTAATTTCATAGTGACCTACTAGTCACCCTATATAGTGGGCCCATTCTAGGCCTCATCTCACCTGTTCTATGTTCCCTCCTCGTTCTGTACTACTCAGGATTTTTCACATAATCTTGGTTCACCTAAGCATAAAATAAATATATTGGAAAAGTATTGGATAGTGCACAGCCTTAAAAGGAAGGCTGGATAACACAGTTCAGAAAATGAGCAGAAACTGAGTGAGGCAAGACATAGTAAAGACCATGTAATGGGATCAGTTGGCTGAGGACTCTCTCTAGCACTGCTTGCTGGACCTTCTCTGCCACTGCTGCTGGCCTGGTCTCCCATGAACATCTGTTACTACTGGCACTGCCACCAGTAGGCACTTGCCACAGTGCCATGAATAATTTCTGATTATATTTTCCACCTTTGTGTTATTCTTTCAATATTCAAAGATCTACATAGGAGGATCTGATTGACTTGGGTTATATATTTGTGAACTAGATGCCAGGGAACAGAGAGAGGGAATTTCTGTTACTGTCAGTTCCTGTAGTGGGAAAAGGTGACTGCCTTTCCCCGTCTTAGAATTTCCTCCAAATAGGAAAGGTATTCACATGTGATACGTGTATATGTATCTATATCCCTGACCTGTTTACTGAGTTCTAGATTCAGTTAATCCACTAATTCTTCCCACCTGGACATCTAAATGACTAGTGTGCACTTAAAACTGATATCGCCATTCTCAGTGACTACTCCCAACCTGCATTCCCTAATTTATAGTGCCAGTTGCCCTAGCCAGAAAATTAGGAGTCAGTCTCAATTCCTCCTTTCTTGTTGTACTTGTCATATCTATTTGACTTGTGAGTTCTCTAGATTTTACCTCTACCTTGACTTCTTATATTTTGTCTCTCTGCCCTATATCATATTGTCAGCATTTTTCTCTGTGGTTTCAGGGGACTTGTTATTGGGCTCCCTGGCTATAGTTCAACTCTCCTCCAATCTGTCCATTCAGCTGCCAAGATACTTTCGCTAACTACCAATTCTAATCATTTTCTTTCTCCTGCTCAGAATTCTTCCATTTCTTGTGGGGTAAAACTTAAGCTATTTTATTTGTCTGGTCTCTGACTATGTGGTTATCTCATATCACTTCCAAACTCACAGTCCCCAGCAGTACTGACCAGCTTTTGGTTCCCAGAACACTTCGTGCTTTTTTTAAAAAAAGCACATATATTCCTTTGCATATAACCGTTAGTCTTTCTGCTTGCCAGCCTTCTGGCCTCACTTCAAGGGCTGTCTCTTCTGAGATGTGTGCTGTCTTTGATTCCCCCAGAAACTTCGGTGCCCCTTCTGCTGTGCTCTCCTTATGTTTACTGCATACCACCAAAGACTGATTGTTTGCTGCATTTTCATTCCTAGCAGGTCTCATTGTTAGAAGTATGGCCCCTTTAAAGCAGGGGTGGTATCCAATTTCTGTATTGCCAGTTCCTAACACATAGCAGGTACATAATAATTTTTATTTAATGATTCAGTGAAAGCACTTTGAGAAGTAAAGCACTGTACACATGATATTTTCATCACTGGCATTTTCTTGTAAGCATTTAGGACCTTTTGAACTCTAAAATTCTGTTTTGTATTAATCTGTTTCTGGAGAACATTTCGGGTTTTATTTCAATCAATTATTTATCTGCAGGTGGCCAGAGGTTCAAGAACCCTACCAGCCCCTCACATGAGCTTGCCTTCTTTGTGATCAGCCTTATATATTCCTTCACCGAGAAGTTGCTTAAATGTACTTTCCTTTAGTTTTCCCGGCCTCTCACCTAATGTACATTTTAATCCTGAATCATGATTTGCTTAATGTGTGACACCATTCCTTACCCCCAGCCACTAATTCAATCACTTTACTTTAGTTGTCCTAGTTATTGTAAATTATACAGTGGCTGGGACCTTACACTGTATTGGTACTCCAGAGACTATCTAGAGAATCTGGAGACATATCTGTCAATTTGACTGGATTGCTGGTTCTGCAATTCTTTTTCTCTCATCCCACAGCTCTCATTTGGGTTCTGTACTCCCACTGGGGGCCTTGGCAGAGCAAACAGTATTAACTTCACTTTTTTTTTTTTTTTAAAGTACTTGGCTGCTGTTTCTTGATTTACTGCAGTGGGAAGAATACGTTTTGATTTTTTTTTTTTTTCTTGTTCCTCCCTCTGAGGGAGCCTGCGTCATTGAGAAATGTTTAACCTCATGGCCTTGCACTGGGGCTGGAAATTTGCCTAAGGGAACTTGAAGTTGGCAGTATTTTTTCTCAAATTCCTCCTTATGAGGAGGGGGATTTCAGCAAGACCTGCCCAAACAGGAAGATGTTGGGAAATTTTTAGTAGCAAAGCTGTTGCCATTAGATTACTGAAAGTATTTGAAGAGTTTTCTGGAGATAAACTTAGGTATTTTGAATTTCCACTAGGAGAAAGCAGTAGCTTCTATCAGGTATAAACAAAAATTCAGGCCGAGAAACTTAGCTTTTCAGTTGTGTGGTATGTTGTTATCAGAAAACTTTGACCAGCTGGATGAGAAAGAGAAGCTCACCAGAAAGTTTAGAAACTCTCACTTAGGGAAAATAGCCTTAGGCTGAGGCAAACCTCTTTCGGCTATGGGGAGAATTTGGCTTTTTATCAATCCTGGATTATCCTAAGAGTAGGTCATAACAGGGATATTTTTGACAAATCTTTCTTTCAAATACTTAATGATATTGGCATTATATTCTGTGTACAAAATACTTAGTTGACACAAACAAGATATTTGCCCAGTAAGAGTTAGAATGGATGATCTTTTGTGCCCAAAAGTGATTTCCCTAATAGGGGAAGGTGTGAACCAGGAAATATTTAGAATGTGACCACCTCTGCTTATTTTAATCTTTGTATCACAGATGAGGAAAAGTTGTATAGTTGTTTGCCAGTATGAAATGATAAGCTGAGCAGGCACTGGACCCTGGCAAAGGAAGAATTGTATAGTTAAACAATTTGTGGCAGCTTTGTGACTTCCTCGAAAATTGGAAATAATTACTCAGTACTAAATACAAATACAAGCATTCCTGCCCACTCTAAAAGATACTGTCTACCATCTTTTCTTTCTGTGCAATGTATTTTCTGCTGTTAGCATGGATGTTTGAGGGTTGAGCTGTTGATACCAGCACCTTGTTAAAAGCTACCGTGAACACAAAGCATATGATAATCTTAGAAACCAAGTTCTTTTTTTTTTTTTTTTGGTAGAGGCAGAGTCTCGCTATGTTGCCCAGGCTGGTCCTGAGCTCAAGTGATTCTCCTGTTTTGGCCTCCAAAATTGTTGGGATTACAGGTGTGAGCCACCATGCCCAGCCAGAAGCCAGACTCTTACTTTGCAAAAAAAAAAGTACCCTCAAACCACAGTTACAATGGAAAGAACATATTACTAACATTCTTCCACCTTAAAGAAACTTCCAATTGAGAGACAACCTCAACTGTGAGGCCAAAGATTTCAGTATGAACAGAATACATTATATCCATAGAAAGTGGTAATGAGTCTAAATGAATCCTTTTTTTTTTTTTTTTTTTTTTTTTTTGAGAGACGGAGTCTGTCTCTGTTGCCCAGGCCGGAGTGCACTGGCATGATCTCAGCTCACTGCAACCTCTGCTTCCCGAGTTCAAACAATTCTCCTGCCTCAGCCTCCTGAGTAGCTGAAATTACAGGCATGCACCACCACGCCCAGCTAGTTTTTTTGTACTTTTAATAGACGTGGGGTTTCACCATGTCGGTCAGGCTGGTCTTGAACTCCTGACCTCAAATGATCTGCCCGCCTCGGCCTCCCAAAGTGCTGGAATTACAGGCATGAGCCACTGTGCCCAGCACGTAAATAAATCTTATTGGGAATAGACAAACACATTTTTTCACATCCTATCAGCATCTGTGATTTATTTGAATTTTTGTTGTTTACTTAATCAAATTGGGGACGAATCTAATTGTCTTCAATTGCTGCTAGGAGAAACTTATGTTTCCCTAGAAGCCACTGTGCTAATCTTAGTAACAGCACCTGTGCCCAGGTACTGTTCTACGTACTTTATATATAAATCAACTCCTTTTTTTTTTTTTTTTTTTTTTTTTTTGAGGTGGAGTCTTGCTCTCTCTTGCTCTGTTTCCCAGGCTGGAGTGCAGTGGCTTGATCTCGGCTCACTGCAACCTCTGCCTCCCGGGTTCAAGCAATTCTCATTCCTCAGCCTTCCTGGTAGCTGGGACTACAGGTGTGTGTCACCATGCCTGGATAATTTTTGTATTTTTAGTAGAGACGGGGTTTCGCCATGTTGGTCAGGCTGGTCTCTAATTCCTGACCTCGTGATCCACCCACCTTGGCCTAAGGTGCTGGGATTACAAGCGTGAGCAACTGCATCTGGCCTAAATCAACTTCTTTAGTCCTTGAAATAACCCAGTGGTTCTTAATCTAGGACAATTTTTTTTTTTCTTTCAGAGAGGGCCTTGCTCTGTCACACAGGTGGGAGTGCAGTGGCACCGTCATAGCTCACTGCAGCCTTGACAGGCTCAAGTGATCCCCCCACCTCAGCCTCTCTAATAGCTAGGACTGCAGGCACCCTTCTAATTTTTTGTATTCTTTTTAGAGACAGGATTTTGCCATGTTACCCAGGCTGGTCTCGAACTCCTGGGCTTAAGTGAGCCCTGGCGCCCAGCTGGGAAGTTTGTTTGTTTCTTTTTTTTTTCTTTTTGACATAGGGTCTCACTCTGTCACCCAGGCTGGAGTGCAGTGGTGCAATCACTGCTCACTGCAGCCTCGAACTCTCAGGCTCAAGTAATTATCCTGCCTCAGCCTCTGAAGTAGCTGGGACTGCAGATGCATGCCACCACGCCTGGCTAATTTTTTGTATTTTTTGTAGAGATGGGGTTTTGCCTTGTTGCCCAGGTTGGTCTCAAATTCCTGCACTGAAGTGATCCACTTGCCTGGTCTCCCAAATTGCTGGTTTTACACGTTTGAACCACCATGCCTGGCCAAAGGAGAAGTTTCTAAGATTGTAGTATGCTTCTCTTGGGGCATAGCAGCTTTTAACAAGGTGCCATTGGAGACCGTAATGTATCCTAGTCAGAATTCACCAACCATAATAAGCAGAATCAGCATTTCTTATATGTGGTCATTGAAGAATTAAAATAATGGTGTATTCAGCAATATTTCATTGACATATTTTATAGAGCACTTTTTGTGTGTCACATGTGCTTGCTGGTAGCTAGTACACTCGGTTAGCTGTTTGCTAATAGTATTATGCTACTATATTTTTAAACTCTCCTTAAACAGTGAAAATGGTGATAAATGGGGGTCATTAGTTTTAGAGACATGGTATATAGAAAAACAGTAGTTGATAAATGCAGCAGTCAGAATGAGCTAGTTGAATAAAGTCATGATTCATCACCCCCCCATTTAGAGAATTATTATTTGCCTAAGATTCTTAACAAGTAGGTTGGAATAAGTCCCTGAACATCCAACCTCGTTGGGCACTGAAGAAGCCACATCTCCTTCAAATGCCAGTGAGACGTAGATTGTAAGATATTGGGGATAAATACCACAGTTTCTTAATAGTAAAGAGCTGGGTGTTCAGTTCCCATTAATATGTAAATATTGCATAAAACTGAGTTATGCTGGGAAGTATAAGTGTGCATCTGTGCACAATCTTATTTTCTAGACTACTTGGCAAATTACCTTACTGCAGAGATCATTTTTGTGGGGAAGTTCACTACAGTGGGAAGCAGATCACATTCAAGAAGGGATTATATTTTATATACTATATTTTATCAAAGAATTGGTGTCATAATGCACTTTATTTATTTTTTTTTGAGATAAGAGTCTCGCTCTGTCGCCCAGGCTGGAGTGGCTGGAGTGCAGTGGCACAATCTCGGCTCACTGCAAGCTCCGCCTCCCGGGTTCACACCATTCTCCTGCCTCAGCCTCCCAAGTAGCTGGGACTATAGGCGCCCGCTACCATGCCCGGCTGATTTTTTTGTATTTTTAGTAGAGACAGGGTTTCACCGTGTTAGCCAGGATGGTCTCGATCTTCTGACCTGTTGATCCACCTGCCTTGGCCTCCCAAAGTGCCTGGATTACAGGTGTGAGCCACCGCGCCTGGCCAATGCACTTTAATAATATAATCTATGTTATATCTACTTTTTCTTTATAATTGTCTTAGTTCATTTTGTGCTGCTGCAACAGAATACCTGACACTGGGTAATTTATTAAGAACAGAAATTTATCTCTCATAGTTCTAGAGGCTGAGAAGTCCTAAGATCAAGGAACCAGCAGGTTTGGTTGTCTTGTGAGGGCTGCATCCTCTGCAGGGGAAGAAGAACGCTGTGTCCTCATATGGCATAAGGCAGAAGGGCAAGCCACCCGAAAGCTGTGTGAAGCCTCTTTAATAAGGGCTTTAATCCCATTCATGAGGGAGGTTCCCTCATAGCCTAATCATCTTTTAAAGGCCTCACCTCCTAATACTATCACGTTGACAACTCCTGAATTTTGGAGGGGACATATTCAAACCATGGCATTACTTATTGAACAGTAAGATTAGCTACCATGTATTGACTACTTCTCTTGTATCGGGCACTTTAAGTAGTTATGTCATTTAACTCCAATAGCAATTCTTTAAGATAAGTAAAATTTTACTTTGCAAGAAACTGGAACCTAGCTGATAAATGCTGAAGTTAGAGTTTAAACCCTTGACCTCAAAACACCTGACTATTAAGCCATGTAGTCTCTTGATTAGATACAGTATGAGAGAGGATGGATAAGACTCATAGATAATTTTTTAACTTCATTTTGACATAAATGTCGATCCCTACAGTCTAGATGTTATCGTTAGCAGGGGCTAATTTTGAGTTTGAGGTCTTTCCATTTCCCTTTGCCTGAAAGTTGGCAATGATGATAAATTACTAAGAATTCAGTAATTTGTGAGCATCTGTTGAAAGACAGTGGACTAGATGCTGTGAGTATCTGATAATGTTTATTGAGTATCCATTGCATAGAGCTCTGTTTTATTTTGTGGCCAAAAAAAGTAAACAACATGGCTAATCCTTTTCCTCAAAGAGCTTAGCATTCGGTTGGGGATAGATATAGTCATTATGCTACAAAATAAGAGGAAACTTTATCCTGAAGGTACAGCAAGTAGAGGATCAGCTTTTTGAGAAGGTTTCTTAGAATAGGTAAGTTTTAAGCCATGTTTGTAAGATGATGGACATGAAGGGGTGGCGGGACTGAGTTTCCTCAAAGATACTATATCCAGAGAATTCATTCCAATTTGGAATGTTTCATAATTTAAAAAAGAGTGGCATGGCCTTTGTCACACATCTTGAGGTTCATTCTAAGTTGAGGATTCTGATCAAATCCTCTTCAGGTTTCTCACTTACATAAGTAACTGCTTTCCTCTTTCTTTCCTTGTCATTTAGATTGCTTACATTTGTGTGGGTGAAGTTTTAAGATCTAGTTTCAGAAAATAATTTTCAGTTCCTTGTTTTCATAAAAATATTAGAATTAGAAGTAATGTTAAATTGTTTTTCACCACTCATCTGGTTTTATTAATCAGAAAAGGTACTGTTTCCTAACAGAAAGGCTGATGTGATGTACTGACTTGTTTGGAACCAGCCATGGCCTAATTTCTGATTAGATATAGCATTTATCTTGAGATTATCTGATAATTTAAGTCTTTGTATTTTTTTAGAGACCAGGTCTTCCTCAGGCTGGAGTATAGTGATGTGATCATAGCTTAGTACAGCCTTGAACTGTTGGGTTCTGGTGATCCTTCTGCCTTAAATTTCCAAGTACCTGGGATTACAGATGTGAGCTACTATGCCCAGCTACAAGAACTTGAGTCTTAAGAAATTTGAGAAGTCTAGGTTAATTTTTTTTCAGCCACAAAGCAATTAGGTAGTCAGTTATGAATTTTTATATCTAATTTTCAATTATAAAATATTTGTTTTCTTAAAATAATGAACTTATGCAGAGAAGGCTCATCATCCTCAGTTCAGTTTTGAACTTTATTTACCATTTACATTTAAAGCTGTGAAATTAATTTTATATAAATTTAACTGAATCTTTTGAATTAATCTATGAAGTTTCAGGCAGTTTATTATTTTTTAAGTATCCTGGGAATTTTTTTTTTTTTAAACTTGAGACAGTCTTGCTCTGTTGCCCAGGCTGAAGTGCAGTGGCACGATCTCAGCTCACTGCAACCTCTGCCTCCTGGGTTCAAGGGATTCTCCTGCCTCAGCCTCCTGAGTAGCTGGGATTACAGGCATGCGCCACCATGCCTGGCTAAGTATTTTTAGTAGAGATAGGGTTTTGCCTTGTTGGCCAGGCTGGTTTCCAACTCCTGACCTCAAGTGATCCACCTGCCTTGGCCTCCCAAAGTGTTGGGATTACAGGCGTGAGCCACTGCGCCCAGCCAGTATCCTGGGAAACACTGATGCCTTCTTTGCAGTACAGCCTTGATAAAGACTATTTGTTGTTGATCAATAATATCGGAGTCTCAAGCTAAGTATATGTGATAAAGGACACTCCACTCTAAAAATAACATTATAGGCTGGGCACGGTGGCTCACACTTGTAATCCCGGTACTTTGAGAAGCCGAGGCGGGCAGATCACTTGAGGCCAGGGGTTCGAGACCATCCCAGCCAACTTGGCAAAACCTTTGTCTCTACTAAAAGTACAAAAGTTAGCTGCGCATAGTGGCACACGCCTGTAATCATGCCTGGCCCCCAGACTACATTTCTGATTTTGTTGACAGTTCATAATGTGGAGAAATTAATTGTCTGGTGACATCTGAACCACTTAAAAAGAGTAAATGGTGATACATTATGGGATGATCACACAGTTGTGGTGAAGCACAAATGAACAGATTTCTAGCCTTGTTAGTTCAGTTCTGCATCTAAAGTGAAGAACCTGCCTTTGTGGTTTCTTTAGACTCTTCTTGATGATACACAGTACAGCTTGGAGGCCTTTAAGCAGAATAGAGCAGAGCAGGGAGGCACAGGTTGTTCAGAAGCTTTACTAGCTGCTGGTTTCCCTGTGCGTAGATGAGGGTGTGTGGGTGTATTGGGGAAGGGGGATGGGAAAAGTGGAGAAGGGGAGCAAGTAGGTATCCTCTGTGACACTAGGAAGGAAAAAAGATCCTAGCGTTTCCTGGAAGCGTGACAGTTAATCTACAGAGGACTATCTTCATAAAGGAGATTGTAAACCACCAATAAAAGAAAGCAATATGGGGGGAGGATGGAGTTCAGCGGGCAGCGGAGCTGTCTCAGTCTTTGCCGCCGCGCCGGCGAGCGCCGCCCGGGAGGCAGCGGCTGGAGAAGCAGACGGGCCCCGCGGGGCCCGAGGGCAAGGAGCAGCCGCCTGCCTTGGCCTCCCAAAGTGCCGAGATTGCAGCCTCTGCCCGGCCGCCACCCCGTCTGGGAAGTGAGGAGTGTCTCTGCCTGGCCGCCCATCGTCTGGGATGTGAGGAGCCCCTCTGCCTGGCTGCCCAGTCTGGAAAGTGAGGAGCGTCTCCGCCCGGCCGCCATCCCATCTAGGAAGTGAGGAGCGCAGCCGCCATCACATCTAGGAAGTGAGGAGCGTCTCTGCCCGGCCGCCCATCGTCTGAGATGTGGGGAGCGCCTCTGCCCCGCCGCCCCATCTGGGATGTGAGGAGCGCCTCTGCCCGGCCGAGACCCCGTCTGGGAGGTGAGGAGCGTCTCTGCCCGGCCGCCCCGTCTGAGAAGTGAGGAGACCCTCTGCCTGGCAACCACCCCGTCTGAGAAGTGAGGAGCCCCTCCGCCCGGCAGCCGCCCCGTCTGAGAAGTGAGGAGCCTCTCCACCCGGCAGCCACCCCATCTGGGAAGTGAGGAGCGTCTCCGCCCGGCAGCCACCCCGTCCGGGAGGGAGGTGGGGGGGGTCAGCCCCCCGCCCGGCCAGCCGCCCCGTCCGGGAGGTGAGGGGCGCCTCTGCCCGGCCGCCCCTACTGGGAAGTGAGGAGCCCCTCAGCCCGGCCAGCCACCCCGTCCGGGAGGGAGGTGGGGGGGTCAGCCCCCCGCCTGGCCAGCTGCCCCGTCCGGGAGGGAGGTGGGGGGGTCAGCCCCCCGCCCGGCCAGCCGCCCCGTCTGGGAGGTGAGGGGCGCCTCTGCCCAGCCGCCCCTACTGGGAAGTGAGGAGCCCCTATGCCCGGCCAGCCGCCCCGTCCGGGAGGGAGGTTGGGGGGTCAGCCCCCCGCCCGGCCAGCCGCCCTGTCCGGGAGGGAGGTGGGGGGGTCAGCCCTCCACCCGGCCAGCCGCCCCGTCTGGGAGGTGAGGGGCGCCTCTGCCCAGCCGCCCCTACTGGGAAGTGAGGAGCCCCTCTGCCCGGCCAGCCGCCCTGTCCGGGAGGGAGGTGGGGGGGTCAGCCCTCCACCCGGCCAGCCGCCCCGTCTGGGAGGTGAGGGGCGCCTCTGCCCGGCCGCCCCTAATGGGAAGTGAGGAGCCCTTCTGCCCGGCCAGCCGCCCCGTCCGGGAGGGAGGTGGGGGGGTCAGCCCCCCGCCCGGCCAGCCGCCCTGTCCGGGAGGGAGGTGGGGGGGTCAGCCCTCCGCCGGGCCAGCCGCCCCGTCTGGGAGGTGAGGGGCGCCTCTGCCCGGCCGCCCCTACTGGGAAGTGAGGAGCCCCTCTGCCCGGCCAGCCGCCCCGTCCGGGAGGGAGGTGGGGGGGTCAGCCCCCCGCCCGGCCAGCCGCCCTGTCCGGGAGGGAGGTGGGGGGGTCAGCCCTCCGCTGGGCCAGCCGCCCCGTCTGGGAGGTGAGGGGCGCCTCTGCCCGGCCGCCCCTACTGGGAAGTGAGGAGCCCCTCTGCCCGGCCAGCCGCCCCGTCCGGGAGGGAGGTGGGGGGGTCAGCCCCCCGCCCGGCCAGCCGCCCCGTCCGGGAGGGAGGTGGGGGGGGTCAGCCCCCTGCCCGGCCGGCCTCCCCGTCCGGGAGGTGAGGGGCGCCTCTGCCCGGCCGCCCCTACTGGGAAGTGAGGAGCCCCTCTGCCCGGCCAGCCGCCCCGTCCGGGAGGGAGGTTGGGGGGTCAGCCCCCCGCCCGGCCAGCCGCCCCGTCCGGGAGGTGAGGGGCGCCTCTGCCCGGCCGCCCCTACTGGGAAGTGAGGAGCCCCTCTGCCCGGCCACCACCCCGTCTGGGAGGTGTGCCCAACAGCTCATTGAGAATGGGCCAGGATGACAATGGCGGCTTTGTGGAATAGAAAGGCTGGAAAGGTGGGGAAAAGATTGAGAAATCGGATGGTTGCCGTGTCTGTGTAGAAAGAAGTAGACATGGGAGACTTTTCATTTTGTTCTGCACTAAGAAAAATTCCTCTGCCTTGGGATCCTGTTGATCTGTGACCTTACCCCCAACCCGGTGCTCTCTGAAACATGTGCTGTGTCCACTCAGGGTTAAATGGATTAAGGGCGGTGCAAGATGTGCTTTGTTAAACAGATGCTTGAAGGCAGCATGCTCGTTAAGAGTCACCACCAATCCCTAATCGCAAGTAATCAGGGACACAAACACTGCGGAAGGCTGCAGGGTCCTCTGCCTAGGAAAACCAGAGACCTTTGTTCACTTGTTTATCTGCTGACCTTCCCTCCACTATTGTCCCATGACCCTGCCAAATCCCCCTCTGTGAGAAACACCCAAGAATTATCAATAAAAAAATAAATTAAAAAAAATAAAAATATAAAAAAAATAAAAAATGAAATGTTAAAAAAAAAATAAAAAAAATAAAAACTGTAACAAAAAAAAAGAAAGCAATATGAAAGTATGTTATTATTTCTCTTTGTAGGCATAGACTTTTACTTTAATGAAGCATAAAAAAAAAAAAATCATAGACTGGGCCGGGCGCGGTGGCTCATGCCTGTAATCCCAGCACTTTGGGAGGCCGAGGTGGGCAAATCACAAGATCAGGAGTTCGAGACCAGCCTGGCCAACATGGTGAAACCCCATCTCTACTAAAAATACAAAAAATTAGCTGGGTGTAGTGGTGAGCGCCTGTAATCTCAGCTACTAGGGAGGCTGAGGCAGGAGAATTGCTTGAACCCTGGAGGCGGACGTTGCGGTGAGCCGGTGAGCCGAGATCGTACCATTTCATTCCAGCCTTGGGGACAGAGTGAGACTCGGTCTCAAAAAAAAAAAAAAAAAAAAAAAAAGGTCTACTTGAAAATCTTGTCCAGGTTTCCTCTGCTTCTTAAATACTTGTTTTTGGGCTGAAGTGTCACACCTGGTTTTAATACAAAGGGAAATTTATGGTGAAAGTTGAAGTAAAATCAGTTTGACCCTTAAGGTGTCAGGTCACAGAGAAGACATTTTCTTTTTGTGTTTTATGTATGCCTTCAAAATCTTTAAATGACCAGTGTTGCTTACAGAGTCATTTGTAAGAAATAAACATTTTAAGAGGTAGTTAAAACATTTTTGAGGATGTAATTATAGGGAGGAAGGAGTTTTAAAATTTGGTTAAAAATTTTTTTTTCACAGATAAGGAGGTATTAAAATTTTAAAAAAGTTTTCTTCTGGCTTGAGAAATATGTTAATTTCTGTGCTGCTTTTCTCTTGGAAGGCATAATTACTCAAGTTACAGCCAGTTAGGAAACTCTCCTTTTATCTTGATTTTTCTGTTTCAGAAAGTTCTGCTTGTAGTCTGTGGTCAGTCCATAGTGTGCTCTGGCACCTCTGCTCCTCAGTTTTGTGTTCAGACTGCTTATCAGTGCTCTGTGTTGTCTGTGTTCTTTAAATGACTCAGTATTAGTCAGAGAATCAGAACAAGGAATCCAGGGAGAGATTGTGGCTGGTTCCCTATTTTGGGTGATAGATTTTATTTAATTTACTAGGTCATGTAATGCAGACAAGATGTTAACAGTTTGAGAAATCCTAAAGGAATGTAAGTTCCAAGCATGACATCTTTACGAGAAAAACGGTTGTGAATTCACTAAGATGTGAATTTAGAAATGTTAAACAGATCATTTTTATACCTTTCTTTCCCTTTTTTTCTACCCTGTGAATATTTTTGTCTGTGTTGTGGGACATCATTGTCTGTTCTAAAAGTGGAAAATTAATAATAAAATAAAAGGGACGATTGGCTGAACATTCTGTATACCCAACACACTGATTATTGATTGATTGATTAAATTCACCCTAAAACCGTATAAATTTGGTCATATTATCTTTATTTTCAGGTAAGGAAATGAAAGCTTAGAGAGGTTAAGTAACTTACTCAAAACCAGAGTTGGCAACAGGTGATAAGAGCTAAAATTTAAACAAAGGTCTGTCTGATTTCAAGTGCAAATTCCTAGCCACTGTATCATCCTGCCTGTGGCCTGCTCCTGAGAGGTAGAGATCTGCATAGGTCTTGGCCATACAAAAAGACATCTGGTTGGTTGTCTTGGGTGCTTTGATGGTTCATTTGTTTACTGTCTGTGTCTGTCTTCTCCCTCAGCACCTACCATATGCATGACACATACTCAACAAATATTTATTGAATGAGGCTGGGGACAGTGGCTCATGCTTATAATCTTACCGCTTTGGGAGGCTGAGGTGGGTGGATCTCTTGAGCCCAGGAATTCAAGACCAACCTGCGCAACATGGTGAAACCTCATCTCTACAAAAAAATGCAAAAATCAGCTGGGCATGGTAGCTTGTACCTTAGTCCCCGCTACTTGGGAGGCTGAGGTGAGAGGATCATCTCAGCCCAGGAGATCAGGGCTGCAGTGAGCTGTGATCATGCCACTGTACTCCATCCTGAGCTACAGAGTGAGACCCTGCCTCAAAAAAAAAAAAAAAAAAAAAAAAAAAAATATATATATATATATATATATGAAGTGTGTACCGTTAACTGTGGAAAATAGAAGCATGCTGACATTTTGTTTGGTAAATTTTTGTAAGTGCATGCTATATTTGTAAATATAGTAAAGTGCATTCTTTTTTTTGACACAGGGTCTTACTCTGTCACCCAGGTGCTGGAGTGCAGTGCTGTGATCTTGGCTTACTGCACCCTCCACCTCTCAGGCTCAAGCAGTCCTCCCACCTCAGCCTCCTGAGTAGCTGGGACTACAGGCATGCGCCACTACACCCATCTAATATTTTAAAAAGATTTTTTTGTAGAGACTGAGTTTTGCCATGTTGCCCAGACTGGTCTCCAACTCCTGAGCTCAAGCAGTCCACCAGCCTTGGCCTCCCAAAGTGCTGGGATTACAGGTGTGAGCTACTGTGCCCGGCCAAGGTACATCTTAAACTAATATTTATCAGGTTTGTTTATGGCATATGTAGCCTTTTACATAAGAAGAAAAGATTTACTACCCCATGCGATTTCCTTTTTTTTTTTGAGACAGTCTCTGTTGCCCAGGCTGAAGTGCAGTGGTGCGATCTCAGCTCACTGCAACCTCCGCCTCCCAAGTTCAAGCGATTCTCCTGACTCAGCCTCCTGAGTAGCTGGGATTATAGGCGTGCACTATCAAGCCTGGCTGATTTTTGTATTTTTAGTAGAGATGGGGTTTTACCATGTTGGTCAGGCTGGTCTCGAACTCCTGACCTTGTGATCCACCTGTTTTGGCCTCCCAAAGTGCTGGGATTACAGGCGTGAGCCAGCCTGACCCATATGATTTCTGAAGATTATTTTCCTCTTCCTCACCAGCCTCTCTGCTGCTGTCTTTGTCCCTCCTTGTTTCCACACTGCTGTCCAAATGACCTTTCTCTATTTCTCTTTCTCTCTATTCTCCATTCCTCAAGTAATTGTTATTTTCATAACTTTTGCTTTTGTGCGTTCCTCTGCCTTTGGTTGGAATGCCCTTCCCATCTTTTTGGTTTGACTTAAACAAAAATGATTTTAGATTTCAGTGCAGGTGCCTTCTCTCCTCCTGGAGGCCTTCTCTAACTCTCCAGCCCCAGCAAGGTCCCCTCTTCTTTGTCCTCATCAGAGCACTTACCATGCTGAGGGATTGTATAAATAGTTACAAGGCTGTCTCCGTTTCTTGAACAGCCTGTAGTGTCAACTCCATTTGGGCAGGTGTTTCACCTTTCTGTGTCCACAACACCTGGTACTTGATAGGCAGACAGTAAGTATTGACAGAAAAATGAAACAAAACAAAGGGTGTAGCTTTGCCAAATCCCACCATAAATCTTAGAGAACCATTCCATTTTAGAGATAGAGGACACCTTGTCTACTCCAGCCACTCCTTTGTAGAGATTAGTAATATTGCTGGAAACCAGGACTCCTGACTCAGCCTGGTGCCCTTTCTTGAGAAAAAGATTTTTGGCTTATTATAAAGACAGTAGTTATTTGATGTAGAAAATGTAGAAGATACAGATAAACAAAAGGGAGAAAGAGAAAATAGATTGTTCTATTCCAACCACCCAGATTGGTGACTGTGCTTCTACTCTCTCCTGTGCATATATAGAAACATGTATATGTATGTGTTACATAATTGTGTGAGGACAACAGCTCAAATTTACTGAGTGCTTATAGAATGGGCACTGTTTTAAGTCCTTTACTTAAAATGCATTTATTATGGATCTTGCTGGAAACCAGGACTCCTGACTCAGCCTGGTGCCCTTTCTTGAGAAAAAGATTTTTGGCTTATTATAAAGACAGTAGTTATTTAATGTAGAAAATGTAGAAGATACAGATAAACAAAAGGGAGAAAGAGAAAATAGATTGTTCTATTCCAACCACCCAGATTGGTGACTGTGCTTCTACTCTCTCCTGTGCATATATAGAAACATGTATATGTATGTGTTACATAATTGTGTGAGGACAACAGCTCAAATTTACTGAGTGCTTATAGAATGGGCACTGTTTTAAGTCCTTTACTTAAAATGCATTTATTATGGATCTGAGGTGAAACTGTTACTTTCATTTGACAGATGAGGAAATGGAGGCATAGAGATGTTAAATATCTCAAGGTCACAGCAGCTGCTAAGTGGTAGAGCCAAAATTTGAACCCAAGCAATCTAGCTGTAGAGCCTTATTATTATTATTATTATTATTAATTTATTTTTTTTTTTCTGAGACTGAGTCTCATTCTGTGGCCCGGGATGGAGTGCAGTGGTGCAATCTTGGCTCACTGCAACTTCCACCTCCCAGGTTCAAGCGCTTCTCCAGCCTCAGCCTCCCGAGTAGCTGGGATTACAGGCGTGTGCCACCACACCCGGCTAACTTTTATATTTTTAGTAGAGACCGAGTTTCACCATGTTGGTCAGGCTGGTCTCGAATTCCTGACTTCGTGATTCGCCCTCCTCAGCCTCCCAAGTGCTGGATTACAGGCATGAGCCACTGCACCCAGCCAGACAGTGTACTTTTTTTTTTTTTTTTTTTGAGATGGAGTCTCGCTCTATTGCCAGGCTGGAGTGCAGTGGCTTGATCTCGGCTCACTGCAACCTCCACCTCCCCGGTTCAAGCGACTCTCCTGCCTCAGCCTTTCAAGTAGCTGGGATTACAGGCGACCGCCACCACACTTGGCTAATTTTTATATTTTTAGTAGAGATAGTGTTACACCATGTTGGCCAGGCTGGTCTCAAACTCCTGACCTCAAGTGTTCCATTCACCTCGGCCTCCCAAAGTGCTGGGATATCAGGTGTGAGCCCCCACACCCAGCCCAGACAGTGTACTTTTTTTTTTTTTGAGACGGAGTCTTGCTCTGTGGCCCAGGCTGGAGTGCAGTGGCGCAATCTCGGCTCACTGCAACCTCCACCTCCCAGGTTCAAGTGATCGTCCTGCCTCAGCCTCCCGAGTAGCTGGGACTACAGGCGCCCGCCACCACACCTGGCTAATTTTTTTTGTATTTTTTTTTAGTAGAGACAGGGTTTCACTGTGATCTCGAGACGGTGTACTTTTTAAAGTATTTATTTAATTTTTATTTTTAGTAGAGACGGGGTCTCACTGTATTGCCCAGGCTGGTCTTGAACTCCTGGGCTCAAGCAATCCTCTCACCTCAGCCTCCCAAAGTGCTGGGATTACAGGCGTGAGCTACTGTGCTTTGCCAAGCCTGTACTCTTAACTATGCATAATATCTTGTAATCTGCTTTTTTAAAAAAAAAAAAGTTGAGATCAGTTTATATGCAGTAATAGTCACTTTTTTAGGGGTACAGTTCAGTGAGTTTTGCTAAAAGGTAAACCACCACCTTTTATCAAGACATATAGATTATTTCCATCACCTCCCAAAATTCCATTATGCCTCTTTGTAGAGTCTCCTTCCCTGTTTCCCAGCCCTTGGCAATCACTGATCTGATTTCTGCCTGTTGTTTTGCCTTGAAGCCTTCTGGCTTCTTTTAGCATAATAGTGCTTTTGAGGTTCATCAGTGTTGTTTCCTGTAACAATAGTTTATTGGGTTTTTAAAAATTGCTGAAGTAGTATTCTGTTAAAGGGGTGTACCATAATTTTTTTTTTTTTTTTAGACAGAGTCTGGCTCTGTTACCCAGGCTGGAGTGCAGTGGCATGATCTCGGCTCACTGCAGCCTTCGCCCCCTGGGCTCGAGTGATGCTCCTACCTTAGCCTCCTGAGTAGCTGGGATTACAGGTGCACACCAGTATACCTGGCTAATTTTTTAAGGTTTTTGTAGAGAAGAGGTCTCACTATATTGCCCTGGTTGGTCTTGAACTCCTTGGGTTCAAGTGATCCTCCTACCTTGGCCTCCCAAACTGTTGGGATTACAGGCATGAGCCACCGCATCTGGCCTGTATATAATTTTTTATTCCATTCACAAGTTGAAGAACACTTTTTGGCAATCACAAATAAAGCTGCTACGAATATTCACATATAGCTCTTTTTTTTAACCTAGTAGTTTTAATGACATGTTAATTACAATTAATATAAAATAATAATATCTCCCTTTATTACTAAAGTCAGATGAACTAAAAGGCATTTGAGTTTATTTTTATTTCAGAGACAATAGAAAAGCACTTTTCTCTAAGCCAATAGATAAGAGCTCTTTAATATAATTTGGTAGTGAAATACCACATACACGTGACACATATAAACCATATAGGCATAGAGACACACAGAAATCTAAGATCTTTCATTTACCAGTTTTCAAATAGTTTCTCTCTCCCACTTTAGACTATCAATTTCAATTACCTGCTTCATTCCCCTGAAGAGTTGTTAGCTAGGCAACTCTAAATTCACATTTCCAAAGACACGCTTCTTAGGTGAAACAAGGTAGACAATTTACATCAGGCACAGAACTGAGACCTAAACACTATTATCCAAAGACAATGTACAGTTCTTTATGTGGATGTATGTTTTCACTTCTCTTAGATAAATACTCAGGAATAGGATTACTGGGTTTTATGGTAAGTGTAAATTTATAAGAAACTCCCAAACTGTTTTTCTACATAGCATTATCGTTTTCCATCCTCCTCAGTAATGTCTGGGAGTTCCAGTTGCTCCTCATCCTTGATGACAAATCATTTATTGCTGGTATTTGTATTCTGACAGTAGCCAAGTAACAATCTCCACATGCTCTTGCTGGAAAAATTGTTGCTTAAATTAAGGATTTCTCATGTAAATTTTTCCTCTTTCATTTTCCTTTTCCTTTTCTTTCCACTTTATAAATATTTATTGAGCAGTTTACAGTGCAAGGGATGGACGAGCATCAGTGATTTTACTCTCAAAGTGCCCCTGTTGGCCCTGTGAGTAGAGGTCATGGCAGATGATTGTGACACTTTTGATTCTTATACTTTATCTAGTTTCCTAGTGGAACAGATTGATCAGCATAGAGGTTTTCATTTTTGTGTCTCTATACTGCATGCCTCGCTTAGCTTTCAAGTGTGAGGAACCTTGTAGGGAGAAGAATATGGTGGCACATCTGGTTCCAGCTGTGCTGTCAGCCTTAATATCTTCCCCCTTCTGTTTAGGTGGAAATGCCAGTGTCATGGTGGCCTTTGTTTTCATAATCAGCTGGGTAGATTTTTCAGTTGCCTGTTAGTGTAGCTGTCCTGATTTCCTTCCTAATGATGTGAATGATGGGACTGTGACATACAAGGAGTAAAATCAAATGGTGAGGTAAGCTGAGGTCAACAAGATAAGGGTTTGAATCCCAAATTTTGGTGGGTTGTCACTATTGTGCCAATATATTATCTCTGACTCTAGCCAGCATCTTAAGAGCCTATATTGTCTTTCTAAAGGAAAGGTCAAATATGTATTGAACTGTATCTTCTTTTAAATATTTTGTCAGCAAAGTGTTTACAAATTGGTGAGAAGTGTCCATTTGTTTTTTCATTCATTGAGTACACTTGCCAGTTAACCATTACGTTTATGGTTCCCACATCAGTACTGTGATAGGACTTTTTTCAAAGTAAATTCTTCCTGAGTTTTTCCTTTGGTACCTCCCCCCTCTGCTTTTTGGTATCTTTTATCTTCAAACATTTTAAAGATGAATGTGTCCAGTAAAATAATGTTGTGTTATAGCTCCTTGTTCCATTTTGGGTGCAGGCTTTGTACAAGAAGGGAGGGAGGGCAAGAGAGAGAAGAGGGAACCTAGTCATGTGATACTGCTTGTCTGGCAGAAGCCTTTTGGTTCTGAGCAGAGAAACCAACTGTTTACTATTTTGGGTGAATGAGGTTGGTTGGTTGCTATGAGCATTTTCTCTAAGGGAACCCTCTCCTCTTCCAGCTCTACACATTGAAATCATCTCAGTTCTGCTTTTTGGCATTTGGATAGAAGAGGGAGGTGTCTGTGTCTAGGCCCAGTGCTGACAGGAAGAAATGTTTTGCCAGTAGAGTTACTGATTCTGACCTTCTGCTGTCACTGCTTTTAATGCCCCACTCCCTAAGTAAACTTGGGATCTAACTGTTCTTGCAACCCTTTGCACTGTAGAATGAAGTGCCCACTTTAACTTAAAGAGCAGGGCTAATCAGATCTTCGGCAAATAATAAATGGCCTCTTTAAGGAGAGAGGGAAGGAAGAGTGGTTTATTGCAGCATTGGCCTGTGGAGACTCGAATCTCCTCCAGCATGCTGGAGGAGAAGGCCAAGATTCATCAGTCCACCTGCAGGATTCTGCCACTCTCGTGGATTGTCCTGAAGCCGAGAAAGGACAGCTATTACTCAGCAGTGTGCCTGACCCATTATCACAGTTTGCGGGAAGGTTCGAGTATTTGTGCCTTTGGGATTTGCATGCTTTTGTTTCCTTTCAAACTTAACTGCTGTCTTTTATCCCAGTCCTATTTCTCTGTAGCCATCCAAGCTTTGACTTTGGGTGGTTTATTCTCCCAGGATTTGTATTAAAGTTTGTTGAGCACCCAACAAATAGATAACTGAACATAGTACTGTAGGGTGCATTTCATGACCTGGTGGAACAGTGATTAGGATGTTTCACTTTCTTACTCCTTTTTTCCCCACCGTGCAGAGCTCATATAGCCAAGCCTAGATTGTGGAATAAGGGAAGAAAAAACTTTTCTTTAATAAGGCGGAATTACTCTTTATGTGGGTCAGATTCAATGTTTTATCCATAAAATGCACTTTGGCCTTAGGTACTATACAAATGGGAGCTATTGATGATCATTTCAGTTTCTTCTGTCTGTTGAATACTTGAAAGTAGATAGATAACCCTTTAAGGTTTATAACACTAAGACATCATAATTTAAAATAAAATAACACTTGGAAGGCTTTTTACTTGTATTGCGTCTTAGTTTTGCTTAGGGTGAACAATTTGGACTGGTCTTATCAATATTAAAAGAGTTTGCCTATGTGAACAGCCTTCCTTCATAGTCTTGGTTTTGTTTTTTTTTTAAGACAGGTTTTCACTCCTGTGGCCCAGGCTGGAGTACAGTGGCTCAATCATGGCTCACTGCAACCTCCACCTCCTGGGCCCAAGTGATTCTCCAGCCTCAGCCTCCTGAGTAGCTAGGACTACAGGCGTGCACCACTGCACCCGGCTAATTTTTATATTTTTTGTAGAGATGGGGTTTTGCCATTTTGGCCATGCTGGTCTTGAACCCCAGCCTTAAGCGATCCTCCCGCCTCATCCTCCCAAAGTGCTGGGATTACAGGTGTGAGCCACCGTGCTCGGCTTCTTTCATAGTCTTATACTGCAGGAAAAGAAAATCCTTTGGGAGTAGAATGGACACATTTGAGTTATTTAGAAAAGTTCACTTTTAAATTTGAGGAAAATTCTTTTAGAAGAGTTCTAGGTTATGAAAAAAACGACAATAGGAGCTTTATCCAAATCCTGTCAAATATGAATAAAAGAGAATTGTCAATATTTTCTTCTCCTATCTTGGAAACCCTAATTATCTACTATCAGAATTTATATACAATGTATAATAATTATGTAAATGCTACTTTTCTAAACACTTAGACATTTCTTTTGAGTTTTCCAGATTTCTTTGGGATTTTAATAATTTTAACAGGATGATTTGAGCCTGTGGAGTCAGCAATGAATGGACACATCGAAGACGAGATGGAGTGATTATCAGTGCCCAGTTTGCAGAGAGAATATTTTTTTTCTTCTTTTCTTTTCTTTTTTTTTTTTTTGAGATGGAATCTCACTCTGTCGCCCAGGCTGGAGTGCAGTGGCGCAATCCCTGCTCACTGCAAGCTCCGCCTCCTGGGTTAATACCATTCTCCTGCTTCAGCCTCCCGAGTAGCTGGGACTACAGGTACCCACCACCATGCCCAGGTAGTTTTTTGTATTTTTAGCAGAGACAGGGTTTCACGTATTAGCCAGGATGGTCTTGATCTCCTGACCTCATGATCCGCCGGCCTTGGCCTCCCAAAGTGCTAGGATTACAGGCGTGAGCCATCGCGCCCAGCTGAGAATAGTTTTAAGAATTGGTTGAGAGGCAGTTGCTTTTTCTTTGAATATCTAGAACTGTTCTGGACTAACGTCAAAGAAACACCATGGCAACATTAAAGGGAAGATTATTTGAGAGGCGGGGGATAGTATGGCTTAGGACTTGGGCTGCTACCTTTGACTTTGTAATTCAAAAGATTGTAATGTTCCATATTTTCAATCTGATCATTAAAAATATCTGTGTTACATGCAAAAAAAACCTATAGGCAATAGAGATTCAGGCTTGTGATAAGTAGGATCAGAATGGTAATGTTAGATAACTACCCTAAGCAATTAACTACACTTTTCTGATTTTTTTTTTTTTTTTTGCGACAGAGTCATGCTTTGTCTCCCAGACTGGAGTGCAGTGGCGCGATCTCTGCCCACTGCAACCTCTGCCTTCAAGCGATTCTCTTGCCTCAGCCTCCCGAGTAGCAGGGATTACAGGTGCTCGCCACCACACCTGGCTAATTTTTGAATTTTTAATAGAGACAGGATTTCACCATGTTAGCCAGGCTGGTCTCGAACTCCTGACCTCAAGTGATCCACTCGCCTTGGCTTCCCAGAGTGCTGGGATTATAGGAGTGAGCCACCATGCCCGGCTACTTTGCTGATTTTATAGTGTGCTTAGAACCTTTCATTTAGAATTCTGTATATTGACTCAGTCTTGAAAGGACTCAAATTATGGGCTGGGTGCAGTGGCTCATGCCTGTAATCCCAACACTTGGGGAGGCTGAGTCTGGGAGGGTCACTTTAGCCCAGCATTTCGAGACCAGGCTGGGCTTCAAAGTGAGACCCTGTCTCTAGAAAAAAAAAAATGAAAAAATTAGCTGGGCATGGTGGTGTACACCTGTGGTCCCAGCTACACAGGAGGCTAGAACCATGTTCACGACACTGCACTCCAGCCTGGGCGACAGAACGAGACTCCGTCTCCATAAAAAAAAAAAAAAAATTTGAAATTATGTCTTCTACAGATACACATTATTTTTTTAATTGCTGTCATTTTGTAAACTGCACAAGAGAAACAGATTTTGCCTCAAATGGTAAAAGTATTAAGAATATCTGATGTCCCTGCTTTTGGGCTGAAGCAGGTGTTCGAGGGACAAAGATCATTCTTCCTTGTAATACTCAAAGATACCCAGTGAAAATGATTGTGTCTTGTGTTTTATTATTATAAATTCTTAATATTTTCTTTTTTTATAGCTTTATTTTCCTTATTAATAGACTTTGGCATCAATCACATCTGCATGAATTTTTTTTCAGGACTGAGCCATCATGAAACGTTGGTGTTTTATGATTTTATACAACCTCTGATACAATATGAATGATGTTAGATCTATGAAAGATCTAACATCAATCAGTATTGGTATTGATATAACACAATATGTTAGCCACAAGTCAAATGTACCCATTGAGATTTGAAATGTGGCTAAAGCAGTGAGGAGCTGAATTATTATTACTTTTTTTGAGACGGAGTTTTGCTCTTGTTGCCCAGGCTGGAGTGCAGTGGCGCCATCTTGGCTCACTGCAACTTCCATGTCCAGGGTTTAAGTGATTCTCCTGCCTCAGCTTCCTGAGTAGCTGGGATTACAGGCGCCCGCCACCATGCCTGGCTAATTTTTCGTATTTTTAGTAGAGACAGGGTTTCACCACGTTAGCCAGGCTGGTCTCGAACTCCTGACCTCAGTTGATCCGCCCGCCTTGGCCTCTCAAAGAGCTGGGAGGATTACAGGCATGAGCCACTGCACCCGGCTGAATTTTTAATTTAATTAAAAAAAAAGAGAGAGATGGAGTCTCACCGTGTCGCCCAGGCTGGACTCAAACTCTGGGCTCAATTCTGTCAGCCTCCCCAAGTAGCTGGGACATGTGCTGCTAATTTTATTTGATTTTAATTAAATTTAAATAGCATGTGTGGCTAGTGGCTGCCATGTCTGATAGCACAGTTCTAGACCCTTCACAGTCTGACCCTAGTCAGCCTTCCTTCTGTTACTCTTTTTCACAAACGTAATGCTCCAGCTAAACTGGGGAGTGTTGGCTGTGACCTTAACCTTGTAGATTTCCTACCTCCAAGTCCTAGCTCATGTTGTTCATCTCTAGTTTATGAAGGCCTTCAGATAGCTTATATGCTGTTGCCCTGTGAAGCTTACCTAATCCCTTTTGTACTCTAGTAATGTATTATCTGCAAACTCTTAAAGCACTTGTAACGCTATCTCTGATTGTAGTGATTTGTTTTTCATTTCTCATATTCTCTATTATATTTATAGATTCCTCAAGGGGCTTATGTGGTTTTGATGGTTGTATGTGTGTGATAGGTTTAAGTTTTTCTTTCTTCTTTTTTTCTCCACGGTGTCTAGCAAAGCATTTTTATACATGGTAGGTGGTTCATATGCATTAGGTGAGTTAATCTACTGAGATTGCTGATTGTTACTGTGCTTCCTGGCACTAGAGGGCAGTATCATATCCATAAGCAAAATGAGGTATTTATCCCAAAGTGACAGATACATTTTGAGCACTCTGTCCTAATTCAGTTTTATTCAGTCTCATTAACGATTCTGGCCTCCAGAAGGAACTCACATCTGTTCATTGTCAGTGATATTAATAAATAACCTTTTTCTATAAATATCTTGATTAGATTCAGTGTATGTTGGACCAGGAGATAGTGAGATTCTTTCTGAGAAGAAACTTGGTACATCTGAGAAACACCAGTCAAGGCATTAGGTGTCAGAGATTAATTCCTTGAGGGCAGAAGCCTTTTTGTGGTAGGCAGCTAATATCCCAGTAGTGGTCTGGTAGTCAAGAACCCAAAGTTCTTGGTTTGATCTTGCCAATGGTGAACTTGGCTAAGTTGCTCTAAGCTTGGCACACTAGTTCTTCTCATTGTGTAGTAGTGGGTATAATGACTAATGACTCCAGTTCTGGCTCATAGGGTCAAATGAGATACGTATGAAAGTAGCTTTGTAAAGTATTATATAAATGTATAGTGGTGTTTTCCTTCTCAGTTCCTATGTCATACTTAGTACCAACGCATACACAAAATAAGTGATTACTTATAAATATTTATGACATTAATTTGAAAATTTTAGGTAAGGGATATACTGTGGTAAAGGCTGTACTCACCAAGGCTGCATACACTGAGAGGTGATTATAGTCACAATAGTGGTTAACATATATCCTGTCCTTAGATGTTATTTAGCCTCAGAGTGAACTGTGTGATACACACACAAACACACACAAGTATATATGAAGTTTACACTCTTTTGTTAGTCTCTTGTGTAGTGAATTTATTTTTGTACACCTGCTACCCTTCTCTTTTGTTTGTTTTTGTTTTTTGAGACAGTCTTGCTTTGTCACCCAGGCTGGATTGCAGTGATGCAACCTTGGCCCACTGCAGCCTTGACCCCCTAGGCTCAAGTGATCCTCCCGCCTTAGTCCCCCAAGTAGCTGGGACCACAGGCAAGTGCCACCATGCCCAGCTAATTTTTTTGTAGAGATGGGGTTTTGCCGTGTTGCCCAGGCTGTCTGAGATCAAGTGATCCACCAGCCTCAGCCTCCCAAAGTGCTAGGATTAGAGGCGTGAGCCACACTGCACCCGGCTCCCTGTACCCTTCTTAATACGAACTTAAAGTGTTCGTAATGAGCCAACCGTTGTAAGGTTTTTGGACTTCTTATAAAAAGCCAGATTCAAATACAGTTGTTTAGACAAAAATGTCTTAGTATGGAAATATGCATGAGCATATTTTCCTGCCAGATTTGTGGTTAGAAAAGAAGCAAATTTTCCTCCTAGAGTGGAAGGAAGAAAAAAACAATAAAGAAAAGAAGCAAGCTATTCAAGAAGAAGGTAGTATAGTGGTAGCTTTTTGTTGAGACCAGTCACCAGCCTGGAACTTTCTTTAGTAAGTAATTAGATTCATTGAATAAAATGTTCAACCGAGCTTGGTGCAATCTCATAGTTACAAAACACTCTTGCCAAAGAAAGTTGCAGTCTTAATATCCGTAATCGAATCATTTCCTGTTCGGGCTTGCAGGTGGGGAACAATCTGAAACTGCAGTCCTATAAGATTAGTTATAAAGAAAACGCCTTGGTGGGAGAAGCCTTGATGATAATATTGAATAGACAGCCTAACAAGTGTGGGGATGAAGAAGGTACACCAGGATCCTGGGACTAACCAGATTTAAAGGCGTAAGTCGGGATCTGCAAGCCCACTCCCTTGGGGTGATCTGAATAAAGCTACTCTAGGGCATTCAGGTATGTGCTGAACACACTCGGGCAGTGGGCCAGGCAGATGGCTCATTCCTGCACCGACCTTCGAAGGCCTGCCAGGTTGAAAAGCTACCACTGGGGAGGCATGGCTGTGCTCTAGCAAGAACAAGAACATGCATTTCATGTAGCATTTGGTCCTTCCCAGTTGAGGGAGATGCCTTAGGACTACGTTAATCTCTGAGTCCACTTAGGGCTTGGGATGTATTCTCACAGCCCTTGCTCCTCCTCCATCTTAGAGTTTATTTTTACCATCATTGCAACCTCCTCTAAGTGATTCTTCCAGACCCATAGTTAGCCTTTGAGATTCCGCAGTTCTCCTCCCTACTCTTCCCCACCATGTCTTCATTGAGACCCACATTTTTAGGTTTGACTAAACCTTCCATCTAGGAATAGGTAGGAGGCTAAGCAATTTAGGCCGCATTCATGTATCCTGTCATTTGCTTCACTGCATCTTCTTGGCTGTGGTAAAGGAAATTTAGGTGTGATACACTCCTTAGGCTTCCCTGCCCTGCCCCCCTTTCCTTTTGCCCTTTTGATTTTTTTTAATCTGATACTCAGGCTCTCCTCCCGCCTTCACACACCATTGGAGTCTCCTAAGCTATTTCTGTCAGTTTAATGATCCCCAGCTGTTGCCACAGTTCAGGCTGTTTTCATGCCCAGGAGAAGCATCGAAGAGGCAGAGGAAAAGGGGTCTTGTTTGTTGTCTGTCCCACAGTGTGTAAAACAAATCAAATTCATTTTTCTGAAACTACTAGTGAGATTCCTTAGGGATGGATGTTAATACTGGGATGATTTGAAAATCAGGAGGAGGAAAAGTACATGGTAGTATCAGGGACATTTTTAAAATAAGCATTCTGCTGATAGGTGTGGCACTCTGCATCACTCAGAATTATGCTAGAAAATTGAGGTATGTGGTATGGAGGAATTATTTGATCACTTTGCATTCTTTTAGATTTTTTTTTTTTTTTTGAGACGGAGTCTCACTATGTTGCCAGGCTGGAGTGCAGTGGCGCAATCTCCTCTCACTGCAACCTCCTACTCCCAGATGCAAGCGATTCTCCTGCCTCAGCCTCCTGAGTAGCTGGGATTTACAGGCACGTGCCACCATGCCCAGCTAATCTTTGTATTTTTAGTAGAGACGGGGTTTCACCATGTTGGCCAGGATGGTCTCGATCTCCTGACCTCGTGATCCGCCTGCGTCGGCCTCCTAAAGTGCTGGGATTACAGGTGTGAGCCACCGCACCCGCCTCTACTTTTAGATTTTGAGCTGGAATTTCCCTTCTACTCATGTATGTTGAAGGAGTATCTAAATTAAAAGAATTCTGTAATAGGAAATATATGGAAATTGTTTCTGAAGTATCCAGAAAAGGCATTTATTTAAGTTCTGCTTTAACTTAATGCAGGTTTGTTTCGTAAAATTTTGTGCAAAACCTGCAGTAGTGAAATGTTCCATTTGCAAATTCAACCACACAGACTTCAGGAAATACAAAGTTGCGGTACTTATAACATGAACTCTTCTACAGTTACACCTACCTTTGCTTTTGAAAAGTCTTTACTAAACCTGGGGGATGTGGAGTGGGAAAATCCTACAGTAGTTAAATGGGCTCCTAATGTATTATAATGATCTGGCTTCTCCTTTATGTGTTTGATCTTGAGAATTTTAACCCATTCCAACAAGTTTAGCTGATTTGTAGCTTTTACGCTCAGACACTACATGAAGTTTAATTTTATGGATTTCTTTCTTCCACAGAGAAGACAAATTTTGCTGCAGACTTTATCAAATTTTATTTTTAAATTTTTATCTTTTTGAGTCAAATAGCTAAAATTTTACATCATTTAGGACTGAAGAGTGAGAATTTACTGTTTTTTTTTTCTTTATCCATAGAAAACTTGATACATAAACATTTGAATAAGCTTCAGATTGTTTGTCTATCTAATTATCTATCTATCTATAACCCAACCCATATGGTCTAATTTTTAATCACCTTTCTATTCCCTACTGCTTCCCATAGAAAAGGGCCAGGTGTAGTGCCTCATGCCCAATCCCAGCAAAGCCTGTAATCCCAACATTTTGGGAGGTTGAGGTGAGCGGATCACTTGAGTCCAGGAGTTTGAGACCAGCCTGAGCAACATGGTGAAACACCATCTCTACAAAAACAAACCCCCAAAAAGCAAAAATTGGTCAAGCATGCTACTGTGCGTCTGTAGTCCCGATTACTCAGGAGGCTGAGGTGGGAGGACTGATTGAGTCCGGGAGGTCAAGGCTGCAGTGAGCCATGATCGCACCACTGTACTCCATCCTGGCGACAGAATGAGACCTATCTTTTTATTTTAATTTTAATTTTTTTTTTTTTATTGAGACAGTCTCACTCTGTCACCCAGGCTGGAGTGCAGTGGCACTATCTCGGCTCACTGCCAGCTCTGCCTCCTGGGTTCATGCCATTCTCCTGCCTCAGCCTCCCGAGTAGCTGGGACTACAGGCGCCCCCCACCACACCCGGCTACTTTTTTGTATTTTTAGTAGAGATGGGGTTTCACCATGTTAGCCAGGTTGGTCTTGATCTCCTGACCTCGTGATCCACTCGCCTCGGCCTCCCAAAGTGCTGGGATTACAGGCGTGAGCCATTGCGCCTGGCTGAGACCCTATCTTAAAAAAAAAAAAAAAAAATTACTTTAGGTCTGTCATAGTAGCTCACGCCTGTGATTCCAGCACTTTGGGAGACTGAAGCAGGAGGATTGCTTGAGACCAGGAGTTTGAAACCAACCTGGGCAATATAGTGAGACCCCATCTCTACAAAAAAATTTTTTTAAAATTAGCCAGACGTGGTGGAGAGCGCCTGCAGTCCTAGCTATTTGGGAGGCTGAGGTGGAAGAATCACTTGAGCCCAGAAGTTTGAGATTACAGTGAGCTGTGATCCTGCACCACTGCATTCCAGCCTCGGCAAGAGAGTGAGATCCTGTCTCTGTGTTTTGTTTTTTTGAGACGGGCTCACTCTTGTTCAGGCTGGAGTGCCGTGGCACAGTGGTGGCTCACTGCAGTCTGGGTCAACAGGCATACACTACAGGCACACACAACCAGATGTTGTCTCCCTGTGTTGCCCAGGTTGGTCTCCAACTCCAGCTCTCAAGTAATCCTCCCACCTTGACCCCCACAAAGTGCTGGGATTATAGGCACAACCCACTGTCCCTGGCCTAATTTAATTTTAAGGAAAACAATTTTTTGTCACTTTTGGTTTGCTCTAGAATGACTACCCTATTCCAAGTTTTGAATCTGTACAACAAAGTTGGGTGCAGAATGTCAGCATCAGTGATACCAGCAGGGATTAGCAAATGAGATTCAAGGCTGCCCATATTTTCTCAGTGAATGGGCAGAACTAATGCAATAAGGAAAATGCTGTTCTTGGTGCCTTTAACTTTGGAAGGGAGTGTTCAGATGGCCCTACCTAAAAGTGCTAAAGGAAGCACATTCCTAGTTTATCTCCACCCTGTTCAGGCATCTGGTGCAAGTGCATGCTATGCCCAGATCTTACATGATGGAGTTGGTTGCACATTGCTTTATAGATCCTCAGGAAAGAGACTGATGACATTGAAGTAATTGGCACTTTGAGATCTGTTTGCCACCATTAGAATAGGAGGTCACCTCAAGGGGGGAGATGAGCAGCTACCCAAAATGAAGTGGTGAGCTTCAGATTTTTGAGGATGTGGGGAATAATATTTATTTATAGTTATTAATATTTTTATTATGACTGTGGCATAAATGTGATATAGTAGAAAAAGCACAAGCTTTGATATCAGGCCAACCTGTGTTTGAACTCTGGCTCTACCTGTTACCACTTGTGCAGCTTCTTCATCTATGAGATAGTACATATCTCAAATAGCCATTGAGATGAAATGAGTCACCGTAGTAGTACTTCTACCCAGTGACAACACAATGTAAGAGCTAAACACATTAGAGTCCTCATTTCTTTTTTTTTTTTTTTGAGATGGGAGTCTTGCTGTGTCACCCAGGCTGGAGTGCAGTGGTGCGATCTCGGCTCACTGCACGCTCTGCCTCCCGGGTTCCAGCGACTCTCCTGCCTCAGCCTCCCGAGTAGCTGGGACTACAGGTGCCCACCACCACGCCCAGCCAACTTTTTGTATTTTTAGTAGAGACGGGGTTTCACCGTGTTAGCCAGGATGGTCTCGATCTCCTGACCTTGTGATCTGCCTGTCTTGGCCTCCCAAAGTGCTGGGATTACAGGCGTGAGCCACCGCGCCTGGTCAGAGTCCTCATTTCTTCTATTTTAGTTTTCTTTTCAAGGCAAGCCTTTTCTCAGTGCCTTTGCACTTGCAATTTCTTATGTCTGGAATACTCTCCAGATCATTTTTATGGTTTGTCATATTATTTAGGTTTCTGTCCAAGAGTCATCGGTCTCTTCAAAAGGGCCTTCTCTGTGTACCCTATCTAAAATTATCACCACCCCTGTCACTCTCTGTTCTCTTGTTCCACTATATTTTTCTTCACATAATGTACTCCCTGAAATTATAATACGTACACCTTATTTATTATGTTTTCCCTGCTAGAGCATATGTTCTATGAGGGCAGGGACCTCATCTGTCCATGTTGTTGTTTTATTGCCTATAAATATTGACCTTATCTGTTCATGTTGTTTTATCACCTGTAAGTATCACCTATACATATTAGTTCAATAAATGAATGAACGAGCCAACTGACAATCTTCCTAGTGCCCGAAAAGAACCTGTGGCCGAATGCAGGAAGGAAGTTGTACCAGGAAGCAAATGCTCTCTGCTTTTGTGGAGTGGATGTTCCCACACTGAGAGCCAGATAGGCAGTAGTCCTGTGACGTCCTCTTACATCCTTTTAGACTTCTTCCTGTCTCTCTGTCTGGGAAGAGCCCCTTTGACCTTTATTTAGTATTTGTTGTTATTTTTTGAGACAGGGTCTCACCCTGTTGCCCAGGCTAGACTGCAGTGGCATAATCATGGCTCACTGCAGCCTCAACCCCTCAGCTTCCGGAGCAGCTAGGACTACAGGCAAGGACTACTACACCTGGCTAATTTTTTTAAAAAATTATTTTTTGTAGAAACGGGGGTCTCCCTGTGTTGCTCAGAAAAGTCTTGAACTCTGGCCGGGCATGTTGGCTCATGCCTGTAATCCCAGATACTCGGGAGGCTGAGGAAGGAGAATCGCTTGAACCCGGGAGGCGGAGGTTGCAGTGAGCGGAGATCGCGCCACTGCACTCCAGCCTGGTGACAGAGCAAGATTCTGTCTCAAAAAAAAAAAAAAAAAAAAAAAAGTCTTGAACTCCTGGGCGTGATCCTCCCACCTTGGCCTCCCAAAGTGCAGGGATTACAGGTGCGAACCATCATGCCCAGCCTGAATAACCTTTAGATGTGACCACCGTTATCCTGTTAAAATCTCGATTCCTTTTGGAATTAGAACATAAGCATTGTTTTCAGTCTCCAGAGTTCTACTGTGTCATATACTCTACATGTTCCATACTATTCACTGAAATCACCTGGATTTTCCCCTAGTTAGTAAGTATGTAGATCACTTTTTTCCATCCATATCAGCATGTCATGCTGATAACACTATCAATATAGTGTCATTTTAAAACAGAGGAGTGGGGGTGCAGTGTTTCATCATGACTGTAATCCCAGGAATTTGGGAGGCCAAGGTAGGAGGATAACTGGAGGCCAGGAATTCAAGGCCAGCCTGGGCAACAATGCAGGACCCCATCTTGACAAAACATAAAAAAAAAAAAATAAACATACAGAGAACTGGTGTGTTTTATGAGAAAAGAGAGGTGATTGAAGATTCAGGCTATACATTCAGACAGAGCTGGGTTCCAATTTCTGCTCTACCTTTTACTTTATGACCTTGAGCAAGTTGCTTAATCGGTCTAAACCTCAATTTCCTCATCTACAAAATGGTATGACAGTTGTATCGTCTGCATAGCTTTGTTGTGAGAAATAAGATGATGCATGCATGTTTACACCATTTTATAAGTTATTACACAATATAGAGACCTTTCACTTGCATATTTTAATAACTTAAGTTAGATTTTCATAAGCTTATTCTTTGAAAGTTACCTGGTTAGATGTGTAAGTTGCCCAGGTTTACCAGCCCAGGAACCTACTTCATTAATCAAGAGCCTTCATCCTTGACAGTATTCAGATTAAATAGAAGATATCTATTATATTTTGGTATTATAAGAGTATTCCTTATCAGAAATGTTTGAGACTACAGGTGTTTTGCATTTTGGATTTCTTTCAGATTTTGGAATATTTGCATTATATATTTGCTGGTTGAACATCCATATCTGAAATCTGACATGCTCCATTGAGCATTTCCTTTGAGCACCATGTTGATTTACAGGAATCATTTATAGGAATTGATAATTTCTTTCTCTCCAAGAGATGGCAGCATTTCAGTTTGAAAAACCTGACATTTGTTGTGTTTCATAATTGATTCATCAATTTTTCTAAAGCTAGGGCAAATCCATGTTTTTTATTTTATTTTATTTTTTTAGGAGCAGAGGTTTAATAGGCAGAAGAAAGGGAAAGGAAAACAGCTCTCTCTCGTGAGAAAGAGGGGACTTGCGAGAGGAAAGGCCGGCCAGCAGCAGCGGATGCCCCAGATTTTATAGTTGGGTGTGAGGAGGTGGTGTCTGATTTACATAGGGCTCACAGATTGATTTGATCAGGTGTGATGTTTACATAGTGAGTGGGGAAGGCTGGTTGCCCCACCCTAATCTTATTATGCAAATGCATTCTCCCCTTAGCTGGCGCCATCTTGTCTGCTCCTTACTGTATATGTGGCTGGCAGAGAAGGGAAGGTGGAGGCTTCATTTTGAACATGATTAGTTCCAGGTAGTTCTTTCCTGCTGGCATTCACCTGTGCAAGCGCTCAGCTTGCTTATCTATTTCAGCAGCTCAACTTTACAGGCTGCTCTTTGTTAGAAAATGATTTGGGGCTGCTTTTCATTAAAAAGGAAAACCTTACTGAGGACTTCCATACCCTCCCTATCTGCCTAAGTAATTTCTTAACTCCTGTATCATTCACTCCTCTGGAATGGTAATGCTAACTGCTGTTAGGGGGTGTTGGACAACTCTTTCTGGCTCCTTCCTGCTGAAAAGGGGCATTGTGTGTGGAACAGCAGCTAGGGCTCCTCCTGGGGTCAATCTAAGGGTCTTCAGATGAAAGGTGTGTCCATGTGTGGTTCGGTGTACAGCACCATTTGGAGTTTGATTGCTGTCGGAGCCATTCCGATGGGTTGTAACACTGGTTTGCCTCCACCAGATGTTGCATGTTGTAACAATGAATGTTGTACCTTGGTATCCCAGACGAGGTCCCCAGTATGAAGTGGCTGTGTTGTCTGGGGTAAATACTTGAGATTCGTCGTCTCACGCCAAGAAAATTTAGGACATGGACACGTACGAGGAGTTTAGGAGTGGAGGTTTCATAGGCAAAAGAAAGAGAAGGAAAGAGAAAGGAAAACAGTTTGCTCTCTAGTGAGAGAGAGGGGACTTCCAAGAGGAAAAGGCCCTCCGTGGGTTTTGAAAATAAACTTTATTTGGAATGATTTTAGACTTAGAAGAAAGTTACAAAGATAGTACGGAGAGTTCCTGTGTATCCTTGATCCAGTTGCCCCTAATGTTAGCATCTTACATAACTATGGTACATTTGTCAAAACTGAGAGATGAACATTAGTACATTACTGTTAAGTAAACTCCAAACTTCATTTGGATTTCATTCGTTTTCCCACTAATGTCGTTTTTCAGTTCCCAGATCCAATCTAGGATACCACATTGCATTTAATCATAAGATTTGTAGATGGTTGGTCAATAGACTCCCAAGGAGAATTTACTTTCCTTTCTTCACCTCCACTTCCTCCTTTTTATCTTAACTTTGGATCTGAATCTCAAGAATTTCAGCAGCTCGTTTCTCTGGCAAAAGATAAATGGACCTTTCTGGATCCTTTAACAACTATTTTGGTATTGATAGCTTAGAATTTCAGGAGCATGCTTTTTTTGAACACTCAACTGTATATTTGATTTTAATAATGAATGGGTACTGATTCTTCTGCCTCTCTCTGAAGCTTGCTCTTTATAATTACCAGAGCCTGCTTCACTGACTACATGTTCCTAAACTGCCTTCCAAAGAAAAATAGTTCCCTTTCTTTTTGTTTCCCCTTTCCTTTTTCATTCCTTTCCCTCCTCTCCTTCCCCTTTCCTTTACCCTTCCTTTCATCTCTCCGCATCCCCCACCCCCAACCCCCACCAAGAACAACTTGGGATGTGATTTAAATAAGCGTGGCTTGATATAAGATCATTTTACCTTGCAGAATAAATTATCTTGTTGGAGGTGTGGTACCAGATTACTTACAGTTTTTACTTTGCCCTAGGGAAAATCTGATGTAAAAGCCTCTAATGAAACATATGTAATCTGTATTATAATTTTACAAATCACTTTTCATGTACATTGTGGTCTTTTGAGTTTCAAAGGGTATATGGATTAGTTTTCAAAATTGAATTATAGTGAGAAAATTGAGGAAAAAAAGATAAAGTTACTTGATTAGGTAGCAACAGAGCTAGGATTGGGACCTCTGTGTTCTGATTCTTTCTCTGATGTCTTTTGGTCTCCCCTTAGAGGTCATTTCTTTTTTTTATTATTATTATTTTTATTTTGAGACCGAGTCTCACTCTGTCACCCAGGCTGGAGGGCAGTGGCGTGATCTCGGCTCACTGCAACCTCTGCCTCCTGGGTTCAAGCTATTCTCCTGCCTCACCCTCCCGAGTAGCTGGGATTACAAGTGCCCGCCACCATGCCCGGCTATTTTTTTTTTTTTTTTTTTTTTTTTTGTATTTTTAGTAGAGACAGGGTTTCACCATGTTGGCCAGGCTGGCCTAGACCTCCTGACCTCACGTGATCTGCCTGCCTTGGCCTCCCAAAGTGCTGGGATTACAGGCATGAGCCACCGCACCTGGCCAGAGGTCATTTCTGTAGGTGTATTGCATTTATTTGGAACTAATATATAAAACCAACCCCACATTCAGTGCTGTTAACCCTTTACCCAGAAATCAGTTGAGTTGACAGTAAACCCTTTCTGGTTAAGGATAGGGCTAATTATAAAATACATTGGGCCTTTACAATGCTTTTGTTTATATTAAAAACAAGCCAGAGAGATGTTTTTGGCACAGTGTACACTGTGCTTACCCATTCAGGCTGGTTTCACAAGTTGAAGGAAGAAAATTATCATGAAAAGGACAAGAGAAACTTAGTGTTTAGGCTGCGCGGTGGTTCATATCTGTACTCCAGCACTTTGGGAGGCCGCGGTGGGTGGATCATTTGAGCCCAGGAGTTCAAGACTAGCCTGGGCAACAGGCGAAACCCTGTCTGTACAAAAAATTAGCCATTTGTGGTGGTGCGTGCCTGTGGTCCCAGCTACTGAAGAAGCTGAGGCAAGAGGATCAATTGCTTGAGCCCAGGAAGTTGAGGCTGCAGTGAGCCAAGATTGCACCACTGCTCTCCAGCCTGGGTGACAGAGCAAGATCCTATCTCAAAAAACAAAAAAGAAAAGAAACATGTTTAGAAATAACATTATATGTAAGAAGCAGGAGAGGAAACAATTCCATTGGATGCTGTAGGACAGGGTAGGGCTCAAGAACCAGAAAGCAAGAGAGGTAATCAAACCAAGTTAGGGAACACAGAGACATCTGTCTTCTCTTTCGTATCTTTTTAGGCTGTATCAGGACAGACTCGTGGGCGCATATTAGTAGGGGCCCAGAGGAGTCTTACTTTTGGGGAATGTTATCAGGAAATAGCTTGAAACTTTAATACCAACTGATCATGAAGATAAAATACTTTCAAGACCCCCCCCCTTTTTTTTTTTTGAGACGGAGTCTTGCTCTGTCGCCCAGGTTGGAGTGCAGTGGCGCGATCTCAGCTCACTGCAAGCTCCGCCTCCCGGGTTCATGCCATTCTTCTGCCTCAGCCTCCCGAGTAGCTGGGACTACAGGCACCCGCCACCACGCCTGGCTCATTTTTTGTATTTTTAGTAGAGACAGGGTTTCACCATATTAGCCAGGATGGTCTCAATCTCCTGACCTCGTGATCCACCCGCCTCGGCCTCCCGAAGTGCTGGGAATACAGGCGTGAGCCACCGTGCCTGGCCGAGACGCCATTTTTATGTACCCTAGTGCTATCTTGCATAGAAAAGATCTTGTTTCTCTTTTTCTCTGACTTCCAGTGTTGGGCAGTACCATCTTTCTGCTCTTATGATAACTGAAAAATACATAACTATTTTAATTGTTGTTTTAAAGAAACAAGCAATTCTTTTTATTTTTAATGTACACATGTGTCTCACACAAAAGGCCACATAAGACTTGAATTTGCCAGTAGTAGGGCATGCCCACTCTTGGCATGTGTGCTAGCTAATGTTACACTTGTCTAGATGTTAGTGTCTTTCTTAAAACATTGTAATTATTCACTTTTTTTTTTCAGACGGAGTCTGGCACTGTTGCCCAGGCTGGAGTGCAGGGGCACAATTTCGGCTCACTGCAACCTCCGCCTCCCAGATTCAAGCCATTCTCCTGCCACAGCCTCCCTGGTAGCTGGGATTACAAGCATGCACCACCATGCCTGGCTAATTTTTCTATTTTAATTGAGATGGGATTTCACCATGTTGGCCAGGCTGGTCTCGAACTCCTGACCTCAGGTGATCCGCCCACCTCAGCCTCCCAGCATGCTGAGATTACAGACGTGAACCACCACCTTAGATGGCTTTTGTATCTTAAAGACAGGGCCAGTTATTAGAGATACAAATCTGTGTAAGACATGGTTCTCATTCTCACAGAACTCCTAGCTCTAATGGATTCAAAGTGAATAATTACAATGTTGGCTGGGCGCAGTGGCTCACACCTGTAATCCCAGCACGTTGGGAGGCCAAGGCAGGCGGATCACCTGAAATCAGGAGTTCTAGACCAGCCTGGCCAACATGGTGAAACTTCGTCTCTACTAAAAATACAAAAATTAGTCAGGCGTGGTGGCACACACCTGTAGTCCCAGCTACTCGGATGGCTGAGGCAGGAGAATAGCTTGAACCTGGGAGGCGGAGGCTGCATTGAGCCAAAATCATGCCACTGCACTCCAGCCTGGGTGACAGAGCAAGATTCCATCTCAGGAAAGAAAGAAAAAAAAGCCATTTGAATACATGAATTGAATTATGGGAACAATCAAATCAGTTAAGATATAGTGTCTGTTTTCTTTGGAAATACTCTTCACACAAATTAGAACTTACTTTATGTATGTTTCCCTCATGAAACTGTAAACTCACTGAAGGTGGGGCCTTCAGTCACTACTGTATCCCCAGCAACAAACAGAGAGTATCTGGCATACAGTAGGCCCTCATATTTCTTGAATGAATGCAAGGAAAGAGAGGTTGGGACAAGGAGCTAAGGAAGAACTGAATAAGGCATGGATGTGAGGTAAGTATATGTGCTGACCAACTAGTACATGAACTCTAGAGCATCCAAGCAAGTGAGAGTAAAGTGAGTAAATGACACTGTGTGCCTTAACTTACTTGTTTTTATGACTTCCCCTGAAATCTCTACTTTTCAAAGAGTTTTAGCATCGTAAACAATTGACTGTATATTAATATAAAGAGCAATGTGAAAAGTTTATTATCATATAACATTAAAGAAGGAAATACTGGAGAGTTCAGGGCTCTCTCATATCCTTTTTTCTTTTTCTGTAAAATATTGATCACAACTTGAATTTATTTGTTTGTTGTCATTGATTTGATCTCTGTTGTCCCACTGGACTGAAAGCTTTATGTGAGCAGAGATCATAGGTGTATCTAGTACCTAGCACAGGACCTAACACAATAGTATTATGTTGGTGCAAAAATAATTGCAGCTTTTGCCATTAAAAGCAATGACAAAAGCCTCAATTACTTTTGTGCCAACCTATAGTTGTTTAGTAAATACTTGTTAGGTGAGTGAATAGAGAAGATCTCTCTCCACACCCTGATTCCCAATCCTTATATTGGTAGTGATGCTGGAAAGTAACCCAGGCAGCAGAACTTGAGTAGCACCTGCTTCTGGGGACACCCTTCACCTACTTTTAATCATGCATTCTAAGAATGAAACTGGTGAGTGTTCTGAACAGCCTTTGGTTCTAATTGGTAGGCCATGTGGTTTTACAATTTGGATGCCACTAAATGATTTTTCAGGCATATAGGATAAATATAATGTAAAATACACCAGTAAAATAGGTATAATTCACTGTTGCAAAGATGGGTATTCTAATTATCTGCATGCTGAGCTTCACTTAAGGCTAGCACCCAACCTGTTCCTTCTCTGACCTTCCTGGTAAAACACATTCCCTAGTTTGAAGCTAAAAGTATTGGTGTCTGTTGCTGAATTAAGTTGCATTTGCTTATTTTTTCTGGGACTGGTGCCTGAAAATTAGAGAAAAAATATACCAATTATTAGCAGATCAAGCTTTAGGAATTTATAGGAGGCTATGAACTTAGAGTAAGGAAATACCATCCGAAACTACTTTTAACAGTTAATATTGGCTGGGTACAGTGGCTCACACCTGTAATCCCAGCACTTTGGGAGGCCGAAGTGGGAGGATTAACTGAGCCCAGGAGTTCGATACCAGTCTGGGCAACAGTGAGACCTCATCTCTACAAAAAAATTTAAAAATTAGCTGGGTGTGGTGGTACAAGTCTATAATCCCAGCTACTCAGGCGGCTGAGGTGGGAGGATTGTTTGAGCCTGGTGGGTCAAGGCTGCGGTGAGCCGTGATCATACCACTGCACTTCAGCCTGGACAACAGAGTGAGAACCTGTCTCAAATAAAATAAAAACCAGTTAATATTTATTAGTAAATGTACTACACTGTATATAAAAGAGAACTTAGAAGATACTGCATCATATCGTATGCATTAAATTTAGATAGAAAATTCACAGAAGTGCATCTAGAGATAACAGATTTTATCTCTTTATTGGGTTGTTCTTTAGCCATTTTCTTCCCCTTGACAAACCTTTAGTGGTAGTCTACAAATACATTTTATGGAAGAAGTATGTTGGAAAATGAAATTTCTCTCCTGTTGGAAACTTTTGAACAAATTAACAATTTTTAGCCAGAGCTTGGGGGTCCATTTTCACTGCTCTTTGTCCTCTGCTCCAGGAGCTATGTGTGAATTTGTTGTGGTCTCTGTTGCCCTGTGTCCTCCAGGTCCTGGGAGGTCCATAGCTAAGATGCCAAGACACCATGGAAGCTGGGAAATGTGTTGATAATTTGTGACAGTGGATATCCCTGGTCTGTATCCTGTTCTCTAGATGTCTGAGTTTAATGCTAAACTTCATGAGATGGGAGTTGACACCTCCTAGAAGTGTTCACATGATTGTTTATTAAATTATTCGTTTGTTAAAAAGGAATTTGAGAAAAAAATTATTTGTTATTCATTCTTAAGTTTTTCAATGTGAAAAAATATTAAAAATGATCATGGAAATAATAACATGTTTATTGTCAAAAAATTTTAACTTAAAAACTGAATCATTGTTCAAAACACAGCAAAAGATGATGTGCCTTAAAACAGTATCAGAGGAAAGGCTACTTACTGCTTATTAGGTGGATTAAACCTGCTTCGCACTATTTACTTGCCATGATCTATCATTGGCATCACGAACATGGGTGGAGCATATTTAATTTCTCCATATAAAGTAAGCTTAAATTAGGCCAAATTAGCATTACATAGGGTAGCTCTTGACATGGCATTGCATTAGAATTACCTGCTAAGCTTTTTAAAGAGATGAGGTCTAGGCCCCATTCCAGACCAATTAAAAACCTTCCCAGATGATTTCATTGTGAAGGGTAAGGGTTGAGAATCACTGGAATGAGAGAAGGATTACAGGGATAAGGATACAGAATATTTGGTTCCAGTCCTGGCTTCATTTCCTAGTATTTTGTTGAGGAATTTTGTGACTATGTTAATAAGGCATATTCACCTGTAGTTTTGTTTTGATGTCTTTCTCTGGCTTTGGAATCAGAGAATAATACCAGCTTCATTAAATGAGTTGGGGAAGTGTTTTCTCCTCTGTTTCCTGGAAGAGTTTGTGAATGATTGGTATTCTTTTTAATTTTTAATTTATTTTTTTGAGATGGTTTTGCTCTGGCACCCAGGTTGGAGTGCAGTGGTGTGGTCTCAGCTCACTACAGCCTCGACCTCCCAGATTCAAGTGATTTTCCTGCCTCAGCCTCCCGAGTAGTTTGGACAACAGGCACTTGCCACCATGCCTGGCTCATTTTTGTAGAGGCAGTTTTGCCATGTTGCCCAGGCTGGTCTCGAACTCCTGAGCTCAAGCAATCCGCCTACCTGGGCCTCCCAAAGTGCTGGAATTACAAGCATGAGCTACCGCGCCCAGCCAGTATTAATTCTTAAGTATTTGGAGAAATATATCAGCGAAGCTTTCTGGACCTGGGCTTTTCTTTGTGGGAAGATTACTATTTCAGTCTCCTTACTTGTTATACATCTATTCCGATGTTCTATTTCTTTCTTCAATTTCAATAATTTATGCCTTCCTAGGAATTTGACCATTGCATTTCTTTTTCTTTTTCTTTTTTTGAGATGGAGTCTTGCTCTGTTGCTCAGGCTGGAGTGCAGTGGCATGATCTCGGCTCACTGCAACCTCTGCCTCCCAGGTTCAAGCGATTCTCTTGCCTCAGCCTCC
Organism: Homo sapiens; assembly: GCF_000001405.40. Taxonomy (NCBI): domain Eukaryota; kingdom Metazoa; phylum Chordata; class Mammalia; order Primates; family Hominidae; genus Homo; species Homo sapiens. The sequence continues at coordinate 40,471,296 of NC_000022.11, read as the reverse complement.
CAAGTAGCTGGGATTACAGGCGCGTGCCACCACATCTGGCTAATTCTTGTTTTTTTTTTTTTTTTTTTTTTTTTTTTAATAGAAACAGGGCTTTGTCATGTTGGCCAGGCTGGTCTTGAACTCCTGACCTCAGGTGGTCCACCCTCCTTGGCTTCCCAAAGTGCTGGGATCACAGGTGTGAGCTACCACACCCGGCCTCCTTTTGCATTTCTGATTTTTGTATGTATTTTCTGTTTTTTTCTTGGCAGTCTAGGTAAAGGTTTATCAATTTTGTTCTTTTCAAACAACAAACTTTTATGACTATTGATTTTCTCTGTTGTTTTTGTTTTTTGTTTTGTTTTGTTTTTTGAGACGGAATCTCGCTCTTTCACCTAGGCTGGAGTGCAGTGGCACAATCTCAGCTCACTGTAACCTCCGCCTCCCGGGTTCAAGTGATTCTCCTGCCTCAGCCTCCCGAGTAGCTGGGACTACAGGCGCCTGTTGCCACACCTGGCTAATTTTTGTATTTTTAGTAGAGACAGGGTTTCACCATATTGGTGAGGCTGGTCTCGAACTCCTGACCTCAGGTGATCTGCCTTTCTCGGCGTCCCAAAGTGCTGGGATTACAGGCGTGAGCTACCACACCTGGCCTGTTTTTCTGTTTTCTGTATCATTGCTTACCACTTTAATTTCCTTTTTTCTACTTACCATGGTTTAATTTGCTCTTTTCCTAGTTTCCTTTTTTAAAATTAGCTGAATTTCATATTCATCTAGTTTCTTAAGGTAAAGGCTTACCGCATGTATTTCAGATCTTCTTTTCCAGTGTAGGCTGTGAATTTTCTAATATAAACCTATGAGTTTCCCTCTAAGCACTGTTTCAGCTGTATTCCAGAAATTTTGATAAATTGTTTAGTTCAAAGTACTTTCTAATTTCTCTCATTCTCTTTTGACCCATTGGCTGTTTAAGGGTGTGCTCTTTAATTTCTGCATATTTATGAATTTCCCAAATTTTCTTTTGCTCTTTATTATGTTTCTTTATATATATATATATATATATATATATATATATATATATATATATATATAAAATTTTGGAGATGGGGTCTTGCTGTGTCACCCAGGCTAGAATGCAGTGGTACAATCTCGGCTCACTGCAACATCCACCTCCAGGGTTCAAGCAATTCTACTACCTCAGCCTCCTGAGTAGCTGGGATTATAGGCACCCGCCGCCATGCTTGCCTAATTTGTGTATTTTTAGTGGAGACGGGGTTTCACCATGTTGGCCAGGCTGGTCTTGAACTGCTGACCTGAGGTGATCCACCTGTCTTGGCCTCCCAAAGTGTTGGGATTACAGGCGTGAGCCACTGTGCCCAGCCATATATTCTTTATATACATAATATTTATAGAGATGGGGGTCTTGCTATTTTGCCCAGGTTGGTCTCTGACTCCTGGCCTCAAGCGATTTTTCTGCTTCAGCCTCCCAAAGTGCTGGGGTTGTAGGTGTGAGCCACCATGCCTGGCCTGTTTTTGATTTCTAATTTAATTCCATTGTCATCACAGAATGATTTTAATCCTTTTAAATGTACTGAAATTTGTTTTATTGCTTGGTATGTGTTGTGACCTGGGGAGTGTTCCATGTGTGCTTGAAAAGAGTGTATATTCTGCCATTGTTAGGTGGAGTGTTCTATATGTTTGTTAATTCTATTTGGTTGATGGTGTAGTTCAAATCCTATATGTCTGCATTAGTCTGTTTTGGGTTGCTAAAAGGGGTACATGAGGCTGGTTAATTTATAAAGAAAAGAGGTTTATTTGGCTCATGGTTTTTCAGGCTGTACAAGCATTGCACCAGCGTCTGCTCAGCTTCTAGAGAGGCCTCAGGAAGCTTTTACTTATGACAGAAGGCACATGGGGAGCAGGAGTGTCACATGGCGAGAGAGGGAGCAAGAGAGATCCCATGCTCTTTTAAACCAGCATGCACATGAGCTAAAAGAGTGAGAACTCATTACTTGCGGGGAGGGCACCAAGCCACTCCCAGGACATCTGCCGCCATGACCCAGACACTTCCCACTAGGCCCCGCCTCCAACATTGGGGATCATATCTCAGCATGAGGTTTGGAGGGGGCACACATTTGAACTGTTTCAATATCCTTACTAATTTCTACCTAGTTGTTCTGTCTATTGTTGAGAGTGAGGTAGATTGCGATTTTTAGAGGAGATAAACTCAAATACTCCTTATTCAAAGTTAGTTAAATAAGCACCATGCAATTTATTAAAATGTAGAAATGCTCTAGTATTAGTTGTACCTTACAAATGCCAGAAATGACATCTATTAATTTACTTTCTAGTATACTGGGGCTATTTTAATGTTTTTAGTGTGAAGGTCATTGTTAATTCTCATGAAAACTGATGCATTCAAACTTGGCTCCAACCAGACCAGTCTTTCAGTTGATTGTTTCTGGATAGCAGTTTCCCCCCTGAAGTATGACAGCCTCCAGAGTTGGAAGCCAAATATCTGAGTGGGGGAAGAGAAAAGATTTTTGAGAAGGCTTGTCTGCATTTTGGTCTCCTCAAGCATATACACCTCATTAATTTTCAAATGCAGCACTGTTTTGGCTGGCATATAATTTCTAGTCCAGGGGCATTTCCTTTACTCATCAACAAGTTTGTTTTGGAGCCTTTTCTAACATAAATATTCTGAAAAGTGGTGGCCAAGTTTATTGTCATTTGATTAGAAGTTTCATGAGAAAAAGACTTGTCAGTATTCCTGAGTTACAGCTCAGTTAATGAAATGTCCCTACAGTCTGAGAATCTTCCTTGAGAGGACTTAGCTGGGCAAAAGATTATGTGGAGGGAGGGGTCTTGTTTTTTTACTGTCCTGTTCTTCCCATACTAACCCCACCTTCCTATTCTTTTCTACTTCCTCATAATTTATACTTTATCTTCTGATTGTAGAAGTCTTGGTGGAATCAATACATGTATAAGGTAGGAACAGCTATCAACTGCATGTTTCCTTTCCAGTGAAATCCAGGACAAATGACCGGTGGAAGAGCTAGGCTTGAGAACTCCACTTCTTACTCCTTTCTTGTTCCAGTCTTGATTGACCCAGCTGTTTGATGTGTTCATTTCTTGGGTATTACCCCTCGAATCCTATCAACATCCTTCCATGGTCTTACAGGGCAGAGATATATTAAGGTCACTCCTTGGCTTTTCCCTCACCCCCAAAGTAGCTAGTTATTCAAATAGCAATTGATGCCTTTGTTTGAGGCAGGTAAAAAACTTGATTATTTCCATGGAGAGTGGAGAACCTAGGGTTTTTCACTTTATGGTTGGGTTTCTTTTCTTTTTATTCCATTCTTTTCTGGCAGGCAACTCAGTTGATTCACCACCCATCAGCTCTAAAGACATCTGTTCATCTATGTATAGGTTGTTCACACAGGCCCATTTAGAAACATGATATATTAAATTTGTGGAAATCAGTAACAGTAAAGGATTAAAGACTTATGCTTGTATACAAATAAATATTTTTGTTGAGTCTTTATTGGCTTGGGGAATGATGAGCAAATCTAAGTAGTGATATACAATGACATAGAAAGATGTCAAAATTCCTACTCTCCTAAATCTCCATAGGCTTATACTGTCTGTGAAAAATCATCATTTGTTTCAGATATTTCTCGGTGAGAGTGGATGTGTATTAAATTTATGGCCTCTGAAATTTATTCCTGATTTTGGTAACTTTGGCAGTGAACACAGAACATATGGCTCTGTGGTATTTACTGAAAGTAGGTTATTAAATAATTGCTTCTAAAATGAATAATCCTAAGGTCTGGAAATGTAAAGTCATTTTGTTTAGAATGCTTAGAATTAAGAGGAATTAATAGACCAAGGAAACAAAAACTCCATATAAACAGCTGTTTCTTTGTAGTTGGAAGTCTTAGACGATGGATCATTTTTAGTCTACACAGATAAACATAAAGCAGATAAATTATAAAACAAAATGAATTATAGGTTGACTGCCATAATTCTGAGTTTACTGCTTCAGTCTTTTTTCCCCCTCTTTGTAACCATTGAAGGTTATGCAGTGCATAAAACAACACATACCTAAATCAGGTTATTGCAGTACCCAAGATGATACTGATACAGGATAATTCTGTTATTTGAGTGGGGAACTTTGTCAGATGTCAGATAAGCACAGAGTTCAAAGTTAACTCCTGGGAGGGACAAGATGGAATTTTCAGATAACTGAACTTTAATTTCATTCAGTTTTAGAGATGGAAAAGGTTTATTAGATAAGCTTTCGTCTTTGTACTGGAGCTGTATATGTGTGTGTATAAATATATATATATATATACATGCATAATATATACACGGTTGTGTATATGTGTATGTATATATAAGCTGAATATGCCTTTACTGTAATCTCCACAGAAAACTTGAATCAAATTTATTAAATGTGTTAGCTTTCATAAATTTAAATTTTTGCGTTCATGAAGCAAGAAGTTTTTCAATCAAGAAGTTTATGTAATATCCCTATGGCCCTATTCATATATGGTTTACTTAAGAAGGCTAGTGGTTAATATTTCAAAATTATTCTTGGATTAATAGCCATTGCTTATGTTATTGTTTCTTTGAAGTGTTCAGACTTACTGAATTGCATTGTTCCCTTATTCTCTGAAATAAAATTAATTTGTCACATTTAATAATTTTCTAATAGTTCATCTTACACTGGGCTTTAGAAACACTCTAAAAGATGACAATTATTTGCCCTTTTATCCCTCTTAGATTTTATCCTGCTTGGCTCTCCTTTTTCTTTCTGACAAAGAGGCACATTGCATATGATCAGGTGCCTCCACTTTAGAGTCACAGAAATGTGGGTACGAATCCTAGTTCCAGTACCTTTGAGCTGTGTGACAGAAGGCAAACTTTTAAAGGTCTGATTCTTAGTTTCCTCATCTGTAAAATGGAGATAATAACTGTAGCATCCTCACAGGGCTTTTTTAAAGGATTAAATAAGTTAAAAGCATGACAGTCACTTAACACAGGGTCTGACACATAGTAGCACACTCATTTATTATTTGTGTTTTATTAATGCAATTATTGTTGCTGATCTATGGTTATAATTTTTTTCTGAAATCAACTTCCTAGAGTAAATTTGTTTTACTGAAGTTGATCACCTGAATTCCTTTCACTCTGGTCGAACCATCTGTTTTAGCCCCTTTGTCTGTCTCACCAGAGAATAAACCCAGGTGATCACACTCCACTCCTGTTATCACAGTAGAGCAGGCTTTCAGAAGATCCTAGAGAGGCAAAGTAAGGAGCCCAGGTTTTGGAATCAGAATGCTTGTCTCCAAATCCTGTTCTACCTCTTATTAGTGGGATAGCCTTAGGTGTATTACTTAAACCTGCTGGGCCTCACTTTGCTTCTCGGTAAAATAGGATTAATAATACCTATCTTGGCCAGGCATAGTGCCTCACACCTGTAATCTCAGCACTTTTGGGAGGCTGAGACGGACAGATCACTTCAGCCCAGGAGTTCAAGACCAACCTGGGCAACATGGTGAAACCCTGTATCTACAAAAAAAAAAATTAAAAAATTACCGGGCATGGTGTCATGCACCTATAGTTCCAGCTACTCCAGAGGCTGAGGTGGGAGGATCTGTTGAGCCAGGGACGTCAAGGCCTTGGTGAGCTGAGATCATGCCACTGCACTCCAGCCTGGGTGACAGAGTGAGACCTTGTCTCAAAAAATAAAACACCAAAATGTATCTTCATATGGCTGTTAGGAAGAGTAAGTTAAAATATAAAAGAATGTAAAACAGTGTCTGGCACAGAGTACGTGCGTCATAAGTGTCAGCTATTATTGTAGCTCCTGCTGTTTTTATCGATTTAGTTCTCCAAGGCTTTGTTCTTAACAATGGTAATTTGTAAAATAATAATAGCCTCTTGGTTCAGTTTCTCAGACTGTTTGTAACATCCTTTTGAGATCCAGTTCAGTACAAGAAACCATTGTTGAATGCCTACTATGTATTAAGTGCTATGGGGGACATATATCAGTAAGGGATATTCTCTTCTCTCCAGGAACTTATAAACTGGTAGGAGAAGTAAGATGTTCAAGGGCTACTATTACACAAGGCAAAATATTATACTTTTCCCTAACATATAAAAGGTAGCTCACAGGAGGCCTAGAGTAACTGAATGCTGTGGAGTGAGTGGGGAAGTTCAGATGAACAGGGTAGGCATTTCCAGGTGAAGTGAATAAAAGAGGTAGGAAAAAATTCACGGTACTTGAGGAAGAGTAACTGGCCAGGCTTGATTAAGATAACTTGAAATGGGAGAGAGACACTACAGGCAAGGACACAGCCAGGGAGCTACCACTGCAGCATGGGAAAACATGGCAGGGTAAAATTGATAAGAGGGGAGTGTGAGTGTGAGGAGGTAGAGTTGAAGTTGGCCCAGACATTTAAAAAATACTGGGAAAGATAGTGATATCATTAAAGAAGTAAGAAGGATGGGAAGGGGATTAGGTTTTTGGGAGGAAAACAAGTTTGGCTTTGGATCTACTGAATTTGAGATGTAGGCAGGCGCATGGTTATGGTTCTGCGATTCTTGGACGCCTCCCTAAAAGCTACTCTGTGGATAGAAAAAGGCAGATATTAAGATGATTCCCAGTAGATTCTGGTTCCTCTCAGATGTGACTTGGAAGGCCCCTACACCTGAAGACTTAATTATGTAAGGAGGCTTTCCTTGGCCCGTGGGATCCTCCTAACCCTCCTCCTCTGAACATTTTCTTTTTTTTCTTTCTTTTTTTTTTTTAGACGGGGTCTTGCTCTGTTGCCCAGGCTGGAGTGCAGTGGCATGATCTCAGCTCACTGCAACCTCTGCAGTTTCTCATTTAGTCTCTGAATGACAGCTGTGCCATTGTCATTCTGTGTAGTTTGTAGTTGTAACACCGTTTAGGTTTAACTGGCTTTTGAAAGAAAGATAGTTGTTTTTTTTTTTTTTTTTTTTTTTCCTGAGACAGCATCTCACTCTCGTTACCCAGGCTGGAGTGAGAGAGAGTAGTGTGATCTCGGCTCACTGCAACCTCCGCCTCCCAGGTTCAAGCAATTCTCCTGCCTCAGCCTCCTGAGTAGCTGGGACTACAGGCGCGCACCACCACACCCGACTAATTTTTGTATTTTTAGTATAGATGGGGTTTCACTGTCTTGGCCAGGCTGGTCTCGAACTCCTGACCTTGTGATCCGCCCGCCTCGGTCTTCCAAAGTGCTGGGATTACATGTAGGCATGAGCCACTGTGCCTGGCTGATAGTTGATTTTTAACTTAAAAAAAATCCCTATTAAGTTTTTTCATTAAGCAGTATTGCCAGAGTGAAAATAAGAGAAACACCCATCAGTCTCCCCTAGCCCGGATGTGCTTTGAGTCATCTAGCTGAATTGTTTCACCTCAACAGAAAAGGCTCTAAGTGAAGAGAAAGAAGAAAAACAGAGGCATATTAACGGTAAAATATTTTCTAGGCTAGAAAAAGGCATTGCTTGGTGAAATGGCTATAATTTTTAGATACAAAAGAAAAAGAGTTTACAAATAGTACTTCCTGATCTGTGTGAGTAGTTCTTTCATTCACTATACTTATGGTGGTAAACATTTGTTAAGCGTAGAGCATCTGGAAAGCTTTTTTTGCTGGGTGGTGGTCCTCGTTAGGATATTTTGAGTTTGGAAGAGGTGTTTTTAAAAAAGTTTTAGGAGGAGGACTCAGTGTTTTGGAGGTTTTGAGCAAAAGGCAAGACTCTGATGCTTTGTGGATTGTTATCGCCCTGCAAGACCCTTCGCAACTTCCTCTCACCGCCCACAGCAGAATACGGAAACTCTGCTGTATCAGGCCACTTCTGCAATTACAGACAGTTGCACTTCAAGGGGACCCTTCTTTCACACTACATCCTTCTGTTTTTAGACTTTTTTTGCGTTTGAAAATGTGTTTTTTGAGGTGGAATACCCAACTGACCCCTCATCTCTCCTCTCTCTCTGCTGCCCTGCAGTGCTACAGTTGAAACTCCAGCAGCGCCGGACCCGGGAAGAACTGGTGAGCCAAGGGATCATGCCGCGTAAGTGCCTCTCTCTCTCAGCATTTGGTAGATTGCTTTTAGGACATGGCTGTGTTCACCGAGTATGCCATGGGAAGCATCTAACATAAAACAAGGATGATGCGTTTTATTTTCCACTCTCTTCTTTCTCATGACTTTCCAAGTTTAGAGCTCAATCACTAAATAGTTAAGATAACTAATTGATCAAGTTCAGTGAAACAAACTGTGTTTAAAGGGTCAAACCTGGTTTAAATTAGGTGTAAAGGGTGCCACTGAATTTTCCTTTACTTTGGAATTGCACCTTTAAAAGAGTTTTCACTCTGTTATACTTCCCTTTATAGGAGGGGCAGATCTTGAGCCTGGTGTATTGTGAGGAAGAACCACTTCTCCCATATGCTTTGCCTTCATGTTCTGGTTCTTAGGAAGAGAAACCTCTTTTCTGGTATTTTGAATCAACCACAGTTTTATGTAGAGTGAGATCCTGAGATACTCTAAGGCTGGCCTGGGCGTGAGCATGGCTGAGTAGAGTCGTTGATGGCGCTATCACGGCACCGGGCTCAGTGGGTGCAGAAGTCCATCCCTTAGGGGAAAAATGAAACCAAACCTTGGAATCTGTTAGAAGTAAGGAAATTTGCCTTTAATACCAACAGCATTATAAACGGAGCTGAAACTGGAGCTGGTGAGGTTTTGATCTTTCGGACCTTTCTTTTTTAAATCATCAGCAGAGAACATAGGCTCTCTTTTCTGTTTGTATGTTATCACTACTTGGATACACTGTAAGTCAAAAAACAATCATACAACTTCTGGCTTCATGGTGGGAGAACTGATGTTTTTCACTTTAACTCATTGTCTGCTGGCTGACTGCTACCATATTTTCCTAGCTCTCATTCATTCATTCATTCATTCATTCAAAATCTTTGAGTACCTAATATGTGATAGTTGATGCAGCAAGATAAATCCAGCTCTTGCTCTCAGGTGATTTATATTTAGAAGGGCAAGACTAGTAGTAGACAAGAAATTTCAGAGCAGGGATCACCTTGAAATGCAGTTGGTAAGTTCAGAGCCTGGTAAGTACTATCAAGTAAATTAACTGATTGGTGTGTTAATAAGTAATAGGAATAAGATGGAGTCACTTCGAATAAGATGTTCAAGAAAGGCCTCACTGAAGAGGAAAGATTTGAGCTGAGATCTAAAGGATCAGATGAAGCTGGCCATTCAGAAAGCAGGAAGAGGGCTCAGAGAGAAGAAAAAGCAAGTGTCTGGGCCTGGTGCAGGCCAGAAGTTGGTGTGTTTGGAGATCATCAAGTAAGCCAGTGTGGCTGGGGCATGGTGGAGAGAGAGAAGGGGCAAGTGAAGATGGGTAAGGTGGGCAGGGCTAGAGCCAGGGCATTATCACCCACATGGAGGAGGTGGATTTGGCTTTTAATTTTAATTTTTTTTTTTAAGACGGAGTCTTGCTCTGTTGCCCAGGCTGGAGTGCAGTGGCATAATCTGGGCTCACTGCAAGCTCCGCCTCCCGGGTTCACGCCATTCTCCTGCCTCAGCCTCCCAAATAGCTGGGACTACAGGTGCCCACCACAGCGCCTGGCTAATTTTTTTTTTTTTTTTTTTTTGTATTTTTAGTAGAGACGGGGTTTCACCGTATGAGCCAGGTTGGTCTCGATCTCTTGGCCTCGTGATCCTCCTGCCTCAGCCTCCCAAAGTGCTGGGATTACAGCCTGAGCCACTGTGTCCGGCCTTCATTTTAATTTTTAAGAGATGGGGTCTTGCTATGTTGCCCAGGCTGAACTCAACCTCCTGGGCTCAAGCAATCCTTCTGCCTCAGGCTCCTTAGTGGCAGGGACTACTGGTGTGCATCACCATGCCCAGCTGGATTTGGTTTTAAGTGCAATGGGAAGCCATTGAAGGCTTTTAAGCAAGTCAGAATGGACCTACCACAATAGTGATAGGGTCCATTTCTAAGAGAACCTTATAACAAGTGTAAGAAGCCTGGGGTCTATTTCTTTTAACTTTTTTTTTTTTTTTTTTTTTTTTTTTGAGACAAGTTCTTGCTCTGTCATCCAGGCTAAAGTGCAATGGCATGATCATGGCTCACTGCAGCGTCCACCTCTCTGGCTTTCAAGCAGATCTTCCCACCTCAGCCTCCTGAATAGCCCTGGGACTGTAGGTGTGAGCCATCATGCCTGGCTAATTATTTTTACTTTTTATAGAGATGGAGTCTACCTATGTTGCTCAGACTGGTCTTGAACTCCTGGGCTCAAGCGGTCCTCCTGCCTAACCCTCCCAAAGTGCTGGGATTACAGGTGTGAGCCACCTTGCCCGGCTTGGGGTCTATTTCTATCCTAAACATCAGCCCAGGGAGCTTAAGTCCCAAATTAATCTTTTTGTTTACTGCAGTTCACTGCCAGACTATTTACCTACATTATGCTGTCTTCTGTGGCCCTCCAGTGAAGGACTCTCTACCCCCAGTTCTTAAAGTGTTAGGTGGCTTGTTCATTGTATCAGCAATGTGATCAGGTAGGGCAATGCTGTGCTTTACAATACACTCCAAACCTCCCAGTCCATACTGTGGAGAAACAAGATAGCTACCCAGTTTCTCATCTACTTGTCCCTTTCACCAAGGACATCATATACTTAGTGTCTACTTTGTGCCTAGGGTAGTCCTAGATGCTACCAAGATTAAAGAAGTAAGAGGCATGGTATCTGCCCTCAAGGCATTGAACAGCCAAAATTTGGGCTGCCAAAACGTACCCATACACAAAATAAAGAGCAATTCAGTGCTGACACATGGGCTACTAACTGTAATTACAGCACTAATTCTGAGAGCATAATGCTACTTCTCAGGACCTGTAGTATGTTCAGGGTCTAAAAGCAGTGCACAGATTGAGTGCCCTGCTTTCTTTTTCCTGTCTTTCCTGTAGTAGCAGGGGCTACTGGAGATCATTGTTTAATAGGATTTATCTATTAGTCTCCTTACTTAGCATTTCTTGTAATATTCTATGTTGTTAAGACAAATGGGCCAGGCGCGGTGACTCACACCTATAATCCCAGCACTTTGGGAGGCCGAGGAGGGTGGATCACCTGAGGTCAGGAATTCCAGACCAGCCTGGCTAACATGGTGAAACCCCGTCTCTACTAAAAATACAAAAATTAGCCAGGCATGGTGGCGCGCCTGAGAGGCTGAGGCAGGAGTATTGCTTGAACCTGGGAGGCGGAGGCTGCAGCAAGCCGAGTTTGCACCACCGCACTCCAGCCTAGGCAACAGCGAGACCCCGTCTCAAAAAGACAAATGATGCTTTGGTTATTGCGGTTATCTGCTTATATGCTTGTATCTCCTGCTAGACTATGATCTCCTTGAGAAAGTATCATTCATGTGTGTATATATATATATATATATATATATATATATATGTATATATGTGTGTGTGTGTGTGTGTGTGTGTGTGTGTGTGTGTGTGTATATTTTATCAGTCCCGTCCCCAGTGCCTGGCACTGAATGAAGGAATGAATGAAGACAGCCAGTTGTAAAGTACAGTGTGTGCATGTGTATATGAGAGAGAGAGTCTGACAAACTGAAATAGATACCGCTCTATTGAAAACCTGTTGGAATTCTGGGCATGGAGTTTGAAACAACACTCCCATTCTGTCAGGAGCCCGGATTCTAAAATTGTCCTGAATATCTAATTGTATACTTTGGGTTGTTCTCTGTGTCTGTGAAGTGAGAATAATTGCCTTTCCTGTGGGAATAGAAATGACCTGCTTCTATGAGAATATTGCATTTTCCCATATACCAAGATCCACCTTCAGCTATGGACATAGTCTTGTTATCAGCTTTTCTAGAGAAGGAAGTAGGTAAGAAATGCTTAGATTATGAGAGAGAATGTTGAGGACTGGGAATAGTTTCAGGTGTGAATTTCCTCCTCATTTACGTCCCTGTTGGTACATGGATAGGGTCTGGTGTTCCCAAAAACGAGGCTCTTTTTTTTTTTTTTTTTTTTTTTTGCCAGACCCCTACCTAGTGAGTAACCCTCCCTCACCACTACCCTGTGTCCCCCGACTCCTTTTGTAATCTCCAACATCCTCTGCCGCCCCAACACCCCGTCATCCTGCTGACTCCCACTAATCCCACTCCTCACCCTCCACTCCATGTCTTTTTTTTTTTTTTTTGAGACAAAGTCTCACTCTGTCGCCGAGGCTGGAGTGCAGTGGCGCGATCTCAGCTCACTGCAGCCTCTGCCTCCTGGGTTCAAGCAATTATCTCGCCTCAGCCTTCCCGAGTAGCTGGGACTATAGGTGTGCACCACCATACCCAGCTAATTTTTGTATTTTAGAGATGGAGTTTCGCCATGTTGGCCAGGGTGGTCTCGAACTCCTGACCTCAAGTGATCTGCCCACCTCGGCCTTCCAAAGTGCTGAGATTACAGGCATGAGCCTCCACGCCCGGCCAGCCTGAGGTGTTTCTGAAAACAGCTCTCAGATTTAAGTTTGTTGTACAACTTAGGAGGTAGGCAGAGCCCTCAAGCCGAGGGAATGGGCACGTTAGTTATGGCTGTATTTTGTCTCATCATTTCTGGTTGATATCTTTTATCAAATTCTTCTCCTTTGAATTTTGCTGCCTCCAGGAAGGAAAAAAACCCATCTACCTCATCTTCCAGAACACTTGCACATAGTTACCACGTAGGACTGGCTGTCAGTCCTGACATCGTCATATCTGTAGGACACAGTGTGCTTCAGTGGTTCCCTTCCCTTCAGGGTTGTTCTGTTTCTATATGTCATTCAGTGTTGGGGTCTGACCTTTCCATAAAGTTGAAGGGATTAAAGAATCCCCTAATTCCTATATACCTCTCTGTACTGCTTGATATGCTCTGATCATAGCATCTCAACTGTGAGATACAGAAGTTGGTTTCTGATGTGCTATTAAACAGAATCATTTTGCAGTATTCTTTATTCTCATCATGTAAACATAAGTTTCAAATTTAACGTCACTTAACTCTACCAAATACAGAGTGCCAGATAGCAGAGGCTTGTATGGTCTAGGCCCTAAATTTTCACTAATGATGTCTCGCACATATCTTGAGGGATAGGACAGATGGCAGAGATAGGGAGCTGGTCTTGAAATCCAAAGATTAAGACCAGGAATGCCACTGTATCCAGGATGAAGACTCACAGAAGAAACTGGTCATATTTGGTACACTTTGTTCTCAAAGCTTCCCCTGAAGCCTTTCTCTTTGATGTTTAAAGGTGTACAAGGTCATAAGGTTAAGGTGAAAATTTAAGAAAAACGTTCTGGCATGAGAGCTGTTGCAGAGGATAACCTTTCAAAGGAAAACATGGAAGTTTTTCTGACCTAGACAAATCAGAAAAGGGTCTCCTCCTGTATTCTTTCTGGATGTGAGAGAAGCTTGTTTGTCTCTTGTCAGTCTTTTATAATTGAGAATCCTTGAAATAAAGCATATAGTACCATGTTTCTAATGCTACAGTTAACCCTCAACTTACTATTTTCCCATGTGCCAGTAGTAGAAAAACCTTGAATAACACGTGAGGAAATAATTATTTTTGTCGTATAGATCTTCGAAGACCTTGCTCTGTCTTCTTGACAGAGCTTGTTTTTTTCATTTCTAATGATGTTCCTGTGCACCCATAGCAGAGTTAAAATTTCTTCTTAAAAGTGCCAGGATTGATTACTACGGTCTCTCTCTGTCTGAAGTTGCATATCTCTCTCTCTTTTTCTTTCTTTCTCTTTCTTTCTTTCCTTCTTTCTTTCTTTCTTTCTTTCTTTCTTTCTTTCTTTCTTTCTTTCTTTCTCTTTCTTTCTTTCATTCTGTCTCTCTCTCTCTTTCTTTCTTTCTTTTTCTTTTCTTTCCTTTCTTTCTTGACAAAATCTCACTTGCTCTCCCAGGCTGGATTGGAGTGCAGTGGCGCCATCTAAGCTCACTGCAACCTCCGCCTCCTGGGTTCAAGCGATTTTCTTGCCTCAGCCTCCCAAGTAGCTCAGATTACAGGGACCGGCCACCACGCCCAGCTAATTTTTGTATTTATAGTAGAGACGTGGTTTCGCCATGTTGGCCAGGCTGGTCTTGAACTCCTGACCTCAGGTGATCTGCCCACCTCAGCCTCCCAAAGTGCTGGGATTACAGGCGTGAGCCACTATGCCTGGTCCTGCAATTCTTAATGATGTTTTTGTTATTTGTAACTTGGGAATCGTTAACTTACATTATTCTTCACCAAATATGCAACCTAGGTTTCAACATTCTTTTTCCTGAGTACATGTGAATCAAATACATTTTGGTAAAGCTCTTTTAAAACTAAATTTTTTAAAAAAATGGATTAGATTGTGACTCACTAATGAGATGTTCAGGATTTAGTAACCAGTAGACAGAATCTAGGACCTTAGGCTAGCCCAGTTTGTGCAGAGATGACAAAAGAAATCAAAGGATACAGAGACTTCAACTTATTTTATGATAGGCTGAGCCGATACAGTAACAGTAATGGTGATAATAAAGATATAAAATGAGCCAAAAGAAAACTTTTTAAAATTTGTTTATATATATTTTTGAGACAGGATCTGGTTCTGTTATCCAGGCTGGAGTGCAGTGGCGCAATCTCAGCTCACTGCAACCTCTGCCTCCTGGCCCAAACCATCCTCCCACCTCAGCCTTCTGAGTAGCTGAGACTACAGGTGCGGGCCAGCACGTCCAGCTAGTTTTTGTATTATTAGTAGAAATGCGGTTTTGCCATGTTGCCCAGGTTGGTCTCAAACTCTGGGCTCAAAATGATCTGCTTGTCTCGGCCTCCCAAAGTGCTGAGATCACAGGCGTGAGCCACTGCAACTGGCCTAAGTTTAATTTTATTTATTGAACAATCCCCGAACCAGAATAGGTGCAGAGAGGCTCCCCTGAATCTTTTAAAATAGTATTTTTTTTTTTTACAGAAGTTTCAGTTTCACAGCAAAGTTGAGCAGAAGATATGGAGATTTTTCATATACCCCCCTGCTAAAAATTATAAGTAATTTTTCATTTTTTAGTTTTTATAGCCCCTGGAAAGATAAACCAACTTCCTAAATCTTCAGTGTTTCTCGTAATAAGACCGGAAGGGGTTATGATTTGACATTGTCACTATCAGGCTATCTTTATTAAATACTTGGATGGGCTGAGCCTGGTGGCTTATGCCTGTAATCCCAGCACTTTGGGAGGCCGAGGCCAGCCTGGTTACCATGGCGAAACCCAGTCTCTACTAAAAATACACACACACAAAAATTAACCAGGCGTGGTGGTGCATGCCTGTAGTCCCAGCTACTTGGGAGGCTGAAGCAGGGGGAATTGCTTGAACCTGGGAGGTGGAGGTTGCACCACTGCACTCCAGTCTGGGCGACAGAGTGAGACTTCATCTCATAAATACATACATACATACATACATACATACATACATACATACATACTGGGATACCATGGGATCTTTTTGTTGTTGTTGTTGTGTCCCCCAACTCCTGTTGTAATCTCCAACATCCTCTGCCACCCCGACACCCTGTCATCCTGCTGACTCCCACTAACCCCACTCCTCACCCTCCACTCCATATGTTTTTTTTTTTTTTTTTTTGAGACTGCATCTGGCTCTGTCACCCAGGCTGGAGTGCAGTGGCGCGATCTCGGCTCACTGCAAGCTCCGCCTCCCGGGTTCACACCATTCTCCTGCCTCGGCCTCCTGAGTAGCTGGGACTACGGGCACCCGCCACCATGCCTGGCAAGTTTTTTGTATTTTTAGTAGAGACGGGGTTTCACCGTGTTAGCCAGGATGGTCTCAATCTCCTGACCTCGTGATCCGCCCGCCTCAGCCTCCCAAAGTGCTGGGATTACAGGTGTGAGCCACCGCACCCGGCCGCCATGGGATCTTTTCTCCAAGTTATGAATTCAAAAGAACTAGGTGCTAGACCAGCCCTGTCCAATAGTATGTTAAGTGAAGATAGAACTATTTCTATAAGACTAACCATTAGCCGCATGTGCTGTTGAACATACTTGAGTTGAAAAACTGAATTTTAATTTTTATTTAATTTTAATTAATTTAGATTTAAATAGGCACATGTGGCTATTCTAATTAAATAGTCACATTTGGCTAGTTGCTACTGTATTAGAAAGTGGAGTTTTAGGCCAGGCACAGTGGCTCACATTTGCAGTCCCAGCACATGGTGAGGCCAAGGCAGGAAGGTCTCTTGAGCCCAGGAGTTTGAAACCAGCTGGGGCAAGATAGACCCCCATCTCTCCAAAAAGTTTTTAAAAATTAGCCAGGCATGATATCACATGCTTGTGGCCTTAGCAACTTAGTAGGCTGAGACAGGAGGATGGCTTGAGCCTTAAACCCAGAAGGTCAAGGTTGCAGTGAGCTGTGTTCATGCCACTGCACTCCAGCCTGGATGACAGAGCAAGACCCTGTCTCAAGATAAATACACAAATATATACATACATGCATACGAACAAAAGAAAGAGAGTCTTAGACCTTGCTCTGTTACTTAGGAGTTAGAAGACTTTGGGCAACTCAGTAACTTTTCTGAACTCCCAGTTTCATATAGTTGGGATAATAACCCATCTTAAAGGTTACTCACAGAATTAGTTACCCATGGAGTGATAACTTACCCACAGAGTGAGTTTGGAGATCAAATGAGATGATGTATTGTTCGTGCTTTTGAAATGTAGGAAGTAATATTCTCATTTAAGAATGGAGGAGCTTGGATCCACCATCTTGATGTTGTGACTATGAAAGCAGCTTTAATATACACACACACACACACCTACCTCTAAGTTATGTCAAAACTAGTATTTAGGAATGCAACTGGGCTGGGTGTAGTGGCTCATGCCTGTAATTTCAGCACTTTGGGAGGCCAAGGTGAGTGGATTGCTTGAGCTCAGGAGTTTGAGACCAGCCTGGACAACATGGCGAAATCTAATCTCTACAAAAAATACAGAAATTAGCTGGATGTGGTAGCAAGTGCCTGTAGTCACAGCTTAGGAGGCTGAGGCAAGAGGATCGCTTAGCCTGGGAGCTGAGATTGTGCCACTGCACTCTAGCCTGGGCAACAGAGTGAGACCCTGCCTCCCTCACACCCCCACCCAAAAGGAATAGGAACTGTTTTCCAATAAATACAGTTCTTAATTTTACTTTCTTTCCTATCAGTGGATTAAAAGACAATTGCTATAAATTGTTAGAAATCAAAGAACCACTAGTCAGCATGGTACTACTCTGTTAAGATCATTCTCCTTTTGGTCATATATTAGCAGGACTATCATTTTATGAGCTTGCCCTCTTCCTGGGAGTAGATGTTTCTTTTTAACCTCTTTCTCTTGAAAGCAAACAAACAAGTGGCTGTGTTAGAAATGTTTTTAAATTTCTGGGCAACTTACCAAGAGACAGAAATGTTTACCAGTGGGAATGCAGTAGTGATTCCAGGGCAGATGAGGGTCTGGTTTGAGAGTGATCTGTCCTCCATCCCCACTCCTATTTTTTTTAACAATTTTTTTTTTTAACTAAAATTGTAGGTTTCAAGAAAATAGCACTTGTTTGCTTTTAAGTGGAGTGTTACACTATCAAAGACATTAAGTCTCAGTGGATACTTCATCAGTGAGTGAGTTTGGGTGGGGACTAAGGCAAGGGCAAATCCTCTCTCTCTGGGCCTTTATCATCTCTCATACGCTCTAGTCCATTTGGGAGTTACTGAAAGCTCTGTGTGATCATCTCTCAACTGCTGCCCCTGTGTGTCAAAGAAGTTTGGCTATGATCCACCCAGTGCCCCTTTCCAATAGGAGCCCAGAAAAGGCTTTCCCCAAACCTTGCAGTTGGCCCTCTGCCCCAGTCCGGTCAGTGCCCTCGGACTCCCGCTTCCGTCAGAGCTCAGTTGCAGGATATGGTGGTGTAACCCATTTGGTGATCGTTTCCTTATCTTTTCATTCTTTAAGAGGCAGAGAACCCTACCTAGTGAGATGATGTGTCCTCACTACAGGAATGTGACTGTGTAATTGTAGTTGAATCCCTAGTTTAAGTTGCATTTGATAAACATCACAGTGAAACATGTTTTCCAGAAGTGAGGCTGACCTGATCCCTAGAGTTGAAGCTGAGAGAAAATTGTGTTAGGTATGTGGCTTCAGGAATCTTCTCTTTTATCACAGGAGAAGGCACATCAGTCCCAGGCATTTTACGTTGCATTTGTGTCAACATCCTTGTCTCGCTTCTGCTGTTGTAGAGTGTGTTTCTACCTCAGTGATCAGTGACTAGCATAGAACCTCCTTCTTGGCCAGTTGCCAACAAATCCTTAAATAATACTCTGCAGTGAGTGGTGTGTTCATGTTCTGAGTGTATTCATGGTTCGGTCCGAAGAAGAATCCAACCATGAGCTGTGTTGAATAGGCCATAAAAAGTAGTCGTCATCATTTTTTTTTTTTTTTTTTTTTGAGACGGAGTGTTGCTCTGTTGCCCAGGCAGGAGTGCAGTGGGGCAATCTTGGCTCACTGAATCCTCTGCCTCCTGGGTTCAAGCAATTGCCTCGGCCTCCTAGGTAGCTGGGATTACAGGCGCCTGCCACCCACGCCCGGCTAATTTTTGTATTTTTAGTAGAGACGAGGTTTCACCATGCTCGAACTCCTGACCTCAGGTGATCCGTCCACCTCGACCTCCCCAAAGTGCTGGGATTACAGTCATGAGCCATTGTGCCTGGCTGAAAGTAGTCTTTTTGATATGAGTTCTTGTTACAGTTTGATGTCTAAAAAGTACAGCAGGTGTTAAGTTTCATTAATAATTGGTTATTGAAGAATCTGAGATATCCAAGGCTAACTTCTTATCAAGAGTAAAAGAAGGTTATAACGTCACTTGTAGGTACTACTCAACTATTTTACCTGAACAATACACATCTTAATCACATGCCCAAGGGGAGTCCTGATAGATAACTGATGATGGTGGTGATTTAAAAGTCTTCAGGCCAGGCGCGATAGCTTATGCCAGTAATCCCAGCACTTGGGGAGGCCGAGGCAGGTGGATCACGAGGTCAACAGATCAAGACCATCCTGGCCAACGTGGTGAAACCTCTGTCTCTACTAAAAATACAAAAAATTAGCTGGGTGTGATGGCACGCGCCTGTCGTCCCAGCTACTCGGGAGGCTGAGGCAGGAGAATCACTTGAACCTGGGAGGCAGAGGTGGCAGTGAGCCGAGATCACACCACTGCACTCCAGCCTTGGCTACAGGGTGAGACTCTGTCTCAAAAAAAAAAAAAAAAAAAAAAAAAACCAAAAAAAAAAAACTTCAGCCAGGTGGGATGTTATTTGCAGGAGGGCACAGGTGACCTGGAATTTGTATTCTAAACAGATCACTTAGACGTATTGATTATGGGGACTTCAGAAAGAGGCAGTAGCTTTTTTAAAAAAATTGGTTTGCACTTTGCCAAAAAGTATACTGGAGTGAAAATAGACTGATCCAGGGTCTTAGACTGGGCTGTGGTATGAAAGCTAGATATAAACATGCCTGGCCTATGTCAAAGAGAAGCCTAGAAGGTCAGATTCAAAATATTTGACCACTGGTATGTTAACCTTTTGGAATTCCCTGTGTCGATACTCGTGCTAAATGAGATTGTGTGCTCACCTGTCTCAGTCTTGAGCCTCTTTGACCATCAGTGGGTCAAGAGCAGGAGACGCTGGAACAGTTTGCACTCTTGGGAAGGAAAAGATTGAGCATCCTGCGTCTCCACTTCTTACATTCATTCTTGGGAGTTGGTCTTCCTGCTGGTTTGGGTGGGGGTGATAGCCGGTGCCAAAACGGGTGGTGGCAAGCGTGCATACCAAAACAGGATGTGTATGAAGAACCCTTTATGACTGCTAGTTTGGATCGTTGCTTGCCCCAGAATATGCAGTCCCTTCTCCACACCCCGCCACCCAAATGCTTTCATTGATTCACATGAACTTAATTTTGGTGCTCATTTATCATGGTCAGTCTCTCGAACTGTTGACAACTCTTTGGTTGATGGTCTTTGTTAAAGGATTTTTGTAGGCATTTTTAGTGTGTCAGCTAAAAACAGAAAGACAAAAAATGGAAGTCAAGCCCGGTCCAATTAGCTCTCAGCATTTGACTCCATATACCTGCTGTTTCTTCCAGAATGGTAATAAAGGAAAAAAGCTACATCAGTAACAGCCCTTAAACTTAACATAGCTTCTAGCAGATGGCAAAGCACTTTCATTTTAATGCTAATAATTACCCAGTGCAGCAGTTAGTATAATTGCCATTTTGCAGATGAGGCTACTGAGCCTCAGAGGGGTCATGGGACTTGCTGTAGGTTACACGGGCACTGAAAGATAGGCAGACCCAATCCGGGTTTTCTGGCTACAAACCCTGTGCTAATTCCTGAAAGTCACAGTTTATACTGGTTCTTGTCCACATTGGAATTTTTGTGATGACAGCCTGCTATGCTTTCGCCAAAATTTCAACTTTAAAAAATCTTTGAAAATTGAGGAGGCTGGGTGTGGTGGCTCAAGCCTGTAATCCCAGCACTTTGGGAGATTGAGGTGGGTGGATCACTTGAGGTCAGGTGGTTGAGACCAGCCTGGCCAATGTGATGAAACCCTGTTTCTACTTTAAAAAAAAAAAAATTAGCCAGCTGTGGTGGCAGGCGCCTGTAATCCCAGCTACTTGGGAGGCTGAGGCAGGAGAATCACTTGAATCTGGGAGATGGAGGCTGCAGTGAGCCCAGATTGCACCACTGCACTCCAGGCTGGGCGACAGAGTTAGACTCCATCTCAAAAATGAATAAATAAATACACTATTAAAAAAAAAAAGAAAATTGAAAACAGCATCAAAGCAGGATCCATAGTTGGTGAGATCAGGTGGTGGAAGTGTCATTTGTAAGCGCTTCAGTACAAGTGCTTTCAGGTTGCTGTTCATTTGAAGGCCATGGGCATCTTTCTTCTTCTGTCATAATAACCCTTTGGTACATCAGAGGTTCTTGATTTCTTTTGTGCCATATATTCTTCATAGGGAATCTTCCACATCCTCTCAGAGTTGTCTAAGCAAGCACCTAAAATTCACATAGTTCCAGGGATCTATAGCTGCTCTAAAGTGGGTACAGTGTGCTCTAGGTTAAGAGATTCTGATCTACCCGGATATGGAATCCTAAGAAAAATCCTATCTAATGCTAGTGTCAACCCTTACATACCAGTGACACAGCCAACCTCTTCTGTCACTCAGTGTGTGAGGGACCCTCTCCATTCCCTGCACTACCAGTGAACCTCTGTGCTCCTCACCTTTTGGGTGCTAAGACCAAGGACTACATTTCTGTAGCTGCTTTCCATTGGGTGACTACCATGCCCCTGATAAAAATATCAGGGTGTGGAATCCATCCCATCTGAATTAAGCCCTAGCCAGGGTGTGAGGAAGATGGCAAAAAGCCCAGATTCTCTGACTCCCAGAAAAATATGCATTGCAATGATCCTGAAAGGAGTCCAGGAAATTAAAACTCTTTACCCACACAGCCAACAGAATTGACATTTTGAATCAAGCTATTGAGAAAATTCAGCAAGTCCTTCTTTACTAAGTGTAGTTTTAATCAGCACCTGGTATTAGAGAATAAGCAAATAAAATTCTTACTTTCTCACCTCTTCTTTGCCTTTGTTAGATTAGGGAAGCAATGTTTTCCGAATTTAGTGGCTTTAGCATTACCCAAAGAGCTTACTAAAGATTATTCTTAAGGCCTAGGAATCTGCATTCCAAGAGATTCTTGCACACCACAGACATTTTCATGCAAATGATTCTTGAACTACACTTGGAGAAACCCTGGGCTGTGGACTGCTGGCCTCTTTCCCCTTTTCATTTTTAGTGTGGCACAGAATATTTTTATTCTCTTCTTCCCAAGAGTTCTGAAGTAGAAGATTGCCCTGTCCCCATGATTCAAGAGTTAATGGCAAATTTCCGTTCTTTTCTTTTCTTTTTTTTTTTTTTTTTCTCGTTTGGAGACCGAGTCTCGTTCTGTCACCCAGGCTGGAGTGTAGTGGCGCAATCTCGGCTCACTACAAGCTCCGCCTCCTGGGTTCACGCCATTCTCCTGCCTCAGCCTCCAGAGTAGCTGGGACTACAGGCACCCGCCACCACGCCCGGCTAATTGTTTTTGTATTTTTAGTAGAGACGGGGTTTCACTATTTTAGCCGGGATGGTCTCAATGTCCTGACCTCATGATCCACCCGCCTCGGCCTCCCAAAGTCCTGGGATTACAGGCGTGAGCCACTGCGCCCGGCTGAGAGTTAATGGCAGATTTCTAAGACAGCTGACGCTTTTGCATATAAGATGACTGGGTACAGAAAAATTCTGAGCGTTCATCTCCAATGCTCGGAAAAGCCTGGCTTGCCTGCCTCTCTCATAGCTTTGTACCATATCGCTGGTCATTTTTGGCAAGTCAGTTAACTGCCTAAAGCTGTATGAGAAACTAATGCTAGGGCCAAAGGATGTGGCAAAAGACTCAGTTAACTTTGGATGGAGTTTGATTATACAGTGACTCTCTTTTCTGCTGTGCTGAAGGGAAAAGAAATAGGAGAATTTGTGCCCCTTTGACATTTTCTGAGGTTAGATCTGAAGCCTTCCCTGCTGTCTCATTGCCAATATTAGAGAAAATGACAAGGCAGCATTTATTTCCAAAGGAATAGCTAGGAAAAGATGGCCAAATGTGAAAGACTAGATTAAAATCACTGTTGTCTGTTATTTATTTGGTAACCCATCATGCATTTTGTTTCATCTTGGGGTTTTTTATTTAGAGACAGGTCTAGTTCTGTTGCCTAGGCTGGAGTGCAGTGGTGTGATCTTGGCTCACAGCAACCTTTGCCTCCCGGGCTCAAGTGATCCTCCCACCTCAGCCTCCCGAGTAGCTGGGATCACAGGGGTGTGCCACCACACCCAGCTAATTTATTTATTTTTTTGAGACAGAGTCTCGCTCTGTTGCCCAGGCTGGAGTGCAGTGGTGTGATCTTGGCTCGCTGCAACCTCCGCTACCCGGGTTCAAGCGATTCTCCTGCCTCAGCCTCCCGAGCAGCTGGGATTACAGGCGTGCACCGTCACACCCAGCTGATTTTTGTATTTTTAGTAGAGATGGGGTTTCACCGTGTTGGCCAGGATGCTCTTGATCTCTTGACCTCGTGATCCGCCCACCTCGTACTCCCAAAGTGTTGGGATTACAGGCGTGAGCCACCACGCCCAGCCCCAGCTAATTTTTTTGTAGAGATGGGGTCTCGCTAGCTTGAACTCCTGGGCTCAAGCAATATGCCCTCCTTGGCCTCCCAAAGTGTTGGAATTACAACCACACCGGGCATATCACACACTTCGTTTTCTATACTCCTTTACCTTCTGCCACCTCTTGATGAAATATATGTAAATAAAAAGATTTGGAATCAAAAGAACCAGAGTCTAGTGTTCATTCTGTAGTTGATTAGGATGTGATCTCAGGAAAGTCATTTCCCAACTGTAAAATGTGGAAAATAGTAAGTACTGAGAAGCTGAAGTGAGGTAATTTCTAACACATTGTGGAGGTTATTGGGGAAAACAAGGAGACCATTTTCAGCAAACCTGTTTATTTATGTTACCTCAGAAGCCTTTTTGTCAGTGTCAAGGTTCGCAGGCACCATTCTACTTTATTTCTTCTCATTATAGTTCACAGTTTTACAGGGTCCTGTGTGGCTTTGTCTCCCTGTGTTTCCACCCACTCTTCTTGTTTTCTGCCACCCTGGCCTCCTTGATGCCATGCAGGCAGGATCCCACTGAGAGCCTTTCCACATGCTGTTCTCTGCTTGGAGGGCTGTCTCCCAGAGGACTGCAGGGCTCACTCCCTTTTTTTACATCTCTCCTCCAATGTCACTTTTTTTTTCTTTTTTCTTTTTTTTTTTTGAAACAAAGACTCTGTTACTTAGGCTGGAGAGCAGTGGCTCAGTCTTAGCTCATCACAGCCTCAACCTCCTGGCCTCAAACAGTCCTCCTGCCTCGGCTCCCCCAAATAGATCGGACTACAGGTGCGCGCCACCATGCCTAATTTTTGTATTTTTCATAGAGACGGAGTTTCACTATATTGCCCAGGCTGGTCTTGAACTTCTGACCTCAAGCGATCTGCTTGCCTTGGCCTCCCAAAGTGCTAGGATTACAGGCATGAGCTGCCACCCCCAGCCAAATGTCACCTTATCAGAAAGTCTTTCCCTGACCACTCCATATAAAATGACCTCACCCCATCACTGTCACTTATAACTTGCTTTATAGTTCTTCATAGCATATACTGCCTCCTACTGTGTTACATGTTTGTTTTATGTATATCTTTCTTCAATTAAGTATAAGCTCCACGAAAACATGAATAACCCAACACTAAAACAGGGTCCGACACATGTAGGCTCGCAGATATTTATTGGAAGAATGAATGAGTAATGAACTGTTAGCACATCTGTAAGTAACCTCTTAGGGGACACATACCTCTGACTCCACTTTCTCACTTCTTATTCACTCTTTAATCTGTTGCAGTAAGTTTGTGCTTCCACCAATCCACTGGCATAGCTCTGAGACCACTGGCTATGTCCTAAGCATAAGTGATTCTCTGGAAACTTTATAAGCCTTATTTTGCCTGACTTCCCCACTGTTAGTGTCTCTCTGTCTTTCTGTCTACAGGCTTTTTCTTGAAGCTTACTTGGGGTAATAGCTTTGCCTCCTCCCCTCCTGCCTCTGTGGCCCTCCTCAGATTCCTGTGCTGGGTGGGCTCTCTTCATGCCTGTCCTTGAGTTCTGTGATTCTCCAAGACAGAACACAGTTTCTCCCCCACTTCCCTAAGTTTACTCGCCCTGGATCACCTGTCCAGGAGTGTTAATAGCACAACCATTCACCCAGTCACTCCAATTTGTTCTTTTAAGTGGCCTCTTGAACATTACTAGAGTGATCATAAAAATGCAGTCCTTGCTATTTTGCAATTTTATTGAAAAAATCAATTTTGTAAAAATCAGTTCAGACAAGGATCATCAGTAGATGCTAAAACTGTTATTAGGCAGTTAGTTGTGGGAAAACAGGATTTTCACGTGGCATCAAAATGATACCCCATAGATTATGTGTTAATTACAAAGACAGATCTGGTGTCACCTTTCAAACTTTTAGCACCATCACTGGTTATACAGCCTGATAACATATGCCCCTTGATGTTAAGAAGTACATATACCTATGTTTTCTTCTTGCCAAAAATGTTTAACCTAAATCTAATCATGAGGAAGCAAATTTAGAATACAGAACATTGTGCAAGACAAACAGCTTAGATACTTAAGTCAGTGTCATGAAAATGAAAAAGGTAGGGGTACTGTTCTAGATTGTGACCAAATTGACAACAACCAAATGCAGTGCATGATTCTTGATTAAATCTTGGGACCAGGTGTGGTGGCTCACGCCTGTAATCCCAGCAATTTGGGAGGCCAAGGCAGGTGGATCACGAGGTGAGGAGTTCAAGACCAGCCTGACCAACACGGTGAAACCCCGTCTTTACTAAAAATACAGAAAATTAGCCGGGCATGGTGGTGGGTACCTGTAATCCCAGCTACTCAGGAGGCTGAGGCAGGAGAATGGCTTGATCCCAGGAGGTGGAGGTTGCAGTGAGCCGAGATTGCGCCATCGAGATTGTGCCATTGCACTCCAGCCTGGGCAACAGAGCAAGACTCCGTCTCAAAAACAAAACAAAACAAAAAAAAACCCCTTGGCTTGGGGGAAAAATCTAAACAGCTATAAAAGAACATTTTGGAGGCAATTGAGGAAATTCAGATATGGACTGTAGGTTATATTGAATTAATTTTTTCAGGTGCGATAAAAGTATCTTAGTTATGTAAGAAAATGTCCTTATTCTTAGGAAATGCACACTGAAGAATTTAGGGGTAAAATGTCATAACTGATATCTGCAACTTTCAAGTGATTCCATAAGTGAAGAAAATTACGGTATATGAGAGAAAGAGAATAAATATGGCTAAAAGATAACTGGTCAATCTAGGTCAGAGTTATAAAGCTGTTCATTATTTGTTCTTTCAGTGTTTCTGTAGGTTTGAAAAGTGCAAAATTGAGGGAGGGAAGGGAGTTGTGAGAGTGTGTATGTTGGGGGTAATGAAATTAATATATGGCAGTCACCAGGTGTATTCTTGATAATTTTTATTTATTTATTTGAGACAGGCTCTTATTCTGTTGCCCAGGCTGGAGTGTAGTGGTGTGATCACGGCTCACTGCAGCCTGGACCTCCCCAGCTCAGGCGATTCTTCCATCTCAGCCTCCCAAGTAGCTGGGACTACAGGTGATTGCCACCATGCCTGACTAGTTTTTAAATTTTTCTGTAGAGTGGGTGCCGCCACATTGCCCAAGCTGGTGCCAAACTCCTGGCCTCAAGTGATCCACTGGCCTTGGCCTGCCAGGGTGCTGGGGTTACAGGTGTGAGCCACTGCACCAGGCCCTCATTTTTTTTTTTTAAAACATAAAACATCAAGTCAGAAGCAACTCCCCTGCCCACCTCCATGCAGTTCTGATTATATCCTTCCCTTGCCACATATCCCTTCTCTGATGAATGTGGTGGCTACACGTCGATCTCAGGATGCAATCCTTAATAGCACGTGAGAAATATCGTGCCATTTCCTTTGGGCTCCATGGTTTCTGATGAGAAATACGCTGTCATTCAAATTGTTTTTCTCTGACTGTAAAGATTTTTTCTTTTAGTTTTCCAAAGTTTAATTATGGCTTATGTTACTATAAATTTTTTTCCAGTTATCTTATTTGGGGTTTAACTTGGCTTGTTGAATCTGTAGACTTACATATCTTGCCAAATTTGGGAAGTTTTCGGCAATTAATGTAAGAACTGTTTCAGCCCCACCCTCTTTTTCCTCTCTTTCATCACTTCTGTGACACAATGTTAGATTTTTTATTAAAGTCTCACAGGCTCCTGGGGCTCTGTTCTTTTATTTCCCTTCTCCAGTCTCTTTTCTTTCTGTTGTTCAGATTAGGTATTTCTATTCTGTATTCTGGTTCACCGAATCTTTCCTTTGTCTCCTTTATTCTGCTGTAATATGTTTGTAATATGTTAGGAGTCTCTGTATGTTCTTTCCTGTTTTAGCTGACCCTTTGAATCTGGTTCAGTAGGGAAGGTGGGGATGGTGCCATCTCGTTATGACCAGGTGGAAATAGAAGTTCAGGTTCCTCATTTGGCAGCCACTGACATCTGAGTTGGTGGTAGGAGAGGGACTTCTCATTCGGGGCGAGAGTTCCAGCTCCCAATGTAGTCTGTATGCACACCATGGTGGGGGTGCATGCTGTTACCACTGGGCAGTGGCGAAAGTCATGGCTCTCCACCAGCCCTCCTCTGACATCATCCAGCAGGGACTGGGAGAGGTGCCTTATGAATGCCAGATAGGGAGGGGTGTTTGTTACTGGCTGGTGGGAATGAAAGCAGCTTCCTACTTGGCCCTTTCTGACACCACCCCAGCCAAGGGTATTGGGGCATCTCATTACACCCTTGCAAGGATGGAAGTCTAGATTCCTAACTTGGCCTTTAGGGGGAGGTGGGAATGAGACCACCATTTTTTTCTGTGGTATTTGGAGTAGAACAAGTATCTAAAAGTTTTCTGTTGTGCTGGGCTGCCCTTTCCTAATCCTTTGGCTAGAGAGAACATATTTTGCTAGGGCTTTTTTTTGTCTGTACCCATTGGCATTTTTGGGTTGCCAACATCTTCAGCTTTAAGCCTGGATATATGAAGCAGAAAAAAAAAGGGAGGGGGTGGGGAACTTACCACCATGTCTCTTTTTTTGGGTCCCATGGTCCCTAGCTAGTTCTCTCCACCTTACAGTATCTACTTTTGCTTGTTTCATATAGAATGTTCAGAGTTTTAACTAGTACTTAGTGACAAAAATACAGAAAAATGTCTACCCCATCTGAAGCAGAAGCCTCTACAGTAGTACATTAAGTTTTTTTTGTTTGTTTTTGTTTTTGTTTTTTTTTGAGACAGTCTTGCTGTGTCGCTCAGGCTAGAGTGCAGTGGCATGATCTTGGCTGACTGCAACCTCTGCCTCCTGGATTCAAGCAATTCTCCTGCCTCAGCCTCCTGAGGAGTTGGGATTACAGGTGTGCGTAACCACACCCGGCTAATTTTTGTCTGTTTAGTAGAGACGGGGTTTTGCCATGTTGGCCAGGCTGGTTTCGAACTCCTGACCTCAAGTGATCCCCCCCGACCTCGGCCTCCCAAAGTGCTGGGATTACAGGTGTGAGCCACTGTGCCTAGCCCATTAAAGTTCTTAATGGAGTGGGCCCAGCTTATTCTTCTAGCCACATTATCCTCACTTGAATTCCTTGGTTCAACCATATCAAACTACTTGTAGTTCTTTGAGCTTGCCTTGTTCTTTTATACCTTCATGTTTGTGTTCTAGTTCTTCCTTAGCCTCAGCTATCTCCCCACTCTTCCTTGTCTGGCTTTGGTGTTCCTATTCAATTCATTTACACACTGTTCCCCCAGGTTAAATTTTGCCTCTTTTGTCCTTTACAGCACCTTAAATTACCACTACTGTTTTACTTCCATCTTATATTTGTCTCTTTTCCCCACTAGACCATCATCTTTTTGAGGACTGGGACCCCATCTGTATATTCTTATCCTCAGTGACTGGCATAGTGCTTACTTAAGGGCTGCTTATTGGATACATGGATGGATGGGTGGGTGGGCGGGCAGATGGAGGGATGGATGGATGGAAATATTTCTAGTTTCTACCTCGTTTGTTAAATGGGTTTATTCCTATACACACATGTAGCCCTCATTGATGTTCTGTGTATATGCTCCCTGCTTCCACACTGGAAAAAGAAACCCAGCAGGCTTGCCTGAAAGAAGGGCTGCTTGGACTGTGGCACTCCAGTGACCTCTATTAAGTGTATTATGTTCATAGCCTTTGAGTTCCTCTGGTTACAGAATTGTTGGTGAGCTTCTGGCGTATTATCAGAGATAGGAACCATCATTTTTATTACGATAACACCTAATAAAGCAACATTCAGACCTAGACACTTAATACATATTCCTTCATGATAGTGATGAGGAAATGAGGTTTCATAATGAATTGTTGTCATTCCTTGCTCAGAGGCATTTCTAGAACTGCTTGTGAATCCTAGAAGACTCATTTACCTACTTGTTTAAGTAAATCTGGAGCTGGCAAGGGAAAAGTGTTGGCTTGATGTCCTAAATTACCAAGGTAGGTTGGTTTTTAAGAGTCTTCATACTTACTCTTCAGTGCCAGATTAAATCAAGACCATTCTGGCCCTGGGGCCCCTGCGCTGTCATCACACATCTGTGTCGACACACTGAGCACAGCACTGAGCTCCTCCTTTGCTATATATTGGATGCCTGTGTGAAAGTGTGTGTGTGTGTGTGTGTGTGTATATATATATATACACATACATACATGTATATATTTTTTCCCCCCGAGATGGAGTCTTGCTCTGTCACCCAGGTTGGAGTACAGTGTCACGGTCTCGGCTCACTGCAACCTTCGCCTCCCAGGTTTAAGCATTTCTCCTGCCTCAGCCTCCAGAGTAGCTGGGATTATAGGCGCGCACCACCACGCCCAGCTAATTTTTGTATTTTTAGTAGTGGGGGGTGGTTTCACCATGTTGGCCAGGCTGGTCTCGAACTCCTGACCTCAGGTGATCCACCTGCCTCGGCCTCCCAAAGTGCTGGGATTACGGGCGTGAGCCACTGCGCCCAGCCTGGATGCCAGTATGTATTTAAAAATTAAGTGGAAACAGTTTTTCACCTTTTATATCTTTAATTGACAAATGACCTCATTTAATTTAGGCAGCAAACAAGTTAGGAGAGAAAGAAAATGGGTGCTGGAAAGAGGGAACAAAATATTAATTGGTAGTTGTAGCCAGCCAGGGGCGGGGTCCACATCTAGAACTGAAACTGTGATTAAGAATGGCACACCTCTTGGCCACTTCTGTTCATTTGTTTTCTCTGGGGAGCTTGCTTATTTTTCCTTTCAGGATTTTCTGCACACTTCCTTTGTTCACACAAAGCCACACAAGAGCTCCAATGGAACCAGCTCCTGGGGCAGCAGGAAAGGATCGAGAACTACCCTCTGATATTGAATATATATATTCTTATAAACACACATGACTCTTGTCTTTGCATTGGTCTTTGGGGGCTTCTCTTTCTAGAGACTGCTTTCTTGGAGTGTCTGGGAAAATGCAGTTTTGAGTAATATGCTGGCTCCTCCTAGCAAAGCTATTAAGGTAGCAGGGAGAGGGGAGATGGAGTCTAAGATGAATGCAGCCCTCGTAGTTGGACACACATTTATGGGGTAACTTTAAGTCCTTTTTTTCTTCAATTGGCAGAGGCCTAAACTTGGAAACCTATTTTCTGCTTCCTCGTGTCTTACCTCCTTGGCATGGAACTTGAGGTGATCTGACTCCCCATTGTCATTTGCTCCTACAGTCAAGAAAGCCCAGGGCTTAACCTGTAGCACTCTTACATCCCTTCACTAGGCTACCCTCCACATGGTGGCTTTTAACAAAGCTGGCGGGACACACACAGGAGTTGCCCTCTCCACCTCAAACCCCAGTGCACCAAGAGCACTTGCTGTGGCTACTCCAGCCTCTCCCCAGATGAACTGAGAGACACCCAGCAGGAAGTCCTGACACAAACCTGAAGGAAGAGGGGCCAGTGCTCCCTCCTCCTTTCACCTGGCAGAAGTAGCTGTTGAAATTGCTGAATCTGCTATCAGAGAGAAGAATTAAAAATGAGGAAAGAGGAGCACAGACTAAGCTGGCCTACTCAGGGACTGAGAGAAACTGACACATTTGTCAGAAGGTTTAGACAAGGGAAGAAAGGAAAGGCAGAACTAGACCTGGGTTGGGGTCCACCACTCGATGAATGAATGATCTGGCAGGTTACTGCATCTCAGCCAGTGTCAGTTTCATCACACATGAAATAACGGTCCCTGCCTCATGGGCTATGAAGAGGATCCAGTGAGATTATAATGTTATTATTACTATAAAATGAAACAGTCTTTTGGGATTGGTCATTATGATCTTGAATTCTTTTTTTTTTTTTTTTTTTTGAGACGGAGTCTCACTCTGTCACCCAGGCTGGAGTGCAGTGGTGCAATCTTGGTTCACTGCAACCTCCGCCTCCCAGTTTCAAGCGATTGTTGTGCCTCAGCCTCCCGAGTAGTTGGCATTACAGGTGCCCGCCACCACACCCAGCTAATTTTCGTATTTTTAGTAGAGACGGGCTTTCGTCATGTTGGCCAGGTTGGTCCTGAACTCCTGACCTCAGGTGATCTGCCTGCCTGAGCCTCCCAGAGTGCTGGGATTACAGGCATGATCCACTGCACCTGGCCCTATCTTGAATTCTTTTCTTGGTCTTCGTTTCTGGTTCTTCTGACCAGCTATTGTGTCTCAGCTTCTCCAACTTGTCTTCTAGTATCAGTGCCAAAGGCTGTTACGTGGTGAGCTCCAGGTTTTGAACGATGATTCTCAATGCTTGAGAGCCCTGGGGCCCCTCAGACAGGTCTCTGAACCCCTCTTCTGAGCCTTCTTTGCCTTGGTCTTTACCTAGTGCTGTGGCCAAGTTGACTCTTGTATGTTGCCTGGACTCAGATATGCATCTAAACAGTGTGTGTCATTGAACATTGAAGCTACCTTGTCCCCCTACCCAACAGTTTCTTTTCTTCTGTCTCTTTTTTTTTTTTTTTTTTTTTTTTTTGAGACAGAGTCTTGCTCTGTCACCCAGGTTGGAGTGCCATGGAGCAATTTTGGCTCACTGCAACTTCTGCCTCTTGGGTTCAAGTAATTCTCCTGCCTCAGCCTCCCAAGTAGCTGGGATTACAGGTGCCTGCCACCATGCCTGACTAATTTTTCTGTAATTTTAGTAGAGACATGGTTTTGCCATTTTGGCCAGGCTGGTCTTGAACTCCTGACCTCAGGTGATAGACCTGCCTCAGCCTCCCAAAGTGCTAGGATTACAGGCTTGAGCCACCATGCCCAGCCTCTCTTCTCTAACTTTTGAAGAAGTTAAGAAATCAACACAGAGGAGTGGAAAGAACTCTAGGTTGAGGGTGTTACAGAATTAGGTTATATCTTCCAATTCAGGACACTTAAAAAAATTAGGTTATAATCTTATCCCTGCTATTTGCTTGCCTTTCCTTTTTGGCCCTGTCCTTATCTATAAAATGGGATATTACCTACCATGTAGAATGATTAGGAATATTAAATTAGCTAACAGGTTTAAAATATCTAGAACAGTGCTTTCCATACAAGCATCCAACAGATATTAATCCCTTTCTTGCCATTACATGAAAATGTCCTTAATAGGACCAAATAGGAATTCATATAGAGTAATCCTTCCTTATTCCTGAGGAACACGTGCCAAGACCCCCTAGTGGATATCTGAAACTGCAGATGGTACCAAATCCTATACGTACTGTGTTTTTTTTTTCTATACATGTGACCTATGACAAAATTCGATGTGTAAATCTGACATAGTAAGAAATTAGAGCAATTTTAACAATACACTGTAATAAAAGTTATGTGAATATGGGCCCACTCAAAATACTGTAACATTTTTGGACCTTGGTTGGCCTAGAATAACTGAAACCATGGAAAGCGAAACTGCAGATGAGGGGGACTATGTATGCTGTAGCCATTTCACCTATCACCTGTCCTCCACTAGTGGTGCACCACCCTTTGTACATGAAGATGATGTCCTCAAGATGTTCTGGTGAATTGTTCTTCTAGAAGTTGGGTTTGTGCCTTTGGGTTTGTGCCTTACCCTTTGGGGATAGCCAGTGTGGGTTGTTGAGGCAGCAAGTCAGCCAGGGTTTTAGACAGAGAATCTCTGGCTGTGGTACAGAAACTAGCTGGCCTGTAAGTGAATCAAGCCAGTGATTCAACCAAATTACAGCATTTGGTGACAGCAACACCTGAATATATCGACACATATACCATTTGGTTCAGGGCACTCTCACTGGTGTTTCTTCCTTACAAGGGTTCTGAGAGGTGGGCAGATTCTCACTCTGGAAGAAAATTAGACCCAGAAAGCAGTCAAAACCCATGTCACCCAGCAGTAATTGGTAGCACTCAGTACTAGAACACAGATCCCTTGACTGTCTATCCAGAACTTCTGTGAGGTTTCGAACCCGGTTGAGAACCAGAATTCTGGCTGTTTAGATGAAAGTTTAGAGCTCTGCCGCAGAATCCTCCTGTCCTCCTGTCACTAGTCACCTTGTGTCCGTTTCTTACAGAATACTCACTAATTCATCGAGTGAATAATTATTGAGGGTATACTGTGTGCCTGGTATTCTAGGCACTTGGGGAATGCTGTGAGTGACTAAAAAAATAGACAAAACCCTTGCTGTGCTCTGATGGGGACATGTTGTAAATGTAAACGTGGGAGACTGAGAGTAAACAAGAAAAGTATGTAGTATTCCGCCTTTTTTTTTTTTTTTTGAGACGGAGTCTTGCTCTGTCTCCCAGGCTGGAGTGCAGTGGCACTATCTTGGCGCACTGCAACCTCTGCCTCCTGAGTTCAAGTGATTCTCCTGCCTCAGTCTCCTGAGTAGCTGGGATTACAGGCACCCTCTACCATGCCTGTACAAAAATGTTTGTATTTTTAGTAGAGACGGGGTTTCACCATGTTGGCCAGGCTCGTCTCGAACTCCTTACCTCATGATCTGCCCACCTCGGCTTCCCAAAGTGCTGGGATTGCAGGCGTGAGCCACCATGCCCAGCCAGATACGTAGTATTTATATAAAGACTGTCAAGACAGTGATGAGTGCTGCGGAGAAAAATGAGGCAGAAAAGGAAGCTGGGGTGGGGTGGACAGTGTCCGTTTTCTCTTGATTCTTTGTACTTACTGTCTCATGCATGTGCTAAGCTTTCCAAGAGCCAAGGTTACGTGTGATGCATCACACCCGGGTTCCTGCAGAGCAGGACGTTTGGAGTTGAGCTAGCGTTACACAGTAGAAGCAGGTGCAGGGGGTGTCTATTTACCCACTGAAATGCCCACGACCTGCCCATGTAAGAAGTGGGGAATCCTGGATAGTGCCCAGGTAGGTTGGGGAGGTAACTTGTACTGGTTTTTCTTTGATGTTATTTGTTAAATCTAGAGCTCCCCCTTCTGTTAGAAGATGGGATCTCAGTAGTACTTTTAAGACTGTAGTTTCTTTTTTATCTTAAGATTCACAAAAAATTTTTAAAAATAAATACCACTGGGACAATTGAAGCTTTCTTCTGGGACTGCTGTTGCTGAGGCCCAGCCCCCCGCTGGGGGTGGAGAGGAAGGAGGAAGAAGCACAACGGCCCAGGCAGGATAGGGTCCTATCTATGCTCTCTTGCTACTTTTAGCAGCTCCTTAACCCTGCACTCCTACCGCAGCCAGCAGCCTAGCAAAAGTTATCTCTGCTCGCAGTTTCACAGCTCTTTGGAAATTCTAGGGCAGGAGAAGTGAAACTGACCACAGTCTTATAAATTTCTCTCTTATTGCCTCTGTTCCCTACTTGAAGTGAGTCAGGCCTTTCCCTCTCATCCTCAGAGTGTCTTAAGTTGCTATTTGTCCTTACAGCCAAGTTTTTGACAAAAGGAGTCAGACCTTCCATTCATGGTGCAGCCTTTCTGGAGGCTCTTGGTTTGGTCTTGCCACCTGAGTGTTGTTTGCAGAAGTCGAGACTTGTGGTCTTTGTGTGGTATCCCCAGAATAGAGCTGAGCCCTTCGTCTCAGCTGTCGGTTGTGTGTGTTCCTTCACATACAATTGCCATGGGGTTCTTTTAGTCCTTAGAGATGAAATTCAAGTTAATTTTAGCAGCACTATAAATAACAGGTGCAGTGAAGAAGGAAATAGTGCCGAGTGGACATATATCTTTTTGGTTTTAACTGTCCCATTGAAACAGTTTGGCCACTTTATGATTCCTCGTGAGGTTGAGGAAGTAAGGTTAATTTGGCATGCATCTGTGCCCCTTCCTGTGTGCAGGTGTCCTGAGAATAATGTGAGGCCTAGCAGGCGTTCTTGGAGTCCTAGCTGAAGGGGGATTTGCGGCTGACGGTCCAGTCATGGGCCAGGGTGTTTGTTAAAGTTACATTCCATGGGTGCACTTTATATAGCCCAAGCTTAGGCAGTGACAGTTCCCATTAGGAGTCATATTTTGGTTTCTACCAAAACTGTTTGAATGGGGTAG
Organism: Homo sapiens; assembly: GCF_000001405.40. NCBI lineage: Eukaryota > Metazoa > Chordata > Mammalia > Primates > Hominidae > Homo > Homo sapiens. The sequence goes on along the minus strand of NC_000022.11, from coordinate 40,436,037 downwards.
CTAAACCATAAAGATACATGCTTACTCAGGTGTCATTGCCTTCACTTCAACTGATATTTATAGTACTACTAACAGTAATGTGATTTTTTTTTTTTTTTTTTGGGGGACGGTTTCTCGCTCTGTTGCCCAGGCTAGAGTGCAGTGGCGCAATCTCGGCTTACTGCAAGCTCTGCCTCCCAGGTTCACGCCATTCTCCTGCCTCAGCCTCCCTTGTAGCTGGGACTTCAGGCGCCCACCACCACCACGCCTGGCTAATTTTTTGTATTTTTAGTAGAGACAGGGTTTCACCATGTTAGCCAGGATGGTCTCGATCTCCTGACCTCGTGATCTGCCTGCCTCAGCCTCCCAAAGTGTTGGGATTACAGGCGTGAGCCACCACGCCCAGCCAGTAACATGAATTTAAGATGCCTTCTCCACTGAATATCGTAGCACTAGACATGATGCTTCGCTTGAAGGTAATCTTTACGGTTCTTCTCTCAACAGCTTTGAAAAGTCCAGCCGCATTTCATGAGCAGAGAAGGAGCTTGGAGCGGGCCAGGGTAAGGTACCTTTTTTCCCCCTCAGAACTCCCAAAGAGCATTTTCAGAGCTCATTGCATTGCTGGTTATATTTCCATTTAGAGCTTTCCATAGAACTCTGAGGCCAGAGCCTGCTAGACTCTAGGGCCAGCCCTGGCCTTGTGGTTTTAAATGGAAAGCTCTGCTTCTCCTACTTCATCCCTTCTCTCATTTACCTCCCATGGTGATTATATGGAACATGATTGGAATGAGGTTTCTCTTTTTGTACATTTAAGGATATGGAATGATCACCCGATCCTCCTTGCCTGAATTTTGGAGTGCTTTGGAGACCACTGGTATTTCCCCATCTTTAATTCCACTTAACGTTTTGTAGATGTTGGGACACAAACATTAGCCAATGGAAAAGCTTCCCAAGTCCGGGGTTACACTGGCCACACCTCACAGGACGGGCATTCCAAGGGGCAGGAAACCTTCTTGGTCTCCATCTGCCCAGAGTAGGTGGTATCCACTTGACTCTTGTGGAAAGCAGAAACTGGCCCACACTCCAAGCCCAAGTTTTCTGCCACAGCACCTTACTTGCGTCCCCATCCCAACTCTGTTTCGGTTCCCCAGGGGCCCCTGAGGAATATTCTGCTGCCCAGTGTGGGTAGAGATGGGGAAGTCACCAGAACTTGCTTCCCCCTCACACTCCCTTTACTTTTTCCTTTCACATAAAATCATGGGAAGATAATCCCCCTAGACAGATCATGGGCTGCATCTCCTTAAGACCCACGGCTATTTTATTTTACTTTATTTTTTGAGACGGAGTCTCACTCTGTCACCCAGGCTGGAGTGCAGTGGCGTGATCTCAGTTCACCGCAGCCTCCGCCTACCAGATTCAAGCGATTCTCCTGCCTCAGCCTCCCAAGTAACTGGACCTACAGGCTCCCGCCACCACGCCTGGGTAATTTTTGTATTTTTAGTAGAGATGGGGTTTCACCATGTTGGCCAGCCTGGTCTCAAACTCTTGGCCTCAAGTGATCTGCCTGCCTTGCCCTTCCAAAGTCCTGGGATTACAGGCATGAGCCACCACACCCAGCCTCACAGCTATTTTAGAGTCTCAGAAATATTTACCTCCAAGACTTTTTTTTTTTTTTTTTAAACTTTCTTTCATTCCCCTCTCCCCAGAAAATCATGATTAATTCTTAGAGTAAGTGGAAAGAATGAGGTCATGGGTCCTGGGAACCAAAGGAGTAACAAGCAGCAGTGGTTTAGTTTGCTGAGAGCACTGGAGAGTACAGTGTTGGGGGAAAGGATGGCGTTGCCTGTGCGCCTATTCGGTCAGAAGACTGGGCACCATTTACTTGACTGCTTCTCAAATAGGCAGGGACCAGCAGAGCTGATTAGAAGAGACTGTTTTATTGAGCACCTTTATGTAAGAGGTTGTATCTGTTTCTTTTTTATCCTCACATCAACTCTTATGAATTAGGTGGTATTATCCTCATTTTATAGATGCAGCTAAGAGAAGTTAACTCACTTGTCCAGCCAATAAGTGGCAAAGCTGGGAGTCAAACCTTTGTGGATTCTAGATTTTTTTTGAGCAAAATGATTTTATTTCCTAACACATGGTAACCATAACGTTCAATTTGCTTACCATGCACATCTATTCACAAATGACTTCCACATTACAATAACTACTTCCATATTTACACATGTACTAAAAATTATCTTAGTTGAGATATGAAACATGAATATATTGGATTGGTTATAGCAGAATTTGCTTTACTTAATTCTAAAAGCTTAAAGCTTTGAAAAGCTGCTACTTTTGCATCTCATACTTCCAGATGAATAAGACACAGCAATATCAGCTCGTATTCAAGAGAAGTTTCATTTCTTTTTCTGGTGTTGGAACCAGCTGCTCACATCTGTGCGTGCTACATAAGGCAGCTATACATGGTGGTGGGAAAGCATCCACAATGGCTTCAGCTATGTCAGGATCACACTTGAGGGGCTCTGAGATGCTGTTGTATTTACACAACTGATTGCTTTGTTTTCCTTTTTTTGTAATTTTAGAGGTGGGATTTTGCTATGTTGCCCAGGCTGAATCCCAACTCTTGGGCTTAAGCAATCCTTCTGCCTTTGACCTCCTGAATAGCTGGGATGTGTAGGCATCTACCACTGTACCTTGTCAAACTGATTTTGTTCCCTCAGTTTTCTTCGACACAAATGTGCTTCAGTGGTCATGAATGCCTTTAATGATATCAGTTGCAAAATCCGTATCTTTAAATTTGGCCCTGAAAGTTCTCTGGTTTTCCATCAGAGACCTTATACCCTCTAAACCAGTCCAGAGTAGCCTCTAGGTAGTCAGGTTTCAGCCATTTGACATCATTAATATGTTTACTATTTGTCACAAAGGATACAACTCAGGAACAGCCAGGTGGAAGAGATGTGTAGGTATGTGGGAAGGGATGAGGAGCTTTTGTGCTCTCTCCAGGTGGGTGTGTCACCCTCCTAGCACCTCCATGCCTTTAACAAACCAGAAGCTCCTCCATATATTTTCTTAATCAGTACTATATTCTACCTCAGTCATGGCCACTGGTCAGAGCTTCAGATGGCTTAGAGAATAAGTCTTCCACTGTCATCTGTGAAGACTTGCGGCACCTGCTCTACCAATCTCTGCTGCAGCTGAGGCAGTACTTCTGCCCACTGCACGTGGGGTGATAGAGCCAGAGCCCACAGTCACTTTAAACCATCTCCTGGATTGCTCAGCCTCCCCTGGGCTGGCACAGAGCTGCCCAGCCAGAACAACAAGGCAGCAGATGGCTAGGTGAGGACAAGTCTTTTTTTTTTTTTCTTTTTCTTCATTTTTTTCCAGTCTTTACCTTTACTATATATAATGTCCTCTGAGGCTTCATTGCCTAGTGTCCTTTGGCTTGTCTTATCCTATGCTGGTCTTGATCCACTAATGTTCTGTGGTTTGAAAATGTTGGTGCAGAGGTTAAGAGCACAGACTCTATAGAGTCAGGTCCAGGGGAATATATATATATTATAATTAGCCCCGTTTGGTGGGATGGCTCTGTGACTGTTGAGGGACTGGTTTAGTTTGCCCAGAGTCTCATAAATGCAGAAATTAGGACATTGGACTTTGAGGAACTAGAGCTTTGCTACCATGTGTCAAAATTCATATTCCATTTGGCAGCCATTCAAAATGAATGGAAAATGCCCATGAGATCATGCAGTGTTACAGGTTTTTGGGGTTTTTTTTTGGTTTTTGGTTTTTTTTGTTTGTTTTTTGAGACGGAGTTTCGCTCTTGTTGCCCAGGCTGGAGTGCAGTGGCGCAGTCTTGGCTCACTGCAGCCTCCACCTCACGAGTTCAAGTGATTCTCCTGCTTCAGCCTCCCAAGTAGCTGGGATTACAGGCGCCAGCCACCACATCTGGCTAATTTTTGTATTTTTAGTAGAGACAGGGTTTCACCACATTGGCCAGGCTGGTCTCAAACTCCTGACCTCAGGTGATCCACCCACCTTGGCCTCCCAAAGTGCTGGGATTACAGGCTTGAGCCACCGTGCCTGGCCCAATGTTACATTTCTTAAAGCAGGATATAAAATCATATTCAGTGTGATTACAGCGCTGCAAAGTTAAGCCTATTTTCTGCATGGAAGAATAACTAGAAACAGATATCCCAGAATACTAAGAGTGGCTGATTAAAGTTTATTTTATTTTATTTTTCTTTCTAGTTTTCTAAATGTTTTTTGCTGGACATATATTACTTTTATGGTAGTAGAAGTAATAGTTTTTTAATAGATATATTGTCAGTCCAGCCTCAGAGACACAGATGGTCTTGAAGGATGGTGCCCTTCCTTGGCAGGTGCAGTTGGATTTTGGTGTGCTCTCCCCAGGCCTACTCTTGCCTCCGAACCCTGCAGTCACCAAGTTAAGGTTGTGGGAACTGCAGAGGTGGTCAGCAGCTACCATGGCCAAGGCTGCTGTTGTGATCCTGTCCATGCCATAAGCCTGTGACCTGGATTTGAGAGTTTCTTGGTGTGTTTTTTCTGTAGACAGAGGACTATCTCAAACGGAAGATTCGTTCCCGGCCGGAGAGATCGGAGCTGGTCAGGATGCACATTTTGGAAGGTGTGGAGATTGGAATTGCTTTTCCATCTAGATCCAGTTCTCACTGTGTGTACTCACTACTGCACTACCCATTTCCTTCCTGCCTCTTTCTTCTCCCATTTCTGTTGGCAGTGGGTAAGCCAGAGCCTTAACACCGTACGACAGCTGTGCCATGGTAGCTGCCACTGGTCTGAGGGACTCTCAAAAAGCACAGTCACATGCTGTTAGTTTGGCTTGGCCTCTTCTCCAGGGTCTCACCATCCCTTGGTGTGAGATCGCTTCTCTCTGCCAAAATCTGTTTTGTTTTGTTTAAGACACAGTCTGACTCTGTCATTGTGATTGTAGGCACAAGCCACCATGCCTGATCTAAAATCTGTTTTTAAAATACACTTACTTAGTTTTTTATATTCATTCATTCGGTCAGTCATTCACTTGGCATTCACTTGAGTGTCTGTGATATACCGTGCTCCATCCAATATTATTCTAGATGTACCCACCTGGCCCCAGCTGCACATGTCTTTCCCTTTTTTTTTTCTTCCCCCGCTTTTTTTTTTTTTTTTTTTTTGTGATGGAGTCTTGCTCTGCTGCTCAGGCTGGAGTGCAGTAGTGTGATCATGGCTCACTGCAACCTCTTATCTTCCAGGTTCAAGCGATTCTCCTGCCTCAGCCTCTTGAATAGCTGGGATTACAGACGAGCGCCACCACACCCAGCTAATATTTTATATTTTTAGTAGAGATGGGGTTTCACCATGTTGGCCAGGCTGGTCTCGAACTCCTGACCTCAGGTGATCCACCCACCTCGGCCTCCCAAAGTGCTGTGGTTACAGATGTGAGCCACTGCGCATAGCTGTCTTTCCACATTTTTAGTGAAGAAAAGGTTTTGGCTCCTGGAAGCAGCATAAATATATTTACTTATTGTTTGTCTAGTCTTTTTTTTTTGAGATGGAGTCTTGCTGTGTCACCAGGCTAGTGTGCAGTGGCACAGTCTCGGCTCACTGCAGCCTCCACCTCCTGGGCTCAAGCAATTCTCCTGTCTCAGCCTTCCGAGTCGCTGGGACTACAGGCACATGCCACCACGCCTGGCTAATTTTTGTATTTTTAGTACAGACAGAGTTTCACCATATTGATCAGGCTGGTCTCGAACTCCTGACCTCAGGTGATCCACATGCCTTGGCCTCCCAAAGTGCTGGGATTACAAGCGTGAGCCACCACGCCCAGCCGTTTGTCTAGTTTTGAGCTGTTTTTGGGGCTGGAAGAGAACTTTTCTAGTCTGAGTCTCACATTTTGCAGACAAAGGCACTAAAAACCAGAGCAGAGATGTGAATTGCCTCAGTAACACAGCAAGTTTGAGGGAGAGTGGAGACCATTCTGTCATCTGTTGCTGCTTCCATTCTGTAGCTCCACCTCAGAAAGTCTTCTGGGTTTGCCTCTGCCTGGTTATAATTGTGTGTGACTGTGCACTGCCTGGTCACAGTGGGAACCCCTTCTCTTGTCTTTGTGAAACTTCAAGACAGGCCACTCTTCTCTGCTTGGAATATGCTTACCGTTCTGACAGTCACTCCTCTTGCCCAGGAGGAAGGAGAGCTGCTCTGGAGTTCCCGGGGCAGAACCACGTCCACTCATATATCTTCCTGCACCCCTTTCTCTCCCATGGGCAGAGACCTCGGCTGAGCCATCCCTCCAGGCCAAGCAGCTGAAGCTGAAGAGAGCCAGACTAGCCGATGACCTCAATGAGAAGATTGCACAGAGGCCTGGCCCCATGGAGCTGGTGGAGAAGAACATCCTTCCTGTTGAGTCCAGCCTGAAGGAAGCCATCATTGGTGAGGAGGACCCAGCCACCCTGTGTGAGAGGCAGCTGAGATGCAGGAGGGGAGGGAGTGCCAGGCTGAAGCAGAATTGGGCTGAGGCTCTTGACTTCTTAATCTTTGACTTCCTGCTTAGCCTTGGGAGAACCAAGGCACAGAGTTTGAGAGCCTCATGCACAGGTTGTATGAACTTGGGATAGTGCCTGTTGCTTTAAGAAACAGGGACATACAACAATAAATAATAACAGAGGCCTTGCTCTGTTCACTTTCCATCTTTGTAAACTCGGGTTGCTTCCTCTTTCACAGAGTAGATAGATGTCAGGATCAGTGTGTGTGAACATGTGGAGATGCCAGGAATTAGAAATCTGTGTCATACTCTTTATTAGTGAAGTCTCTTCTTGGAGACTGGCCCTTTCCACGGATATTTCACTTAACAAATACTGATGGACCCAAACAGTGTGCTAGGTGCTAAGGCCACAGCCCCACAGGGCAGACCAAGTTCCTTTGTCCTTATGGAGCTCACGCCTAGGAGCAGGTAACAGGCAGGTGAATAGGCAGGATAGAGAAGCTGTGCTGGAGGGAGCACAGGGTACTTTGGAAACACAGAGGAGGGTCACCCAACCTGGTTGCATCAGGAAGGGTGCAGCTGTCAGAGGAGGTGACAGCCAAGCCTGGGGCTGAAGGATGAGTAGGAATTCATGAAAGCGTGTGGGAGAGGGTGGGACGAGGGAGGAGAGGACGGTGCTCCAGGCAGGGAGAACAACCCTAGGACCTGATGAGAAGGCACTGGAAGGGAGGGTGTCAAGATGAGAGGTGGGAGGCCAGGTCCTCAGTGATTTGGTAGTCTGAGGCGGGAGGATCACTTGAGCCCAGGAGTTTGAGACCAGCCTGGGCAACATGCAACATAGGGAGACTCATCTCTACAAAAAAAATCAAAAAATTAGCTGGGTGTGGTAACACACACCTGTAATCCCAGCTGCTCAGGAGGCTGAGGTGGGAAGATCGCTTGCGTCCAAGAGTTCAAGGCCGTAGTGAGCTATGATTGTGCCACTGCACTCTAGCCTGGGTGATAGAGTGAGACCCTGTCTCAAAAACAAAAACGAGGTGGGAGCAGTAAGCACAGTTCAGGACGTGCAGGGCCTCTTGGCACACTTGGGAGTTTGGACTTGATTCCTTTAGTGTAAAAGGGAAAAAGCCGTTTTTCTCTGTATTTACACTCAATACAGAATACTTCTGGTGTTGGTATTCTGGCATGGTATTACCCCACATACCAAGCAGTTCTCCAGTGGACACCAGCTGGGTGTCCTCCATTTCTTTTCAGATGCCATTTACCTGCAGATAGCGTCTGATCCCACAGGTTGAGGACTCAGTCCCACAAGACTTAGCCCCACTTCCCATGCTGGTCCCAAGCCCCAGGTTATTTTACATTTGCTTTTAACCAACTAGCTATAGATTGGGGTTCCCATACCCTCTCCTTGGGCTTGATAATTTGCTAGGATGGCTCACAGAACCTGGGGAAACACTTCACTTAACATTTCCTGGCTTATTGTAAAGGATGCAGAGGAACAGTCAGAGGGAGGGACGGATGGCACAGTGTCGTGGGGTGCCAGGGGGAATGGTGGTATTGGAACTTCCCTGCCCTCTCCTGGCCTTCACCCTCCCAGTAGCTAGAGAAACTCATCAAATCCTGTTATCCAAGAGTTTTTATAGAGCTTGATCTCAGAGCCCCCACTCTATGTCCTACATACCCACCCCCACTTTCCTGGAGGTTGGTGGATGGCGCTGATATTTCCAGTCCTCTAATCCTCTAATCACTTGGTGTCTCTGGTGACTGGCCCAATCCTTAGTCTCTCCCAGATTATCACATTAGCATAAGCTCAGGTGTTGTGGAAAGGGGCTTGTTATACATAACTGAAGATACTTCTGACCTTAAGGAAATTCCAAGGGTTTTAGCTGCTCTGTGATGAGAACTGGGGGACAAAAACCAAATATATTTATTATCCTACTCTTAGATTTTGGTGATAATTGGTACAGACATGTCTCCTTCGCTGCAGTGGGCCCAAGATCCGATCCCTGACAAGACAGCACCTGCCTGCCCCTCCTGAGGCAGCTGTGCCTTCAGAGAAAGAGGCTCAGGGTTTCCTCTAACATGAGTTTTAGTTTTGGGCAGAGGGGAAACACTGCAGCAGACCCCCAACGCATGCTGAATTAGGCTTTGGGCCCTGATTAGAGGTGACTGGCAGTTTCTAGGGCCTCCTCTGCATTGTAGCCACCCTACTGGAGGCTGGCCCACACTGGGCCCGGAGGAGCCCTTTCCCCATGTTGATACAGTAGCTCTTATAATTCACAGATTTTCCCTGGCGTTCATCCTGCCTCATCTCAGTGGTTTCCTCCGTGTATTCCTCAGCAGCCCCTAGTTATAGGCCAGTGTAGGGGCCAAGCCAGTTCTGGATGCTGCAGCCAGCCACAGTCTGATAAATGTGTGCTGAGACTCAGCAGTGTGCCAGGCCATGTGAAGTCCTGATGTCACAAAGATGAATAAAATATGACTTGTGCGCTAAAAGAATTCACGTAGGTCTGATGTGAGAAGACTAATGTATAAACAACTGATTTCTGAGTCTGGTTCCCAGTCAGATGCCAGTGCTGCCTGGTAGGAAGGCCATGGCCCTGTGACATTGTCTCTGAGTCACCTGCCTTGTGCGACTGCTTGCAGGATCACACACGATGATGGATGGTCCTTGGCGCCTAGAGAGACTCACACAATGGTTGCTGCTGTTGTCAGCAATAACACTCATTCTAGACCAGCTGGCAGCTGCTGTAATGGACAGTGTAACAATGGATATGTGTGTGTCAGTGCTGTGGGAGCTCAGCAGAGGGACTTCTCTCAGGGATGGGAACAGGTGTTGGTGGCCAGGGAAGTACCCACACTATAGCACGTCTGGGGGCAGCTTGGAGGCTGGGTCAGAGTTTGCCAAGTGGAAAAGGTACAGAGGTACAAGAGGGAACAGCATGGGCAGTGGCTTGGAGGCCTGGCTGAACACAGCTTGTTTGTTTGAGGAATTTGGCAATGGGGTGATTGTTGGGGACTTTAAGGAGCACAGAGCATTTGCCAGCAAAAACCAGATTGTACAGTTGAGTAGGAGAGAAGGAGGTGGTGATGGCAAATGTAGCTCATTTGCTCAATAGTTCTGTGGAGAAGGAAAGCAGAGGCAGGTGCTGGCTTAAGGAGGGATTTTCAGGCTGGATGCAATGGAGCAGGTTTTTGGGCTGAGAGGAAAGAGTCAAGGAGATGAGAGGATGGGCACCTTCAGAGGAAGAGGAGGGAGGAGGACGAGGAAATGGAACCCTGGCTGAGGTGGAGGTTTGGCTCAGGAGAGGCAAAGCTGGGAAGGAAGTTTGGCTCAGATGAGTGGGAAGGAAGCGGGCAGTGGGAGAAGGGGGAGCGGACCGTTCTGAGGCCTGAGAAAAGGGCTGATGGGGGTTGGGGTCTTCCCCACACATCTAAGCTCCCCATCCCACCCTTCCTCCAGGCCCCTCAGTTATCGTCAAGGTTCACTTTAAGTCCTGTCCTCCAGGAAGACTTCTCTGAGTCTCTCCTCAGTGTGCCCTTAGCTTCTGTGTTTTCTCTCTAGCAGAGCATTCACTGGGCTCCAAGGCAACTGGACCATAAACTCCTGGAGGGCAGGGACCCCATCTTTGTTCCCAGGATGTGACTGTGAGTGGAGAGAGAAATAGTCTGTAGTGACCCTGGCCTGTACCAGCCCTGGGTTTTCCACAGTACGGCCAGCAGCTTCCTTGGGTTGGACTAATCTGGGGGAAGCTACAGTTCCTCCACCCTTGCTCACCGTTGTCAGTACTGGCTGCCATGGGGCTGCTGTCCCAAATCAGATGCCGTTGCCGGAAGTAGGAGATTGTGGGGGAAATCTAGCCGTGTGTCTGGCATGAAGTACACATGGTCAGCAAGCCCTGTTCTGTGTGTTGCATACTTGCCCCTGCTGGGACAGATGAGGGGACAGAGGAGCAAGCCACCACCACAGTCGCCAGTAAGGAAGAAGCTCAGATGCATCCTTCCCAGGTCCTGAGGGAGGAGAGAGCCTCAGGTCCTGGCCCTGGCCCTGGAGGGCAAGAGCTCCTAGGAGAGCCACTGCAAGGACAAACCCAGCCTGAGCTGTTGCGCTTTGTTCCTCTTCCTTATCTGGGGTCTTCCCACACAGCATACTTCCCCAGGCTTGGGCGGCAGCTCACCCCTGCCTTCACCACTGCCTCAGTTCCTTCTGTATGGATGGCAGATCAGCTCAGAACCTGCCACCCCCACCTCTTCCCACGACAGTGTTGAGCCGGTGGCTCTGACAGTGACTCTTGAAATAGCCTCCTTGCCTCTGTTCCCATCTTTCCTTCCCACTGGGACCCCATGGAACAGAAGCTCTGTGCTACGCCCTCCTCCCCTGCCTCTGCTTCCAGTTGGCCTCAGAAGGACTTGCATTCACAGTCATCCAGAGCTTGGCAGTGGGTCAGGCCAGGGCAGTGACAGCCAGTAGGATGTTTTCTTCTGGTGCCCCACCTGCCCAGGTGTTGGGTCTCTGTGAGCCACTGGCCTCTAGAGGAGGTCACCACACCACCTCCATTTCACCTGTGCAGGCAAACATCCCCTTTCTGGGATACCCTCCATCTGAAGCCCAGAGCCAGGCTCCTTAGTCTGTTCCTGGCCTCTGGGGAATTCAGCTACACTCACAGGGCTGTTACCCAGGCTCTTCTGGTCCCTCGTTAGCTGGTTCAGAGCCCTCACTGCACCATCTGTAAGCATCATGGGGGAATAAGAGAGTTTTGTGCAGTGTGGGATGAAGATACAGAGTACCTTTAACAATAGGGAGACGGTTGAGGTAGAAAGGTAGCCCGGGTCTCCCAGGGAGGAGCAAGGGAGGGAGGGACAACTTGACATTGAAGACTAAACACAGTATAGAGTTACAAGCAAGAGGCTAAAGGAGGCGTTTGCTCGGCCCATGAGGTCACTCTGATAGCCTAGGAGGCCTTTCTGGCCTCTCTTGCAGGGTCATTATGATGACCAGAGCTTTTTTGGACCAAGAAAGCAGATTGGCTGCTAGTCTCCTCGGCTTGCCTGCCTCACGGGGCATGTGGGCTGTGGGCCAGGCACTCTGCCTGTGGCCTGCGAGCCAGGCCTGTCCCTGCTCATCTGTTCCCTGGGCTGGAAGTGGAATCTCACACCAGCTTTGGGTTTCAGTGGGCCAGGTGAACTATCCCAAAGTAGCAGACAGCTCTTCCTTCGATGAGGACAGCAGCGATGCCTTATCCCCCGAGCAGCCTGCCAGCCATGAGTCCCAGGGTTCTGTGCCGTCACCCCTGGAGGCCCGAGTCAGCGAACCACTGCTCAGTGCCACCTCTGCATCCCCCACCCAGGTGAGTGTGTGCTTCCAGATGCTTCCCCAGCTCCAAGGTGCTAGGGCTGCGCAGAGTAAGGTCTCTCTCCTGGGCCACGGGATGCCTCCTGCTCTGGCACAGGGAAGCCAGGGGGATGCTACCCTAGTTGCTTAGGTGCTGGCTGCTTGAGCTCCCCGGTGGTGGGAGATGTGGGCAGTGGCCCCTCTCCAGCAGCCAGAGGTCAGGTGGAGGACGACGCTGGCCATGGCTGCCTTGCAGTGGGATTGCAAACGTCACTGGCCCAGTCTGTATTCATTTATTTGGAGCAGCCTGTTTTTCTTGAGTATATTCAGTTCTGTGACCTTTTCATTGCCTTCTCTCTTTCCTAGCTCCTCCTTGCTCCTGCCACCCTGGGGGTTGCTCTTCTCCTCCTCCGGTCTCTGCCCACCATTTGCCCTCTGACAATGGTGGCGTCTGAGGACCCTGTGTAGGGTCAGGGCAGGCTGGGCACACCCTACCTGGAGGTGGCCATGTCCTCACTTCCCTTTTTCCCTCTCAGGTTGTGTCTCAACTTCCGATGGGCCGGGATTCCAGAGAAATGCTTTTCCTGGCAGAGCAGCCTCCTCTGCCTCCCCCACCTCTGCTGCCTCCCAGCCTCACCAATGGAACCACTATCCCCACTGCCAAGTCCACCCCCACACTCATTAAGGTACATTTCTGCCAGTGATTGTACCCTCCCCTTCCCTGTGCCCTTTGGAGTCCTGCTGTGACTTCATTCCAGCTGTGGGGACAGCTGTAGAGGGTGTGGTGCGTGTCTTCTCCCATTGGTCTGGGAGTTTCTTCCCGTTCTGTCTGCTGTCCATCATGACACTGGCTGTTGCAATCATAGCCACCAATTATTCGTGGCTATGGGCTGGCCTTGGGCATTCCAGGTCCTCACTCCTGCTCTCATCCATGAAGTCATTCCCACACATTATGTCTTGTTCACTCAACAACTCCGCAAGGCAGAAATAGAGCCCTGTGCTACAAGAGAGGAGCTGAGAAGTGAAGTGACGCGGCCAGAGTCATGCAGGAGGTGCCACTGAGTGGTGTTCCCCTCCTTCAAGGCCTGGCCTGAAATGCCTGCAGGAGGCGGGGGTTACCACTGTCGGTGTGGGGGACCTGTGCTGGGCATTGCTGGCCTCATGGACTGAGGTGTCTGCTGTTAAATTCAGCTGCACCAAGAGCTCATGCAGAGTCCTCCCTGCTCCACAGAGCTGCCTGGCCACCAGGATCTCACCAGGATCTCGGGGACCCCAGCCCCACACCTCTGCCTGGCCCACGCCTCCCTGACTTGCTCCACCTGCACCCTTTGTGCTCTGTCCTTTCTTATTCCCCAGGCTCTCTCCTCACACAGACCCTGTGCCTGGCTTGGCAACCCCTGGCCATCTGAGCCTCAGGAGAGGCTGACAGTCTGCAGCCTGGGCTGTCTGGTGCTTGTGCTCTGGCCTTAGTAGGCCCCACTAGCTCTGGGAGCTGCCCGCCCTTCTTGTGGCACTCCCTGGCTCTGTCCCATGGTGACATCCCCAGTCCCGCCTCTGCACATGACCCTGTCATCTCTGCTGCCTCTTGCTTCCTCCATGTCAGAAAGTCACTGTGGCTTCCTGAATGTCAGTCTCCTCTTTCAGGCCTTGGGAGCAGTGAGTGGCCTCTCCTCCCAGCCTACCCCTGCTTTCAGCACTGCCTGCCCGGGTGCTGCCTCATCAGTTAGTGCCTGTCCTGCACCTGCATTCTCTTCTCACTGTCAGCAGGTGTCCCTGCTTTTCCCCCAGAGTTCCTCCAATGTGCTTCTCCTCACACTCCTGTTGCCTTCCTTTGCCTACCACGTTTGGAAGAAGAGTCTGTGTATTTTGTCTACACATCTCTTCAGTCACCTCACCAGTGTACTGAAACATTATCTTCAGGGGCCTCAATCCAAGTCCCATCCCCACCACTGTGCTCCTGGCCCAGCTGTTGGGGTTCCCTCTCCTTGGTTGTGCTTTCCCTGCCTCCCTTCCTCCTCCCTTTAATTGGGGGTGCTCCTTAGGCTCTGCCCTCTGCCTCCTCTCTGCCTCTGCCTCTGCCTCTGCCTCTGCCTGTACTTCTTCCTGCTCCCCAGCCTGTGCTCACAGGCTCTCTGTGGCTCTGTTCCCTTCTTCTGGGGCAATCCTGGCCCCACAGCCCCGGCAGCCCTGCCCTTTCTCCATCCTTCCCATGCTCCCAGCAAAACCAGAACCTCTTCTGTGATCACTTCTCACCTGCCACATGTTCACTTTGTCTGTTCTTCCACTAGTGGGTCACCTGCCCAAACCTTCCTTTCAGTCCTCATTGCCACAAGGTCTAGACACCACCTGTTCCTACATCCAGCCTTGTACGCTTTTGTCTGCCATTCTCTGCTCAAAACTTCTCGGCTCTCCGTGGTCTCTCTCTGGCACTCCCTTGCTAACTCACCTCGTCCAACTGCGCCCTTCCTTGCTCCAAGAACAGACCTCCCATATATCACCTACTGGCCCTTATTGGTCAGTTTGGGTCTTCTGACTCTCCTGGCCCAGTGGCTGTGCCAGCTGGAGGTCTTTGGGGGCATGAATAGGAGCTTTTGGAGTCCTGTGTTAGAACAAGAACAAGATCACATTGTGACTTTGGGCAAGTGACTTCTTTGAGCCCGTTCACCATTTTCAAGTAGACACGACAGTTCCTACCTGGCAGAATTCCCCCCAGCCCCAAAAAGAGCAAGAGAAGAGCAAGCAGCATTCTGGAGAGGCTTGTGTGGCCCCGTCTTTGGAAGGTGCCTGGTCTGGCGCAGCCCGAGCTCCATCAGTCAGCTGGGTTTTACCTCCTTGTGTTCACCCTGCTTGGGGTCATGGTGATGTCTTTGCTTGAGCTAGAAGCTTTTAAGTCGGGGGTCAGGCATAGCCCTCTTTGTCACTCCAGCCCCTTTCCTGGCACATTTCTGGGCACATTTCTGCTTTTCACGGGGTGTACGGTCCCACAGGGAAGAGTGGAAATGGGCAAAGTGTGGATGGGGATGTCTTCTCAGAAGCCACACAGGTGTGGGGAGAGTTGCCAGCCCCACCCCGAGAAGCCTGAGGCTGCCCCTGAATGGCACCCTGTCTCCTGTGCCCTCAGCAAAGCCAACCCAAGTCTGCCAGTGAGAAGTCACAGCGCAGCAAGAAGGCCAAGGAGCTGAAGCCAAAGGTGAAGAAGCTCAAGTACCACCAGTACATCCCCCCGGACCAGAAGCAGGACAGGGGGGCACCCCCCATGGACTCATCCTACGCCAAGATCCTGCAGCAGCAGCAGCTCTTCCTCCAGCTGCAGATCCTCAACCAGCAGCAGCAGCAGCACCACAACTACCAGGCCATCCTGCCTGCCCCGCCAAAGTAGGCACCCGCTCCTCACTGCCTGCCCCTGCCCTCCCCGAGCCACCCTGAGCCAGGCAGGTGCCAGGTCTGGTGGGGGTGAACCTCACATCTTTAAGGACCCGCTGGTCTGGATGCTACAGAGTGGTCTGCAGGCAGGGCCACCCTAGCCTTTGCTGGGCCCTTGCCCCATGCCCATCTGTACCCAATCCTGCTGCCCAGGCTTGGGCTGCCACCTGCAGAGGCCACGGGCGAAGCTGGATGGGGCTAATTTCTGCCTTTTCTTCCCAGGTCAGCAGGCGAGGCCCTGGGAAGCAGCGGGACCCCCCCAGTACGCAGCCTCTCCACTACCAATAGCAGCTCCAGCTCGGGCGCCCCTGGGCCCTGTGGGCTGGCACGTCAGAACAGCACCTCACTGACTGGCAAGCCGGGAGCCCTGCCGGCCAACCTGGACGACATGAAGGTACATGGCCACTGGAAAACTTGAGCCACTGCCAGCCTGGCCCTTCCCACAGGGGCTGTCTGGGTGCTGGTTTTTAGGCAGGGAAGGCAGCCAGCCTAGGACCCACCGTCATGGAAAGCAGAGCAGGGCTTTAGGCTCTGGTCCCCATCAGACAGGGCACCTTGGACACAGCTCTGAGGCTGCCTGGAGGTGGTCATGGTGAATGACACCAGCTTCCTCGTGGTGGTTCCTGTTGTTGGCAGCACAGCCAGCATCTGTCCAGGCAGTCGCATGTCTCTTATCTTCCTCGACTTACGTGTTGCATGCAGTGTGAGAAGTGGGGATTGGTGCCCCTTTGAGGATGGTCAGGCTGAGGCAGTGACAGGAGGAGGAGCTTGTCCACAGTCGCAGACCTGGTCAGTGTAGACAGGACTGTCCAGTAGCAACCCTGCCCGCATTTTCCCCTTTGCCGGTTAATGCAGAGCTCACTCTGCCGTTCAGGTGCAGTGTCTGCCTGGGAAGAGAGCGGCCTGTGATCAGGGCCACAGACTTGGCTTCCATCCTAGGGCCTTGGAGAGGAGTGGGTCATGCCCAGTGCCTTGCGTGTTTTCTCTGCCCCATCAGAAGATGGATTGGACCAAGCTCTCCCTTGAGAACTTGTTCTCTGAACCAGGCTGGGCCCTACTTTCATGAGCTCAGTTTTCTCTTTGCAAAATACAGTCTGTTCCATTGAATATTTATTGAGCCCATGCACCATGCTGGGGGCTGGGGGCTGGGGACAGCTGTGGGCACCATGTACCAGCCCCCGTTGCCTGCATAGGTGGGGAGCATTTTAACCAGACCCCTGCTAGAGTGAGAACAATGAAAGAGAGGATGCTGTTGGCTCAGGTGGTGGGGGGCATTGCACCCTCCAGGCTGCTGGAGGATTAGGGTAGTTGATGCATCTGCAGTGGCCCATGGGGCCCAGACTGCCCTTCTGCCTGGACCCAGTGCCCTGTGTCCAGCTGCCCCTGGCCTCCCTGACTCTTGACTGCCTTGCAGGTGGCAGAGCTGAAGCAGGAGCTGAAGTTGCGATCACTGCCTGTCTCGGGCACCAAAACTGAGCTGATTGAGCGCCTTCGAGCCTATCAAGACCAAATCAGCCCTGTGCCAGGAGCCCCCAAGGCCCCTGCCGCCACCTCTATCCTGCACAAGGCTGGCGAGGTGGTGGTAGCCTTCCCAGCGGCCCGGCTGAGCACGGGGCCAGCCCTGGTGGCAGCAGGCCTGGCTCCAGCTGAGGTGGTGGTGGCCACGGTGGCCAGCAGTGGGGTGGTGAAGTTTGGCAGCACGGGCTCCACGCCCCCCGTGTCTCCCACCCCCTCGGAGCGCTCACTGCTCAGCACGGGCGATGAAAACTCCACCCCCGGGGACACCTTTGGTGAGATGGTGACATCACCTCTGACGCAGCTGACCCTGCAGGCCTCGCCACTGCAGATCCTCGTGAAGGAGGAGGGCCCCCGGGCCGGGTCCTGTTGCCTGAGCCCTGGGGGGCGGGCGGAGCTAGAGGGGCGCGACAAGGACCAGATGCTGCAGGAGAAAGACAAGCAGATCGAGGCGCTGACGCGCATGCTCCGGCAGAAGCAGCAGCTGGTGGAGCGGCTCAAGCTGCAGCTGGAGCAGGAGAAGCGAGCCCAGCAGCCCGCCCCCGCCCCCGCCCCCCTCGGCACCCCCGTGAAGCAGGAGAACAGCTTCTCCAGCTGCCAGCTGAGCCAGCAGCCCCTGGGCCCCGCTCACCCATTCAACCCCAGCCTGGCGGCCCCAGCCACCAACCACATAGACCCTTGTGCTGTGGCCCCGGGGCCCCCGTCCGTGGTGGTGAAGCAGGAAGCCTTGCAGCCTGAGCCCGAGCCGGTCCCCGCCCCCCAGTTGCTTCTGGGGCCTCAGGGCCCCAGCCTCATCAAGGGGGTTGCACCTCCCACCCTCATCACCGACTCCACAGGGACCCACCTTGTCCTCACCGTGACCAATAAGAATGCAGACAGCCCTGGCCTGTCCAGTGGGAGCCCCCAGCAGGTACCTGGGTATGGGAGGAACCGGGCAGGGCCCAGAGGAGGGTGGGAAGAGCGTCTCGCTACAGCCCTCTTGGGCCAGGGGACCCCTCGTGCTGGACATTTTGTGTTTGCTTCATTTAATCTTCCTTCACCAGGGGGGTACTGAGACTTAGGAAAGTTAAGGGACCTGCCTCAGACCCCCTAGCTGTAGGGCGGAGCCATTGGTGAGCTCCCCACCTCTCTGGCTGTTGAGACTAGAACATTTCGGCACCTCAGCAGCAGGACTCCTGAGCAGCCCGTACCCAGGCTGGGCCTGCCCTAGTGCTGCTCTGTGGGGAGTGGCCAGTGAAGGTCAGAGGTAGCCTGCCCCGGGGAGAGGCTGTGGGGTCCTCTGGCCAGGATCCAGCTCAGGGTCCTCTCCTCAGAGAGGCTAGCTGTCCCCACCAAGGTGTCAGCAGCGGAAAGCTCCCTCAGCAGACCCTCTCTCAGCCCAGGCCACAGGTGAGGCTGCCCTAAGGCTTTATGTAGCCTCGTGGTCCTGCAGAACTTGGGGGTAGAGAAGACAGTGACAGGAACAGGTACCTCAGGATAGGAGACAGGGGTCCCTGAGCAGCCCCAAGCAGAGAAAGAAGCTGCAGAAATCTCAGGGGGTGACCAGCCCAGCCCAGAGACCTCTCCCAAACCTCAAGGGGCCAGGCACCCCCTGCAGGGTTGAGGGCCCCCCATCCTGTATTCCTTCCTACCTAGTGGCTTTCATGAAAGCTCCCTAAAAGCCAGTGCCTCCCATCTTCCCTCCTAGAGTGTGAGAGGCCCTGGCCCTATCCCCGCCCCCCGCCCCCTACAAGGCAGGTCTGCACCCCCAGCCCCCTGGCCACTGGTCCTCTCCCTGCTCTCCTGTCCAGCCCTCGTCCCAGCCTGGCTCTCCAGCGCCTGCCCCCTCTGCCCAGATGGACCTGGAGCACCCACTGCAGCCCCTCTTTGGGACCCCCACTTCTCTGCTGAAGAAGGAACCACCTGGCTATGAGGAAGCCATGAGCCAGCAGCCCAAACAGCAGGTGAGGAAGGCGGGCTAGGCCTGGCTAGTGTTGGCAGCTGCCCTAGGCTGCTGGGCTGAGGCTCCTACAGCCCCACCCGGAGGAATAGGGGGCAGGCGAAGCCCAGCTTCAGGGTCAGAGAGGCCTTGGGGAGTGGGTTGTTAGGGGACGGGCTCCAGGAGTCCGGGCACGCCCATGGGTCCTGTGGATCTGGCTGCTTATTCTGGGGCAGAGGGAGGGGCCTCATTCGTAGTTCGGGCTGGGAGCCCCCATTCAAGATTTTTATCTCTTTTTTTTTTTTCCTTTGTCCCACAGGAAAATGGTTCCTCAAGCCAGCAGATGGACGACCTGTTTGACATTCTCATTCAGAGCGGAGGTAACCCCAGGTCCCCTGCTGCCTCCCTGACGGCCTTCTCTGTTCATAGGTGTCTCTAGCCCTGGGTTGGTTTGTTTTTATTGAATGCTTCCGTGCGTGACCAGTCTTGGGCAAGCACTGTGGATGCAGTGGTGGCTGTGAGCCCTCCCGTCTCCAAGGCCTGGGCGAGAGGACCAGGGAAGGTGCCGTCCTTCAGCTGGAAGCACTGCCCCAAGGCCCTCGCCTCCCAACGAACAGAAGAGACATTTGCCCTTGTGGAGCTCACAGTGCAGCCTGGGGAGGTGGACAACAAATATAAGAAATAAGCAGATCATATGGAAGATCCGAGAGGAGCCTTAGGACAAAAATGGAGGAGAGGGAGAGGTCTGGGGAGCCTGGTGGGGAAGGTCCAGGATGTCTCCTGTGAGCAGGGGCAGCTGTGTGCATCTGTGCGGCCTCGGGAGTACCTGGCGGGTTGGAGTGGAGTTGAGGAAAGGGGAAGAAGGCCTTCATGGCCAGATCATGCGTGGCCTCCTGGGCACCAGGGCAGGGTGGCTTTGGCTCCATTGTGTGGGAAGCCATCGCACAGCCTTGAGCAGAAAAGGCCTGGTCTGATGCAGGACCCAGGCGATAGTAGCCGTGCAAGGGCAGAAGCAGGGAGCCCCAGGTTGGGGGGCGACTGGAGAGCTGGGCTTTGGCCCAGCAGGCAGCAGTGGCGGGCAGAGGAGCGGCTGGAATCAGCCCCATTTGGAGAGAGCCAGGTTGGTGTCTTTATGGATGAAGTGGGGGGAGAGGGAAGGAACAGCCAAGGATGACTTCAAGGGCTGTGGCCTAAAGGGCCAGGGTGGAGTGGCCATTGATGGGGTGAGCTGGGGAGGGGGCACGTGTGGGACCACATTGCGCGGTCCCTGATGGGGTGTGTCACGAGACCGAATGGAGGGTTCACAGGGACAGTTGACATCAAGTGGCATTTGTGAGAGAGGTCTGGGCTGGAGGTAGGAGTTGGAGTGTTGTCACATCTAGATTGGCAGTTGGAGCTGGGAGGCTGCCGAGGGTGTGAGGTGGGGGAGCAGAGGTTGGGGCTAAGCCCAGCCTTGGGGGTCGGGAGGACAAGTAGTGGCAGGGTGCGGTGTCCTGGAATCCAGCCGTGACCAAGGGAGCTGAGGACCGAGGCCTGGACACGGAAGGTAGGCATCATGGGCACAACAGGAAGTCCATGAGAGGCCTGGGAGCAGGGTGGGGGTGGCCGTAGAGAGCTCTCTGGGAGGTTCCCCTGCAGAGGGGAAGAAGGAGGTAGGGCAGATGCTGGGCAGGAAATAGCGCGCGTCTGTGTGAGGGGACCCAGCTGGGAGTAGAAGATCCCAGATGACCCCGAGATGGTCCTGGGGAGGAGCTCACTGGCGGCAGCAGGCAAGAAGTCTGGGCCTGTGGTGCCGATGCTGGGTGGTGAGCGTGGACTTCTCTTTGAGTGTCTCAGTGGCTTCAGGAGGAGGAGGAGCGGCTGAGGGGTGCAGGCAAAGTGGGAGCTCAGCCTGGAACCACAGCTCTACCAGAGTAGATGTGATGTTGTGTGAATTTTATTTCAATTTAAGACAAGAGCTCAGTCACTGGTGTTCCTGTGAGGTCTGTAATTCTCAAGCCCTAGGGAGAATCCCTGGGTCCCTGGGGTCTGAGGCGCATCTCTCACCAGTGCAGGTGGCACTGAGGCGGCAGGTATGGGACCCGCTGTGAGGACGGCTGGGCTGGGCGCTCAGGAGCGAGGCCTTGGCGTGAGCTTCAGGAGGTTCCAAGGGAAGGAGGTGCTACCCCAGAGATATTGTTCAAGAAGGAAAAGGGAACAGGCTTTGAACTCTAGCTTCTAAGGGATGGCAGAGAAAGGGAGATGGTGGGTGTGGGTGCTGCCTGCCGCCAAAGGGACACTGAAAAGTGGCCCAAGAGGTGGCAGTGATGCCAGAAGCAGGTGTTTGAGGAGAGAGGTCTGGGCAGGTGGTGGCAGCTGGGCAGGCAGCGACCTCCTTGCCTGGTGAGAGCGGCTGCAGGGCAAAGAGTGCATTCTGCCAGGACAGGGG
The DNA here is from genome assembly GCF_000001405.40 of Homo sapiens. Classification (NCBI taxonomy): domain Eukaryota; kingdom Metazoa; phylum Chordata; class Mammalia; order Primates; family Hominidae; genus Homo; species Homo sapiens. Next base: position 40,414,937 of record NC_000022.11, on the reverse strand, counting down.
GGGCCAGAACCCACAGGGTTGGGGAGCAGGCCTGGTTTTTGCATAATTCTTTTTTTAGTTGTGGTGAGATAATAAAATTTGCCATTCTAATCATTTTTTAAATGTACAATCAGAGGTATTAGGTCCATTCACAGTGTTGTGCAACTGTCACCCCTATCCGCTCCAGAACTTCATCACCCCATAAGGAAACTGTACCCATTAGACAGTAACTCCCCATTCTCCCCAACTCCAGCCCTTGGCAGTCCCCATCCCACTTTCTCTATGGATTTGCCTGTCGTGGGGACCTCACAGAAGTAGACTCAGTTTGTCCTTCTGTGTCTGGCTTATTTCACTCAGCATAATGTCCTCAGGGTCCATCTGTGTTGCAGCATGTGTCAGAATTTCACTCTTTTTAAAGGCTGAATCATACCCTGTAGTGTGGATTCACCACATTCTCTTCATCCATTCATCTGTGGCTGGACACCTGGGCTGTTTCCACCCTTTGGATGTTGTGAATGTCAGTGTACAAGTGTCTGTCTTGAGTCCCTGCTTTCAGTTCTGGGCATAAACCTAGGGTTGGAATTGCCGGATCATATGGTAATTTCTTCTTTTTTTTTCCTTGGAGACGGAGTCTGTTGCCCAGATTGGAGTGCAGTAGCACGATCTTGGCTCACTGCAACCTCTGCCTCTGGGGTTCAAGCAATTCTCCTGCCTCAGCTTCTCGAGTAGCCGGGACTACAGGCACCCGCCGCCACGCCCGGCCAATTTTTTGTGTGTTTTTTAGTAGAGACGGGGTTTCACTGTGTTGCCCAGGCTGGTTTTGAACTCCTGAGCTCAGGCAGTCTGCCCGCCTCGGCCTCCCAAAGTGATAGGATTACACGCATGAGCCAACGCACCCCGCCTCATATGGTAACTTCTGTGTTTAACTTTTTGAGGAATCACTAAACTGTGTCCACTGCAGCTGTAACGTTTTACATTCACACTAGCAATGCACAAGGGTTCCAGTTTCTTCACCTCCTCACCAGCACTTCTTATTTTCAATTTTTTGATACAAGCCATCCTAATGGGTGTGAAGTGGTATCTTAGTTTGCATTTCTGTCATTTAGTGACGTGGAACATCTTTTCATGTGCTGCCTGACCATTTGTGTATCTTCTATTGGAGAATGGCCAAGTCCTTTGCACATTTTTTTTGATTTTTTAAAAATTGTGATAAATCGGCTGGGCGTGGTAGCTCACGCCTGTAATCCCAGCACTTTGGGAGGCTGAGGCAGGCAAATCACGAGGTCAGGAGATCGAGACCATCCTGGCTAACATGGTGAAACCCCGTCTTTACTAAAAAATACAAAAAATTTATCCGGGCATGGTGGCGGGCACCTGTAGTCCCAGCACTTTGGGAGGCCAAGGCAGGCGGATCACGAGGTCAGGAGTTCGAGACCAGCCTGACCAACATGGTGAAAAAATTAGCCAGGCATGGTGGCACGTGCCTGTAATCTCAGGAGGGTGAGGCAGGAGAATTGCTTGAAAACGGGAGGCGGAGGTTGCAGTGAGCCAAGATTGCCCCACTGCACTGCAGCCTGGGCAACAGTGAGACTCAAGTCTCAAAAAAAAAAAAAAAATTGTGGTAAAATACACCTAAAATTTACCTTTTTTTGTTGTTGTTTTTTGATAAAGATGGGGTCTTGCCTTGTTGCCCAGGCTGCTCTCAAACTCCTGGCTTGAAGCCAATCCTCCTGTCCCAGCCTCCCAAGTGCTGGCATGACAGGTGTGAGCCACTGTGCCCAACCCATCATAACCTTTTTTTTTTTTTTTTTTTTTTTTTTTGAGACAGGGTGTCACTCTGTTTCCCAGTGTTGGAGTGCAGTGGTGCAATCTTGGCTCACTGCAACCTCCGCCTCCCGGGTTCAAGCCATTCTCCTACCTCAGCCTCCTGAGTAGCTGGGATTACAGGCGTGCACCACCGTGCCCGGCTAATTTTTGTATTTTTAGTAGAGGTCGGGGTTTCACCATGTTAGCCTGGCTGGTCTCGAACTCCTGACCTCAAGTAATCCACCCCACTTGGCCTCCCAAAGTGCTGGGATTACAGACGTGAGCCACTGCACCCAGCCCATTGTAACTAACCATTTTTAAGTGTATGGTTCAGTGGTATTAAATACATTCATAATGTGTACAGCCATCACTGCCATCCATCTCCCTTTCTTTTGATCTCGTAAAACTGAAACTATCCCCATTAAACAGTAACTTCCCATTTGGCCCTTCCGCCAGCCTGTAGCAACTGCCATTCTACTTTCTGTCTCTATGATTTTGACTAAGTGCAATCATGAATTGTCTTTTGTGACAGGCTGTTGCACTAAGCATAGTATCACTTCCTTCATCCATTGATGGACATAGGTTGCTTCCACATTCTACTGTTGTGAATGCACTTATCAACACCTGTGTACAAATACCTGAGACCCTGCTTCCAATTCTTTTGGGTATATGCCCAGCAGTGGAATTGCTAGATCATATGGTAATTCTATTTTTAAGTAAGTAAGTGTTGGAGGAACCTCCATACTGTTTTTCATAGCAGCTGCACCATTTTGCATTTCTACCACAGGGCACAAGGGCTCCAGTTTCTCTGTATCCTCACCAATACTTTCTTAAAAATTTAATTTTACAGTAGCCACTCCAGTGGGTTTGAGGTGTATCTCACTGTGGTCTCCCTCATGACTAGTGATATTGAGCTCTTTTCATGTGCTGTTGGCCATTTGTATATCATCTTTGGAAAAATGTCTGTTCAAATCTTTCTTTTACCTATTCTTGAGTCAAGTTTGGTTTTTTGTTGTTGAGTTTTAGAAGTTCTCTGTGTATTCCGGATATCACTTCTTTATCAAATATGTGATTTGCAAATATTTTTAAAGAGTTTTATAGTCTTAGCTCTTACATTTAAGTAAGTCTTTGATCCGTTTTATTTTTGTAAATGGTGTGACGTTGGGGGGTCCACCTTCATTCTTTTGCATGTAGATATACAGGCTTGGCTTCTGATATCCATTTACTCTCTTGATTGATTGGCAGAAATTTCAGCAGATTTCAAGGAGCCGCCATCCCTGCCAGGGAAGGAGAAGCCATCCCCGAAGACAGTCTGTGGGTCCCCCCTGGCAGCACAGCCATCACCTTCTGCTGAGCTCCCCCAGGCTGCCCCACCTCCTCCAGGCTCACCCTCCCTCCCTGGACGCCTGGAGGACTTCCTGGAGAGCAGCACGGGGCTGCCCCTGCTGACCAGTGGGCATGACGGGCCAGAGCCCCTTTCCCTCATTGACGACCTCCATAGCCAGATGCTGAGCAGCACTGCCATCCTGGACCACCCCCCGTCACCCATGGACACCTCGGAATTGCACTTTGTTCCTGAGCCCAGCAGCACCATGGGCCTGGACCTGGCTGATGGCCACCTGGACAGCATGGACTGGCTGGAGCTGTCGTCAGGTGGTCCCGTGCTGAGCCTAGCCCCCCTCAGCACCACAGCCCCCAGCCTCTTCTCCACAGACTTCCTCGATGGCCATGATTTGCAGCTGCACTGGGATTCCTGCTTGTAGCTCTCTGGCTCAAGACGGGGTGGGGAAGGGGCTGGGAGCCAGGGTACTCCAATGCGTGGCTCTCCTGCGTGATTCGGCCTCTCCACATGGTTGTGAGTCTTGACAATCACAGCCCCTGCTTTTTCCCTTCCCTGGGAGGCTAGAACAGAGAAGCCCTTACTCCTGGTTCAGTGCCACGCAGGGCAGAGGAGAGCAGCTGTCAAGAAGCAGCCCTGGCTCTCACGCTGGGGTTTTGGACACACGGTCAGGGTCAGGGCCATTTCAGCTTGACCTCCTTTTTTGAGGTCAGGGGGCACTGTCTGTCTGGCTACAATTTGGCTAAGGTAGGTGAAGCCTGGCCAGGCGGGAGGCTTCTCTTCTGACCCAGGGCTGAGACAGGTTAAGGGGTGAATCTCCTTCCTTTCTCTCCCTGCTTTGCTGTGAAGGGAGAAATTAGCCTGGGCCTCTACCCCCTATTCCCTGTGTCTGCCAACCCCAGGATCCCAGGGCTCCCTGCCATTTTAGTGTCTTGGTGTAGTGTAACCATTTAGTGGTTGGTGGCAACAATTTTATGTACAGGTGTATATACCTCTATATTATATATCGACATACATATATATTTTTGGGGGGGGGCGGACAGGAGATGGGTGCAACTCCCTCCCATCCTACTCTCACAGAAGGGCCTGGATGCAAGGTTACCCTTGAGCTGTGTGCCACAGTCTGGTGCCCAGTCTGGCATGCAGCTACCCAGGCCCACCCATCACGTGTGATTGACATGTAGGTACCCTGCCACGGCCTATGCCCCACCTGCCCTGCTTCCTGGCTCCTTATCAGTGCCATGAGGGCAGAGGTGCTACCTGGCCTTCCTGCCAGGAGCTCTCCACCCACTCACATTCCGTCCCCGCCGCCTCACTGCAGCCAGCGTGGCCCTAGGACAGGAGGAGCTTCGGGCCCAGCTTCACCCTGCGGTGGGGCTGAGGGGTGGCCATCTCCTGCCCTGGGGCCACTGGCTTCACATTCTGGGCTGACTCATAGGGGAGTAGGGGTGGAGTCACCAAAACCAGTGCTGGGACAAAGATGGGGAAGGTGTGTGAACTTTTTAAAATAAACACAAAAACACAGGCCTGTTAGTCCATCTTATTCAGTCCATGGAAGGGGTGGGTAGCACAGCTGGGTCCCGGGTCTGTTGTGTCCCAGCATCTGAGGGGCCACGCAGTGCCTTCTAGACCACTCAAGGAAGGGCAGAACCTTGGACCTGAATACAGCTCTGCAGCCCTAGCTGCACAGAAGACAGGTAGGTGCTTTCTCAAAGACAGACACAGTTTATTTATAAACCAAAGAGGCCAGGAGCCTACTAGCCACCCCCATCCCCTTCCCTCTTCCTGAGCACAGACATGGCTCCCCCACCTCCTCACAAGGTTTTTGGTACAAACTGTGGTTTGGCCTAGAGCATCCCTAAGGACCCTGGTGGGGCAGGGTACCCTCTGCTCCCACCACCTGGGATGTGCTGGGGAACGTGGAGTGGGGCAGCCTGATATTGATATCCCGCGGCCCCGGCCAGGGCTCTGGAGCTGCTCTTCCCTGGGCTCTGCAGCTTGGGGTCCTGGGCCACCTCAGACGCAGGCCCGAGGTTGGGCTGGGGAGGAGGGGGTCACCCGTCCACATCCCAGCTGAAGAGGTGGTGCTTCACCAGCATGTCCCGGACGCCCTCCTTCAGGGGCTGCTGCGCCTGCAAACAGGGCAGCCCCTCACCTCACAGGCCTTGGGCATGGCTGGGGTAGTTCCTAACCGCTGACACCAGCACTTCGGGTTCCCACCTTAGCCACCCCGCGAACGGTTTGGGCAGCTCCATCAGTGCAGGCCCTACGAGGCCCACACCACCCACCTCTCTCTTCGCAGGGAGCTCCCAGTCCTGGGAGAGGCTGAAGGCAAAGCAGCAGAGGACTCTAGAGGTGAGGAAGGGGTGGTAAGGCTCTTGTCACCCCCAGCTAGCCCTTCCCACCCCACCTCCATCCCCCAAGCCCAGTAAGGTCCTCACCGGAGCTCACACTTGATCTGGACCCAGCCCGGGCTGCGCAGGAAGGACCAGGGCTGGTACCACTTCTCCACGGTGGGCAGGCTGGAGCAGAGCACCTCCAGCCACAGGTGCAGCACCTGCTCACTGGGGACATGGCCAGGAGTGGGGAGCAGGGGCAGCTCCAGGCCCTTCTGGCTGCAGCCACGGTGGAAGCCTCTGACCTGTCTCTCAGCAGCTCCCAGACCACCCTCTTTGGGGAAGGACCTGAGCCCCTGAGGTTCTTTGTCCTTTAGGGTTCCCTGTAAGGACCCCCCCTGATGCTGGGCTGGGTCCCCCCACTCCAGGGCTCTCCTCCAACCCCTTTTCCACACTCACTTGAGCCCCACGCAGATCAGTGAGCGGAGCTTCACATCCATTTGTGCATGCACTGCATCGTGGGTCACGTTCACAGACTGCACAGCCTGGGAACGGCACCGTCAGCTGTCACTCAGGCTCCCCCACAGGCTAACCCCAGAGAGGTCTCTAGGGTCTGGCAGAGGAGGCCCCCTTACCCGGTAGAGCAGCTCCTCCGGGGTCAGGACTTTGCCATCTTCATCCAACCTGAGGGGACACCAAAGCTCCTGGGGTGCCGGGGCTGGGTCAGGCCCCGCCCTCCCACTGCTGGTGACCCCACCAGAAGAACCCGGGCCGAGTTACCTGAAGGTCTTACAGAGCACCAGACGGGAATACACGGAGGCAAAGTCTCTCTCGACCTCCCGGCCTGCAGCCTGTGGGGACAGCACACGGTGTGAGTGCAGGGACAGGAAGATGCTGGTTCAAAGCCCTTGGGGCCGACTGGGCACCTGTCACCACGCTGCCAGCTCTTCCCATCCTCTCTGTGGGGCAGGAAGGACCTAAGATGGGTACTAGGGGGCACAGCAGGGCTGGTGCAGGGTGGGGGTCATGGGCCCAGCCACTGACTTACCTCCTCGATAAACAGCCAGGGGTGGCAGGCGCCCCCAAGCAGGGATGGCTTCTTCAGTCCATGTTCGAACAGGGCCTTAAGGGCCGGGCAGAGGGTCCCTCGCACGAGGTCTGTGACCCCCTCCGTCACCGAGTCATCCCCCGCGATGGAGTACTGATGGGAGGGATGGGTCTGAGAAAGCCCTGCCTGACGCCTGCAGCCAGTCACCCTCCTCTGTCCTCTCTGCCATGCTACAGGCCAGGACTCGCTAGGCACGCAGGCCCTGGCTAGAAGGGTGCCAGCCGTGCCTAGCCCGCCCACCCCCCTCACCTCTTTGCTGCGCTCATCCAGGACTTCCACGAACTTGGCTGGAAACCAGCCTGTGGGAAAAACAGGCCCTGTAAGGAGCAACCACGAGGGCCGAGGACAGAGCAGACACAGCCTGCAGGCAGGCTGAGGCAGTGGGAAGCCGGCTCAGCTGCTTCAGGGACCTCAAGCCAGGCAGGTGTATAGAGGAGAACAGCTTGGTGGCGGCCAGGGTCACCCAAGTCTTCTGTGCCCACCCCCTCCTCCCTCTCCCAGCTCAAGAGCAGACCAAGGACCCCACCTCGCAGGCCGTTGAGCTCCCCCACCCAGCAGTGCTCGTCCTTCTGAGACACGATCTGCACAGGAGGAAAAACAGCAGGAACCAAAGCTGGGTGCCCTGGGCCAGCGCCTCCTGCACCCCCGATATGACTCCTCAGCAACTAGGCCAGGCCAAGACCCCTACATCTTCACAAGAGAAGCTCTTGGCAGGGAAAGGGGTTGGGGTGGGGCTTGGTGGAGGGAGTCTGGGGAACCCGCCACAGCCTGAGGACCTGGTAGTCCAGCGCCCCCACGCACTGTGATGATGTCGTTCTTGCGGAAGCCCAGCTCGTCGTCGTCGTGCCGCTCAAAGTCCAGCAGGGCCTTGGCTCGGCGCCGGTGGCTGCGTGAGCACGCCACGTAGTTCTCGTGGTCCCGCTGGTGGCTCTCCATGCTATAGTCTGGAGTCAGCTCCTGCCACAGTGAACACAGGCCCACCAAGGGGGTTGGAGGAGTTAGGGCCGTGTTTGGTAGCAGCCCAGGGAGCTGGCGACTCACCACGCTGCAGTTTTTGGGGTCTGTGCACTGGAAGTGGCGTGCCACGCGCAGGATGGCTTCCCGGAGGTCAGCCACCAGTTCCGTCTGCTTGATGTTCTTGGCCTTGAGTGCCTCCAGGTCATCCTCCCCTAGGAGGCCCAGAGAACCATGGTGACCACAGCCCACTCCAGGCCCCCGAGGAGGAAGCTCCACGTCCACATGAGCGTGAGGACAGACTCCCGCATGCCCACACTGCCTGGCACTCGCAGAGCTCTCACCGAAGAGCAGAGCAGTGATGGTGGACTTCCTCCGCTGGGTCCTGCGGCGAACAACCTGCACCAAGAGGAGTGGGTCAGGGTGGTCCTGGCCCCGGGAGGAAGAGAACCCACCAGCCCTTGGCTTATACTGTCTCATCTGAAATAGCCTCTGACGCTGGCTCCAAGAATTGAAAACAGATAATCAGAGCTGGGTCTGCCTTCCTCCCAAACCGTGCCAGGATCAGAACCTGAGGTGCACAAAGCCTGAGGAGGCCTGGATCACCCCACAGCTGTGGTCTGACTGGGCCAGGCTGGGGGGCAGAGCAGGAAGGGCTGGTTTGTTTTCCGCAGCCCCCGCGCTCTGAACTTCAAGGTGACCCCTCCTCCCCGTGTGCTGTGGGTCAAGGTGCGGCCCCCCATCCTGGGCCACCTGAGAGAGGTTGGTGAGGGTGCCGGCCCCCAGGAGCTGGCCCTGGTCTGCAATGAGATAGGCCAGGTGCTTGCGGCGCTGAGTCTCCACGGCCACATCGGTGAGGGAGCCGGCCAGCCGCATGGCCACCCCCAGAAGCAGCTCCGCGTCCTCCATCTGCGACGGGATATCCGATAGCGTGTTGAAGATGGAGGCCGAGTTCTCTGACTGGATCAGCTCTTCCTCCTGGGCCATGCCAGGGCAGGATGGGGGAAGAAGGTTGTCATTGCAGGGACGTGGCACTGAGCTGACCCCAACCCCCATCCTCAGGGACCCGTTTGCCTTGGCACAGTTGTCAGGGGCCAGGGGGCTGGTCTTGCCTGGCCCAGGGAGGTCTCTTGCTCCCCTGCCCCCCATCTCGGGTGCCTACTCCTCAGCCTGAAGTGGGGCCGTGGAGCACCTTGAGGTGCAGCATGCCCAGCGTGAGCTGGAACAGCACCCGGGAGCCCTCGTAGAAAAACAGGTCCCAGATGCGCAGGAGCAGCTTGATGTCCACCACGCTGGCGAAGGCCGTGAGGAACCAGTGCAGTGTGATCAGGGACAGCTCTGTAAACACAGGAGCCAAAGCCGCTGGGGAGGAGGTGGTGGAAACCTCCCTCCCCGGAACTGCAGCAAGGTCCTCCCTGCTTAAGAGCAAAGGAGGGGAGGGGGCAGGGAACACCAGAGAACAAAAGAGCGACAAAGACCATGGTTGGGGGGCTGTGCCCTATCCCCACTCGGCCACCCGCCTGAGTCCTCCAAGCTGCAGAATGGGAGCCAGTGGCTCAGGGGCGCCTTACCAATGTCATGCTCCTGGAGCAGCTTGTCCAGGCGAGGCAGGTACTGGACAATGAGGTGGCGCAGGACCCGCTGGTCAGTCTGGACACCCAGCAGGGTGGTGCTGAAGTAGGAGGCGGGGAGCAGGTCCTCGATGATGGCAGACATCATCCAGAAGGCGTCCTCCTCCTCCAGGAACAGCAGGAGGCAGGCGGCCACCTGGCCAGGGCACAGGGACAAGGGCCTTCTACCCAGGTCTTTGTGCAGATTAGAAAAGGTGCCCCTACCCTAGGGAGACCAATTAGCAAAAGCCTCTTGGGGGGCACGCATGCTGGAACCCAGGCCTTCCCTGGGCTGCTTTCCTTGGCCTGCCTCACTTTCACATCCCTTGGGGAGCGCCTCTGCTTGCATAACGTGCAGCTGCCCCGATCTCCTTGGGGACGCCCCGGAGTGGGAGGCCACTCCTTGTTAGGGGTCCTGGAGGAGGCCCTGGGGCTACTGCCCCGTAGCGGGAGGCCACTCCTTGTTAGGGTCCTGGAGGGGGTCCTGGGGCTGCCACTGCCCTTTCTGGGGCTGTGCTCACCATGCCGGTGCCCTGGCAGTAGCCGATCTCTGGGTAGAGCCAGGCCAGGGCCCGGAGCACCCTGCGCAGGCGGGGCACCCCGATGCTACCCATGCTGGCGAAGCAGGCGTTGCTGGGCATGGTGCGGAGCAGGTCCTTCTCGATCTGTCAGGCAGCCATCGGCACCCACAATAACAAGACCTTGTGACACCCTGGGAGGGAGGCAGACCCCAGGCGGGCTTCTCCCCCAGAAATGGGGATTCCTTGTGTTCCTGATCAAGGTCACCCTCCTCCCTTCAGGGTCAGCTCCCAGCCAGTGTGGAGCCGGGACATCAAATCCAGCTGGGAAACTTCATGCCAGACCACCTGAAAACGTGTGGCCCGAGGCCTGGAGTCTATATTTAGAGTCCCCATCTGTTCCTGAAGTGGACCCGGGCTTGGGAACCCCATCTCCAAGCCCTTCCACAGCACTGATGGCCTTTTGGACAATTCTTTCTTTGGCCTGCAGAGGACCAAGGAAGGAGCAAATATCCTCCCCTACCCCACAACAAGGGCACACTCTAAGAACCCCAGGCAGGCTCCCTCTCTCCTGCGAGCCCACACAGCCTCCAGCTCTTCCTGCACAGTGCCACCGGCCTCACCTGCTTGGCAGCGATGGTCTCATCGTTGGAGCTGTTCTTCACAATCTCGCGGTAGGACAGCTCAGAGTTCCTCTTCTTCTGCAGGGCCCCAGAGAGCCGCATCCACAGCTGAGGGAAGGGAGCCGCAAGGGCACTCAGTCTTTCTCGTGACACCTGATCATGGGGCCAGGACCCTCTCAACACCCTGTGGGTCCCTGTGGCCACCTTACCTGTGGCCTCATGCCATGTGGGATGCCGGCCAGCACCAGGGAGCGGAGCTTCTCAGAGCGGGGTAGGGAGACGGCAATCTTGTCCCAGGTGAGATCCCCCACATCGTGGTTATGGGTGAACTCCAGGTGGGCCTGCCACCGCAGCCTCTGTGGAGCATCCTCCATCAGAGGGGAGTTCGCCAGCAGACTGGAGCCAGGCTCATCACCTTCTGCCAAGAGAGAGCCAAGGAGGAAAGAAAAAGCATTCTCTACTACGTGTTCTCCAAGCAGCCAAGCCTCCGTCTTCAGGAGGGTCTGAGCTTCATGGCTCTAGGCCAGCTCTCTCCCACCATATCCAGATTCCCATAGCTAATGGCTTTCTGACAGCTCCAGGTGAGCCTCTAACATGTACCCCATGAGGAGCAAAGCTCTTCACCTTCTCCTCAAAGCCACTCCTACCATAGTACTACCCGGATCCAGAAATGACACCTCCATTCTCCCGATGCTCAGCCTAAACCTCGGAGTCACCTCTGGCTCCTCCCTCGCCCAGACCCCACACTCAGTCCATCAGCAAACCCACAGGATTCCTTTACGTCTCACCACCCCTGACCATGGCCCTTGTCCAAGCCATGGTCCTTCATCCAGATCACTGCAGTGGCCCTCCTGCTGACCTCCCTGTTGCTACCCTCACCTCCCAAAGGCTGTTCCCCTCAGCAGCCACAGTGACCCTTCCAAAATGCAAGTCAGATCATGTCACTCTGCTCAGAGCTGAGACTTAAAGCCAAGGGCTTTCCAGCGCTCCCTCAGCTGCTTCCTCTGGGCCGTGCCCACTCTGTCCTCACCCCCTGCCATTTTCCTCTTGCTCTCTCCACTCCAATGACATGGTCTGAAAGGGCCACTTCAGGACCTTTTTATATATGATTTACTGCCCCTCTTCTCTATCCCTGGAAGTATTTTTCCAGCCCTTCTTGCTCCAGAATATTACATGCTTGTTTACTGCCTGTCTCCCTCACTAAAATGAGAACTCCATGCAGCTGAGACCACCTTCAGTTTTGTTCGGGGGCCTGCAGGGATGCAGCTGTGGAGACTGCACCACCCACAGTTGGGTCCATGAGATATCTGTTGAATGAATGAGGTCAAGCTCTCCTGTGGCAGCCCAGCAACCCCTGGGTGAGCTCCACAGACAGCCTCGTCCTTATTCACCCAAAAGCCAATCCCTCAGCCCAGCTTTCAAAGACACCAACTTTAATGACTTTACCTACAGTAAAATGCACAAATGTTAGGTGTACATTTTGGTGCATAAACAAATGTCTGAACATTGTCCGCATCAAGCAGTCTCAGTTCCAAGGTGTAACAGTGAACACTCTGACTCCACTGACCCAGCCAAACACAGATACTTCCATCATACCAGCAAGTTCCCTGTGTCCTTCTCAACCCAAACCTTTAACCTGCAAATACCTGCCTACGAATCAGAAGAACAAGGAAAACTTTTGTCAGAATTGGAAACGTGAGTGACCTGAAGGTGATTAGTTGCAGTCAATTAAAATGTCCTAGCCACAGTTCTGGCCTGGCAGATGGACTTCCCAATAGCCCACTCAGGACCAAAAGGTCCATTTATAGTAGAAAACAACAGAAATGGACTAGAGACTCAGTTATAGAAAAGTAGTTATCCAAATACTGTATATTCACTATAAAAGGATATTATACAGCCATTGAAAATATGCTTTTTTCTTTTTTGAGACAGAGGTTTGCTCTTGTTGCCTAGGCTGGAGTGCAGTGGCGCAGTCTCAGCTCACTGCAACCTCCACCTCCTGGGTTCAAGAGATTCTCCTGCCTCAGCCTTCTGAGTAGCTGGGATTACAGTCGCACACCATCACACCTGGCAAATTTTGTATTTTTAGTAGAGATGGGGTTTCACCATGTTAGCTAGGTTGGTCTTGAACTCTTGGCCTCAAGTGATCCATCCACCTCAGCCTCCCAAAGTGCTGGGATTACAGGCGTGAGCCACCACGTCCAGCCTGAATTTTTCAACTTCTCTACAGTGAACACGATTGCTTTTACTGTCAGGTGAGGATCAGTAAAATTTATCTCAAAAAAAGCAGAAGTCTCCCATACTTATGAGAGTATCACCCTCAGATACACTCTGTCCTTAAATCTGGAACCCTGACGCATCAGAGCTCAGCCATCACAGGCCGAGTAATTCAGTCAAGGGAGCGGAGTCCTCCCCAAAGAACATCAGCAAGATGACACACAAAAGGGGCTCAAGTTTACCTTCCTTGTACACACGGAAACCAAACTCATCGTAGTAGAACTCTGGTTGCTCTGCTGACTCTTCCTTCTAGAATCAGGATGAGGTTGAAGTCAGTTGCCTGTCCCCTAGTTGGGGGCCTCAGGTCTGAAAGATGCCACCCACAGGGTTGCCTGCTAAAATCCCACCCAGCCTTCGGGCTCAGATCAAAGGCTACTCTTCCAAAAGCCGCCTCTGGTTACCACGCAACCTTCTCTGAACCTTCTTCTAGCAATTTCTCAACCTTCTATTTTCCTTGTTCTTCTCAGAGGTCAAAGATAATAAAATCAAGGCAAGAAACATGTTTTATGCAGTTGTGTCCCTATAATACTGAGAGCATAGTGCCACAGTGGTTGATTCACACAGGAAACATGGGGCTAAGATACCATCTCTGGTGGGGAACTCATAACCCTGTGTGAGTTGGCCACCTCTTCCTGGGCAGCCTGCAGAGCTGGGTCCCCTTCATACCACAGCGTGGGAGCACAGCAGGCTGGTGCCTGGCTAACTGCTATACCTGCGTGTACTTGGCCAAGATCTCCTGGGGCCATATGCTCGGAGTCAGGGCTGAGAAAGGGCCACAGGCAGGTGTATGGCTTCCTAAAACCAAAGAGGACCAGGAGAACAATCAAGAAAATGCAGAGGCAGGCCAGGCGCAGTGGCTCACGCCTGTAATCTCAGTACTTTGGGAGGCCGAGGTGGGCAGATCACCTGAGGTCAGGAGTTTGAGACCAGCCTGGCCAACATGGAGAAACCCATCTCTACTAAAAATACAAAATTAGCTGGGCGTGGTGGCACATGCCTGTAATCCCAGCTACTCGGGAGGCAGGAGAATAGCTTGAACCCAAGAAGCGGAGGTTGCAGTGAGCAAGGATCGTGCCATTGCGCTCCAGCCTGGGCAACAAGAGCGAAACTCTGCCTCAAAAAAATAAAAAAAAAATAGAAAATGCAGAGGCAAAATTCAAATCAGGAAATACCCTCTCCCTCTAAGAGCACCAGCATTAAAGGGACTGGCCCATCTCAAGCGTGCTGGGTAGGGAAGGAGCAGAGTGAAAGAAACCTCCTAGAAATCAGCAAATTTCTGGAGAAGAGGGGAAAGAAACAGCAGCACATTACAAAACATGACCAAACTTCATCTTCCGGCCTCTTTCTCCACCTGAGGACTGCAGATCTGCGGGTTGGAGAGCTGGAGGAGGAGAGCTAGAGAGCAGAGCTGAGAAGGAAGTTTTAATAACTTTCTCAGCCAGCCAGAAGCCTTCCCTACCATCTCCACCTCTCTTATCTGGATGGTGTTTTATGGAAAACAAGCCACCTTCCATCCCTCTGGCTCCTCTGTGAGAGCTTCAAACCCCGTTTCCAAGTCCAGCCCCTGCCTCTACCTGACATTGTGCTGGTGGGCTGGCAAGTCTTCTGCAGCTCCAATCTTAGAAGTCTCCTATCCTGCTATCTTAGAGCTGGAAGGCTCCTCAGGCTTCATCTGGTCCAGAATCATCTGCCCTGTTAGAAGAGAAAAGAGGAAAGTCATTCTATTTTTATTTTTATTTTTTTTTAGACAGAGTCTCGCTTGGTCACCTCAGGCTGGAGTGCAGTGGTGCAATCTCAGCTCACTGCAACCTCTGCCTCCTGGGTTCAAGAGATTCTTCTGCCTCGGCCTCCCGAGTAGCTGGGACTACAGGGTTGCACCACCACACCCGGCTGATTTTTGTCTTTTTAGTAGAGACGGGGTTTCACCATATTGGCCAGGCTGGTCTCGAACTCCTGACCTCGTGATCCCGCCGGCCTCGGCCTCCCAAAGTGCTGGGATTACAAGCATGAGCCACCGCGCCCGGCCAAGCCTTTACTTCCTTTTACTTCTAACCACAGAATTAAAGGCTCTCACTCTACGAAAGGAAGTAGGTGACAACGAGGAGATGTGGTTGAAAGATTTCAAGACAAGTTACATTCCGGTTTTTGAAATCATATTTACCTAAACCTGGCACTGAAGAAAAATTTACTTTTGCCATTTTTCACACAATGAGAATTCAGAAATGACAGTTGTTATCCTGGTCCATAACAGAACCTATTCTCCATGCTATCTGCCATGGAATTCTGGTGTTGGGAATTCTAGATAAATCGGGAAGAATTAGGTAAGTGAGAAGCAAAAAAGAGGAAAATCAAACCACCACTTCAAAGGAGCTGTGAGAAAATCCCAGTTCTCTTTAAAGACATACAAGTGTGGGGGCAAAAATAGCTCCTGTGGGCAGCTCAGCTGTGTCCCGGCCTCTGCTCCTGCCCCAGACACACACTGGCCAAGCCAAGTTTAGGATAAAGGCCACAGCAGAACATTCCTGACTGTTACAGAGGCTTTGGTACCCAAATGGGAGAGACGCTCCCTCCTGCTTCCAGACATGCCTGCTGAGAACCAGATGGCAGAACCTGCTTCCCCAACAGGCCAGCCATCCTGGTTGGTTGGTTCTGTGTGAAGAGAATGGAATTTTAATGTCTTCCTTCAGTGTAAAATATATGTGATATAGGGTTTCCCTCAGAACTATGAGCTGGATGATTACATATTTTTACATTAAAGAGACTGAGCTAGAAATTTTAAAAAGCATGTCATGTCATCATTCAATCCTTACAACACATTCATTCCTTACACAACAGAAAATAAGCCTAGGAGAGACTGATAGTTTCCAAATGGACTCCCAAAACTTTGCCCTGCCACACCATGTAACCCCACCCTGTGAAATGACGGACACATGGCCACCAGCTAGATGGCCCTGGGAATGGAACCCAGTGCTCTATTACGCCTCCTGCTGGCTTGGAGCCTGAGATGGCAAATGGCTGTGGCAGAACAACCACGTGTCAGCTTTGGGAGGGAGTGGGCTCAGCGCTCATCCTCTGCACCATGATTAAAAGTAAAGACATCTTGGCTGGGCGCGGTGGCTCACGCCTGTAATCCCAGCACTTTGGGAGGCTGAGGTGGGCGGATCACTTGAGGCCAGGAGTTTGAGACCAGCTTGGCCACCATGGTGAAACCCTGTCTCTACTAAAAATACAAAAAAATTAGCCAGGCATGGTGATGCATCCCTGTAATCGCAGCTACTTGAGAGGCTGAGGCACAAGAATTGCTTGAACCCGGGAGGCAGAGGTTGCAGTGAGCCAAGATCGCACCACTGCCCTCCAGCCTGGGTGACAGAGTGAGACTCTGTCTCAAAAAAAAAAAGTAAAGACATCTCCAGTCCAATCCTAGCTCTGCTACTCGTGTAGCAGAGTGGGCCTGTGCCCACTTGTTATAACCGTGGGCAAGTTTACTTCACGTCTGTATCAGTTTTCTTTTCGATAGAATGGAATAATAATACCTATGCCTTACTGTGGTTATGAGGATTACGTGAGCTGATGCAAATAAGGCCTTTAGCACACTGCCTGACACATATAAGTACTCAATAAGTATCAGGCAATTAGTAGTCCTAAAAATTTTTAGAAAGTTATTGTTAATATATGGACCCTCCTCATTGAGGTATACTAAAAACTATGTTGAACCATATTAAATTGCCGATATTCATCCATTACAGCCTAGAAAAATGACAACTGTGTATGGTTCCACATAACATGTCCCAGTTGAGAGCATGAGAAAGACTCCTCATCACCATCGGCCCCAGAGGCAGGGGTTTGGTTGGTGGTTCTGAAAGGGCAGAGTAAAAGTGTGACAGAGCACCTGCAGGCTGCTTGTAGCAGAGAAATCAGCTACATCTGGCTGTGGAGGCCTGAAGGGGCTGGGAAGGCCCACTCAGGAGTCCCTCCCCTTTCCTGATCTTGGCTGTCCTCCCACTCATTCATTCATCAGCAAATGGGGACTGAGCACCCCTAAGAGCCAGGCAGCTTCTAAGAGCTGGGACACAACAGTGGGGGAAAAAGTCCTGACCCTTACATTAGAGAATCAGATGACAGGCTGGGCCCGGTGGCTCACGCCTGTAATCCCAGCACTTTGGGAGGCCGAGGTGGGTGGATCACCTGAGGTCGGGAGATTGAGACCATCCTGGCCAACATGGTGAAACCCTGTCCTACTAAAAATACAAAAATTAGCTGGGCGTGGTGGCGTGTGCCTGTAGTCCCAGCTACTCGGGAGGCCGAGGCAGGAGAATCACTTGAACCCAGGAGGCAGAGGTTGCAGTGAGTTGAGATGGCGCCACTGCATTCCAGCCTGGTGACAGAGACTCCATCTCAAAAAAAAAAAAAAAAAAAAAAGACAGAATTGGATGATAAACACAGAAATAGATTGTGATAACTACAATGCTGTGAGGAAAAATAAAGGTCAAGGTGTGGAGACTATCAGAAGAGAGGGGATTTATATCAAGTGTTCAGGAGAAGCTCTTTAGAATATGGGTTAGGGACACCTGAGCAAAGACCAAAAGGAACTGAGGGCTCATGGCTACCTGAGGGAAAGGAGATCCAGGGAGAAGCAGCCCCAAGTTGGGAGCACACTGGGCATGCTGAAACAGCTGCAAGGCAGCCAGCAGGCTGGAGGGGCTGGGGAATGAGAAGGAAAGAGTGGGAGGAAACAGCCTGAATGGTGGGAGAAGACACAGCAGGGGACTACGAGGCCTCACAGTGTGGTGGATTCTGGGCTTCATTCTCAGTGAGCTGGGAAAGTAGGGGAGGGCTCTGAGCCCTCTCTGGCTGTCTTGCAGAGGTGGTGGTGGACATAGAGGAGGCTGTTGGATTAGTCAGGGTGAAAGGTATGTTGACTTTCCTATGGTGGGAACACTGAGAAATGGTCAGATTATGGATATATTTTATCATATTTTTTTTTTTAGAGACAAGGTCCCTCTATGTTGCCCAGGCTGGTCTTGAATTCCTGAGCTTAAGTGATCCTCCTGCCTCAGCCTCCCAAAGTGCTGTGATTACAGGTGTGAGCCACCACACCCAGCCAGATTCTGGATATAGAGTCTGCAGGGTTGAGCTCTTTAATGCTACACACACATATAAATGTATGTAATGTATATAAGTATATATAAACACGCCACTTCTCCCACTGGCTATAAAGCCCAGCCGGATGTGAATTGTTAAGCTGGGTGGGCAGGTTTTTCCTGCCTCTGGTCGCTATGGAAACCTTCCTGAAAGCAGCCATCTGGGAGTTGGCAGGAACAGCCCAGAGAGTTAGCCACGTCAGGGTGGCTGCCCTCCTGTTGTCACAGGAGTACTGAGAGGCAGAAAGTTGAAAAACAGGATTGATTTAGGAACCTTTGAGGAGCTCTAGAAAGAATTTTTCAAAATTAAATGTACATACTCCCTAGTTTGCTAATCTTACAATTTCCTATAAGGCAAATTTTGTTTAAAAAGCACAGAAGGTCAGATCTTACTATACACCCTGTTTTCCCCCATCTATGGGGAGGGGCAGAAAAGGTTCTGTCCATTTCCTGTGGTCTCTTCATATAGATCAGAGGGATATGGCCCCCCATTCACTCTGGTCCTCCTGTCCTGTCCTGTGTCCTATTTTCTTAACAACACAGCATAGTTGCTACTACTACAGAGATGGTTTTCTACAGACATTTACCATGGAACATGAAAGCTGTAAGCAACATAAGCAAAAATACTTCTTTTTTTTTTTTTTTTTTTTTTTTGAGACAGAGTCTCACTCTGTCGCCCAGGCTGGAGTGCAGTGGCGCAATCTCAGCTCACTGCAACCTCCACCTCCCAGGTTCAAGCGATTCTCCTGCCTCAGCCTCCCAGGTAGCTGGGATCACAGGCATGTGCCACCACGCCTGGCTAATTTTTTGTATTTTTAGTAGAGTTGGGGTTTCGCCGTGTTGGCCAGGCTGGTCTCAAACTTCTGACCTCAAGTGAGCCACCCGCCTCGGCCTCCCAAAGTGCTGGGATTACAGGTGTGAGCCACCGCACCCGGCCTGAGCAAAAATACTTCTAAGAGGCCTCTCAGATGCTGAAGACTGCATTTCCTCTGTGAGGAGGGGAAGAGGACACTTGAAGCTATCGATAAAAACTCACCTAGATAGAGAAGCACAAAGCCGGGAAAGTCCAAGAAAGGCTGGAGTAAAAAAAGATTAATGTGGCTTCTATAGATGCTAAAAAGGGGTAAAATCAGACAATAAATGCTCAAAGAAACATGAACATTTTTTAGAAAAGGAAAAAATATATGAATACCTTTTTCAAGGTAAGGGTACCAAATACTGGTTTTCTTCCTGGTTTTTCTCCTTGGCGCCTATTCTTCAGCACACCTCTAAAATGTACGTGGCTCCAATCTGGCTGCTACGTGGGCAAATAGCTTGTAGAGAGACAAGAGTGGATGCTTGCAGGCAAGTGTGGCGTGCAGAGGAAAGATTACGGAGAATGAGGCTGAAGTGACAGTGGAGAAAAAGAGAAGCAACAGATTCAAGACACAATCAGAGGTAGAATCAACAGGCCTTGCCGCAGAGTTGGATGTGGGGAATGAGAATGGGAGTGGCCACAGGCAAGGCCTAGGTTTCCAGTCTGTACTCCTGGGCTTATGATGATGCCATTTCCTAATATGAGAGAAATGGGAACAAAACAGGTTTGGGGAGGGGGGAAGTTAAGAAGTTAAGAGTTACGGGGCAGGGGCTGGGCACAGTGGCTCATACCTGTAATCCCAGCAGTTTGGGAGCCCGAGATGGGCAGATCACCTGAGGTCAGGAGTTCGAGACCAACCTGGCCAACATGGTGAAACCCCGTCTCCACTAAAATTACAAAAATTAGCTGGGCGTGGTGGCAGGCACCTATAATCCCAGCTACTTGGGAGGCTGAAGCAGGAGAATTGGTTCAGCCTGGGAGGTGGAGGTTGCGGTGAGCTGAGATCGTGCCACTGCACTCCAGCCTGGGCGACAGAGTGAGATCCTGTCTAAAAAAAAAAAAAAAGAGTTATGGGGTAATTTAAATGCTTATTTAGAAATCCAAGTGGAGCTGTTAAGTAGGTGATTACATCTATAAATCTATGTTTATGGGGAGATGTCAGAGGTAGAAACGTCAATTTGGGAGTTTTTCATTCATCTATCCAACCAACAAAAAAAATTTTTTGCAACTACTATATCCCAAACACTGTTCCATGTGTTAGAGATATAGCAGTAAAACAAGATGGACAAAGTTCTTGCTTTCATGAACCTGCAATTTCTTCTGTAAAATGGAAATAATACCTATACTACTTATGAGGTTAAGTGAGAAAATGTAGTACTTGTAACAATATTCAGCACGTGGCATGTGCTTAATAAATGCCAGTTATTATTAGTTACAGAAAACAGACAATAAATATGTAAATAATTTCAGAATAATAATACATGCCATGAAGAAAACAGAACAATAGGTTACAAAGTGGCAGGTAGGAGTGGAGGGGTTATTTTTAATTGGTGGTTGGGGAAGGCCTCTCTCAGGAAATGACTTTTCAGCTCACATGAGAATAACGATCAGGTCTGTGAAGATCTAGAAGAGTAGTGATGAGGGGGAAAGTAGCAGATAACGTTGGAAAAGGAGGCAGGAACTAGCTGACAGATGGCCCTTCTAGCCATGGCAAAAACTGGAATTTTTTTTTTTTTTTTTTTTTTGAGACAGGAGTCTTACTCTGTCACCCAGGCTAGAGTGCAGTGGCACAATCTCACTCACTGCAACCTCCACCTCCCGGGTTCAAGCGATTTTCCTGCCTCAGCCTCCCAAGTAGCTGGGATTACAGGTGCCCACCACCGCACCCGGCTAATTTTTGTATTTTTAGTAGAGATGGGGTTTCACTATGTTGGCCAGGCTGGTCTCGAACTCCTGACCTCGTGATCCACCCGCCTCAGCCTCCCAAAGGGCTGGGATTATAGGCGTGAGCCATCATGCCTGGCCAGTCTCCAAGTTCTTGGACCTGAGCAACTGTGCAGGTCCCATCAACTAAGACAAGGGAAGCCTGCTGAAAGAGCAGATTTTGGGGTTAGAAATCAAGAGTTCTGCTTTGGCCATGTTACACTGGGAGGCCGATCAGACTCCTAAGTGGAGATGTCAAGTTTGCACCTTACAAGCACGGAGTTCACAGATGTCAGAACTAGAAATGTAAACGTTGGAAACATCAGCATAGCGCAGAACTAGATGTCATTGCCAAGGAGGGAATGCAGAGCAGGGAGCCTAGGACCAAATCCTAAAACACTCCAACATTTAGAAGTTAGGCAGAAAAGGAGGCAGGAAACAAAATTTGGGAACTGGCCAATGAAACAGAAGGAAAACGAATAGTGTGTTGTGTTGTGGAAACCAACAGAAGTGAGTATTTCTAGAAAGAGTGCTTTGGTTTTAATGTGTCCCCTCCAAAATTCAGGTGTTGCCAATGTGATAGTATTAAGAGCTGGAACCTTTAAGAGATGATGAGGCCATGAAGCCTCCTCCCACATCAATGGGATTAGGTCCCCTCCTAAAGGGGCTTGACGGAAGGAGTTGGCTCTCTTGCCCTTCTGCCATATTAGGATGCAGCAAGAAGGCCCTCAACAAACGCTTGGACTTCCGAGCCTCCCAAACTGTGAGAAATAAACTTCTGTTCTTTAAAAATGACCCAGCATATTCTGTTACAGCAGCACAAAACAAACTAAGACAAGGAGTGGGTGATCATCCGTGTCACTCAATGTGAGGACAGAGAACTGGTCCTTGGCTTAGCAAGCTGAAGGTTGTTTGTGATCCTGAAAAGAGCTTTTAATTTTAATGGTCAAGGTGAAGGTCCAACTGGAGTGGGTTGAAGAAGGAACAGAAGAAAAGTGGAATCATCAGCATGAAGACAGTATATGACTTCAACCATTTAAAAATGTATAGGCCTGGCACAGTGGCTCACGCCTATAATCCCAGCTCTTTGGGTGACCCAAGGCAGGCGGATCACCTGAGGTCAGGAGTTTGCGACCAGCCTGGCCAACGTGGTGAAACCCCATCTCTACTAAAAATACAAAAATTAGCTGGGCGTGGTGGCACGCGCCTCTTAGTCCCAGCTATTTGGGAGGCCGAGGCGGGAGAATTGCTTGAATCTGGGAGGCGGAGGTTGCAGTGAGCCACGATCGCGCCACTGCACTCCAGCCTGGCAACAAAGTGAGACTCTGTCTCAAAAAAGAAAAAAGTAAAATAGTCAAAAGGTGAGAAGAATCCAAAGTCCATCAATTGATGGATAAACAAAATGTAGCTTACGCAGACAATGAACTATATTATTCATCCATAAAAGGAATGAAATACTGATATGTGCTACAACATGAATGAACCTTGAAAATATTATGCTCAGTGAAAGAAGCCAGTCACAAGGGGCTGCATACTGTATGATTCCATTTATATGAAATGTCCAACATAGGCAAATCCATAAAGACTGAAAGTAGATGAATGGTTGCCAGGGGCTGAGGGAAGGGCAGATAGGAAATGACTGCTAATGAGTAACGGAGTTTTCTTTTGGGCTAATGTAGATGTTCTGGAATTAGATACTGATGATGGTTGCACAACATAGTGAATGTACGAAAAACTGGTAAATTATACACTTTAAAAGGGTAAATTTTATGGTATATGAATTATATCTCAATTTTAAAAATAATTACAGTTTAAGTATTAGAACATTAGAGTAAGAAGGTTGACTTTTTTCTGAGGACCACCAGTGAAGCTGAGTACTGAGAACAGTGAATTAGCTTCTCCCCATCTTGCCTTTCTCTTCCCCTGCAGAGCTGCTACTACTCACCACCTTAAATATCCACCTCTGCTGAGATTTAATGCTTATACAAAACCAAGGAAAGAAAAGAAAGTATAAACAATTAGAAATAGCTTATCCATAACTGTGAAAAGGATCCCCTTCTCTCTCATTTGTAACTAACAATTTCCTAACACAGCTCTGCATGAGTTTGACATCTTAGCAACCTGTGAAGTCAGGAACTTCCTAAGCTGCTGAAAAAAAAAAAAAGCCTGTAATTTTTCAAGTTCCTCTAACAAGCCCCCTTCCCCTGCCATAGTCTAAGTAATTACTGGAATAATCACTGGAAAAAAAAAAACTGACAATACTTTGAAACTCAGGTTTCCAACCCACTGGTTTTGGTTGATTGTTTTTAAGGCGAAATAAAATCCCCAGGTGTCCCTCTTCACATGGGTTGCAGTTGCTCCCTATTATAATGAAGTATTAATAAAATACTTTTCCAAAAGCAAAAGCCACTAAAAGCAGTTTAAAGGAAAAGAGATACTTACAAACAAGGAAAAGTGCAGCAATTTGCAAAACAGGCTCTAAGGGGGAAAAAAGCTATTTACGAATCTGCTTTTACAGATATACCCCCACGTCTCCTGAGTTTTCGCCACAGCCCAGGCATTTGGTTCCCAGGCCCAGCCAGAGCTGGGTTTGGGTGAGACACTGGCTGTCAGAGCCCAAGGCTCAGAAGCACTTCTGGGCACTCTGCACAAATGCTCACAGGACCATTCTTTTCTACTGAGAATACAGTAAGATGCAAACAAAATGACAAACTTAAGTTCTAGCAGGATAAATTTCAGGGCAAAGGAAATCTCTGGATTATAAACATAGTCAATAGGCTAATCATGGCAAAGGAAGCTCTGGACTCTTCTTTTGAGTCTTGTAATTACACGAACACAACTTTTTGTGGTGTGTTTTGAGATAGGGTTTCACTCTGTTGCCCAGGCTGGAGTGCAGAGGAATGATCAGAGCTCACTGCAGCCTTGAACTCCCAGGCTCAAGCAATCCTCCCATCTCAGCCTCCTGAGTAGCTGGGACTACAGGTGTGCACCACCACACCAGGCTAATTTTCTTTTATTTTTTTGTAGAGACCGGGTCTCACTATGTTGCCTAGGCTGGTCTCAAACTCCTGGGCTCAAGGCATCCTCCTGCCTTAGCCTCCCAAAGTGCTGGGATTATAGACGTGAGTCAACACACCCAGTTGATCAGTGGTTCTCAAAATACAGAGTGTATCAGAATCACCTGGAGGGCTTCCTAAAACCCAGACAGCTGAGGCCCAGCCCCCGAATTTCTGACTCAGCAGGTGTGAGTAGGACCTGAGACTCTGCCTCTCCCAGGTGATGCGGATGCTTTTGGTCCAGGGAACACACTTTGAGAACCACTGACCTGAATTCCTCTTTGACCATTATTCTTTCAAATTCTAGCTCAGATGTGGCCTCCTCTAACAAGCCTTTCTTTCCAACTTCCATGTCCCCTACCTCCTTCCCCAACAGAATTAATCATTGTACATGCTGCTGTTGATTTCATGTGATACTATAATTTATGTACATGTGTATCTGTCCTATGTCCGGTACCTAGCCCAGTGCCTGACATGTGGCAGGGGCTGACTGTTTGATGAATAAGCACAGCAAACTCTTAGAAGGTCCCGATGTACAACACGCTCTTTTCCTGTGCCTTGGCTCTCTACTGCTCCCCCTGCTCATAATGCCCTCCTCTTTACCTGACTTATTCTTCAAGGCACAGCTGAAGCATTGCCTCCTCTAAGAAGCCTTATTTGATACTCTCTCTGCCTTTAGTTTGTGTTAGGTGCCCCTATTCCTCTGGGCCCCCAACAAACCCATCTATACATATCTTACTAATAGCTACCATTCATTGCATGCTAAGTGCCAGGGACTCAAATAAACAGAACTGAATTAAATCCTTCAGAGGTTCTTTGGCCCAGCAATTCCCGCTTCTGGAAATTTATCCTACATGCCAGCAAAATGACCTATATACAACGTAACTCCCTATAGCACTGGTTTTGAGAACAAAATACCAGATGGCAAAATATTAGGAAACCTCAATACCCACTGATACAGGACTGTTTAATTACAGTATATCTATAGAATAAAATGGTGTGCAGCTGTCACTGACAGGGGCTAAGTAAAAAAAGGAGAGTGAGAAGAATGTGAAAATACTTGTTAAAAAGGGGAGAAATTTTCATATAAAATAAAGGCTACATGTTGGGGGAACTAGGTGGCAGGGAGACTTTTACTTCATACTCGTTCTGTACCTTTTTCATTTTGAACCGTGTTACCACCTATGCAAACAAAAACATGAAAACAATTTTAAAGACCTTTAGAGAATCACAGAGCAAGAGACATTAGGGTGCCCCACATTTAATTCAACATAAAAATGAAATGAGTATGAGGAACTTCTACAAAGTTTAGATTTTTTTCCCTAGATGACTTGTTCCGTATCTGTGAAATGGCCAATGAGTTCTGTTTTCTCTTTATTTCACATATCTGCTTTATTAGTGTCCTCAGTGTGTGCTGGGTCTAAAGAGTCAATCTAGCACAGATGAAGTTCATTAAATCTAATGACTACACTGCAGTTCTTTTTTTTTTTTTTTTCTTTTTTTTTTTGAGACGGAGTTTCCCTCTTGTTGCCCAGGCTGGAGTGCAATGGCGCGATCCTGGCTCACTGCAACTTCCGCCTCCCAGGTTCAGGCAATTCTCCTGCCTCAGCCTCCCGAGTAGCTGGAATTACAGGCATGCAGCACCACATCCAGCTAATTTTGTATTTTTAGTAGAGACGGGGTTTCTCCATGTTGAGGCTGGTCTCGAACTCCTGACCTCAGGTGATCCGCCCACCTCGGCCTCCCAAAGTGCTGGGATTACAGGCGTGAGCCACCGCGCCCGGCCCTTTTTTTTTTTTTTTTTTTTTTTTCTGAGACGGAGTCTTGCACTGTGGCCCAGGCTGGAGTGCAGTGGCCCGATCTCAGCTCACTGCAAGCCCCGCCTCCCAGGTTCACGCCATTCTCCTGCCTCAGCCTCCGGAGTAGCTGGGACTACAGGCGCCCGCCACCACGCCCGGCTAATTTTTTGTATTTTTAGTAGAGACGGGGTTTCACCGTGTTAGCCGGGATGGTCGGGATCTCCTGACCTCGTGATCCGCCCGCCTCGGCCTCCCAAAGCGCTGGGATTACAGGCGTGAGCCACCGCGCCCGGCCTGCACTGCAGTTCTTACCACACCTGACCACTCAGTAGCATTTAGCTGTGTAATCACTTCCCCTCCTTAACACACAGTCTCTCTGGGTGTCTATGTGTCATGATCCTTTGGTTTTCCTCCTGGCTTTCTGGCTCCTTCTTAGTCTCCTTTTCCAGTTCCTCCTCCTATATGCCTGTTCTTCAGATGCCTTAATGTTGCGCCTTCGACTCTCCTCTAGCTCTCTGCACTCTCCTGGAACTCCTGGATGACTCTCACAACTTCAATTAACATCTACAAGCAGATAACTGATTTCTAGCTCCAAGATGCATTTCTCTCTCAACCTCAGACCAGCACATCCAGCTGGTGGGCAGCTCCTCCATATTCTTCGAATTTGCCACGCTCCAAGTTAACTCATCACCTTTCCTCATGAACCTGGTCCTCCCCTTCAGTGGTCCCGTTGCCATTACGACCTACCTACCCACTCTCTCCAGGCAGGACTTGGGGATGATGTTTAATGGATTCTTCACCTTTCCATCTTCACCCCTCAACTATTCGGCCTTTCCTAAAGTTTTTGAAACCTCCCCTTTCTCTTACAACCTGTTGCTACTTTCTAGTTGAGGCTGCCGTCGCTTTTCACCATCATGATTATTATACATCTCTCAACTGGAATCTCTGCCTCCACTCTCGGCCCCTCCCTCCAACCACTCTCTACCCTGCAGCCACAGAAATTCTTTCAAAATACAACTGATCATTTCCCTCCCATCTTTAAAACCTTCCCTTTGCTTTAAAGTCCAAATTTGTTAACTTGATTTATAAGACCCTGCATGACCTAGCAGCCCCTGCTACTCCCTGCAGCCTCATCTCTGAACACCTGCCTCGCACTTGCCTCCAATGCACTTTATGCTTTGGCAACGTTATCTTGGAACCCACCTGTGTTCTCTCAGAATGCTGCTAAATACAGCAATTACTCAGCAATATGTAAAGACAGCCTTGAAACCTGGACCCTACCAAACTCCACGATGAAGGAGCTAGTGGCACAGAACTTCTAGAACTGACTCCCCCTCCGGTTACCCTAGTAATTTTTGTTGATCATTTATATCACCCTTTATGACAAGGACATCTGAGGTGAACATCCATAGTATCATACAAATTTCTCAGCTGCCTCCTCCAAAACTGGCATCAGCAGAAGAGCAAAGTAAGTCTAAGAATCACACTCTACCTTGAACTCCACTCCTGCTACAAGGTTTGCAGCTGGGTCTGCTTACCCTTCCCTGAGTCAATATTTTCTTTGTGACAGAGATAGAGTGTTCCTTTAGGCGAGACTGAGGTGTGACTGTGTAAGGGAGAACACAGACTGGAAACATATATCAGGGAAACAGGAACCTCACCCTAGAATTCAGCACACAAGGTATGCGTGTCCCCTTCCTGCACAGGAGTACCAGTTAAACTCAGCTGCCCTACGCGGACTTGCTCACACTCATAACTGTGCCAGGCTCCTCTAGTTCCTCATATCAAATAATCAATCATCCACAGTAATCTGGTTACTTACCTGAGTCCCTCCCTCGATCATTCCTCTAATATTTATGGCCTGGCAGTTTCCGGAAAGGATAAGGAAAGCAACTTCATGGACCTTCTGTCATTCCCACTACCAGGGGTGGGGGATAACCACCTCCCCCAGAAGTAGAAGTGAAATAAATACTAGTTAGCTAACTGCAACTCAGCTTTCAGGTAGCTCTGAAAAATAGCAGACAAGAGTTTTTGAGGAAAATAAAGCTCCTTAAGGGCTGACTGGCAAAGAAGGCCACTGAGACATTTATATTGAAAGTTTTATATTAACATAGGAGATTAGGGCACCTAAGAGGAGATCATAAATATAGTTTACACAGTTGCTATTTTTCATATAATTAAACTACACAGGTCAACAAACTATCTCATCTTTACATCATTTATTTGCCATTACCATCTATATAATTACCGGAAATGTTTCATTTGCAGATATGAACATACCTACATAACATTACCCTAAAGAATGGTAATTATACTACACTATATACAGTATTATAGAGTATATATGCTATTATACTCTGTGGCAGTGAGTAGACGGAGGTATCAGAAGGAAACCTATGAAAGAAGGAAAAATAATATGTGTTAAGCATTCATCACACTGCTAAGCACACTCACAGGCATTATCCCCATTTTACACCTCAGCAAAGGACTGACCCCTCAGCAGTCTCACTATACCATACTGACTAGCACAACTCTAGTTATCAACTTTGCAGACAGTTTCCAGAAAAGATCATGGAACTATCTGTGCATGTGCGGGAACAAAATATCTTGACTTGGGATGACATATCTAGTGGGAGCCAGCCAGATTTAAGACACAAAGCAACTAAAAAAAATTTTTTGTGTGTGAAAATTCAAAATTAAACAGATAAATTAGGAGAGAATTCTCATAAGAGCAAACCAACTTCTCTAACAGATCTGCACCTATATTTAGAGACCATTAACTTCTTTAGTACTGGGGTGCAGGGCAAAGGGACTCACACAAAGTCATGAATTATAGAGTTAGAAGGATCCTTTGGGTTCATCTCTCATACTTTTTGAAAAAAGAAACTAGGGGCCAGGCACACTGGCTCACATATGTAACCCGAACACTTTGGGAGATTGAGACAAGAGGACTGCTTGAGGCCAGGAGTTCAAGACCAGCCTGGGCAACATAGCGAGACCTGATCTCTAGTTGTCTTTTTATTAAAAAAAAAAAAAAAAAAAAAAAAAAAGTAAGAAAATTGGACTAGAGGTCAAAAGACTGATTTAAAGCAGCATAGCCAGACCAGAAGTCTCTGATTTCTACTACTTTAATCTGAAACTGAATCAAAAACTTGGAAACAGCTAGAGACAGGCCCATTGGATTACATTCAGATCAGCATCATTACCAACAGAAATCCCAGAAGATACGTCACGAGGTTGTCCTCTTACTGTTGTGAACCTTAGGGTTAAGCAGTCCATATCTTTATATTATTTCACACTTAATAATGCTGATTTCAACAATCAGGTCCATACACTTCACTCCCATGTTGTAAAAGTTAGACAACCATCTGAACTAACCATGAATTAATGACAACTTTTTGCCTCATCTAGCCCCATTTAAGTTCCTCTTGGCTGGGAGAGGTGGTGGCTCACATTTGTGATCCCAGCACTCTGGGAGGCCAAGGCAGATGGATTGCTTGAGTGCAGGAGTTCAAGACCAGCCTGGGCAACATGGCAAAACCCTGTCTCTACTAAAAATAGAAAAACAAAAAAAACAAAAAAAAAAACAAAAAATTAGCCGGGCATGGTGGCGTGCGCCTGTAGTCCCAGCTACCTGGGAAGTTGAGATAGGAGAATCGCCTGGGCCCGGGAGGTCGACGCTGCAGTGGGCTGAGGTTGCACCACTGCACTCCAGCCTGGGCAACCAGAGTGAGACCCGGTCTTCAAGAAAAAAAAAAGTTGTTCCTCTGCTCTTTCTGCTCATGTTCCTCCTGGACAAAGTTAGGGAACAAGCCACATGCTATTTATCTTCACGGTTGCTCAGCAACCTTCATTCATCTCTAGTTGACTTTTCATCATATTTCCTTCAGCGATACTTTCAAATCATTCTCATAATTCTTCTGAAACCCAACTACTCTCTGCTGCCACTCACCCCCAGCTGAGGGACTGTACTCCAGCTTTAACGAAGCTCAGCTTATTAGACTTAAGCTTCCTCAACTTCCTTATTCTCCGTGTCAAAACGGCTTTTCACCTGTTTGCTCTTTCTGCCCGCCCTCTCAGAAGAGAAAGTGGTTTTCTTCCTTCCTACGTTAAATTCTCCACCCACGAGAACCTTTCAACCCATTTCCTTTATACTCTTTTCCTTTGTGCATCTTCAGTCTTTTCTTCTCCAATGGCTTCGTGTCCACTGCAAATACTTAGATCTCCTGAACCCTGAATTAAACAAAACAAAACAAAGCAACTATCCCTGTACCCACTCAAGCTGTTACCTTTCTAGCTCTTATCCCTCTGCCTCACTGCCATACTTTTTAAAAGCGCCCATGCTTCATCAATCAACTCACTCCTTAAGCTTTTCACCCTAGCTTCTGTCACCACCTAAACTGGTTTCTAAGGTCTCCAGTGATTTCCTAGTCATTATTTGGAATCCAGTTCCTATGGCTTCATTTCCTGAAACTCCCTGAAGCATCAGACTCTGCTGACTTACTTTGGTTTCTTGAACTGTTCAATGACTCTGAGGGCACAGACCATATTGTTTTTTCTTCTCTATTTAACTGCTTCTTTACTGCCTCTTCTTTCTCCAGACCCCCAAAAAAGACATTCCCCACATCAGTCTTCTTTCTTTTAGTCCATTCCTAATGGATTCCAAATGGGGAGTCCATCCCTATTCTGAATGGGGATTTAGCTATTACTGTCATATAAATTACAAATCTCTATCTCTAGCCATGACAACATAGATTATTTCCAACTTATTGTTGGATAGCTTCATTTGACTATATACCACAACACATTAAAATATGTATTTCTTTTTTTTTGAGGTGGAGTCTTGCTCTGTCGCCCAGGCTGGAGTGCAATGGCGCTATCTCAGCTTACTGCAAACTCCGCCTCCCAGATCCATGCCCATTCTCCCGCCTTAGCCTCCTGAGTAGCTGGGACTACAGGCGCCCGCCACCATGCCCAGCTAATTTTTTGTATTTTTAGTAGAGACAGGGTTTCACCGTGTTAGCCAGGATGGTCTCGATCTCCTGACCTCGTGATCCGCCCACCTTGGCCTTCCAAAGTGCTGGGATTACAGGCGTGAGCCACCGCACCTGGCCAATATGTATTTCTTTTTAATTTTTTTTTAATTTTTGTTTATTTATTGGAGATGGGGGTCTCCCTATGTTATCCAGACTGGAATACAGCTGCACACCACTGTGCCTGGCTTAAAATCTGTGTTTCCTGAATAAATCTATTTTTATTCTATCTCAGATGATTCTTTTTAATATTCCTGTTTCTTCTCCCAAGACATTCAGATCCTAAGGTTTAGGGTAATTTTTGGCTCCTTTTTTTTTGTCGTTGTTGTTGTTGTTAGAGACAGGGTTTTGTTCTGTTGCCCAAATTGAGTGCAGTGGTGGGATCATGACTCACTGCAGCCTTGACTTCCCAGGCTCAAGCAATCATCTCTCCTCAGCCTCCTGAGTAGCTAGGACTACGGGCGCATGCCATCATGACTTGCTAATTTTTATTTTTAGAGACAAGGTCCTACTATCTTGCCCAGGAAGGTCTTGAACTCCTGCACTCAAGCAATCCTCCCACTTTGGCCTCCCAAAGTGTTAGGATTACAGGCATGAGCCATGATGCCTGGCCTTGGCTCCTGCTTTTACTCTCATATCAAATCAGTTGCAAGTCTACTGATTTTACCTCTAAAATACCTCTAGCATCTCCATCTCCATTTCCACTGCCTTAATCCAGACCCTCCCTGCCACTTTTCTGGGCCACTGTCAAAATCTCCTAAAGATTTCTGTGTCTCCAGATTATCATTCCGTTTATGTTAAACAAAGAGTAGGTTAATATCCCCTGAAGCACAGCTCTGATTCCATAGACCCCAATCTCTTTTTGAGTCAGCTCTTATTTTCCCTTCATGTACCCTAAGCTTTAGCCAACTGGGCCCCTCACTACTGTCTCAACATGCCTCTGTGCCTTTATTTATATTGTGTCCTCTGCTAAGAAGGCCACCTTCCATTTCCAAATATCCAGATTCCATCCCTCTTTCAGTGCTTAGCTCTGAAACACCACTTCTGTGAAGCTTTCCTTAGTACTTCCTCTCAACATTTACTTGTTCCTACTGACTTTTTTTTTTTTTTTTTGAGACAGAGTCTCGCTCTGTCGCCAAGGGTGGAGTGCAGTGGCGTGATCTCGGCTCACTGCGAGCTCCACCTCCCAGGTTCACGCCATTCTCCTGCCTTAGCCTCCCGAGTAGCTGGGAATACAGGCACCTGCCACCACGCCGGGCTAATTTTTTATATTTTTAGTAGAGATGGGGTTTCACCGTGTTGGCCAGGATGGTCTTGATCTCCTGACCTCGTGATCTGCCCGCCTCGGCCTCCCAAAGTGCTGGGATTACAGGTGTGAGCCACTGCACCCGGCCGTTCCTACTGACTTCTATCTCACTTTACTAGTGTAGGTGCCTTATCTATAAACTGAAAGCTCTTCAAGGGCTGAATCCTCATTAGCACCTACTACAGTACTTAGGGATTTAATAAATGTTTGAAGTAGTAATCGCCTGTTTCATGAGATATTTAATTACCTGTTTTATGACCTACACAAATAAACCTTCCATAGTATTTCAGGACTTTCTGAAGAAATCTACCTTCACCTTTATACAGTGTTACTGTGGAAGCAAGAAGGCCTGGGCCTGACAACTTGTTCTGCCACTTGGCTGTGTGGCCAATTCATCTTCCCTAACCTCAGCTTCCCTATCAGTAAAATTAGGATAATAGGTACCTGCAGAATAAGTGAAAAAGTTCTTAAAACCCCTATCACATGCTTGGCATGGAGATCCTATTTTCCAAAAATGGGCTAACACAATATAACGTATCTCACACATGCTCTTCTTCAAATGTGACGAAACTTCTCCCATTGAATGGTGGGGTCTACGTCCCATCCACTCCCCGTGAACCCAGGCAAACCTCTGTGACTCCCTTAACCAAGAGAATATGGTGATATTGTGTAGCTTCTGAGGTTATGTCATAAAAATGTCATGCATTTTCACCTTGTTCCCTTGGGAGGTTAGCTCTTAGAACACACCTGCCATGCTGTGAGGTAGGTAAGGTAACATGGAGAGGTCACATATAGGTGCTCCGGCCAACAGTCCCAGGTGGGACCCAGCTGACAGCCACCATCAACCCCAAGACATCTAAGGAAACTTTAGACATGACTCCAGTCCCACCTAGCTGCAACTGCTTGAGATACCCCAGGAAAAACTACCTACCAACAACCAATCCCCCAGCAAGAGATAGTAATAAAATGATTATTGTTGCTTTAAGCTGCTAAATTCTGGAGTGATCAGTAAACAGCAATAGATAAATGGAAGAACTGGTGCTATGTTGTAGCTGTTAACATAATGCCATTTTAAATTTCAGTCTCCTCTCAACTCTTACTTTTTCAGATTGATGAGTCCTAAACTTATCCTGACCTCACATGGCAGGCACCACTCTTATTCTCTCATTTCACATCATGAGTGCTTACTCTGTGTCACACCCTAGGCTAGATCCTAGACAGGACAGTGAACAAAACAAAATCCTGTCTCTGTGGAGCTTTTATTCTGATCTGATAGAAAGACAAATCTGTAATATAAAATAAGAATTATTATTTGAGACAGCGTCTGACTTTGTCTGCCAGGCTGGAGTGCAGTGGCGCGAATCTTGGCTCACTGCAACTTCTGCCTCCTGGGCTCAAACCATCCTTCCACCCCAGCCTCCTGAGTAGCTGGGACTAAGGCATATACCACCATGCCTGGCTAGTTTTTTGTATATATTTTTGGTAAAGACAGGGTTTTGCCATGTTGCTCAGGCCAGTCTTGAACTCTTGGCCTCAAGGAATCCTCCCACCTTGGCCTCCCAAAGTGCTGGTATTACTGGTGTGAACCACTACGCCCGGCCCCAAGAATTATTAACTTACAACAAATTGCACAATAGTTTACATACATGTTGGGGAGTAATAAAGGGCTCTCATGCTTATTTATCATTTGTTCTTTTCCAGAAACTAAAGGACTCCAGTTATTTAGCTTCTAGATTTACCTTTTAAATTTGGAGTAATAATATAATACTTCAGTTTGTATTTCCAGTTCCTAAATGCACTATCTTGCATCGTTAAAATGCCTTGTAGCCGGGCATGGTGGCTCATTCCTCTTATCCCAGCACTTTGGAAGGCCAAGGCAGAAGGATCACTTGAGCCCAAGAGTTTGAGACCAGCCTCGGCAACATAGTGAGGCTTCATCACTACAAAAAATTTAAAAAATTAGCTGAGTGTGGTGGTGCACACCTGTAGTCCCAGCTACTTGGGAGGCTCAGGTGGGAGGACTGCCTGAGCCCTGGAGGTGGAGGTTGCAATGAGCCAAAATCATACCACTTCACTCCAACCTGGGCAACAGAATGAGGCCCTGTCTCAAAAAAAAGAAAAAGAAAAAAAAAGAAAAGCGTGTACCTCTTTTCTGATGGCTTATATAGACTAGTAAAATGTTTCTATAACCTTTCCTAATTACTTCGTTCTTCCCAATATCATGCTAAACCATTATCATGCTAAAACATTGCTTATATTATGTGAATCAATGGGGGAAAATACAATTTACAAAAATAGAAGCTGCAGCAACTTGTATTTTTAATTTATTAATTTATTTTTGAGCAGGGTCTTGCTCTGTTGTCCAGGCTGGAGGGAAGTGGTGTGATCACAGCTCACTGCAGCCTCGACCTCCCAGGCTCAAGCAATCCTCCCACCTCAGCCTCCCAAGGAGTTAGGACTACAGGCACACACCACCACGCCCTGCTAATTTTTTGTTACTGTTGTAGAGAGGGTCTTACTATGTTGCCCAGGCTGGTCTTAAATTCCTGGGCTCAATCAGTCATCCTACCTTGGCCTCCCAAAGTGCTGGGATTACAGGTGTGAGCCAGGCCTGTTTTTATGATTATAAAGTTATAGGCTGGGCACAGTGACTCACGCCTGTAATGATCACTTGAGGTCAGGAGTTCGAGACCAGCCTGGCCAACATGGTGAAAACCCATCTCTATTAGAAATACAAGAATTAGCCAGGTGTCATGGGGCATGCCTCTAATCCCAACTACTCGGGATGCTGAGGTGGGAGAATTGCTTGAACCCGGGAGGCGGAGGTTACAGTGAGCTGAGATAGTGCCACTGCACTCCAGCCTGGGTGACAGAGTGAGACCCTGTCTCAGGAAAAAAAAAAAAAAAAATTATAGATATTCATGGTTAAAAAAAGCTAGAAAATGTACAATTAATAGATGAATAAAGAAATAAATGCCAGAATGTTTACTGATTATTCCTGGGTGGTGCAGATAAGTGTAATTACTTAATCACACACACATACAAATACACACACAGCATTAAAAAAATGTTAATAGTCATACAAGAACATTTCCAGCACTGTATAAAGTTCTCTTGGACAGCACTTCACTACTTTATACTGCCTCTCAGGACTAGGTTCTGTAGTAGGTACATTTAGTCTTTGTCCATGGGATTATAATTTCATTGACCAGACAGACACATAAAATGGCAAACAACCCAAGGCCAGTTAATAAGAGAAACCAGGCCGAGCACGATGGCTCACACCTATAATCCCAGCACTTTAGGAGGCCGAGGAGGGTGGATCACTTGAGCCCAGGAGTTTGAGACCACCCTGGGCAACATGACGAAACCCAATCTCTACAAAAAAATACAAAAATTAGCTGGGCGTGGTGGTGCAAATCTGTAGTCCCAGATTACTCAGGAAGCTGAGGTGGGAGGATTGCTTGGGCCTGGGAGGTGGAGGTTGCAGTGAGTGGAGATTGTGCCACTGCATTCCAGCCTGGGTGACAAAGTGAGACCCTGCCTTAATAATAAGAACAGAGACCACAAATACTACCAAAGTTCAAAGAAATAAAGAGATAACTACAGGTTGATATGGAAAAGCCTTCATGAAGGAGGAAGATATTTACTTAATAACTCACTGAGGGATATGCATATGCTGCAGCAGGCACTGCACGGGCCTGAACTGAGCAAGACTTAGGGAGACCACAGTTTAACAGAGATAAACAATCCAACAGTCAGTCACCCTCCACCCCACATCTTTCATTAACTAGCTGTGTTACACAGGGACTCTGGTCCTTATGAAGAGGTGATCTCAGACTTCTAGTCTTGAAATGCTGTGATCCAAAGAGAAGAGGAAAAGAGAAAGGCACCAGCGAGTAAGGGAAGCAACAGAGAAAAGGTACGAAGTGGACAGCATGAGCTAGATATTCTCCTAGAACACAAAGCAGACCCAATGGTGACTTTGTGTTGAGGAAATACTCATTCAATCAACATATGTTTATTGAGTGCCTATTATGTACCAGGCACTGTTTTAAGTGTCGGGAACACAGAAGTGCTCAAAATAGATAGAAATCCCTTCTTTGAAAGTCCCAGCATTCTAGAGGGGAAAGAAGTAACTTAAAAAATTAATAAGAGACCACACTGTATGTCAGATGAATAGTGCTACAGAGTAAAATGAGGCAGGAAGAACCATAGGCACTTTCAGGAGCTGCTATTCTAAATTAGGTAGTCAGGGAAGGCTCAGTAAGAAAAATCTGAGCAAACACCTGAAGAAGGTGAGGAGCTGATGGAAGCAGAGGTCCGAAACAAAGAGCAGCACATAGGTGGTGAAGCGGGAATATAAGAGACTAGGTTGGAAAAGTGAGGAAAAGCAGGTAAATCTTCTAAAAAGAACTCTAGGTCTCGGAGTCTGCAGATTTAGATTTCAATCAGAGAATCACGATCTCAGAATTGGAGAGAACTTTACAGTTCATTCAGTACAACAACCCATTAGATTATTATTATTGGTTTTGTTCTGTTTTTTTTTGAGACAGAGTCTCGCTCTGTCACCCAGGCTGGAGTGCAGTGTGTGATCTCAGCTCACTGCAACCTCCGCCTCCTGGGTTCCTCTTCTGCCTCAGCTTCCTGGTAGATGGGATTACAGGCATGCGCCACCACACCCGGCTAATTTTTTGTATTTTTGGTAGTAGAGATGGGGTTTCGCCATGTAGGCCAGGTTGGTCTCGAACTCCCACCTTCAAGTGATCTGCCCGCCTTAGCCTCCCAAAGTGCTAGGATGACAGGCATCAGCCACCGTGCCCGGCCATATTATTATTTTTAATATACACAGGGTCTTGCTGTGTCACCCAGGCTGGAATGCAGTGGCACTATTCCAGCTCACTATAACCTCAAACTGTTGGGCTCAATCCTCTCACCCCAGTCTCCCAAGTAGCTAGGACTACAGGCACACACCATCATGCCTGGCTAATTTTTCTTATTTTTTTGTAGAGATGCTGGTCTTGCTATGTTGCCCAGGGTAGTCTCAAACTCTTGGCCTCAAGCGATCATCCTGCCTCAGCCTCCCAAAGCAGTGGAATTACAGGCATGAGCCACCACACCCAGTCCCCATTAGATTACTAAACCCATATTACTCCTCCCAGGTGACCATCTTGTCTTGGCTTGAACAATTTAGTGGATGTATCTATTTCCACATACCAAGACAGTCTGTCACCTGTGGATAGCCCTGCCTTAGGCTTTAACGTGGGCAGAAATCTGTTTGCTAGTAATATCTACTCTTTGGTCTTTTTAGGGGTACTTTGTATTCTACATACTTCAGACATTTGAAGATACCCACATCTTCTCCAAGATTTCTCTCCTCTTCAGGTTAAAGTTAGCTGATTATTTTAACTTTTTTTTTTTTTTTTTTGAGACAGGGTCTTGCTCTGTCACCCAGGCTGGCGTACAGTGGCACGATCACAGCTCACTGCAGCCTTGACCTCCCAAGCTCAAGTAATCTTCCCACCTCAGCCTCCCAAGTAGCTGGGACTACAGGCACATGCCACCATGCCCAGCTATTTATAATTTTTAAAGTTTTTTTTTGTAGAGACAGGTTCCCATTATGTTGCCCAGGCGGGTCTCAAACTCCTTAGCCCAATGGATCCGCCTGCCTTGGCCTCCCAGAGGGCTGGGATTACAGGCGTGAGCCACGACACCAGGCCTATTTTAACTCTTACATGACATGACCTCATGCCATGTAAAAGTTAAAGGTGTCTCAGCTGCAAGCCACCAAAACTGACTTTGGGTAACTTAAGTTATGAAAGACAGGAATGTATTGGAAGGATATGTAGTAGGACATAAAACCAAGGAAAAGCTGAAGACTCAGCTCGTTGAAAACAACAGCAGCTCTAGTGCCCAGATATTAGGAATTAGCCTGTGGTTGTGATGAAGGAGCTGCAACTGTTTATTGAACTTTTGTTACTGTGTCATTCAACCTAAGATTCAAATTAAAGGAGGAAAGCATCTATTTGCCTAACATCTGTTGGCCTGACCTGGGCCATGTGCCTACCACCTAGTTGGTCAGGGATGAACTGTTCTCCAAAGCAAAATTGAGCTGTTATCCCCAGAAGAACCTGGATTGGATGCTGGACAGGCCAAAACAACTTATGTCTACTAAATTTTCTCAAAATGTGATGCTTCAAATTCCACATGATCTAGATATGGAGGAGCAACACCAGGGCACTGTCTGCACACATGCTGCATGACTGGGAAAGTGACCAAATGTGTGCCTGTTTCCTGCCGGACAGTGATGGTCACAAGCATATTTGGTTATTCCTATGACAATCAAAGAAAATGTGTGCAAAATGCTTTGTAAACTCGAAGCTAACTGTAGTACTTAATACCGTAAATGCTTGTCACAGCCATTTTATATAGATTTTATTTAATCTTCAAAACTACTCTATTTCTTGATTATATGCTAAATTAAAAAAAACAAAAAACTATGAAGGTGGAGATTATGAGCATAAACTCTAGAGTCAGACTAAGTTCTAATCCTGACTCCACCAATCTTTAGCAAATTACTGTTTCTGTCACTGTTGTCTCACCTGTAAATGGGCATAATACTAGCAATACATAGGGTTGATGTGAGGATTGTGAGTTAATACAAATAAAATTCTTAGAACTGTGACTGGTATATATAGCAAACACCTAATACATATTAGCTATTACTATGAGTAGCACTAATTATTCCATTTTTGCAGGTGAGAGAAATGAGGCATGACAGATAACTTGTAAGTTCTCGAAGTTTACAATGGTAAAGCCAGGCCGGGTGCAGTGGCATGCACCTGTAATCACAGCAACTCATGAGATTAAAGCAGGAGGACCTCTTGAGCCCAGGAGTTTGAGGTTTCAGTGAGCTATGATCATGCCACTGCACTCCAACCTGGGCAACAGAGCAAAACCCTGTCAATCAATCAAGCAAGCAGACAAGCAAGGAAGCAAGCAGCAGAGCCGTAAGTTGAACTTCATTGTTGGTGCTCCGACTACCGTACTGTTTCCAAAAGACAAAAAAAAAAAAAAAAAAAAAAAAAAAAAAAAGTGGTAATTTGACTTTAACCCTATCCTCAAGTCACATAATTAAGGATATTTACAAACGAAACTCAAACACAAGAGAGGGAAAAGGGAAATGATCTGTTCTTTCATATCTTGTTTTTTTTTTTCCAGTTTTTTGAGACAGGGTCTCCCTTTGTCACCCAGGCTGGAGTGTGTGGTGTGTGGTGTGATCACAGCTCACTACAGCTTCAATCTCCTGAGCTCAAGTGATCCTCTTGCCTCAGCATCCTGAGTAGGTGGGACCACAAGCACACGCCACCATATCTGGTTAATTTTTAGAAATTTTTTTGTAGAGGCAGGGTCTCACCATGTTGCCCAGGCTGGTCTTGACCTCCTGGGCTTCAGTGATCCTTCCACCTCAGCCTCCCAAAGTGCTGGGATTACAGACATAAGCCCAGCCTGTTTCATGTCTTTAGAGTGTTAGCTTGCAGGCTAATTAGATATCTAGAGAAGGGTGAGAAAAGTCACATAATTTTGTTGTAGTGAAAAAAAAAAAATTCTCTGTCTTAATTGGAAATTATACCCTTTCCAAGATAAGACTTTTGACACTGAATTGGGGGTGTCAATCTCTTTTTTTTTTTTTGAGACAGAGTTTCACTCTTGTCACCCAGGCTGGAGTGCAATGACATGATCTCGGCTCACTGCAACCTATGCCTCCCAGGTTCAAGTGATTCTCCTGCCTCAGCCTCCCGAATAGCTGGGATTACAGGCGCCTGCCACCACACCCAGCTAATTTTTGTATTTTTAGTAGAGGCAGGGTTTTACCATGTTGTCCAGGCTAGTCTCAAACTCCTGACCTTAGGTGATCCGCCTACCTCGGCCTCCCAAAGCACTGGGATTACAGGCGTGAGCCACCACAACCGGCCTATCAATCTAATTTCTGATATCAGTTACTCTTGTTGATAAAGCTGTTTAATTATTCCAAAGCAGTTAACCTCCCAAAACAATTTACATCATTAGTAGAGAGAAAAACAAATACAAAACATGTATCACACTTAGAAAAAGCAGAAATATGTTTATCACTGCAAAAGAGGCATATATTAGAAGAGACAGTTAATAGTTAACTGTGCCTACTGAAAAGAGGTGAATGTATCTCTCCTCATGTATAAATGGTGAGCATAAATTAGTAAGCCTAAATTTTCAAAAAGGGGAGGTGATTATATATGTAGCATTCAAACAATGGTGCTGTCAAAATCAGTTCATAAGCCACACTGAAAATCTAGCCTTGTTATTTCAGTCATATGCTACTACTGATAGTACTGGTACAATGTGTTTGTTTGAGGCAAGGTCTCATTCTCTTCCCCAGGCTGGAGTGCAGTGGTACAAACATGGCTGGCTGCAACTTCGACCTCCTGAGCTGAGCCCAAGCAATCCTCCTGCCTCAGCCTCCCGAGTAGCTGGGACCACAGGCGCACATCACCATGACTGGCAATTTTATGTTTTTGGTCGAGATGGCATTTCGCCATGTTGCCCAGACCAGTCTTGAACTCCTGGGCTCAAGCAATCCTCTACCTTGGCCTCCCAAAGTGCTGGGATTACAGGCGTGAGCCGCCGTACTGGGCCCCATTCAACAGATATTTATTGCTCACCTACCACTGTTCTAGGAGATGGGGGTGAGGTGGTGAACAACACAAAGCCCCTACTTTCATAGAGCTTACATTGCAGGCAAGTATTACAAAGAAGAAATTGTAGCTCAGTTACCAGATCTGTCAGACTCTAAAGCCTATACTGTATCTTTCAACCATGTCATCTCTCAGTGGATACAGCTTTTCCCTAAAAGTATATACCTAAGCACGCAGTCTTGACACTACAGTCTAGACCAATTTAAGCTTTCTCTCTGGTGGCAGTCCAGTGACATCTTCACAATAAAGTGTTCCTTCCCCAACTCTCAAACTATAAAAACCGCCCTATTGGCTGGGCACGGTGGCTCACACCTGTAATCCCAGCACTTTGGGAGGCCGAGGCAGGCGGATCACGAGGTCAGATCAAGACCATTCTGGCTAACACGGTGAAGCCCCGTCTCTACTAAAAAAAATACAAAAAATTAGCCGGGCATGGTGGCAGGCGCCTGTAGTCCCAGCTACTCAGGAGGCTGAGGCAGGAGAATGGCGTAAATAAACCCGGGAGGCAGAGCTTGCAGTGAGCCGAGATCACGCCACTGCACTCAAGCCTGGGCGACAGAGGGAGACTCCGTCTCAAAAATAAATAAATAAAATAAATAAAAATAAAAATAAATAAACCACCCTATCAGGCCAGGTGTGGTGGCTCACGCCTGTAATCCCAGCACTTTGGAAGGCCTAGGAGGGCGGATCACGAGGTCAAGAGATGGAGACCATCCTGGCCAACATGGTGAAACCTCGTCTCTACTAAAAATACAAAAATTAGCTGGGTGTGGTGGTGCACGCCTGCAGTCTCAGCTACTCGGGAGGCTGAGGCAGGAGAACTGCTTGAACTCGGGAGGCAGAGATTGCAGTGAGCCGAGATTGCCCCACTGCACTCTAGCCTGGTGACAGAGTGAGACTATGTCTCAAAAAAACAAAAACAAAAACAAAAAACACAACTGCCCTATCAGTGGGAAACATACATTGACATGTATAAACTACCCTCTCTCATTAATCTCTAAACTACCTGAGGGCAAGATCCATGTCTTAGCCGTCTTTATAAGTCTAGAAGATGATATACACAGTAGATATTCAATAAATCGTTGAGAGGAATTCATGAGAGTAGTTTCAACAGAGTTGAGGGTAGAAGTCAGACTGCAATGAATGAAGGAGTAAATGGAAGAGAAGAATGTAGAGTCTGCTTCTTAAGGACAAGTCTAGAAAGGAAAAGCAGGAGAAATGGTAGTAATTTGAAGGGAAATATGATCACAGGAAAGTTTCATATATTTTTAAGAATGAGAAAGACTTGAACACAGTTGTTGATAAGGTAGTACAGCACAGACAAAAGAGCAGAGTTTAGAGTCAGGTAGACTTAAATTCTGGCCCTGTCACTTACAGTGACCTGTGACAACTAGTGTCTGGTAAGCAGAAGGCATCCAATAAGTGGTTTCAATGATTATTACTACAGGTAGGAGTGGTGTTCTAACCCCTCCCACATATCTTGTGCTCCAGTCTAGATTCCCTAAGTCTGTGTATAATATGTGATGGCAAAGAAACAGGATCTTTTTTTCTTCTGTAACACTCATTGTGCTATTCCCATTTCCTTGTGACAGTCTGCATGAGCTCATGAATGGCTGCTGTGGAAAATTACTGACGTCACCAGCTGAATAACAGGCTATCTGGAGAGTAAGCAGATGAAACTGATGTTAAATTATCAAATGTACAAGATTTTGGGCTCCTGCCAAAACCTTCATTGAGAACTAAGAAGAGAAAAACTGAAAACACACAGAGCTTTTTTTAAGCTTCTGAGCCAGCAGGCTGTTCCTACATCCACTCCAGGCATAGAAAGATGGCTGTAAAATAAAAGAGATGATTATCTCCTCCCTTCCCTTCTCAATATTTCACCCTAATGTCGGGTTCATTTCTGTGAGGTTCTACCCGAGTTCACTTTTCTATCAACCTGACATGTTTCCAAATTCACGAGGTATGCGTTTTTATATTGAAGCAATTGTTTGTTTACAGCCTTTTAATGTTCTGGTCATGGGTTATGTTAACCTATTACCCATATCTGATCAATAGACACCTCACCCTCTCCCCTCCCAGACCACACACCTCCACGCTTAAAAAGGGACAGGGAGGGCCAGGCACGGTGGCTCACGCCTGTAATCCCAGCACTTTGGGAGGCCGAGGCGGGCAGATCACGAGGTCAGGAGATCGAGACCATCTGGCTAACACGGTGAAACCCCGTCTCTACTAAAAATACAAAAAATTATCCGGGTGTGGTGGCGGGCACCTATAGTCCCAGCTACTCGGGAGGCTGAGGCAGGAGAATGGCGTGAACCCGGGAGGCAGAGCTTGCAGTGAGCCGAGATCGCGCCACTGCACTCCAGCCTGGGCAACAGAGCGAGACTCCGTCTCAAAAAAAAAAAAAAAAAAAAAAGGGGGGGGGGACAGGGAGAAGAACTAAAGCTCAGGCTACTATGATAATTAGGGATGAAAAAGCTACATTCACTTAGGATTATCAAAAGCCAGGAAAGATATCTATAGAATTACAAATTAATCGGGCCTGGCGCAGTGGCTCACGCCTGTAATCCCAGCACTTTGGGAGGCCCGAGACGGGCGGATCACCTGTGGTCAGGAGTTCGAGACCAGCCTGGCCAACATGGCGAAAAACCCCGTCTCTATTAAAAATACACAAATTAGCCGGGCGTGGTGGCGGGCGCCTGTAATCCCAGCTACTCGGTAGGCTGAGGCAGGAGAATCACTTGAATCCGGGAGGCGGAGCTTGCAGTGAGCCGAGATCATGTCATTGCACTCCAGCCCGGGCAAGAGCGAAACTCCCGTCTTAAAAAAAAAATAGAAAAGAAAAGAAAAGAAGAATTACAAATTAATCACCAAGAACAGAAATAGTGTAAAAACAAAGATGTAATTCAACTGTTTAGAGTGCAGAGATAATTGGAACTAAAAGAGCAAGAAAAGCGGGAAACATATGTACCTATAAACCTAATCACAAACCTGTCACAAAAACTACGAGTAAACGAGTCGAAGTTGAAAATGAGTTTTTGTGAATCAGAGTCTGATTTGACTTGAATTTACTAAGAAAGAATAAGAAAGGTGTAGAACATTCCAGGACATCTCTATCCCACCGCAAAACAAAAAAGAGCCATCAACCCACCACAAACGTGCAGCGTGAGACTGGAAGATACACTAGTCACCCAGTCACTGAAAACAACCTTTGAAACATCTTTATTTTTCTTTCCAAATAAAAAAGAGCCTAGGTCAGTAAACTAAGTATGAGAATAATTTTCAAAATTCCAGTCCTAACCACACCGGATGATTCTGGCT
This sequence comes from Homo sapiens, assembly GCF_000001405.40. Taxonomy (NCBI): domain Eukaryota; kingdom Metazoa; phylum Chordata; class Mammalia; order Primates; family Hominidae; genus Homo; species Homo sapiens. The sequence goes on along the minus strand of NC_000022.11, from coordinate 40,371,217 downwards.
AACGTATGCCTCAGTTTCCCCCGTGCTAAAATGCAAACACACCGGTGTTCCGAGTCTCGGGCCTGGATCCGAGCCCGGGTTCTGCACCTGGATCTGAATCTTAAAGGGAAAACCGCAAGTTAAACCTGAGGAGGAGTCTGCAGCTGTCCCGGTGCCAGAGCCAGCCAGGCTCTTTTTAGAAAGCCCCCCGCCTCAGGCGCGGTTTTCGTAAAACCGCTCCCGGCTGCCAGCGCGGTGGATTCCGGCTGGCGCCCCGAACACCTGAGGTGGCCTCGGCCGTCTAGGGGCGGCCGCACCGGAGGACGCAGCCGACCTCCCCGCCCCGCCGCGTCCCCGGCCCCCATTCCAACGGCGACGCGAGCAAGGTCGGCCCGGCGGCTCTCCGGCCCGAGGCGGTGCTTCTCTCGTGGGCGCCTTCGGCCCATACGACCCTCGGTCGGACAGTCCGACCACAGCCGCCCCGCAGCCCCCGCCTGAGGGGAACTTGTAGGCGCCGGTGGGTCTCCGCTGACTCCCGCCCCGCACTCACCTGCCCCACGGGCCACCTCAGCGCCAATCCGGGTCGGGTTAGCAGCTTCCCCACTCGCACCCAGTCAGCGCTCAGCGGCGCCTAAGCGCACGCGTGGCGGGGCGTGGCATGGGCGGCCGCGGGTCATGCTGGGGGCTGTAGTCGTTCCCGCCCACTAGGCGGGGCGCGTCCAGGGGCTTTGCGCCCCCATCCCAAGGCCAGCATGCATAGCGATGATTTCTTCGTCTGCACCGCAGCCTGAGAAGCTTGGGACAGTATGGTGTGGACCAGCAGTCAGGGTGGTGGGAGATAGACGCTGCAAATAACTTGCTAATTTTTTTTTTTTTTTTTTTTTGAGATGGAGTCTCGCTCTGTCACCCAGGCTGAAGTGCAGTGGCGTGATCTCGGCTCACTGCAACCTCCACCTCCCAGGTTCAATCAGTTCTCTGCCTCAGCCTCCCGAGTAGCTGGGATTACAGGCGCCCGCCACCACGCCCAGCTAATTTTTTTGTATTTTTAGTACAGTATTTTTAGTAGAGACGGGGTTTCACCATGTTGGCCAGGCTGGTCTCGAACTCCTGACCTCAGATGATCTGCCCGCTTCAGCCTCCCAAAGTGCTGGGATTACAGGCGTGAGCCACCGCGCCAGGCCGGAAAACGAAATTTTCTGAGTACCTTCTGTGTCAGATTCTATGCTGTGCAATTCCCATCTCACCAACCCTCACATCCACCTAGGCTTCATATCACCTTTCTAGGGACTCCTAACCCTCGTGCTTCCACTAAAGCTGTGTTTACAAACATCAGGCTCTCCTGGTTCTTAAATGAAACTGAGCATCAGCCAGGGAAAGAGGGCATTAAGTGTCCAGGTGTCTGACTTCAGCTGAGCAGACATTTCATCAGTTGCCCCAAGTTCTGCCCAGAACCTGACATCTGGGTAGTTCTGATGCTGGAGTCCGTGTGAATTTAAACCAATCTTAAAGAAAATACAACAGCCTGGGTTAACAGAGTGAGACCCTGTCTCTACAAAAAACAACAAAAAATGAACCACGTGTGGTTGTGTGTGCCATAGTCCCAGCTACTCAAGAGGCTGAGGTGAGAGGATCGCTTGAGCCCAGGAAATCAAGGCTGCAGTGAACTGTGGTCATGCCACTGCACTCCAGCTTGGGCGACAGAGCAAGATCTTGTCTATATATATATATAAAAGATAGATATATGAATGTATATTATATATAATATATATGAATGTATATTATATATAATATATATGAATGTATATTTTATATATATACATAAATGTACATTTAATATATATATGTTTTCCAGTGAACACGCAGACCACCCATCAAATTAAAATGTTACATGGGAAAATCAGATTACAAAGTTGCATACAAGTATGTAAATACAAAAATAAAGGAGAATGGAAAAGGAAAGAAGACAAGAGATGCACCAACAAATCCACCCATTCAAATAGTCCAGGAAGAAACCAGGTCAAATCGCCAATCACTGGAGATCATTAGTCTAACAGAATTGTTAGGACAGGAACAAGACTGTTATTTCCTTATTTTCTATGAGGAAATGTATTAACTAAAATCCATGGTATCCTATATCCCCAGTATCTGTTATGTAATATAAATTCTCACATTACAGATAAACTGATAGTAGTTGCTGCCTCCAAGTTGCCCATAGCAGAGAAGGAAGTAGACAGAATATCTGGTCAGAGTCCCATGACTTAATTTCCTTGTGTCAGACTTAGTATCCTTTCAAGATTTTTTCTGTTTTGTTTTTTCAGATGGAGTCTCGCTCCGTTGCCCAGGCTGGAGTACAGTGGCATGATCTTGGCTCACTGCAACTTCTGCCTCCCAGGTTCAAGCAATTCTCCTGTCTCAGCCTCCCAAGTAGCTGGGACTATAGGCGCCTGCCACCACGCCCGGTTGATTGTATTTTTAGTAGAGACGGAGTTTCACCTTGTCGGTCAAGCTGGTCTCGAACTCCTGACCTCAGGTGATCCACCTGCCTCGGCCTCCCAAAGTGTTGGGATTACAGGCGTGAGCCACCACCGCACCCGGCCCTTTTCAAGATTTTTTAGAGATGAACAGAGTAACTCTTTCTGGAAGTTGAGCAAATGGCTCTATGCTATCCCTGCTTGCTTGCTATACTAGCCTATGTTCAGAATTTGGTTTTCAGAATTGTCTTCTATTGTTTTTCCAAAAGGATAAGCTCTTCTCTTAGGTTGGCTTTAAGTGACAAGGGCTCGCTGTCACCCAGCCTGGACTAAACTCTTGGGCTCAAGTGACCCTATCGCCTCAGCTTCCCAAGTAGCTGGGACTGTAAATGCGCATCATCGCAACCTGATTTCCTGGCTACTTTTAAATAAAACTGGAACCGATTCAGCCTCCTCTCCCTCACAACATTCCTAACGAGGCAGTCTTCCAGCTTCTGCCTGACCTGGGGGATTGAGTGTAGGTTGCTAATCTCAGTGGTTCCAATGTCTGGCCCCAAGCCAGTCTCAGTAATGGGTATTGAGCTCAGTGTGTCTCTTGGGGCAACACACAATCAAGTCACTCTTCCTGCACCTGGCAATATTTGAAGTGCCGAGGAGTTTTCTTCTGTATAGGATAAAGAGCCCTAACATTCCTCCACCACAAGATCTTTTTGGAGGTTGGCTCTCCAGTTCATCTCTATTCCTCAGACTGGGTATCCAAAATTGAATGTAATGCCAAGAGTGCGGAGCAGTAAGCCTCTGGTGGCTTTTTGGGCACTGGACAACCATTAACACCTCCTAAAACAGTCTTCTCTCAGTTCTGGTGCATACTGAGTTTAAGATTAACTTATTTACATTGATCTTTATTAACTTTTTCCTCTAGTTTAGGACACATCATTTCAGCCGATTTAGGTTAGAGATGAAAACTTATTTTACCAAATAAACATACTTGTTAATTCTCCCAGTTTTGTGTCATCTGCAAATCTGATAAACAAAAGCTTTCATTTTCATCTATGCCGAAAAATATGTAGGATGAGAATGGGCTAAATAACACTAGTGCTCTCCTGGCAGGTAGGTAATTAACTCAATCTTTGGCTACAGTTGCTTCAATCAGCTATAAATCCATGCAACAAGGAAGTCGGGCGCAGTGGCAGAAGCTGGAAGACTGCCTAGTTGCCAAGTATCTGATGTGCTCTTGCTATTGGAAATACAACAAGGAATGACACAGACAACGTTCTTGTCCAATGGCACTTGCTTACACTGTAAACAAGTAAAAAAAGAAAACAAGATTAGGCTGGGTGTGGTGGCTCATGTCTATAATCCCAGAACTTTGGGAGGCTGAGATGGGCGGATCACTTGAGGTCAGGAGTTCAAGACCAGCCCGCCCAACATGGCAAAACTCCATCCCGTCTAAAAATACAAAAATTAGCCAGGCATGGCGGCAGGCGCCTGTAATCCCAGCTACTTGGGAGGCTGAGGCTGGAGAATCGCTTGAACCTGAGAGGCGGAGGTTGCAGTGAGCCAAGATTGTGCTACTGCACTCTAGTCTGGGTGACAGAGCAAGCCTCAACAACAAAATCCATGCAACAAGGAATAAAGACTGTCAGCGGCCCTGATGAAATCAATATACTCAATTAGCATTTCCCTGCTGTATAAGCCTTATCAAAAGATGAAATGAGCTTGGGCACAACTTCAGCTCAATCAGCCTGATGGTCACATCAGGGTTTGGTTCTTTTTTTTTTTTTTTTTAAGTATTTACTGTAGTTCCAAACTTCATCACTTATACTAGCCAAAAATAACCGAAATAAAAGGTATCTGACCATTGACTCAATCACTGAGTCCAGGTTATTTTGCTAGACCTAGATCAAATTCACTTTTAGAAGACAGGACCAGAAATTTCTTGCTACTTTACAAGCAAATGAACACGTGAAAAGGACTAAACTTGAGGCAGCTGGAAAATATGCCTTGAAAGAACAGAGATCAAGTATGAACTACATTTACTATGCAAGAGCAGAGTCAACTTCAACGCTCTTTGTTTTTGCCTTGTTGAGAAATGTGAGACTGAGAAACAGGAAAGCACCATGGGAAGAAGAAAGTGCTGTACTAATTTAAGGTAACAATTCTCGAGGTAAAATAAGGCATTATAGTAACACAATTTTCATGCCTCAGCAATTAACAATGATTTTCGTTTAATTCTCTTCCAACTCTACAGACATAATTCTGCTTTCACCTTCATCACGCTTTCATATGGTTTTAACAGGGGATACACCTCCTCTTCTAAGAATCTCTGCACCTGCCAGAGGAAAGCAAATACAAGACAAAAGAAAATGTTAAGATATTAGCAGATAATACCTTTTCCAATGTCAGGGGATACCACTGAAACCTAATTTGATGAAGCTTTTACTCCAACACTGAGCTTGTTTTCCTCAACTGCCTATCAGGAATTTCTGCCTAGACACAGATGATTCAACCACCATGCCCACATGCTCACCAACCTTTCCCGCAAACTGGCCCAGCCTGTGTTCTCTCAGGTGGTTTCACCATTTCCATCCAACCTAAAAATCACCACAGCTTCTTTCCTCCTGCTTCCCAGCCCTCTTCAAGTAGCCACCAAGAGCTTAACCTCCTCTCCCTCCCCGGTCTGTGTCTCTCACCACTGCCTTCACTCAAGCTCTCATCATCTACTGCTTGGCCCGTTGCAGTAGCCTCCTTATTGGTCTCCTACCTCCAGTTTTAGTCTTTTAGCCCTCAGTCCTTGCACGTACTGCTTGGTATCATAATGACCTATTTACAAGTATTCACCACTAAGTTTTGAGCTCTCTGAAGATGAGGATTATCTATTCATCTTTGTATTTTTTTTAAGACAGGATCTCATTTTGTCACCCAAGCCAGAGGGCAAGGGAATGAATATGGCTCACTGCAGCCTTGACCTCCTAGGCTCAAGCTATCCTCCCGCCTCAGCCCTGAGTAGCAGAGACTACAGGCGCACACCACCACACCTGGCTAATTTTTGTATTTTTTTGTAGAGACAAGGTTTCACCATGTTGCCCAGGATGTTCTTGAACTCCTGAGCTCAAGCAATCCTCCTGCCTCGGCCTCCCAAAATGCTAGGATTACTGGTGTGAGCCACTGCGCCCAGCCTATCTATTCATTTTAAAATCCCCAGAATTAAATACAGTACCTGAACACATACTGAGCACCTAGTATATACTCAGGCATTTCAATCATTACAACACTGAGATATTTACTTTTACCTTCTCAGCCAGTAAATGCCAGAGGTTACGATTTAACCCAGATCCACCTGACAATAAAACCTAATTCTTTGTCCATTATACCACATTCTCAAGACCAAAAGATAATTCCAAAAAATCTACACAAAGAAATAAAGGCAGCTCAAAACAGCGGTATCTTGGTCAGTTGTGGGGGCTCATGCCTATAATCCCAGCACCACTGCACTCAGCACCACTGCACTCCAGCCTGGATGAGAGACTCTGTCTCAAAAAAACAAAACAAAACAGAAACAAAACCGAAATATCTAAGTTTTAGCCAGCAACCTGCTCTGATTTTCTTCTAACTAGCCCATTCCCACCATACCTCCTATAAAGCAAAAACATCAAAGAGAGTACCCCAGGTTCTGCAGCCCAGCAGAAAAGAGGCTTCTTGGAAGCTTACCTGCTGGGAGGCACGACCAGTGAAAGAAGAAGGATCCAGTAAATGATCCAACTGGGAGTGAATGGGACTGAAGTAGGCATCAACCTGGATACGCTCTATGAGGTCATTGTCACCCCCTTCCTGCTTAACCACAGAAGCTGCCTGCTGAGAAAGCACTCTGATTTTCTCATGGCAATCCTGGGAAGACAGTGAAGTATTGTCAGTTCCCTACTAACAGGGCGTTTGAACACTTTTAAAAAGTCATCAGATACTTCCCATCCATGCAGTCTACACAGCTCTACACAAAACCCCTCTAGGCTGAGGTGGTTCCTGTGTCTATCTGTACCAGGGTCTTCTCAACTCTCTGCCCACATCTTAGGACAAGCCTGAAATGGATGCCCACCTTGCTCTGGCCCTCTTCTGTAAAGCCTCATGAATCATTTGCTCGTTTCCTGCTCATTTCCTACAGAATGTCAGACCTCATTCCTTCACTAGGAGTGGACTTTTCCTACAAGTGATTAAGTAATTCACTTTAACAAATTCAGTTCACCAAAATCACCCTCCATAGATGGCAGATTATGGCCACTGCTCTGTACCATTACTGTGACTGAAGGTAATGACATAAACACCTTCATCTGCTCTCCTTCACGGAGAAGAGAGCAGGACCAAACGTGCACTCTCAACTTATCCAGGAACATGAGGGGTTACAAACCTGGCGGCTACCTCCAGCTTTGACCATGGCCATGATGATGTTCTCTGTGGCCATGAAAGGCAGCTCTTGCCGAATGCGCCGTTCAATTACCTATAGGAAAAGATACGGTGAATGACCAAGAAAGGTGCCTCAAGGTTAAAGTCATAAACACAGCAGGATGTCAAACAAAATGCACAGCACAGACACTAACTACCACATTATGGAGAGTAACAAGTTGTTTTATTCTATATGATGTTTTTTCAGTTTTCTTACTAACTCAGACTTCGGATTTTTTTTTTCTTTTTTTTTTGAGACAGAGTCTCACTCTGTCGCCCAGGCTGGAGTGCAGTGGCGTGATCTCAGCTCACTGCAAGCTCCGTCTCCTGGGCTCACGCCATTCTCCTGCCTCAGCCTCCCGAGTAGCTGGGACTACAGGCGCCCGCCACCACGTCCAGATAATTTTTGTATTTTTAGTAGAGACAGGGTTTCACTGTGTTAGCCAGGATGGTCTTGATCTCCTGGCCTCGTGATCCCAAAGTGCTGGGATTACAGGCGTAAGCCACCGCGCCCTGTCAGACTTTTGATTTTTAAAAAGGAAATATTAACTTAAAAAAAGTTGCCACATAGGAAGAGGTTTTTTTTTTTTTTTTGAGATGGAGTTTCGTTCTTGTTGCCCAGGATGGAGTACAATGACACGATCTCGGCTCACCGCAACTTCCACCTCCTGGGTTCAAGCAATTTTCCTGCCTCAGTCTCCCGAGTAGCTCGGATTACAGGCACCCGCCAACACGCCCAGCTAATTTTTGTATTTTTAGTAGAGACAGGGTTTTACCATGTTGGCCAGGCTAGTCTTGAACTCCTGACCTCAGGTGATCTGCCCGCCTCGGCCTCCCAAAGTGCTGGAATTACAGGCGTGAGCCACCACGCCTGGCCTGAAAGAATTCTTAAAACCCCTATTTGTTACATATCAGTGCTCAGCCTCAAGAGCTAAGTATAGGAGAGAAATGAACCCATCTGCCTCAAGTACTTAAAAACAGGCAAATGGAGACATCTACTCTGCCTAGTCACACCAGAGCTGATGATTCATGCTGCTAGATAGTTTAAGGCAATTTAAAATACTTCTTTTTCTGTTTCTATAATGTGTCTATGAATTCCACAGAGCTAGTTCCCTAGAGCTTATGAACTGAAGGATGAGCTCGGGTGGGAAGAATGCCTATCGGATCAGAATACAGCTCCCTCAACACACCCCAGAGCACCCTCCCTCCCACATTCTAACCCCTCCCTAGTACTTTACTTTTGAATTGAGGCTTCTTACTTTGGGGTACACGACCAATCCTTCAGAAATGTTCTGCAGCGTATTCAATATAGTATCTGCGGTAAGAAATGCCTCGGCCAAACAGATCCGTCTAGAAAACAAATAGCCATTCAGTATGTCTTTAAACAAATAATTTCAGTGAAATGCAGTGTGTGTCCCAACAAGTTGCCCTACTGACTGTACTCTCTGGATAATCTCCTTCAATCTTATGATTACCCCAATAACCTCACGACCCTCAAATCTGTCACCTCTAGGCCAGACCACTTGCTCAAGTGCCAGACCTCATACCTACTGAGTGAGACGTCCACCTGGTTGATCTATGGGTACCTCAATCCCCAAACTGAACTCAGCCACTTTCTCATTCCTCCTACTCACCATTACATACCTGCCATTCCTCCCTTGTAGCTCCTGCCTCAGTAAATGGCAGTAGCGCCCCACTCACCAAGCTCTTTATACTCACTCCGGTCAACCACCAGGGCTGGGCTGGCCAGTCTGCCTTCGACTCTGGATCTATATCCTTCCTCTCCATTTACATGGCCACTGCACCAATGTGGCCTCAGACTTTTAAAGTAGCCCCTAACTTGTTCTGACATGATCCCTGTCTCCTTACAGCCAACTCTCCAAACTGTTGCTAGGGTCTTTTAGCAGGCAAATCAGCAGACCTACAGGGTCACACCTTGCTAAAAAGTATTCAATGGCTGACTTCTGAATGAGTTCACATGACTTATTTCCAGAGATAAATCGTGGATTATGCACAGATCCCAGAAAGCTAGGTTTAACTATACATCCGTATCCACTCAAGAAATTCCAGCAAAATGCGAGCAGGCGAGAGTAATGCCAATCTGCTTTAAGTGAGTATATACATAAAACAGAAAATGATGCGCATGTTGGCACCTCAACAGTAGTTACAAATTATTTCTGACTCATCTCATAACTAATCAAGATGTCATTGTGCCTAGACACCACAACTGACATCTATCTGCCTTCAGAAAAGACCCAGAAGACCTTTCATAAACTGGCTATCTGTGACCATGTCCTGCCCCACCTCCTGGCACATGTTGACTTCATTCCCCAGGGCTACTCAAGTAGTAGTAACTCCCTCAAGTGTGTTTTCTCCTGCTTTGTGCCTTTATAATGCTCCCGATCTTGTCTTTAAAAGATGCATGTATTTCTTAAGTCTTAAGGCATCACCTCTACTGTGAAGCTTTCTGACTCCTCAAACACTATTCCTTCCTCTTTGCTCCACAGTACCCAGTACACACTCCAATTGTAACACTTATCACACTGTCCTTTTTATGTTTTTGCCTCCCTGCTAGACTCTGGGATCCTTGGGGATAAGGAGACTGTAGAGATGCTCAAATATGTCCTTTTACTTCTAGGTCCCTCCTTCAGACCTCCACTCAACTTGGTGTATGTGATGTCCCTGTGCCACTGACCGGTTGGCACTATCATCCAGTGTGCGTTCAAACCACTGGACAGATGCTGTCTGTAGCGGGTCCATGACAAGGGTCATCAGGTGGCGGGCAAGACTGCAGCAACGTTCTGAACGCATGGGATTCCGCTTATATGGCATCGCACTTGAGCCTGCCCATGTAAAAAAAGGACAAGATGCAAAGGCAGAGAGACTTCAGAGGATAGTGAGTAGGCAAGCATGCTGAATGAGCTCTCAGCCCCCATCCACAGCCTTCCAGCAGCAATGTGTGCTCACAGGTCTCTACACAGCACTCACCAATCTGCTGTTTTTCAAAGGGTTCCTCCATCTCCTTGAGGTTTGCCAGGAGGCGTATGTCGGTGCAAATCTGGGGGAGGTAGGGGAATAAGCATCACCCCACACTGTCAGTGTGCAGTAGAGTCTGGGAGCTGTGACTAGGCTGATGAAGGAGATGAGCTCTTAGGTGTGCTGTGGCTGAGCTGAAGACCAGCGCATCCTCCCAAAGAGCTCCTGCAGAGTATCTTACTCCGACTCCTCTCTGTTCCCGAAGGACTGGGATGACAAATTCAAGGAGCATGAAAACGCTTTTGTGAAACACTGCTTAAGGCATCATGGAAAGAAAATCACAAGATTAATTCAGGATGGGCGCGGTGGCTCACACCTGTAATCCCAGCATTTTGGGAGGCTGAGGTGGGTGGATCACCTGAGGTCAGGAGTTCGAGACCAGCCTGGCCAACATGGTGAAACCCTGCCTCTACTAAAATTAGCCAGACATTGTGGTGCATGCCTGTAATCCCAGCTACTTGGGAGGCTCGCTCGAACCCAGGAGGTGGAGGTTGCAGTGAGCCGAGATCATACCATTGCACTCCAGCCTGGGCAACAAGAGCGAAACTCCATCTCGAAAAAAAAAAAAGATTAATTTAATATACCACTGAACAAGATGGATGTTTTGCAGTGCTTGAGATAACTTTAAAGAAAATGCCAAAACGAGTCTTCCCCTTAAGGGTTTCATTTACAGACCACAAATTATTAAAACTAATGTAAAATATTGCTTGAGAGAGATGGTTAAGTAAAAGTCTGAGGTTAATTCAGTCTGTCTGTGGTGCCCAAAGCTCCTGTCCCCACCCCACATGCTGCCACCACTCACCTTGTGCACTGATGCCCCCAAGCTAGCCAGCACAGACAGTACTTCAATATCCACTTTTCGTGTATATGTCTGCCCTGTGATGATGAAAGCTCTAGGAATAAGTACAAGAGAGACTTAGGTTAAAATATTTTAAAGCCATTGCAGTGGTGCATGACTGTAGTCCCAGCTACTTAGGAGGCTAACGGAGGAGGACTGCTTTAACTCAGGAGGTTAAGGCCAGCCTAAGCATCACTGGGAGACTCTTATAAAATAATAATAATTCAAAACATGACTCTGTCAAACAAGGAAAAACACATCCTAAAGAAAAGCTTGGTCTTATTGGTATGCTAAGTTATACTCAACCAGTGGACCTGAGTGGTAACTTGCTCCTGGAATAAACTATTCTTCCACCCTTTTCACTAATACTCAGGACAATGGCCTGACTCAAGAAGGATACATGGTGCAACGTGCCCATGTCTGGCCACAGCCCAATAGAAATGCCTGGGAGAAGGAGCCATGGTGGAACCTGGTGGACCTCAATGGAAATGGTCAGATTTAGCCTAACCTGTTGGGGGCCCTAAGTAAAGAAACAAAAATGGTAACAACATGGATAAAGGTATTCTAAAGAAACCAGAAGTAAATCATTTTCTTTTTTCCTATAGATTATACAAAAAGAGAATGCAGGTCAGGCATGGTGGCTCATGCCTATAATCCTAGCACTTTGAGGCTGAGGCAGGTGGATCGCTTGATCTCAGGAGTTGGAGACCAGCCTGGGCAACATGGTCTCTACAAAACAATACAAAAATTATACAAAAACAATACAAAAATTAGCCAGGCATGCCTGTAGTCACAGGGGGCTTAGGTGGAAGGACTGCTTGAAACTGGGAGGCGGAGGCTGCCGTGAGCCGAGATCACACCGCTGCACTCCAGCCTGGGTGACAGAGTAAGACCCTGTCTCAAAAACAATAATAAAATAAAATGAAATCCAGAAAATATGTCAGCAAGACGATTAGGCGAAAAAAAAAAAAAAAAAAAAAGAATCCAGATAGTAAGAAAGTAAAACCCAGGATAGAGACAGGAAAAAAAAAAATGGGTAGAAGAACAAAGGAAGAAAAAGGCAAAAATTGTAAGGTCAAATCTGCAGGTATACTGAATATAGGACTTCCATCAACTTAACAGGGAGGCCAACACATTCCCATTTACCTACCTCTTAAATCCTGCCTTTTCTGTCACCATCTTGTCAAGCTGCTCTACCTTGGAAAGAAAAGACACATCCTTATAATAATCCATGTGTCCAGTGTGAGAATGCCTCAACCTGTCATCCTACCCAGGTCTCGCTCCCTAACCCCCACAACTTCCTTCTAGTCGAAAGACCCCACCCATCCCACAGTCAATCTCTCCTATCATCCTCAAAGGCAGCCTTGTCTCTTAGGCTCCACCATTGAGTTTCTGTGTCCTGCAGGTCACTTTCAGAATACCTTATGGTCATCTCCCTCAAAGAGCTGCAGGAAACTGGCCTGAGTGCCAGTGGTACCCTTTACTCCCCGGAAGCGCAGGTCATCTCGGACACGCTTCAAGTTCTGGAGATCCATGCAAAGATCCTGAATCCAAAGACAGCAACGTTTCCCAACTGTGGTCAGCTGTGCAGGCCTGAAAACCCAAAGAGAACACACGAAAGTCTCAGACCGAGACCTTAAATCATCAAGGTTTCATTGCTTCTTTTAATAACCACCATTACCCCTTGGAGGGAGAACAATTTAAGTAAGAGAGGGAGTAACTGGTAAAGATAAAACAAGAGATAAAATGTTTAACCAAATAATCGTTACGGAGATTCAATGTCATTTACAAATAGTCAAGGAGTATGAAACTAAAAGGCGATTAGCATAGTACTTTCTTCATCAAGAGGCAATTTTTAAATTATTATTATTTCTAGACTGGGTCTTGCTCTGTTGCCCAAGCTGAAGTGCAGTGGCATGAACATAGCTGACTGTAGCCTCGACCTCTGGAGCTCAAGTGATCCTTCTGCCTCAGCCTTCCATGTAGCTGGGACCACAGGCATGCAATACCATGCCTGGCTAATTTTTAAATTTTTTGTAGTGACGGGGTCTCACTTTGTTGCTCAGGCTGGTCTCAAACTCTATGTCTCAAGCGATCCACCTACTTCAGCCTTCCAAAGTGTTGGGATTACAGGCATGAACCACTGTGATGCACGGCAAGAGACAATTTATTATAAGGGCAGGGACAATGTCCCTTTTGTTCATGGCTATATCCACAGACATTGGTAAGAAATACATTAGATACTCGTGTAATATTTGCCAAGTATCTGATGTACTCTTACTATTGGAAATACAACAAGGAATAACACAGACAGGGTCCTTGTCCAGTGGCACTTGCTTACATTGTAAACGAGTAAAAAAAGAAAACAAAACAAGATTAGGCCAGGCGCGGTGGCTCATGCCTATAATCCCAGCACTTTGGGAGGCTGAGACGGGGGGATCACTTGAGGTCAGGAGTTCGAGACCAGCGTGGCCAACAGAGACAGGTAAAACCCTGTCTCTACTAAAAATACAAAAAATTAACTGGGCGTGGTGGCGGGTGTTTGTAATCCCAGCTACTTGGGAGGCTGAGGCAGGAGAATCACTCGAACCTGAGAGGCAGAGGTTGCAATGAGCCGAGACTGTGACACCGCACTGGGCGACACAGCCAGATTCTGTCTCAAAAAAACAAATGAAAAAAAAGAAACAAGATTAATTATTGAGATTTTAAGTGCTAAAAGAATAAAAGAACGATGAAGGTAATGGTGATGGCTGCTCTAGATTGGAAGTAGAGGAAAGCCTTTGTGAGGAGTCAAGATCCAGTGAGGAATAGTCATGCTATGGAGAACAGCTACACAACACACATAACCAGAGGACTCAAACACAGCAGCTAATGGCTTTGTTTCCAGCATTAAGCCTAAATCAAAGTAGGGTGCCATGGCTCATGCCTGTAATTCCAGCACTTTGGGAGGCCAAGGAGGGCGGATCACCTGAGATCGGGAGTTTGAGACCAGCCTGACCAACACAGAGAAACCCCGTCTCTACTAAAAATACAAAATTAGCCAGGCGTGGTGGTGCATGCCTGTAATCCTAGCTACTCGGGAAGCTGAGGCAGGAGAATCACTTGAACCCAGGAGGCGGAGGCTGCGGTGAGCCAAGATTGTGCCACTGCACTCCAGCCTGGATGACAAAAGCGAAACTCCATGTCAAAAAAAAAAAAAAAAAAAAAAAGCCCAAATCAAGCCACTGAAGGTCTGTTTCTGAACATAAAACATAATTACGAGGCCAGGTGCGGTGTCTCACGCTTGTAATCCCAGCACTTTGGGAGGCCGAGGCAGGTGGATCACTTGAAGCCAGGAGTTTGAGACCAGCCTGGCCAACATGGTAAAACCCTGTTTCTACAAAAAATACAAAAACTGGCCAAGTGTGGTGGTGCACACCTGTAATCCCAGGTACTTGGGAGGCTGAGGTGGGAGAATCACTTGAATCCGGGAAGCTGAGGCTGCAGTGAGCTGAGATCACACCACTGTACCCCAATCTAGGTGACAGAGTGAGACTCTGTCTCAAAACAAAACAAAAAAACAAAATATATAATTATGAATAAGTTGCCCTAATGTCCAATTTCTTTCTTTTTTGAGACAGGGTCTCACTCTGTCACCCCAGGCTGGCACACGCTGGTATAATCACAGCTCACTGTAGCCTCAATCTCCTGGGCTCAAGCCAACCTCCTGCCTCAGCCTCCTGAGTGGCTGGAACTACAGGCACAAGCCACCACACCTGGCTAACTTTATTTTTTTTAAGAGCCATGGTCTCCCTATGTTGCCCAGGCTGGTCTCGAACTCCATGCCTCAAGCTATCGTCCTGCCTTGGCCCCGCAAAGTGCCGAGATTACAGCCATAAGTCACTATGACCAGCCTAATTTCTTTCTTTTTTTTTTTTTTTTGGAGACGGAATTTCACTCTGTCGCCCAGGCTGGAGTGCAGCGGCGCGATCTTGGCTCACTGCAACCTCTGCCTCCGGGGTTCAAGTGATTCTCCTGCCTCAGCCTCCTGAGTAGCTGGGATTACAGGCATCTGCCACCACACCCAGCTATTTGTGTTATTTTTAGCACACATGGAGTTTCACCATGTTGGCCAAGCTGGTCTTGATTTCCTGACCTCGTGATCCACCTGCCTCGGCCTCCCAAAGTGCTGAGATTACAGGCACGATCCACTGCGCCCGGCTGCCCAGCCTAACCGCCCAGCCTAATTTCTTTCTTTCTTTTCTTTTTTTTTTTTGAGGTGGAGTCTCGCTCTGTCACCTAGGCTGGAGTGCAATGGTGCAATCTTGGCTCACTACAACCTCCGCCTCCCAGGTTCAAACAATTCTCCTGCCTCAGCCTCCCAAGTAGCTGGGACTATAGGCATGCGCCACTGCGTCCGGCTAATTTTTTTTTTTTTTTTTTTTGTATTTTTAGTAGAGACAGGGTTTCACCATGTGAGCCAGGCTGGTCTTGAACTCCTGACCTCAGGTGATCCACCCACCTTGGCCTCCCAAAGTGCTGGGATTACAGGCATGAGCCACTGCACCTGGACCCAGCCTAATTTCTAATAGATAACCTAACCTATTCCAAATGGAATTTCTTTCCTCTTAGGCTAATGACACTGACAGCTAGGAACATCAAGGCGTAACACTAGGAATGTCCATAGGAGGCACATCACAAGCTATAGTATATCCCCAAAATTAATCTTACTGTTTTCCTTGTTAACTGCTAACAGATTATTGGTGTAAGCAAAGAAAGAAGTAAATTAGCATGGACTTGTTCATGGCAGCATTATTCATAGTAGCCAAAAAGTAGAAATTACCCAAATGTCCATCAGTTGTTGACAATTGGGTAAATGAAACATGGTACAACCAATGGAACGCTTTTCAGTCATAAAAAGAACCGAAGTTCTGATTCAACATGGATATTGAAAACAGCAACAGAAGCCAGACACAAAAGGTCACATATTGTATGCGATTCTGTTTATATGAAATGTCTAGGCCGGGCGCGGTGGCTCACGCCTGTAATCCCAGCACTTTGGGAGGCCGAGGTGGGCGGATCTCAAGTGGGCAGATCACTTGAGGTCAGGAGTTTGAGACCAGCCTGGCTAACATGGCGAAACCCTATCTCTCCAAACAATAAAAAAATTAGCCGGGCATGGTGGTAGGCGCCTGTAGTCCCAGCTACTAGGAAGGCTGAGGCGGGAGAATCATTTGAACCCAGGACGTAGAGGTTGTAGTGAGAGTGAGCCAAAATCACACCACTGCACTCCAGCCTGGGCAACAGAGCAAGACTCCCTCTCCAAAAACAAAACAAAACTCAAAAAGTAGAAAGAAATTTAATTTTCCTATTATCTCATAAACCAGAGTAATCAACATTTACATCATGGTGTACTTTCAACCAATTTTTGTGCAATTTATAAACTGTCTTTGTTACCATAACACAAACCTAAGTGCATTTGCACATTAGATCTTGTAAGCATCATTTAAATGGTTGCATGTTATTCCAACCTATGGATGTATGAATACTATGCCTTACTTATTCTCTTATTATTGAACATTTAGATTTTTTTCTTTTTTTTTTTTTTTGAGACGGAGTCTTGCTCTGTCACCCAAACTGGAATGCAGTGGTGCGATCTTGGCTCACTGCAACCTCCGCGTCCCGGGTTCAAGTGATTCTCCTGCCTCAGCCTCCTGAGTAGCTGGGATTACAGGCATGCTACCAAATCTGGCTAATGTTTGTATTTTTAGTAGAGACAGCGTTTCACCACATTGGCCAGGCTGGTGGTGAACTCCTAACCTCAAGGGATCTGCCCACCTTGACCTCCCAAAATGGTGGGTTTACAGGCATGAGCCACCACACCCGGCCCATTTAGATTGTTTCTAATGTTTACTATCATAAAGAATATTTTTCAAGGCTCTTGATATGTATTTCCCAATGTTTCCCAAATGAACTGTTAGATTTACTCTCTCAGTGGATATCAGGCTCATTCCTTATAAGCATCCCAAATTACTTATATTTAAATCATGTTTTCAGATTCTTCACCTCAAGGTTACTGTGGAAAACAGAGAACTCAAGAAGCAGCTGAAAGCCATATGCACATAAACAAGAAGTAATCTTATCACTTACTGGAAATGTGTGAAACCTAATGTGGGTAGACTGGCTCGTTCCTTAGCAAAGTCGGCAAGCCGAGAGATCACTCTGGCAAGCTACAAGAAAGATCATGTGATAGAAAGAGGTTGAATTCAGGTTGTGTTCATTACATAATTAGGAACAAAACTTTCAGATAATTTTGTATAAAATTAGACCGCTAACTCATGAAAGGCAGCAGCCATATCCTTCCATCTTTGTACCCTAAAGTGCCTGGAAGAGTTCACAGTAACCAAAATTTGAAAACTGAGTTGACTACCTAAAATGTCATGAACTATTTTAAGACCACGGCAGAAAAACAGAACAAAATCATAATCCTGACCCACATATCCCAGCAACATGCCTTTGGTTGCACTCTCTTCGTTTAAAAGCCTATGCTTGGGCCGGGCGCGGTGGCTCATGCCTGTAATCCCAGCACTTTGTGAGGCCAAGACGGGCGGATCACGAGGTCAGAAGATCCAGATCATCCTGGCTAACACGGTGAAACCCCGTCTCTACTAAAAATACAAAAAAAATAGCTGGGCGTAGTGGCGGGTGCCAGTAGTCCCAGCTGTTCGGGAGGCTGAGGCAGGAGAATGGCATGAACCTGGGAGGTGGAGCTTGCAGTGAGCTGAGACTGTGCCACTGCACTCCAGCCTGGGTAACTGAGCGAGACTCCATCTCAAAAAAAAAAAAAAAAAAAAAAGGCTATGCTTTAAAAACCATTTAGTCTTTTAAAGAGACAGCTGGGTGCGGTGGCTCACACCTGTAATCCCAACACTTTGAAAGGCCAAGACGGGTGGATCCCTTGAGCTCAGGAGTTTGAGACCAGCCTGGGCAACATGGCAAAAACCATTTCTACAGAAAATTAGCCAGGTGAGGTGGCATGCACCTGTACTCCCACCTACTTGGGAGACTGAGACAGGAGAGCTGTCTGAGCCTGGGAGGCGGAGGTTGCAATAAGCCTTGATCACGCCCCTTGACAGAATGAGACTCTGGCTCAAGAAGAAGAAGAAAGGAGAAGGAGGAAGAGAAGAAGAAAGGAGAAGAAGAAACAATTAGTTCTACAGATTAAACATAGGGTTGTCATTCACCTGAAAAAATGATAGTCTATGTAAAAATTTACACTGTGTTGATTTAGTTGTAACTGGTGCCTATCTCCTAACATAGGGAATCTAGGGTTGGTAGGAAACATCTGCCAACTCCTTACCTTTGGCAAAAGCAGGTCAAGTGCATTTCTAAGAATAATCAAGTCCTACGAAAGAAAATGCAATGATCTTATATTTAGCAGCTTTGCTCAAACAATATTATTACATAACACTTTTTGGCCAGAAAGGCTGGGTTGCTCAGCTACCAGCCTATATCACCACTACCAACCCACTAAGCACGCCAGAAAATACTAACACAAGTTGTTCTTTCCTGATTACTGTTTGAAAAGCACACCAGCTTAACAGTACTACTGAGATCTGTAAGGAACAAAACCTTTATACTTATAAAGCCCAAGGTACATGGTATCTAAGATGACTGAAGGTTGGGCATGGTGGCGCATGCCTGTATTCTCAGGATTTTGGGAGGCTGAAGCAGGTGGACTGCTTAGGCCAGGAGTTCAACATCAGTCTGTGTAACACAGCAAGACTGTCTCTCCAATATTAAAAAAATTCTCAATTAAGAAAAAATGACTGGAAAATGTGCAAGTCAACAAGGTTTCTATTTTCCCAGAGAGGAGGGCTTGAGCTTCTGAGAAGCTTCCATATGGCACATTCCATTACTTTCCTCCCGTTTTCTTTTTTTTTCTTTTTAAGATGGGAGTCTCGCTCTGTCGCCCAGGCTGTAGTGCAGTGGCGCGATCTCAGCTCACTGCGAGCTCCACCTCCCGGGTTCACGCCATTCTCCTGCCTCAGCCTCCTGAGTAGCTGGGACTACAGGCACCCGCCACCACGCCCAGCTAATTTTTTGTATTTTTAGTAGAGACAGGGTTTCACCTGTGTTAGCCAGGATGGTCTCAATCACCTGACCTCATGATCCGCCCACCTCGGCCTCCCAAAGTGCTGGGATTACAGGTGTGAGCCACCGTGCCCAGCCTCCCCCATTTTTCTTGCCTACAGTTGCTAACAAGGAAAGGAATGACCCAGAATATCAAGGTTTAGGAAACATAAAGCTGCTCGTGAGGAAGGTAATCTCCAGATGTACATATTTCAGTTAGCTCCAACACATGTCGATATGAAACGGTAATTGTTGAGCCCATCCACACAACTGGGTACTTTTTTAAAGGATTTTCCAAGTAAGAAGACTGTTCTTCTCCCACTATCTGACTCGCCAGTTACACAAAGATGCCTTTAATTATGTTTCATTTAAGACTAAAGAAAGCATTTGGAGGCCAGGGGCAGTGGCTCACACCTGTAATCCCAGCACTTTGGGAGGCCGAGGTGGGTGGATCACGAGGTCAGGAGATCGAGACCATCCTGGTTAACACAGTGAAACCCCGTCTCTACTAAAAATACAAAAAATTAGCCGGGTGTGGTGGCGGGCGCCTGTAGTCCTAGCTACTTGGAAGGCTGAGGCAGGAGACTCCAGCCTGGGAGACAGAGCGAGACTCCGTCTCAAAAAAATAAGAAAGCATTTGAGGCAACTTAAAAATTACTGGCTTATTCTCAAATTGGACGTTTATCTGGAATCTAACTTCAACCTCCATGGGTATACTCTGATTAAGAGCACAAGCTAGGCCAGGTACGCTGGCTCACTCCTGTAATCCCAGGACTTTGGGAGGCTAAGGCAGGAGGACTGTTTGAACACAGGAGTTCAAGGCCATTCTGGGCAGCATGGTGAAACACTGTCCCTATAAATATTTTAAAAATTTGCCAGGCGTGGTGGCTAACGCCTGTAATCCCAGCACTTTGGGGGGCTGAGGAGGGTAGATCGTCTGAGGTCAGGAGTTCGAGACCAGGCTGGCCAACATAGTGAAACCCTGTCTCTACTAAAAATAAAAAAAATTAGCTGGGCGTGGCGGCAGGCGCCTATAATCCCAGCTACTAGGGAGGCTGAGGCAGGAGAATCGCTTGAACTCGGGAGGCAGAGGTTGCAGTGAGCTGAGATTGCGCCATTGCACTCCAGCCTGGGCAACAAGAGCAAAACTCTGTCTCCAAAAAAAAAAAAAATTTTTTTTTAATTAGCCTGGTGCAGTGGCACATGCCTGTGGTCCCAGCTACTCAGGAGCCCGAGGTGGGAGAATCACTTGAGCCCAGAAGGTCAAGGCTGCAGTGAGCCATGTTCGTGTCACTGCACTCCAGCCTAGGTGACAGAAGCGAGACCCTGTCTCAAAGTATTTTTTTTGAGACAGGGTCTTTGAAGGACTTCAGAGTCCTTCAAAGGTCTTCAAAGGATTTCACAAGTCCTTTGAAGGCCAGGCACAGTGGCTCATGCCTGTAATCTCAGCACTCTCAGCACTTTGGGAGGCCAAGGTGGGCAGATAACCTGAGGCTAGGAGTTCAAGACCAGCCTGACCAACATGGCAAAACCCCTCTCTACTAAAAATACAAAAATTAGCCAGGCGGCGTGGTGGCAGGCGCGTGGAATCCCAGCTACTGGGGAGGCCGAGACACAGGAATCAATTGAACCTGGGAGGCAGAGGTTGCAGTGAGCCAAGATCATGCCACTGCACTCCCGCCTGGGTGACAGAGCAAGACTCCATCTCAAAGAAAAAAAAAAAATTCCTTTGAAAAATTACCTCAGCCATTAAAATGCTAAGGCCTTGGCTTACATCCAGCAAACCAATGCATAAGCAGGATCTGTAGGTCTTATTTTATAGAGGTCATTTGGTGCTTACAGTTTAGATTGGAAGCACACTAAAAGCTGAAAAAATTCCTCAGCGTTTTCAACCAAGATACCTTTAAAAATAAAGATCTGGCTGGGCGTGGTGGCTCACGCCTGTAATCCCAACACTTTGGGAGGCTGAGGGGGGTGGATCACGAGGTCAGGAGATAGAGACCATCCTGGCTAACATGGTGAAACCCCATCTCTACTAAAAAAATACAAAAAAATTAGCCGAGTGTGGTGGTGGGCACCTGTAATCCCAGCTACTCGGGAGGCTGAGGCAGGAGAATGGTGTGAACCCAGGAGGCGGAGCTTGCAGTGAGCCGTGCCACTGCACTCCAGTCTGGGAGACAGAGGGAGACTCTGCCTCAAAAAAAAAAAAAAGATCTATAGTGTCACTTCCTCAACTGGACAACATCAAATAAAATTGACAAATAGATTCTAGAGACTGAGTTTTAAGTATAAACAACACAGGCGCCTACAGTATTGTCTCCAACATAGCAAGAAGTAGCACCAAGGTGAATAATGCCTGCAGCTTTTGGACAGCAGTGGCCAAATGTGTGCACGTGAGCCATCACATCATGTCGTAAACGTTTCTCTTCCTCAGCTGCCATCTTGAAGTCGATGTTCTCCAGGTTTGATTTCATCTCCTGGATTTGTTCATCTGTGATAGGCAAACCCAATGTCTGCAGAATAGGCAAAATAAAATAAAATAGTCTCAGTGTCACAGTTATTTGAATGAAGTGACACCAAGGAAAAAAAACTGATTCATGTTAGCAGCACTACCCTATCTCCCAACCCTTAAATTAAAATTTGAGGCAACCAAGTTGAAAGTACACTGGCCAGGGGTAGTGGGGTCGAGGTGGGGTGGGAGAGAACTTCTCAATGAATCATGGTAAAGTATACTATAACAAAGCTCCAACAGACCAGCCTGGGCAACAACGGTGAAACCCTGTCTCTACTAAAATACAAAAAATTAGCCAGGCATGGTGGCGTGCACCTGTAGTCCTAGCTACTCAGGAGGCTGAGGTTGGAGAATCGCTTGAACCCAGGAGGCAGAGCTTGCAGTGAGCCAAGATTGCGGCACTGCACTCCAGCCTGGGCAACAGAGTAAGCCTCTGTCTCCAAAAAAAAAAAAAAAAGAAAGCTCCAATAAATAAAACAACAACATAATCCTGCTCTTGACTGTTCCTTCTGCCTGAGACCTCTGCTTGGTTCACTCCCTCACACATTCTGCTCTCTGGAATCAAATGTCATCTTCTCAAAGAGGTCTTCCCTGACTTCAATGTAAAACACACTCTGTGTCACTTGGTTTTATTTACAGCACTTATCACCACATGACATTTTTACATATTTATTAACCTGTCATTTCCCTCTAGAATGAATACTTCTTGAGGAGCTTTGTTTTATTTATTGCTTAATCCTTAGTGCTTGGCATGATGGTGGCCATTTTACTTAGATGGATTTACAGAAACCAAATTTAGAAATTCTGTAAGTAGTTTTGCCAGGAAATTATATACAGCAAATGAGTGCAACTGAAAGCAATTCCAGGAGATATTGATGAGAAAATAAACACATTGATGTCTTACATTCATCCATCACTGGAAAAATTAGGCTGCAAAAAATAGCTGGCAGCCCACAGGCAGCTCGGAACTTAGATCCAAGGGCTGAATACAAACAGTGGTGAAACTGATTTAAACCTCACTTGAAACTTGCAAACAGTGACTCCGGGAAGGATCTTGCATCTTAGATCTTTTTTATCCAAGAAAGGAGCTACTAGCCAGATATGGCTATTTAAATTTAAATTGATTAATTAAAAAGTATTGGAAAATATTTATAAGTAAAAAGTCAGGCCAGGTATGGTGGCTCACATCTTTGGGAGGCCAAGGTCGGTGGATCGCTTGAGTCCAGAAGTTCTAGACCGCACTGGAAAACACAGTGAGACCCATCTCTACAAAACAACACAAAAATTTGCCGGGCGTGGTGGCGTGCACCTCTAGTTCCAGCTTGGGAGGCTGAGGTGAGAGGACAGCTTGAGCCCAGGATGCAGAGGTTGTAACGAGCCAAGATTGTGCCACTGCACTCCAGCCTAGGCGACAGAGCCAGACCCAGTCTCAAAACCTAAATATATAAATAAAAGTAAAAAGTCAGTTTCTCAGTCACACTAGCTGCATTTCAAGTACTCGGCAGCCACATGTGGCAGAACTGCCTGGAACCTTTACAGTCACAGAAGACATGACACCTCTGGGCTCCTTCCAAAGCAAAGCAGCAGAGGGCAGCACGGCCATACTGCTTCCTCCCCTCAAGCAATTTATCTTTTCAAAATTCATACTTTCCTTACTACAAATTTTCTGCATTCCTCCTAATCTCTTATTCTCCAAGTTTTTTCTTAGCTACTAAGTTATTATGCAATTTATGGTAATTTTGACACCCTAACAGATAATCCAAAGCCAAAATTGTATGCATTTTAGGCCAACACAAAGAACACATACTCAGACTCTACATTCCAATTCCAGCTTGAAGCCATTTACTAGCTTTGGCGACCCTGGCAAAGTCTTGAGTACCACTACCCTCATCTACAGAATAGAATATCAGATGAAATAGAAAGAGTACACACTAGTACATCACAAACCACAACACATGATTAAGGTCTACTACTATCGCTATCTACGCCAAGAGTTTATTAAGTTGATGCTTCATTCTTCCATCTGTAAAACAGGTACAGTCATAGTATTTCATACCTACTCTTCAGGGTTGTTTGGAGGATTAATAAGCAACCATGTGTAAAGGGTTAAGACCTGGGTCTCAGAAGGCACTATCTGAATGTCTGCTATTATTGTAGTGTATCGCCCAATATTTTGGAGGGCAGTGATAAGGGGAGGGAGGGAATCTAGAATGAAAGTTTCCTGTTTGGAGAGTTCCATGGTACAGGTCCTAGGCCCGAAGTCAAATTGTTTCCATGTTTACTGTGCCGTTTGAGAGGGCATTGCCAACTTGCTCGTTGTGGCACTTTCCTCTGAAACTTGAGGAGAAACATTATCGCTCTCTGGATCACCTTCAGTTTGCTTCAACTCTTCTGGAGCTATTTCTGAAACCGCTGGGCTAAGAAGTTCTCTATGCAGCCCTTAGAAAAGAAATTATAAACCCCGTTTAATAAACCCCTACCCGGAGTCTTCTCCTAAGAGGCAAAGCGGAGGCCAGTGAGGCAGAAACGGTGGCCTAGAAAACAAGCATTCCAGTCCTGTCACTAACTACACAGGCACTGTGGAAAACCAAGGGGCTACGTGCTCAGCTCAGGCTCTGGAGTGCACCCAGGTTCAAATCCCAGTTCCGTTCTTAATAGCTGGATGGGCTAGGGCAAACAACAAGCTGTCCGGGCTTTGTTCTCCCCTGCAATGTGGGAAAAACACCATCAAGCCTGCAAGATCTTCATGGATTACACAAGAAAAGATTAGTGAAATAATGAGCACAACAGTACGAAACAAGCGCTCGGTGTCTGTGGTTAGCAGCGTACTCCTGCGGGGATGGCCAAAATGAATTCCCTGAAACTACAGGCTGAATTTCTCCCAGCCTCCTCCGCGTCTCGAACCCTCTCGGACTGAGAACACGTGAGGCAACAGGTGGCGGCTCCCGGATCTCCTGCCCTTGCTTTCCTGGGGCCGCAGCTCCTCAGGACAGGGAACACCCAGCTGAAAATAGCCGGGCCGCAGCTCCGGGGTGGCTAAGCCCAGCCCGGAACAGAGCCCGGCACGTGCTGGGGCGGGCCCGTCCCTCCCGGCCCAGCCCCTCAGCCCGGGATCCGTTACCTGCTCGGCCTCCGCCAGCCACAGCCACAGCTGCCGCCATGTCCGGAATTTATACCTGTCGCTAAACACGAAGCACATCTCCGGGCTGGCATAGCGGGAGGCAAGAGGTGAGCGGTAGCTGTCGGGCGAACCATGATCGCCTCCAGCCGCCATCCCAACCCTGCGACCCCGCCAGGGTGGACTGGACCAGGGAAGAGCGGAAGCGGAAACCTGGAGGCCAGGGCAGGACGGGGCGGGGCGGGACTTCCTTCACGCGGTCTCGCTCTCTGGGTTCCGGGCGCCCTGGGCGCTGCCGGCTGCGGAGAATCTCCGCTGCTTCTGCCTGAGAATTGACTTGGTTCGCTTCTTTGACCAGAAACATGATTGATGCTTCCTACGTTACTTAGCCGCGCTACACTTTAGTTTTCCTGTCTGAAAAGAGGTACATTAAGACTTCCTTGGCCGGGCGCGGTGGCTCACGCTTGTAATCCCAGCACTGTGGGGGCCCCAGACCGGAGGATCGCTTGAGGCCGACAGATCGAGACCAGCCTGGGCAACACAGGGAGACCCTCCCGTCTCTAAAAAACAAAAAGCAAAAAAAAAAAAAAAAAAAAAGGCCTGCCTTTCGGGTTGTGCGGATTCAGTGTTAGAGCGGTGTCTGGCACACTTGGAAGGCCGTGTGTACGCTTGCTGTTACTCTTATTACTGTCGCCCCACCCACTCCTGCCCGCGGCGCACCGAGCTCGGCTCTAAGGAGAAATGAAGATACCCAAGGGAAATCGGCATTTACTGCGCCCCCAGTGAGCCGGCTGCGGTGGCCTACGCCTGTAATCCCAGCACTTCGGGAGGTCGAGGCAGGCAGATTTCCTGAGCTTAGGAGTTTGAGACCAGCCTGGGCAACACGTGAAACCCTGTCTCTACTAAAATACAAAAAATTAGTCGGGCATGGCGGCCTGTACCTGTAGTCTCAGCTACTTGTGAGGCTGAGACAGGAGAATTTCTTGAACCCGGAAGGCGGAGGTTGCAGTGAGCCAAGATCGCGCCACTGCACTCCAGCCTGGGCGACAGAGCGAGACTCCGTCTCCAAAAAATAAAAGAATTAAATAAATAAATAGAAATAGAAACACTCAAGTGGCCCCCCCCCTTTTTTTTTTTTTTGACAGGGTCTTGCTATGTTGTTCAGTCTGGAGTGCCAGTGGGGTGATCACACAGGAAAGGGTTCATCTGGAGCTGTAAGAGCCAGGTGTCTCAGCTGGGCACGGTGACTCACGCCTATAATCTCAGCACTTTGGAGGCTGAGCTGGGCAGATCGCTTGAGTCCAGGAGTTGGAGACCAGCCTGAGCAACATGATGAAACACTGTCTCTACAAAAAATACAAAAATTAACTGGGTATGGTGGTGTGCACCTGTAGTCCCAGCTACTTGGGAGGCTGAGGTGGGAGAATCACTTGAGCCCAGGATGTTGAGGCTGCAGTAAGCCATGATTTTGCCACTACAGCTTAGGCAACAGTGAGACCCTGTCTCAAAAACAAAACAAACGAAAAGAGCCGGGTGCCTGCACCCTCTCCACCTGCACTTAACTCCTAGCTCTCTGCCTTTTACGTGAGGAATCTAAAGACACTCAAGCCAGGTGTGGTGGCTCACGCCTGTAATCCCAACACTTTGAGAGGCCGAGGCGGGAAGATCGCTTGAGCCCAGTACTATGCTGCTTTGAAATTACTTGTTTCTGAGTGCCTTACTAAAATGAGACCTGTGGAGGAATTCCAATTTTAACTCCCAGTTTATTTGCTGAGAGTTAACTTCACTTTTCCAATAACCATAATATTTCTAGACTATTACAAGTACATGATTAAGGGCCAGGCACGGTGGCTCACACCTGTAATCCCAGCATTTTGGGACGCTGAGGCAGGTGGATCACCTGAGGTCAGGAGTTGGAGACCAGCCTGGCCAACATGGTGAAACCCCATCTCTACTCAAAATACAAAAATTAGCCAGGTCGTGGTGGCAGGTGTCTGTAATCTCAGCTACTTAGGAGGCTGAGGCAGGAGAATCACTTGAACCCAGGAGGTGGAGGTTGCAGTGAGCCGAGATCGTGCCACTGCACTCCAGCCTGGGCAACAAAGTGTGACTCCAACTCAAGAAAAAAAAAAAAAAAGTACATGATTAGATCTCAAGGCTTCAAGATCTTTTCTTTGACAATAACTTCTTTTCCAGTCACCTTCCCATTCCTGCTTTCATTCACAGATTCACTCAAAAACCTATGGAGCACCCATGACAGTGTTCTCCCTCCACACCTCTGGGCTTTCTTAGATGCTGAGTGACCTCCCGGCTTCTTTTTTTTTTTTTTTTTTTTTTTTTTTTGAGACAGAGTCTCGCTCTGTCGCCCAGCCTGGAGTTCAGTGACATGATCTCGGCTCACTGCAAGCTCCCCGTCCCGGGTTCACGCCATTCTCCTGCCTCAGCCTCCCTAGTAGCTGGGACTGCAGGCGCCCACCACCACACCCGGCTAATTTTCTGTATTTTTTTTAGTAGAGATGGGGTTTCACCGTGTTGGCCAGGATGGTCTCGACCTTCTGATCTGCCCTTCTCGGCCTCCCTAAGTGCTGGGATTACAGGCATGAGCCACCGTGCCCGGCCTCTTTTTCTTTTATTTATTTATTTATTTTTTTTTAAGACAGAGTTTCACTCTTGTTGACCAGGCTGGAGTGCAATGGTGTGATCTCTGTTCACCGCAACCTCCACCTCCCGGGTTCAAGCGATTCTCCCTCCTCAGCCTCCTGAGTAGCTGGGATTACAGGCATGCGCCACCACACCTGGCTAATTTTGTTTTTTCGTTGTTTTTTTTTTTTTTTTTTTTTTAGAGACGGGGTTTCTCCATGTTGGTCAGGCTGGTCTTGAACTCCTGACCTCAGGTGATCCACCCACCTTGGCCTCCCAAAGTGCTGGGATTTCAGGCGTGAGCCACCACGCCCGGCTGGATGCTGAGACCTCCTGGCATCTCTTTCAAAACTCTTACCAGAATTCAGTGTTGCTTGCCTTGCTCATTGATGGCAAACTCAGTGGGGCAAGAGATCATGTCTGTGTTCCTGGCACTGAGCCCCAAACCTGGCATAGCATAGGTGCTCAGTAAATGTTTGCTGGATGCATAAATGCTGCCCCAAAGGAGCCTAGCCCAGTAAGAGAAATAACGCCCACAATAGCCATGATACAAGTTAGATTCTGCCACTATACTTCCTCTTCCTCCACACTTCCTCGGTGTCCTCATTCCCTGGCTTGTTCATGCCTCCACCTGAACTCCAGAGTTAGCTGTCAGAATTGACTAGAGTGCCAATTTCAGAATATTCAGGCCATCAGAGAAGCCTGTCAGTCACCTGGGCTCGTCACTGAAGTCTTCTTCCACCTCCCCTCTTGAACTGCAGAGGACTGGTTTTGGGGGTGAGGGCAGTCACAGTTCTGGAAAGATGAAGAATTTGCTCCATCAAACTCCCCACTCTTTGCAGAGTGCTTCCTGGCACTCATTGCTTTGATACACTGTGATAAATTTACTTTTCTCATTTTCTACCCATGCCTCTTGTAAAAGGTGGAAAGATTTATATAATCTGAAGAGAAACCAGAGCACGTACCCATGCCCATTGTAAACTCAGTGATCTCCTCAGTCTTCTAGGCCTCTGTTCTTCCTCTGCTTCACTTTGCTGTTACTTTTCCTCCTCCAAACAAGTTTCTACCTGAGTCTTCTTCCTCATTCAGGAAAAGATCTTGCTTGATCATTTTGTCTTATATCTTTCATCACCCCAGTTCTGTTTCCCTTCTCCTCTGATTTTTTATTTTTCAAGACCTTGTCTCAGGCTGTTTAGTTTTTTAGAAATGGGGTCTGTCACCCAGGCTAGAAGACAGTGGCATGATCATAGCTCACTGCTGCCTTGAACTTCTGTCCACAAGCAATCCTCCCACTTCAGCTTCCCGAGTAGCTAGGACTACAGGCACGTGCCATCGCCTTCGTCTACTTTTGTTTACTTATTAACTTAGAGACGGGGTCTTGTTATGTTGCCCAGTTGGTCTCAAACTTCTGGCCTCAAGTGATCTTCCCACCTCAGCCTCCCGAACGGATGGGATTACAGACATGAGCCACTGCAGTCAGCTCCTCTGAGGGTTTTGTTTTTAAATGCCTAGGTCTCTTCCACTATAGGAACGTCTTCACTTGCCGTGGTAACTCCTTAACATGGAGTCCTCATTTTCTGTCTGCCTTTTCACCGACCATTCCTGGCGCTACCACTTATTAGCTGTGTTACTTGGGGAAGTTACTTATCTTTCAGCACATAAGTCTTCCCACCTATAAAATGTGACTGATGATCCCAGGTGTTAGGTGCAAGAGCAAAAATAGATGCTGGCTCCCTAGCTCACTGTCTGGGACTCCTGTGCTCAACAAATCGTTCCCCTCCCCACTTTATTCTTTAGCACTGAGGTGCAACTTCTGCTCTCTCCCCTTCTTCCAAATCAAACTATTATTAATTACCAATAACCTTCTCTAACAGACCAATCAAAATGTCCTTTTCCATAATATGTACTTGTTTGCCTCATTAAAGGTGTGGGGTATCATGCAGGGAATGGAATAGACAAGGACAGTACTGGTAGCAAAATTTCCCAATGTACATCTTTATGTCATTTTGACTTTTGAATCAAATAGGTTTTTTTTTTTTTTTCTCATTCGTCCCTCCTGGCTGATTTAAGTATTTAGCATTTTTGACAATTTCCTTCCTGTCTGCTTTGAAAACTAAACTGTACTGATTTTACCCCGACTGCTCTTGGTCGTTTTTTTTGTTTTGTTTTGTTTTGAGACAGGGTCTTGCTGTGTTGCTCAGGCTGGAGTGCAGTGCCATGATCACGGCTCACTGCATCCTCAACCTCCTGGGCTCAAGCAATCCTCTTGTCTCAGCCTCCCAGGTACCTGAGACTATAGGCACACACCACCATGCCCAGCTATTTTTGGCAGAGATAGGGTCTTGCTGTGTTGCACAGGCTGGTCTTGAACTCCTGAGCTGAAGTGATCAGCCCACCTCAGCCACCTAAAGTGATGGGATTACAGGCATGAGCCAACATGCCCGGCCTCTTAGTAAACTTTTGAAGAGGCTTCTCCTCTCACTCCTGGAAAAGAAGTAGGGGAGGTTTCCTCAAGATTTGATCCATTTGGGAGGCTGAGGTGGGCGGATGACTTGAGGTCAGGAGTTCAAAACCAGCCTGGCCAACATGGTAAAACTCTGCCTTTACAGAAAATACAAAAAAAAAAAAAAAAAAAAATTAGCTGGGCGTGGTGGCAGGCACCTGTAATCCCAGCTACTCAGGAGGCTGAGGCAGGAACATTGCTTGAACCTGCGAGGTGGAGGTTGCAGTGAGCCGAGATCGCACCACTGCACCCCAGCCTGGGTGACAGAGTGAGACTCTGTCTCAAAAAAAAAAAAAAAAAATTGATTCACCTTTCCTCCCTTGGACACGCCTTGCACATCTGCAAGACTTACCTTCTGAGTCCACAGGTTCTCCAGTTTTGATTCTTGATCTTTAAAGGCCGCTGCGTAGACACTTCCAGCTGGCTTTCACTGTTACCTAAAGCAACATCTCTAAATAGAAATTTTTTTTTGTTTCTTGAGCCCTAATTCAATGAACACGTCTTCTGAGTGTTTTGTTTTTATTTCAAGCTTTTAAAAACCGAATTTCTCGCCCAGGTGCAGTGGCTCACGCCTGTAATCCCAGCACTTTGGGAGGCTGAGGTGGGAGGATCCCGTGAGCCCAGGAGTTTAAGACCATCCTGGGCAAGAAAGTGAGACCCCCATCTCTATAAAAATTTTTTAAATTCATCATTTTTTCTCTGAGACAGCGTCTTGCTCTGTCCCCCAGGCTGGAGTGCAGTGGCACAACCATGGCTCACTGCAGCCTTTGCCTGGGTTTAAGTGATCCTCCCACCTCAGCCTCCCGAGTAGCTGGGCCTACAGGTGCACACCACTACACCTGGCTACTTTTTTAATTTTGTAAAGAGGGTCTCACCATGTTGCCAGACTGGTCTTGAACTCCTGGGTTCAAGCAATCCTCCTGCCTCAGCCTCTTGAAGTGCTAGGATTTTAGGTGTGAGCCACTGCACCAGGCTTCATCAGGTTTATGCTTTGAAATGTATCATCCCTGCAATTACATACAGAATGTATTGGAGATGGGGGTACTGAATATCAAGTGAGAAACCAGCCAGGCTAATGCAGTGAACTGGTTAAGACCTAATGGCGTAGGTGATCTAGCGTGGACAAAGGAAGTGGCCAAAGAAAGGAGGAAAAGAGATGAAGAGGTACAATCAACCCAGCTTGGTGAAGAATTAGTTAAGGAAGGAAAGGAAGCAGCAGAGTCCAAGAATCCTCCTAGGTTTTTAGGTTTTATTGTTGGGTGGATGATGATGTCAGTTACTACAGGGTTGGGGGTGGGGCATGCAGACAGGTCAAATTCTGCTTTGGATTTATTGAGTTTGCAGTATCATTAAGATAAGCTAAGTGCTCCCAGCACTTTGGGAGGCCAAGGCAGGCGAATCATTTGAGGTCAGGGGTTCGAGACCAGCCTGGCCAAAATGGTGAAACCCAGTCTCTACTAACAATTCAAAAAAATTAGCCGGGCATGGTGGCGGGCGCCTGTAATCCCAGCCACTGGGAGGCTGAGGCAGGAGAATCGCTTGAACCCGGGATGCGGAGGTTGCAATGAGCTGAGATCGTGCCACTGCGCTCCAGCCTGGGTGACTGAGTGAGACTCCCGTCTCAAAAAGAAAAAAAAAAAAAAAGATAGCCAAGTGCTTGGAAATGTTGAGTAGACAATTACATATACAGGTCTGGAGCTCAATGGTAAGGGTTGGATATGAATTTAGGAGTCATTCACACATAGATGGTTAAAGCCAGAGGCTTTAGGCCCTGGAGGAGGTGAACCTGCCCTTTTTGGTGCTTATATTCCAATAAGGGAGATGGAAAATGAAGAAATAAGACAATTTTACGGAGTGGTTAAGTTTTATGAAGAAAATATAGCAAGACGAGCATAGAGAGAAACAGGGTGGGTTTGAGAGTTGTGACAACCATTTTTGGATAGGATAATCGGGTAAGGTCTCACATTTGGTCAGAGACTAGGCAAAGATCCAGGGGAAAGAGCATTCCAGGCACAAGAAACAAGTGTTAACAGCCTTGAGGGGGCATGAGCTTGGTGTAACTAAGAAAAAGGAACGGGCTGGCGTGATGGCTCATGACTGTAATCCAGCACTTAGGGGGAGGCCAAAGTGGGAGGATCGCTGGAGGCCAGGAGTTTGAGACCAGCCTAAGCAAAACTGCAAGATCCTGTCTCTACAAAAAAAAAAAAAAAAATTCTTTTTTAATTAGCCGGTCATGGTGGTGCATGCCTGTAGTCCCAGCTACTTGGGAGGCTGGGACAGGAGGATCACTTGAGCCCAGGACTTGGGGGCTGCTATGAGCTATGACTGTGCCACTGCACTCCAGCCTGGACAACAGAGTAAGACCCTAGTATACAGCAAACAAAGGAGGGCCTGGGTTTGAGCACTGATGCAACCCAACATTTCCTGGCTAGGTAAGAGGATGAAAGTATGAGAGATACAGGAGACAGAGGAACGCATCAGAAGACAGAAGGAAATCTAGGATTTGTGGTCTCAACAGGCAAATGGTCATGTCCACTGGACTTAGGGAGATTGTTAGTGACCTTCAAGAAAGCTCTTTTAGTGAAATGATAGGGGTAGAAACCAGATTGGAAGACTGTAAGGGGAAGGGAGAACATTTCTGGAGAGTAAAAATGTGGCAGCAGTTGGTAAGGCAGCAGCTGGAATATGATCTTTATCATGGGATGGACTTGAGCATGTGGAGGGAGCGAGGGCCCCAGTGAACACATGGAGAGAGAATGGGTAACGGAGGTAAAAGTTACCAGAAAGCAAGAAAGGAAGGATCCTGAGCAACGAAGGAACCAGAAAAAGAAGGGAGACAGATCTTTCTCATAGTGTGGAAGCAGGAATTTGAGGGCATTTTTCTGATATCTCTAATTTTATCTGTGTACTAGTAGGCAAAGTCTTCAGTTGAGAGAGAAAGGGGGTTAAGATTTGAAATCAGAAAAGGTCTTAAATTGGGAAGGGTAGCTGCACATGGTGGCTCACTTTTGTAATCCCAGCACTTTGGGAGGCTTAGGCAGGAGGATAAGGCCAGCCTGGGCAACACAGTGAGACCTCATCTCTACAAAAAATTAGTCAGGTGTGGTGGCACACACCTGTAATCCTAGCTACTCCAGGGGTTGAGGCAGGAGGATCACTTGAACCCAGAAGGTCGAGGTTACAGTGAGCTATGATCACACCACTACACTCTAGCGTGGGCAACACAGACCTTGCCTCTAAAAAAACCACATAATTGGGAAAGAAGTGGTAGAGTGAGCTGATTAGAGGAACACAGGTAGCCTGCTGGACAGTGTCAAGGTCTCACTAGGGGGTACGTTACAGTGGATTTACAGGAGTCCTCATATGCCCTGTAGTGACTTTTTTTTCCAGCAATGCTGGGCTGCTTTTGGGTGCTGGGGGACAGAGTTTTTCCAAAGTGGGAATGTGGTCAGACAGGTGTCAAGAAAACAGAGCGGCAGGTAAAGTATGGGTATTAGCAAGCGTGTTACTGAAATTACAGGCTACAGAATCTAAACCGGATTAGGCGGGTATGGTTGATGAAGTCAACATAGCCAGAGGAGTGGGATCCAGTTGGAAGGAGAGGAGGTCATGGTCCAGGATGCTAAAATTAGTGACTCTGGTGGGGAGCAGTTTTGGGTGAGCATGGGTATGTGTGACTGGGGTGGGCTGGAGGAAGGGTTGAGAAGCCCAGGTTATAGGTGGATTTTCCATGTGGACACTAAACTCACCCAAGGTGATGGAAGGACACATCTCTGGTGAGGAAAACTGGGTCAGACGTTAAGGTCTAAACAATCACCTTTAATTCTACAATATATTACTCCTTAGCCATTTACACATTTTTAAAATAATTCAAATTTAAAACAAAGCCTTTGGTAACAAAGGTCTTTACAGTCTCTGCAGTGATCTGTATTCCTCAATAAGAGCACCTACCTGTGACAGGCAGGCCCTCCGTGTTTTTGAACATCTGGTGCGTCTCTTCTTACCCGTTTTTCAAGGTTTACTTCTTTTGTGGTGACAGACGGGATGGCTCTACCACTTTGTACAACAGGCCTTAAGATCTTTTTCTCAGAAATCCAGGGATTTTTCAGCAGACGCAATTGGGTGTCACTTTATTTTTTTAGACGGAGTCTCGCTTTGTTGCCCAGGCTGAAGTGCAATGGTGCGATCTCACCTAACTGCAATCTCTGCCTCCCGGGTTCAAGTGATTCTCCTGTCTCAGGCTCCCAAGTATCTGGGATTACAGGCACGCACCACCACACTCGGCTAATTTTTGTATTTTTAGTGGAGATGGGTTTTCACCATGTTGGCCTGTCTGGTCTCGAACTCCGGACCTCCAGTGATCTGCCCACCTTGGCCTCCCAAAATACTAGGATTACAGGCATGAGCCACTGCGCCCGGCCTTGGTATAACTTTTGAATCCAATCTGGTCTCCTATTTTGGTTTCACCCGTGACAATGAGTTTCAGTTAACAGAATGCATATACATCACATGCTTAGAATAGTGCTCAGCTTATAGTAAGCACTCAATCAATGCAAACTTCTATTGGCTACTTAAATTATTCTGAGCCGGATGGGCACAGTGGCTCATGCCTGTAATCCCAGCACTTTGGGAGGCTGAGGTGAGCGGATCACCTGAGATCAGGAGTTCGAAACCAGCTTGGCCAACATGGTGAAACCCTGTCTCTACTAAAAATACAAAAATTAGCCGGGTGTGGTGGCGCGTGTCTGTAGTCCCAGCTACTCAGGAGGCTGAGGCAGGAGAATCGCTTGAACCCAGAGGCAGAGGTTGTGGTAAGCTGAGATCACGCCACTGCACTCCAGCCTGGGCGACAGAGTGAGACTCCGTCTCAAAAAAACAAAAACAAAAATAAATAAAAATAAAAATAAAAATAAGAAATTCTGAGCCTCAGCTTCCTAATGATCTTTCTCACAGCATTCTGAGAATAAAATCAGATACAAAAGCATCTGGAAATGAGTAAGTATTAGTTCCTGTCCATTCTTCCTCTTTACCATTCTAGAGGTGTTTCACAATTACATATCTCACAAGTCTCTATTTTAGCAGCTAACCATAAATACATCGGAGATGGGGAAAATCTAGCCTAATGGTTGCGGTTATCATGCTCCTCAGCAGTGTTGCGGCACCCGAAGCAGGGCAGACGGGCACTCAGCATGGCATTTTCTGGACAAAGCTAACTCGCTGGTTATCATCCCTG
This sequence comes from Homo sapiens, assembly GCF_000001405.40. Classification (NCBI taxonomy): domain Eukaryota; kingdom Metazoa; phylum Chordata; class Mammalia; order Primates; family Hominidae; genus Homo; species Homo sapiens. The sequence goes on along the minus strand of NC_000022.11, from coordinate 40,336,338 downwards.
GGCACTGCAGCAGTGGGATGCAGCAGAACTCTAGGCAGGCCTCTTCTCTCTTCTCGTGTTCTCATTCCAAGTGCAAATTATGATTAAACAAGGCAACAGCCAAAGGTAGAAGGAGAACATTAATTTCTCTTAGAGAATTTGAACCCTGCACTGTGGCAGCAGAACTCTAGGCAGGCCTCTTCTCTCTTCTCGTGTTCTCATTCCAAGTGCAAATTATGATTAAACAAGACAACAGCCAAAGGTAGAAGGAGAACATTAATTTCTCTTAGAGAATTTGAACCCTGCACTGTGGCAGACCATGTTCAGCATTGGGGCAGGCGGTGAGCAGCACAAACCAACCAGCCAACCCAACAACCCTAACAAAAACATGACAAGACAAGGTAGACAGAGTTGCGGCCCAAATTCAAATGTTGAATTTCTGACAGCTTTTACATGTGGAGCAGGGAGAGAAGAATAAGAAAAAATATATAAACATTCAACAAATGAGCAAATTAAACTGGCAGAATAAAACAGGAAACCACAATAGTAAATGCTTAGCAGCCAAACACATTTATTAGTCTTTTTTCTTTTTTTTCCAGGAACCCAAAAATATTTTGTAGTTATAATGTAAGCAACTGAGTTGCACATAATACAATCATATCTTTCCAAAATAAAATAAAATAAAAAAACTAAACAAAAACAAAAATAAGCTGTTTAAAAGCCCAAAAAAAACCCTTCAGAAAACTCTTATATATGCATTACATCATCTCTCAGTTTTAATGAAATGACGACGACTTAATTCCTTATTACTCAACCTGTCACAATCCAATAAAACACCACCCTTTAGTTTTTTTTGTTTTTGATACTTTTTTTTTTTTTTTTGAAATCCAGCATGAGAAATACAGTACCTGCTATGGCAAAAAATACACATAAAATGCAACTTTTCAGCTTATTTGTACATTAGTAGAGTTTAACATTTTATTGTTTGTTTTTTTAAGTGAACCAGTGATTTTAAGTACCACTATACTAAAAAGGAAAATAAAATATAGAAAAGGGGGCCCAGCCTGCCATGCAAGTGCACCTCTAAAGTGCCTAGTTTCTGTGTCCATGTAAAACCAGTAATATGAGGAGCAATTTCAACATATGGGAGTTTGATTAAACCTCTATGCTAAAAAAAAAAAAAAAAAAAAAAAAAAAGACAATGCCACATCCTCCCTTTTCTCCCCCAGGCGTCCTTAAATCCCATTATCTACTTCCTCTATTGCCCATCAAAGAGAGAAAAGAAAGCCACCAAAATAATATCGTAAAAGCAACTTCAAGTATAAGAAAAAAAAAACACTTAAAGGTAACTTGCAGAGAGCATCAATATGTGCAGCTGATTAGTCATTTTTACAGGTTTTGTTTCTGCTGACAGTGTTTCAGATGAGAGGATTTTTGCTGTACCTTCCTGTTACCTGTTTGTGTGCAAAGTTGGAAAGCTGCCTTTTAAAAAATCCAGCCTCTTTTTGATGCCCTTTTCTGCACCTTCTGTCTAAAGGGGGCAAAGAGAGACGTGGAGGGAGGAGGAGAGGAGGAAGGAAGCCACAAGTCACAAATAATTAAAATGGTACTTCTCTACCTATCCTCCTCTGCTACGCCCCCCAGGTCCTCCTGCGTCTCTGTGAAGTGACTCCCATTATTCACTGTTTCCTGATTTGGTAGGATGTATTTTACTATGTAAACATAGCCCCCTAGGATTATGGAACCCAAAGCAGCATTTATATCTCCATCTAAATGGAGACAGATAAAATAGTCCAGAAACCTCTCCTCAGGTTGCTTTTGTTGTCTGTTTTTTGGTTACGCAGAACAGGGATGAGGTGGGTGGCGGGGAGGGCATAGAATGTGAAGTTATAAGCACATAGTGGAGAGTTAGGAGTGGGAACAGTTGAGCTGTTGTATCTGCTTTTTATTTTTTTCCTCCCAGAAGGGTTTTTTGTTTTTTTAAAACCTGTTAAAAATGTTCCTGCACCTTAAGTCATACTGAGATTAAGGCCAAGGGTGCAGAATCTTGTGCACGTGTCTCTGTGAGCACATTCACGGTGCATGCACCATTTTTGATGTCTTCTGTGAGATCACTGCATACACTTTGGTCACTGGTGTGTGCAAAGGGTGGTGGTGGGGGGAGTGTCCCAGGAAAGAAGTGCAGAGATCAGCAAAGCCCTTTGGGAGCATTGTACAAGAGATACAAGGGCAGGCAGAACCCATGAGGGATCAGAGACTGATAGAAAAAGGGCCTCCAGATAAACAAAATAAATAAAATTCCAAGGTGAACAGTGCCCAAATCAGAAGGTGGGTGGATAATATGCATGCACTTATAATCAAGCTTCTTCCTTCAAAGGAAGTCGTCACTATACAAGATCAGTGAGATCCAACTGAAAAGGGCTTCTTGACTAGTAAAGGGTTTATCTTAAAGATGGGGGCGAAGGGGGTGTCTGCAAAGAAGCAATTCAAAATGATCCATTCCAACCCTGCTTCATGGGTGCCCAAATCTAGGCAAGCAATAGCTGACAGATCCACATGAGCAGCATTTGTTAAAAGCATTTCCCTCTACTTAATGTCGCTTCGAGCTCATGGAGGGGGTAATGGAAGAGGTGAGGATGCACATGGCTTTCAGGGTGGTTTGCACATCTCCTTACACAAGTTTCCTCCCAAGTAAGAAATCAGTACATTTCCAGAGCATAACAAAGTGACAAGGCTATGGATTCTACAGTGCAAACCAAAATGCCAGGGACTACATCCTTCTGTGAACTACAAAATGATACTGAGTTACTCAAGGGGTGTGTATGTGTGTGTCTGAACCAAGAAAGGTTGAGAGCTCCAGGTATTGTGTGGAGAACATTCTGGAGTCCCTGCAGGGGATGGATCTGCTGGAAGAGAGAAATTCAGACACTTCTTACCCTGGCACTAGATTGCTGGAAGAGATGGCAGCTATTTAAGACAGGGTTTTTGTGTGTGTGTGTGTCTTTTGTTTATTTTATGTTTTTGAGTCGAAGTCTTGCTCTGTTGCCCACACTGGAGTGCAGTGGTGCAATCTCGGCTCACCGCAACCTCCGTCTCCCGGGTTCAAGCAATTCTCCTGCCTTAGCCTCCCGAGCAGCTGGGACCACAGGCGCGCGCCACTGCGTCCGGCTAATTTTTTAGTAGAGACGGGGTTTCACCATGTTGGCCAGGCTGGTCTTAAACTCCTGACCTCAGATGATCTGCCTGCCTCAGCCTCCCAAAGTGCTGGGATTACTGGTGTGAGCCACCGCGCCCAGCCAAGACAGGGTTTACATACTGGTCTGCTGTCACTGTGTGGGAGGCAATGGAGATAACACCCCTCCAACACAAATGCAAACCGGCTCCCCCGACCTCCTCTGCTCTTTCTTCTTAAACATGAAAGAGTAAAGATCTGAAACTTCTGATGGCTTAAAAACAAAAACCAAAAAAATACAAAAGAAGAAAACATATTTTAGGGTTACTTTCACAGCAAAGAAAATGTTTTTTAAAGTTATCCTGCTATTTACATGTTCATATTTTAAAAAGGATAATCCACTGATGTCAGAAAGGAGAGAGGAGTTAAGGGTTTACATTGCAGGGGGAAATGTACCTCGAGGTATTATTTTGTGTGAGACAGTTGAAACGTCAGGATTTTATTTTTTTGTTGTTTTTTTTGTTTAAAGGCAATCTAACAGATTGGAACCCTGATAAGATCATGCCTGTGCAGCCCTGCACAGGCACGAGGAGACTGTGATCAAGTCTGTTACTCGTTACAGTACTGTGAACGTCAACAAGAAGAATTGCTGCATGGAAAACACTGAATATAGGCAGAACAATCTCTCGCTTACGATACTGTGTGTTGCAAATAATGCCTAGACCAGAGCAATGCAGGCGCTATGATTCATCACAGGCAAGATCAACAAAGGAATTGTTAGGACAAAGAAGAGGCTGCATGCAGACCTCCCCTGTCAAAACACCTCGCAGCTCATTGGCTTCATACAGCCTGCCAAATGCAAGGGAAGCAGAGAGAGGGATGGTGGGTAGGAAGAGAAAACTTTTTTGCCTGACAAGCAACAGCCCTCTTCCCCACAAAGCAGGACAGTTCCTTATAACTAAGAGTAAGTTCACTTAAACATGATTAAAAAGGAAGAAAGAAATATTAAAAAGGAGAGAGGAGGCGGAGTTTTTCAAAATCGACCTAAAGATTAACTTTCAGGTCAGCACGAGTGAAGCGTGGTTTCCTGAGCTTGAAGGGCTCTGAATTCAGGAAAGGATGAGTACTTTTTCCAGAGAACACTGGAGCCTGTGGAGTTCCATTGCTGCACTGGATTAACACTGCACGGCTAGGATCAAGAATCCTGAACCACATTGGTTGACAGGAACTGCAGGCCCCCTGGAATTTACCTGGCCATCAGACCTGCCAGCAACAGTGGCAAGAGGACTCAGAGGTCTCTATCTCACTGTGCTGACCTTACCACATTCGTCTCTCACTCCCCTTCCCCTCCAGGACACGGGGACACCATGGACACAGAAACTGAAGAACAAGGATGCAACGCTACTCCCTTCCCCTTTCTGCCCTCTCCTCCCCACCCCCTTTGCAGAATGCATAGTTACAATTCACCTTACAACATAAAGAAGCGACGATGACCACATGTGGGACTTTTTTTTTTGAAAAAAAAAAAAAAAAAAAAAAAAATCCAACAACCTCTTCTTAAATTCAGTATCAAAATTCACATTTGCATAATAATACATTTCAAGGCCATGAGAGAGGAATGAGAGCAAAGCGCAGAAGCAGCATCTCTCCTCCCTGTGTCTTCCTGAATGAAGCTGAAGGAATCGAGTGGGAGGGACTGTTCTCCTCTTTGGGGGAGCTCTGAGGAATCATGGAAATGGCCCTTAGCATTTGCTTGATATTTCTTTAGAAGATAGGAGTGGGGAGAAGAGGTGAAATTGTTTAAAACATAAAAACAAATAAAGACACTGCAGATTTCTGTGTTCAACTATAATAGCTCTGAAGAAATAAAATATGATTTCAGATTTTTCTCTTTTCTTTCTCAAACACTTCAATCTTAACTCTTCAAAACCCCTTTTCCTTGTGTGTAATACCCTGTTTGCATCAACAGCAACGTGATGTGACGCCCATGTGGGAATGTAATGGCCGCCTCAGGACACAGACTCAAAGGGTAAAAGCGTGCTGCCCGCTCTGCACACGGCAGAAGCTGGAAAATGCCTTGTTTACATGCATGAATGTGTCACAAGTATCACCATATTCCAATTCTCCAGTGCTTACAGAAAAACAAAAAACAAAACAGCCAAAGCCACATGAGCACAAACATACAGACGGAGAAAACTAGGGAATGCAGATGTGTAAACCTGCGCTCTTGGACTAACGTGGGTCTGCGTCGCCTGGGTACCTTCCCCTGTCTCCTCTCCCAAGTCCCAGAATCTCTTCCACTCAACTCTACACTGTGCAATATTGATGCTAATGAAATCTCAACAGCTGCTCCTGGGACTTCCAGGAGGAACTTTGACTTCCCTAATGACTAAAGCTGACCGTCTGTTTGTTTGTATCCAACGGATAGCTTCTTCCTAGAACGGACGGTCTCTGTACTCACAAAGGCACATTCAGAAATACTATACTTAAGTAATTCCTTAGACAAAATTTAAAAAGGGCGGTGGATGATGTTTTAAACACATTTATTCCAACTTATCCCAAAATTTCTGGCAAGAAGTGTCATGCTAAAATGCATCACTTGGTGAGAAACTATACTACCTTTAAAAGGTATGTAACTTCTTAAAGGGTTCCAAAGGTTTTTATTTTGTTTTGCCTAAATACCCACCTTTCCCATTTTTGGCGAACACACATAGGATGTACTGTCCTCCTCTCTGTAAAGCTCTTCTGTAGGGCTAGTCCTGGCAATAAGGCCACTCCACTTTGCCTCCAGTCAACTTTTACAGCCACCCCTCTGGGAGTTGTACACACCTTTCAGTAGCCGAAGGGGAAGGAACGCCAGATTCCGGAAGGCGGGAGAGAAAGCAAAGCACTTCCTTTCACAGCTCTGCTACAACAGCATCATAAGCCACCTTGACAACTTTCTTTTGCAGCTTACTGTGAGCAGTAAAGAGGAATTTCCCTTTTTGAAAAAAAAGAAAAAAACAAAAACCATCCCAACTTGTTGATATTGGCTAGATATGGGTCAATTATAATTGGGAATTTATTTCCAAAGCAATGATTTACAGTTTAAAAATGAAGTTGAGGCACAAAGTGCTTTAAACGGACACTATTTATTCTTTATTTAAAACAGAGTACTTCTTGCCTATTTATCTGATCTTTCCCCTCCCATGAACAAGATAAGCATTTGTCACAGTGAAGAACTGAAGACTGAGCTTTTTGCAAAGACCCTTTGGCCAAGGTAGTACCATTTTTCCTGGCCATGTACAGTTTCTTGTTAAAAACAAATTCAGGTATATAGCTAACTGAAAAGGGAACGATTTAAATTTGGTGAGGCAAACACTGGCAGTTACTGCAACTTTCGTTACTTTTTTGGGTGGCGGTAGGAGGTTATGACAAGAGACTGACAGCTTAAAAACTACTCAAATATTAGGGGTATGCCACAATCACTCGGGATCTGGTCCCGGTGGCCACACGCATGCGGGCAGTGTGGGTGCTGAGCTGCTGGAGGAGTAGCTCTCCACTCCCTGACCTGTGTCCCCCTTTACCACCTCGTAGGTTCATGGCCTCTTTCTTCAGAGGCATGGGGTGGGGAGGTATGGTGAGCAGGTTAGGGAGGGTCGATGTTGAATTTTTATTGTTATTACTATGTTCACAGATTCTTGGAGCTGATAATTATTTCAAATCTAAAGAATGTGATATTACCACCCCCTTTGTCAAACTTAAGAAAAAAAAAACACTATCACTGACAAATAGGGACCATTTCTGAAAATACACACACCTTTGGCGCTGGCCACAAACCCACAGACTGTTATCACAGGGTCTGCACTAACTCTGGAAATCTAGATAATATTCTGTTTTCTTACAGAATGACAATGTCCTCAATAGCATTATGTGTATCTGTGTGTTTCTTGACTGTATGGACTCCCTGTACTTGCAGATAAAGAAGTAAATGTAGTGCGCAGCAGGGTTTGTGAGTTCCCTATTTTCTTAACGACCATGAGGTCTGAAGACTGACAATTCATTGTATACACACAGACCAGAATATTTTCATCCGCATCATCACGCGGCTTTAGTTGTCCACTCACAGGAGGAAAAACACAATTAAAGAACAAGGCTTTTTTTTGTTTTGTTTTTGTTTTTTTTTTTTGCAGTAACACTAAGAAGTATAGTTAATGCATACACATGAAGTGTGACAAAACTTGGCAAAAACACTGCAGAGGAAAGTTTGATTTTTTTTAACCAGCGAAAAATTTATCTCACTTCTAAAGATCTTATAGATACTTAAAAACAAAAATCTCAAATCTAAAACAATAACCGATAAAGCTTTAAATGTTGAATTTTAACTCTGAGGATGGGGAAAAAATGGATCTTTTCTACATAAAGACTCAATTGTTCCCTAATCTTAGAGATGGCTATTAGAGCCAAGTCTGCTGAAAACATCCTGTTTACTCTGCAGAGAAAAACAGGCTTGGCGTAAGCATTTTGCTCAGCATGCAGACATTTTCATTCTGTTTTAGAGAAGAGTCAAGATGGCAGAATATAAAAAATGAAATTAAAAAGTACACAGCATCTGAGGTCAAAATGGAATCTGGCTGTTAACCTTACAAAAATCACCCCCTCACCCAAAAAAAAAAGTGGTAAAAATGAGTGAATAGTTGCAAAAAGTTAACAGCCTATGAGCTTCTAGTTTCTGCGAGATATATGTGTTAATAAAGGTGCTTCCAAATTCTCAGGCAGGAGTTTTATCTTTTCCTTTCTTTTTCCTCTTGCATACCTTCTATACCATATTCAACCCACAGGAGTTTGGAAGAACCGATTGCTAACTTATGCTACATTCATGTCAGAAGAGGTGGGAAAATTCTTACAACAGGAGCCATACTCATAGGAAATCAAGTTGCTATAAATAAAACTAACTAGCAATAAATGGATAAGTGATTTATTGGGGGGACACTGATTAAATAATTTGGTTTGGAACCTTAACTTGCAACACTGCTAAGTTAACTCCTATGAATGTTGTAAATGAAACACGTCCAGGGTTGGGGACTGAGGGATCAGAGATGTTACATGAGCCATCCATTTCTTCACAGTGTCTCAGAGATCTGAACTCTTTTCCACACTTAAAGTTAGGTCATGATACTGGATCTAATTGACAGCAGAGGTCCTCTGTCTGGTGTGAGACACCCCTTTCTCTATTAGTGCTTCTTTTCTTTTGGCTACTCGTGTGGTAGGTAGAAACCAAGTTTGTGATGTTCAGGAGATGTACACACCTCTAAGCCACTAGTAATCAAGTGTTTTAAAAAGTAGTTAAAAAAAAAAAAGGGAAAGCTCAAATTAACATAATCAAAATGTTTTTAAAATAAATCTATGTAATGAGAGGTGACCAGCAAGCCTGTATCTATGCCAGAGTGTGGTAGAAGAGAAGAAGGCACTCTCACTGAATTTTATAAGTATACTGAAGTCATCTAACCTCTTAGTAGACATGGCTCTTGCCAAAGAATACCACGGAAAGAGCTCTTCTCTTCCATGACATCCTCACCATATCCTGTTCTTAGGTCACTGCCAACCAATAAAGCAAAGCTCCCAGCAAGTTGACAAAAAGAAGGGGGAGGTCTGGGGGAAAAGGGGAGGAGACGAAGGACAAGAGCAGAACAACAGGAACCCCTTCTATTTGCCCAAGACAAAGAGACTTTCCAAATCACTGCAGTTGTCACAATTACACACCTGGAGGAATCAATGCACAGTAATGGAGGGCACACGACACAGGAAGGAACTTGGCATTCTACATTACTGAGACATAAGCATATTAACTTGCTTGACGTTTGTTTATTTATTTTAAATTCAGCCCACTGCCTTTGGGGCCTGTCCAGAACCACTCCAATTTCCTTTATGGGTGAGTATCTTACATCTGTGGAGTGACTGGACCACACACACACACATGTGCGTCCCCCTTGCTCAGGATGTCTGGGTGTATGTACGAAGGCACTAAAGCGGTTTTAGAGAAATTGCAGGCAGCAACCCCACCCACTCCCTTTACCTGTCGAGCTGGAGTTTCCTTCCCACTGGGAAGCTTAATGTTTAAAAGAAGCTGTGGTCATGCTTGGGAATTCTGACCCCTGGCCCCAGGAGGGAATACAAAAGAATTCAACATCACCAAAAACTGAAAGGAAACACTCCACATCTCCGGCTAAGGGATGGGGATAATTAAGCAGCAGATCTTCAAAACAGCAATTAAAACGAGCACAACAGTAGCTGGGAGCTAAAAAAGTAAAATCACTTGTTCCTTATTAGATTCTTCTATATTTTCTCCTCCTCCCAAAACAAACGGAGGTAAGACAGACATTCTTCATTAATAGGACAGTCCATAGATAATTTTCCTCTAGTAATGCCTATATTTAAAATTTGTTCCAAAAATTATTAACCTATATTTCCTAACTCTTTACATAGATTCTCAGCAATCCAACTGTACTATTTTACAGATTACTTTTTTTTTTAAGCTGTTGTTTCTTCCTTCCTTCCTTTCTTTTGTTGCTGGGGTTGTGGGGACAAGGAGAAGGGTTCCTTTAAAAAAATAAAAATTACTAGGGGAGATTTCAGTTCAGTCTCAAATGGAAAGGAACAAAGTGATGGCATTCTCATCTATATACACCAAACACTCTCCCATTAAACTACACACAATTTCAAAAGAATCCATGATCGAGCTCTTACAAAGCTTAATCCTTCTCCCATATTTTTAAGATAATGAATTTACCTGTTGCTGCTAAATTGATAATTTTTAAAAAATATTTCTATGTGTTTTAAAATGTGTGATCCCCAGTATGACAATAATGTTTGGAGACTTTTCTTTTTACATTTTTTTAAGTAAAAATTGTTTAAACTTTCTGAAGTTTCAGGAACTTGTAAAAGTTTATTAACAGGAAAGAAACAGCCATCTCTCTAGGATAAGATATGGTTAAATAAACCATCTTCAAAAAACTGGCTTCCTACCCTAGAATTCCTGAGAATGCTTGCAAATTTTAAAGCAGGAAAACAAATGTTAAAAACAGAAACAAAAAACACTGTTAAATGCTCCCAGAGTTAGTCTTCATCTAAAATATATATTTATATGTATATATATACGCACTTTTTGGTCTTTTTTTTTTAAAGTTTTTAGTTTTTTTCCCTTTAAGCTTATGATGGAAGAACATTTTAGCTTCTCATGTTTATTTTTACATATTTCAAATCCCTCATTATGTCTTGTAAACAAGAGGGGCTCTAGCACCCGGCTTTCACCGTAGTATCGTAAGGAACTCAACTAACCCATAGTGCAGGTCAAGGAACCAACAGGCAGGAGGAGAGGAGGGTGGGGCAGGACACAGCAGTGAACCAAGAGCGGCAGTGGACAGGGTCGCCACTGGCTCGCAGGAGCCTTGGGATATGCTCCTGGCCCAGGGACACTAAGATTTAACCTTCTCTAGATGTCTGAATACAAGCTGCTCTTCACCTGGTGGTCACCGCACGACAGCACTTTGCTCCACACAGAGAGCGGTCAGTGGGGGCTGCTGGAAGCAGAGCTTTTGCATGGGGAACAGTGGTGGAAGGGGCACGGTGGTGATTCAAATTGCAGAGCAGGAAGAGGGCATGCTCAAGGCACCCAGCGGGGCCACGTCAATGCTGCAGATGCCAAGTGTGACCACCTACCCACAGAGGGCTCATGCAGGCTTGTATATGTGAACACTCACTTGAGTCATGCCTGTCAATCTCTTTTGAGGCTAGGTTTATAATCAACAGGGTAAGCCAGAAGGGCTACAGAATTTCCCATTCTTTGTCTCACAAAACCACTGAAATGCAAATAACTTGTTTTAGGCTTTTCCTATACACACCCACCCACCCACCTACACACAGACACAAGCTAAAAAGTCAAATACATTAGGCATTGTTGTATTGTATCCTTCACTGAAGACGCTAAAGAAAGAAAAACTCCCTTGTCCTCAATAGCAGCAAGTTACAGAGGACAGTAGAGGTCTGCTCCCACCAAGGGTTGGAATGGGCAGGTATTTGCTGGTACAAAATGTCGGCACTTTATGTTAAACAGCATAATGCAGACTGGGATGTCCACACAAGTGCTAGCACGTCACCGGCATCCATCCCCCCACCCTATCTGGTTTTTCGCCCCCTTCAGGTCTGCTATAATTCTCTTCACAATAAGCAGTTTGATACATTTTGATTCCGACATAAGTACATACATGTTGGTGATAACTGTAGATTAAACGTTGACCCCTGTTCGGCCCAGAGTACTACTACATTGATGCTTAAAAAAAAAAAAAAGTATTTAAATACCGAAATTAAAAAAGCAAAATTACAAGGTGGGGGGAAGAGGTCAAAAATCAAAAAAAGGTGCAATACTTAAAAGTCTTCGCTAAGTTATACCTGCCTAAGCAAAACCACATACACAGGAAATACACAACACAGAGAAACAAAAGGAAACGCTTGAAGTACACACTGGTTTAAGAACATTCGTTAAGTAAACGTTTCTGTCAGTGATGGCCTGGTGCTGTAACGCGCCACGGCCTGGCACAGGTAACGCTCGGCGAGAAAGGAGCAGAGGGAGTAGCTGCAGATGCTTTCAGGAGGCTGCTCACCACTTATTCTTTTCTGTTTTCATAAAATGAAAAAGAGAACCAACCAACAGAAATATGTAACTCAACTTCACCTAATTTTTTGAAGAATTTCTCAAACCTGATCATAAGGAAAGAGGGAACAAAGTTTCTCTGTTTTTGAGACATCGCATCATCAAAAGTTATCTTCCGTTCCCATTTCAAACTAACGAAAAGGCCTGCATGAAACTTAACAGATACTCAGATGTGCCTGGTGGCCATTCACTTAAAAAAAAAAAAAAACAGAAATAAACACACCGTTGCTCCAAGAGGTACCTCCTGCTCTAGTTTTTTGGACTTGGCAGTGCTCCACTCTACTGCTAGGTCAAAAGAACAGCCAGAGAAACCCCACATTCAGGCTAAGTTGCAAATGGAAAGGAGCTCCCTGCTTTCATCATTAAAAAGCACTCTGTTCATCTTAATGCAGCCCAATGGAGTTGCTTTAGTAGCAGTGGCTCTCCGGGCCTGTGTGTTCTCATAGTTAAAAAAATAAAATAAAAAGCAGATGGGCCGGCCAGCCAGCCTGCAGACTGTCAGCGATGCAGCTTTCTGAGAAGTCAGGGTGGGGCAGGGGAGAAGGGAAGAACACAGGCACACACACAGAGACAGAGAAGGATGCACGCGAATGCACATGAACACACGTGCACACACACACCAGAACGAGCATGCCTGGGCAGTTACATGTGCCAGAACACACTGGTATTTATCAACCAGCCAATCACAAATTTTTTCCTTTTTTTTTTTTTTAGGTTTTTTGTGTTTTTGTTTTTAAAGTGAGGCTCCGTCAAGTCTTCCCTCCCCCCTCCCCCAACAATTCTTTTGAATTTCCCTCCCTCCCAAACATGGTAGACCTAAGGACGGAAACACACCCAGTGCAAACAAAGTTAAAAAGCTATTTTTTTTCAGTATATATGTTTCTTAGCAACAACTTCCATATAACATGAAAAAAGTGAAAAACTAGAAACTAATTTTTTTAATTTTTTTGTGTTTAAATTTAAATGGTATGTGTACTTGCTTCACATTGTCTTTCTAGGTTGGCGTTCATGATTCAAGTATTTCAAGAGTGATATGTTCTCTTTTTGGATTCATATTCCAAACGAAAAAACTGAAGTTATAAGGGAGGCAACTATGTGCTCAGACAGTCTGTCAATGACCCACCTTTTTTTCTCTCCGTTTTCTTTTTTCCTTTTAAAAATGTATTTATTGCAAGTTGAAAAAAAAAACGAAAAGGTCAAGTTAGTGCTGCTGCTGTTCCAAAAAAGGTCACGAGGTCAGAGTTGAAAGTTCTAAGTTCAGATTGAATCCGACCCTCCTCCCAGAAGGTCACCAGGTAGTAAAGGAGCAGGGCTGCCCATCCTATGGGGATCTTCCACCGTTGGGACTCCCCATAAGCTAGAAGAATAGTTTGGGGGCCCCCACAATGAAGCGCCAGCAAGATCGGCCCCGCTGCTGCCACCAGCGCTGCTGCTCCACTGCCCGAGCCCAGTGGACCCACCAAAAAGATTCAGAGCAGGTCCCACGGGATCTGACTGGTTCTGGCCGGTCTCCAGCGACTGCCACCCCGCAGCTGGCGCACTTGGGGTTGCTGCAGGTGTAGGGGGCTGAGCTTGTGCCAGAAAGCGGCTGACTTCATCATCAGTGGCAAACTCAGCAAGGATGGTAGTGTTTCCCAACACACACCTGGAAGAAGGGAGGGAAAGAGAGCTATGGATCTCAGGAAAATCCTAAAGCATACGGAGGGAGCGACTGCAGTCCTTGACATTCAATGTGCAGTCCTTTGACTAGAAGCTGCCATATCCATGAACGCTTTTTAGAATGCAAAGTCCAAGCTCCACCCAAGACCTCTGGGTCCAGAACTTGTATTTCAACCAGACCGCCAGGTAATTAAGAAGTAATGATGTAAACCAACAAGGCATCACCAAAACTCAGGATAACCAAGGACTACTAGAGAATACTATATTCTGATATTTCTTGGTGTATGGAATTTATATATTCTAGACAACTTAGCTATCAAGAAAAACGTGTGTGTCTGTGGGGGGCTAAGAGGGATGACTGAACTGGCAGAGGACTCTGATACTGTAATGGTAGATACCCGTCATTATACATTTGTCCAAAACCATATACTGTACAAGGCCGAGTGAACTCTAATGTAAACTACAGACTTTTGGTGATAAGGAGGGGTTCAGCAATCTTGACAAATGCACCACTCTGGTGGAGGATGTTGATAATAGTGGAGGCTATTCATGTGTGGCAGCAGGAGATATGACAGAAATCTTTGTATCTTCCTCTCGATTTGGCTGTGATCCTAAAACTGCTCTAAAACAAAATAAATAAAGCCTTAGATAAAAAGGAAAGAAAAATATGGTCTCTTTCTTTCCCCATGTGAGTTATGAGGCAAGAGACCATACCCAAAGCATCGAAGCAACCTGGCTTCAGTCCCCGGAAGTGCTGCTCTTTCTCAGGGGCTCCTCGCTGCCTGAGCCCCCTCATCCCTGGCTTGCAGTGTGTCTGGCTTTCTGTCATGGCATCTGCAGCCAAGGGCAGTCAGGTCTTCTCCGTCCACCAGTTTGACAGTGGCAGGGAAGGGGATGGGCAAAGTCTGATCTAGCGCCACCTAATTTAAGCAAAGACCCTGCTACCCCCCAAGACCACAATATTTCATCATCTGCAAAGAGGCTGGAGTAAGCAGCTAGATTCTATTATGAAAAACAATGGCAATTCTATTAGCTGTGTGTTTTTTTTCTTTTTTGAGATGGAATCTTGCTCTGTCACCAGGCTGGAGGGCAGTGGCATGATCTCAGCTCACTGCAACCTCTGCTTCCCAGGTTCAAGCGATTCCCCTGCCTCAACCTTCCCAGTAGCTGGGACTACAGGCATGCGCCCCCACGCCTGGCTGATTTTTTGTGTTTTAGTAGAGACAGGGTTTTACCATGTTGGCCAAGATGGTCTCCATCTCCTGACCTTGTGATCTGCCCGCCTTGGCCTCCCAAAGTGCTGGGATTACAGGCATGGGCCACTGTGCCCGGCCCTAGCTTTATGTTACTTAGAATTTACTCACTACTTCACAAATTATTTACGTTTGGAATTCTGACGACTGGCCTCTGATATATACAGGACAATCCAAGCTTTGGTGGAAAAGACCCGGCACCTCCACACTCTCCACACTCGAGACTTGCAGATGCACGTGTGACGGTGCCATTCTTCGTATATGTTCTGGTGCATCTTTAATTCAGCAGCTGCCAGAATACTCACGGGTGCATCTTCATGCATGTTTGTCTACGTGGGTGTAGGACCGAATACTCACATGTGCAGTGCAGTTTGGGCCTTGGCCGCCTCCTGTTTGGTGCTGTATCGGATCAGGGCAGTGCCCTGGGTTAGATTCAGATGGAATGTCAGCAGTGGGCCATGCTGCATGCAGATCGTTCTCAAGGTTGACCCATCAATCTAAGGAGTAATGACATTCATGAGATAAAGACTGGAGGTGGGGTGGAAAAGGTACATTTTAAGATATTCAAAGCACTGGCTGAGACCTAGTGTGCCCATTTTGCAAATAGTTTCCATAAATGCAGCTCAAAACAAAAGCATATGATTCAGCCTATGGTCTGTTTTAAGAGATAAACAGGTGGGAGTGTTAACTTGTAGAGTCAAAAAAGGACAAAAATGAGATGGTATCCATGTAAGAATGTAAGTTAACATTCTTAGCATCACTGCTCATGTATTCCTCTGTAAAGAGAAAGACACAGACAAGAAAAGCACTACTAAACATCTGATTATTTAAAATGCTGATGGCTGACCTGGTTCATAGCCTATTCTAACACTGTCTTACCCCTACTTTGCCCATCTCAAGGTGAGACTATTTCTGCCTACTTCTCTATGTCCTGTGCTGACATCAGGCATTTTGACCAAAGGCTGTACCCCTCACCCCAGTTAGACTTTCACCACTTAAGATCTTCAGCGATTAGGGACAATTTTCCTAACCTATGAGTTGGATGAACAAACTTATTCACTCTGATTAACTTATTTTGCATCAAGATCTTTTTACTTATTTAGTTTTGAGACAGAGCCTTGCTCTGTTGCCCAGGCTGGAGTGCAGTGGCACAATCTCGACTCACTGCAACCTCCACCTCCCAGGTTCAAGCGATTCTCCTGCCTCAGCATCCTGAGTAGGTGGAATTACAGGCGCACACCACAACTCCCGGCTAATTTTTGTATTTTTAATAGAGACAGGGTTTCACCATGTTGGCCAGGATGGTCTTGATCTCCTGACCTTGTGATCCACTCGCCTCAGCCTCCCAAAGTGCTGGGATTACAGGCATGAGCCACCGCGCCTGTCCCATCAAGATCTTAAATAGGTATTTAAGATCAGTCCACCATTTCAGTTCATTTCTTTGGAAGATAAACAGATTACTATTGAATAGATTAAAAAGCTGTACTACTGGTGGCAGTGGTAGACACCCTGCAGGATGAAAACAGGCAGTTTCTCTGTAGTTCTTTGCAGAAAATGATCACAGAAATGCTCTTAGCATTGTTTTATAAGTAACAATAGATTACACAAGCATGTCAGCATATGCCACAACAGACTTTTTAGGATAGATGCTCTCTAGATAAATTTTAGGTGATGAAAGAAACATTATCCAGATAAAGTAGTCCCCTTTTATCTGAGGGGAACACCTTCCAAGGCCCCCCAGTGGAGGCCTGAAACCACCAATAGTACCGAACTCTAAGTATACTATGTTTTTCCTATACATACATACCTAAGACAAAGTTTAATTTACAAATTAGGCACAGTAAGAGACTAAAATAGAAAAGTTGCCAGGTGCGGTGGCTCACGCCTGTAATCCCAGCACTTTGGAAGACTGAGGTGGGCAGATCACGAGGTCAGGAGATCAAGACCATCCTGGCTAACATGGTGAAACCCATCTCTACTAAAAACACAAAAAAATTAGCCAGGCATTGTGGCTGGCGCCTGTAGTCCCAGCTACTTGGAGGCTGAGACATGAGAACCGCATTAACCCGGGAGGCGGAGCTTGCAGTGAGCGGAGATCGCGCCACTGCACACTCCAGTCTGAGCGACAGAACAAGACTCTGTCTCAAAAAAAAAAAAAAAAAAAGAAAAGAAAAGTTATAACAACATACTGTAAGTTATGTGAATGTGGTCTTTCTCTAAAAACATCTTAATATTTTTTGACTATGGTTTGACCAAGGGTAAGAAATCATGGGTAAGGGGGTGACAATTGTATCAAGATTTGCTTTTTTTTTTTTAAATTCAGAGATGGGGGGGGTCTCACTCTTCTGTCACCCAGGCTGGAGAGCAGGTGACTTGCTCTTATAACCTTTTAAGCTATGATAGAGATTAGTCTGCTTTTAGGAAGCTTTCATTTTAAAATTAGTTCTAACCCAAACACGGCCACCCCCATATTCATTTTATATGGATGTATGTGTATAATTAACATTTTTTTCTTTGAAACAGCGTCTCGCTCTGTTACCCAGGCTGGAGTGCAGTGGTGCGATCTCAGCTCACTGCAGCCTTCACCCCCGGGTTCAAGCGATTCTCCTGCCTCAGCTTCCCGACTGAGGTGGGACTACAGACACCCACCACCATACCCGGCTAATTTTTGTCTTTTTAGTAGAGATGGGGTTTCGCCATGTTGGCCAGGCTGGTCTGGAACTCCTGACCTCAGGTGATCCACCTGCCTCAGCCTCCCAAAAGTGTTGGGATTACAGGCATGAGCCACCACATCTGGCCAGCATTTTTCATAAGATAGAACAAGTGAACAGCCGATTGGCCTGCCCAGGCTTCTTTCAAAACAGTGCATCTCTTACTGCTTCTCTCAATCTCATCATAACATAATCACATTGTGTGACAACTCTTAGAAAATAGGAGGTATACATAGTTTTGAGGATGGTCATACAAGATTCTTCATATTTCAGTCAACTATTTGCTAAAGAAATAACTTGGAACTTAAAAAAAAAATTTTTTTTTCTCTGAGATGAAGTCTCGCTCTGTCTCCCAGGCTGGAGTGCAGTGGCGCAATCTCGGCTCACTCCAAGCTCCGCCTCCCAGATTCATGCCATTCTCCCGCCACAGCCTCCCAAGTAGCTGGGACTACAGGTGCTCACCACCACACCCGGCTAATTTTTTGTATTTTTAGTAAAGATGGGGTTTCACCATGTTAGCCAGGATGGTCTCGATTGCCTGACCTTGTGATCTGCCCGCCTCGGCCTCCCAAAGTGCTGGGATTACAGGTGTGAGCCACCGTGCCCGGCCGTAACTTGGAACTTTGAGCTGAGTTGATTAGATACAGAGATTAAGAGCTGACCCACACTCTCCCTCATGTTAACTGTATTTAGGAAATTGTTTACCTCAATGTGCATCTTGAAATACGAGTCCTGTGATTTACTCCCTACAAATGGGCAAATGTATTTAGGAGATGTATTTCCCCACAGAGAATCATAATATGTGTTAGCGTATTAAAAGGCCTAAGAAGTCTCAAAGTGAAAAAATCTGCTTAGTTTTGTTTAACCAAGTATACATGTCAAACATATTAGGCCAGAGACCTAATCATATCTCATGACAACACTCTGGAAAATGTTGGCTTAATAAAGTGTGCATGAATCCATATATGAATTAAATGCCAGAGAATGCATTTTGTATGTCAAAAACAGGAGGCATAACAGACTCCTTTTAACAAGGTGTTGTAAAGGTTGTGATGGACTCAGTTTTGATGAGCCCATTTAACCTCGTTCAGGTGCTCAACATAATGCTTCTGCAAATACCTCAGTTATCTAGCAACCAAGGTGAAAGGCAGAGTGGCTTGGTGCAAATGAAGCTCCTCCAATAGAAAACCACCTAGCGGATATGGTCTGATGAGAGCAAATTATAGTAATGCCATCTACACGTGAAGAGGATAATAGACGGAGAGTTAAACACACCCATGTAGCTTTTTTTTATTTTTTCAGATGGAGTCTCGCTCTGTCGCCAGGCTGGAGTGCAGTGGTGCAATCTCAGCTCACTGCAACCTCTGCCTCCTAGGTTCAAGTGATTCTCCTGCCTCAGCCTCCCGAGTAGCTGGGACTACAGGCGTGTGCCACTACGCCCAGCTAATTTGTGTATTTTCAGTAAAGACGGGGTTTCACCATGTTGGCCAGGATGGTCTCGACCTCTTGACCTCGTGATCCATCCACCTTGGCCTCCCAAAGTGCTGGGATTACAGGCGTGAGCCACTGCGACTGGCCCCATGTAGCATTTATAAACTATGAAGTCAAATGATCTCTTCCACTGGAGAGATGGATGGTTAATTATTTACAGAGCACAAAAATGGTTAATATGTTTTAAGAGGGAGAAAATACTGAGGTTTTGTAACTAAATGATGCATGAGATCCATATTAAGAAACAAAGAACTTAGTTGAGAAGGGAAGACACTTTCAGGGATAGGAAGTATAGGTTCAGGTCTTCTTGGAGGATTAACACAGAAACAGGTAGCTTTTGGGTGTCCTTAAAATACTCCCTTTTCCACTAGGTTCCAGATACTAACATGCACATTTGTATAGCAAATCGTGTCTACTACACAGAAATCACCAGAAAATACCACCCTACTCTGTTTGTTTTTTTCTCTTTCTCTGCCCCGTAAGATCTGCAGAAACCCACTCTCTAGTGGGTTTTACCTAGTTTTATGAACTAGCTTATAAAACTAACTTTCACTTTTGTAAACTGTATGTGTTATCATCATCTTGAAGGCAGGCATGAAGCCTAGTGGCCAGCATCAACCCTTCTCCAGAAGTAGACTGTGAACCTTGGGTGGGGAGGGGACACCCACTCCTGTAGTCAAGACCTCTTTGCAGTGATCAGGAGATGAACTTTCATATCTGCCAGCCTCCCACATCTATTTCCCTCTCTCTCCTTTTTGAGAAAGGGTCTTGCACTATTGCCCAACCTGGAGTGCAATGCAATGCAATTCTGGGCTCAAGTGATCCTCCCACCTCAGCCTCCTGAGCAGCTGTGTGCCACCATGCCTGGCTAATTTTTAATTTTTTGTAGAAACAGGGTCTCATATTGCTTGGACTGATTTCAGACTCCTGGCTTCAAGCAATCCTCTCGCCTTGGCCTCCCAAGGTGCTGGGATTACAGGTGTGAGAAACCAACCCCCATCTTTACCTCTTTTTTTTTTGTTTTTTTTTTTGAGATGGAGTCTCACTCTGTCGCCCAGGCTGGAGTGCACTAGCGCAATCTTGGCTCACTGCAAGCTCCGCCTCCCGGGTTCACGCCGTTATCCTGCCTCAGCCTCCCGAGTAGCTGGGACTACAGGCGCCCGCCACCATGCTCAGCTAATTTTTTGTATTTTTAGTAGAGACGGGGTTTCACCATGTTAGCCAGGATGGTCTTGATCTCCTGACCTCGTGATGCACCCGCCTCGGCCTCCCAAAGTGCTTGGATTACAGGCATGAGCCACCATGCCCAACCTTTCCCTCTCTCTTAATACAATCAAGTCCTATCTAGAAAACTGCGAGAAAGCATAATTACCTGTGGGGTGAGATTGTGAAGAACCAGCCAGTAACTAGGACGAACTGAGCCACCATCACTCCAGGTAGAGGCTATGAGCAACCAGAAAAATGGTTAGGAAGAGAAATAAAACAAAAACAAGAAAAGCCATGAGGGAGAAAGATTTTCATGTAGCTCACATTTCTTCTCTGCTTTTATAAATTCTCTTTTCCACTGGACTCTGACCTTCTTTTTCTCTTCTACTGGTCCCTGACTCCTATGCACTTTTATGCCTGATTTGCAAGACAGTATTTTCCTCCCAGTGTTCTCACTCTGCCATTTTTACTCATTTTACTCCATCTGTCCCTTTGCCTTATACTGACTGCGACTTTCACTCACTCAAGAGGTACCTTTTCCTCTACCAGAAGAAAAAGCAGACAACCATGACTTCCTCTCTTGGGAAGACCTCTTTGTGTCTTCACCATCTGTGTTAACATAAGCCCCTTGTGGATGAACAATGGTGTTCCTTTAGGCAGATCCTCCTCACCCGAGGCGAGCCGTGAGTCCTGTGTCCCCCACCCCCTGACTGATCGGGGTGCTGTGCTGCTCCAGGGAGATGATGGTTTGGGGTTGGTCAGACCAGGAGGTGGGCGGGGCAGCGGTGTAGTGTTCCTGGAGGAAATATGGTTTTTCCACATCTTGTTGGAGAGATGAGTGGGGTTGTGTCCTATGGGATCTGGGGACCATGTTGATTTGTAATCAGGGAACTTTGCTGTAAGAAGAGAAAATTAAGGAAGGAATAAGGTTAGACGGTTCACTTTTGTTGACAAATACACATGAGTTTTATCTACATACACATAAATACATGCACATTTATATTCTAAAAAGTAATAGTACACATTTTAAGCACAGCAATACAAAATAACACTGTTCTTAGAGCATAACGAACATAAAATTTTCAGTGACTACTACTCTGAATTGATAGAATTATCATATGAATTAAAGATTTAATAAGATAACCAATTCTCTACTGCTTTCTTAGCTAAAAATGACTTGAAAAGGAGGACACATTCAAGGAGAAAGTCTTCCTAAAGATACCAGCTTCTGGGTAACAGTGAGAATGTGAACATTAGCAGAATAAAGTATTCTATAAATAATCATTGACTGAATAGAAAGTAATTAGTAAATTACACTTTTCTTGTGCCTTGATCCAGTCTATTAGATATTGATGTTCACATAGATTCTTTAAAAACAATCAAGAAATATTCACTAAGGGCTTACTATGCATACGGCACGAAATCAGTGCTGTGAGGAATAGAAACAATTATCCCTGAGAACCTCAAGCTCAGATGGGAACACAGAACAGATGAGCAACAGAAGTGGTGACCCCAACATCATCACGTAAGCTCAATATGCAGAGGGGATCAAGAACGCTGGGCTTGCAGCAAAGGCTTTATAAAGACAGCTCTTGAAGGATTTACATAAATGGATGGGCACAAAGAAACAGGAATGTGTAAACCAAGGTTCAACATAAACTCTCTGTGTATGGAATATGTTCCCCCCCAATTTTGGTTGAACAGTTCACAGGGGCAGAGAGGTAAAGGAGGTTACATATCAGGAGTTTTTGCAACTGATTCAGCATGGAGTGTTTAAACTACTGTGATAGTAAATAGAATGGAACAGAAGGAATGGATATTTGAAATATGATTGCAGAATAAATCACTAAAGAGAAATCATAACTGCCTGGATCCAGGGATTGAGAGAGAGAGGAAAGAGGAAGAAAATACTGAGGTTTTGTAACTAAATGATGCATGAGATCATTATTAAGAAACATAACTGAGTTGAGAAGGAAAGACACTTTTGGGGGTGGGGAAGTATAGGTTCAGTTTTAGACAAGTCTGAGGTGATTCTTGGGCCATCTCTCAGATGAATTTTCAACTGTTGGAAAAAGACACATAGTTCAATCTGAGATATGGGCATTTATAGGTGTAAAAGAGTTGGGTAACCAGAGTTAAGTTTTTACATGTAAAAGAAATCCTACAAAAGTGTAATGTAGGGTGGTGGTTCAAAACCCGGAATATTGAGATGTCTCCTTTACATACTTGCTCAGAACTGAGGCAAGTTATATCTGCTCTCAGAACCTCACTTAGTTTCTTTATCCACAAAATAGGGGTAACAACAGGACTTACTCATAGCCTTTGGTGAAGGTAAAATAAAAATTAACGTGGAAGGTTTAGCATGATGCCTGGCCTGTGGGATCATTCAGTGAGTGGTAGGTTATTGTTGCACTGCTGATATGACAGAGAGGTGGGAAGGAGAACAAGACAATGTTTAGCCCACTAACCTGCAGCGTCTTCGTAGTTGGACAAAGGTCTACTTTATTTGCTTTTGCCTGGGCAAAGCACGTAAGTCATAATGACTTTAACAGCTTAAGGTCCGACTTGTGCAAACTAAAGGTGCCAATTACTAATATGTCTACCAATCAGTAAGGCACTATGCTCAGTGAGTGACTTCAAAGCCTTTATTATATCCACCAACTTTTCCATTTCCTAATATCTTTTAAAAAACCATGAGGAACTTACCAAATGATGGTAAAATGAATCAAGGTCCTTTTTTTTTTTTCCTTTGGCCATCTGCCCTTAGCCTTTGTCTATAAGTGGGAGGATTTTTAGAGAAAAGCTAGCTATTATTGGCTATCTTAGGAATAATAACCTGGCCTTCACTGGTTCTTCTCATGACCCTTGACTTCTTGGCAGCCTTGTTAAAAGAGAAGCATGTGTGTCATTAGGACGTGACTCCAGCCCTCTGGATATGCCAGCTCCCTGCAGTTATGTCACTACCGGCCTCATCCCAAAGCTGTATCTGGCTCATCCTTCCTGAGACTAGAAGTTCCTCAAAGACATAGCAAACAGAAAAGATGTGCTTCCATCTATACTGACCTATGCTACTGAACTTCTGTAAGAGTATATCTTATGAAATACATGCCAGTTTCCTTTATAAAAGGGAACCTGATGAAAAAGTGCTAACCAAAGGGAAACAAAAAATTCACACTCATACCTGAAGTGCTATGAACGTTGGTAAAGGAGTTGTCAGAGGCACTGTAGGGCCAGGCACCAGGTGAAGGCAGCGAGGTGTTGAGGGAAGAATTAGACCCTTGGGTAACAAAGAACAAGAAGAAAATACTGAAGATAAATGTCAGTATAACCAGTGAAACCTTGAGAGTATTTTGTTTAAACTTCAATAGAATGGAGGACAAAATATGTCTAACAAATAAAAGTGAAAAGCAATCTTTTTACATTTTTTGGTTAAACTTTTAGGTACCAGCAAGTACAAATGAAGTCACAAACTGACAACTATGAAAATGCTGGGTGTTGAACATATAAGAGATGCTTTGCTCAAGTACCTGTGGTGTTATCCCGCAGCAGTTGGTGGTCAGTATCTACAATGGGAGATGTGGCTGTACCCCCCAGCACACTTCCTGGGGTGACATAGGGGTCAGATTCAGGGTCAATGTTTTGGATACCTTTCCATGGCACTCCTGGTTGGAATTCTGAGACAAGGAAAACAAATATTAGAGAAGGAAGGTCGTTAAAAAAAAATGATATAGTACTTTTTTTGACATAAGAAATGGGTCTGTGAAAAGTATAAATACTGAATTTATTGTCTCTTAGATTTTCATCACAAAATTAAGGAAAAAAAAATCACCATGAACATACTCTTGCCAACAGCACCTTTGTTTTATCACACTGTCTGTGGCAGTCAACTGGAAGCCACAGCTCATCAGAGCCTGTCCCCAGTAACCTGATCCTCCTGCTCCCAGGAGACTTCAGGGCTGAAGGCAGGGAAAGCAGGAGTAAGGACTCTGGTGTTCACAAGAATCATCCCAGCATCTAGGCCAAGAACCGGTGAAAATATGGGCTAGAGATCAGTGCTCTTTCTCATTTTCCTTACGAGATGTTGGCCAAAATGCAAAAAATGTAATACAAATGATACTGCTACACAGAATGTCCAGGGATAACCAGCAGGGATAATTTAGCTTAGCAAAAGAAAGCCTAGAATATACATAAGGGCTCGGAATTTTTTTATTGGTCAATTTAAATCATTTTAAAATTTTAAGGCTATGTGACACAATAAACTTTTATTTTCCAAATCGTGATGAGAAAGAGCAATGTGTATTATATATGAACGATCTGCATTATACAGTTCTACTTTGGCCGGGCGTGGTGGCTCACGCCTGTAATCCCGGCACTTTGGGAGGCCGAGGCGGGCAGATCACCTGAGGTCAGGAGTTTGAGAACAGCCTGTCCAACATGGCGAAACCCTGTCTCTACTAAACATACAAAAAATTAGCCAGGCGTGGTAGCAGGCGCCTGTAATCCCAGGTACTTGGGAGGCTGAGGCAGGAGAATCGCTTGAACCTGGGAGGCAGAGCTTGCAGTGAACCAAGATCGCACCACTGCACTCCAGCCTGGGTAATAAGAGCAAAACTCCCTTTCAAAAAAAAAAAAAAATTCTACCTTAATAAAACGAAACTATACATATTCATGTCACAAATACGCATGCACAGAAAGAGGTCTAGGAGGATATATATTTATGGAATTACTGATTTTAATTTTTGCTTTATTAAATGTTCTCATTTTTCTATCATGAGAATAGATTACTATATCCAACAAAAGGGAGGGACAGAAAGAAAAGAATTAACAAATAATCTCATTGCAATCGCTACTGCATACCTAGAAGCTAACTGGTAATACACACTTGCCTAAGAACTAACAAATCAATTCAACAGACACTTCAAAAGAACCCATGTTACAAGGCATCCTATGCATGGGACGAATGCAAAGTCCCACCTACAATGTCACTTATCCCCAGATTCCCCATCTAATGAAAATTTTCTATCTTCCCACAGCACATGCCTTGCTTCTAACAGACAATTATTGAATGAAAAAAATAAAAGCAAGTACCTTAGTAACATGAATCACAAAAGCAATGTATTCTGAACCTGAAACTGACAATTACAAAACAAATGCTATCCTGGGAAAAGCATTTCCTAGACAATACCTGGAGGCCAACTGGCATTGCTGGATTTACTTCCGATTTTATTTGTTGGTGGAGATTTGGCAGGTAACCAGCTATCACCAGCAGGACCCGTATGGCCACCCAGTGTGTCACCAGGGATGATATCAAACTGGTTGTACGGTGACCCTCCCCGGGTTTTACCAGGGGCCACTATAGCGCCTGAGAAAAGAGAGGAAATTAAATCATCCAGAATAACTCCTATGAATAGAACTTGTCTATTTTTTATTCGCTGGAATGCAAACAGTCTTCTGAAGCTGATGGAGTATATACAAACAGCACTGGAATAAGAGGTTGCATTCGAGACTCAGCACAGAATTACTAAGCAGCATGACCAACAACAAGTCATTTCGCCTCTCTGAGCCTCTCAGTTCCTCACTTAGGCACACAGGATTGTTCTCATGCTTGAATGTTCCTTTCAGTTTTAAAATTCCATGGTCTTATGAAATTAATGAAACGTTCACATACTAGGAATCTGACCATTATCCCTAGTTTCTATGCTAACGACTCAAGAGTGAGAAATGGGGAAAATTCTAACCATTTGTAGCACATAAGAAGGTTTTAACTAAATTTCTACTGATGCTATCCACCCAGGTTCTTAAGGGCTGGCTGATCAGGCTTAGATTAGCTGGAAGCAGCAGTGTAAACAGAGAGTCCATTGGAGGGAAAAGCATCTGCAATTGCTTTAAATTCCAACGCAATGAGATGGAATTCCCGCCTAGGGTCTTTGCCAGCACAAGACCAGCAATGAACTCTGCAGCTCTGGGATCCGTGGCCTCACACATGAAGAACAGCAAATCCTTTGTAACTGGTTTCCTGAGAGCACTTCAGTGGTTTTGTCGCTGCCCCCATCATGCATTTTATATGCTATGGGGCAGGAAAATAATTAAAAGCTTAAAATTACCTTGAACTAACAGAACATGCACTTTGAATAAAATTTTAGGTATCAGTGAGATACCAGTCTACTTATTTCTCAAATGAATTTTACATACTATATTGGGTCACTTGATCTATTCTTAGGATGCTGCTTGTGAAGGGATAAAATTATTTCCAGGGTGATGCAGCCTAATGGGAATATTATCAAAACTACCTCCATACTCAGGCTAAGAGGGCATTTACTTTTCTGGAGCCACTGACAAATCTGGCTCAGAGGCACATTATGGTGAAGCAGTGGAAAATGACAAGCTCAATTACTTTGGGGATTGCTAAGGAAATGGGAAAACATGATCTATAAGCTCTAAAAAGGCAAGTAGAGATTTTGCCTTTGAGATATCCTCTCACATGCCATTTCAGATTTATTATCATGCACCTATCATGTCTTTGGGGACAAGGGGACCTGGTGAATCATCAGCCTAAGGAAGCATTGAAAGTGCCCAAAGCTGTAGATATCAGTGGGCTTAGATTATTCAGTCCACAAACAGATTTTACAATTTCAATAAATCATTTTTGACTTCATGCCATGAAACCAAATGATAATGCTTAGGGATGGCAGGCAGAGAGCTCCACGTGGGCATTTCACCAGCCTCCTGGATGGGCTTATTAAAGAGTGGTTTATAAAGGAAACCTGAAAGGCTTCAGACTGAATGACCTGGCTGGGGCTGGGGCCTGCCAGGGCGCTGCAGCAGGAACAGCCGGACACCTATTTATACTTGGTTCTCATGGATACAGTTAAGTCCAAGTGAATTACTGTCAAATGAAACAAACACTGAAACAAAGGCTGAAGGAAGGTTCTGAGACCTTTTATCTGTTTTACAGGAAATGGAGAAGCCCTTATAGAGAGAAACTGAGAGGAAAAGCCGACCAACATCACGACCAAAGCCTGCAATGCCCTTAAATGCTGTCTTGCAGACACTCTAATTCACATAGAATAAGAAAGCTTTGTGAAAAGTTCAAATCTCATGTATTATGATCTATTAGTCCTCTTTTGGAGATTAAAAGGCAGGAAAATTTTTTAAAGCCGATAAATTTATTATGGTTCAAACAACCAACAAGATAGGTATTGTTATGATCCCTTGCTCCGCAAAACAAACTCAACAAGCTGACTCTGTTCCCTCAGCCAACTTATTAGGGTTTCACCTTGGTGGGTGCCCAAGTTCACTGCTACCACCCTCAATCATGGTGGCTGAAAAATTCTGCTCCCTTTAATTAGAACTAGTACTTTATATTTCTTGTAATTCAACATACACATGACTCTGACCTTCCTCCACAGGCAATCATAGGATTCACAAGGAAAATGAATACCAAGTTCTGTACTTCAAAATAGTCTTATAAGATGTTTCATCAAGACCTGCTGTGGGTTGGGGGCTCTAGCTTTCAGTGCTTCTCTTACCATTTTTGTGCATATTGGCTTCCTGTGTGGCTACAGAGGGCAGCCCCTCCATCATGGAGGTCCACTGTTTAAAGCGAGACTCGGTTCCAGCCTCCTTCCCACCAACCATGCCATAGTCCATGCCGCCAGAGCTGAAGCCTAAAAAGGAGAAGACCACATTTTATAAGTCTCCAGCATCAGTATCAAGAGTTCTGAAGCAGAGTCCAGGAATGCCTTCAAGTGTCATTCAAAGACTAATTCACAGAGTTTCTCCACTCAGAAACAGGTATTTTTGATTCCAAGCTTTGATCTTGGCTCTTGCTCGCTAAATAAGTGATGTCTCTCTGTGAAGGCGTGAAGATGTGTATGACTGCCATCGATCAGGTCTGTCTCAGTGCATTCCTGCACGCCCTTTTTCATTTAGCTGACATTTGTGCCAGACAGGAGGCTGGGGCCAGCCACTCTCAAACTGAGATGGAGAAGACGACATCCAGCCAATGTAGCGCAACAGCAGCAACAAAGCTGTAGTCAGGGTATCTTGGGGGAGGAAAGGGTTTGCAGAAGGAAGATGTGATCTAGGGCCTCAGGGAGGTATTTGGGGAAGTCAAGCAAACCAAGTACAGAGCTCTGACTCTTGATAATCAAGTGTGTTTAGGGAATGGTGAGACATTCAAATGACTCCAATGGTTAGCTAACTCTGGGATGAAGTGAGGCGGAGAGTGGTGGGGGATGAGGAGAAATGAAGTTGTGTCATGTAGGGTCTTTATATATTAGGCCAAGGAGTTCGGATCTTTTTTTCTCTAGGATAAGAAGATAGTGAACATTTTAAGCATGTAAGAGGATAACTAGTATGTATTTTAGGAAGAGAATTGGCAGCCTGAGTGTGGGGTGGGTGGAGGTCAGGGCAGAATCTGAAAGATAAATTTGAAAGTAGTCTTTAAGCAATGAGGAAGACACCAAAGCTTGAGTAGGTGGGTAGTTCGAGATTCTGAGCTCACTTTGCCAAGAGCCCCAGGTAAGCTTCAGGGGAAGAGTCTTGGTGGGTAATGTGTTCCCACTGCACAGAGCTGGAGAGCTGGAAGCCACACAGCAGAATCTGGATGACGGAGTCTAACAGGGTCCGTCATCCATTTGGGTCAGAATGTGTGTGACACCTGTTCATAAAAACTCTCAAAAAAGTAAAATAAAGGACTAAAATGATGAAACAGGGGAGGGGGAGAATAATAAATGACCATAGAAAAATGAGAATGAGCCACAGGGAGCGCAGAGCGGCAGCACGAGCGCAGGCATCCCAGGGAGGCGAGCAAGCCTCCCACCACGGCAGAGCCAAGCTTCTCTGCCCCAAGATGTGCAACTCCAGCCAGGCCAGACTGCACACTATACCCATAAAGGGTCCTCAATTTTCATCTCTCCAAATCCCACTAAGGGATCAGGTTGTGTTTTTCCTCCCCTGTGCTTATCCTAGTTGTCTGGGATAGTTTGATAAACACATAATAAATCAAGTAAAAGTCTAACACCTTCCTGACCCATGTTCAAAATGTTGCTATTTATATAAAGAACAGTGTTCTTTCACACTCTGTAACCGAATTTACTAGTTCAAAATGATTGGAGAGTGGAGGGTGGGGGTGGGGAGCAGAAATCTTTAGAATGAGATGAAAATATTTCAAATGAAATTATTATTATTTTGGAGATGGAGTCTCTGTCACCCAGGCTGGAGTGCAGTGGCACAATCCTGGCTCACAGCAACCTCCGCCTCCTGGGTTCAAGCAATTCTCCTGCCTCAGCCTCCTGAGTAGCTGGGACTACAGGCACACCACAGCCATGCCCAGCTAATTTTTTGTATTTTTAGTAGAGACGGGGTTTCACCCTATTGCCAAGGCTGGTCTAGAACTCCTGAGCTCAGGCAATCTGCCCACCTCTGCCTCCCAAAGTGCTGGGATTACAGGCATGAGCCACCGTGCCTGGCCTTATTTATTTATTTTTTTTAAAGAAGAGTTTGAGGCATTTTTAAATTTCTTTCATCCTGGGTAGCAGAAATGAAATTAGATTGCAGGGCAGGAAGGTTGCAAGGAACAAAGGTTTTCTCTGACATAGCCTTAATGGCCTAAGCAGGTTGCTCCTTGAGTAAATTACACTTCTGCCTTTGAGAAAACCAGGCCAAGGTGCTTGGATTCCAGGCCACCTGAAAGCTCAGTTCTAATCATTGAGAAAGAGTTTTTGGAAATAACCTAGGATTCTGGCAAAGATTAAAAAGAATACTAGCATTACTAAGAAGAGGAGGAACCATTCCTTACACATTAATTTTCTTTGAAGTTACTCTAAAATTTCTATAAAACCCATAGTGAATTAAATTTCTTTTTTTCTTTCTTTTCTTTTTTTGAGACGGAGTCTCGCTCTGTCGCCCAGGCTGGAGTGCAGCGGCACAATCTTGGCTCACTGCAACCTTCGCCTCTGGGTTCAAGCGATTTTCCTGCCTTAGCCTCCCGAGCAGCTGGGACTACAGGTGCCTGCCACCACACTCGCTGATTTTTTTTGTATTTTTAGTAGAGACGGGGTTTCATCGTGTTAGCCAGGATGGTCTCAATCTCCTGACCTTGTGAGCCGCCCGCCTCGGTCTCTCAAAGTGCTGGGATTACAGGTGTGAGCCACCGCGCCCAGCCAGTGAATTAAATTTCTTTAATTTCAGCTGCTTAGAGCTTTTTTGGTGACAAATGAAATGCAGAAAATTAAAGTTATAGCAAAAGGGCAAAGAAAGAAAAAAGCGAAAAAAGAGAAACATAAGAGGAAAGAAGGAAAGAAAATGAATGAGAGAAAGAAAGAGAAAGAGAAAGAAAAAGTAAGCAAGCAAGGAAAGGCAAGAACCTTAGAGAAAGCGGGCACTTTTCTCATTAGAGACTTGGGGATCAAATGCCACCACAGTAGGGCAGTCCCAGCGCTGCCTCACAAGGTTTGGTCAGGAAAAATAATCCAAGGGGTAAGAGAAAGAATAGGTGAGAAAATTGCCTTGAAAGGTTCAATCTACAAACCCCAAAGTATGAGAGGAAAAATCAGGCGAAGACGGACATAATTTTCTTTGATGTCACGTAGTAACCAGCCTGACGCTAGGATATGGAATGTGTCTGATGCATTTTGATGGAAGGAATTCTGGGACACTGTGCTCTAGTGGGTGCACTAACAAAGAAGAGATGGTGCTTCGCTAGTGACCTTCGGCTATTTACAAGCTGTCGTATCTCTAAACCCAAGAAAATACTGACTGTATTGTACTTTCCACTACAGCAAAACAAAATTTCCTTAGTCCACCAAGTGGTTTCCCTGAAATTTCTCACCAACACAGAGCTTTAGCTCAAATTAAGCCATTTAGTTCAGTTCAATGAATATTTATGGACAGTGTAATCTGTGCCAGGCCCTGTGTTAGGAGCTGAGGTACAAGTAGAGGTAAGACATGCCCCTTGCCTGTCACCTGCTTTTATCATTCATGCAAGGACAACCCTTTGCCTGCCTCATGCGTCTTTGCTAGAATTACTCTCTCTCATTCTCCACACACCCTAATTCATGGTCTGTTCACGACTTTTGGCTCCATTCTTACATCCTTGAGGAAATGCTCTTAAATTAACTTGTCCTTACACTGATCCTGCCTTCACTCTCTCTGTTTACAGTTCTGTTTTCTGCTCCTCTTTTTGCTATACATTAAAAAACAAACTAGTTTCTATAATTATTTTTAAAAAATCACCCATAATTGGCCATCCTAACACAACTGTTCTAAGTCCGTGTCCACATGTACACTTGGTATCGACACAATCATAATTGCAGCATAGATACAATTACTCTTCTGTCATTTTTATAATCTCCAATATTTATTCAGCTTTACTTTTCACAGGGATATACCAAATAAATATTACAAATTTTGATAAATTTTAAACATAAAAAGTGAAATTTTATCAGAAATGCATTTTCTAAGAAGATGAATTACTTTGTTTCTAAATGAGTTCAGATATCCACGGTAACCAACACTCCTTACTATAATGAGAATTTTCGCTACCATCTTATTTTAAATTTCTTTGTTGACATAAAGCACTAAGAAATTTGACTCATATAAATAAGTAGATGGGAACAGAAGGAGTCTTGTTATAACTTACTTCTCGAATTTCTTTTAAAGTATATGTTCCTTCCCCTAGCCCAGTAACACAGATACTAAAATATAATTTTTAGATAGGTCATTATCACCTAACAATTCAATTAGGTATTCTTTCTCTCTGTCTCCCTCTCCCTCTCACTCTTCACCTTGGCCTCCCAAAGTGCTGGGATTACCAGGCATGAGCCACGCACTCAACCTCAATTAGGTATATTTTCAATTTTGCTAAAAGGACAGAATTAGAAACCATCTGTTTTACAAAAGAATCAGTAAGGATTAGTTAAGCAGTCATTAGTCATTCAAATTCTTAATTTTGAGATAATGTAACAAAGAGGCTTTATCAAGACATATTAAGAAACTTTCAATTATTCTTGCTACTCTTTCACTTAGAGGTATCCTTTTTAGTTCAACATACTTAGCATCAGGAAAACTGAAAGACTGTTCATTTCATTACATCTTCGGCATTTAATTTATTAGAAAAAATTTTTTAATTTCTATATATGCTTTAAATATATTTTCATCAAATAATCTATTCAAAACAGGCAGCCAAATCTAACTTTCAGACCTAAAATGTATTCTTCAATTCAAACAAATATAATAATGCTAACTAAGGAAAAAAAATTATTTTTGAGACGGAGTCTTGCTCTGTCGCCAGGCTGGAGTGCAGTGGCATGATCTCAGCTCACTGCAACCTCTGCCGCCTGGGTTCAAGCTATTTTCCTGCTTCAGCCACTCCAGTAACTGGGATTACAGGTGCACACCACCACGTCCAATTAATTTTTTGTATTTTTAGTAGAGACGGGGTTTCACCATGTTGGAGGCTGGTCTTGAACTCCTGACCTCAAGTGATCTGCCCTCCTCCGCCTCCCAAAGTGCTGGGATTACAGGTGTGAGCCACTGTGCCCAGACAGGAAAATTGTAAGTGAAATAAATGACAAAACACATCTATCTTATAAGGCAGATTATAAATGGTCAGGTCACAATTAAAATGAGACCTAATAATGTTTATCTATTATTTAATAAGTTAACAAATATAGAAACAAGCTAATAAGTCAATATTTCTCTTTAATATGGAATAATATAATGCATAGCTAAATTTACAAGTTACTTATGAAACAGGAGTATGACAAAAATAATAAAATTTCTTCAGTAAATACGTATATATGTGTATGCTTAACTCTGATCCTTTAGCCATTAGAAGTAAGAAAGAATCGGCCAGGTGCAGTGGCTCACGCCTGTAACCCCAGCACTTTGGGAGGCCACGGTGGGCAGATCACCTGAGGTCAGGAGTTCAAGACCAGCCTGATCAACATGGTGAAACCCCATCTCTACTATACAAAAATTAGCTGGGAGTGGTGGCATGTGCCTGTAATCCCATCTACTCAGGAGGCTGAGGCAGGAGAATCGCTTGAACCTGGGAGGTGGAGGTTGTGGGAGGTGGAGGTTGGGCGACAGAGTGAGACTCCGCCTCAAAAAAAAAAAAAAAAAAAAAGAAGAAGAAGAAGAAGAAGAAGAAGGAAATACAGCATAAGGACACCTTTGTTAGTAATCAAGGGAGGCCCCGCCATGTTTGGTACCCTGGTGTTTTGCAGCCCAGATGAGCACAGAGCTGACCTTCTTCTATATCAAGTGCAAGAAAAGTTATTTCGAATTTAAGTCAGTTATCAGGCAGATCATCTTTAAGAATGAAAACAGTTGGTGGAAGCTAAGGATCTACAAAGTAATTCCGTTAAAATATCCAGATCAAGATCAAGAACACCTTGAAGTCTTTGCTCACCCCCTGCACGTGCAGTAGGAGGATCACGGGGTTGGCGCACAGTCAGCCGCTGCCATTTGTCCAGGGTCACACTGTCACCTAGAACCAGCAATTTCATGTCTTCCCAACTCTTTTTTTTTTTTTTTTTTTGAGATGGGGTCTTGCTCTATCACCCAGGTGGGAGTGCAGGGGCACAATCTCAGCTCACTGCAACCTCCGTCTCCCGGGTTCAAGTGATTCTCCTGCCTCAGCCTCCCCAGTAGCTGGGATTAGAGGCGCATGCCACAACGTCCGGCTAATTTTTGTATTTTTAGTAGGGACAGGGTTTCACTACATTGGCCAGGCTGGTCTCGATCTCCTGACCTCGTGATCTGCCTGCCTCAGCCTCCCAAGGGGCTGGGATTACAGGTGTGAGTCACCGCGCGCGGCCCAACTCGTTTTTTGAGTGTGCGTAGAACAGTATCTTCTTTAGAAGATAAATTCTAAATGTTGTCAGTTTGAGATGAAACTATGATGGTGTGTGGTATCTTTTCCATTTTAAAATTTTGTTTTGAAATCACTGTTTCCTCACCAATTAGATTCTGCTTACAGCATGTTTTCCAGTTCTGAAAGAGCTATGATTTGCCTGCCAAAAAATTCTTGAAGAATGTTAAAGGCATAACCTTACTTGTTCTAATTCTATTTAAATCAGATGAAATACTAATATCAAATGAATTTTTATCAATCTGCACTATAATTTTAGTTCATTTTTTCTATAGAAGGCAATTTTATTAATATGAGTACACTAAAACATTTCAAACTAGTACATATTTTAACAGATCATAACCTCAGCCATGTGTACCACTCACAGCATGCACAAGCATTTAAATAGGGTTTTAAAAATTCCCGGCGGTAGGAGAGCAGTTTGCCATTCATACACACGTATTGAAAGACTGCTGGCTTCATGCTGGTGATCAAAAAGTTTCAGATTTTGGGGCATTTTGGATTTTTAGATTAGGGGATGCTCAACTTGTAGTTAAAAGGTGGAAACAATCCAAGTTTATCCATTTCAGCAGAAAAGTGGGTAAACACACTGTGGTATATCTGCACAATGGAGTATTACCCAGCCTTAGAAAGGGATGAATTCTGATATGTGCTATAGCATGTATGAGCCTTTACTGTGTTAAATAAAATAAACCAGACACACACACACACACAAAAAAAAGGAAGACTGCTTTGGAGCCAGAGAAGTTAGAGGCCTGGCTCTGCTATTTAGTAACCATGTGGTGAGCTCTGGAAACCCACTGAAACTCAAGAAGCCTCAGATGTCTCATCTGTAAACCAGGGATAAGAATATTTACCTACCTTGTACAGCTGACATAAAAAAGGAGGGTAATGCAGGTGCAACCCCTACCACAGGCCTAGAGAGGTAGATTTCTAAAAAGGTAATTTTCTCTACCAACAACTTACCAGAACCATATCCAGGTATTGGCCCTTTGGTTTGAAGGTCTGGGAGCCCCACATTCAATGCGTTGGGTACCATGTTGTCCAGATGCGGCTTGGGCCCAACAGGATGAGAGGGCGAGTGCTTCATGCCTGGCTGCCTCTGCTGCTGCTGCTGCTGCTGCTGCAGTGCACTCACCATTCGAGCCAGCTGAGGGCCAAGAGAGACAGACACGTGATAAGCACGGCCCCGAACTTCCCAGGAAAAGACTGTGCCCGGTTCTTTGCCATCAGAGGCTAAGCCGGGATGTACTCCTCCAACACAGCACTGGAGGGACCCTGCCTACCCACGTACCTGCTGCTCTTGCTGTTGGCGTACAGCTTGAGAAATCTTTCTCTGGTTCTGTAACAACTGCTGCTGTTGCTGCTGCTGCAAGAGAAGCTGACATGCCTACAAAACAAGGGGGAAAGACAGAAAACCAAAGTTTCCTGAGATTGATTTACTGAGGACACCTAAAGGGTCTGTGCACTGAAGTACAGGTCACACAATCAAAAGTATCCAGGAGGGAAGTAACACCAAATTCCCGGTCTCTTGGTTACATTTTCCTCCAGTTGAGCTGACAACCCTTAAGCACACTCCATAGTTTGCAAAGAAGTGTGGACTAGCACCCTTTGAACATAGAAAGTGGCAAAGATGTGGGAAGCAAATCAAAGCTAAAGAAAAAAAAAAAGCAAATGACCTTTTTAGCCACAGGAAGAAAATCTTCTACTTACCAACTGAAACTGGGGAATTTGTGGAAGCTGGCTCAGCATGGCAATTTGTTGAGGAGATAACTGGGGCCCCACATTGAAAAGACCTGGACTCAGGCCACTGTTGGGAAACTGCTTGAGCATTGAGGCAGAAACCTAGCCAAAAAAATAAAAAAGAAAGAAAAGAAAAGGAATCTTCAGAATTTATCAAAATAAAACTGTTTTTCTGTGAAAAGAATCTTGATGAATCTAAAGCAAGAGTTGTCAAACTTTTCTGTGAAAAATATATAACAGGAAAAATACACTCAAGGGTTAACAATGATTATCTTGGAGCAGTGAGATTACAACAGTTTTTAAATTTTCTTCTTAGACTTTCCAATTTTCTACAATAAAAAGTATAAATTTTATATTCAGGAAAACATCTTCAAGAAAAAAAAATTGATGACAATATGGCTTTTATCCAACCAAGAAATTATTACTGGAAATGTGCCATAAAACAAAACATGCTACATTGCATAAAGCTAATAAATAATACTTACGTGAAAGTATTTCTGTGCTACAAGTAAGACAAATATATTAACTTGTAAATAGAAGACATGAGTTTCAATGCATGGCTTCTGATAGCAAACACCCACAGAGTGGCAGTGTAAAAAAAGAGCCAGCATCAAAGAGCCTGGAAGGTCACTGACCCGGCAGGGTCCTTCTCCCTGTTCTCAGGAGTGAGCTAGGCGAGGCTGCAGGAAGCTCTGGCGACAGAGGATTCCCTCCTATCTTTGGTTTGCTCCTCTAAGATGATTTAAGTAAGAAGAAGTGAGTTTCCCTGCACCCTCATCTACTGAACCCACTGGACTAGTTGGGGCCATGGAGAACAAGCTTAAGAACGTGTCCGTGAGTGCCAAGTAGTGTAGCACAATGGCCAAGAATTTAGTCCTAGAGGCTGGGCACAGTGGCTCACACCTGTAATCCCAGCAGTTTGGGGGACTAGCTTGTGCCTAGGAGATTGAGAACACCTGGGCAACATAGCGAGCTATCATCTCTTTAAAAAAATAAAAAGGTTAAAAAAAGACTTTAGAGCTGGGTGTGGTGGCTCACGCCTGTAATCCCAGCACTTCAGGAGGCTGAGGTGGGTGGATTACCTGAGGTCAAGAGTTCAAGACCAGCCTGACCAACATGCAGAAACCCCGTCTCTACTAAAAATACAAAATTAGCTGGGTGTGATGGCGCATGCCTGTAATCCCAGCTACTAGGGAGGCTGAGGCAGGAGAATTGCCTCAAGCTGGGAGGCGGAGGTTGTGGTGAGCCAAGATGGTGCCATTGCACTCCAGCATGGGCAACAAGAGTGAAATTCCATCTCAAAAAAAAAAAAAAAAGACTTTAGTTCTAGAGGCAGACTGCCTGGGTTTGTAATCCCAGCTCTGCCTGCCTCCCCAGTTTTGTTTTTTTTTTTTTTTTGTTTTTTTTTTTTTGAGACAGGGTCTCACTCTGTCACCCAGGCTGGAATGCAGTGGCGTGATCATGGCTCACTGCAGCCTTGACCTCCCGGCTGGTCTCAAACTCCTGGGCTCAAGCCATCCTCTCAAAGTGTTGTGATTACAAGTATGAGCCACCGCTCCCAACCCAGCTCTGCCATTTCTTTTTTTTTTTTGAGACGGAGTCTCGCTCTTTCACCCAGGCTGGAGTGCAGTGGCGCTATCTTGGCTCACTGCAAGCTCCACCTCCTGGGTTCACGCCATTCTCCTGCCTCAGCCTCCCGAGTAGCTGGGACTACAGGCGCCCGCCACTGCGCCCGGCTAATTTTTGGTATTTTTAGTAGAGACGGGGTTTCACCGTGTTAGCCAGGATGGTCTCAATCTCCTGACCTCATGATCCGCCCGCCTCGGCCTCCCAAAGTGCTGAGATTACAGGCGTGAGCCACCGCGCCCGGCCCCAGCTCTGCCATTTCTAAGCTGACTCAGAGCAAGTTACTCATTTAGCCTTTCTGACCCTTACTTTCCTGATCTCCAACTGGAATGACAACAATATTAACTTCAGTCATTATTAGATTTTATGAGTTAATCAATGTCAAATGCTTAGAGATGTCCTCCATAAATGTTCACATTATTCCACAGGCTGATTCTTCAAATGTCTTCAGACAATGATTACAGTTCCCTTGCATCTCATCTTCAGGCTCAATATGATCAGTTCTTTCACCTGTATCTCCTTCCATTTCTTGGTGAAGAGCCAAGAACAGAAAGGTATTTTCTAGAGTAGTCTAACACCAAGTAGACCCTAAGCATTCTGTTAAAAGCTGTGCTTTCATGAACAATGCCTAAGATGTCAATTTCTCTGGTGATTGTAACTCCTGATTCACACACTAAGCTTAATGTTAGTTAAAATCTATAATATTTAAAAACATGCTTTTGTTCCCTCATGTAATATTTAACCCATGTAGCTGGGTTTTTTTTAATGATTTTTTAAATTTATTTTTATTTTTATTTTTATTTTTTGAGATGGAGTCTCGCTCTGTTGCTCAGGCTGGAGTGCAGTGGCGCAATCTCGGCTCACTGCAAGCTCCACCTCCTGGGTTCACGCCATTCTCCTGCCTTAGCCTCCCGAATAGCTGGGACTACAGGTGCCTGCCACCATGCCCGGCTAATTTTTTGTATTTTTTTTAGTAGAGACGGGGTTTCACCATGTTAGCCAGGATGGTCTCAATCTCCTGACCTTGTGATCCACCTGCCTCGGTCTCCCAAAGTGCTGGGATTACAGGCGTGAACCACTGCACCCGGCCTATTTATTATTATTATTTTTAGATAGAGTTTCACTCTGTCGCCCAGGCTGGAGTGCAGTGGTGTGATCTCGCCTCACTGCAAGCTCCACCTCCTGGGTTCAAGCAATTCTTCTGCCTCAGCCTCCTGAGTAGCTGGGACTACAGGCACGCACCACCACACCCAGCTAATTTTTGTATTTTTAGTAGAGACGGGGTTTTACCATATTGGCCAGGCTGATCTCGAACTCCTGACCTCGTGATCCACCCGCCTTGGCCTCCCGAAGTATTGGGATTACAGGCGTGAGCCACCGTGCCTGGCCTTTAAATTTTTATTGATTTTTTAATTTGAGCTTAAGACCTTACGTATATCTTTATGAGCATGGCATATAGAAGATGCTCCATAAATATCTATTAAATGAATGAACCTCTATCATATTTAACTTCACAGTCACCCCACCAAGTTCTTGTTGATCCTATTATTCTACTTATTCCCAGTTTGTGTTCCCCCATCCCGTCACGGATGGGAATGCTGAACTTGATAGAGCTGAGGATAATCTAGTCATATGCCGCTAAAGCTTCCTTTCAATATGAAACGATCAGCCTAGGAATCGTCAGTTACTAATCCACACAACTGTTTTAATGTTTAGCCAATATATTTCCATCTCATCCAAAAGAGAGAAGTTGTCAAACGGCCTGTTAAAGTAGAGTACAACAACTATATTGTTCTTCTATGCCAGTATTTCTACCAATCAATGAAGGGAATGTATGAAAACTTGTTAGCAAACTATGATTATTGATTACTGCCATACGTACTCAAAAGCAATCTTCTTGATAATCTAGATTCTTTCCTGGAATTGGGACCAAGTTCATTAGTCTTCTAGCTACTTTTTCCTTATTTCTCCTTTCAGAAATCATTTTAAAAATTTCCCCAGGCTGGACATGGTGGCTGACACCTGTAATCCCAAGCACTTTGGGAGGCCAAGTCGGGCGGAGATCACTTGAGGCCAGGAGTTTGAGACCAGCTTGGCCAACATGGCAAAACCCTCTCTCTACTAAAAATACAAAAATTAGCTAGGCATGGTGGCAAGCGCCTGTAATCCCAGCTACTCAGGAAGCTGAGGCACGAGAATCGCTTGAACCCAGGTGGCGGAGGTTGCAGCAAGCAAAGATCGTGCCACTGCACTCCAGCCTGGACACCAGAGAGAAACACCATAAGGAAAAAAAAAAAAAGGCCGGGCGCGGTGGCTCACGCCTGTAATCCCAGCACTTTGGGAAGCCGAGGCAGGTGGGTCACGAGGTGAGGAGATCGCAACCATCCTGGCTAACACGGTGAAACCCCGTCTCTACTAAAAATACAAAAAAATTAGCCGGGAGTGATGGCGGGCGCCTGTAGTCCCAGCTACTCGGGAGACTGAGGCAGGAGAATGGCATGAACCCGGGAGGCGGAGCTTGCAGTGAGCCAAGATCACGCCACTGCACTCTAGCCTGGGCGACAGAGCGAAACTCTGTCTCAAAAAAAAAAAAAAAAAAAAAAATTCACCATTCTCCTCAATTTCTTATAGTGGAGGGGTGCTTCTTTCCCATTTCTGATCTGAGGCTCCACACAGAGGACATCCACCTTTATTTTATCATAGAACTTAAGGCCCTTAAGGCCTCTTTCTCCTTCTTGGAAGCAAACCTGGAGAGAGGACTGCCCCATTACGGTGACTCTGGGTTAAGGCTGGAATTCGGTATTAGGAAGTACGCACGTTCTCCATTATCTGCTTTGTTGGTAGTAAAGAGGGTACTGTGGCCCCAATATGTTTTCCTCTTTTGCCTTAAACATTCAGAATGCGGGCAGGAAAGATGGGTGTCATTAAACTCCCCTCGAAGACTCCCAGCACTCCTCAAAAATCACAGACAGGGAGGGCTCCACAATTCTCTTCACAAATTCTTTCTCTGCTCTAGGATCTGTCTTTTGGTTTGAACGTCCTTCTTCTTAATATAAAAAACAAAAGCAACAAAAATTTTTACCTCCACTCTGTAAACCCTGGGCATTACACAACTAGTCCAAGGCAATGATTCCTTTCCTAGTCACCAAACTGCATCAAACCAAACTCTAAAGGTTCTTTTAATCTACCTCATTTTTTTTTGCAAGTCTCAGCTTTCTCTGTGTTTTATTCATGCTTGCTTTTACCCTTACTATCCATCTTCTGAAAATGTCCCATTATAAACTAAGTTAATCAGAAAGCTTCCCCATCTCCATTGCATCTTCTCATTTCATCATTCTTTGGCATCACGGTCAGAGTTAAATTCCTCAGTTTCCTAATACTTTTGAACCACCATCTCTGCTACATTCTCAAGACTACATGCCTATCTTTTCTTTCTTTCTTTTTTTTTTTTTTTTTGGAAATGGAGTCTCACTCTGTTGCCCAGGCTGGAGTGCAATGGCATGACCTCAGCTCACTGCAATCTCCACCTCTCGGGCTCAAGCGATTCTCCTGCCTCAGCCTCCTGAGTAACTGGGATTACGGGTGCCCGCCACCACGCTTACCTTTTTGTATTTTTTAATAGAGACGGGGTTTCACCATGTTGGTCAGGCTGGTCTTGAACTCCTGACCTCAAGTGATCCACCCACCTCGGACTCCCGAAATGCTAGGATTACAGGCGTGAGCCACCATGCTTGGCCCATCTTTTCTTTGACACTCTTCTAGTCTATAAACATTTGACCAAGTTCAGGTTTCCTGTACTAGGCTCATCAGCTCATTTTCTCTCAAGATCTGTCACTTTCACTCCACCCATCAACTCTGTCATTTTGGAAAGTACTCTAATTTCAAGTAATAGTTCCCCCCAGCTGCTTCCTCTCTATCCTCTAAGAGATGCTGAGTGTTACCAACCAATTTAAAAATCTGTTTGACTTTCTATTTTAATAGGTGTACTCCAAGCACACGTGAGCACCAAGTGAGCACACCACTACAGGGCATGCTGCCTCTGCACCAGTTTTAGGGCGAGCATGAGGAACACGTCCTCCACAATTTCCCCCAGATAACAACTCCTCTTCATCTCTGCTCTGAATTCACACAAAATGTCACCAGTGTGACTTAACTTACTGTCTCTGATATAATAATTTCAAACTCACTATAATTTGAGTCTGGGGGAAAGGAGGGTGAGTATAGATATATTCTGTGCTATTGAAACCATGTTCCAAACCGGATTCTTATCCCACCATACCTCAAGGATCCATAAAATCTTATGTACCACCTTCAGTGTGAATCCTAAATTCATCTCAGTTAGCGACTGTATTTGGTAACATAGTGTTGCCCATAAATTCATGCCCACTGGGAACCTCAGAAGGTGATCTCATTTGGAAATAGAGTCTTTGTAGATGCACTCAAGTTTAAGACGAAGTCATACTGAATTAGGGTGGGCCCTAATCCATTAACTGGTGTCCTCATATGAAGAGGGAAATTTTGAGACAGAGAAGAAAAAGCCATGTGAAGATAGAGACACATACGGGAGAACATCGGATGATGATGGAGGCAGACAGTGGTGATTTCAGACTGAAAAGCCTCCAGAACTGAGCTCAGGTTGATTGATTGATTGATTGACTGATTGACTGATTGATTTTTTGAGACAGGGTCTCACTCTATTGTCCAGACTGGAGTGCAGTGGCACGATCATGGCTCACTGCAGTTTCGGCTTCTTGGGCTCA
This sequence comes from Homo sapiens, assembly GCF_000001405.40. Taxonomy (NCBI): domain Eukaryota; kingdom Metazoa; phylum Chordata; class Mammalia; order Primates; family Hominidae; genus Homo; species Homo sapiens. Next base: position 40,294,170 of record NC_000022.11, on the reverse strand, counting down.
AGTGATTTTCCCAACTCAGCCTCCCAAATAACTGAGACTACAGGCATGCACCACCATGCCTGGCTAATTTTTGTATTTTTTTTTTTTTTTTTTTTTTGTAGAGATGGGGTTTTGCCATTTTGCCCAGGCTTGTCTCGAACTCCTAGGCTCAAGTGCCTGTCTCAGCCTCCCAAAGTGCTGGAAGTACAAGTGTGAGCCACTGTGCCTGGCCTTTTTTTTTTTTTCTAGGTAGAGCAGACACTTTGGTCATAAAGAGATCTGCAGCACCCAAGTCTCTCACACAAAGTTAACTGCACTTTCCCAACAATTCTACCTTTGAAATCATTCTGATATGCATCTTCCCATGACTTAATATATATTAACTGCGCTCAAAATACATGTGCGGCACAGCTATTGATGCTCAGGCTCCAGCAGTGAACACAGCAGGCCCAGACCCTGCTGCTGTGAAGCTTATTACACTCCTAGGGGCAGGGCAGACAAGGAGCAAGCATGGGAGACACAGTAACAGGGCAAGAACCCATTATTCCCCACCATTCCCCTACCCCCCTCCGCCCCCGCCCTCAGGCATTCCTACTACTCAAAATTAGCTAAAGAAACCACCAAAGTAAAACCTGCCCGTGACCCAGCAGTACCATCGAGAAATTCATCCTGGGAGACAAACATGAGAATATTATAGCAGGCCAGGCACGGTGGCTCATGCCTGTAACTCCAGCATTTTGGGAGGCCAAGGTGGGCAGATCACGTGAGGCCAGGAGTTCGAGACCAGACTGGCCAACATGTGAAATCCTGTCTCTACTAAAAATACAAAAATTAGCCAGGCATGGTGGCTGGCAGCTGTAGTTCCAACTACTTAGGAGGCTGAGGCAGGAGAATTGCTTGAACCCGGGGGCAGAGTTGCAGTAAGCTGCGATCACGCCACTGCATTCCAGCCTGGGCAACAGAGGGAGACTCTGCCTCAAAAAAAAAAAAAAAAAAAAAAAGAAAAGGATATTATAGCAGCACTGCTCATAACAACAAACATCTAGAAGCAATCCAAATGTCTATGAACAGTAGACCTGGTAGTAGAATAGGTAAATTATGGTATAGTCATATAATGGAATATCATATGAACCATAGCTGCCCAAATCCACATGGGAATATATTTGAAATAATACAAGTAAAAATAGCACAACAAAAGAAGGAGGCTCTATACTATATGGGTTAAGTGCAAAAAAGGCAAAATGAAAACAACAGATTGTTTAAAGACAGAGAGACACATGCAGAAAGAATATAAAGAAAAGCATAGGAAAGTGATCTTTAGAAGCCACCAGCTCGTATGTTCCATAAACTGACAATTTTAGAGACAATAAAAGTGTAATTTTTGAGAAATTCCTATCCCAGCCGTGCTCAACTTCTCCTTTCTTAGGATTGCAAATGTACTGCCCCTCTCCAAAGAATACAGAAGGACCAGGGAAAAGCGCCACTAGGCTCCAGGCAAACACCTGCTCACGCCCGCCTGGGCTGCAGAGGAATCACGGTGGTGCAGGTCTGCACATTCTCCATTTCAGGGAGTTAATTATTCTGGTTTAAAAGCCCTTCAATCTCCTGCTGGATTGGAGAAAGTAAAGATCTTGTTGCAATCGATATGGCATTTAACAAAGCACTGCAGGTGCAAAATGACAGCAATTTAAAGTCAGGACAAAAGCCTGCTGGAATATGTTACTTTCTCAATATTGTATTTGAGTAACTGGAGGAAACAGGCATGGTAGAAACCCAAGGCCCGGAATATTTGTAACAAATCTTAGAAGTTTCAGTGTCATCCTTTTTTTTTTTTTTTTTGAGATGGAGTCTCACTCTGTCGCCCAGGCTAGAGTGCAGTGGCACAATCTCAGCTCACTGCAACCTCCACCTCCTGGGTTCAAGCGATTCTCCTGCCTCAGCCTCCTGAGCAGTTGGGACGACAGACGGGTGTGCGCCACCATGCCTGGCTTTTTTTTTGAGACGGAGTCTTGCTCTGTCGCCCAAGCTGGAGCGCAGTGGCACGATCTCGGCTCACTGCAAGCTCCGCCTCCAGGGTTCATGCCATTCTCCTACCTCAGCCTCCTGAGCAGCTGGGACTACAGACGCCTGCCACCACACCCAGTTAAGTTTTTGTATTTTTAGTAGAAATGGGGTTTCAGCATGTTGGCCAGGCTGGTCCCAAACTCCTGATCTCAGGTGATCCACCTGCCTTGGCCTCCCAAAGTGCTGGGATTACAGGCATGGGCCACTGAGCCCGGCCTCAGTATCTTCTATGTTTACATTAACTACTGATTGCCCCTATAATGTGGTCAAAAGGAATATAAAATCTGGTATTTATCAAAACCTTTTAAAATATTAATGTGCTTTGACCCAGAAATTTCATTTTGGGCAACTAAATTTAGAAAAAATGTGGGCAAGGGTTTATGTATAAGGATTTCTCTGCAGCATTATTTGTAACAGGGAAAAATTAAAAACAATTTAATACTCAACAGTGGGGGAAGGGAATGTTAAGTAAATCAAGGTAAATCTACCTGATGAAACATCATTATGATCACCGTGAATGCTACATAGCAACAGCAGAAAATTCAAGGACACAATGTTAACATCAGGTTCTAGTGACCCTGAGTGCAATAATGTGAAAAGCATCCCTGTATATGAATAGTGTCTGAATAGGGAATTAGTAAAAATAATTCCTGTCATTGTATTTGGGTTGGAGGTTTCTTTAAGAATTTGTTTCTCCGCTATCCAAACTGTGTGTGGTTATCTTGTCTTTTTCATTTTTTTTTTTAAGACAGGATATCACTGTCACCCAGGCTGGATTGCAGCGGTGTCACCATGGCTCACTGCAGCCTCAACCTCCTGGGCTCAGGTCATCCTCTCACCTCAGCCTCCCAAGTAGCTGGGACTACAGCATGCACCACCATGCCCGGCTAATTTTTTGTATTTCTGTTAGAGACAGGTTTTGCCATATTGCCCAGGCTGGTCTTGAACTCCTGGGCTCAAGCAATCTGCCCATCTTGGTCTCCCAAAGTGCTGGGATTATAGGAGTAAACCACCGTGCCTGGCCTTTTCTTTCTTCAGAGTTACCCAACTGCTTCATTTTTTAGAAATACAGAAATGTTGGGAAAAGACAGAATAATCCAATATTTAATATTCTGCTCCCAGTATGCATTAAATAAATAAAACAAAATTCAAAAATGGAGGGAACACAAGTAATTTTCTTTTTTGGGTAGAGCAGACACTTTGGTCATAAAGAGATCTGTAGTACCCAAGTCTCTCACACAAAGTTAACTGCAACTTTCCCAACAATTCCACTTTTGAAATCACTCTGATATGCATCTTCCCATGACTTGATATATAGTCACCGAGCTCAAAATACATGCCCTGCTCAGGCTCCAGCAGTGAACACAGCAGGCCCAGACCCTGCCACTGTGAAGCTTATTATACTCCTAGGCGCGGGGCAGAGAGGGAGAAAAGACAAGGAGCAAGCGGGTCGGGGGGTGGGGGAGTGACAGGGCAGGCTGCACACTGTACGTAGCTGCCCTGAGAAAGCTCCTAGGGAAGGTGGCAGAGAAGCAGAGAGCTGAAGGAGATAAAGACTGAGCCATGCTGCCATCTGGGAAGGATGTTCTAAGCGTATGCTTGGTGTGTGGGGGCCACTTGGCTGGAGCAGCATGAAGGTATGGGACAGTGACCTGTACTTGTGGGGAGGTGGGATCACCAGGAACCTCAAAGACCAGAGTAAAGACTTTGCTTTTGCCTTGCATTCTCAGCGAGAGAACCAGCCACGAGGGGATTCCCGCTGAAAGAGTAACACAACCTGCCTTTTGTTTTAGCACAGTGCTGTGCAGAACTTCCTGCAACGCCGACACGTTCTACGTCTGTGCTGTCTGCACAGTGACTATGAACCAGACGTGGCTATTTAAGTTAATTAAAATAAAATTTAAAATTCAGTGCTTCCAGTCCAGCGGCCACATTTCAAGGGCTGATGTGGCTGACGGCTATCACACTGGACAGTGCGGTGTCAGAGAATCAGTCTGACTCAGACGTGAGACAGGCAAATGTTGAGCCGAGGCAGGGTGGGGAACAGGCAGGAAGTCACTGCAATAACCTAGACAGAAACGGCGGTGGCTTGGCCAGGGCCTGTGCTGTTGAAAGTGGTAAAAAAGGATCCGCTTTTGGATAAAGGTTTGAAGGGCAGTCTTACTGATGCAATGAACATGGTCACGAGCTCCAAGGTTTTTGGCCTGAACTCCTATAGGATGAGAGTGCCATTTGCTGGGAGTTAAGGGGATGTTTTTGAGGGCAGTGTGGGGTGAGATCAGAAGCTGTGTTTTGAACATGTTAACCTGTAAGGCAACCTATGAGTAGTCTGTGGAGTTGAGGAAAAATGATGTGGGCTGAAGACACAATTTTGGAATTCAGTGCTTAAAGTCATTCCACTTGGTAAGATCACCTGGCACTGACTACAGATGGTGAGGAGAGGTTCGAAGGTTGAGATCTGGGACATTCTGCTGAATATGTATTGAGAACTTGAGGAGGAACTCGTAAAGGAGATGGAGAAGGAGAGGCAGATGGAGAACCAGTGTAGTAGGTGTCCAAAAGCCAAACACAGGAAGTGCTTCAGAAAGGAGGGGAACTCTGTCAAATGCTGCTGATACACTGAGTAAGAAGAGACTAGAGAACAGATCATCATATTATGCAAGGAAAAGATCAGAGGTGACTTCCACAAGAAGGTTAATTCCCACTGTCGCTGCCTTACCTAGACTCCTGTACTAGTCCTGCAACTGCACTCTTTTGCTCTAGTACTCCTGCCATTCAAACATGTCCTCTATATTACTTCCAGTGTTTGTTTGTTCCCTCCCTCCCTTCCTCTTTTTTTCTTTTTTGAGACGGGGTCTTGCTCTGTTGCCCAGGCTGGAGTGCAGTGGCTTGATCGTGGTTCACTGCAGCCTCGCCTCCCAGACTCAATCTATCCTCCCACCTCAGCCTCCTGAGCAGCTGGGACTAAAGGTACACACCACCATGCCTGGATCATTAAAAAAAATTTTTTGTAGGCTGGGCGCGGTGGCTCACGCCTGTAATCCCAGCACTTTGGGAGGTCAAGGTGGGGTGGATCACTTGAGGTCAAGAGTCCCAGACCAGCTTGGCCAACATGGTGAAACCCCATCTCTACTAAAAATACAAAAATTAGCCAGGCGTGGTGGCGCATGCTTGTAATCCTAGCTACTCAGGAGGCTGAGGCACAAGAATCACTTGAACCCAGGAGGTGGAGGTTGCAGTGAGCTGAGTGAGAGAGAGACTCTGCCTCAAAAAAAAAAAAAAAAAAAAGCTGGGCACAGTGGCTCACGCCTGTAATCCCAGCATTTTGGGAGGCCAGGGCGGGTGGATCAGGAGGTCAGGAGTTCGAGACCAGCCTGGCCAACATAGTGAAATGCCGTCTCTACTAAAAATACAAAAATTAGCCAGGCATAGTGGCACACTCCTGTAGTCCCAGCTACTCGGGAGGCTGAGGCAGGAGAATCACTTGAACTTGGGAGGCGGAGGTTGCAGTGAGCAGAGATTGTGCCACTGCACTCCAGCCTGGGCAACAGAGTGAGACTCCAACTCAAAAAAAAAAAAAAAATTTGTAGAGATGGGGTTTTACTATGTGGTCCAGGCTGGTCTCAAACTCCTGGGCTGAAGCAATCTGCCTGCCTCAGCCTCCCAAAGGGCTGGGATTGCAGGTGTGAGCCACTGCACCCAGCATCTTCTAAACCTTAAATTTTCCTACATCACTACTCAGCTGAAAAATCTTTAATAGTATATTGTCTACAGCAGTGGCCAAACTGTAAGTGCACATAAAGATCACACGGGGGTGACTAAGTCCCAAAGCCACCTGTCACAGAAGACTGGAGACCTGGGAACTGTGTCTTTAAGTAGCAACCCAAATAATGGTTGTAAACCACGTTGAAAAGGATTGGCCCATAGGGCCAAGTCCCAAATCCTAAGCAAAGCAAACACCTTTTCCAAATTTGGTCCCATACTTCTTGTCTAGTTCCTTTCTTTTCTATTCTAAGACAGTGTGTGTGCATTTGTGTGTACGTTTCAACAAGCTCTAACTAATTATTCAGAGTAACTGCCTTTCCCCCAAATGCTATGTTCTTCTAGATATTATTGCCCCTTGCACATGAGGCTCCTGCTGCTTAGAAGGCACTTTTAATCTGGTGTGCTCAGAAAATTCTGACTCATTCTTTAAGACTCAGACGTCACTGCTAGTGTGAAGGCTCAGCCGATTACCCAAACTCTGTTAAACATTTCTATACATTTATCACACTATCTGCTGGGAATTCTGCTATCACCTCCTCCTCACCTCAACCCACCCCTCTGCCACCAACTCCAAGAGGCTGCAGAGAGAGAGATGGCATTTTCTCCATCTGTGCACGATGAAGACATTATCTAACATGCTACAGATATTTGATAACCATGGATGACTGTCAGCCTGATACCAAAGGATACTGTAAAGTATGTGTATGCTCCAAGACTTAAGAAGACACTGCCATTGTAGAGTGCCAGGGAAGTCAGAAATGGCTCTGTCTAAAGGACAAACCTCTACCTGGGGCTTGAAGGATGACTGGAACTTAGAGGGAAAGAAGAGGAGAGGTGCCAAGGGGACACAGTCCCAGACTCCCAGGCAAGACCTTGGAGAGGCAGTTGGTGGTGATGACGGGGAGGCAAGGAAGGGGTGTGGAGAAACCTGACCTCCCCCACTAAGAAAGATACAGACTCAGAACATTAAAACTAGAATTTGAAATCTATAGTTGATCTTTTCAAATAAATATTTTAAGCCCTGGTCTTAAAGGGCATTTCAAAAAACAAAACAGGCTGGGCACGGTGGTTCATGCCTGTCATCCCAGTGCTTTGGGAGGCTGAGGTGGAAGGACTGCTGGAGTCAAGGAGCTTGAGACCAGCCTGGGCAACATAGCATGACTCCACCTCTACACAATACTTAAAACCAGCCAAGCTTGGTGGTGTGCATCTGTAGTCCCCAGCTACTTGGAGGCTGAGGAGGGAGGACTGCTTGAGCCCAAGAGTTTGAGCTTGCCATGAGCTATGGATCACACCACTGCACTCCAGCCTGGGTGACAGAGTGAGACTCTACCTCCAAAAAATAAAAATAAATAAAAACACAAAAACAACAAAAACTGAACCTTTACAACCTGCTGGTTGGATCTAATAAGCGCTCCCATCTTCTTTTAAGGATGAAACAGACTCAAAGCTTGGTTTATTAAAATAACATTCTAAGGAGGGACTAAGGCCACACACTGAATCCTTGCATGAGCTTATCAGCTATTACTCTATCCTCACGCCTGCTTTCTCACAAAGGGGAACAGGGAAAGTATGTGGTAGACTAACACAAATCTCTCACCTTTATCCCCAAAACAAAGCACCATCTCTTTGCACATCTCCTACTAAGGGACAGACCTAAATGGTTCCCATGGTATCCAATGGACTATGTCGTACACAGAGCTGCTCATGAATAAGAGTTGAATCCAGGAGTCTCTGCTACTTCATTAGTTCTAAAACTCCCCCTAGAGCACCTAATTGCTATGTTGGCATACAGCTCCTCAACATTTTCAGAATAATCCAGAATCTGGCAATTCTCATTTTCTATTTTTTTTTTTGAAATGGAGTCTCGCTCTATAACCCAGGCTGGAGTGCAGTGGCATCATCTCGGTTCACTGTAACCTCTGCCTCCTGGGTACAAGCGATTCTACTGTCTCAGCCTCTTGAGTAGCTAGGATTACAGGCATGTGCCACCATGCCCAGCTAATTTTTGTTTTGTTCTTTATGCCTGGCTAATTTGTGTTTTTTGGCAGAAACAGGGTTTCGCCATGTTGGCCAGGCTGGTCTCAAACTCCGGGACTCAAGTGATCCTGGCCTCAAGCACCTTGGCCTCCCAAAGTGCTGGGATTACAGGCATGAGCCACTGTGCCAGGCTGAATTCTCTTTTTATCTTTGGGTGAATCCTTGAGGGCAACCAGCCTCTGAACATTGACACATCAGAACTTATAAAGCAGTTTTAATTATATGCAGTTTCAAAAAATATAGTTAGAAAAATAGGAGATCTAAAAGGAATAGAATAATAAGCTTTTCATGCAAAAATATCTACTTTGTTGGTATGCATGATGAAATAAAAAATGAGATTTGAGATTTTGTTCTAAAAGTCTTCATCTTTGGCAGCTAGATATTTCATATTTTACTCTACTTGATCTTAGCCAAAAGGTCAAGAAAAGATGGCTTTTTCATATTTTATGCTACTTACTATCATTCTTTTTATGCCCACAAAAATCAGTTAACAACTGGTAATGATGTGAAATGGTCTTTCATTTTGAATCACAGGAACGTAAAATTGCTTACCTGGGGGGAAATAAACTGGGGAGGCACTTGCGCCCGGAGACTGGGAGAAGAATTTAGTGGCTGCACGGGTGTGTGCAGACCTCTCGATTGTGCTGTGCTGTTTCCAAACAAACCATGACTACCGCCCTGTAAACAGAAAAGCAGCAGTAAGGCTTTTTGTTAACATAAGAAAATGCAAGTAAGAAACAGTTCTGGTCTTTTAGATCCCTCAGAAGAATCACAGGCTGTGTTCGATGGAATAACAGAATTTTGTAACTGAGAAGTTCCTTATCTTAGAAGGCTTGGGGCAATTACTCAGATTGACTCATGGGCACCTGTACAGTTTGAAGAACTCTATAAACGGAAAGGGTTCAATGTCATCAAATATTAGGAAAAGTCCTACATTCTTTTTTGTGAACCAAAGATATAGGCAACATAACATTTATTTCAAGTACTCTTCTTTGCGATTGGGTTTACCAAATTTATTCTCAAACTTTATAATCTGAGCTCCATCTTGAAAGGCACCTGAGTAAAAATGCAGCCTTATGAATAGTTATCAGTTGTATTTATAAAACATTATGATGTGATTTCTCTGCCGTCCAAGAGTGAGCCTAGCACCCTTCCTTGTCCTGGATCTGCTCAATCCTTTCTTTGACAGATGAGGAAATGTGACTCAATTACCCAGTGAGATAGAAAAGGAAGAAAGGGAGAAAGTAAAAACCATTACAGGGACACCAAAATAAACATTACTCACCTGTAACTTCTCATTCAAACACATATCAGTCTAGTTAAAAATAAGCGGAACTCCCTCCTTTCTGGAGGCCCAACTCACTGGAGCACTTCTACACTATTCCAATGAGATAACTAAGAGAGTTGGGTTATATGGTGGCCCTTCCTTTCTGACTGGTTTCTAGCTGAGAAAAGTCCTTCAGCGAAGAAACCATATTTGATAATAATGCAACACTGTGTTCTCTCTGCCTGAGGTTCTTTCTGATACCATCTTCACTTGACCTCTTCAAGGCCCAGCTTGGAGGTCATCCTCATCAAGGAAGTCTTCCCCAAAACATCTTCCTGATTTCACATTCAGATTAACTGGGCCCACCTCTCCAATCTCAAAACGCTTTAAAACTCATCAAACCACACTATAGTTATTTTCCATTCTGTCTTTCTACTGTTAAATCTTTCCCTCTTCGTATTCCCAGAACTCAATAAATCCCCAGTCTGTAGGATGAATATATCATCTGTAAATATCCATGACCCACCAATTCCACACACCGGAAAATGTCCCACTGAATACCTTCAGCAAAGACAGCTGCATCACTGCTTATACTGAGTATTATACATATACCCTGAATTGAAATCACCACCATTATCATAACCCTGGAATCACATGGATTAAGGTAATTTTAAAGAATTTTGTAATGGCTTCATTAAAACCTACAACACTAAAAATACTGTGATGGCTTAATGATTAAAAAATAGATTAAGGGACTGCTGTAGGGAAATTAGTGAACTTAAAAGCATTGAAAATAAAAATGATTCTAAACATAAAGTCGAAATGGCAATTAAAATCTGTGTATCTCATAAATCAAAGATTCATCACGAATTTTATGTCTCCCCAAGGGTTGTTGAAACATGAGAAGACCTTTAATTCTAGAAACTCTAAATCTCTGCTGCTGCTGTCTTACCAACACACAGCCCTAACTTTCCTCAGATCGTGGTAGTCAGTAGCTTCGCCACCCTGATCACCTCCAAGAAAACAGGAAACATTTATTTCACCAAGGATATTCTGCTACGATCTTTCTCACTTTATCATCAAAGTAATGACTTAGTTATTAGATGTCAATTATTCACGACTGGTCCTTGGACGGTGGGGTTACTGGTAACTAAAGTTCCTGCCAGAATCCATTTTTTGGCAAATACAAAATTGCTTCCTGAGGGTCATTCTAAATTTCAACCTCTCCTTTAATAACAAGCATTGAAAAGAATTTACTTTTTAATCTCCTGTAAAATCAATTCCTACTTTCCTCTTCCCAGTAGACAATTTCCACCCTCCCCCACCATAGGTTTTAGGCTTTTCATTATCAAGTGACCCTACAGCCACACAAAGCACTATGATATATCTGGAATGGACAATAATATAGGTAAGTCCACAGTAGTTGATCAAAAAATGCCTCGTCTGTAACTTAATATGGAAGCTGGGCATCACAAGCTGCTCATTTTCTTGGCCCCAATATAGCTATTTTTGCACAGTGATGTATTCAGGGGCAATCATACAGATTTGGTCTTTAAAAATATTTAGAAATTAGGAAAAGGGTAATCAAAAACTTATAAAGGCCAGGTACAGTGATTCACACCTGTAATCCTACCATTTTGGGAGGCTGAGGCTAGGAGTTCGAGACCAACCTAGGCAACATAAGCAAGACCCCATCTGTAAAAAATAAACAGGAGAAAGGCTGGGCACGGTGGCTCACGCCTGTAATCCCAGCACTTTGGGAGGCCAAGGCGGGCGGATCACGAGGTCAGGAGATTGAGACCATCCCGGCTAACATGGTGAAACTCCATCTCTACTAAAAATACAAAAAATTAGCCGGGCGTGGTTGCGGGAGCCTGTGGTCCCAACAGCTACTCAGGAGGCTGAGGCAGGAGAATGGCGTGAACCTGGGAGGCTGAGCTTGCAGTGAGCAGAGATCACGCCACTGCATTCCAGCCTGGGCGACAGAGGCAAGACTCCATCTCAAAATAAATAAATAAATAAATAAAAAATAAAAAATGAAAAATAAACGGGAGAAAAAAGGCACTTGTATATGTGCTAATGCAGGTTTGTGTGGCTATTACTAAAGCTCTACTGTTGTACAAGAGGCTTTTACAATTACCTGAGTCTGGTGGTATTTGCTTCAACTATACTGTTTAACTCAAAAAAGCATACAAATTAAAAACAAAATTACCAAGCTAACCAAAATCTGTGATTTGGAAAATCGAAATCTTAAATTTTATTAATATGAAGTATATTAAAATAATTCTGTAAGAAAATAGTCTTTAAAAACCATGTCCATATTTAGATAGAATATGTCCACAAACCTGGTTAACAATGGACTTTGTAGCAATCTACAGATCAAAAAAAATAAGAAGAATGACCTTTTTTTAGAGCCTAATGCTCGGCTAGTTTGGCTGGTCTACTATACTAATTTATGTACTAACAGCATTTGATAATCATGTGATCCACCACATTTACAATCACCATTAACTGTGAATGTTATGCCTATTTCATGTTTTCTATACCTCGATTCAAAATAAAAGAACCCCCAAAACATCAATATAATAATTTCTTCCATTTATATAAACAGTATATATCCATGTCCTCTGTGGAAGCAGTAAGGAAAATGATGAAATATAAAGGAAGAAAATAAAAAATCAGTTGTAACTCCCAATCCAGAAATAACCAACTGAACACATGGATATAGTATAATCCATTTTTTAAAATGTGCTAAGGCAGCAATTAGAAAGCATATAAGAGACCTATGTGCAACTTAACTGGTGTCAGAGGTATTGCTTCACATCACCCTGTAACGTGTATGTGGAAGTTATCATATGGAGACAGAACATCATCATGTATGCATCATGTGGATGCAACTAATAATTACAAGTTGTATAATTAACGTCCTCCCACAACGTCCTGAGGTGAAGGTCACAGTGACAAGTAAGTGGTCACAGAAGTATGGCTATCACTGCTGGGGTTATTGTTGCAAAGGAATTGTGACTCCAAAGTCCTGGTTTTCTCCACAAAAACTACAACAGAGCTATTGTGGGAAGGCAGGCAGGGTCATGCTGTGCACCCTCAGGCCTGGCAAGGTGAGGAGGCATGATCCTCCCAGGCCTGCCTGTCTTGTTTCTACTGCACAGCCCTTCCCTGGAGGGTTGCCAGATCCAACCCCAGGTGCAATGAAACACTGCTGTGTCTCAGCAATACCCATTCTTCCCAAAGCTTCACCGTTTACTATTTAAAGTTACCCTTCTCCGGGTAATTACTATATTTTACACTTAAAGACACTAGATTTCAAGATGCCATAACCCACAAATACTTAATCATACTAGTTTTCCTATTTTTAAATTAGCAGGTTTATTAAATTGAAAAGATCTCCAAAGTATTACATATCCAATCTAATGTTTAAAATGGCAAATGCATTAAGTTAGATTGTCTAAGGTACTTACGTAGCCTCTTTAACATTTTCCTTAGTCAGTTATTACTTATTAAATATGAACTTATGATCAAAAATGAGGAGACAAAAAAAAAAATACAGGTTTAAAATAAAATCCGTGTTGAAAAACATGAAGAGAGATGGGTTCTATGGGCTGAAAGATCTAGAACCTACACTTAATATCATTCTGTGCATTCAGTAATCAACAAATTTCCCAAGACAGACAAATGATGCAATAAACTGCAGACCAGGACCAAGGCGAGGCCATAGCCAAGCAGTTATAAATTTGAGAGGCCTCCTTACTTGTCTAGCAGCGAAGTTTTGGGGGTTGAGCCCTGTGCCGATTGCTCCAAGGCTGACGTTGGGTAGTGTGGAACCAGAGGGAGACAGCTTGTAGCTGGGAGAAGGGGAGAAGGGAGAGCAGGGAGCCTCATCCCCAAGGCACCCATCTTGATTGGAGAAAGGCAAAGTCAGCTGAAAAGTAGTAGGAGTTAGCCAATCACAACGAGTGTTGGTTAGTGAAGCAACAGAATGCAAGAAGGGAAAAGAGAGAAACACTAGCAATAAACAAAGTTAGAGTGTATTAGCAATAACCAAGGATGGAATTTGGATCTGATAATAATCTTTACACTTGGCCCAACAGACACCATCTGTCATCTTCTTTGATATAGATTTTTCTTTTCCTCTAAGTTAGTAACACGTTCTGTCCATTGCATTACAATAAAAATTGCCAGACACTTTATTTTTACGCATCTAATATTGATTACTCTAGCAATGTGGCTGCTGAAACAGAAGCCAGGCCAATCTTGTGAATATGTTGCTGTCTGGACCAGCAACAACAGTGTCAAAACGTGCCAGATTTAAAAATTTTGGTTTTAACTGCTTTCTGAAGATCAGGAACACAGCAAATTGGTATTCTGGATCAAGATATAATTCCCACCATTAGAAATGTTAAACATCAAAACCAATAGGTAGAAACTGCTTGGTTAAATTAGGTAGATGAGAATTTGAAAAGTATACCATTGTAACTAAACACAGATCGCTAGGAACTGGGGAAAGATAACAACAGAGTTATCTCAAAACTAGAAGAAGGCAAGGCCTTAGGAGACATGGAATATTTGCACAAAATCCCAAAATTTATTTTGTAGCTGCACAGCAGCGGAAAAAAGAATGCAGAGTAAGTTTATCTCTAAAATTTCCACACTTCATGAATTTCTCAAAACTCAGATTTTCTAATACACACATGCTAAAGACAGATGGTTCTTGCTCTTGCCTGATCACCTGTTGACATCAATGGTTTTCAGGTCACCACGTTAATGCAGGTGATGTTTGTGTTTTGCTCATCTAGTTCAGTAATTCTATGCTTCCTCTAGAATCAGTTATCAAAAGACAAATGGGAACCAAAGCGGTTCTCATGAATTATTATCTTAAACAAAGGATTCAACTCACCTTCTCAAAATAAGGCCCACTATCTGTGGTTCCCATGTCTTTGGAATTAGGTGGACGGAACCCAGATCGATCCTTCCTCATGATATCATTAAAATCCCCGAGATTCATCGCTCGCTTGTCCACATCAAATTTTTTATCTGAAAGGCTTCCTGAAAAGTAGCATACACAGAGTGAAAATTTCCAGAATCAATGTTTCCCCCATGAACCAAGAGTGACCTGCCCCACTATCCTCATGGGGGTGCTGGGTATAAGCTATTAATATTTCTATTTCTGGGGATAAGACGAGACAAACTCTCATTGGTCCAGGCTGCTGGTGTTTGTCCCTGGAACACACATGGGTCCTTTTTATTTATTTATTTATTTTAAAAAACAAAACAAAACATGTATCTGTTGTAGTTTGTTTTCCATGGAAGACTGAAAGAGCCTTAGGGATAACCTGGCAAAAATCTCGCTAAGAAAACATTTAGACTGGATACTGATGTGTCTGATGAACACATCTTGCTCATAAATTCAAATGTCCTCAGGGAGAGAAGTTGTCTGTTTTTGCTATTTTAGCATCATCTAGATAAATGGTCTGGGTGAAACATAGTTACAAGGAATAAAAAGATCAAAGAGGCACAGTGGTTGCCCTAAAATTTAGAACTTAAGAGCTGAACACAGAAGATGTGTCCACATTACCTACACGGTGCAATTTCCCAGGTGCCATAACTATACCACTTTTCTTTCACAACTCTATAAATGTGCTGTCGTCTGCTGATATAACCAGTGCTGCCCCAGGAAACTTATGTTTTAATTATTCTCATATTTAGAAATATCATAGATCAAAGACTACCTACTTCCTTTACTACCCAGAATTATTTTCATTTCTTCTTAGTTTGATTCTTTTCAAGTTCCTCAGGGTGATCAAGAGCATTACTATGAAAACCCCACAGACTAGTGGCTAACACCGTTTCCACTCCAGTTGCAATGTGAGAGTTTGTCAATAACGAAGCATCCTGGTACAGACAGGACTGGCAACTTGAGGGCCACATCTGGCACACAATTTGTTTGGCCCCATAGAGCATTTTAAGAGACCCGAATTAGTTCTGACATATAAAAATCAGGGCTGGGCACAGTGGTTCACACCTGCAATCCCAGCACTTTGGGAAGGCGAGGAAGGTGGATCACTGGAGGTCAGGAGTTCGAGACCAGCCTGGCCAAAATGGCGAAATCCCGTCCCTACTAAAAATACAAAAATTAGCTGTGCGTGGCGGCACACGCCTGTGATCCCAGCTACTCAGGAGACTCAGGCGGGAAAAATCGCTTGAACCTGGGAGGCAGAGGTTGCAGTGAGCAGAGATCAAGCTGCTGCACTCCAGCCAGGGTGACAGAGCAAGACTCCGTCTCAAAAAATCAATAAATAAATACAAAAATCATAATGCCAGTATATATCTGAATTTCTGGCCTCTGCTGAAAGACTTGTCATAGCTCAGCCTGGATTCCTCCAGAGCAGCAACTGCTAGGAGCAATGCAAGGCTGATTCTTCTAGGTGGACGCTCCACAGTTAACCTGTGGCCACCTCGTCCCAGGTTTTTTTTTTTTTTTTTTGAGACTGAGTCTCGCTATGTTGCCAGGCTGGAGTGCAGTGGCACAATCTCGGCTCAGTGCAACCTCTGCCTCCTGGGTTCACGCCATTCTCCTGCCTCAGCCTCCAGAGTTGCTGGGACTACAGGTGCGCCACACCATGCCCAGCTAATTTTTGTATTTTTAGTAGAGATGGGGTTTCACCATGTAGGCCAGGATGGTCTCGATCTCTTGACCTCGTAATCCACCCACCTCGGTCTCCCAAAGTGCTGGGATTACAGGCATGAGCCACCATGCCCGGCCTCGTCCCAGGTTCTTATACCCGGCACACATCACTTATTTACATTCTTTGCTGACTCCTGTAGTCATGTGAGTTTTCTATCCCTGCCCAGTGTCTAGCACAGTACCTTACAAAGAGTAAGTGCTCAATCAATGTCTACTGAACTGCACCTATCCCTAATCAAATTGGGCAGGAGATGCCAAAAGGACACTGTAACACTGATATACTCCATTCTTTTCAGCGGAGTGATACACACCTACAGACAAATCCATTTTGCTGCTTGGATTATCTTCAGTCTGACTCTGGAAAATAAAGAACAGATGAGAGAGAATTAAGGATGCACATCTTTGAATCAAAGAAGTGGCATTATTCACCTGAGAGCCACGTCTTACTACTGGCACCATAGAAGGTTCTCTGAAATGAACTTGATGGTACTGAAGACATTAACATTTTTAATATGCTAGCTTGATTGCTGTTTGGGCCTATATTCCTACAATTCAGTTTTCACATACAATTAGTCTCAATAAGTCTACAAAGAGAGCAATAGATAAACAGCTGCCTGAAGAAATAAACCCCCGTCCTTAAGTTCTAGTCAGCCCAGGATCAAATTCCATGAGTGACCGCCAAATAATGACAACTTCTTCTCGTGACTTGTCAAGTCATCAAACCTTCAACTGTGCAGCCAAGTCAAGTCATTTGTCTTTTGGCAACCAGGGACAGGGTGTCCCCACAACGTTGCCGAGAGATAAAGAAATCAGAAATTCTACAAGAATTCCCTATGTAATTAGTCCCAGTATAGTTTTTCTAGTTTCGTTATCGTTGCCTTTTTAAAAAATCATAATATGAAAACTAGTACAGTAATGCGGTTGGAAACAATTGTATAAATTTTTAATGCCTCTTTCTTCTCTATCCTCCTAAGGAAAAGGACAAAATGACTACACATTTAAAAGCCATAACCTTTAAATGTTGGAGTATGTCATTAATAAGAATAGAAGAGAAATATTACTTAACTCAAAAGGTCAAGAACATTGCTTAACTAGTTTTTAAATCTTTAATTTTGTACTATATGTGGCAGTTGTCTTAAAATTGGTATTAATATTAAACCTAAAAGTTGGGATACGTTATACATTTGAAAAAAATAAAACTTACCAGCAATCCCATATTTGAAAACTGTTTGGCAAGAGGATTCATCCATGAATCATTGTTTCCTCCTTTGAGTGAGCACTACAGAAATGAAACACGGAACCTCAGAACCAAATAATTTATTTCAGCCTCCTGAGTTTTATTAATACAGACTGAAAATGTAGACTTGAGTTTACCTTTTTAAGTCCTATTTCTCTTTAACTAAAATTATGTTGATATTTTATGTTAGTTTAAATGATTAATAAGCCCTAGTTATATCTATGTTTTCATTTTTATAAAATTCACCACACTGAACCAGAAGTAACTGGAAAAATACATGCTCAGCTGGTACTTTTGCTTTTCAAATAGAAAGAAGTCTGATATGATTTTCTAAAATAGAAGTTTTGCACACGACTACTTTCACTTTCATTAGGCTGCTCTCCTCGTAACCCAAACTGGTTTATGTTAGGAGAAAACAGTTTGATGTCAGTGCGTGTCATTTGGAAAGGAGCCTATTTAAACTGGGCATTATAAGGAACTCATAGTGCTTCCTCTGTTTGTTTCACAGCATAAAAGACATTGGTCCTGGTGGTAAAGAGACCTAGTGGAAGACACCATTGCTGATCTCCTGGGCAAAGTAGGGCAGAGGTAGGTTTTAATTTTTTAATGGGACAAACTAGTTTCTCCCCTGAACAAGGCACTGACCATGAGCTCCACTTTCACTTCTGTGAGGGAAGCAGGGGGAACTATGAAGAGGACTGGGTGGGCTGGGGCTTTGTGCAGTTGTGTATTTCACAGGTGAAAATTCTCTATGTTGTGATGATAGCTATCTTTTTTTTTTTTTTTCTCTGTCACCCAGGCTAGAGTGCAGTGGTGCCATCCCAACTCACTGCAAGCTTTGCCTCCCGGGCTCACGCCATTCTCCTGCCTCAGCCTCCCGAGTAGCTGGGACTACAGGCACCCGCCACCATGCCCGGTTAATTTTTTGTATTTTTAGTAGAGATGGGGTTTAACCATGCTAGCCAGGATGGTCTCCATCTCCTCACCTCGTGATCCGCTTGCCTCGGTCTCCCAAAGTGCTGGGATTACAGGTGTGAGCCACCGTGCCCAGCCCGTGATGGTAGTCATCAAATCAATTTTATTATCCTTGAAAGTGACGAAGTACTTAAGTTTAGTACAGGTTTTTTTGGTGTGTGTGTGGGGGGCGGTTTTTTTTTTTGAGACTGAGTTTCGCTCTTGTCACCCAGGCTGGAGTGCAATGGCGCGATCTCGGCTCACTGCAACCTCTACCTCCTGGGTTCAAGCAATTCTCCTGCCTCATCCTCCCAAGTAGCTGGGATTGCAGCTGCCTGCCACCACACCCAGCTAATTTTTGTAGGTTTAGTAGAGACGGGGTTTTGCCATGTTGGCCAGGCTGGTCTTGAACTCTTGACCTCAGGTGATTCACCTGCCTCAGCCTCCCAAAGTGTTGGGATTACAGGCATGAGCCACCGCAGCCAGCTAGTACAGGTTTTAAGGTCAAAAAAGCCCTCACTAGAGGGAGGGGGGAATGGGGAGTTACTGTTTAATAGGTACAGAGTTCAGTTTTGTAAGATAGAAAGAGTTCTGCGGATAGATGGTGGTAAATGGCAACATAAGTATGTGAATATACTTATTGCCACTGAACTGTACACTTAAAAATGTACGCTATGGTAAATTATATGTTATATGTATTTTATCACAATTTTTAAAAAAAACGCCCTCGGTATATAAAGTCAGAATCACTGGTACTGGGGCTGAAAGAGTCAATTCCCAATTAACTTAATTAAATCTTGGTTGTCAACCTAGAGAGGTATTTATTAGTCCCTTTCAATCAGTTAATTTAGTCTCATTGTTAATTTGTAAATAACCAAAAGAAAGCCAAAATCACACTAGACAACCTAAGAGTGCAAGGAATGCTGAAAAGTTTGCTGAATAATTCCTTCTGTGACTGAAGAAATAAAAGCTCTTAATAGAAGAAAACCCGTAAGTGACTGCTTAAGCAAAACATCTCTAAACAGAAACAGACTGTATTCTTATGCTATAAAAGAAAGAGTCATCTACAAAATTAGTGTCCTATAGGCAAAGGGCAAAGGGGATGAAGGCCCAATCCTCAGACATGGGAAGGCCTCTAAGATGGCATCTGGTATTTGAAACGTGGGAGAATATTAGCTGTGAACCGTTTCATAGGGTGCCAAGACTCTCATGTTGAAGTTAAGTATTGGATGCCCATTTCGTATTTCCACTATTTTATTTGTCAAACGAAAATCTGGAATTGAAAAAAGAGAGGGTCTGCGAAGACACTGGTTCAGGCTCAAAGACTACTGTTCTAGATTGAAAACCAAAGTCCTCATCAAACTGTGATGAGGACTTTCACACAGAAGGTGAAAAGTTTAGTACACAACCTGGTACATGATGTAGAGAAATCATCTAGCTGCTAGGCTGGGCGCAGAGGCTCACGCCTGTAATCCCAGCACTTTGGGAGGCCGAGGTGGACGGGATCACGAGGTCAGGAGATCGAGACCATCCTGGCTAACATGGTGAAACCCCATCTCTACTAAAAATACAAAAAATTAGCCGGGCGTGGTGGCAGCTGCCTGTAGTCCCAGCTACTCGGGAGGCTGAGGCAGGAGAATGGTGTGAACCTGGGAGGCAGAGCTTGCAGTGAGCTGAGACTGCACCACTGCAGTCCAGCCTGGGCGACAGAGCAAGACTCCGTCTCAAAAAAAAAAAAAAAAGAGATATCATTAATCATTTAGCTGCTATAGCACACAAGTACTCACTGGTATTTCATTTGTCGGGAGAAGGGTTCTGGGTCTTGGAATTTCCCAAATCAGATAAAATCAAGACGTGCTGATTGCCGCGGGAGAAGCCAGCATTATCTTCCTCTGGATTCCCTCCTACATATCTATGGGGATTTACTGGAAGGACTTCTCTGGCTTTAGAATGCAAAAGCATTTATAAAGTATGCCTTGAGAGCCTCCAAAAGATTATTATAATGTGGAAACTAAAAATGAAAAATATCTCGTATCTTTGAAAACTTCATTTTACCCACAGCAACAGTTTTATAGTTCAAGGTTTCAAGGTCATGGGAAAGCAAGACGAAGGGTAAAAGGGAAGTAGTTATTTGTTTCCAAGAAAATATTTTTCCCCTTACTTAGGACCTTGAGGACCCCAGTTGCCTCACACCTTTCATTTAAAAATCCTCAGTTCTGGCTAGGCATGGTAGCTCCCACCTGTAATCCCAGCACTTTGGAAGGACAAGGCAGGAGGATTGAGCCCAGGAGTTTGAGACCATCCTGGCAACAGGGCGAAACCCTGTCTCTATTAAAAAATACAAAATTTAGCCAGGCATGGTGATAGTTCCGGCTACTAAGAAGGCTGAGGTGGGAGGACTGCTTGAGCCCAGGAGGTTGCTCAGCGAGTCGTGACTGTCCCACTGCACTCCAGTCTGGGTGACAGAGGGAGAACTTGTCTCAAAACAAAAACAAACAAAACAAAACCTCAGTTCTGCCTTCTCAGAGCGAATGAGCAAGTGCGAACATTTCTAAGCAGGCTACCTTCATTTGTTTCTTTCCTCCTTGTCCCCAGCTTGCTGAGTTGTGGGAGGAAGCACTGCCCTGAGAGCCAGTGGTGTTCCAGACTCCTCCATCCTCCTCCTCTTCCCAGCTGGGATGGCGAGCTCCTGTGACTGGCCCGTCACTCTCCCCCCAGCCGTCTTGCATAGATTTGGAATCTTTAAGGAAAGAATGAATTAACTCTTTGCAACAGCTATATAAAACAATCATCAGAATAATAATTCCTTGCAGATGCAGCATTTACGTGTCTTTGTAATTTTATCTACTCCATCTCCATGGCAAGACAAATATTATTACTCATTTTTTAGAGAGCAGGAAACTAAAATCCATAAAGCTTCAATGATACACAGAAAGTTAACAAACCATAGAATCAAGGCCTCCTGATTTATGGATCAATGCTTTTTCCCTTGCACAAAGTTGGACAGGAATTTCAAAACTGAAAAGAACTTATCACAACATTCCTGGCAAGAAATTTCACATCTCAATTAAGATAAATCTGTTCCTCTTAATGAACATGGTTTACTGTAGCCCTGGTTTTATCCTCCATTCAGTATGTACTTTATATACAATGGACACTATAAATACGAGGTATGATAAAGGACAACTGTCTAGCTTGCTTGGGGTGAAGCAGAGACGAACAGAACATGAAAAGGGGGAAAATTTTTTATAACATTTTTGAATATTAGAATTATGGTGAAAGAAGAAAAATTCACATATAGCCATGGAAATCTAAAATGTATTAGAACTACACACTTGAAATGTATTAGATACTAAAGAGGCAAAGAATTTATACGTAGTGGTTTTGAAAAGACAGAAGGAAAAAATGTGAGGAAAGGAGAAAGGAAAGCAGAGAGAAATCCAAGAGGCTTTAATGTTTGAGGAAGTGGGACATCAGTATCCCATTCTAAACAAAGATCTTTAATTTGAAGACTGGAATAAGTCCTTAATTCCCTCCGAAAATACTGTACAGAATCAAAACATACTTTGCAGTAAAAATACTGTATAAAATGATGAAAGAAAAGGAAACACATTCTCTTGCCTGGAAACTTCCATCTGCACCTCTACTCTCCCACATGACAGGACATTTATGAAAGTCTTCTGATTTGTACATAGCTTTATATGAAGAGTTTAAGGGCAGAAAATTGGCTCTTCCAGGCCTTTCCTTGAAGGACAGCTGTCACCCTGTAGGATCAGGCCTATGATAGACAAGTAGGTTTGGGCCAAGTACATAAGGCACAGGGCAATTAATTTCTTCTAACTGTAGCATCTCATCCCCTAGCAAGGCCCAGGTGAATCTGACAGTCTCCCAGTGGGGTTCATTGTAGCCACAGGAAGGGGCTGTCTGTGCACAAGGGGGAGGGTTGGGATGCTCCTCTTCCTGCTGCTGGAAGTGCTGCTGATAACCAGGACTGCTGCCTCTGTATATAGGATTATATATTTATATAATACCATATTTATGATTTATATTATACAAGCATAGGCTTTATAGCATCCACTGACAAGCAACACGAGCTAAAAACCCAATATAAATAACACACTGACCCCTTTAGAAAAATGAAGACATGCAAGTGAACCTTTCTTTTAGAGAGATAAAGCTAAACTTCTAACAAATGTTTCTTACAGAAAAGATAAGAGAGGTCTAATTTTTAATCATAGGATTCATAACATCAAATTTAAGACAGGCTACAGAAGATCACAGGGTAACTGTCTCCATCAACTGGTAGACTATGATGGTTTAGCCCTTTCTTCCGCACATTACACATTTAACTTACCCACAGAAAGGATGTGTGCTATAACTACAGATGATCCTGAAGAGTAGAAGACATTTTTAGAATCTGAGGAAAAGTGGTTTTGTGATAGAAGAGAGGTGATCCTGAGGTTGGGAAAGACACATGAAAATCCTGAATATACTGCTAAAGGATCTCTTTGTGCCCAGGGTCTGATTAACATCTTCTTGCAGCATTTTGGGTCTATTTCAAGTCTACTAGATTACATTTCCCATGATGATACGACTGATTTCACAATAGAAATAATGATAAAAACAAAATTTTCATAAAGCTAACTATTTTAATGAGGTCGAGGAGATTCATGATTTTTAAAATGTAGTCAAATTACTACATATACACACATGTGAATTTCCAGAATAGAGCTAATATCACATTCCCTTATGTGGCACTGTAAGAGTACTGAATATAATGTGATAAACTTAACAGAATTTATCTTCTTGTTTGAATTTTGGTCATTCCAGAAATGTTCATTATTTAATCAAAAGATAATCCCTTAAATCTGCTTCTATATGGTAGAAAAGAGATGTTGGAACATTTTAAAGAAAGTTACAAAAGTAAGTGTAAACAGGCACCTGAATTTAGCAACAGTCAATGAGACATTCCATAGCCTCAGTCCACAGAGTTCTGCTCATTACTGTGACCACACATCACCAGCTGGATCAAGTACAGCTTAGATTTTAGATTTTCAATGATTCTGAATAAGTGTGACGTTCTTCATTTAAAAAATTGAAGTGAAATTTATGCCAGGTTTAAAAAATCTGAAATGCTCTTATGTGGAAGAGAGACAACGGCAAAGGAAGGTGCAGAAGGATGAAGTCACTGGGCAGCACAGATCGTGTTCCACATTAAAAGCCAGGAACTCTTGTTTTAAATTATACTAACAAGTAGAAATGCAAGCTAGATATGGTGAGCACATAGTCACTGGGCTAAAAGAGCATCACATCAAAATTATAATTCTGTCCAGATACTAAATTTAAAACAAAATTAACTTATGATTTTTAATTCACCTTAAACATTTTAAGAAACGCCAAGCCAAGCCACAACCGTTTGCTATTAACTAATTATTTAACACTCAAGGTCCTGAATCTCATTGAATCAACAGCTTAAAACTAAACAGCCCTCACCAAAATGTCAGATTCTCAAATCTGACATTTGACAAACATTTAACAAAGAATCCCGGCCGGGCACGGTGGCTCACGCCTGTAGTCCCAGGACTTTGGGAGGCCAAGGCGGGTGGATCACAAGGACAGGAGTTCAAGACCAGCCTGACCAACATGGAGAAACCCCATCTCTAATAAAAATACAAAAATTAGCCGGGCGTGGTGGCGGGCGCCTGTAATCCCAGCTACTCGGGAGGCTGAGGCAGGAGAATCGCTTGAAGCTGGAAAGCAGAGGTTGCAGTGAGCCGAAATTGCACCACTGCACTCCAGCCTGGGTGGACAAGAGTGAAACTCCGTCTCAATTAAAAAAAAAAAAAAAAAAGGATCCCTCAAAAATGAAAAGCTTCACACTTACTAGGCTTCATGGCATTGGGAGCGTTGGCGGGCGTGTTCCCCCAGCCTGTGGTCGATGCTCCTGTATCATCCATCTCGCCCCACCCAGGACTGCTTTCATTTGGCTCACCCCAAGCGGAAGTACCATTATCTGGAGCAGGTGGTGTGCTTTTGCTCCAGACTATAAAGAAAGGAAATGTCTCTAAGAATCATTTGTTAAATGAAATGCCATAATATCCAGTGGGGTGAAGGTGGAAGGAACAGGCATGCCTATATTCTGTTGGTAGAAATGTAAATAGATTCAACTTTCATGTGAGGGGTATTTGGCAATGCTACTTTTTAAAAAATCCGATGCACATTAAACTTTTCACCCAGTAACTCAACTGCCAGGAATTTTTTTTTTTTTTTTTTTTTTGAGACAGAGTCTTGCTCCATCCCCAAGGCTGGAGTGCAATGCCGTGGTCTTGGCTCATGGCAACCTCCACCTCCCAGGTTCAAGCGATTCTCCTGCCTCAGCCTCCCGAGCAGCTGAGATTACAGGCGTGTGCCACCATACCCAGCTAACTTTTGTATTTTTTTTTTTAAGTAGAGACAGGGTTTCACCACATTGGCCAGGCTGGCTTCAAACTCCTGACCTTGTGATCTGCCTGGCTCAGCCTCCCAAAGTGCTGGGATTACAGGCATGAGCCATCATGCCCAGGCTGCCAGAAAATTATACCATAAATATACTTGTAAAAATAGGTGAAATTACATGTATAACAATACTCACCGCATCACTGATAGAAAAAATTTGGAAACAACCTAAATATCCACCACAAGGGGACTGGTTAGACCAATTGTGGGTCACCCATAAAAGAAGTACTGTGTAAAGGCCAGGCACAATGGCTCACGCCTGTTATCCCAGCACTTTAGGAGCCAAGGCGGGTGGATCTCCTGAGGTCAGGAGTTCAAGACTAGCCAGACCCACATGGCAAAACCCCATCTCCAGCAAAAAATACAAAAATTAGCTGGGCGTGACGACGCATGCCTGTAATCCCAGCTATTCGGGAGGCTGAGAAGGAGGCTCACTTGAACCCGGGAGGTGGAGGTTGCAGTGAGCCAAGATTGCGCCACTGCACTCCAGCCTGGGAGACAGTGAGACTCCCTCTCAAAAAAAAAAAAAAAAAAAAAAAAAAAGAAATACTGTATATGAAGCAATTAAGCAGCAGACTATGTGCTAAAATTGGAAGCTATAAGTATAATGAGAAAAGCAAGGTGAAGAACAGTATACGAAGTACAATCCCTTCTCTGTAAAATTTTTGAATGGGACACAAACTTCTAAGAGATTACCTTTGGGAAGAGACCCTAGGGGTTAAGATTATTATTATTATTATTATTATTATTATTTTTTGAGACGGAGTCTTGCTCTGTCGCCCAGGCTGGAGTGCAGTGGCGTGATCTCAGCTCACTTGCAAGCTCCATCTCCTGGGTTCACCCCATTCTCCTGCCTCAGCCTCCCGAGTAGCTGGGACTACAGGTGCCCGCCACCACGCCTGGCTAATTTTTTCGATTTTTTAGTAGAGGCGGGGTTTCACCGTGTTAGCCAAGATGGTCTCGATCTCCTGACCTCATGATCTGTCCGCCTCGGCCTCCCAAAGTGCTGGGATTACAGGCGTGAGCCACCGCGCCTGGCCAAAGATTATTTTATTGACTATCTTTTGCTTTTCCACACAGTTTGAAGGTTTTTGCTATGTGGATGTAGCTTTTTAAAATTTTAGCAGGTTTTATTCTGCATGGGGAGCCAGTGAGAAATCTTCATTTCCTTCCTCATTCTTTTCAATACTTGAAAAAAGAATGAGTTAAAAGTAATCATTTTTCTAAGAGGCCACAAATGGATTAGCTGAACACTAGAGGTGTACTCGGAGAAAACTGATTCTTGGCTGGGCACAGTGGCTCATGCCTGTAATCCCAGCACTTTGGTAGACTGAGGCGGGTGGATCACCTGAGGTCAGGAGTCTGAGACCACCCTGGCCAACATGGTGAAATCCTGTCTCTACTAAAAATACAAACATTAGCTGGGCATGGCAGTGGGTGCCTGTAATCCCAACTACTCAGGAGGCTGAGGCAAGAGAATCACTTGAACTTGGCACGGAGGTTATAGCGAGCCGAGATCGTGCCACTGCACTCCAGCCTGGGCAACAGAGTGAGACTCTGTCTCAAAAAAAGAAAACTGGTTCTTAATATTAATTTTAACTAAAAAAAGACTGAAAGGTGCATCCCCCTTAATTTGTTGAACTATATGCTCTATAGGGACATTCAAGTTGACAATGACAAACTAAGAATGGCATTACCATTGCTACTTTTACCAGGTATGATGTTTCCTATTCAAATAGTGACGGAAGAAAGTTTAATTCTGGGCAACTGACTATCCTAACAATCGCTCTTTTTTTTTTGGCAACAGGGTCTCGCTCTGTCTCCCAAACTGGAGTGCAGTGGTGAGATCATAGCTCCCTACAGCCTCCCATCTCCAGGGCTTAGGCGATCCTCTTACCTCAGCCTCTAGAGTAGGTGGGACTATATGCACATGCACCACACCCGTCTGATTTTTAAAAAATATTTTTGTAGAGACTGAAGTCTCTCTAGGTTGCCCAGGCTGGTCTCAAACTCCTGGGCTCAAGGGATCCTCCTGCCCTAGTCTCCCATAGTGCTGGGATTACAGGTGTGAGCCATCTCACTAGGACTGAGATAACAATCTCTTATACAAAGTACTCCCATTCCAGAGGTAATCATTAAAAATCATCCAGAAAGAGACTGAAACCTTCCAGATCCAGCTTTGCTTCAGCATCATCATGGCCTTTGGAAAAACACAGAATTATTTCCCTTTGCTGGGGAAACAGAAGCAGAGACATGTCCATGGGTAGAACCAGAATGGAAATCAGGTCTATTTCTGCTACTACTTTAATTCTTTATTTTAAAATCTAGAACATAGTTTGTTTGGCAAGATATGTCTTTTGGATTCTGCAGACCAATACAATTACAGAAAAATAATTTTGGGGACTAACACAGGGTTGTCATCTTTTCCTTTTGCCAAGAAAGAACATTAAAATGTACTACCAGCATCTGCCATCACTAGCATTTCATAAAAAGAGGTTCTGTTAGCAACAGAGTAGAAACTGTAGGAAAGCATCTCAGAACAAAACTAAGTTGAATAAATTCACCTAATAAAAATGCCTTGGTCTAGGATTCCTTTTCTTCATCAAAAGCTGCAAGAGAAAGCCACTGCTTACCTGATGCCGATTTACTGGTCATTGGGGTGGGCAGGTTTGGTTCTCGAGGTGCTGGGCCCCCTTGGGAATTCTTATCCCACAGATTCACATTCTTGTAGTTATAACTGTTAGGGTCTCCCCATGCTGAAGTGCCATCATCAATGTCCATTTTCCGACTAATTGACTGTGGGGATGGCTCTTCCCAACCACTGGGTTCCTCATCCTTAGGTGTTGCAGGCTGTGGCCCGCTGCTCCAGCTGGAATTGGAAGGTCGAACGTTGCCTGGAGGTGGTGGGGGTGGGCCTCCCCACGAACCAGAAGCCTCTGGTTGTGGTGGCGGCGGCTGCTGTGGGGGCTGCTGCTGTTGGTGTTGTTTATTCCAGGAATTGGGCTGTCGGCCCGTCTCATTCCATGCTGGGGATCTTTTGCAATCCTCCCACCCACCTTTTGAAGCTAGGCTTGCATTGCCACCATTACCCCAAGTCCCGATTTCATTCTGCCCTCCTTCACCCCACCCAGACACAGGTTTACTTGCAGAACTTTCCCAATTGCTGTTTTTTGTCTGATCGACTTCCTCCCCCCAACCATTCTTTCCAGAAGACCATCCTTGATTGGGCTGGCGTCCACCTCCCCACCCCTGATCCTTGCTGGGATTCTCATTCCAAGAGGAAGGTGTCTTTTCATCAGGTCGTCCTCCTCCCCAGTTGGAAGAGTTGTTGTTCTTGTAGTCATTCCAGCCTCCTGTGTTCTTGGGGTCTTTCCACTCTGTAGAGGCTGAGAGCTCCCCCCATCCAGACTTCATTTGATTGCTTTGGCTGGGTGCATCTCCCCAGCCCCCTGAGTTCTTGGTCTGTGTGGCAGCGCTCTCCCACCCCTCAGTTCCTTTGTCAGATTTCCCCTCAGGCCTTGGCACCTCTTCAATGTCCCACACTGTGTCCTGCTTAATTTGAGTTTGGCCCCAGCCAGTGTTTGAGAGCACCCTGGGGTCCAAATCAGTTCGGCTCAAAAGAGTCTGCAAGACAGCCTGACAATCAGGATGTGTGGGCCTGTACGACCGACGGCCAGAGTTATGACTGTCACTACTTCCTGCTTTGTGGTTGCTTCCAGTGCTTTGACCTCCAACTTCACTTCCTGTGGAGCTGGAAGATCTTCCCCAACAGGGAGCCTGGGCATTGCCTTGGTTTTCAGGGAGGGGGTGGCCCTTTTGATTGTCCCATGCTCCAGTGCTAGAATTTGGTTGGTTTGGACCACTCCATTCTCCAATTTTCAACTCATCAGACCCAGTCGGCTGTTTCCATTCTCCCTGAGAGACCCCAGATGTCATTTTGTTCCCTTCACCCCATTTGTTGTCATTAGAGTCCTGGGGGCCAAAGTTCCAGGACCCACCCGTAGACCTGTTATTGTTGTCCCAAGAGTCATTTTTTGACCCAGTTGATTTCTGAACAGAAGCTCCTTTCCAGGAGTCCTCTCTCTCTTTTCCATTGTTCCCATTGTTTCCAGAATTGCTTTGTCCAGAGACTGTGTCAGTTCCAGAAGGCCCCCTAGCTGCACCCCAAGATCCAACACTCCCAGTCTTTCGATCTCCAGTGCTTTGTGAAGGGGCATCAGTGCTCCTGGAGGTGTTCCCCAAGCCCATTCCAAAGGGCATTCCCTTATTCTCCATGGGGTTTGGTGAACTTAAGTTCAAGGAGTTAGTGTTTCCATTTTTTGGTCCATCAGTGTTATGAATTTGAGCCTGTTCTCTGCCAGAGACAACAAAATTAACACCCGCATTTTCCATCTTTGACTGCTGTTCCCTGGATGTCTGACCTACTGTGCTAACCTGTGCACTGGAATTACTATTATCTGTTTCCAATGCCCCTTTCCTAGAAGTTCCTTCTTGGACCAGTGCTGGCCAGGCAGATGGGTTGCTATTTGGGTTAAAGTTGCTGAAGCCAGAGCCAGGTCCAATTCTATCCTGACCACTCACATTCCTCCAATTTCCTAGTCCATTGTTGTTCTCTGTAGTAGAGTTGGAAGATTGAACAGATTTAGCCTTAGGGTCAGATTTCCAGACCCCAAGATTACATTCGTTCCCAGAACTTGCAGACTGGCACTGGCTCCCTTTTCCTTTGTTACTAGTGGTGCTTCCTGGCAGAGTGCTCTTCTCAGAGCCAGGGTTCGAGGCACTGTTGTTATCGGTGGTGTTTTCGGAAGAAGATTCAGTGTCTTTGCTGGCAATACAAGGCCACTCTTCCATGTCAGACCCGTCTACAATCACCTTGTCCCAGATGTGAATTGGGTTGGGGGAGGTGCCGTTGTTGGAGGAGGCTCCCGAGCCCCAAGTGGAATTTGCATAATTTGAAGCAGCAGCACCTCCAAGGGTTGAGTCTGGGGAACAGATCATCTTATTAATCACAGCTTCAAATGCATTCATTACCCATTAATCCCTCAAAGGGGCTCTCCTTTGAGCTCTGCCCTTAGGAGAGCTGATCACATGCCAGTTTCTCTCAACCCAGTTGCTTGTATCACAACTGTCTTAGTCATCTCTTTTTTTTCATTTGCCTTGTGTTACACCGGTTAAGTCTAACTTCATCTCTCTCAAAGCTACGTCCTTTGCCATTCCTATTGACAGAGAAGGGCCTTCTTGTATCTTGGGACAAGGCAATAGCAATGGCACTCTAAACTTGCTCTGTATCTTCAACCTACTCTAAACACCCCTGGCTGGAGCAATCTTTCTAAAGCACACTTTTGATTATATCACTGCTGTATGGAGAACCTTCAACAGTTCCTTAGTGCACAAGAATAAAGCTGAACTCCTTGGCCTCGAATGTCATCAAGATGTTCCATGACCTGGGACCAACCAACTTTTCTAGTCTTATCTTCTACTACCTCCTATGTAGATGTCAATATTCGATACTACTTGACATTCCACAACTTGTGCCTTCTCACTCTGGCACCATTTCACGTTGGCACCTACTGTGTTTTCCTGCTGAATTCACACAGTGAAATTTACTCATCCTTCTGGGCCCAATTCAAGTGTCATTTCATCTGCGAAGCTGTTTTCAAGCTCATCACCTGAAAATAATCTTTCCCTGTCTAGAGCCATTTTGCTCAGTGCTGTGGCACCATGTTCACAACTTTCCTTCCCCATGTTAGCGTCTTTTAGGCAGAGACCCTAACTTGCTAACGTTAGAATTCCACACAGCAGCCAGCACAATGCTGCGGAGTAAGCATCTGCTGAATGATGAATACCCACTGAGCCACTGAGCTAGGTGCCCAGGGTGGCAGGGGTGTCACATGAGTATGAATTAGGCAGAGTTCACAACCCCAAGGAACTTAATCTGTTAAATGAGTCTGGCTCACCATATATTTTGGTGGAATTTACCATATTTGGTGGGAAAAACATGTTTTTAATGAGATCATTTCTTCTAAATTTATTTTGGCTTCTTTAACCAGGCAGCTTTTAATCAATTTGAAGTTTCAAAAAGTATTATACGGAGGCATAGAAAAATAAAAAGCATAGAAACCGAAACTCGAGATTTAGGGGCCTCCTCCGTTTTAATAATGTGGACTCTGACTCACACTGGACCCCAGTCTCCACCTAGGCCTGGCTACACTCGGCTGCAGAAACTCCGCCTGACAGGGCCTGCCCCTTCACATGCTTCCTTTTGCAGCTGGTTTGGAGAGCCAGGAAGGAAAGGCCATGGGTAGGGCTTATCTCTGCAGGAAGTCTGTGTCACCACGAGGTTTCTTTCCATCCTTACTCTGCACACAGCAAGATGGTGACCAAATTTTCTAGGCAATTATTTGTTTAAACTCAGAACTCAAATAAAGCATCCTACTGGTGACAACCATCAATTCATTATCTTTGCCAATGCCTAATGGTATTCAAGCTCTGAATTTTAATATCACCCCAAAAGACATTTTAAGTTGAAATCTGTTAATAAACTTTAAAAGATATTTAGAATTTCTTAGCTGTTAGTTGACTTAGTATTCATCTATTAAAAACTCTCACAACTTTTTTTTTTTTTTTTTTAAGACGGAGTCTGGCTCTGTCACCCAGGCTGGAGTGCAATGGCGCGACCTCGGCTCACTGCAAGCTCCGCCTCCTGGGTTGACGCCATTCTCCTGCCTCAGCCTCCCGAGTAGCTGGGACTACAGGAGCCCGCCACCATGCCTGGCTAATTTTTTTATATTTTTAGTAGAGACAGGGTTTCACCATGTTAGCCAGGGTGGTCTCGATCTCCTGACCTGGTGATCCACCCGCCTCGGCCTCCCAAAGTGCTGGGATTACAGGCGTGAGCCACCGTGCCCGGCCAAAAACTCTCAAAACTTCTAGTAGAACCTTTCAGCTAAATATCCCTTATTTCTACATACAGTTTTTAACAAAGCTCAAAATCCAGGGCCCACAAAAAGAAATACTGAGTTTAAAAATCTAATTTAAAAACTATAGTATTATTTTAGAATCCTCCGAAGATTCTATATTGCAATGTAGCAAATCATTTTCTCTATCCTCCTAGCATTCTGGAAACATAACACAGGCATCTAAAGATTCGCCTTCGCACAAGCCCCATGTCCAATTATGCCCTGAACACATATGACGGTGGAACTATGGAGGCTCAAATTTGTAACACTCTAGTCTGAGAAGGAAAAAAGGCCCCCAAAATAATAAGCAACAGCAGTTAAGTTAGCCCTTATGCCAAGAGCACACACTTACGGAACACTAAACCTCAGTTCCAAGAATCACCAATACACATCGCATACTAGGATCCTCTCTCATCTTTTGACTAATCCCAGTGGTTTATATAATGAATGGCTTTCCTGGACTTTACATCAAGCAATGCAAACAAAGTGCTCTCTCTCTGTCAAGCTGCCATGCATTCGATTCACAGGGTGCCTTACCTGGCGCAGTCCCACTCTCACTCTGCAGCAGCGCTCCTGTCACTTGTGCGTTGTTTGGGTTTGCTCCAGGTGCTGTGCAGGGAGGAGGCCCTGCCCCACCCCCAAGGAGCATGCAGGACGGTGGAGGGGGCTGCCCACGTTTTAGTAACACTTTGTGGTCCTGCTGGCAACGGAATCGCGGCGGCACCTCCCGAGGCATGTAGCGGGCGGCGCTTGGCGGTTGTCCGTTCGGCACTGCCACCCTTTTGGCATTGTTGCCACCATTGACTGGTGGCGATGGAGAGCTGCCAATTGGGCTGGCGGCCGTTGGTTGGCTTAAACTTGGTTTCGTCACTTCGGGCACTAAAAGAGAGGGGTTGGGAAACAGTCTTTGAAATACATCAAATACATTTTTTCTAAAAATTTTAAAAATAATTTTATTATTTTATTTAGAGATGGGGTCTTGCCATGTTGCCCATGCTGGTCTTGAACTCGGGCTCAAGGGACTCTCCCACCTTGGCTTTCCAAAGTGCTAGAATTACAAGAGTGAGCCACTGTGCCTGGCCAAGATTATTATTTATTTATTTATTTATTTATTTTTGAGACGGAGTCTCACACTGTCACCCAGTGTGAGTGTCGCCCAGGCTGGAGTGCAGTGGTGCAATCTCCGCTCACTGCAACCTCCGCCTCCCAGGTTCAAGCAATTCTCCTGCCTCAGCCTCCCAAGTAGCTCGGATTACAGGCGCCCACCACCAAAACCAGCTAATTTTTTGTATTTTTAGTACAGACAGGTTTTCACTATGTTGACCAGGCTGGTCTTGAACTCCTGACCTCATGATCCGCCTGCCTTGGCCTCCCAAAGTGTTGAGATTACAGGCATGAGCCACTGCACCCAGCCTATTTTTTATTTTTTTGAGATGAGGTCTTGCTGTATAACTCGGGCTGGAGTGCAGTGATCTTGGCTTGCTGCAACTTCTACCTCCAGGGCTCAAGTGATCCTCCCACCTCAGCCTCTTGAGTAGCTGGGACTACAATGCATACACCACTATGCCCAACTAATTTTTTTTTCCTCCTCTAGAGACAGGGTTTTGCCATGTTGCCTACCTAGACTGGTCTCGAACTCCTGAACTCAAGCTATTTACCCACCTCGGCCTCCCAAAGTGCTGGGATTACAGGTGTGAGCCACCACACCCAGACCCTGGCTAAGATTATTTGTAAGAAAGCTTACATGGTACCAATTCTAACAAAGTAACTTCTCCTTTTACTCTACTCTCAAGGGAAACAGTTTTTCCAAATTCTCCACAATCTCTCCAGTTTGCTGAAGGTAGGATGAAGGTGGCGGCTGACAGTGACAAGAATTTAAACACAGCAAGGTCATGGAATACATTCCATTAATTAAGGCGGAGAGGGAAGCAATCAACATTCACTCCCCTAAATCAACAGTGGAATTAATTCCCTGAAGTGCTGCCTAGAAGAGTTAAATGTCCATGGCAAAGTCCTTGGGAAAGGTTTCAAGCCTCAGTCCAAGGGTCCCTTCCCTTCATCCACATTCTTAAAAGATCTACCCCTGAGTAAACTTTATTGAAGCCCCTGGCCTAGATGGGCTAAACATTCTTCCTAAGTGCTCCTGGAACACATCATCCATCTCTCTCTACCATGAAAATTCTCCATTCAAAAATCCATCTATCTCTACCACCGAAATTCTCCATCTACAAGTCCCATCTCTCTCTATCACAGAAATTCTCCATTTACAAGTCCTTCTCCCTCACCAGGCCATGACTTCCTGAGGGCAAGGACCCATCTTTCATCTTTTCTTTCTTCCTTAGGGCATGGCACAGAGTGGACTCTTACAAGAAACTCCAGGCCTAGAAAATCACAAACTCAGCTTGGTTCTGGTTTCTACAGCTACCTGGACTCAAAGACTTGCACCGCTCTCTGTGTAAATACTAGAAATGTTACAAATCTTTTTGCTTTTCTTTAAAAAAAAAAAAAAGTGTTTCTTCCCAATTCTTTAAAATAGAAATTTCAAAATGTAAATACTTTTTCTGTTTACTTTAAATCATTTGATTTTTTTAAACTTAATTTTAAAAATGGCCCGCACACAGCGTGGGAATGTCGGGGCAACCGTGAAACCGCACTCTGCCGGACCCTCTGGCTCTTCCCGTCGAACATACAGAGAAGGCTCTCTTAGATCTGTACCTCCCTCGCTGCATGCTGCCAGAAGATCACTACCCTCTCCATAAAAATCTACCTGGCAAATAGAGGCTGGAAGTCGTACAGAAATAATCATCAAGCCTGACAGTTCGGATGATTCTGAGGCCCAAATCCCTGCCTCCCAGGGTAACGTCAGGGCCAACTCTGGGGGTAGTACTGCTTTGACTGCTAAAATGATGCGGGGCCAGCATGTTGCTTGCTGAACTGGCTCCTTTATGAGAGAGATACATCATCAGAAATCAGGCGGCCCAATCTATGCCACTACTGGACATTAACATACTGTGGGTGACAGGAGAAAAGAGCAGGTGCCTGCAGCAATTTCCAGGTAACCCCATGTCTAACCTCAGCTAATCACAAGGCAGCACCAGGCCTCCCAGTAAGGGGAGGGGGAGTGGAGGTCAGAGGATCCAAAATCTGATGAGCAGAATAAATGTGTGACTTAAGAAAATAAAATTAGTCGGCCAGGCGCGATGGCTCACGCCTGTAATCCCAGCACTTTGGGAGGCCGAGGTGGGTAGATCACAGGGTCAGGAGATCGAGACCATCCTGGCCGACATTGTGAAACCTAGTCTCTACTAAAAATACAAAAATTAGCTGGGCGTGGTGGCATGCGCCTGTATTCCCAGCTACTCAGGAGGCTGAGGACGAGAATTGCTTGAACCTGGGAAGCGGGGGTTGCAGTGAGCCGAGATCGTGCCACTGCCCTCCAGCCTGGGCCACAGAGCAAGACTCTGTCTCAAAAAAAAAAGAAAAGAAAATTAGTCATTATCTAATATTCATGACCTATAACAACAGATGGATACATAACTGGTAAATGAATGAATGAAGATTATTTAATATTAATTTTCTATCTGTTACTGGAGGATTCTATAGCACAGGGCATTCGCAATCCCCTTTTATCTTATTATGAGAATAAACAAGAAGTTGGCAGAGACTGGAGAAATTCATCCCAACTGGTTTTTAGGACAGAAAGAGCTATGTTTCTGTAAGGCTGCCCTGCTATAAAGGTCAAGAATCTTCATTATAAGTTACCCAGGTCTACTACATACTTTTAACTCAATCCAGAAAAACAACAAGACATGACAGAGTGACCTGCAGGACTGAGGGCTGAACACCAGTTTGACTCACTTTAAAACATTCACAGCACTGTTTCAACTGAAGAAATTTGGTAGGTATCACGTATCATGTAAGATTCCTTGCAAAAGTTCCTCAGGGCACTTTCCCACCACATCAGAGACAGAATGGATTGTAAATGATAAAGTCATTATAAAATGGGAACACACCTCAACCACTTTCCTCCCAATACAGTGTGCTCTGGCCCAGGAGATTAGTCATTCAAACTCCAGGACATCATGTACAAATAGGTCAAAGTATAAAAAGAAAAAAACAAAACCTCCAGGAAACAGTCAGAAAACGCCCAAGACACCACCTTAGTCATAGCAAACTGTGTTTCAGCACCTGAATGAATTCTTACTCTATTTTTTAAATCACACCTTTCTGTGAATCCAAGAATGTTAAGCTTTTAAAGGCCAACCAGAATTGCCGGCACTAATTGGAGAGCAACACAGCTTTTCAGGCAGGATGTCTGATCCAAATTGACTCCCAAAGTCCAAACTTAAGACATCAGAATCAGTGTGCATCACCCATCATCATGGTCCAGAATGTTAGACGATAAAGGGCAAGAGAAGCTATCATTAAAAGTCTGAATATGTTACTTTTCAGGCTGTCTCTTTTCTGAATCTTAAGGATTTGTAAGTTGTGCAAGTTTTTCTAAAGATGAGCTGTTCAAAGTAAGTGCATAGTTTCTTATCTTCCAGAGGAAAGGTTTGTGGCTTAAACATGATCTCAGTACTATAGGGAAATAAAAACATTGTGGGGTAAAAAAAAAAAAAAAAAAAAAAAAAAAAAAGGCTGTGTATCCTATTTTCTGATTTCCATTCATTTACTTCTTTTTTTGTTTGTTTTTTGAGACTGAGTCTTGCTCTGTTGCCCAGGCTAGAGTGGAGTAGCAGGATCTCAGCTTCCTGCAACCTCCACCTTCCAGGTTCAAGTGATTCTCCTGCCTCAGCCTCCCGAGTAGCTGGCGTGCACCACCACGCCTCACTAATTTTTGTATGTTTAACAGAGACGGAGTTTCATCATCTTGGCCAGGCTAGTCTCGAACTCCTGACTTCAGGTGATCTGCCCGCCTCAGCCTCCCAAAGTGCTGGGATTATAGGCGTGAGCCACCGCACCTGGCCGTCCATTCATTTACTTTTTTTTTTGAGGCGGAGTTTCGCTCTTGTTGCCCAGGCTGGAGTACAGTGGCGTGATCTCGGCTCTCTGCAACCTCCGCCTCCCAGGATCAAGCGATTCTCCTGCCTCAGTCTCTCAAGTAGCTGGGATTACAGGTGTGCACCACCATACCCGGCTAATTTTGTATTTTTAGTAGAGACGGGGTTTCACCATGTTGGCCAGGCTGGCCTCGAACTACTGACCTCAGGTGATCCACCTGCCTCAGCCTCCCAAAGTGCTGGGATAAAAGGCATGAGCTACCGTGCCCGTCCTCCATTCATTTTCTTTTAAGAACCATTTACGTGCTCTAATAATTGAATCTCCTCCCCTTCCTCATCCCATTTTTCTTATTCCATTCTTGTATCTCACAGTTTAAACTTCCAATTGCCCCTATTTCTGAAAACTCCAATTAGATGCTACTTTTTCAGATAAAAGTGCTCTTTAAGAAACTTCCAAACCAGGCAGGGTTCTGAACACAGCAGCTGCACAGAACTAGTACAAACTATTATTTCCTTTAACTATCTCAATGGTATCAAACATAAAAAAGAATGACCTAGAAATGTTTTTAAAGTAGTAGTTAAAATACAAACAAGGCCTAGAAAAGATATTCTAGGCTGAACATTTTAAATCTGATGACATGCAGTGAGCGGTCAATGTGTACTGAACAATTTTCAGTAACCTCTCAGCACTGCCTCTATTTCTTTACCTTCCACTCCCTCCTCAACCCAACACACACTGGCTTTTGCCTTGAACATCTCCCTGGAAGTTTCTTTCCTCATAAGTCACTAGTGATCTTTGTTGCCAGTCTAACCAGCCCATCTTGGACCTTTCCTTCTTTGGTTTTTCTGCAGCTTCTGACACCACTCGTCATTCCCTCCCTCCCATTTCTGTGAGACGTGCTCCAGCTAGTGCTTCAGCTCTTCCTTTCCTCTTCCTGTGTGGGCTTCTCCTACTCTTGATCAGGGGGGATCAGCAAACTTTCTGTAAAGGGCCAGATAGTAAATATTTTAGGGTTTACTGGCCATATGGTCTTCATCACAACAACTCAACTCTGCACTTGTGGGGCCAAAGCACCATAGACAATGTGTAAACATATGAGTGTGGCTGTGCTCCCATAAAACTTTATTTACGGACAGTGAAATATGAATTTCCTGTCATTTTCACGTCTTGAAATATTGTCCCCATTTTTTCTCCAATAAATTAAAAAACGTAGAAAATATTCTTAGCTCATGGGCAGTACAAAAAAGTTGGCAGTGAGGCCAACTTTGTCCACGGCCATAATGGCAATCCTGGCTTTTGACTGGAGAATGGCAAATGAATTTGGCCATAAGTAGTGGCTTAAAAACAAAACAAAACAAAACAAAATCAATGTGACAATAGGGTCTGCACCCTTTCCACATTTCAGTTCCTTGAGTACAAACTCTTCCATGCTCTGGCTTTAACTACCACTTATCATCTTTCCCTTCCTCTCAAACTTGTTTCCTAGCCCCAATCTCATTTCTTCACCCTCAAAGAATGAACTTATCACCGAACCAGCTGCTCAAGTCAGAAACCTGCTTGGTATCTTAGACTTCTCAATGTTCCCCCACCCACATATCATTATCCAATCAATATTAAGTTAAACTAAAGCCTCTCTCAATTCCTGGCTAACACAGTGAAACCCCGTCTCTACTAAAAATACAAAAAATTAGCCAGGCGTGGTGGCATGTGCCTGTAGTCCCAACTACTCAGGAGGCTGAGGCAGGAGAATCGCTTGAACCTGGGAGGCGGAGGTTGCAGTGAGCCAAGATCATGCCATTGCACTCCAGCTGGGGCAACAGAGCAAGACTCTGTCTCAAAACAAACAAACAAACAAACAAACAAGCAAACAAACACCTGCATTAATAGACATACAGTATCCAGGAAGGGATTTACACTTCCTGCACCACACTGTGAAAAGGAACAGAGAGCAACCTCCATGGACCTTGTGTAGTTCGGGCCAGATTGGGCAAGGAATTTGTCAACTCAGGAAGGTTTAAACACCTGGCCTCCTAATCGGGTTCAAGTCCTCATTACCTCCTATTTGGACTATTTTCATGCCAATTTATTGGAGCCACATGTCTTGTAATACCTCACGTTCATTCACTCTCTTAGGGGCAGCCAGTTCCACCTCTGAACAAGTGGCTCCCCACCACTGTGTTAGAACACACAGTGTTTCTACAAGGTGTGAGGGGTGCTGTAAGTAGTTTATAAATTATTTAATGGAGGGGACCCCTCCAATATTAATAAATGAGAGTAGACTCAAGGTTACCCTGTACTCACTGTACTATGCCTTCTGAAATAGGCTCAAAACAAAGAGTGGTAGCCAACGTCCTGCGATGGCCCATAACCCCAGCTATGCTGATGGAGAAGGTGCTGCTCTCAGCTGTGTCCCAGTGGCAAAGGACAACACCTAAAAAATTTAACTTCTACTGAGCTAGAAGCTTTTCCCTGTTGGCTTTGACTCACCATTGGTGCTATCTGAAGAGTAAGTTTCACTGAACAAAATATCTGACAGATAATTACCAAGGAACTGTTAAGTGTCAGACACTAGAGCCCTTCAAATTTTTGAAGACAGTTACCTGAGGTTCCCCAAGCAGGAAGCCCTTCCCTGGGAGCTCAACGAACCCAGGTGTTTAAACCTTCCTGAGTTGACAAATTCCTTGCCCAATCTGGCCCGAACTCCACAAGGTCCATGGAGGTTGCTCTCTGTTCCTTTTCATAGTGTGGTGCAGGAAGTGTAAATCCCTTCCTGGATACTGTATGTCTATTAATGCAGGTTTGTTTGTTTTTGTTTTTTTTGAGACAGAGTCTCGCTCTGTTGTCCCAGCTGGAGTGCAATGGCATGATCTTGGCTCACTGCAACCTCTGCCTCCCAGGTTCAAGCGATTCTCCTGCCTCAGCCTCCTGAGTAGTTGGGACTACAGGCACATGCCACCACGCCTGGCTAATTTTTTGTATTTTTAGTAGAGACAGAGTTTCACTGTGTTAGCCAGGAAGGTCTCGATCTCCTGACCTTGTGATCTGCCCACCTCGGCCTCCCAAAGTGTTGGCATTACAGGCGTGAGCCACCGCGCTCGGCCTATTAATGCAGTTTAAGATCATCTTATGCTGATAAACTCTCATTAAAGCCAGCCATCACTCTAACATCTTTTTTTGTTTTGTTTTTGAGACAAGGTCTTGCTCCATTGCCCAGGCTGGAGTACAGTGGCATAATTATGGCTCACTGCAGCCTTGAACTCCTGGGCTCAAGCAACCCTCCTGTCTCAGCCTCCCAAGTAGCTGGGATTACACGCCTGTGCCACGGTGCCTGGCCCCTAACATCTTTTTAACAAGGCTCAATATCTATGTCCAACTTCCTCCATTACATAGTCTACGCAATTGGGCTTTTTAATCCTAAACTTAATCCTAAACTTCATCCCTGTTAAATCTGAACGATTACATCAATCCATCAAACTCTTTTAGTTCTACTCTAAAATCCAACGAAGGAGGATATTAGCTTCTACCTTAAGTGCTTTCTATTATTTGATACCTGGTAGCAAGCCAGCTCTAGCCTATGTCTTCACATAACCTCCACTTGAAATCTCTACCCTATTCCTCACAGAATTCTCACAGTTTTTTTTAATGGTGGAGAATACAGGAAGAATATATAATGAATACACTACTACTCTGAAATACAGAAAAATCTCACTTCAGTCCTCTACACAACCAGAGACTTGGCACCAACAGTCTTTTCTTTGTGCTTCTAGCAACTGTTGGGGAAAGATGGGTAGATTCAGAGTGAAGGGCAGATTGCCTGAGGAAGACACCATCTTTGGGGAAAGGAACACGTTCCCCAGACATGTCAGCTGAGGTAAGAGAAGAAGAAGGAGATTTACAGTACCAAGGTGGGCTTACTGGGAATAAAGATGAAGATGTGGCTGTAAACCTAGACCCAACAATAGAAAGGTCAGGCCCTCCCTCTGTTTACAGTCTTAACATACCCCAGGGACAACTGGTATTTTTACTTGCTGTCTAACAATTAAATCCCTTAGGAGACTGAAATGGCCTCTCACCTCCCTTTAGGATTATTTTATGTTATCTTTTGATTGGAGTGGTGGGAGGTAGGGAGAGTAGGGAGACTGTGAAACTGTATTTCATTATATAGTAGGTATGAGAAAGCCCCCAATTGGAAAAAAAAAAATTTGGTGGTGAGTAGAAAGGAAAGTTTGATTTTTAAGACTGGTAGAGGAAAGAAGAGTGTGTTTGAGAATAGGTCTGGTACCCCTCCCAAATTTTTTCTATAAGAAAAGATGCCTAGGCTGGGTGCAGCGGCTCACACCTGTAATCCCAGCACTTTGGGAGGCCGAGGCAGGCGGATCACGAGGTCAGGACACCAAGACCATCCTGGCTAACATGGTGAAACCCCGTCTCTACTAAAAATACAAAAAAAAAAAAAAATTAGCCGGGCATGGTGGCGGGTGCCTGTAGTCCCAGCTACTCAGGAGGCTGATGCAGGAGAATGGCGTGAACCCGGGAGGCGGAGCTTGCAGTGAGCCGAGATCGCCTGGGTGACAGAGCGAGACTCTGCCTCAAAAAAAAAAAAAGAAAAAAAGAAAAAAAAGAAAAGATGCCTAACAGATTTTCTGTTTCCCAACACCACTTACCATACAGAGGAGCTCAGTTCTACAGCACAACTAACACTTGGCTTTGCAAGCATCAGTCTTGTGGCCAGGCCTAGGAACCCAACCACCATGTTGCAGCAACCAGAGTCTAGACTATCCAGGAAAAAATGCCAGTTTTCTCATCTGCTGTCCCCATAAATCATCAAAAAGCCCTACAAATATAAATACTTAAGTGCCCAAATCCTTTTCTAGAAAGTATGTTGGTTTAGAAAGTATGGGCACTGTACCAGTATGCATAACACTATTTCTATGGTAAAGTATCATTTATATTTCAAGCAAGTAATTTACAAAGATCCTTCCAAAATAAAGCCTACTTCTGGGCTGAAACTGAGGAAATGTACAAGGGCAGATACTATTCTCTGTAACCAATTAATTATAACTAATAATTATGGTTTCTTTTACACATCACTACAAACTCCCGGACTACATTCTCCTTTGAAATGTCTTTTGGTTAGAAATTTATTATAGTAACGCCTAGTCATACGAGAATTTATTTTCCATAACTAAGTTTCCTAAGAAATTAGCACTGTCTTATTACTCTTTCATCATTGTGTGACAGGCTTTGGTCTGGTAGTCCAACAAAACAAAACAAAACAATGAAGAAACCAATCATTACAGGGCTTCCCATCAAGCCTTGACCTCCCTGTCACCCCTGTCCTCCTCCAAGTCATCACAGTCACATCTAATTCCCTTCATCTAAGGCAGTGATTCTCAACTAGGGACATGTACTGGGGTCACCTGCAGAGCTTTTCAAAATACATCTGCTAGGGCCATGGCCTGGGACTGCATATTTTGACGATTTTATGCAAATGATTCTTATGCATACCTAATTGAGAAACACATATTTAAGTGGGCAAGGAGAGGAGCTATCTCAAAGAATTAATTCTCTCATTCTGAAGGGGAAATGAACAAAAATGTGACAATCACCAGACAAAACTACATGATCAAAATTAACAGGCGAGCAAGAAGCCAAAACAACATGGACTATTAGATTGAGAATGACCCAAGGGGCACCTGCTTCTGTTTACAACATGTCACTATTTTTTAGCAGAGTTAAGCTACTCAAAATGTATTATCTTTTAAAAAAGCATATTCTAAGTTTTAGCTTAGAAGGCAGAGTAAACATCCTAGGTGCAATATTCCATTATCAGACTCAATGCATGCCATGGGTCAAGGTGGTGGACAAACTGCTGTAATTCCCATCTGTAAATTAAAAGCTGTTGTTTGTTTTTTGCTATTATTCTTTAAAAAAAGTTTTGAAAAGGTTCAGTTCACAATCATGACCCATATACTTTTTTTTTTTTTTGAGACGGAGTCTCACTTTGTTGCCCAGGCTGGAGTGTAGTGGCATGATCTCGGCTCACTGCAACCTCTGCCTCCCAGGTTCAAGCGATTCTCATGCCTCAGCCTCCCAAGGAGCTGGGATTACAGGCATGAGCCTCCATGTCTGGCTAATTTTTTATTTTTAGTAGAGATGGGGTCTCAGTCATATTGGCCAGGTTGGTCTCAAACTCCCGACCTCAGGTGATCCAGCCTCCCAAAGTGCTGGGATTACAGGCGTAAGCCACCGTGCCCAGCCATGACCCATATACTTTTTAAAACAAGGTATTTACTCTTTTGACTCCTAAAAAATTTAAGGCCAACTAGAAACACCAATACAAGTATTTTCAATTTGTCATTACTGCTCCTCAGTGACTGCAAACAACCCACCTTAATTACTCTACGCCCACTCTCTTTTCAGTGGATTGGAGGCTGAGTCAGCAACAGTGTAAAAGCTAAACACAAAAGGTTCTAAATAATTTAAAAAGAAAAAAAAGATCTTACCTTTGGTTTTTTGTTCCGTGACCTGCAAAATAAACAGATAAAAGTAAATGAGATTTGCTTTTTAATTCAGTACTGTATTTTCAGACTACTTTAGTCTGATAACTCAAGTAATCCAAGCTGTCAGGCACACAGGCATAGCTGAAATCCAGAAAAAGGAGCTGGGAGTCAGTTCAGACATCCTTCCAGAGACTGTGGCCATATGTCCAGCTATAATTTACATGACCACCATTAGGAAGAATAGTAAAACTTAAAAAAAAAAAAAAAAAAGCATTCCACTCATTATACGATGAGGTCCCACTGAGAATGCTACTTGCATTTTGAATGCTATGACTAGAGAAAAATCACATGAATGTGGCCCAGAAACTAAATTAGCCATAGACACAAAAAGATTCCCCTATGAGTATAGACACAAACACTTGATCTGAAATCTAAAAGCAAAACCTCAGGGACTCATCATCAGAGGCATCAGACGTCATGGTCGGAAAGCAGGATTCAAAACCAAACCTTGTCACTTTCTGGCTATGAGACCCCCAGTTTTCTATTATCTATTGAATGGAGATAATAATAGTATAAACCCTGCAAAGGACTGCTGTAAGGATTAAATCAGATATGCTATGCAGTGCTCAATAAATGTTTGCTGTTATTATCAACACTTATATAAAATAGCATGAAGTACAGCAGTAAGATTGAAATATGTAAATTTTGGACAAATCAAGGGTGCTTTGTTAAAAAAAAAAGAAAGTATTTCTTTATATAGTAACTAATACGTCTATGGAAATGATTAACCTAGAAGGCTGGACAGGCTGAACATAGTAATGGACTTCAGAGAGTTTGGAAATGATGATTAGGAGCCTTACAGAAAACTGCTTCTGATATTTTTAAGAGGGGAAAATAAAGGAGGGCATCTAATTTATAACAATAAAACCACAAAGGTGATGCACAAGCAAAACATCCAAAAGGAACTAAGCCATTGTTCCAATAGTGGTTACACTAAATTTTTGAGATTGTGGGTGATTCTGACCCATTTTCCC
Organism: Homo sapiens; assembly: GCF_000001405.40. Lineage (NCBI taxonomy): Eukaryota > Metazoa > Chordata > Mammalia > Primates > Hominidae > Homo > Homo sapiens. Next base: position 40,250,169 of record NC_000022.11, on the reverse strand, counting down.
AACTGTTAATCTTTTAAAGCATTTTTACTTGGTTATCTGACTTTTGTAATAAAAATATTCATATAGCAAAGAAGAAGTCTGATGATTTGTGGCTGGTAATCGTACTGGATTACGGCCATGGGGGTTCACAAAAACACAATCATCCCTGGAAGGAAGGTCCTGTAGCTGACCAGCCCACCTCGCAATGGATCCCAGCACACCATCAGACTCTAAATAAGAGTTAAAGGATCCGCCTGTAGAACTTCCTGGTGTGTTTCCTACATTCCTGTGTTAAATGACAAGCTAATTCTATTACAGTGAATTTGTGGAATCCAGCATCTTAAAAATGAATGTTTCCCAGTACTGTTACAGAGCTCAATTCTACTGAAAATATTCTTGTGTAATTTTTCTACATCTTTACTTATCCAAGAATGAATGACAATGCAGCCACATACCAATTCCCGAAGGCAATTTAGGTTTTATATCATTGTAACTATTTCTTAGAATGCCATTTTGAAGATCAGTTATACAGGAAGTCAGTGCCTTCCCATTGTAAGCAACAAGCCCAAATAATGTCAAATATGTTTTATCATGTGGGTTCTGTTAAAAGCTGTCCCCCAGACGGCGAGAAGCTGGATGATCAAAGCATGTGTTCTGCCAACGCTAAACAATGCTCCTTTAGCAGCATCAGCCTAAATGAATGTGAATGGAACCCTTCTTTGACACCTCTCTCATGAATGGGTATCTACCAGTTTACTCAGTGATGGCTCCAGGAAGAGCCAACTGCTACAACCAATGAACACTGGAAAAGGCTCATGCTTAATTTCTGTGTGGAGGTAATTTAGTTTTAGCTTTAAGTAAGTGTCAATTCTTCAAGAAAATTATGTTTCCACCTTCATTCTTGACCATTCACTTATTAAACAATTTCTGAGTGATTATCCTGCACCAGGCACTGCCCTAGTTACTGGCCATACAAATACGAATAAAACCAAGAAACTTACAGTCAGTCTAACAGTGAAGATGGACACAAAGAGGTGGTCAAAAAGCACTGGGGAAAGCAGCATGAGAGATGTGGAAGCCCTTAGAAGAGGCACCACAAATGTTTGCGGACCGAATGAATGAACCACTGACCACATGATAGATCTCTGGCACGTTCTCCACGATTCTTTGCATCATAGCACATTTTATGGCTCCTAGCTGAGGTGATGTCTCTACAATAAGGTTGGAAACCACGAAGATAATCACATGGTAAGCTTTGTGCTCTCCTTAAAACTGCTAAATCAGAATTTAATTCTGAAATTATGCAATGGTTCAGTATAATAAAACAAGATCAAAGGCCACGCATCAGCCTGCGTCAGCCTAGATTCTATGTCAAGCTGATCTGGAACATTTTTGAGCAAAAACGATAGAATTTTTATTGTTCATAAAATTAATCACTTAAAAATTTTATTTACGGTAATTTTCCCCTTTGCTATCACTTCTTCATCAGTTCTTAATGCAGATGAAGGCACATAGGAGAGACTGTCCAGCTACATAAACTACATTCTCTGCATAAATAATCTCATTCACTCTCAAGTACATTCACACCATCTTTATTTTAAATCATTTTTCTTTGTGGAATCCAATCAAAGGCATATTACAGAGGCATATTTTATTAATCATTTTAGGTATTGATATTTGTAGTTTAAGAAAACACTGTTATGTATGTTAAAAATGAAGAGGAATATATACTCTCTAAATCACTCTGTTTGGCATCCTCTTGTTAACAGCCTTTGCTCAAGTACCTTGGTACCCAGCCTATTAATCACTCATCTCCATAGACTGCAAAATCCGATTTTTGTATCAACTTAGTAGAGGAAATGTGTGAGTGTCCTAAGGAAAGAAAACTTTCACTGAGGTTTAATCTCACATCCCTCCAGTTGGAGGTGGAGGGTGCAATGTGTGCGAGGCACGGCGACAAGAACCCAGAAACCACAGGGGCAATGCTACAAACACCCACAGCTGGTGGACCTGCATACTGCAACCTCAGTGACAGGGCATGTGGCCACGGACGCAAAGGAAAGTACAAAAACATCTCTGGGTTATCTGACTTCTATGGTTTTTTTTTTTTTTTCTAGACACAAGATCTCACTCTGTCACCCAGGCTGGGGTGCAGTGGTGCAATCTCCACTCAATGCAACCTCCCCCTCCTGGGCTCAAGTGATCCTGCTACCTCAGCTTCCAAAGTAGCTGGGACCACAGGTGTGCACCACCACACTCGGCTAATTTTTTTTGTATTTTTGTTGGTAGAGACGGGGTTTTCATGTTGGCAAGGCTGGTCTCGAACTCCTGGACTCAAGTGATCCCTCCTGCCTTGGCCTCCCAAAGTGTTGGGATTACAGGCATGAGCCACCACACCAGGCAATCTGGCTTATTTATTTAGACTTTTCACTCCAGAATTTTAGGCAATTCTAACAAACTCAGGTGAGAAGCAACACATTAGAAGCAGGTACCCTGACTGCATGAAGATGTGATGGAGAATATACCACTATTAATAGAGACAAACACAATTAAAAGCAGACAAAATCTTAAAGAGCACAGCGGTCTATTATAGCACCAAATAATAATGAATGTTCCTTTTAATTAAGTCATGAAGAAAAGATAAAATTACATTTCATATATTTAACATAGCAGGGACATATGCAATCCAATTCAGAAACTATTTTCAGAATTTTTCTTATGCTGATACTCACAAATTATTATTTCAATAATTCAAAAAATTGAGTTATGAGAAACGCTATATCCAATAATGCTGGAAAAACGTGCAGTGTTACACTGGCTTGTGTGTGACTGCCTTGACTGTCTTCTAAATCTAGAGTTTCCTCTGAACCTTATCACAGTTTCTTTCTCCCTAAACTTAGCTTCAATTAACTAGCACCAGGGCAGGGACCCTCGAACCTTTCCCACAGTAGGCCCTGCTTCCCAAATGCTTTACATAGCAGTAACAATACCTGACAGAAAATCACCTTACCTCCAAAAAAGGTACCAAAGCAACCCTGCTGAGCCAGAGCCCAAGTTAAGAGATGCAAAAAGAATGGTAAGGTGGGGAAACAGGTAAGATCAGACAACAGACAGGGCAGAGGGGCATGCTCTGAGGCAAACAGGGAGGTAAGGTACATTCTAACCACTCTGCCTTGGACAACTCTGCCGGACAAACCGCTCACCTGAGACCTGACAGGTGACAGCCGTTGGCCCTTTGCCTTTTTTCTTTTAGCATCTCTTGTTTTCTCTAAGCAATTCCTCAAAGCCACACAATGCCATATCCTCCAAAGCACTACGTGGGCTCACTAGATCCTTTCCGAGAGGGGTTTCTACTTGTAATTCTCCCAAGGTAGACTCATCTAGACAACAGCACCGTGGGTGGAACAAAAGAACACCGGGGCAAACCTCCAGCCAGTTTTTAAAAGCTATTCTATAGGCTTGCTTAAGAAAATATAGATTAAATTAATATACAAATAAGGAAATACGACAAGAGTTGAGAGTTTGAAAACTCTCTTGCCTTTGTAATACTGTTTACTGTTGTTTTCAAAAACTCAGCCATAGCATTATTTAACATCTACTTTATGGTAACAAATGCAGACCTTGAACTTTCTCCCACTTCCAAATATAAAAACTTTTAAGTAAACAAATGTCTCAAGTACCATTATTGGGATATCAGGTATTCAGGCCAGGTGCAGTGGCTCACACCTGTAATCTCAGCACTCTGGGGGGCCAAGGTGGGGGATCACGAGGACAGGAGTTTGAGACCAGCCTGACCAACATGGAGAAACCCCATCTCTACTAAAAACACAAAAATTAGCCAGGCGTGGTGGCGTGCACCTGTAATCCCAGCTACTCAGGAGGCTGAGAGAGGAGCATCGCTTAAACCTGGGAAGCGGAGGTTGTAGTGAGCCAAGATCACGCCACTGCACTCCAGCCTAGGTGACAGAGCAAGACTCCATCTCAGGAAAAAAAATAAAAGATATCGGATATTCAAGCCAAGACAGTTTCTTGTTCTGGATGCTGGATGCCTAGCAGATAAAAAGACAGACTTAACTGATTAAACCTACCTTCTGAGTGGCTTCTTTTTTCTTTTTATCCTCTTTCTTCCTTTTCTTGTCTTCCATTAACTGTTCTTCCCTTTCTTGCTCCTTCTCTCTATTAAAGTAACATCATAACAGAAGGTTATACATCTACATTCACAATCCATTTCCGCAGCAAATTGAATGCTTGTAAGTGGTGGGCAAGACGACATTTCATCTCTGTGACTGAATAGAACACAGTATTTCATTTAAATCAAAAGGATCCATAAAACTCACATTTAATTATTCCCACATCTTGGTTTGTCACCTCTTTTGTAAAACATGACATTAAGTTTCGTTTCAAAGAAGCCTATTAAGGTAAGCTTTTATAATATCTACCTAAAAGAATACACACACAAACACACACACACACACACACGATTAATTTCCACTCAGCAAAGGACCTGATTTGAATACGACAATATCCAGATGGCTTCTGGGCAGTATTCCTCACAGATAATGCAGAATATATTAACTCAATTATGGTACATATGTATTTATCATAAATTAGGTGTTTTCCCATTTCATCTTCAGAGTGGTGAACATAAAGCTCTATGTTCTGTATTCTAAATTTTTTCTCTATATGTATTAATACTATATGTTTTATATATTTTCTATTTGTTTTATATATTTTCTATTTCTATTTCTATTTTCTATTTTTAAGGCAGGCACTGAGTGTCCTATAAATCAATGTATTCCAGGATAGGCGTGGTAGCTTACGCCTGTAATCCCAGCACTCTGGGAGGCTGAGGCAGACAGATCACTTGAGGTCAGGAGTTCGAGACCAGCCTGGTCAACATAGTGAAACCCCGTCTCTACTAAAAATACAAAAATTAGCCGGGCATGGTGGCATGCTCCTGTAGTCCCAGCTACTCGGGAGGCTGAGGCAGGAGAATCACTGGAACCCGGGAAGAGGAGGTTGGAGTGAGCCAAGATAGTGCCACTGCACTCCAGCCCAGTCAACAGAGCCAGACTCCGCCTCAAAAATAAATAAATAAATAAATAAATAAATAAATGTATGTCCTATTGGGTGAATTCACTACTGTATCTTCCCGTACACATGAATTAAGACAACCAGGTTTTGCTCCACTGAATTAGAATAAAAATGGTATACAATCATAAACATTCTAGTTGGAGAAATGTGCTGAATCTGAAGAAATTAAGAGACTCTAATTTACAGCACACATTTGAAAAGTAACATTTATTGGAATGCTGTCAACTTTCACTCTATGTATCAACTGGGAAAAAACATACACTCAACCAACTGCAGTAACTTCAAAGCTCACAGTGGGAAACCCCAGACTCTATGCTTATGGAATTTCATCGCTGGAAGGAGACTTAAAGATCTAGTTCCCAGGGCCTCAGAATACCGAACAGATAACAAATCCATGGTTTCACAGATATCACCTAGCATAAGGCTGAGTTACAAGTGAGTCAAATTAAAGCTTAAGTGAATAACAGGTTTGCAAACATGGCAAAATCATAAAGATGGTTCCCGAAGGACTCAAGTTTGGGAAGCGGAGATCTAGTTTAACATACTGAAACTATACAAAAGGAACCATGGATGAAAACTGAGGTGGGCTCTCGTGAATACATAATGTCTTATTTATAGAAAAAAAAAAAAAGACTTAAAAAACTTTTTTACCTACATGTTGTCACTGACTTTGTCTGCATTCAAATATTAGCCTTTCTCCTTCTGCACCTCTGGGTATAAAGATATAAAAGCCTAATATGCAAAATCCACACAACCAAGGAGGAGATTTTACTGAAATTTCCTTAGGTCTTATGCTGGATTTCTTTGGAGTCAGACTGTGTGCCTCTGTCTAGGTGTGAAACACGCGGAGAAAATCCACCTGCAGCAGCAGTGCCCTCCTTTAAGAAAATGGATTTACAAACACTGGTAAGATGGATGTTGATCATCTCAGGCAGGCTGGCCACAGATCCTGTTATATTTGGCTCTTAAAGCCTTTTGCTTCCTCTGGCTGCAAGTGGAAGGAGTGGATGGGGTTCCTCATGCCCATGTTGCTGTAACTTGGCTTCCACATTTTACAGTGAAACCAACTACAGGAAAGTAGCAACCACAGCCTGAGTATTTCCTGTTTAAAGATTTGGTGTTTACAAAAAAAAAAAAGGTATTAGGTTGTCATTTTTTTCTAAATCTAAAATTATTCTAAAATTAAAAGTTTACTTTAAAAAATGCAATGTTAGCTGGGCGCAGTGACTCACACCTGTAATCCCAGCACTTTGGGAGGCCAAGGTGGGTGGATCACCTGAGGTCAGGAGCTCGAGACTGGCCTGGCCGACATGGTGAAACCCCATCTCTACTAAAAACACACAAATTAGCTGGGCGTGGTGGCATGCACCTGTAATCCCAGCTACTTGGGAGGCGGAGGCGGGAAAATCGCTTGAACCTGGGAGGCGGAGGTTGTAGTCAACCAAGATCACACCATTGTACTCCAGCCTGGGCAACAAGAGCAAAATAAATAAATGAATGAATAATAAATTAATAAAATAAAATGTAAAAAAAGGGGTAAGTTTTAATCAAACACGTTCTTCAAAAACAAACCTTTTCAAATATTGTCCCTATAAACAGGCAATTAAGGGAAATAGATTGAAATTCATGCTCAATAGAAGTAAATTCATTTCTAAAACAGATATATTTCAAAGCTTTGCAGGTGACAAGCTATACTTTCACCCTGTTTTTTGTTTTGTTTTGTTTTGGTAGGAGTTAGTCTTCTTTTTAAATTTCACTTCCTTAGGAAGAATCTACTTTGCCAAATCTGGCTTAAAAACCTGCCACTTTTAAATCAAAAATTTATAACAATAAATCAAATAGTGTGAGTCTCACCTTTTTTCTAATTCAGTACTGTTCTCTATCTAGGCTGCACATTAGCACCATTTGGGGAGCTTTAAAAAAATCCAGGCCGGTTGCGGTGGCTCACGCCTGTAATCCCAGCACTTTGGGAGGCCGAGACGGGTGGATTGCGAGGGCAGGAGATCTAGACCATCCTGGCTAACACAGTGAAACCCCATCTCTACTAAAAATACAAAAAAATTAGCTGGGCGTGGTGGCACACGCCTGTAGTCTCAGCTACTCGAGAGGCTGAGGCAGGAGAATTGCTTGAACCCAGAGGCAGAAGTTGCAGTTAGCCAAGATTACGCCACTGCACTCCAGCCTGGGTGACAGAGCGAGACTCTGTCTCCAAAAAGTAAAATAAAATAAAATAAATCCCTGTTCTGAGTGAGAGCCCAAGCAAAGAGCAATGGACATCTATGTGGAGAAGGCGTCCATGGGGGTGGTGATGGAGATGGGTTACATACAGGAGACTGATGGACTATTTAAGTATATTAAGAATAATAGGGACGGGCGCGGTGGCTCACGCCTGTAATTCCAGCACTTTGGGAGGCCAAGGCGGGTGGATCACCTGAGGTCAGGAGTTCAAGACCAGCCTGACCAACATGGAGAAACCCCACAGAGGTTTAAAATACAAAATTAGGTGGGCGTGGTGGCACATGCCTGTAATCTCAGCTATTCAGGAGGCTGAGGCAGGACAATCGCTTGAACCTGGGAGGCGGAGGTTGCGGTGGGCCGAAATCGTGCCACTGCACTCCAGCCTGGGCAACAAGAGCGAAATTCCGTCTCAAAAAAAAAAAGAAAAGAAAAAAAAGAATAATGACAGCCATGTTTCTCACTGTTGAGAAAATAAGTTACACAAATGGAAGAAAATGGAGAAAACTCAAATGAACTCTGTGGGGTTGGATCTAAATTAGTTATTGACGTGAACTCATGGTTTCCAATATATATAGACACAATAAATATTAGCTGTAAGTTTGTGTACATATGTGAGTATATATTCCTTCACACACGCACGTGCGCATGCACACACACACACACACACACACACACACACTCTTATTCCCTTAGCTCTGTCACTCTGAGGGCTGGAGAACAAGCAATATCCAAATAACAATGAACACACTTAGCACCCAGTTTTGTGGCTTCTATTCTTCACTAAATAAAACCAGAGTTCTCTGGAACAAGAGCTAATTCTGGGGGTAGCATAAGGAAAGTACAAGATGAACCTGGAATGTACATTTGCCAAGAAGCAAAAGAGTGCTCAAAGAATGATGGGATCCGTCAAATGACCACAGACGACAGTTTGAAGTGCTCCTACAAGCTAAATCTGGAACAACATCAACATCAAAATAAGTAATTATAGTAAGAGACTATAAGCCATTGTATAAAATAGGAAAACACAAGTTCATACAGAGAGAAATAAGCAAATGAATAAATTGAAATGAGGAATGGAATAGTCACATAGTTTCAAAACACCTCCCCATAAAATACTTGTCATAAAGGGTTGAGAAGAGTAATTACGTCAAGGAGAAGCCTGTCAAGATACCACCTTAATCAAGTAATCCATGTGAACATCATCAGCTATGGGACAAATTCAAACTGTGAGTTACATGACAGGATGCTGTAAGAAGAACACAGCATTGATTCTATGAGTCCTTTTAAATGTGTTTAACCTGAATACCATCAAAGGAACCATCAGACAACTCCACATTCAGAGGCATTCTACAAAATATACTGGCCTGCAATCTTCAAAAGTTTTAAGGCTGTGACAGTCAAGGAAAGATTGAGGAATTGTTCCAAATGAAAGGAGACTGCAAAGACCTAACAACCAAATGCAATGTGCGGCAAATCTCACACCTTGAATGGAGCTGAAGAGTAAGTGGTGGTCATGAATCGGTGTGTTAATTTTTTCCCTTTGATGGTTATATTGTGGTTTTACACCAGAATGTTCTTTTTGTTAGAAACAGACTATAGTATTGGTGAAAGGGCTACAGGTGACAGCATTGGATCAGCAGTTAATTCTCAAATGACTCAGGGGAAAAAGAGGCTTTTTAAAATCATACAGATTCAAACTCTGTAAGTTCGAGATTGTTTCCAAAAACAAAAGAAAATATAAACAACAAACACAAAACTATTGCTCAGGCAGTACCCCAGGTCAATTACATAGAAATCTCCAGGGATTTTCAGAAGTCCCTCCAAGTGGTTCTAACATGTAGCTAGGGTTGAGAAACTGCTCTAAATTCTTGTTTATACCTACACTTGAAAACATTATTACCTGATTTATGTCTCAAAAATCAAACCTCCCATCACCTGAGCCCAGGAAGCTGAGGCTGCAGTGAGTCATAATCATGCCACTGCACTCCAGTGTGGGCAACAGAGTGAGACCCTGTCTCCAAAACAAACAACAACAATAAAAAACCCTCCCATACAGCAACAAATGCAAATGCCAGGTGACTAGGTGGGTCCTACTTGATCATCAATTGCTTCTAAGTATGAAGGGCAAGAGAAATCATTCATATTTTCTCTCATCTCTAAATATACAGCCAGATGTAAAACTCATCACTTTCAAATTATTTAATTCATTCAACAAATTCAGTTAAGTATTTACTGAGTCTCTACTATGGCTTCCAAAGCAATACTATGGGCACCTCCAATTCCCTAACTTTGTGCCAAGAATAGTTTATAGGTGCACCCAGCTTCCAGGTACATATGGAATACAAAGCCCCTCAAACTCCTTACAGCCCAGCCTGGGACTGCTGCTAGCCCAGTCCAACCTCATCTACTTACCCCAGTGTGCTGTACTAATCTTTTCTCTGTGTGTCTTGACCTGAAAAGGTTACGAAGCATTGTCTAGGGGAGCTGGGGGTTTAATATTGCCTCTGCAGGGGACGAATGTGTGGGAGGTACTGTGCAGGCAGGCAAAAGATAAAGCAAGTGCAAACACCATAATCTAGAATAAATCCTGAATGGTAAAAAGCCAAACTACTCTTGAGAACCTCTCAGGTGAAGAGCGAATACAACAGTGTTTTCTTCTTAATTTTTTACAATAATAGTAGAGAAAAGTAGAAGTGACTTGTACCTGAATAGAAAATACCCAATATTCGGCCGGGCACAGTTGCTCATGCCTGTAATCCCAGCACTTTCGGAGGCTGAGGCGGGCAAATCATGAGGTCAGGAGTTTGAGATCAGCCTAGCCAACATGGCGAAACCCCATCTCTACTAAAAATACAAAAAAATTAGCTGGGCATGGTGGCGGGCTACCCAGCTGCTTGGGAGGCTGAGGCAGGAGAGTCATTTGAACCTGGGAGGCAGAAGTTGCAGTGAGCTGAGATCGCGCCACTGCACTCCAGCCTGGGAGACAAAGCGAGACTCGGTCTCAAAAAAAAGAAAGAAAAACAAAAAAAGAAAATACCCAATATTCACAATATTCACTTAAGCTGAGGCATAACAAGACTGCCCCGCATGCAAGTTCAGAACACCAAAAAGCAACGATGCTGAGATCCCTAGGAACCGGCTACATCCCAGAACTGAACCCTCCAATGGTCCGAGACCATGCAAAGGGAAAGCTAAGAGCTTGAAGCATCTGTAATTGGCATTCAAAGCCATTCATAGTACAGTTCTAGCTTTTACATTTTCCTCATTCTGCACGCCTGACAAAAACCATCCTCTTTAATGCCCATCACACCTTACCCTAGTGGCAAGTCCTAGCTCAATATCCACTTGCTTCAACAGCACCATCCCCAGTAACTCCAACTCTAGAGAAACTTGCCTTCTTCTGCAGACCCCACAACTATTGCCCCGTCTCTTGTTTGGCCCTCAAGGTCTCAAGGCAGATGACACCGGTACTGGCAGCATCAGAGCACCTGAAGTGACTTTCTGCGGCATGGCTGCTTTTACCAGGGTGGTAACAGGCACAGACCGGAAGGCACAGACTGACTTGGCTCTCTTCTACTAGGATGTCCAGGAACTGACTCATTCCTTTAACAAACATTTATTGTCTAATATGAGCCAGGCACTTTTCTTTTCTTTTTGAGATGGAGTCTTGCTCTGTCACCCACGCTGCAGTGCCGTGGCGCAATCTCAGCACACTGCAACCTCCGCCTCCCAGGTTCAAGTGATTCTCACGCCTCAGCCTCCTGAGTTGCTGAGATTACAGGCGCCTGCCACCACGCCCAGCTAACTTTTGTATTTTTAGTAGAGACGGGGTCTCACTATGTTGGCTGGCCTGGTCTTGAACTCCTGACCTCAAGTGATCCGCCCACCTTGGCCTCCCAAAGTGCTAGGATTACAGGCGTGAGCCACTGCGCCCAGCCGAGCCAGGCACTTTTTCTAAGCACTGGAGATCTGGCAGAAACAAAACCGAGCTTTGGCTCTCATGTGACTTACATCCCAGTGGGGGAGAAAGGCAACAAATGAACAAGATATACAACAAGATGCATGTATAAAATACACAGTTCAGGCAACAACAGTGCTCAGGAGAAGACAGTTCACCTGACAGAGAAGGAGAGAGGTGGGGAGAGGGCAACACCTTCCATATAATAGTTAGAAAAGGCCTCTGATACAGTTGCATGAGAATGGAGACTCACTGAGGTGAGGGATGGGGCCATGTGGGTATCTGGGGGTGAACATTCCAGACAGAGGGAGTGGCAAATGTCAATCAGTGAGATTGGTGTATCTGAGGAATGGCAACCAGAATGCAGTACAGGGTGTAAGGGAGAAGGTGGCAGGGATGAGACCAGAAGCAGGATTCGGTGGTTGGGGGCGGGGGGATCTCCTTACAGGGAATGCATTTTTTAAATTAACCAGCACATATTTTCTGGTAATTGAATAAGGAATCAAATTGCGACTGGTGAACACAAGCACCTAAATGCAAAACTTCCAAAACCTCTCATTCTCAGTTTCAGTCAGGAGGCCCGCCTCTCTCCTCAGCTGTCAACCTTGCTATCGGGGGGCTGGCCTGCTGCACCAGAGCACCCACCACACTAGAGAACGGCGAGTCGAGTGTGTGTGCGTTTGCCACAGCTGAAGCCTCTGAGCACAAGGGAAGGGGAATGAACCTTCCTTTTCTCCCTGCCCTATGTCCGTGGCACAAACACCAGAAACACAGTAGGGCCTCCAAGTAAATGCTACCAAAATGCATCATTAAAGAGTGAGCAACACTTTCTACCCTCCCGGGGGAGATGCGTTTAAAGAACAGCCTCAAAACAACGAACTACATCATCTAATAAACATGCTGAGTGTCTATGATATGCCACGCACTGACCTGTGACACAATCAGGATATAAGACTGGGCAAAAGAAGGATGGTCCCTGCCCTCAGGGAGCTGACATTCTAGATGGGAGACAGAAAACACACACACACAACGCCAGGCAATGCCATGAAGACAAAAAGCTGGAAAGGGGCCAGAGTGTCTAAGAGGGAAGAGATGGGAAGAGGGGGCTGCCTTCCATGAGGCGTCCGTAGCGGGCATCTGTGAGACAGGGACATCCAGACTCCTCCATAAAGAAAGCCATCTGGGAGATGAGTGACCAGGCCAAGAGAAGAGTAAGTCCCAGGGCCTAAGATGGGAAAGTAAGTGCTGGGTGTGAGTTTGGGGGAAGGGAGATGGCTACCCCCACTTCTTCCTTCTCTCGGCAGCAAGCCTCCCCAGACACACACCCACACCTTCTCTGGTTTTCTGGCTTACTTGGTAGTCACCCTCATCTACACCAGAAGAACTGGGCACCGTGGCTGCAAGTTTCCCTTCCGCCGCATCAGTTCCCTCAGTATTTCAGTGCTCACTTGATGCCAGGCACCAGGCTGAGGCTGAGAATTCAGCAGCAAACAAGATGCAGTGCTGCCTGCTTTCCTGGGGCTCTCAGTTCCACTTTTTAAATAGTCCTACCTCACCTCACAACCCAGACAGCACCTTCAGGGCAGAAAATGTGCTCTCCTTGCTCTGTTCCCTGTCTCTACCACACTTTGGAATACTCTGAAGACAGCCTGCAGTGCCTTTGCTGTTTTGAAAGTACCAGGATCTTGGATGTGTGAATTCAAGCTTGTGATAATCCAGGTTAGAGATCAACTTTTGTTTTTGTGACAGAGTCTCACGCCATCTCCCGAGTGCAGTGGCACAATCTCAGCTCACTGCAGCCTCCGCCTCCCAGGTTCAAGTGATTCTCCTGTCTCAGCCTCCCGAGTAGCTGGGATTACAGGCATGCACCACCACGCCCAGCTAATTTTTGTATTTTTAGTAGAGATGGGGTTTCACCATGTTGGTCAGGCTGGTCTCGAACTCCTGGCCTCAGATAATCCGCCCGCCTCGACCTCCCAAAATGTTGGGATTATAGGTATGAGCCACCATGCCCGGCCAAGAGATAAACTTCTTTCCACAAACTAGAGTCATGACCAATGGTTGCTGTATGCATGTCTCTGAGCCCATCGTGCCTCAAACATGCAGGAGAGGCAGGGCTGACAATTTCACACTTGAACATATTAATCTCCACCTGTAGGCTGATGGGAATGAAAGGATGATAAGAACCTTAATTCAGAAGAACAGCCAGGGTTCATCTTGACAGGAAATGGCTCCACATTCCCAGAAGCATCTTCCCTTCCATTAAGGTCTGGATGACTGGCTGTAACAGCATCAAAACCTATCCCTGACACCCTGTGATCAGTAAGTGTGGCAGCACCTTCGGTCCTAGTTCCAACTCCACAAAATCAAGGCAGACAGACCGGAACAGGAAGAGAGCCACCCAACACGGGAACTATGCCAGAAGTAAACTAATACTGTAAAAGATTAAAAAGAACTCCACAATAAAAAGGAACAAACCATTAATAATACACCAACTTGGATGAATCTCCATGGAATTATGCTGAATGAGAAAAGCCACTCCCAAAAGTGTCATACTGTAGATTCCATTTAGATAATATTTCTGAGATGACAGGTGGTTGGGCGCCAGAGGATACAAAGGGGGGTAGGGTGAGGCAGGAGTGGTTATAAAAAATGGTGACACTAGTGACCCTTGTGGTGACAGAACTGTCCTGTATTTGATGGTGGTGGATACATGAACCCACATGTGATAAAATTGTATAGAACTAAACACATAGGCAATTAAATACAAGTAAAACTGGGGAAATCAAAATTTGGCAGATCGTATCAAAATCTGGGTTGCGACATTGTACTATAGTTCTGCAAGAAGTTACCATTGTTGGAATGGCATACAGAATCTCTCTGCCTTGCTTCTGGCATGTGAACCTACAATTATCTCAAAAATTTCAATTAAAAAAAGAGAGCTTCAAACATTGACTCATCTTTTGGTCTCCTGTTTGAAATTTTGTCAAGGACTCCTACTTTAAATCATTTTCTTTATGAAAGTCACGTTAAGAGTCAAAAGGAATTTGAGAAATCATTTAGTCCCCACATTACAGAAATAGATTTCCAAAAATACTCTAGAATCTACACTTCATCTTAACATGCTCAAATTGTTAGTTTAATCGATCAAGTATTCCTTAAGTATAGCAGGAATAGACAGATAGCCACAAGGGTATTTAAAATGCTCCTCTGACACATAATTCACAATACAATTCTTTTCCCAGGAATTTTAGTGGTGTACTAGTCACTGAGCTATTATCTCACTTCGTGGTAGTATCTTCATCAGCTCAGTCAACACCAATTCCAAGCCCCTCTGGCCTATTTCCAAGACTCCTTCACAATTAGAGATGGGGATGTGATTTATGCTATGCCAATAAGGTGCATGTGTGACTTTACCAGAGGACACACAGGGCACCCATCTTCTCAGAGAGCGTTGTAGGGATGACGTGGTCCTGGAGCCTACCCCTGTAACAGCAATTTCCTGAATGTGCAGGAAAAGAAAAAAGCTCCCACGGGACCCCCAGTTCCATGGTGTGGTGCTGGGCGTCACCTGACCCTCAGCCTCTCAAGTACCATTTAATAAACCCACACACCAGTGAGAATGAATTCTACTATCTACATACTAAGGACTCTGCCCAATACAGATTTAAATAGGGGTTTTCAAAATGCACCTAAGACATGTGACTTGTATGAACATTATTTCCTTAGAAAATAAAAGGTAATCTTGGCAACTTATAAAACAGTAAGAAAATAACTAGCCACAAAACCATTGCCAATTATAACTAATTAAGGATTAATGACACCACACGCAAATTTGGGGTAAGAAAAATTAACAAAGGAGTACAATGAAGAGAGTTAAGCCAAGTGCTCAAAGTATCCACTTAAAATGTTTTTAATTAAAAATGCACACACACAAAAAGCATGTTGGAACATATCCATTCAGGCAGAGGAAATTACATAGTAGGGTACTCCAAATATGTATATTGGATTTGTTCTTAACATTTTTTTCATTTGCTGGATCTGAGGGAATTTAATGGGATGCTAATGTAATTTGCACATATTAAATTAGCAGACAAGGCCAAATAGCACTAGGGCATAAAAATCATTCTAAGTGGCTTATAAGAAGAAAACAACATTAAAACTAGAAAGATTAAGGTAAATGCATTTTTAATTAATTTTAAGGGATAAAGAAATTTCTCCTGCCTTCAATTTTATTATGTGACATGTGATAGGTAACACTTTTATATGTTGGTAACAAAATGTAACACAGTTCCTTCTACATTGTGTTACCTTCCTTTCTGAGGCTGTGTAAAGCAATGCTTCTCAAACTTTAATGGGTATCTTGTTAAACGCAGATTCTTATTTAGAATGCTGTGGGACAGGGCCTACAATTTTCCATTTCTAATAAGCTGCTGGTCCCTAGATCTTTGAGCAGCACACGAGTATGCACTTGGTTGTTTCTTTTCAAGAAAATATAGAATTGTAGTCATTTCTTAGTTAAAATCTCATTAATATCAAGCATTCGCCTCATTATTTGTATCTGTGTTTCAATGTGTAATTACAGTATAACCTTAGTGAAGTTTTTGTTTGTTTGTTTTGAGACAGGGTCTTGCTCTATCACGCAGGAATGCAATGGTGTGATCATGGTTCGCTGCAGCCTCAAACTCCTGGGCTTGAGTGATCCTCCTGCCTTGGCCTTCCAAGTGGCTGGGACTACAGACATGCACCACCATGTGCAGCTAATTTTTTAATTTTTTGTACAGATGGGGTCTTGCTATGTTGCCCAGGCTAGTCTTGAATATCTGGACTCAAGCAATACTCCTGCATCGGCCTCTCAAACTGTTGGGATTACAGGTGTGAGCACCGCACTCGGCCTGGGAAGGTATTTTAGATTAAACAACTCGTGTAGCGTAGCCTTTGTGAAACTCTACTGAAACGATGACATTAGGAATAGCTAGGACCAATCTGTGCATGTGCAGGCAAGAACAACTGCCAGCTGGATGACAGCAAATGAAAGGCACCAGCCATCCAAGGGTGGCATCCACTGTAGGGTGAATGCAGACTTCAGAGATGTCAAGTGAGTAAAAGAACGTGAGGCTCAGAATCCATGAAATATGGCAATAGACTTTTGCCGACATAGCCCTCTGACTCCAAGCTTTTCATGAATTTCCCAGTTTACGTATTTTAAGGCATATGCAAGGAATTGGCTTGTCTGGAATTACTCAAACCAAATAAAGTAAGATAATTTTTTTTTTTTTTGAGACGGAGTCTTGCTCTGCTGCCAGGCTGGAGTGCAGTGGTGCGATCTCAGCTCACTGCAACCTCCGCCTCCTGAGTTCAAGCGATTCTCCTGCCTCAGCCTCCTGAGTAGCTGGGACCACAGGCACATGAAACCACGCTGGGCTAATTTTTGTATTTTTAGTAGAGACGGGGTTTTGCCATGTTGGCCAGGATGGTCTTGATCTCTTGACCTTGTGATCCACCCTCCTCGGCCTCCCAAAGTGCTGGGATTACAGACATGAGCCACCGCGACCGGCTGATAATTTTTTTTTCTTTTTTGTGACGAGTCTTGCTTTGTCGCCCAGGCTGGAGTGCAGTGGCGCGATCTTGGCTCACTGCAACCTCCGGCCCCAGGGTTTAGCAATTCTCCTACCTCAGCCTCCCAAGTAACTGGGACTACAGGAACGAGGCACCACACCTGGCTAATTTCTTTTCTTTTCTTTTTTTCTTTTTTTTTGAGACGGAATCTTACTCTGTTGCTAGGCTGGAGTGCAGCAGATCTCAGCTCACTGTAACCTCCACCTCCTGGGTGCAAGCGATTCTCCTGCCTCAGCCTCCTGAGTAGCTGGGACTATAGGCGCGCACCACTACACCTGGCTAATTTTTTGTATTTTAGTAGAGACAGGGTTTCACCATTGGCCAGGATGGTCTTGATCTCCTGATCTCGTGTTCTGCCCGCCTCAGCCTCCTAAAGTGCTGGGATTACAGGCGTGAGCCATCGCGCCCAGCCACGCCCGGCTAATTTTTGTAGTAGCGACAGGGTTTCGCCATGTTGGCCAGGCTGGTCTCGAATTCCTGTTATCAAGTGATCCGCCTGCCTTGGCCTCCTAGAGTGCTGGGATTAGAGGCGTGCACCACTGCACCCAGCCAGCTATTTTTAAAAACTTGTTTTTACTTTCCAAAATTCTATGTGGCAAAAGCTATAACCAACAATTTGAAAGCTTTTTCCCCGCAAAAAATTTCAGGGTTAGAATGGTGCCTGAAGAACATTTGTCTCATGCTTTACATACTCTAGAGCTGGGCAGCTCAGCAAACTCGAACAAGGAGAGATGTGGCTTCCTACTCAAACTTAGTGCAGCTGGGAAGGAAGTTCTTCATAGTGCCTTGAGAAATGTCTCCTGATAGCTTCGACTCCCTGGTCCTAAAACTTCCTTTTCAGAACACATGGAATAAATTCTCCAAATATGTGCAGTTATCCATGATGCATCCCTGAAACACTTTTAGTTCCTTCACACATTCCACTCACGACCTGGTTTTCTATCCCCTTACCACTGGGATCATTATCCCTTAAACATGTTCCAGTTTGTCTACCCTCATCCAATTACCGGGCAAGGCAACCAAATAGGGTGGGCCTGCCACTTACTTGTCCCGTATGATATGCCGCTGCTAATACTGTTAAAGAGGTCATTTGCTTTCTTGGAAATCACATCTTACTGAGTTACAGCCACCTAACACTCCTGTTTTTTCACAATACTGCTAAGTCACTTTTCCATGACTGAGTAATTATGTATCTCTATTAATACCGTCAGTGCCAGACTGTCAAACTGCCATCACCACCTCTCCTGATCTTCCCTGCACTTCAGGAAATGGCCTGGAACTATATTTTCCAGAATCCCATTCCCTGTAGGGTTCCAGGTTAGCTGCCACCAAGGAGAGGTACCCTTCTTAGATCTGGAAAGCAGAAAAGAAGTCAATATTCTCTAGAAACAGTTGCAAAAAGACACATAGGCAACAACAGGCAGGACTTTCCTATTCTGCAGCAGCTTCCAGATCATCTAAAGCCATAGCTGCATGCAGCTGACATGACTGCTCCTCTAGGAATATGCACTCTAATTTCATCAACAATAATAGGAGCCTTCCTGAACTTCTTTCATTAGACTTTCCAGCGGTTGTGTGAACCTTCGATTCCCTATATTAAAATCTTTCCTATTTGGAAAATCAAATGGAGCCTACCAAAAAGGTTACCAAAATTAATAAGTGAGTTTAACAAGGCTGCAAAATACAAGATCAATATAAAAAAACTAATTACATTTTTACATACTAGGAACAATCAGAAATAGAAATTTTAAAAAAAGATTCCATATATATAAGTTTCAAAAACTGTGAACACATAAGAATAAATCTGACAAAAATATGCAAGTCCTGAATATGTACACTGAAAACTACAAAACATTGCGGATAGAAATTTTTAAAAACCTACGTAAGTGAAGAGATGTACCATGCTCATGAATGAAAAGACTTAATATTAAGATGTCAATCATCCTCCAATTAATTTAGATTCAACGAAATCTTTATATTAAAATCCCAGCAGAATTTTTTTGTAGAAATTGACAAGTACCTTCTAAAATTCATATGGAAAAGCAAAGGATTCAGAATAGTCAGCAACTATAAAAAGAACCAAGTTGGAGGACTTACACAACCTGACGTGAAGACTTATTATAAAGTTAAAGTGATTAACACAGTATGGTACTGTCTTATTTTTCTATAGACAAAAAGTTCAATGGGATAGAACAGAATCCACAAATACACTGATATATATATATATAGAGAGAGAGAGACAACCAATTTTCAAAAAAGCTGCAAAGGTAATTTAGCTGAGAAAAGAGAGTGTTTTCAACAAATGATGTTAGAATAACTAGTAGGAATATCTTTAAAAATGAACCTCAATTTGTACCTTGGCAATATATAAAAATTAATTCAATGAATCATAGAACTAGATGTAAAATCTAAAACTATAAAACTTCTAGAAGAAAACATACAAGAAAATCTTTGTGACCCTATGTTAGAAAAATTATTTTTTTGACACAACACCAAAAAACATGATTCATAAAAGAAAAAACCCTGATATATTGGACTCAAAGTTAAAAACTTCTGCTCTTCAAAAGACATTTAAGAGAATAAAAAGATTAAGCCACAGACTGAGAAAAAGTTATCTGCAAATCACTTATCTGACAAAGAATTTATATACACAGTATATAAAGAACCCCATCTTAAAACCGGGCAAAAGAGGCCGGGCATGGTGGCTCACACTTGTAATCCCAGCACTCTTGGAGGCCGATGTGAGTGGATCACTTGAGGTCAGGAGTTCGAGATCAGTCTGGCCAACATGGTGAAATCCCATTGTTACTAAAAAAACAAAAATTAGCCGAATGGTAGTGGTGCATGCCTGTAGTCCCAGCTACTAGGGAGGCTGAGGCAGGAGAAATTGCTTGAGCCTGGGAGGCGGAGGTTGTGGTGAACCAAGATGGTGCCACTGCACTCCAGTCTGGGCGACAGAGTGAGAACCTGTCTTTAAAAAAAAAAAAAAAAAAAAAAAAGAAGATGGGCAAAAGATTTGAACAGACACTTTGCCAGAGAAGACATACATGTGGCAAATAAACACATAAAAAGATATTCAACTTCTTTAGTGATTATGAAAAAAACAAATTAAAGCCACAATGAGATGTCAACACACATGTACTTGTAGAATGTGCAAAATTAAAAAGACTCACCATTCCAAGAATTAACAAATGGAACTCTCTCATGATGGGAATGTAAAATGGTACAATCACTTTGGAAAACACTTTGGCAGTTTCTTAAAAAGCTAAACATACACCTACTATATGACCCAGCCATTCATTGCCTAGGTTATTGACTCTAGAGAAAAGAAAGCGTATGTCCAACAAAGACTTGTAGATGAATATTCATAGCTTTATTGATAAGAGCTGAAAACGAGCAAATGCCCAAATGCACATCAATAGGTGAATGGATAAACAAATTAAGGTGGAATATACAACAGAATGCTACTTACTCAGCAATAAAAATAATGGACTATTGTTAAACACAACATGGATGAACCTAAAAATAACTATGTTGAGTAAAAGAAGCCACACAAAAAAGAGTACCTACTGAACAATTCCACTTGTATAAAATTCTAGAAAATGTCAACTAATCTATGGTGACAGAAAGCACATCAATGGTTATCTGGGGTGGAGAAGGGGCAGAGAAGGGTGGCAGAGAGGGGTGATAAATGGGCAAGAGGAGACAGAGGGTGGTGAAGGACATATTAACTATCTTTTGCATACATCGTTTGAAACTTACCGCATTGTAAATGTCAATAATACCTCAATAAGGAGGTAAAAGGAAAAACAAAGAAGAGAGAGAAAAAAAAAAAAGCCTTTCCTACAGGGATACCTGGAATGGCCCATTTCCCTGGCAGAACCCTGAATGACACAGCCCCGTAAGTGAGATCCCTTTATCAGTTGAAATTTCACCCTGGGTGTGCACACTGTTCCCTAAGATCACAAATCTGTAAATCAGAACTTCTGCACAGATAATTCTCCTAGGATGGGTGCCAGGTTTCATTTTTCAATGTAATGAAGTCTCTTGTAGAAAAGAGCTTAATAAGGCAAATGTCTGAATTTTTAGAGCTGTTACCTTTACATCTCATTGTTTTAATTCTCCGGAGTGCTGTAAACTACCAGCATCTTCACTGAACTTTCCTTCGATCAGTAATACCTATATTATGTGTTTATAAGGCAATTGAACCAAAGCTGTTAATTTTTTAACCATTCTTACGGTTTTGCTTGACTTCAAAGGACACCTTAGGTTCAAAGGACACCTTAGGTCTTAATGTAAGATTTAGTGAATAAATCTTTAACATCACCTCACACCTCACATTTTACTCCTGAAAGTACTTTCCTATACATTACAATTAATATGCCATGCTTCTAACAACAGCCTGAAATTAGGAGTGGTTTTACAAATATCCAAACAGGCTAAGAAACAGCCTCCTGGGGCTGGGCGCGGTGGCTCATGTCTGTAATCCCAGCACTTTGGGAGGCCGAGGTGGGTGGATCACGAGGTCAGGAGATCGAGACCATCCTGGCTAACATGGTGAAACGCCGTCCCTACTAAAAAAAAAATACAAAAAATTAGCCAGGCATGGTGGCGGGCTCCTGTAGTCCCAGCTACTCGGGAGGCTGAGGCAGGAGAATCGCTTGAACCTGGGAGGCGGAGGTTGCAGTGAGCCGAGATCACGCCGCTGCACTCCAGCCTGGGCGACACAGCAAGACTCTGTCTCAAAAAAAAAAAAGAAACAGCTTCTCAACGAGGGCTTATACCACATACTCTAACATACATACATTTATCTATTTGTTTATTTATTTATTTTTGTTTTATTTTATTTTTGAGACGGAATTTTGCTCTTGTTGCCCAGGCTGGAGTGCGATGGCACAATCTCGGCTCACTGCAACCTCCGCCTCCCGGGTTCAAGCGATTCTCCTGCCTCAGCCTCCTGAGTAGCTGGGATTACAGGTGCCCAGCACCACACCTGGCTAATTTTTTAGTATTTTTAGTAGAGACGGGGTTTCACCATGTTGGCCAGGCTGGTCTCAATCTCCTAACATCAGGCGATCCGCCTGCCTCGGCCTCCCAAAGTGCTAGGATTACAGGCATGAGCCACCACTCCTGGCTCACATACTCTAATATTTATAATCTGGAACTGCTAAAAACTATGTTTACACCTTAAGGGCCAGACCAACCCACAAAAGCCAGAGCAGCACTCTACCGTCAGCACTTGACAGCGAAGAAACTAAAAAGAAGATGAGGAATAGCGGTCTTAGCTATGGCCTTGGAAAGAACTATTCTCTACAGAAAAGTGATGAAATATGGCTCCTAAACAGGAGAGAAAATAAGTTTATCAACCAGAATCCACAGCTCTGAGGCACATATTATTCAGGAGAAAAACTGAGAACTTATAACAGTAACTGGTGGGACAGCTCTTCTAAACATTCAGGTGTTTTCCTTTTCATGTTGCATTTTTTTTATCTGCTTTCCTCCACATATGGTTCGACACAGTTTTTCTTTTCTATTGAAAGAATAAATAATAACTGACCTTTGAAATCAGATTGCTAGCAGTTCAACATCAAAATCACAGTAAATTGAAATTCCATTAAAAGGTAATTTTAGGACCAGGTGCAGTGGCTCACACCTGTAATCCCAACACTTTGGGAGGCCGAGCTGGGCAGATCACTTGAGGTAAGGAGTTCAAGACCAGCCTGGCCAACATGGTGAAACCTCACCTCTATTACAAAAATACAAAAATTAGTCAGTGTGGTGGCATGCACCTGTAATCCCAGCTACTTGGGAGGCTGAGGCAGCAGAATTGCTTGAACCTGGGAGGCCAAGATGGCACCACTGCACTCCAGCCTGGGCAACAGAGCCAGACTCTGTCTCAAAAAAAAAAAAAAAAAAAAAAAAAGGTAATTTCAGGCTAGGTGTGGTAGCTCACGCCTATAACCCCAGTACTTTGGGAGGCTGAGGTGGGCAGATTGTTTGCACCCAGCCTGGGCAACATGGCAAAACCTGATCTATACTAAAAATACAAAAAATTAGCCTGTAATCCCAGCACTTTCGGAGGCTGAGGCAAGTGGATCACTTGAGGTCAGGAGTTTGAGACCAGCCTGGCCAACATGGCAAAACCCCATCTCTAATAAAATACAAATAATAATAATAATAATAATAATAATAATAATAATAATAATTAGCTGGGTGTGGCGACACATGCCTGTAGTCTCAGCTACTTGGGAGGCTGAGGCAGGAGAATGGCTTGAACCCAGGAGGTGGAGGCTGCAATGAGCTGAGATTGTGCCACTGCACTACAGCCTAGGTGATAGAGTAAGACTCTGTCTCAAAAAACAAAAACAAAAACTAGTGGTTCTAGGAGGCCTCCTGCCTCTCAACACCAGGAAGGTGAGCACTCAACTAAGAGCCCCTCCCCTCAGGCTCTGGGCCCTCCTCTCTCACTGACCAATGACCAAGTCTCTGTCAGGGCTGCATATGCACACAGAAGAAATGGAGCTAAATAGTGTGCATGAAGATCTTTAAAAAGCATTAATCACAGGCAAGGAATCAAAAAATAAGTGAATTCAAACAATGATACATTTGATTTTCCTCTGACCATGTGTTCTCAACTCTAGGAGGATGCATATCCAGTTAACAAGATTGGAGGAGACTTGTAATGCAGTCCATCAAGGAAGGTGATTTTTGCACACCTTTCCAGATCTACGCTTTAAGAAAAAACCAAGAATTTTATGTTAGAAAATAAATGGAAGAGATGTGGACTCTGCTCCTGAGATCACACGGTATCTACTGCAAACAAGTGATCTGACGGCAGGTGGGCTTCCTGATTATGCTGCACTACTGTCATTTTATTAAGTTTGTGTCTGTTATTCGAATCCTGGAAATCCTCTGAGAAAGGGTGCTATTTGTGACACTTATCTTGGTATTGAAAAAAATCGGCAGACAAGAAAATCAACTCTGAATTCAAGACTCCACAGGTGACAGTCGTACCCTACTTCTCAATGCTCTTAATTTGTGCTCTATTTTCAGAATAGTAAAAATGGAAAGTCGTGTTCTTGTGTGCCAGCAGTTGTCATTTAAATTTAGCAAGCTGAATAATTGAATTACCTTGACGAAAATGTATATTTCTGAAAGATAAGCATGTTTAATAGTAATCAAAAACTATAGAGTAAAGCTGACTTGTGAACTTACATGACCCAATTCTTCAACTAAAATTATACACCAGTGAGAAAATGACTTCAAATCTAAAAAGTGATTTACATACAGCATTTTGATAACAACTAAGCCAACATTTACCTGTGTTTAACTCTTCAGGATCAGTTACAGGATGCCCAGTTCCATTTAAAATGACATCCAAGTCTCTATACACACAGTTCAACACCTAATTTCTACTTAGGTAACCCAGGGGAAATGTTCTGTGAATGATCTACCCCTGTAATCTTTAATAGACAATCTGAGTAACAGCTATCCCAACTATGTTCTTCTCCTTCTTTTTTTTTTTTTTTTTTTTTTTTTGAGACGGAGTCTCACTCTGTCGCTCAGGCTGGAGTGGAGTGGCACGATTTTGGCTCACTGCAACCTCTGCCTCCCAAGTTCAAGCGATTCTCCTGCCTCAGCCTCCCGCGTAGCTGGGGTTACAGGCACACGCCGCCACACCTGGCTAAGTTTTATTTTATTTTAAAAATTTTTTTAGCAGAGATGGGTTTTCACCATGTTGGCTAGCCTGGTCGTGAACTCCTGACCTCAAGTGGTCTGCCCACCTCAGCCTCCCGAAGTGCTGGGATTACTGGCGTGAGCCACTGCACCCGGCCTCAAATATGTTTTTCTGAGAGGACACTTCAGGTTCTCTTAAGCTATGAGAAGGATTTTTTTCTCCTTTCAGTTGAGCATTATGCTTTCTACACATCATTGATCTAGGGACTGTATTAGTGAGTGCATACAGTATTTTTGTATTTCTTTGTGTCTCCGGACCCCTCCAACACCTTCTTCAAAGTTCTTTTGCCTCCATCTCTCAAAATCCTGTACTCAAGCATGGTCAACTGCAATAAGCACATGCCTCTTCCAAGGTGCTCCCCTGCTACACTGCAGCCAGGCCAAGAGAAAAAGCACAGCCTTTGGAGTCTGACACTTTAAAATCAAATTTTATGTATCTTGGACACTACAATGGTAGGAGCTTGGGCAAATTATCTGGCATCTAAGTTTGTCATCTGTAAAATGGGAGCTATATACTACTTATCTTGAAGAGAGGCTGTGTTGATTAGAAATAATGGATGGAAAGCACCTAACAATACAAAGCACATGAGCTGCTACTGCTTCTGGCAGCAGGGTCCACCTCCTCCTCCACATCAAGCACCTACTCTGCATCAGCAAAGAAGGTGATGAGTAACAGAGGGATGAGGCACACGGCGCCCGGAGAAGGCACTCAAGAACCACACACGACTTCATAAGATCAGACCCATACCTCATACCTTGCGTGAAAATAAACTCCAGATGGATAAAGTATTTAAACGGGAGGAAGAGAGGAAGGAAGGGAAAGGAGAGAAAGAAGAAAGCTGGGAAGGCAACCATTAAAGCATTTGAAAAACCTGTGGCTGATTTTTCTTTTCATAATGCAGAACGAACAAAGACTTTCTAACTATGATACAAACTCAGAAGCCATAAACAAATGACAGCTACATCTGACTACAGAAATGCTTCAAAACAAGTATTATGATAGAATCCACCAAGGTCATTGTTGCTGGGGGAAAAAAATCAGCATTTATATCTCAAAGAGCTAGGTTTCATAATACATAAAGAACTCCTACAAATCAACAAGGAAAAGACCAACAATACAAAAGAAAAATGGGTGAAGGAAATGAACAGACAGTTCACAGAAAAGGAAAGATAGCCTCCTAAGATATAGATCAACTGCATTCTCTATAAGGGAATAGAGTATTCAAAGTATACGAAGACAGGCTAGGCATGGTGGTTCACGCCTATAATCCCAACACTTTGGGAGGCTGAGACAGGCACATTACCTGAGGTCAGGAGTTCGAGACCAGCCTGGCCAACATGTTGAAACCCCGTCTCTATTAAAAATACAAAAATTAGCCGGGCATGGTGGCTCATGCCTGTAGTCCCAGCTACGAGAGGCTGAGGCACGAGAATCACTTGAACCTGGGAGGTGGAGGCTGCAGTAAGCTGAGTTCACACCACTGCACTCCAGCCTGGGCAACAGAGTAAGACTCGGTCTCAAAAAAAACAAAACAAAACAACACCAAAGTACACCAAGATACCGCTTTTCACTGACCAAACTGGCAAAGACAAAATTTGGTGGTAACACACAGTTACCTTGTGTCCAAGGTAACACAGAAAAAGGCATTCACATATACCATTGCTGATGAGAATATAAACGGGTGCAATCTCTGTACGGGACAATTTGGCAGCTACCTATCAAAATGAAAGTGTACAGTCTTTGACCCAGCTATCCTATTTTTAAGTATGTATCACAGGAAAAGAATTACACATGTGGCAAATTATATATGCAAAGGATATTCACTGCAAAATATGTTTGTAACGGCAAAAGATCAGAAACAGTCCATCAATTAGGGGACTGGTTAAATACGTTATTATACCTTATCCACACAAGAGAATACTATGCAATTATAACAAGCAGTTCTTTTTGTACTAAGGAAGATAAGTCTTCAAGATAAGGTGTTAAGTTTTAAAAGCAAGATGCAAAAAATGTGTACTTGATGATATCATGTACGTAAGAAAAGGGGGGCTTTTACGCAATTTTTTATATGTGAACAGAGATTCCTTGAAACAAAACAAAAAACTGGCCGGGCACAGTGGCTCACGCCTGTAATCCCAGCACTTTGGGAGGTCAAGGCAGGCGGATCACGAGGTCAAGAGTTCAAGTCCAGCCTGACCAATAAGGTGAAACCCCGTCTCCACTAAAAATACAAAAATTAGCCAGGTGTGGTGGCACACGCCTATAATCCCAGCTACTCAGCAGGCTGAGGCAGGAGAATTGCTTGAACACAGGAGGCAGAGTTTGCGGTGAGTCGAGATTGCGCCATTGCACTCCAGCCTGGGCAACAGAGCAAAACTCCGTTTCAAAAAAAAAAACCTAGTATTACTACTGAGTCAGAGAAGGAAATGCTATTGGCTGTAACACAACTATATACCTTTTTAAACTAGAGGCATTCAATTTTTAAAAATATAATACAGGTTGGGTGTGGTGGCTCATGCCTATAATCCCAGCACTTTGGGAGGACAAGGCGGGTGGCCTGCTCAAGTCCCAAAGTTTGAGACCAGCCTGGGTGACGTGGTGAAACCCCAACTCTACAATAAAATATAAATATTAGCTGGAAGTGGTGGTGCACGCCTGTAGTCCCAGCTACTCACAAGGCTGAGGCAGGCGGATTGCCTGAGCCTGGGAGGCAAAGGTAAGGGTGCAGTGAGCTGATATGCCACCGCACTCCAGCCTGGGCAAAAGAGCAAAACTCCGTCTCAAAAAAAAAAAAAAAAAAAAAAAAAAAAAAAAAGAGAGAGAGAGAGAATACAGCAAGATGTTACCAATGGGGGAAACTGCATAAAAGGATAAAAGAGATTATTTCTTACAACTGCATTTGAATATATAATTATCTCGAATTTAAATAAAAACTTTAAGTAAAAAGAAGATAATCCACTGTATTTGAACAAGATACGGATCTGGAAGTCAAACGAGTGGTCAAGACTGGAATGCTGTCCTGAGTTCAGAAGAAAGGCCACCTTAGGCTTTGCCACAGGGACCCTAGGATTCCTCCTTGAGAACTCCCCATTTCCTCACACAAGCCCCATTCCTCCTTGGCCCTCTGGCTCACGCACTTCCCTGCCTGGACTGCATTCCTCCTTTCTTCTGGTCCTAGTAAGGCCTTCAAATAGCCACAAAACTTCCCTTTCATCTATGCATCCCCTTTAAGCCCCTTTTATTCCTGACACCTCAGCATTCTGTAGAGCGGTACGCAGAGGCGACTTAAGATTCCCCAAACATGTAGATGTGGGTTGCCTAGAGTGGCCATCAATTAAACCCTCCTCAGCAATAGACCGCAAATGGGTAAGTAAGAGGTTCCAGGGACTCCCTATTTTTACTTTTAGGAAGGGACTACGAGACGGCGTGAAGACAAAATACTGCCCAACAGAGATGGGTCAGAGAGGTCTCCAGACAGCAAGACTTAGTTGGTCTCCACTTTTCCCGGGGCTTAAAGTGAGTTAGATGTAAGTCATCCTACCTTCTGGTACATTTTAAAGTAAAAAATGAGATGGGTGGGCCAGGACAACATCACTTCAGGACAGGAAGCATTAAGATCCTTCCATTCAAGCCCCCCACATATGGACTCCTTGCTCACCAAGTGACCATCTCATTCTCCTACACAGAACACCTGGGTAAGGACAGGTATTTGGGCAGAATGTCCAGTGGGAGCCTTGGAGCAAGCGGCAGCAGGAAAGTAGACAGGAGTCAAAAAAAAAAAAGGGGGGGGGGCAATAAGAAGGTGGGCCAGGTGTGGTGGCTCACACCTGTAATCCCCGCACTTTGAGAGGCCAAGGCAGGAGGATCACTTTGAGCCCAGGAGTTCAAGACCAGCTTGGCCAACATACCGGAACCCCCATCTCTACAAAAAATTAAATTAGCTGGGCATGGTGGCACACACCTGTGGTCCCAGCTACTCAGGAAGCTGAGGTGGGAGGACCACTTGAGCCAGGGAGGTTGAGGCTGCAGTGAGCAGTGATTGTGCCACCACACTCCAGCCGGGAGAACCAAGCAAGATCTTGTCTCAAAAAGATAAAAAATAAACAGAAAACAGAGGTAGCCAAAAATCTTCAGCTAGATGAATTATCTGAGAGAGAAAATTAACAACTAAACGTATCTGCATTTATCTAGTTCCTGAGCACTCAACTGGTGTAGCAACATTGTTCCTGAAATAGCTAGACACTCAGGCTAGACAGTCGAGATCTATCTTAGGAACCCAGGTACGTACTACAAACCATTCATACACCTCAAAGAAGGAAACAGTTGTCCTGACAAAAAAGAAACTACCCGCCATGCTGTGTCACATGGAATGGTGAAAGAACTGGAATCTTCCACACATGGCCTGGACTCAGTGCCCAGACCCAAGAAGGAATGCTACAGGTATCGACAGAGTTGGGAGGGAGGGGCAGGGAACATCCCAGACACCAGGGGGGATGCCATCATCAGTAGGAAACCTAAAGCTTCCCAGAAATAAATAGCCAAGCCTTCTGGCTAAAGGCATGTGAGGCGGGGCTTTGGGTGAAAATGTCCAGTTGTTAGCTCTCCCCCACATGCCGGCTTCAGCTTCACATTTTTCCCTTACTTCATGGGACGTGTTCTGGGCCCTTACCAAATTAGACCAACGAGTCCAGTCTTGAAAAGCTAACAACTGCTCTCCAAACACACCAATTTCCTTTTTCCTAAAACAAAGGCTTTAAAAGGGAAGGGAAAGTGAAGAAAGCAAGCGCCTGCCAATTCTCCTGGCCAACTCGGGGTTTCTATAGTTAAGCTTTCCACTGTTTTACGTGCATCTTTTGCTTTTTTAAAAAACAAAGGTGAAAGGAGATGGGAAATGAAACACCGAGCATCAAAACTAAACTGTAACAGTGCTAACCAAAAGGTTACAAAAATTTCTAAGAAGATACAGTGATTTAAGCAAACACTTGAACAATAGAGTGTACACATACTTATAAAACTATTCAGTGCCTCCAGCAGGGTAGATTCAAACAGTGCCCCTCCCCCCCTCCTCCCCACCAATCTCCCATCTAAGTCACTCTAAAGCTGTCAAGAGTGACAAAGGCACCCCAATGGGGTGGGATGTGGAGGGGGCTCAAACCTCCACCCCTCCCTCAAAGGGAATGGAAAATGCACCTGAGTATACCTGCTGCCTTGACTTAAACTCTAGCTCCTGGTCACACTGGGAATTACATTCTGGCTCCGGCTCCATGACCACTGTGGGCTGTCCATGGCTATCAAGGGTTTGGGGATCCTTCAACAAGGATTCCCTGCTACACACTCCATAAGCCCAGAGTAAGCAGTATAGATTCAGAGCTCGGGAAGCCACAGCATCCAAGCTAGGACACACTGAAATGCTGCCTAGAGAAGCTCCACCCCCACCTACTACCGCAGCGATTCTCAAGGAGTTTGTAAGCTCTATCATAATTTGTTGCTAATAAAATATCTAAGTTTACAAACGATCTGTATGAAACAAAGGGTCTCCCTCTGCAATAAAACCCGTTTTTCCCCCATGCGTTCATTTAGTGTCCTCCATAGGCCACGCTTTGTTCTGGGTACTCAGGACAGAGGAGAAAAAGACCAAAATCATGCTTACATTCCAGTAAAGGGAACAGGCATTAAACCAGCAGACTGATGAATATGAGGATTCCAGTAGTAATCAATACTAGGAAGAAAATAAACCAGACAGGGTAATAGGACAGAATGTAGAGAGGACGGGGAATGGGTCCTTCGGATAAGGTGAGGGAAGGGGGGACATTTGAGAACTCAATGCTGAGACCAGGCCATGGGGAAGAACGATCCAGGTAGAGGAAAGACAGACCCAAGACATGGGGAACAGCCTTGTTTGAGTGTGAAGCGCAGGAAGGAGGTCTGGGTGGCCACCACGGACACCAATTTCCTCAGCCAAAGGCAGCAGGGAAGATGGAACAGATGTGGCGTGAGGGGCACGGTGAATGCCTGAACCATACAGACCGGGAGGGAGGGCCCCTGCTATCCTTTCCAGAACTCATCCTTTCCTTGGGCTGCAATCAAAGAACTTCCACCCTCCTGCTGGCCTCCTGTCCACCCTCCTGCTGGCCTCCTGTCTTCATTCCCAAGCCTAGACCTTTGCTTAGGTCATTCCCACCTCCATAAATGACTTTCTTGCTCCTTCATATACCTTCCTACTCCAAGCTCTCCTTTTCCACAGTGTAGTCCTGAAAGCATGGAGCACTTACTCGTTCTTTAAAGCAAGTATTTACTGCCCATGTACTAAGTGCTATTGGTCCTGGGTATAGATACAGAGGTGAACCAGACATAGCCTGTCTTCAAGGGGCTCAGCCCGGTCTCCCAGGGAGAGGAACTGGTAGGTAAACAAATCCTATACAATGGGTGACTGTAACAAAGTCCATTTGACTTTTCATTAGGTAACAGCCTTTGACAGCAACTTAATACTTTTGTGCTTGTGTGTATGATGTCATCTGCCTAGCTCAGCCTGAAAACTCAAGAGGCAAGTGAACCTGCTTCTCAGAATGCCCAGGAAGTTCTAATTTATGCCTGCTTTTCCTCAAAAGTGTCCCACTGTTGCCAATGACTCCATCCTTCCCATCAGGATCAAGCCAACATTCTTGGCTGGCTCTTAAAAGCTCGACATTCACGTGGCCTCAACTTTTATCCCCATCTCCTCTATGTCTCCCTGAAGAGACTTGTACTCGCTGTTACCAGAATCCAACTGTAATCTGTCACCTTCTGCCTTTCTTTGGTCATCTTGTGCCGCCCATGCTTGGTCCAAGAAAGGCACTTAAATAAATGCTTGTTAAACAAAGAAATAAAAAGAATGTCTGTCAGTCTTTACCAGCAGCTAACTTGAGTCTTTTGCCTCAGCCCGGTGCAGTGGCTCCTATCTGTAGTCCCAGCACTTTGGGAAGCCAAGGCGAGTGGATCATTTGAGCCCAGCAGTTCGAGACTAGCCTGGGAAACATGACGAAACCATGTCTCTATAAAAAAATACAAATATTAGCCAGGCATTGGGGAGCATGCCTTTACTCCCAGCTACTCAAGAGGCTGAGGTAGGAAGATTGCCTGAGCCCAGGAGGTCGAGGCTGCAGAGAGCCACGATCATGCCACTGCACTCCAGCCTGAGTGACAGAGTAACACCCTGTCTCAAAAAAAAAAAAAAAAAAAAGAAAAGAAAAAAGAAAAAAAAAATCATCTCTTGCCCACAAAAGCTCTCCAGGTAGCACTTCCTTTTCCTGTTCAGAATGCCTAGTTCTTGCTATCACTTGGTAATCAATGAGTTATTATATAAAAAAATTTTAAAAATCATTCCTAATATTATCAAATTGGGTCATCATCTCTAAGAATATTACAAGCACTTTGATATTAGTAGCCATAGTCTGTAAAGGACAGTATAAAGAAATGTCAGCCATTGTAACAATCACAGTAGAATTCACTGAGACAAATAGGTTTTGTCCTCTTTAAAGCAGTTACCTTGGAGGGTTCTGTGCTTATTTCAGTAATTTTTTTTTTTTTTTTTTGAGATGGAGTCTTACTCTGTCGCCCAGGTTGGGGTGCAGTAGCGTGACCTCGGCTCACTGCAACCTCTGCTCCAGGTTCAAGTGATTCTCCTGCCTCAGCCTCCTGAGTAGCTGGGACCACAGGCACACGAAACCAGGCCCGGCTAATTTTTGTATTTTTAGTAGAGACAGGGTTTTGCCATGTTGGTCAGGCTGGTCTTGAACTCCTGACCTCAGGTGATCCACCCACCTCGGCCTCCCAAAGTGCTGGGATTACAGGTGTGAGCCACCGCACCAGGCCTCAGTAATATTTTCTTGGTTCAAACTGTTTTGAAACTATTTTCAGACAGACTAAACCAGTGCTGAGGCATCTTTTTCAGCATCTGCATAGTCTACTTTTTAAAAGCAACATGGATTTGGATGTGTAAATTCTAGAAGACTAGTTTAAAAAGAAATTAATGTACACAGTCACATTGTTTGTCCCTTCCCAACACTGCCTTACACGTAGTAGTAGGTTTATGGTCCTCACTGTGACCAAAATAATGAGCAGGGTGCCAGGAGCCCAAGTTCTGCCTCTGACACCCCACGAGACCTGGGCAGGCCACTCACTTGCTTGGGGTCATACTTATGGGAAAAGAAACTGGGCTACACAATGTCAGGTTCCTTTCAGCACTACATTTTATGGTGCTTTTAGAGAATTAGTAAAAATCCAACTTCAACAAAACAATAATTTGGGAACTGCTACGTAGGACATGTGTTAAGAAGTAGTCTCTACTTTTTTATTCACTACAAAAAAGGTTGATGCTAATGATGCAGTAATGAAGACAAGGAACAATGAGGGAAATGCTTCCAAGGTTAGGAGGAATTTTCAGAGTATGGAAATGGGCTCCTGGAAGGATATACGGTACACCTAGCCAGAGCAGATGACTTAGAGGAAAGGAAGACAAAGGTACAGCTGCATTGGTCAGACAGAAGGGGCTGTACTGGAATATAGGAAGTTTTAGGAGGGCAAATACCTGTGCGCTGTGGGTTCGTGGTATCAAAACCTCCAATTTGGGACTGATGGCAACTCAAGGAAACGAAGTAGGATAATTCATGTTTGTCTTTTAAGGAGGGGTGGTAATACAGAAACCACTATGAGAATTAGGTTTCAACTGAGTATGTACGTTTTCAATATTATCTTTCCCGATGAATACTAGAGAAGGCAGCAACCTAACATACATTATTTCCAGTTTAATAAGTAGATTTTTTCTCCTGGTTTGGCTCCTTGTCAGTATTTTTACTGAAGTAGTTAAATGCACAGCAAGAGAGACTTTCTAAAAAATTAGAAAGAACCACTTAATATAGAGGTGTTGCGTTTTTGTTTCTGTTTTTTTATTTTTGAGACAGAGTTTCACTCTGTCACCCAGGCTGGAGTGCAGTGACGCCATCTAGACTCACTACAACCTCTGCGTCCTGGGTTCATGGGATTCACGCTTATGGTAAAAACTGATTCACCAAATGGTCTCTTCCTACTTTTAGTTCAACAAATATTTATCGAGCATATATAATGTGCCAAGCTCTGGGGCACAGCAGCAAGAAAAAAAACACTGACTTAGTTCCTGCACTCATGAAACTAAATAGTGCAGGTGGGGAAAGAGGCCTGCTGTAGAGAGTAGCACATACAAATGCTCACGGAGACTGTGGGTGCCATAAGGGAAATGAGGGGCTGGGAGTGCATGCGGTCGGGGAACAGACCTTGCCAGGGAGGCCAAAAGGGTGTTCCCCAGGAAGTTACAATTAAACTGAGGCCCAAGAAAGAAAAAGCTGACTAGGTAAGAAGCAGACGGGGCATCTAACTAGGGGGAACGGCATGGGCCAAGGCTATGCAGCAGAAAGCAATGTGGCTGTTGAGGAGCTAAAATAAGACCTGTGTGGCTGCATCACAAAGATGAAGGGAAGCGAAGTGTGAGATGAGACCAGGCTTGTAAATGAGCCAGACCACTCACGTCCCTGCAAGAATTTTCTTCTTTTACCTGAGAGCATAGGAATCCACTGATGGATCTGAAGGGGAGGAATATCAGATTTACATTTCAAAAGGTCACTGGCTACAGAGAACAGAGCATGTATGAAGGAGAAGCTGAGATGCAGCCCATGCTGAGCTGGTGGCTCTGTTCACGAGGTATTAGTCGAGGTCCACATAGGAGACAGAAATCACACTCATCATCTTAACATACAGATTGTCATACAAAGAATATAAAAAATTGTTAACTAGACATAAAGTTATTAACTAGTCACTGAAAAGGGGAGAGAGAGAACACTAAGGTACTATAGAGGTGGGAGCTGCCCCAGGGCTGGGGGAACAAAGGGAAGAGGCTTCCATGGAGCTTTGGGCCAGTGTCAACACCCCTGAGGATGCAGCGAAGATGGACCTCCAAGTATTGGGAAAACTGCAAAATGGATTCAGGTGCATCTACAGGAAGGAACTGCTGCTGCTGTGGGGCAAAAAAGCATTGCTCAAGTGCCCTCATGGGAACAGGAAGCAGCAAGTTCCTTCTTCCTTCTCCGGCCATGCAGTCACCCTCTCCTGCCCCGTTGGCACTGCCTAAGGAAGAGCCAGATGGCAATGAGAAATGTGGCTGGCAGGATCCCAGCTTTAAAAGCACACACAGAGAATGGGGGCTTGGGGCTGAGAAACACACACTTAACTGATAAATCACACATGAAAAATGTAGCTAGCAAAACTGTCACCAGCTACTGTGCTTTTCCAACATGGCTGAATGACTCACTAATCATATGTATCGGATCTAGGACACCAGTGATTGTAAGATACATCAATATTTCATGTGCCACTAAGAAAAAGTGACACCAATTAAAGTGATTCAATGCTAAGTCTCCATGAATTGTTAAGATACATCCTTATTTGAAAGATGTTAAAAGGTTAAAAAAAAAAGAAAGCTAAGTATTCTTTAGTAAGGTGTCAAACTTGATCAAAACAAATCATTGCACAGAAAATTATTACAGAAGAAACATCTGGGTAAGTAAAAAATATTGAAAACTAGGAGCACCAAGGGAGACCTGCTTTATTCAATTTTTTTGTTTGCTTTTAACTTTTTGAGATAATTGTAGATACACATGCAGTTGTAAGAAATACAACACAAGGCTGGGTGTGGTGGTTCATGCCTGTAATCTCAGCACTTTGGGAGGCCAAGGTGGGAGGATCGCTTGAGGCCAAGAGTTTGAGACCAATCTGGGCAATATAGCAAGACTCTATCTCCACAAAAATAAAAAATAATTAGTTGGGCATGGTGGTGTGTGCCTGTAGTTCTAGCTACTTAAGAGGTTGAGACCAGAAAATCATCTGAGCCCAGAAGTTCAAGTGAGCTATGATCATGCCACTGCACTCCAGCCTGGGCAACAGAGCAAAACTCTGTCAAAAAACTCTGTCCAAAATAAAAAAAAAAACCACAGAAAGAAAGAAGGCAAGGAATACCACACAGAGATTCTGTATGCCCATTACCCAGTTTCCCCTAATGGTAATATCTTACATAACTATAATATCCCAACGAAGAAACTGACATTGATAAAATCTACCAACCTTATTCAGATTTCACCAGTTTGACAGGCTCTCGTTTATGTGTGTATTTAGTTCTATACAACTTATAACCAACACCCCAGTCAAGAGAGAGAACGGTTCCATCACAAGGATCCCTCATGTTACCCTTTTTTTTTTAATGTTTTATTTTTTGAGATGGAGTCTCCCTCTAGTCCCCAGGCCAGAGTGCAGTGGTGCAATCTCTGCTCACTGCAACCTCTGCCCCCTGGGTTCAAGTGATTCTCCTGCCTCAGCCTCCCGAGTAGCTGGGGCTACAGGTGCGCACCACCACGCCCGGCTAGTTTTTATATTTTTTAGTAGAGATGGGGTTTCACCATGTTGGCCAGGCTGGCTTCAAACTCCTGACCTCGTGATCCGCCTGCCTTGGCCTCCCAAAGTGCTGGGATTACAAGCGTGAGCCACCGTGCCCAGCCTGCTACCCCTTTATTTATAGCCACAGGCATCTTTCTCCTCGGTACCTGTCTACATTATTTTTTTAAGGAAGAGAGCTTACATATTATTCTCTCATTATTTGTCATATGAACCCGAGTTCTTTTTCCATATTTGAAGAGTTATCAGTTGACTTTGGATTAGCTATTCCTATACAGTAGTGCACTGCAAAATGAGTAAAGACTTCCCCCAAAAGCAGAAATCTTGGCATCTTTCCAAAGCCCATCATTTACTAGCTGTGCGATCACTGCACTCTATGCAGCCTCCCAGGCACTCATCATTTCCTCCTGAACCACTGCACCACGGGATGCTAGCTGCTATTATTATCACTGTGATTGTTATTAGCCTGATTATGTCTCCCTTGATGCAGTTCTGCCACCCTCTGATACATTTTCTACAGAGCAGCCAGAGTGATCTTTCTTGAAATGGAATCCAAACTTGTCATTTGCTTGCTTAAAATCCCTCAGTGGCTTCCCGTGACTGGATGGGCCAAGTCTCATCTCCTCGGTCTGCCACACCAGGGCCTGACCCCACTTGTTCTCCAGCCCCTTCAGGTCCAAGTTAGAACCCACTTGTCATCTCTTTTCCCGGGGTCACTGCTCGTATCAATACTTCTCAGACTGAGGGTGCCGCCTCCTCTGGGAAAGCCTCCCTGATGGCCTCTCACTGCAGGCTTTGTGTCCCTTCACCATGTGCTCTTTGACTTTCCATTATGGTAAAATATATATAACATAAAACTTACCATTTTAACTGTGTTTAACTGTACAGTTCAGTGGCATTAGTACTTTATTCAGTTTTCCCACAAGTTTATTACTCCAGGTGTGGCAGGAGTTTAAGTCTTAATACAGAAAAGTTTTCCATAAAAGAAAGGAAGGAGAATATCAGAAGTTATACACGAGAAGACATAAAATCTCATTTAACAGGAAGGTTAAGCTATCACTAACAGTTGAGACCTAGCCTGTTTAATATGGTAGCCACTAGCCACATGTGGCAACTGAAATTCAATTTAAAAATTAGGGCCAGGCGCGGCGGTGGCTCACGCCTGTAATCCCAGCACTTTGGGAGGCTGAGGCAGGCAGATCACTTGAGGTCAGGAGTTTGAGACCAGCCTGGCCAACATGGTGAAACTCCGTCTCTACTAAAAATACAAAAATTAGCTGGGTGTGGTGGCACGTGCCTATTAATCCCAGGTACTCGGAAGGCTGAGGCACGAGAATCGCTTGAACCCAGGAGATCACACCACTGCACTCCAGCCTGGGCAACAGAGTGAGACTGTGTCTCAAAAAATAAAAAATAAAAATAAAAATAATTAAAAACAAACAAACAAAAAAGAAATACCCAGCTGTTGAAGGGCAAGAGGCAGGAGCAAAGCTGCCCAGCCACAGAGGACACTATGCATGCTGGAAGTATGTAGAAACTCAGTACACAAGAGATCACAACCTTAAACTGTGTCCATACCCAAAGGCCACAAAAATCCCAAACTAATCTGTTCCCAAAGGTATGCATTTAAAAAATAATAAATCCTGGCAATAAGGATACTCACTAAGGAGAGTGCTAACAGCACTATGTACAGAGGCTAAGAATGAAATGGTTAAGAGGCTAGGCTTTCCAGTGAGGGCCACGTTGCATCCTGAACAGGCGTCAGCTAAAGGGATGCAGTGGGCAGGGCATGTCTGACAGGGTCCAAGGTCACAGATGTGGTAGGTGGTAGAGCCAAGTCTGTTCCCTAGGGCCTGTGATCTTGACCACTCCCCAATGTTGAGGAAACTGCAGAAGCAAAAGCATTAAGTTGTGAAGCAGTGGGTAGCTGAAGCCTTAAGTACAACTAAGTAAATGAGAGGAGATAAATCTATAACTCCAAGATAAGCAAGGTCAAATATAAAGGGCTTTGTCTTTCAGGCTAAATTTGAACTTCATCTTGGTGAGGAACCATGGAAGGCACCTACTAAGCAAAGTAATTAGACAACCACATTTGTAATTGCAAAAGCGAACATTTGAAATAAGAAAGACTATCCAGCAGGAGAAGAGACAGACGAAAGGAAAGAGGAGTTAGGAAGCAGCACACAGTAATACGAAGAGTTCAGGCTTTGCAGTCAGTCTGCCAGCATTAGCCACAATGTAGCCTGGGGCACAGGGTTCCCCCTCCCAGAGCCTCAATTTCCTGACATATAAAATGGAGATATCTCCCTAACAGTTTTGTTGAAGAACTGGCCCATCCAAGGACTGCTGCCGGAGTTCTCCTGGAGACACCCTTCTGCTGTCCCGTTCTGGGACGGCTGGCTCTAAGGACAAGGAAGCAAAGCACATGCAAGCACGTCCGCAAAATATAGAGAAGGGAGGAGTCCGAGGCTTCCTAGTAACTTAGGCCTCTAAGATCCTCTTTGGGTTTAAAAGTGTGAGCTGGGTTTAGGTTGCTTACAACCCAGAGAGCCACAGTAAGTTTGTGGCAAGGACGACAAATGATATACGTAAAGCACCACGTATCAGCTACTCAATACAGGTGGTGTTCCTGAACTACTAGAATAGTTCAGGCATGGGAAAAGCACTCAAACTAACACATGAACGATGAGAATAAAAGAAAAAAAAGAACAGGCCGGGCATGGTGGCTCATGCCTGTAATCCCAATACTCTGGGAGGCCAAGGTGGAGAATCGCTTGAGTCCAGGAGTTAGAGACCAGCCTGGCCAACATGGCAAGACCTCCTTTCTACAAAAAATAAAAAAATTAGCTGGCGTGGCGGCACACACCTGTAGTCCCAGCTACGTAGGAGGCTGAGGCTGCAGTGAGCCAGGAGCATGCCACTACACTCCAGCCTGGATGACAAAGCAAGATCCTGTCTCAAAAAAGAAGAAGAAGATGAAGAAGAAATCTCACTAAGATATTCAGGAAGCAGTATTAAAAGGGCTGGTAACTGACTAAATGTGGGAGGGAAGTGAAAAAGAAGAGTGTAAGACAGTGGTTTTCAGCAAGGATGATTCTGCCCTTCAGGAGACATCTGACAATATATAGAGACATTTGTTTGTCATGACTGAGGTGGCAGGGTGCTAATAGCATCTAGTGGGTAGAAGGCTTAGGAGGCTGCTAAACACCTTACAAGGCACTGGATGGCCCCCACAACAAAGAATTACCCAGCCCCAAATGTCATTTCCAAGGTTTTGAAACTCTGGTCAAGCATATTTCCAGGTTCCTGGACTAAGGTGACAGGTAAAGAATATTTTCCTTACAATTTAATTAAGTTCTAGGAAAGACGGTTATCAATGAATGTTTGCTACCAACAATATGTTAATAGTTTCTGAAGCCAGTCTTTATTTAAGCCCTAACACCGTCTCCACTGCAGTCAAAGGGGCAAACTTAAATAGTGTAAATGAGTTTAGATTCTACACCAGTGTTAACAACTGAAAGCTGTGCGTATAAAATGGTAAAGAAAATAATTTTTACCAAAGTGTTAACAGTTTTCAATGAATAGAGAAGCAGAAACTGATATACAAACTCCCTTACCAATTTTAAGAAAAAGACTGTCCAAGCCATGTTACTTTCAAAGCTGTTTTTTAAAGATCAAATTTTGCATGTTGAACAAATAACATTACCAGGCTTGCTCAGTGAGGGGGCCAATGCCTGGTGTTAGGATGAGCATCATCTGTGCCTATATTCCCACAGAATCTGAGAGACAACAGCTTTTTCTTACTCACTGTCTGTCTCATCTCACTTGACTACTTGATCTGTGTAGTGAACTTGTACCACAGATATTTCTATCTCTGTTTTATAGTTAAACCCTTTCAGGTGGGGGAAGGAAGCGAGGTCTCTAGCAGCCTGGGGGTTGGGGGGAAGGCACAAGGCGGGCATCCCACAAGCAAGGGTACAAGGTCTCCAACAGTGGTGATGCAGGCCTGCAGTTTGCAGGTCACCAAGTATGCATGTGTTCACATCTGCATTCTCTCTTTTTTTTTTTTTTTGAGACAGAGTCTCACTCTGTTACCCAGGCTAGAGTGCAGCGATGCAATCTCAGCTCACTGCAACCTCCGCTTCCTGGGTTCAAGCAATTCTCTGCCTCAGCCTCCAGAGTAGCTGGGATTACAGGCAACTGTCACCATGTCCGGTTCATTTTTGTATTTTTAGTAGAGACTGGGTTTTACCATCTTGGCCAGGCTGGTGTTGAACTGCTGACCTCGTGATCCACCCACCTCAGCCTCCCAAAGTGCTGGGATTACAGGCGTGAGCCACTGCGCCTGGCCTGCATTCTCTTTATCCCAGAGAGGTGGAAGTCTTTCTTCCCACTTTGCAAATGAGGAAACCGAGGCTCAGAGTATTCAAGTGAAAATCTCTTGAGATACACAACTAGTGACTGCAGCAGGGGATCCTCTCACTGGGGGTATGCTTCTTATGCATGCCATGGCAGGTTAGCGTAAGAATGCCACCATTCTGGGAAGCCAGGGGCAGAACTACCACCATGTCCTGAACCGAGGTTCAGAGCCTTTAAGTAAATTACAGAGTTTTTACTCATAGTAAGTGCAGAGATGAGGCGTGAATCTAGGTTTGTTTGTCTGATTTCCAAGCCCATGTTCTTATGGTGAGATAAAGGTTTGGGCCTTTTCAACTGCTAACCAACCAGATGACTGCATGTTCAGACAGGCTAGGAAGAAATAAAAGCTGGTTTTATTATTTTGTTCTTACTATCCATTAACTAAATGGATATTGGTAGAAAGGGGGCAGGTATAAGCTATCTTTAGAAGTTTCTGTTCTAGAGAATAAATTGGACTCTCTTAGCCAATTATTCACATTTTGAAGTCTTATCATTAGGAGATTAGGAACAGCAAAATTAAATGGCTGACATGCATGAAAGCTGAAAGAGAACCTAATGTGGGAAACATTTTCCATCTGGCTCAATTACTTAGTTGCCAAAAAATAATAATAATAATAAAATGAACAGGGGATAGGCATATTGTTGCTCTGATAAAAATGTTGACGGTGCTTTCACATGCCACTAAAACCTCCTTCAGGCTGCTCTTGAGATACACTGTCATGTCTACAGAGGCAGACGCCTCTCAATGCCAATGTCATGGGACAAACAAGGATCACTAGGTCTTTCCTTTCCGTGTTTCAGGCATCTCTCATTGGCAAAGAATTCAAAACGCATTTAAAAATAAGTACTCAGTGCCTGAATTACTTTTTGGATGGAGATGACATTTGTGTTATTTTTCCACTCTTAAAAAATAATAAAACTTCTGGAGAAAAATTTTTATTACATATTTAATACATACAAAATAACTTTTATATACCCTCCACTCAGCTTAAGGAATAACCTTTCCGGTACTCAGAAGCCCCCTGTATAATCCCACCTTTCCCTACTCCACAAGCGTTAACTTCCCCTTAACTTAGCACTCCCTTGATTGACCACACCATGCTTGGTAACCTAAACAACATTTCAGTTGTATTTCTGAGTTTCTTAAGTGGAATTTTATTACTTTATTCTTCTGCAACTTGTTTTTCTCACACAATGCTATGTCCCTAAAATTCATGTAAATGTAAAGAGTACCACGCTGTATTTATACATTTGCCTACTGATGGGCATTAAGGTTTCCAATTTTTGCCAGGACAAGCCACATTGCTGCAGACATCTTAGGGCATGCCTCCTGTACATGCATACAGCTCTTCTGTGGGGTAGGTTACCAGCCCACAACTGAAACTGCTGGCTCATAGAGTGTCCATGTTTTCCAACTTTACTAGACATTGCTACACTCTTTTCCAAAGTGGTTTCAACAATTTACACTCCCACCAGAAAAGTAAAAGCTCCTGCTATTCCATAACCACACCAAAACTTGTTTTTTTCTTGTTTTTTTGTTTTTTTTTTTTTTTTTTTTTGAGATGGAGTCCCACTCTATTGCCCAGGCTGGAGAGACGGGCGCATCTCAGCTCACTGCAAGCTCCGCCTCCCGGGTTCCCGCCATTCTCCTGCCTCAGCCTCCCGAGTAGCTGGGACTACAGGCGCCCGCCACCATGCCCGGCTAATTTTTTGTATTTTTCTAGTAGAGATGGGGTTTCACCGTGTTAGCCAGGATGGTCTCTATCTCCTGACCTCGTGATCTGCCCACCTCAGCCTCCCAAAGTGCTGGGATTACAGGTGTGAGCTACTGCTCCTGGCCGGTATTTTCTTAATTCTTTTAATTTTTGCCAATTTTATGAGTATAAAATGGGACCTCATTGTGGTTTAACTAGCATTTCCTTGATTACTAATTAAGTTGTATTTCCCCCTCCACATTTATTGGCCATTTGGATTTTCTCTACTGTGAAATTTCTATGTTTCTTTTGAGCATTTTTTTCTTCTACTAGGTCTTTTTCTTATTGATTAGTAGGAGTTCTGCATTGTATTCTGGATATAAATCCTCTGTTGATCACAGGTACTGAAAATATCTTCTCCTAGCTTGTCTCTCACTTTGGCCATAATGTCATTTGGTGACTTTAAGTTCTTATCATGATATAATGAACATGTATCAACTTTTTCATTCTTGTTACGTTTATTTTATTATACATATATATATATATATATATATATATTTTTTTTTTTTTGAGGCAGGGTCTCACTCCATCGCCCAGGCTGGGGTGCAGTGGTGTGACCACAGTAGAGGTGCCCACGAACTTCTGAGCTCAGGCAGTCCTCCTGCCTCAGCCTCCCAAAGTGCTGGAACTATAGGCGTGAGCCACAGCGCCCAGCCATGTTATCCTGTTTAATCATCCCTGCTCCAAGGTCATAAATATTCTTCCATATTTGTTTCTAGAAATAATTTTTTTCATATTTATCTGAATCCATTTGGTATTTATTTTTGTATGTGGTGTATGACTTGATCCTTACAAGGCAAAGACATTCATGTGAAGACAGAGGCAGAAACTGAAGTGATGCAGCTCTAAGGCATGAACGTGAAGGACTGCCAGCAACCAGAGGCTAGGAAGAGATGGGGAGCAATTCTTCCTAGAGCCTTCGGAGGTCGAGTAATTTTGGACTTTTAGCCTCCAGAACTGTGAGAGAATAAACGTCCGATGTTTTAAGCCATTCAGTTTGTGGTATTTTGTTACGGCGGCCCTAAGAGACTAACGCAATCCATATGAAGTATCCCAGAGCACTTGTCGAAAAGTCCATTATTTCCCCAACTAAACTGCAGTGTCACCTGTCGCCTCTCCCTACTGTCAGGCCAGTTCCGCCACAGAGCAAGATTCCATGTACGCGTGGCGGTCTTGTCTAGGCTTCCCACTTACGCGCTGACCCACCTCAGCCCCTGCATCTACACCACACTGCTCTTCGTTACTACAGCTTTACGGCAAGGGATCTAGCAGGTTAAATCCTCCCACTTGTTGTTCCTGTCATTTCTCTTTTCCATATAAATTTTAAAATCATCTTATCAAGTTTCAGAAAAAAAGCATGGCGTTTTTATGGGAATTACTTTGAATTTATATACCAATTCAAGAAGAATTGACATTTTTAAAAATAATTGAGCCTTCTTAACCATGAACATGACAAAGCTCTGTCTATTTAGATGTTAGTTTAATGTCTTCTGATATAATTTTACATTTTCTCCCATGAAGGTCTTGTCAGGTCTGGTCCCACATTTCTAGTATTTTCTCTTGGTACTATAATGGTATACTTTTAAAAATTATATTCTTAAGCAGGGAATCGTTTAAATAAAAAAGACAAAACTTTGCTGATCTTTAGAAACAGTACCCAATCATATACTTACACCAATAA
The DNA here is from genome assembly GCF_000001405.40 of Homo sapiens. Lineage (NCBI taxonomy): Eukaryota > Metazoa > Chordata > Mammalia > Primates > Hominidae > Homo > Homo sapiens. The sequence goes on along the minus strand of NC_000022.11, from coordinate 40,206,235 downwards.
GTTCTTTAATGAGCATCTCATACAGAAATCAGATATTTTAGTAACTATATTAATATCTAATATGTCCATGCTCAAAAAAACAAAAAATAAAAAATTAAAAAAATATATTTCTGGGCTCATTATGTGTTGGACATTTCCCTAAATGTGTAAACCTCACTTTCCTGAGGAAAATTCTATGAAGCTCACTGTACAGTTGAGAAAACTGAGGCTTAAAGAGGTAAAGGCCCAGGAGGCAGCTCTGGAAACGGAAGCCAGCATGTGGCTCTACTGCATTATTTCTTAAGTACTATTGCGTGGATCACCCCTTCGTCATGACAGATGAGAAGAATAAAATCCACCTTAACCTCAGAACCCAAAAAGACTTTCCCAATAATCAAAATCCCTTCTGGCTGCCTAAATTCACTTGGTGGGTTCTGCCAATCAAAGTAGCATTGAAACTTACTGCACTTGTGGATTCAAAACTACTGTTCTGATTAATTTATAATAAAATGCTCTCCAGATGATAAACACTCAACACTTTCAATTACATTTTTAAAGTAATTAGATAATACAGTAAACCAAGAATGTCATAAAACTAGTATTACTGTTAGGCAGTGGTAGTTTCCAGATATTTTTTCAATTACTTTCTTAAAAATGCTCAATGCTTAACTGTCAATTTTCAGATTAATGACTCATTTTCAAGATTCAGTAATGGACTTCACCTAGATCCCAAAGCTTCTAGGTTGATGATGATTAGTGTTTCTATGGACAAACCAACAGTGAACCATTCTAGTGATTTTCAGTAATTACATTAATATATATCTAAATTCTTTCTTAATCTATAAGCCACAGAATCAGCATATCTAGAATACCAGTAATCTTCTGACCTTAGCCAATACCAAGTAATCCCTTTTCAGTACTGGTGCACAAAACTTTGGTCTCACCTTATATTAATGGATAATCTGTGAACACCATCTACTTAATTACATTTGTTTGCTTACTACAATGCTACAAATATTTATTAAACTTCTACTAAGTGCTTGAGGTAATCAGTGAATGCAACAGACAAAAGATCCTGACAATTTTCACTATGAGGTGGGAACTCAGCACACTCCAGTGTGGCCCAGTAGTGGTCAGGAACAGTTGATCAATTTATTAGATCACATCTGTGGAACACACCTGAGATTATCATTGTGAAAATTAACATATGTTAGGCAAACTGCTCTTAGCTACATAGTTGTATACTGTCTTCAAAATGGAAAAACTAAACCATGATGTTCAGTAAGATAAAAATGTACCTGTACTTTCACAATAATAACTGATGAAAGTGTTTAATGTCATTAATTTCACTGGATAAGTGAAATTGAAGGTTAGAAACCAACTACATTTTTCCTATGCCCATTTTAGTGAACTGTTGGTATCACTATAAAAACCAAGTAATTGGCAACTTATTAAAAATAGAAAAAGCAGCAGCAGCAGCAGAGACAGAACAATGGCAGGTGGCCTAAGTACAGCAGAGCTTCTTAGTAGCCGCAGGCAGCTCTGTCACTACCAGAGTCAATTATTCTCACAGAAGAGCATCAAGGAGGCCAGGCAGCCCCCCTGGGTCAGTTACACATGTATCATTTAGAGATAACATCCTGCTTACAAATAGTGGTGCAAACATTGAAACCCAAGTTCCACAACTGCTTTTGCAACACATAAAATTTACGCTCGCTAGTCACTTGTTAGCATTTTTGGAATGCAGTGGGACAGAGGAAGCAGAAGGTCAAGCCCGTAGCCAGGAAAATGTACACTGTCTGGACTCTGTTAGTCCCTGGGGACTAGAGTGGCAGGGGATGAATCTGGAATGACTGGCCCTGGCTACTGGCCACAGCATCCCAACAAAGGCAAAAAAAATTGAACCTACATGCCTGGTTTATCCCAATGGTCCGTGAATAAATGCCAGAGGCTTACATTTCACAGGACTGACCAAAATTCACAAGTATGTAAAAAGTTCCTGCCCTATACCTCCTTTTCCTATAATTAAACAACAAAGAACCCACAGAGTCTGAACACAGTACAGATGGCTTATGAAATACAAACGACAAAATATTCATATCCTCTAAAAATTAAAGAGATGTGGTGGCATATAAAGACACAGAGTTAAGTATTTTGCTCAAAACTCTGCATTATAAAATGTTTCTCCTTTCTCTTTGCTGTCTTTTTGATTCGCTTTTATTTATTAAGAAGCGAATAGGGATGAAAAGTAGAGGGCTGAGGAAGGTGATGCTATTTGGGTGGGGAGATGGAGAGAAGGAAAACTGAAGGAGGAAAGAAAAAGCAAAATAGACACATCATAAAGGGCAATAAAAGAACAACTAGAGGCCCACGCCGATGCTGGACACCCTCCTCCCTCTCTGACTAACAGCCCGAACCCTTTTAGCATTCTACATCACCGAACCCTTAGAAAGATGGGGCTAGAATATTCAGTGGTTCCTGAAGGTACTTCTCAGCAGCACCTGCCATGTGGCAGGAAATGAAAACAAAACAAAACAAAATTGGCAGAAGCAGAAGGCCTCACCACACGATTCTGTTCTGATGACTGAACCTCAGGCTGTATAAGGAAAGAAAACACTTGGTCTCAAAACTTCATTTTAAATACAGAGCTTATTATAACTAAAGAATTACCATAAGTGGTATCTATCAAAGTAATCAAAGAGTTTTTTAGGCTGTTTTCCCAATTCTATTTTACCTTCTTCAGTTTTCCTTCTCTCCATCTCCCCACCCAAATAGCACCCAAATGTACAAAATTTGTACATTTTTGCATTTTTATGACATACCTGGAAGAGATTAAAGCAGACGCAAGGAGTACTCTCATGAAGGTGACTTTTGTTACGGAAGGGCAAATGGCAGGACATGAAATGATGGAAAGAGCAAAGTGGGTCATAGAACCAGAAACAACCCTGGTGGGAATCCATTAAGGGGGTGGGCCAGACCCTGGACAGGGGTAAGCCTGGCATGCTGTGACATATTAGGTCTTTGCAGAGTGTCCTGACACCTGGCTGGGAAGCACCCATAGCTTAGAACCAAAAATATGTTTTGAGCTACCAGTTAAGTTTGCTCACCAACATGTGATCACCAATAACTACTTCTCTCTACTATACTCAACAAGACAGGCTGATGATCAGTGGCCAGCATTTTTTGAAACCTGCTACTGAGCTAATGCAACCTGCAAGGCTGAAGCCCATTCAACACAGAACTTGGCCTTATCATAGTCTAAGACAATGGCCTGAAGTCCTCCTCACTAAATTCAGTGTGTTAGATCAAACATTAGTGAAAACCTGGGCGAGAAGGAAAGGGCTAGCAAGAAAAGACAAAATGTGTGGAAATAAGACGGATGGAAGCAATGCTGACAAGCTGTAACTTTGGAGATACCCAGTAGTGCAGACTCTGAGGTAAACGGTCAAGAGCAGAGCTCCTTCCACCTGCAGTTATCCCCTCCACGCAGTCTACTCCTGGCCCTCTTCCAGCAGGCACTCGACACATGGACTCCTCTGATACACCTTCAAGGACTAGGGATCCCTGTGGCCAGGGACACAGAGGAAATATTTTGGTCTTCGTGAAGCTATGAAGGTGTTGATCCAACACTGTGGGCTATGTATTTCAAAACTGAGAAACAAGTCATTCGTTATCTTAAGACAACACATAAATCGGATTTATCTTAAAGAAAAGGGTTGTCTCTTTCTGAAAGATGGACTCCTTTTTGCTTCACAGTTTTCAAGCACATCTCCTGTCCTACATGCGTTTATATATAGTTACAGCAGCAATGGTTTATTTACATTCCTCCACTGACTGCAGAAAACCACAATCTATTTGTAATTATAATACCCTAAAAATAAGTTATTTGATTCTTTCAAATGTGAAAAGTAACAAGTGGCAACATTCTTGTTAAAAACTCATATAGAAAGTTGGTCATTTGCAAAACAGGTCTGCCAAAGGCAAAAAAAAAAAAAACAAAAAAACAACAACAACACATACACATTTAGAGGTTTTAAAAGCCTATTCTGGTTTTTCAAGCAGGGTATACAGAAACAAAACATCAAATTAAATGACTTTAACTCAACTAGAAGTAGGAATTAATATTATTCCTTTCTCTGACATTCAAAGCTCATCAGGCAAAGTTCTCAAGACAGTATTTTCTTGGCTTACACTACTTGAGACAAAAGTATTTCCTAGTGATTAACATTACGTGACCCTTTCAAACCTGAGCAAAGCTCGCCTAACTATTCTAAAATGGTATTACAAATTGAGTATTCCTTATTGAAATGTCTGGGAACAGAAGTGTTTCAAACTTTTTCGGATTCTGAAATAGTTGCATGAAATTTACTGGTTGAGCATCCTGAATCTGAAAATCTGAAATCCGAAATACTCCAATGAGCACTCTCAGTATCGTGCTGGTGCTCAAAAAGTTTCAGATTTTGGAGCATTTTGGGTTGTAGAGCATTTTGGATTTTCAGATTCGGGATTCTCAACCTGTATTTGAAAATGGAGGCTGGGTGTGGTGGCTCACAACTCTAATCCCAGCTACTCAAGAGGCCGAGGTGGGAGGATCGCTTGAGTCCCACCAGCCTGGGCAACACAGCGAGACCCTGTCTCTTCAAAAAATAAAAAATTAGCCAGGTGTAGTAGAGTACGCCTGTAGTCCCAGCTACTCAGGAGGCTGAAGTGGGAAGATCACTTGAGTCCAGGAGGTCGAGGCTGCAGTGAGCCATGATCATGCCACTGCACTACAGCCTGGGTGACAGAGTGAGACCCTGTCTCAAAAAAAAAACAAAAAAGAAAAAGAAAAAGAAAATGCACCAAACACCACATAAAAACAACTTTAGTAGGCCAACCCTTGAGCAGAGAAAAATCTGAAAATAAGCCAGTATTTATCTCATACTGCTCAAGTTCCAGCCCTATATGGCACAGACTTTCAGAGACATGTTCCCTATTCTCCATCTAGTTTTTCACAGCACTCTAACAAAGCCACTAAAAGCAAAACTTCACAACAGAAAGGTAGCCAAATTTTTTTTAAAGATTCTAAAGTGTAAGTGTGCAAAAATGTATACAAGGCAATTTTTAGATTTATAAAAGTACGAATGATAACCTAAACGTCCCTCAGTGGGAGCTACCATTTACCAGGTGCTTGCCATGTGCCACCCACAAGTATAGCACCCTACGTGTATCACCACGTGTGATGCTCACAACAGCTCTGTTAAATGGGGATGAGACACATCTCCAGCCTGCAGATAAGGAGGCGGAGGCACAGTGAAGTTGAGTAAGATTTCAGCACAGTTGCTGGCAGGGCTGGGATACGAATATAGAGCTTGAGCTCCCACCACCATCACATTCCACTGCCTCTCATGAGAGGGAACTTAAAGAAATGATGGCTTCTCCAAATAACACAAGGCCATGCAGCTCTAGTGGCAGGGGTTTTGACTGATGACCATTGTAATTCCCAGGAATACAGTGTGCCTGTGCCTAGCATATCATAAATACTCAATATGACCTACAACATATATTACATATACATTCATACATACATAAATAAAATGCTTAAAAGGGGAGGCTAAAATAAGAAATAGGGAACATTTAATTTTATGTACTTCTCATGATTTAAATTTTAGGCAAGAATATTACTTTTTAGCCGGGCGCGGTGGCTCACGCCTGTAATCCCAGCACTTTGGGAGGCCGAGGCGGGCAGATCACCTGAGGTCAGGAGTTAGAGACCAGCCTGGCTAACATGATGACACCCCGTCTCTACTAAAAATACAAAAAATTAGCTGGGCGTGGGGGTGCACGCCTGTAATCCCAGCTACTCGGGAGGCTGAGGCAGGAGAAACGCTTGAACCCGGCAGGCAGAGGTTGTAGTGAGCCGAGATCATGCCACTGTACTTCAGCTTGAGCAACAAGAGTGAAGCTCTTGTCTCAAAAAAAAAAAAAAAAAAAAAAAAGAATATTACTTTTTAAATTATTTTAAAATTTTGAAACAATCTCAAACTTATGTAAATTTGCAAGAATAGTACCAAGAACTGTCTCTCCCCAGAACCATTGAGGGGAAGTTGTCAACTTGAGGCCCTGTCACCCTGAATACTTTAGTATGTGTTTTCCCAAAAAACAAAACCAAATCACTAGGCCAGGGACTGTGGCTCACACCTGTAAACCCAGCACTTTGAGAGGCCGAGTCGGGCGGATCACTTGAAGTCAGGAGTTCAAGACCAGCCTGGCCAACATGGTGAAACCCAATCTCTATTAAAAATACAAAAATTAGTCGGGTATGGTGGCACATGCCTTAATCCCAGCTAGTAGGGAGGATGAGGCATCATGAGAATCGTTTGAACCCAGAAGGCGGAGGTTGCAGTGAGCTGAGATCGTGCCACTGCAGCACTCCAGCCTGGGCGACAGAGCCAGACTCTGTCTCAAAAGAAAAACAACAACAACAAAAACCAAACCACAGTCCTACATAACCATAATACAACCATCAAAATCAGAACATTAACGCTGATACATTTCTATCATTAAATCCTCAAGCCCCATGTAAGCTTCGTCACCTGTCCCAGCAATAGCCTTTATAGTAAAAAGATCGAGGTCAGAATCACATATTGCATTTAGTTGACATGTCTCTTTAGTCTCCTTCGGTTTAGAATCATTCTTTGGTCTTGCTTTGACTTTCATGACCCTGAAATTTTTGAGGATTACAGGCCAGTTATTTTGTAGAATGTCACTCCAACCAGGTTTGCCTATCATTTCCTCATAATTAGATTGAGGTCATGTGCCTTGGCAGGAACACTGCAGAGGGAATGGTGTGTTCTCTTTGCATCCTAGCAGGTGGCATGATTTCAATTTGTTCCACTGCTGGGATTACCTGGTTAAGGTGGCATCTGCCAGGCCTCTCCATTGGAAAGTTGCTCTTTTTCTCCTTTGTAATCATTAAGTATTTTTGAAGAAGTACTTTGAAATTTAGAGAACCCATTCTTCAAATGCTGAATTTACTGATAAGTCCGTACATAGGTTTTCTTACAAAGTAGGTGAAGCTGTGTGAGAACTCTTAGTTTTCTTTTTTACTCAGCAGGTTCTAATCCATGACTATCACTTCTTAAATTTTGAAATAAACTCAGATTTGGCCAGTGGGAACCGCTTCAAACTGACTCTGGGTCCTTTTGGCATGTTTTCATCACTCTTTGAAGACTTCTTTGCTTTCTAACCCAAGATGTTCCAGGCTCATGTTAAACATTCCTGCTCCAATCCTATAATCAGCCATTTCTCCAAGCAGCTGGGGTTCCTTTTAGTGGAAAATGGGATATAGAAGCCAAGATCTAGAAACCTGATACACTCACTGCTATTGGAATACTGCTGTTCCCAGGCACCCTCCCCCTCTACTACCAACAGAACTAGGAAACAGATGTGCGTATGTATGTGCACACACATATGCATATAAATACACATGCATGCATGCCTTTTGCAAAGATTTTATTGCTATTTTTATCGGTCCTTATTAAAATCCAGGCATTCACACCAATACTTCTGATTCCGATCTAGCATCACAGGGTTAATTCTAGCTGTCTCCTTTCCAATATCTGTAATGTTCTTCAACAGTGAGAGCTGCTGGGGGCCATTATCCTGAACATACTTATTTCATCAATCCTCCTATATTCAACCAATCAATACAGGAAGGGCATCCCAGAAGCAATGGATGCCCTTCTCACCTCTCCTGGGCTCTGACACAGCACACCAGACCCTCCCTCCTCATCCTACTCAGGCTCTGATACCCCTGGCCAGGCCAACACCTTGCTGAGCCCACTTAATAGCCTCTAGGACTGAACTGTTCAGGAAGGAAAAGAGAGAGAAAAGAAGAATGCTTTTAAAATTAAAAAGAATTAATGTAAAAATGTATTTTTTAAAGAATATCTGTTAAGTTAGAACTTGTAATAATTCAGACGGCCAAACTAAAATTCAACTTTGCATCATCTATGAAGAACAGGTTTGCTAAGTAAATTAATAGTGTAAACAAGCTTGTAACCCAGATATTTAACCTACTTAAGAAAACTAATTGTTTTCAAGCACTTTAAAATCACTGGGCATGTACTTGCCTTTAATTATTGTCTAATTACAAATGACTTCTATTTTCTTCGTTATAGCTTTGATAAGCCTTCTGATTATGCTTTAAGAATTACAACTTAAACTCAATACAGTTTAGATCCTTTAAAAATGTCTTTATTAATCAATTGGTTTTTCAATTAATCACCTGAAGTAAACTTTTTAACCATTCAGTGATTTTTCTTTTTTAGTTAATCTGTCATGTTGCTTAAAAAGAAAAAATGGGCCAGGCATGGTGGCTCATGTTTGTAATCCCAGCGCTTTGGGAGGCTGAGGTGGGAGAATCACTTGAGCCCAGGAGTTCAAGACCAGCCTGAGCAGCACAGGGAGACCCTGTCTCTGTTAAAAGAAGTTTTTTTTAATTAGCCAGGCACGGTGGCTCATGCCTGTAGTCCCAATTACTTGCGTGGCTGAGACAGGAGGATCTCAGCTTGAGCCCAGAAGGTCGAGGCTGCACTGAACTATGAATCGCACCACTGCACTCCAACCTGGGCAACAGAACAAGACTTGTCTCAAAAAAAAAAAAAAAGAAAAAGAAAAACGCCTTTCGGCTGGGTGCGGTGGCTCATGCTTGTAATCTCAGCACTTTGGGAGGCCGAGGGGGGTAGATCATGAGGTCAGGAGTTTGAGAACAGCCTGGCCAACATAGTGAAACCCCGTCTCTACTAAAAATACAAAAAATCAGCCTGGGTGTGGTAGCAGGCACCTGTAATCCCAGCTACTTGGGAGGCTGAAAAGCAGGAGAATCGCTTGAACCCGGGAGGTGGAGGTTGCAGTGAGCTGAGATCAAGCCATGTGCTGCGCTCCAGCGAGGGGCAACAGTGTGAGACTCTGTCTCAAAAAAAAACAAGAAAAACACCTTTCAGCAGCCAGCCAGGGATGCTCCCAAAGACCTCCTATTCTGCACACGATCAGCACAGTCTCATTCTCCTGTTGTTTATCATGAATGCAGTGCTGAGGACACCATAAAGCCAGCAAGCTGTTCCCGTCATCTGCATCCATATTTTAAGACACTCCACTTTATAATACAGGGATTCAACCAATCAATTAGCAAATCACTCTGCACTGTGTTTAAGGCAGCTTGGGAAGAGAAGAAAATTTTGGTGGAGTTACAGCACCCAGTTCCTCCACCTCCTCATGTGTACATGGCTGCAGCCTGGTCACTGAGCTGTCAGCACTCCTTTTTTCTTATGAAGATAAAACCATCCTCCACATCAGGTTGTTGGGAGGACTAAATGAGGTAATGGAAGTGTGTGCAGCATAATAGGCACTTAATGAATCAGTTCATGTCCCTTCCCCCCGACCAGAGCCTTATGGAAAAACTCAGCATGACTCAGAGCAATGTTTTAAAATTTGGTTACACAGAACCTCAGAGAGAAGCTACTGCAGAGTACAGGTCATAACTGCGAGCCTGAACCACATCTGCCCTATCACTGCCCCGACCCAAACAAAGGGAAACCAGAAAAAAACATCAGCAAGAGTTCCAGAAAAAAACATCAGCAAGAGTTCCATAATCTAAAAATGAGCAACCAACTCATCCCTGCCTCAGGAGAATAGAAATATTCTAGGAGAAAGAAATGAACAAATAAGCTGTTTTTTCTACCCTGACTTCCAAATAAAGGTGCCAACAAGTCCTAGAGACTCCAACGAGGCCCAGTTTTAGGGTCCTGGACCACTGAGGCACTCATTTATTCAGTGGTGGGTTATCTGGTTTTTACCTCTAGATCTATTAAGTACCAGTAACTATTAGGATTTAACATGTGATAGAAGAAGATCACATTATTAAAAATCCATTAGAAAGCCCCACCTCTACAAAAAAATTAGCCAGGCATGGTGGTGGAGCCTGTAGCCCCAGCTACTCTGGTAGCTGAGATGGAAGGACTGCTTGAGCCCGGTAGGTTGAGGCTGAGATTGTGACATTGCACTCCAACAGACTGAGACCCTGTCTCAAAAAAAGAAAAAAATCCATTAGAGGTAAGCAATTTTTAAAATCAAAGGTGTTAACAATATGATGCACTATGGGCCAACCTAGCAGTGTATTAAAAAGAAAAAAAAAAAAGGCTGGACGCGGTGGCTCACACCTGTAATCCCAGGACTTTGGGAGGCTGAGGCAGACGGATCACGAGGTCAGGAGATTGAGACCATACTGGCTAACACGGTGAAACCCCGTCTACTAAAAATACAAACAAACAAAAAAAATTAGCTGGGCGTGGTGGCGGGCGCCTGTAGTCCCAGCTGCTGGGGAGGCTGAGGCAGGAGAATGGTGTGAACCTGGGAGGTGGAGCTTGCAGTGAGCTGATATTGCGCCACTGCACTCCAGCCTGGGCGACAGAGCGAGACTCCGTCTCAAAAAACAAAACAAAACAAAACAAAACAAAATAAAGCTGAGGATGGTGGCTCATGCCTATAATCCCAGCACCTTGGGAGGCAAAGGCAGGAGGATTGCCTGAGGTCAGCAGTTTGAGACCAGCCTGGGCAACATATCAAGGCCCCGTCTCTACAGAAAAATTTAGCCAGGTGTGGTGGTGTGCACCTGTAGTCCTAACTACTTGGGAGGCTAACCCAGGAGTATTGTTTGGCTCCAGTTTGAGGCTGTAGTGAGCTAAGATCGTGCCATTGCACTCCAGCCTGGGTGACAGAGCAAAGCCCTGTCTCTAATAAATTAAAAAAAAGAGAAGACGACAAAGGCAAAAAAGCTAGTCCCTAATAGTGAATCAAGCAGAGCTGGAAAGGTCCCAGCAGGTTAGACATTTCAAACACGTGGCCTCAAAAGAAAACACTGGGATCAGGAATTAATCTAAGAATTATCAGTAAATAATGCCAGATGATCTATTTGCTCTATATTTTCAATATCTGAAATATCTAAACTTCCTTGGCATGTAAGATGATGTGGTTTTGGTGTGTTGTTTCTTTTAAAACCATTATAATTTGTTTACATCCAAGAAAATATAGTGGCAATCCTTCCAAATTGCCTCAAGAGCAAAGCCAGACATTTAAAAAATGCAAACAAAAAAGGTACCATGAACATACATTGTTGTCTCTGCAAATAATTCTTCTTCACACAGAAGGATAAAGCTGTCTGCATGTGTCATTTGCAAAGCCTCTGCGCTTCCAAAAGGCCTCCAAGCAAAATTTAAAGGAGGGCTCCCAGCAAAATTTAAAGCAGGTCTCCCCTGGGTTTACAAAGGGCCTAGACCCTGAGTGATACATCACAGGACTCAGACGTCCTCCCCAAACCACTGCAGATGCACCAGTGTTCTGTAGCAGGAAACACCAGTTCGCCTCCTTTTAGGGACCACAGTGCCTAAAAGTCTCCCCCTCCCCTTCCCCAAGCTGGTGGAGGGACCAGCCACTCTGGCTTTTCTTCTCTATTGGTGGGGGGAGGACAAGTAAACACAGAAGCTGCTACAGCTCAGAGAATTCACAGGCTGATTGCATTTAAAGCCTTTCCCAATTGTGAGATGTTAGGCATCTTTGTTTCCTATTAAAGGACATTCAAGCATGTGCAAAGCAGGTGGGGAAAACTAAGAGTTCTGTATCAAGGACACTGCTACCTGAAATACAGATATTTCTTCTAAAAGGGAGGAGACAGTTCACAGCCCCCTTCCACACCACGCCAAATATTTCTTCTGGAAGGAAAGCTGGCCCAGCAACTTCAGGAAGCTACTGCAATGCTACCTGGCCTGGGAGAAGTATTTTGTCTGGTTTCTTCCTAGGGCAGAATACCATAATGCCCAAGCACAGAAGCTCAGCAGCCGAGGCCATCGGGGTCACTTCCTACCTGTGTAGCCTCGGGCAACACAGTCTCTCCGCACCAGCTCACAGGGTCTTCATGAAGATGAAATGAGTTAGCACAGGTAAAGCACACAGGAATGCTCTGCCCGGGGTTTACCCCAGGAAGTGCTATCTTAAGCCCTTCCAAGATGTAAATTCCCACCTCCTCCAACCCAGACTCCTTCTTCTTTTCCTTTTCTTCAGACCATTTGCCTGCCCCTGGTTCTTTTATTCTCAACCTAACACGCACTGTCATGCATATTCACCAGCATTCTCCAAAGACCTTGCCCCCTGGTTATCCCACACTACCTTTCTAAGCCTATCCTCACGCAACCTCAGACAAACCCCAACCCCAACTAACTGTGTTCTTCACCTTCCCTTGCTGGGGAAAAAAAACCCCTGCACAGCCACAGATCACTGCAATTACATATAACGCATCTCCTCTCTCAGTGAAGCTCTTAGGGCTGGCAGCCGGTTCTCTTTGCAGTCTTTCTTTTTTTTTTGGAGGGTGGGTGGCGCTGTTCCACATGTTTTATCTTACTTCAAGTTCTTTTTCCCACTCAGACTTCACCTCCTATTCCTACTTTACAGAAACAGTGAATGCTTCCCAGGAGAACTCCCTCAAACACCCTTCCCTCCATTTCCATATTTACTTTTCCTTCTCTGAGGCTAACCTGTCTTCTAGGCAGCAAATCTCTCCCCATGCCTCAGGTCTCTTCTCTGCGGGGAGATTTTTCTCCCCAGGACATCCTCTCTTCCAGGTACAAGTCAACTAACTTTATGAAGTGCCTACGGAGTGCCAGGCTGCAGTCCACAGATGATGGAGGTAGAGCTCATCCTCACGCCTTCAATGCTTACCTCTCTGCTAGCTCCTTCCTATTTGTGCTTCAGAAGGGAAGCCCAACCAGGGCAGCATTTTTCAATCTATTTTTGCTCACTGCTTTATCCCCAGAGACCAGCATAGCTCCTGGAGCATATGAGGCACTCCTAATTATTTGCTGAGTTGTTTCAAGTCATCTTTGATTCACTTATTCATTCAACAAATGGTCACTGAGCACCCTCTGTCAGAAGCTGTGCAAGTCCTGGGGTGACGCTGATGAACACTGTGAGTTCCTCCTGGAGAACTGCTCAATGTATTGCCAGGGAGAGACCCAAAAACCCTTGAGGAGACTTTGCCACGCGACAACAAGAAGCAGGATGAACAATGCGCTCGGCTGCTGGGACTCACTGCAGCCTGATGGATGCCAGTGCTCCTCAAGGCCAAATCTAACTGCCCTCATTCAGGGCTTCCCAAGCTGACCGCTGGGGCGCCGGCCCTAAAATCCTTCCTTTTCGGGTTTCTCTTGCACCATCCTTTTTCCTGTTCTCACCCTGCTCCTCTGAGCAACTCCTAAGGGAGCACTGTCACTCCCATGGCCTAAAGGACCACCTCTGCATGTAAGTAAATGGCTTCCAAGCTTCTGCCTTGAGCTCCAGACCCTTATTTCTGCCTGCCAAGTTATATTAAATGTCTGGCAAATCTAAACATGTCCAAAGCCAAACACATTGCCTTCTACCCCTGCTGTTCATCCCACCACATAGCCCAAACCCCTGCTCTACCCACTGACCGCCTACCCCAATTTGTGGCATCATCCCTTCCCCCAGCCTGGGGCTGATCTAGGATCCCTCCCTCTTTCTCACCATAGCTGATGGACTCATCCCACTTCGGAAGGAGCTCGAAAATCTGGTCTTTACTTTTTTTTTTTGAGGCAGAGTCTCGCTCAGTTGCCTATGCAGGAATGCAGTGGCTCGATCTCGGCTCACTGCAGCCTCCGTCTCCTGGATTCAAGCAATTCTCATGCCTCAGACTCCAAAGTAGCTGGGACTACAGGTGTGCACTACCATGCTTGGCTAATTTTTGTATTTTTAGTAGAGACGGGGTTTCACCACGTTGGCTAGGCTGTCTCCAACTCCCGACCTCAGGTGATCCACCCGCCTTAGCCTCCCAAAGTGCTGGGATTACAGGCATGAACCACCACACCCAGCCTGGTCTTTCCATCTTTATGGTCACTACCTTAATTTATGTTCTCCACTTGTCCCTCTTGCTTTGACTGCCTGTCCCTTCCACCGGATCCTTAACATGAAAATCAGTGGAGGCAAGTTTAGTTTTTAAAACTGCTTTCTACGGGATAAAATCCAAATTTCTGGGCCAGGCATAGTTGCTCACACCTATAATCACAGCTGGATCTTATCTCAGCACTTTGGGAGGGCAAGGTGGGAAAATCACTTGAGGTCAGGAGTTCGGGAGCAGGCTAGGCAAAAAAGCAAGATCCTATCTCTAAAAAATAAAAATAGGCTGGGCGCGGTGGCTCACGTCTGTAAGGCAGGTGGATCACTTGAGGTCAGGAGTTTGAGACCAGCCTGGCCAACATGGCGAAACCCCGTCTCTACTAAAAATACAAAAATTAGCTGGGCATGGTGGTGCATGCCTGTAATCCCAGCTACTGGGGAGGCTGAGGCAAAAGAATTGCTTGAACCCAGGAGGTGGAGGTTGCAGTGAGCTGAGATCGTGCCACTGCACTCCAGCCTGGGCAACAGAATGAGACTCTGTCTCTAAATAATTAAATAAATAAATAAGCTGGCCATGATGGCACACATTTGCAGTCTTAGCTACTCAGGAGGCTGAGGCAGGAGGATCACTTGAGCCCAGGAGTTCAAGGTCACAGTGAGCTATGATCACACTATTGCACTCCAGCCTGGATGACAGAGTGAGAACCTGTCTTGTTTAAAAAAATAAAAATAAAACAAATTTCTTAGAATACAAAACCAATCAAACTACAACTCCAAGCTACCCTTCTGCTCTCCTCCAAAGAGTTAACCCTTGTGCTCCACTAATATCTCACCATTTCCCACTCTCCCACTCACTCCCTAACTCTTTGTCCTTGTTTATTCTATTTCTTCTGCCTGAAACAGAGCAGGGAAGAGACCTGGGAAACATCCAATTCCAGTAATAACAATAATGAAAACAGTAGCTAACACTGACCCAAGCAACATGTTAAACACCTGAAACAAGTTCTCACTGAATCTTCACGATCACTCTTCAAGGTGGGTACTATTACTATCCCTTTACCAATGAGAAAACTGGGGCACACAAGATGGCACAGCTGCTCAACACTGGGCTGATCTGACCACACAGCTGTCCTGACTTCAGAACCTCAGTTCTAAACCACTCCACCACACCAAGCGACTCCCATCTGCCCATTAAGACCCAGCTCAGATGTTTCCTCCTTGGGGGAGACTTTCCCATTCCCTTCCTCTTCTCTATCCTCAAGGATTCCGAAGCGTCGTCTTTATTATGGGCAGCCTCATTGTGTGTCTGTCTGTTTGCATTACTGGTTGAGTTCCAAAGATAAAAACTAGGTCTTCTTACCTTCTTGTTTCCAGCACTATACAGTGCTCGACACATTAGATTTGTTCAATAAATACTGATGCAGTAAACACATCTTTCCAATCACACAGGACCTAGATTATACCAAGCTCCAATTCAAGTCTACCCAGCATGCCAATGCTTCCAAACACCCGACACAGCTAACCATAACCTCTCCTCTCCTCCCCTCTCTGCCCCAGCACTCTTCGAAAAGGAGAAGGAGCAGGCCTTGCTGGGGCAGCCACTCCCACAACCAGCTGATAGCATTATCACACCAGGGCAGGCCAGAGAGCTGCTGGCCATGGCCCTCCTGATTACAGGAGTAAAGTGCATCCAAGAAGCACCTTCTCTCCCTGAGACAGGGACAGAAGGGACATTTGATGTGGGGTTGCCAGATTTAAGGTCTTTGTCATTTAAAATGCAACAGCAGATGATGGACATAAAAATTAAAATGTACATAATATGACAGAAAATCTGCCATGGCCATTTTCATAACTCATGAAGAGCCAACAGGTTAAAATGTATACAAGTAACACAGATATGTAAGTTTTATAACCTACTTGCCATTTTACATAACCTCCAAGACTGAATCAGATAAATTTTGCTGTAAGTTTTGAGTACTATTCTAGATGCTACAACTGCTCAGCACCTAATGGAGTGGGCTTGGTTTTTCTTTTTTCAGACACGAATGTAGAATGGTTATCTGCTCACAGCATATTCAGATGGAACAAAGTAATTTTTTAAAAGGATGAGTCATGAAATCATTATCTTGGTAGTCAATAAATAAGAATGAAGGAAGGTAGTCCCAGACTTGAAATAAGGTTTATTCCTATGAGTGAGGCTAATAAAACCAGCCAGCACATACTTATTGTAATACATACTAAGAGATGGTCTATAATTAGGATGTGGTTCCCAAATGCCAAACTTTAGCACCTGTGATGATCTGTGGGAAAAAGGAAACAATGTAATCATTTTCATAAAGCTTTATTCAATTTAATGAGACGGCTCTTATTCTGAGACTGTTCATTCTACTTTTTTGTTAAAATTTTTTTTTCTTTGAAATGATGGTAACAAATGGTAAGTTTCAAAAATGCCTTTACTTGGCAAATTTCAACTCATGATGGACCCCAATGTGTCTTTTTCAACCTTACAGTTCCCTGAAACCGAAGTCTGGGAACCAACATATTAAAGTGTTTGAAGAGACCTGGGAAACACTCAATTCCAGTTTGCTTAAGACCCAGTTTTAGAAAGGGATAATTGAAATGGAAAGCTAATCAAGCATTTCCCCAAGTGGACACTAAAAAACAAAAACCTGGCACTTTGAAGATTTTATATACACATCACTAAGATTTCCAATGCACATTCCCACCCTAAAGACGTTAAGAAATCCTGTAGCAAGGAAAGGCCAGTTTAATTCACTTTAATTAGGAAAGAAACCTCTTTTTTTTTTTTTTTTTGGGCAGACAAATCTATTAGTACCCCAACAAACAGCGGGAAATGCTGAACTAATCAAATGTACTGAAGTGTGTTCTGAAAACAGAACATATTACTAGTTGAGAGATGTGCCTTCGTGAAACCTGGAAGCTGGAAGACAGCACAGCAGTGTTTTCCATGAGGCTTTTCCAAAAGAGAATACATAATCTGGTAGCTACAAAGGTGTTTCCCACTTCAGTTTCTCTAATATCTGGGGGAGAAAGTATAAACACATATTCATTTCTCAATATAAATATATCAATAGCCACTTCTCAGTATGGATGGCCAATTCGGTTTGATCAGAATGAGATACCCTGGACGGGGAAGACAACACTCTGGGCATCAAAAATATCCATCTTCTACTTGCTGAAGTAACAAATTAACGTTTTTTTAAAGTCACTAACAAATCTGGTTGATATGATAACTGAGTGGGACTGATAAATGATTCTTAGACCAGCAAAAGTGGGGATCATATGCTGAAATGGGGCAACTCATGAGTAGTGCCTTCTAAATGTTTTGAAACCATGGTAAGACAACCCTCAGTGATCATTAAATCAATTTAGTGGGTTGGAATTAGCTTGTTAGGGATTTGTTCTGTACCATACAAAGTGGACTTAAAAGACTGTATCTGACTACATACACTTATTATCAGAAAGTAAATACTTCTGTTTCAGCATAAACATTCACATGTCTATGGGTTTCAATACAAATTGAATTTTTTATAGTAGAGCCAATCAAAAAGTTTAAAAGCCACTGTTCTAAGCTACCTAATTATCTAACTAACTTCAGTTTATAAATGGGAACTTCTTGGCATTAAAAGAACAGCAATTATTTTCGGTAAGCAGAGGGGTAAAGGAAACAACGGCAAGAAGAGGCAGCAACTGATCACAAGCTTCGCTGCCCTGGGATCCTGGAGGGGAGCACACGCGATCACCTGCTAGGTCTCTGACCTTACTAAGGCATTAAAGGGCATTATTTCTGCTCACCACTATACAGTCTGGTTTTTATAAAAGCATAAATGAATAACCAAAATGCACTTCTAAAGAAAAACAAAAATGTAAGAAGTCATACTGATTAAACAAACAAAAAACAAGACTGAATAGCTGATATCCCAAACTCTGACAGGGCACTTCACAGAAAAATAAGCTTCTCTATGTCAACTGAAATGAAATCATGTAGTAACCAAAAACCAGCACTTACTCTCTCCAGTGTGAACAAGGTTTGATTCCAAGCAGGATTCAAGATCATTTCTTTATTTTGTTTTATTTTTTTTTGAGACACAGTGTTGCTCTGTCGCCCAGGCTGGAGTGCAATGGTGTGATCTCAGCTCACTGCAACCTCCGCCTCCCAGGTTCAAGCGATTCTCTTACCTCAGTCTCCCAAGTGGCTGGGATTACAGGCGCCCAGCTAATTTTTTGTATTTTTAGTAGAGACGAGGTTTCACCATGTTGGCCAGGCTGGTCTCAAACTCCTGACCTCAGGTGATCCACCCGCCTCAGCCTCCCAAAGTGCTGGGACTACAGGCGTGAGCCACCGTACCCGGCCAGATTCAAGATCCTTTCTATCTTTACTGGTTATCACTTAGATGGTCTAGTTAACAGCTGCAAAGCAGTCTCAATCAATGAGATAATTAAATGAAAATCTTTGAACCTGCTTTTTATAAACTGAAAAAACCCACCCATATTTAGTAAATATGCGTTCAATTGGCCCAGGTCGGCAAAAAGTACACAATGACTAAACGGGGCTAAACGGAGAAAAGTGAGATAAGAAAAGTGAGAGACAAGCACAACATAATTAGCCTGGTGGCACCCTCTCCCACCTCACACCTCCACCACACAGGGACGCTGGGACACTGACTTAAAGCAATCCTAACTTCATCCCCCCACCTGAAGCCACCACCTCACTGACTCCAGGGAGTGCAAAAGAAACTCACAAACAGTAACAGGAACGCTCCCACCCCTCCTGCTGGATCTGTTTTTAAGTGTAAGCCTCTGCACCAAGCATTTCAGAAACATGGCACAAACCGGTATGTTTAGGAACTTCTACCAATGTACCATTCTGCTGACTGTAGCCCAAACACTATTTCAAATTTTGGAATCTGTGTATTTTCATAAAAAGTTTGTCTCCTCACATTCAAAATTAGAGATTTGACCCTTCTAAATTCTAAAAATTCCACTAGGATAAGCCAACATGTATTCTAAGAAACACTAATCCTGTGAAATGCTTTGCGATGGTGCTAAACCATTTTGGGTATTTTCAGAGTGCACATCCGCTGTACAGTAGCCTATTTTACTTCGCATAACCCTCCCTGTGCTGTCCAACAGAGTAGCCGCACGTGGCTACTGTGCACTTGCAATGAGACTAGTGCCACTCAAACTGAATTTTTAACTGTATTTTAATTAATTTAAATTTAAAAACTGACATTTCCATTGCTGGAAAACTTTTTTATGTTTGGAAAAACGTGGGTATGTGAACCTACTTTTCCATGAAAAAGTAGTAAGTTTTATGAAATCTAAAAGCAAATCAAGTATTTCCAATGAAAATTTTATGTTTGAACTGAAATGTGTTGTAAGCCTAAGATACACACCAGGTTTCAAAGTCTTGGTACAAAAAAAACGTAAAATGTTGCGTTAACATTTTAAAATCAATAATATGTTGAATTAACAATATTTTACATAAATAAAGTCGATATTACTGAAATTAATTTCACTTATTTCTTTTTATTTTTAACTTTTTTTTTTTTTTGAGATGGAGTCTTGTTCTGTCACCCAGGCTGGAGTTCAGTGGCGTGATCTCGGCTCACTGCAACCTCAGCCTCCCAGGTTCAAGCAATTCTCCTGCATCAGCCTCCCAAGTAGTTGGGATTACAGGCATCCGCCACCACGCCCGGCTAATTTTTGTATTTTTAGTAGAGACGGGGTTTCACCATGTTGGCCAGGATGGTCTCGATCTCCTGACCTTGTGATCCGCTCACCTCGGCCTCCCAAAGTGCTGGGATTACAGGTGTGAGCCACCGTGCCTGGACTGTTTACTTTTTTAATGTGACTCCTGGAAAATTTAAAATAACACACGTGGCTTGCATTCTGTTCCTACTGGGCGGTGCTGGCGCCATCGAATGATTCCCATACCAACACTGGAACACCTCCCAACACCAGGTTCGGGAATGTTGCCATAACCAAATACTTTTCTTCCTGTGCAGCATTTGAACTGCTGCCCACACCTGTGATCGAACAGTTCTTCCCTCATCTTCTGTGATGAGGAATGACTGTCCTTCAGAGCCACCGTTCTTTTTATCCTTTCCCAGGTCCTCTTTCTCTTCCCGTCCCCAAGGTCTCATTCTCAGTTCTTTTTTCTATTCTTTACAGTCCCATGGTGACCTCATCCTCTCCCTTACCTTCGACTATCACTTCCACGTGGAAGCCTTCCAAGTCTTTATCTCCACTTCTGACCTCTTTCTCAAGCTGCAGATCCACACTGCCAGCTGCCTGCTAACCAGTTCCATTGCCAAGTCCCACCAAATTCTCCAATTCAGTAAGTCTGACCTGGAATGCGTCATCTTCCTTTTGGTTGAAGATTCCCATCATTCACCTTAAAAACCTGGTCCCTAGTTGCATGGCCATAGCCTTATAGCAGGACCTTTCATAACAGTCCTTTTATCCCCTAATTGGCCTGCCTGTCTCTCAATTCTTCCTTTAATCAGTGCCCCCCCACCAAGTCCTCCTCTGCACCACTGCCATATCAAAATTCTCACTGCACTGCCATCAAATTTTCAACAGGTCCCCACCGTCTACCATAGCAATACAAACTACTCAGCAGGCACTCAGCTCCTGTACACGTGTGCAACCTCCCCTCAATCCTCCCTGGACACACCTAGTCCTCCTCCACCTTACTCTAGCTAATACAGCCTGCCATGAGTCTACTCACCACCATTCTGCCCAATCTGTAGGGTTCCACTCAAATACAAAGTCCTCAACAAAGCTTTCTCTGATCAACACAGTTAAAATCAGTGTCTCTCCTCCCTCAAACTCCTTTGGTACTTCTAATAATCATTATGGTAATGAGAGTATATGGCCTTATCTTTATAAAATAGTACAGTATTCCCTTAATAGCACTGAACAGCACCTTGCACTGCATAGTACAGGTATGCCATCTTTGGACACCTTACCAAAGAAATCAACTTAAAAAGGAAAATCTTGCCAGGTGTGGTGGCTCACACCTGTAATCCCAGCACTTTGGGAGGCCGAGGTGGGTGGATCACAAGGTAAAGAGAACAAGACCATTTTGGCCAACATGGTGAAACCTCGTCTCTACTAAAAATACAAAAATTAGCTGGCCGTGGTGGCACATGCCTGTAATCCCAGCTACTCGGGAGGCTGAGACAGGAGAATCGCTTGAACCCGGGAGGCAGAGGTTTCAGTGAGCCAAGATTGTGCCACTGCACTCCAGCCTGGCGAGCAAGACTCCGTCTCAAAAAGAACAAAAAAAAATTTGGTAAATTTGGAACTACTGGTAACTCTTAAGTCTTTATCTCCAGACCGGACCTGTAATTACTCCAGCCTTTCACCTGGATATCTCAGGATTCAATGATTCCAAAACTGAACTCATAATCTCAACCCCACACCTGTGCCTCATCTAAATGCACCCTAACTCAACGAATGGTGGCACCATTCCCACAAGAAGCCAGGCAGAGACACAGGTGTTATTTTACATTTCTCCAACCCCATCTTCTCATACCCAATGACCAACTCCTCCAAAATCTTCCTAAATGCCTCTGGAACTCATTCATTTGTCCCCAACTCTGTTGTCAGTTCAGGCCACTATGACCTGAGATTACTACAGTATCATCTGGTCTGACGTGCAATGTCCCAGCCAGTTTCCACAACACACCAGAATCGTCTTTCAAAAATCCAATCTGAACAAGTGACTTTCCCACTTAAAACCCTTCAACTGTTCTCAGGAAAAAGACTTTCAAACGTGGCTTATACACTCTTCTGCATCTGGTCAAGGCTTAGTTTTTCAGCTTACCTCTCATTTCTCAGATTATTTCTTCCCTTAAGCACACGACACTCCAACCATGTCAAAGTACTCTCTATGCTGTTCCCCAAATATGCCAATGTCCACTAGTGCCCCGTGGTCTTTGCAGAAGCTGTTATCTCTCTAGGTGTCCACCCTTTTTAACCCCCCAACACCCTGAGCACCAGCCAGCCCCTTGCATCTATTCTCTAACTTCAGCAGTCGTGTCTGGAGAAAATCTTCACACTACTGCTAGGCTTGTACTTGTACTTATCAACACCTGGCATGTGAAAAGCACTCAGTAATTATTTGCAGAATGAATGAGTAAACAGATCATTTTCTAAGTTTTTTAAAAAACAAATTCCAACGTCAATGAATGAAAGCCATTTTTCTGTCACCCATATTAATTCAACAGCATTGTATAAAGTGGGCAATGGACCTAAATTTTCATTTTGCCCATTGAGTCAAAACTGGCTGTTGTGCACGGTGGCTCATGCCTGTAATCCCAGAACTTTGGGAGGCCGAGGCAGGTGAATCACAAGGTCAGGAGTTCGAGATCAGCCTGGCCAACATGCCGAAACACTGTATCTACTAAAATATACAAAAAATTAGCTGGGTGTAGTGGCAGGCGCCTGTAATCCCAGCTACTCGGGAGGCTGACGCAAAAGCATCGCTTGAACCCAGGAGGCGGAGGTTGCAGTGAGCAAAGATCACGCCACTGCACTCCAGCCCGGGCGACAGAGTGACTCCATCTCATATTAAAAAAAAAAAAACAACCTAGTAATAATTTAGTCAAATAAACAGAATTTACATGTGTGGGCCCAGAATAATCACAATGAGGGAGAAAACGCTGTATTCAATGTTCTCCTTTGCCTTGTAAACTCTAAGACCAATTCATTTGAAATTGCTGAGAACCTTCTGATGCAAAGCACAGAATGTATGAAAAACAGCCAAGTAAACGTGGATACAACACAGAGGCACAGCCTGAAGGAAACTGGAGAGTTATGAAGAGACGACATCAGACCACAGGAATGTAGGGACTTGAATAAAGAGAAAAGGCTCCGTGCTGCTCCTGTCCTTGTGCAGGCTAAAGCTCTGTGCAATCACTGTACAGGCTTCATGATCCTGGTAGCCATGAGAAAGAACAGAGCCATTCTGCGGGGCCATAAAAGCCTTTCTGGTTCATTCAACAAAGGGAGATACAGCAAAGGGGAAGGAAACACTTACTAAGCAACAAGACTAGGTGCCCAGCCCTCACATATAGCATTTCCTTTATGCGTCGCAACAATATATTATCCCCATTTTGCTGGTGAGGAAACGAGCCTACCATCGTCACACAGTGAGTCCTGGTGACCTTATACTCACACATTTTCACTCAACATCCACTCCTGCCAAGCCGTTCTAGATGTTGGGGATACAACAGTGAGGAAAACAGATAAGGTCTCTGCTTTCAGGAAACCGGATAGTATTGTGGAGACGTACCATACACAAATAATTTCAGATGGTGATACAATTTAGGAGTGTTAAAAAAGTAAAATTGAAGGATGTGATAAAATAACTAGGAAGGCAATTCCAGGTTGCAAAGTTCTCAGAGGTAATGCAAAAGATAATTTTGAAGAGATAGTGCACAGAGCTAAAGACAATGTTTAATAAAGTGACTATCAAGTCAAACCTTCAATGAAGTCTCCAAAACTACCAGAAGCAAAAAATTACCACTCATTCCCTGATTATCAGAAAAGATAACTAAGGAGTTATCTCAGTCATAACCTAAAGCAGTAAGTTATATAGTTAGTCACCAGATGGCAAGTATTTCCACATGAACCAAACTATTGAAGGCAATGGGCCAACCAAATTAATTCTTAGATGCCCCAGCACCTACATCAGTGCTTAATAAATTACTGCTGAACAAATATATGACGGAAAGAAGAAAACAATGTTAAGATGTCACTGCCATGAGTTAAATAAATCCCTTTTCTGGCCAAGTGGCTTCAATTCACTCCACCCTACCCCTGACACCCGTCTTAATCACAAGCAGGTGAGGAAAGTGGGATTAGAGTAAATCCACGAACAATACTGTACAGAGAAACAATTAGCATATGCTGTCCCTCTCCCCAGCCACCAGACAGAAACAAGTTCCACTTAAAGAAGTCTAATATCTAAATAACTAAAAATTATTAAATGGGGTAATTATTTGGCTTTTTTTTCTTTTCTTTTCTTTTTTTTTTGAGACGGAGTCTCCCTGTACTGCCCAGGATGGAGTGCAGTGGCACAATCTCGGCTCACTGCAACCTCCGACTCCTGGGTTCAAACGATTCTCCTGCCTCAGCCTCCCGAGTAGCTGGGATTACAGGCAGGCGCCACCACCCTTGGCTAGTTTTTTTGTATTTTTAGTAGAGACAAGGGTTCACCATATTGTCCAGGCTGGTCTCGAACTCCTGACCTCGTATCCACTCACCTCGACCTCCCAAAGTGCTGGGATTACAGGCGTGAGCCACCACGCCCGGCTGGCTTTTTTTTTTTTCTCTCGAGACAGGGTCTAGCTGTTTCCTAGGCTGGAATGCAGTGGCACGATCTTGGCTAACTGCAGTGTCAACATCACTGGCTCAAACTATCCTTTCACCTCTCAGCCTCCTGAGTAGTTGAGATGACAGGCGTGAGCCACCATGCCCAGCTAATTTTGTTTAAAATTTCTTGTAGGGACAGGGTTTTGCCATGTTGCCCAGGCTGGTCTCAAACTCCTGAGCTCAAGCAATCAGCCTGCCTGGGACTCCCAAAGTGATCACAGGCGTGAGCCACCACGACTGGCCTATTTGGCTTCTTTAAGAAATTTTAAAACAAGGACCCTCCTAATGCAGATACTCAGATACTTCTGTAACCAGGAACTTGCTCTGAATATTGCACATAAACTGCCAAGTTGTGACGATCTGTTTACCAATAATGCTGACCTGGTACTCCTTGAGGAAAGGGACAAAGTACATTCATCTATCTGCATTGCCTCAGGGCTGTGTCCAGCTTAAACTGCAGATGATCAATGATTATATGATCTGAGTTATAAAAATTAAAATCTTTCCAAACTTTTCAGTCATGGAGCAGCTGGGTAGGGTGAGGAGCAGCTGGGTAGGGTGAGGACCACCCTTATTCCTCAGGGTGGTCCTCAATAGCCAGAGCTGCTCAGCCTGCTCTGCAGAACCTGAAGGTCTCATCATCGCATAACACTCTTCTAGTGTCTCTTGTAGAGCTGAAGAGCTGGAGAAGCCTTAGAAGTCTCTGCTTCAATGTTCGGAAGTTTATTTTTAAAGGACCATCCGAGTGGCCACACAGAATAACAAATGGCCATTCACAGCTGAAGAACAGAGCTGAGTTTGCACCATATATCAAAGATGCCAAAGCTTCCTTTCTGGGAACCAGATGGAATGACTGAAAAGCACTTTAAAATTGAGATACCACTTCTGATGAACGCTACCAATTTTTGTGATCTTTCAGTCATGAACCTGTGACATTTTTTTCTGAGACAGAGTAATGTTGTGATATTATCACTAGTTGATCCAGCATTAGGAAATATAGATTGGTGGGGGGGGTGGCAGTTAATAGGGATTATATTCACTTTCTCCAATAAGAAACTTCCTCTGCATATGCCATCTCATTTTTAAAAAGTAAAACTACAACGTGCAAGTTCCAGCACCCCTGGATATTGCTCTTCATAACATCGGCCACATCTTTAAAGTTTTTAAAGCTTCAATTCACAGTACTCACAGAAAGAAAACTTCAACAGAAGGCACAAATTAAATACTATCCATCTGCACACTTAATTGATTACTCATTTTCATTTCCTTCTGGATGACCATCGTGTTGGTGAGCCAGAAGGATTGGCTCTGCAGGATCTGAGATCCAAAATGGCAGTCGAGCTATCAACTCACCAGAGCCATAATGCTTCCCATACGTGAAGCCAGGTCTTATTTATCTCACCTTTTAATTATCCAGGGGAAAAGAATATTTATAAAAAACATTTCAAAGAATCAAATGGCATTCATTGTATCATTCTCTGTTCTGCCTAAGACAGCAGGTACCCTGCTCTGGTTCCTCCTCTCTGCAAACTGAATTAACCTGCCATTCATATGTTTACACAGCCACAAAAACAAGATAATGGCAAAACATGGAAAGCCTAGGTTTTATCTCCTCTTCAGTAAGACCAACTTTAGGAAATAGGTGTAAAATGAATCATATAACAAGCAAAGCCCCAAAAAAGTGCTTTCATTTTCAGAAAAACAGCAACAAAAATCAGAGCTGATTTTCCTTTAGGTCTACCACAATGCAACATTCTCTATCACTAAGGTAATTTCTCTATCTTTTCCCTTTAAATTCAAGCCGTAAAAAAATTTAGAGACAACTTTGTTCCAGACTACCTCTTTAATGTAATGTTTCCAATCCTTCTTACACAAAAGCTGAATTTATATCATCAAAAAATTTACAGTGAATCTAAACAGTCACTTCTGTATTTATTACCATTACTAACATAACAACATTAATTTTTTAAAATAATAAAATCCTTGCTTGTTAGAGACAGAGGGCTTTAATTATCTTATGTATTCAAATGGAAAGTCTTTTTGTTAAATTAGCGTGAAAGTCCCTTCATCTACACACAATTGGCCCAAAGAAACAGGCCATTTTCAGCACAAGAGGCCAATCCATTTTAAGAGTGAATAAAGCTTTTGAAAGCACCACACACCCTCTTCCAGACTGTCAAATTTTCAAAATGGTCCAGCATTTTTTCCACTTTATCTTTTTTAACACTTTCAGGCCCAGTAAGCATCTCATAATTAGATTAATTAAAAAGGAAACAACA
Organism: Homo sapiens; assembly: GCF_000001405.40. Lineage (NCBI taxonomy): Eukaryota > Metazoa > Chordata > Mammalia > Primates > Hominidae > Homo > Homo sapiens. The sequence goes on along the minus strand of NC_000022.11, from coordinate 40,179,626 downwards.
AAAAACACTGCTCCCTTCTGATCAAAATTATTCCATTTATGCTTAATTAGCTTTAATCCACGTCTACATATTTAATGATGGGGATATGACAATTCAACCCATTTGCATATTTTAAATGCCTTTTCTAAACTATACTTTGTAACAGATTTAGAAGAACAGTCTCTTTCTCATGCCAATATGCCACAGCATAAATCAGGAGGATACAAATTAGGAAAAAAAGAGAAAAGAAAACAAGGCCTCTCAGAGCCAGGGATGTGCTCAGGGGGGTGGAGTAATTTACCCAGGGGTGGGGGCAATTTACCCGCCACATCACAAACTACAATCCTTTCAGCCCACCAGACCGAGAAGCATTACATCACACTCTCACAATGATAGGGGGAGGAGGCTCTGAGAAAGCAAGTTTTCAGCTTTCTTTCCTCCCTGCTCTCAGGCTTCCAGAATCCTGCATTAGGAGTAATGGAATTTAACTTCAGGCACTGCACAGCTTCAGGGGTTACTAACAATCACATAGACTGCTACTTATACATGTGACCCTAAATGACCACTTCGCAGTGGATACATGGCCGAAACAGGCAACCACACACTCACACGATGAATTTATGCTGAAAAACTCAGTTTTGCATCTGTGTAAAATTAAACAAAAATTTTATTTCGTGAGGAATGAAGAAGGCTAATACACAGGGAGAACTGATAAAGAAATAATTTCTAATCGCGGTGAATAGCTGTTCATATCTTTAAAACACCATGTTTACAACATAGTCCTACCCTTTGGTTGAATCCAGGATCAAAATAAAAGCGCATCTGGCTGCACATTTGAGAACACACACAGAGACCCAGTGCAAATGAGCGCGCGCAGAAAGGAGAGGGGTGAGCCACATATTGCTTGGGAGGTTTTCAAGCAGGGGAATCTACAAACCCCAAACCTCCTGGTGTTCACCCGCCCCCAACCTGATGTTTAAAATGTATTAGGTCTTACTTTAGGTTTTACATCTCTCTAGGAAGGAGGGCCCAGTTTAAAAAATAAAAAGATAGAAAAAGGCTTTCCCGTTCTAGGGCTTGCCCTCCCAGATCCTTTGTCGGCCTTAGCAGCCGAAAGAATGCAAACCCATTTATATTTATGCAAATTTTTGCAGCAGATTTAAGGGGGGAGGGGGAGGTCTGTGTTTTTTAAAAACCTCTTTCTAAATAGCAAATTTCCAATTACTCGCAGCTTCATTTATTGCAAGATAGAAACGATGATGAAAATCTGCATATACATTAAAAGTGCAATTAAATCACTTCAAAATCTAAATATTTTACCACGTCTTTTCCATTTCTAAAATGCCGAACCAAAGTACATCACGGGTCTGATTTACACAGATCCACGAAATGTCTGAAGCCAGTCTCCATGCTAGACAAATGTCGATTTGCAACACCACCAGTGAAAACGGTTAGACAAGATCCATATAAATCAATTGGTTAAAAAAAATTGAAAATATTTACCAACCTCATAAAGTGCAGCAGTGCTTAAATCCAGCAAATTGAGGCATACAAGGTAGAAATGGAAATGAAAAAAGGTCCAAAAAATGAATTCTTTTTGTCTATCTGTTTTTTTGTATTTTAAATATTCAGAAACCAGCAGAGACTCTGTCGGCCATTTTGGCTTGAACTAACTCTCTCTCACACACTCTCCCTCTTGCTCTCTCTCTCCCTCTCTGTCTCTAAAGGAAGCAGCTTTTTGTGACCTTCAAATAGAGGCAGATCATGTGACTTCGGGTAGGTTTGTCAATCAGGAAAGGGGAGGGAGCTGGAGCTGAGACTGCCTTAAAGGGGAAGCAGCCCTTTTCCACTCACTTTCATTTGTGAAATGCTGTTATCTCATACTCTCCGCCTACAGACACTGCATGTGAAAGTGGCAACAGCATAAGGGTAACAGATGAACAAAACAGAAAAACCTTTATTGGTTTATAGAAATATGCTCAGTTGCTAACGATTCTTACAGCTCCTGGATCTTCTCCTGGCTCGCTTGCTAGTTATTCTCTAGATGTTTGGGCAAGCACAGGCTGGCAAACTGCTCTGTAAAAGGGGCTGAAACACAGCTCTACCAAACAAGAGGCTTTAGCTTTGAAAGAATGAGGTGAAATACAGGGCACGACTGATCTCTAAGAAACTCCTAAAATGTATAGAAAAAGACTGAAAGAAACGCACAAAAGTATAAACTGAACTGCAATTCAGAAAGGTTAAGTGACTTATCCCAAATCACACAGCTGAACAGCTGCAGAAGAGGGACTGGTTTCCCAATTCTGAACTCTACACTTATTGTTTTGCCTGTATGTGTGTTCAGTACCTCCTCCCCCAAACCCAAATAAAAACTATGCTTCAGCACTGCAAACGGAGTTTCTCTGGGCTAGGGCAGGTCTGAGTCATCTTTAATCCCCTCCCCCACCGCAGGAGGTAGCTCTGCAGCTGAGGGAGCCTAGGCACTAAATTAAAACCTACCTGGTTTCCACCACTCCTAATCCCTTCTCCTTCGCATATACATCTCCACTCCTACCCACTTAAGAAACCCAAGCTCGGTTTGCATCTCCAGCCCCCGCGGCTCACAGGCCGTGTAACTTCACTGCTAACAGCAAGTAAGTAAGTCCCTTACCCATCCTCCCACCCTGCCTGGCCTCCGTTTTCTCATTGGTAGCCGGCGGAGATTGGGCTTCCCTAGATGGTATCTTTGGTTTCTTTCACCTCTGAAACTCTGCACTTGGCTTCTTTGAGTAGTTCTGTTCATCTTTTCCTGGCCATCTCAAAAGTTCGCCTCCACCCTGGGAAGGCTTCTTGACCCTCGCAGTCCAGACCAGGCCCTCCTGTTAACACTCCCATAATATCCTTTACTACTTCTTCAGAGCAATGGTCATAATTGCAATTTATGAAAGAATGTGCTTAACATTAGTCTTCCCCAGGAGACTGTAAACTGTATAAGGAAAAACACCACGTCTTCACTGCTCTGTGAGGCTCCACACCAAACACCACATAGGAGGTAAATAAATGAATAAATCAATGACTTGGACCCTATTCAGAAGGGCTGGGCTGAGTAGGAGGAAATCTGCCACCTGAATATAAAAAATGTAGGGGAATGAGGGTCACATAGTTCCCAGAAACTCGCATTCATCTATGTTTTAAGGACGGCTTCAGGAAAGAAAGTAACTAAAATGGTAAAAAGCGCATGAGGCCGGGTGCGGTGGCTCATACCTGTAATCCCAGCACTTTGGGAGGCCGAGGCAGGCAGATCACCTGAGGTCGGGAGTTCGAGACCAGCCTGACCAGCATGGAGAAACCCCGTCTCTACTAAAAATACAAAATTAGCCAGCGTGGTGGCACATGCCTGTAATCCCAGCTACTAGGGAGGCTGAGCTTAGCAGGAGAATCGCTTGAACCCGGGAGGCGGAGGTTGTGGTGAGCCGAGATCGCGCCATTGCACTCCAGACTGGGCAGCAAGAGTGAAACTCCATCTCAAAAAAAAAAAAAAAAAAAGTGCATGAGAATGCCCTGTGACTATCGACTCCACCTATCTCTATAAGCCAGAAAAGGGAGGATTCCCTAGTGTGCTTCTCCCATAAACTAGGCTGCCATGCCAGCCAGCAGACAACTGATGGATTCTAGAAACCCGGCTTTCCTTGAAAAGGAACCTACGAATGCTTGTAAAATCCCACAACACTTGTTGTCATCCTGGCTTCTGGGTCTTTATACAGTCTCCCGCCTTTGCTCTTTCCACTCAGATATGACGACAGGAAAGGAGCTGTTTCATGGCAGGCAAAGGCCAATGCCTGGACAATCTGGTAGCCTGAATAGCTGTGGCTTAACAAGCTTCCACTGTCTTTGCCTAGCACTGAGTGAAATAGCCAGGCCCTGCACTGACAATTGAGATGCAGGAAAAAGCAGGAAACTACTAGAATGGAAATTCTGATTATTTAGTCTATTTTTATCCTTCCAATACCTTCCAGATGAGTTACTGAAAGCCTACTTGCTTGTAGCTGGCTCGATTTGTAAAAATGTGTGGAGACTGAACATCCACCTTGTTTTAATTTGTGATGGACATGCTTTCTTTATGAAACTGAACTTTGCTAAGTCTCCATTCCCCAGTGTAGAATATTATTGTATACAAATATTTATATGTGTTGCCTTGTAAGTGTTAAATAGCAAACTGCATGAAAAGTTTGGAAACAGAACAAACATATTTTAAATAAAATATTGGTTCTAATTTCAAATAATATGCTGAAAACATATATATATATATTTTGAGACAGAGTCTTGCTCTGTCACCCAGGCTGGAGTGCAGTGGCATGGTATCGGCTCACAGGAACCTCCACCTCCTGGGTTCAAGCGATTCTCCTGTCTCAGCCTCCTGAGTAGCTGGGATTACAGACACATGCCACCATGCCCAGATAATTTTTGTATTTTTAATAGAGACAGGGTTTCACCATGTTGGCCAGGCTGGTCTCGAACTCCTGACCTCGTGATCTGCCCACGTCAGCCTCCCAAAGTGCTGAGATTACAGGCATGAGGCACTGCGCCCGGCCACTGAATATTTTTTCCTTAACCTCCACATCATCTTTTCTATGCAATACCTCTAAATTTAATACAATTAGTCTAATCGTTTATCTAAAACAAACAAGTGCAATAAATACATTATTTCTCCCTTGTGTTTCCAGACATAATAGATTCTGTGATAGATTTATTATACTTTTTTCATATTAACAATTAGACAATATTTTAAAATTATATTATTGTAAGGTAAGGACACAAAGAAATAAATTTTTTTTTTTTTTTTTGAGATGGAGTCTCGCTTTGTCGCCCAGGCTAGAGTGCAGTGGTGCTATCTCGGCTTACTGCAAGCTCCGCCTCCCGGGTTCACGCCATTCTCCTGCCTCAGCCTCCCGAATAGCTGGGACTATAGGTGCCTGCCACCACGCTCGGCTAATTTTTTTGTATTTGTAGTAGAGACGGGGTTTCACTAAATCACCTCGTGATCACCTCGTGATCTGCCGGCCTCAGCCATAAAAATTATTTTCTAAAACTAAAAACAAGAACATTCAAATGACTGTTATCTTTCAAAGCTGGCACCTTTGGAGGTTACATACCATTCCTCAAAATATTTTTATCAGAAAACATGATTGGCCAGGCATGGTGGCTTATACCTGTAATCCCAGCACTTTGGGACGCCGAGGTGGGTGGATCACTTGAGGCCAGGAGTTCGAGACCAGCTTGGCCAACATGGCAAAATCCCGTTTCTACTAAAAATAACAAAAATTAGCTGGGCATGGTGGCACACGCCTGTAGTCCCAACTACTCAGCAGGCTGAGGCTCAAGAATCACTTGAAGCCAGAAGGTGGAGGCTGCAGGTTGCAGTGAGCTGCAGTGAGCAAGGTCGTGCCACTACCCTCCAGCTGGGGCAATAGAGCAAAACTCTGTCTCTAAAAAAAAAAAGAAAAAGAAAAAGAAGAAAACAAGATTGAAAAATAACTGAACTGAGTATTTAACTCAAAAATCTAGAAAAAGGCTGGGCGTGGTGGCTCACGCCTGTAATCACAGCACTCTGGGAGACTGAGCCAGGCAGATCACCTGAGGTCAGGAGTTCAAGACCAGCCTGGCCAACATGGTGAAAACCCAACTCAAAATACAAAATTTAGCTGGGCATGGTGGTACCTGCTGGTAATCCCAGCTACTTGGGAGGCTAAGGCAGGACAATTACTTGAACCTGGGAGATGGTGGTTGCAGTGAGCTAAGATCATGCCACTGCACCCCAGCCTGGACAACAGAATGAGATTCTGTCTCAAAAAAAAAAAAAAAAAAAAAAAAAAAATATATATATATATATATATGTTCAAAAATCTAGAAAAAGAGTTAATAAACCCCAAAAATGAATAAATATAAAAGCAAGGCTGGCCATGGTGTTGACTCATGCCTGTAATCCCAGCACTTTGGGAGGCCAAAGTTAGAGGTTTACTTGAGCCCAAGAGTTTGAGACTGGGCAACAAACATAGTGAGATCTCGCCTCTACAAAAAAATAAAAAAAGTCAGCCAGGCTTGGTGGGGTATGCCTGTGGTCCTAGCTACTCCGGAGGCTGAGCTGAGATCACGCCACTGTACTCCAGCCTTGGTGACAGATTATATATATATCTGTTTTGTTGTTTTTGGCACAGATATAAAGTAACAGCCAAAAAAAAAAAAAAAGAGTAAACTGAATTAATAAAAACAAAAACTAGGCCAGGCGTGATGGCTCACACCTGTAATTCCAGTACTTTGGGAGGCCGAGGGTGGATCACGAGGTCAAGTGATCAAGACCATCCTGGTCAACATGGTGAAACCCCGTCTCTACTACAAATACAAAAATTAGCCGGGCGTGGTGGCACGCACCTGTAGTCCCAGCTACTCGGGAACCTGAGGCAGGAGAATTGCTTGAATCCGCGAGGTGGAGGTTGCAGTGAGCGGAGATCACCAGTAGAGCGAGACTCCATCTCAAAAAAAAACCAAAAAACAAAACCAAAAACTATATTTTGTTTTAAAACACTAAATAAATGTAGATAATTCTGTCAAAAATCTGATCAATTGAAAGAGAGAAGTCACAAACATTAGGGCTGAGAAAGAGGATATCATAACTGCAGATTTAGAGAAAATCTTTTAACTCATGCTAGAATTATATGTAACTTTACATAAATAAACTTGAAGATTAAATAAGATGGATGATAGTCAAAGAAAACAGAAGTTACCAAAATCAACTCAAGAAAAATTAGGGGAACAACAACCCAGAGCAGAAATCTCTAAGATCTTCAAAGAATGAGCCACTAAGACAACAGCAAGCCCAATTTTCTAGGTGAATGCTATCTAACTCTTATTGAACAGATAATTTCCACGTTATCCTTACTGTTCCAGGAGGTGTAAGGATAAAAGGAAAAGCTTCCTACTTTCTTCCATGAGGATAACATATTCTTGATATGAATTTAGACTAAGATGGTACAAAAAATAAAACTAAACTAATGTTCACTTGTGAAGACAGATGCAAAAATACTAAGTAAAATATTATCAGACAGAACTGAGTAGTTTTAAGAGAATAATTCATTATGACCACATAGGCTTTACACCAACAACACTACACCAACAATACAAGGATGGTTAAATTACAACGATACAGGGACAGTTAAACTAGCTACTAACATTAATCTTCATTTGTTCAATAAATATGTACTAAGTACTTTCCCTATCAGACTCTGTGCTAAGTGCTAGGGATGCAGCAGTGAAGCAGAAGGTTCTCGTCTATATGGAGCTGACATCCTCATAGGAGAAGGAACTCACTGAGAAGGGAATAAGCAGTTTGACAGGATATAGAATAACTGAGAGAGGCTCACTTTAGATAAGGTGCACAGGGAAGGCTTTTCTCAGGAGCAACATTTAAGCTGAGTTGAAAAGCAGATGTTTAGGCCGGGCATGGTGGCTCATGCCTGTAATCCCAGAACTTTGGGAGGCTAAGGCAGGCGGATCTCTTGAGGTCAGGAGTTCGAGGCCAGCCTGGCCAACATGGTGAAACCCCCATCTCTACTAAAAATACCAAAAAAATAAAAATTAAAAAAAAATTAGCTGGGCATGGTGGTGTGCCTGTAATCCCAGCTACTTGGAAGGCTGAGGTGCGAGAATCACCTGAACCCAGGAGGCGGAGGCTGCAGTGAGCTGAAATGGTGCTACTGCACTCCAGCCTGGGCAACAGAGAGGTACTCCATCAAAAAAAAGAAAAGAGAAAGAAAAGCAAATGTTTGAGTGGTCAATAAACAAGAGAAATGATCAGGAGGCTAGGACCTGGGAGCAGGGGATAGAGGCATGAAATGAATCTCAAGAGGTAGGAAGAGCTAGATCATACTAAGTTCTTCAGTCCACAGTAAATATTTCACTTTTGGAATAGTGGAAAGTCACAAAAGAGTTTTCAGCAGGAAAAGAAAACAGCGCCATTTTATCCATTAGTTGCTTTCCACTGAATGCCTAGGGTCCATAAGCTTTTCAGAGACTTAGAAAAATGTTTGGGATCTAAAAAAAAATACAAGTTCAAAATACAAACAAAAAATTTTGACCACAAAAATTAATAAATGCTTAAATGTCCTTTATAACCACTCAGCAGTCCCATTCATTGTTAAATTTAGCATTTATGGCCGGGTGCGGTGGCTCACGCCTGTAATCCCAGCACTTTGGGAGGCCGAGGCAGGCGGATCACAAGGTCAGGAGATCGAGACTATGCTGGCTAACACAGTGAAACCCCATCTCTACTAAGAATACAAAAAATTAGCCGGGTGTGGTAGCATGCACCTACAGTCTCAGCTACTCGGGAGGCTGAGGCAGGAGAATCGCTTGAATCCGGGAAGCGGAGGTTGCAGTGAGCCGAGATTGCGCCACTGCACTCCAGCCTGGGTGACAGAGCGAGACTCTGTCTCAAAAAAAAAAAAAAAAAAAAAAATTAGCATTTATAAAATGTTCATCACATTTGAAAACAATTCTCACCTTGCAAAAATTCCTATACATACATATATATAAACATACATATATAGATACATGTATGTGTATATATATATACACCTATATAGGTGTATATGTCATATATAGGTATATGTGTATATATATACACATATATGTACATATACAGGTATATGTGTGTATATATACACCTATATGTACATATATGGGTGTATATATACACACATATATGCACATATATAGGTATATATGTATACACACATATATGTACATATATGTATATATACACACATATATGTACATATATGTATATACACACACATATATGTACATATATGTATATATACACACATATATGTACATATATGTATATATACACACATATATGTACATATATAGATATATACACCTATATATGTATGTTTATATATGTATGTATAGGAATTTTTGCAAAGTGAGAATTGTTTTCAAATGTGATGAACATTTTATATACATATATGTATGTATGTTCATATATGTATGTATAGGATATATATAAACTATATATAATATATATATAAACTATATATATAATATATATAAACTATATATATAATATATATATAAACTATATATATAATATATATATAAACTATATATATAATATATATATAAACTATATATATAATATATATATAAACTATATATATAATATATATATAAACTATATATATAATATATATATAAACTATATATATAATATATATATAAACTATATATATAATATATATATAAACTATATACATAATATATATATAAACTATATATAATATATATAATATATATAAAATATATATTATATATATATATTTTTTTCCCCCTTGAGATAGGGTTTCGCCCTGTTGCCCAGACTAGAATGCAGCAACACGAACATGGCTCACCACAGCCTCAACCTTTCAGGCTCAAGTGATTCTCCTGCCTCAGCCTCCCAAGTAGCTGAGACCAGAGGTGTGTGCCACCATGCACAGCTACTTTTTCAATTTTTTATAGATGGGGTTTCACCATGTTGCTCAGACTGACCTCCAACTCCCGGGCTCAAGCAATCTTCCTGCCTCAGACTCCCAAAGTGCCACGATTATAGGCTTAAGTCACCATGCCCAGCCCCTAAATATGTTACCTGTTAAGAAGTCTGAGATACTTATGAATTAGTTACTTGTAGCCAAAGAATTTCAGAAGGAGAATTATGAAAAATTCTTTTAAAATGTGACAGCAAAAATAAATAGATAAATCCACATATTTAATATGGGATATGTCTACGTATTTAATATGATATGTGAGTACCTTTTAATTTTTCCTATAAACACGGGATGAAGCCTTCAAAACCTCCTAACGTGAGTATGCCAAGGACCCTTGGAAGTCTTAAAACCACTCTGGTAGAGATACAATCAGATTTGTATTTCTAGAAGCTCTTCCTGGTTTCTGTATGGAGAATACACTACCAAGGATCAAGAGAAGCAGGAAGAAAAGTCGGAAAGCCACTGTGGCCATCTAAGTGAGAGAGGGTGGCTAGAGACAGCTGGGCAGTGGAGGTGGAGAAAAGTATGTAAGTACGCAGTATATTTTGAAGGTAGAAGTGATTCTATTGTAAGATAATTGGTACTTGTTAAGTATGTAATCTTGTGACAATGAAATATCGTAAGGCCAATCAATTCATTCAAAAATAGGACTCCAGACCAGGTGTGGTGACTCACACCTGTGATCCCAGCACTTTGGAAGGCCGAGGTGGGTGGATCATGAGGTCAGAAGATTGATACCATCCTGGTCAACATGGTGAAACCCCGTCTCTACTAAAAATACAAAAATTAGTTGGTTGTGGTGGTGCGCACCTGTGATCCCAGCTACTCGGGAGGCTGAGGGAGGAGAATAGCTTGAACCCGGGAGGCAGAGATTGCAGTAACCCGAGATCATGCCACTGCACTCCAGCCTGGCAACAGAGCAAGACTCCGTCTCAAAAAAAAAAAAAAAAAAAAGAAGATTCCAAACTCTGGACTCACCATTCATTCATGCAGTCAACAACCATTATTTGTTGCACAGCACCTACTATGTAGTAGGTACTATGCTAGGACTAGGCCCAGGGGCATACAAAAACGATTAATAACACCTCAAAGGAAAGACAGGCATGTAAATCCATAATTAAAATATAGCAAAGTATCAAAATGAAAGTATAAATAGAGATATAACATGGCTGTGCTATGGGAATAAAAAGGGTAACTGCTGGGAGAATAAGAAAAGATTTCACAGGGGAGGAGGTGAGAGTTTGAACTGAGTCTCAAAGAATGAGTAGGAGTTTGCCACGGAGAGAACCTGGGAAAGGCAAAGGCTTTTCCAAGTTTTACCAACTTCGGTACTACCAAATCATGGCAAGGAGGTAGGCTGACAAGAAAAAATGTCAATGGGAGAGCTAAGCATTTCTGCTATTCTTACTCCCAACAAAGTCAGAAGATAGAAATAATAGCCAAAACTATGTTAGATCTCCAATGCAACCTAAATCCAACAATCTCTGGATTCAGTTACAAATTAGAATGTTAACATTTATACTATTTAAGTTAGAATGCTAGCAGGCCTTTTAGGGAACAGTTTTTCTCAAATTCCTTAGAATTGAACCTCAAAAGTTAAATCTGCGTTTGGAGGAAGCCTTTCTTGACACTCCAGGCTGAGTCCAGTACCCCCATCTGTGTTCCAAGGCACCTCGTACATACCTCTAAAGCAGCGCCTTCATAGCCTGTTATGATTAACCACTTAATTGGCGTTTCCCCCTCTAAACAATGGACCCTTAAGAGGGCAGAGTATGTAGCTTTTATTTCTGGGTCTAGCACAGAAGAGAAATTCAATTAATATTGTGGAATGAATGAACAAATAAGCAAAGGAATGAATGGATGAATACTATGAACCTAGGTACTTTTAGGCTGTAAAAGAAGACAACACTTATCCTACAGTTCAGAGATAAGACATATGCATGAGGCAATCAACAAAAAAGTGTAAGATAAATTATTAACTGTATGGTTATGCTCTAAGAGAGACCAGTTTGAAAATGGAGGCACTACGGCTTAGATCAGTTGGGTTTCAACAGATAGATAGGACCAGAATGGTTGAAACAGATTTGCTTTGCTCTGAAGCTAATTTAAACCTGCAGGCCCCCTCACTTTCATGGGCCCCTCCTAAAGCTCTAGGAGGGATCCTAACAAAGTGCCCAATTATCCCGTATTTTTTGGTTACTGTTTTTTGTTTTTGGAGACAAGGTCTCGCTCTGTTGCCCCGGCTACAATCATGGCTCACTGCAGCCTCAAACTGCCAGATTCAAGCAATCCTCCTGTCTCAAACTCAGCCTCCCAAGTAGCTAGGACTACAGGCATGTGCCACCATGGCCAGCTTTTTTTTTTTTTTTTTTTTTTTTTTGGTAGCGATGGGAATCTATGCTGGTCTCAATTTTTGGGTTCAAACAACCCTCCCACTTTGGTCTCCCAAAGTGCTAGGATTGAGCCACGGCACCTGGTCTGAAAATTTTTATTGTGGTTAAAAAAACACAAAAAACTGATCATCTTAACCATTTTTAAGTGTATAGTTCAGTAGCATTATGTATATTCACTCTGCTGTGCAACAGATCTCCAGAACTTTTTCATCTTGCACATCTGAAATTCTGCACACATTAAACAACAACTTCATTCTTTTCCCCTTTCCTCAGCCCCTGGCAACCACCATTCTACTTTCTGTCTCTAAACTGACTGCTCTAAGTACCTTGGATAAATGGAATTATATATTAATAGTATCTGTCCTTCCATACCAACTTTCTTGCCATTATGGTTCCCCTTGTGTCAATGGACTTATGAGTGACTTCGGCCATTCTGGAGATCCCCCTAAGGAAACCTTAAGTTGAGGATACTTTTGTTTCGGGTTCAATGGAATAAACTAAATTTATGTGGTTTTCATAAAACTGTGTATGGTTGAGATAATGTTAACCATCAATGTACAAAGAGCTGTTACTAGGTCAACTCACTCTATCATGACTGAAATATGCGGCACTCTATCATGACTGAAATATGCGGGGCCAAATTATGTTATGATATACATATGTCAATTCAAAGGCCATTTCAGATTAGCCAATGTACAAGAAACAGTGAAGCCTGGCAATTTCATAGTGCATATATAAAAGATATTCAATAGAGGTTTTCCCAAAATTGCTAACAATTTTTTCTTTTTTTTTTTTTTGAGACAAAGTCTCACTCCGTCACCCAGGCTGGAGTGTGGTGACACGACCTCGGCTCACTACAACCTCCACCTCCCTGGTTCAAGCGAATCTCCTGCCTTAGCCTCCTGAGTAGCTGGGATTACAGATGTGTGCCACCACGCTTAGCTAATTTTTGGACTTTCAGTAGAGACGGGGTTTCACCATGTTGGCCAGGCTGGTCTCAAACTCCTGACCTCGTGATCTGCCCACTTTGGTCTCCCAGAGTGCTAGGATTACAGGCATGAGCCACCATGCCCTGCCAACACTTTTACAAATTTATATGATGTTACCAATAACAAGTTGTGAGGCAGAAAGGAACTTAATAACAAAAAACATATTTTGGTCTACCATGCTATAGGAAGCACTGAATTATTTACCTATTTTAGAAAATATCACAGAATAGGGAGGGATGATCAAAGAGTATAGCACGAAAAAAAAAAAAAAGAGTATAGCATGGCCAAAAAATGTAGGGGAAAACATTTCACAGCCATGTGTTAGGCAACCAATTAATACAAATATTACATTGTTTTTCTGAATTTTGTGGTATTTGTTAATTTTTTTAAGTTGCCATTTTTGTGATTTATCTCCTCTTTGTAAATAAATATTCACTTTTGAACCTAGTTTTGTCTTTGAAATTAGTTTGCTTTTTCTTGAAGAGTATTCCCACAAAAGCCGGATTTGCAGCTAGTCAGAAAGAAAGATTTCTTTGCCTGCCCAGAGATGTAAGGGAGAAGGAAACCAGACTTGCATGGAAGACCTTCAGGAGAGCCCCTGGCAGGAGCAGAAGTTCTTTTGAAAATATGCATAGACAGGCTAATAGCATCTTAGGGAGGTCCTTAGAAGAAAAGGTTCAGACTTGGCTAGAAAGGCATTTTCTGCCCAAAAACAAAACAAAACAAAACAACAACAAAAAAAACCACCCAATAACTGATAACTGGCTGATACAGTTTGGCTGTGTCCCCACACAAATCTCATCTTGAACTGTAGTTCCCATAATCTCCATGTGTTGTGGGAGGGACCCAGTGGGAGGTAACTGAATCATGGGGGTGGTTACTCTCATGCTGTTCTTGTGATAGTGAGTTCTCATGAGATGTGATGGTTATATAAGGAGCTTTCCCCCCCATTGCTCAGCACTTCTCCTTTCTGCCGCCAAGTGAAGAAGGACATGTTTGCTTTCCCTTACGCCATGGTTGTAAGTTCCCTGAGGCCTCCTCAGCCATGTGGATGTGTGAGTCAATTAAACTTCTTTCCTTTATAAATTACCCAGTCTCAGGAAGTTCTTTATTAGCAGCATGAGAATGGACTAATACACTGGCCTATAGGTAGGATGCTTAAGGAGAACGAAGATAAAATCAGGTCTGTTGGAACATATTCAAGAAAGGACTGAATCTAAAGTTGATGACTGGGCATGGTGGCTCATGCCTGTAATCCAAGTACTTTGGGCGGTTGAGGTGGGAGGACTGCTTGAGTCCAGGAGTTCAAAACCAGCCTGGCAACATAGTCAGGCTTTGTCGCTACTAAAAACAAAAAAATTAGCCAGGCATGGTAGTGCGTGCCTGTAGTACTAGCTACTCCAGAGGCTAAAGTGGGAGGATTGCTTGAGTCCAGGAGGTGGAGGCTGCAATAAGCCATGACCATGCCACTGCACTCCAACCTGGGTGACAGCGAGAGACCCTGTCTCAAAAAGAATTTTTTTGGTTGAGGCTTGAGTGAGCCCAAATTGCACCATTGCACTGCTTGGGTGACAAAGTAAGACCCTGTCTCAAAAAAAAAAAAAAAAAGAGCCGGGGGGAGGGGTGGGTGCGGTGGCTCACACCTGTAATCCCAGCACTTTGGGAGGCTGAGGCAGGCGGATCATCTGAGGTCAGGAGTTTGAGACCAGCCTGGCCAACATGCTGAAACCGTGTCTCTACTAAAAATACAAAAATTAGCCAGGCGTGGTGGTGGGTATGTGTAATCCCAGCTACTTGGGAAGCTGAGGCAGGAGAACAGCTTGAACCCTGGAGGCGGAGGTTGCAGTGAGTGAGCCAAGATCGTGTCACTGCACTCCAGCCTGGGCAGAGTGAGACGCTATTTCAGGGAAAAAAAAAAAAAAACTTTTTTTTTTTTTTTTTTGAGACAGAATTTTACTCGTTGCTCAGGCTGGAGTGTAATGGCGCGATCTCGGCTCACCACAACCTCTGCCTCCCAGGTTCAAGCGATTCTCCTGCCTCAGCCTCCTAGTAGCTTGGATTACAGGCATGCACCACCATGCCTGGGCTAATTTTGTATTTGTAGTACAGACCAGGTTTCTCCATGTTGGTCAGGCTGGTCTTGGACTCCTGACCTCAGGTGATCCACCCGCCTTGGCCTCCCAATATGCTGGATTATAGGCATTGAGCCACTGTGCCTGGTCAAAATAAAATTAAAAAAAATTAATTAAAAAAAAATAAAGTGGAACATGACATGTTAACATGTTAACAATGCCCTTTTTTTTTTTTTTTTTTTAAAGGCAGAGTCTCACTCTGTCGCCCAGGCTGGACTGCAGTGGTGTGATGTTTGCTCACTGCAACCTCCGCCTCCCAGGTTCAAGTGATTCTCCTGCCTCAGCCTCCCGAGTAGCTGGGATTACAGGAGCCCACCACCACACCTGGCTAATTTTTTTTTTTTTCTTTTTAGTAGAGATGGGTTTTCACCATGCTGGTCAGGCTGGTCTTGAACTCCTAACCTCAAGTGATCCACCTGCCTCGGCCTCCCAAAGTGCTTCAATGTACCTTTCTTCTGCTGATAACAGATAAAATATTCTGGAATTAGGCTTTATAATAACACCACCTCAGATTTCAAAGTGAGTGTGTAGAAGAGGGATTCTTAACAGTCGATGGGAACTTATTCATTCAACATATATTTATAGATGCTTTTTGTGCCAGGCACCTCTCTAGGCAGTGACCAAGACAACAGAAATCCATCCTCATAGAGCCGAAGATCTAGCATAAAGCTTTAACCTGATCTTTTCTGCCTTGAGCCTCCCCTCCCCTTATTTTATTTATAAAATTAAATAAAATAAAAAAATAAAATAAAATTGTGAAACACATTATCTATTAAAGTTACCCTTTTCTTTTCTTTCTTTTTGTTTTTGAGACAGAGTTTCGCTCTTGTTGCCCAGGCTGGATTGCAATGATGCCATCTTGGCTCACTGCAACCTCCACCTCCCGGGTTCAAGTGATTCTCCTGCCTCAGCCTCCCGAGTAGCTGAGATTACAGGCATGCGCCACCACACCTGGCTAATTTTGTAGTTTTAGTATAGACGGGTTTCTCCATGTTGGCCAGGCTGGTCTTGAACTCCTGACCTCAGGTGATCTGCCCGCCTCGGCCTCCCAAAGTGCTGGGATTACAGGCGTGAGCCACCGTGCCTGGCCTTTTTTTTTTTTTTTTTTTTTTTTGAGACAGGGTCTCATTCTGTCATCTATTAAAATTACTTTTTTTTTTTTTTTTTTTTTTTGAGACAGGGTCTTGTTCTGTCACCCAGGGTAGAGTGCAGTGGTGTGATCTTGGCTCACTGCCACCACTACCTCTCAGGCTCAGGTGATCTTGAGAAGCTGGAACTACCGGCACACAACAACACGCTCAGCTAATTTTTCCATTTTTTATAGAGATGAGGTTTGGCCATGTTGCCCAGGCTGTTCTCTAATTCCTGAGCTCAAGCAATCCTCCCATCTCTCCCTCCCCAAGTGTTGAGATTACAGGCGTGAGCCACCATGCCCGACCTTGAAGTTACTCTTACTGTAATTAATCCATGGTCCAGGCATCCAAGAAAAATCAAACAAAATAGAATTCAGAATTTATTACGATTCTGAGACTTCTGGGAAAAAAAGACTTTGTTAGAGAATTTTTTTAAAGTAATGTCAATGCAAATTACAAAATTTATTAGCAACTGAAAGTTCCCCAAAGATCTAGTACAAAAAAATGTTGATGGTTTTACAAAAACTCCCAGCAGCAAAAATTCCATGAGTATAAACTATCATCTACTGAACCTCTTTGTGGCATTTTCAAAGTACCAATTAACTTGAAAAGAAAACTCATTTCCCCCAAAAGCTGTTCAAGATTATACAGAAAAGCCAACTATTCTTCTGATGTCTAGCTTACTACTGTGTAATAATGATTGAGTTTACAGAGAGTTCAACTTGCTACTTCTTAATAAATTTATTTCAACATGTACATATTATAATGGTTTAAAGGGGGAAAAACTGGAGAAAACCTTATGGTGTAATACACAAAATTAAAACGTTAACAACAACAACTTTCCTATGGCCAAATACCAACATTTGTGTTCTGAAGATGATTATCTATAAAATCTATGATTTGGAAATATTTTTACTTTGCCCTGTGTTTAGGAAATGCTATAGAGCTGCCCAGGGTTTTTAAATAAACACCCAAAAGAATGGTTCCCAGAAAGTTTAGTGCCTAATTGGGTAGTCAAATATGAAACAAGAAATATGCTAATAAAACCGGGTGCGGTGGCTCACGCCTGTAATCCCAGCACTTTGGGACACCGAGGCAGGCGGATCACGAGGTCAGGAGATTGAAACCATCCTGGCTAACACGGTGAAACCCCGTCTCTACTAAAAAATAGAAAAAATTAGCCAGGCGTGGTGGCGTGTACCTATAATCCCAGCTACTTGGGAGGCTGGGGCAGAATGGCTTGAACCTGGGAGGTTGAGGTTGCAGTGAGCCGAGATTGCGCCATTGCACTCCAGTTTGGGCAACAAGAGCGAAACTCTGTCTCAAAAAAAATAAAAATTGGTATTTGGCTTCAAAATTAGAACAAGTGATCTTCCCACAAACCTTTAGACCATCACAAATATAAATAAGACCAAATCAAAAGCCCGTCTGCATTTTATCTATAATGACCTCTCAAAAAGCATGGTCAAACACAATCTATGAGCAAGTACCTGCTTAGCTGCTTTTTTAAAAGCTGTCATAGTTTTAATATTTACTCCTGCAGTAAACACGTCATGCAATTAAAGCTGTGTAATTTTAATGTAGTAATTATATGGCAATAAACTTTGCTTGTCTGATTTGCTAATATAATTCTCAAAGACAATATCCCAGAAAAATGATTACATTAGATAGACTAATAGTAAATAAACCCCATGGAAACAATACACATAAAGTGTTTACAGCTATATACATTATAAATCTTATTCACATACAAATACCAGAATTCAGCACAACTGATCTAGAATATTAATAGTTTAGCACAGATATTTCTCAATATCACAAGTCAATTATTTTTCAAGAGCTTTCTACATATACAGCTACCTAATCTGCCTCTTAATAGAACTTAGTTCTATTGAAATAAACATCACAGAAAATAATTTTTTGAGGTTTTGGGAACCTATGGTCAAAACGTTAAATGGGGAGATAAAGAAAGTGGCACAGATCAGCTAATTACATAATTTTAGTCCTAATCATTACAAGAATCTGCTCTGTGACCTTGAGTAAGTTACATTAGTCATGTGCTCTACCAGCCTCTGTAAGTGAAATGGGCTGTTTGTACAGGCTAATACCAATGAATGAGAACCATTTGGAAAAAAATTAAGTTAGATCTCTGCCTCACACCATATACAAAACTGAGTAGTGAATCAATTAAACATCTAAATGTAAAAACTAAAATAGAAAACCTAAAGATATTTTATCAGGTTAGGATAGGAAAGACTTCTCAAGGCAAGCATAAAACATGAAAGCCAGAAAGGCTGATTTTGCTATATAAAAATTTAAAAAGTTTGTTGGCATGAAAGATATCTAATGTTAAACAATAAGGACTGAGAGAAAATATTTAAAACATCTCAACAAAGGTTAATAATATCTAAAATGTATAAAGGGCTCCTACAAAGCTATAAAAACAATCCAATAAAAAAGGAAAATATATATAAATAGGTGATACACAAAATAAAAATAAATGGCCAATAAACTAACAAAAGATATTTCAACTCATTAGTAAGCATAAGAACATAAATTAAAACAAGAGGCCAGGGATGATAGTGCATGCCTGTAATCCCAGGACTTTGGGAGGCTGAGGTGGGAGGATTGCTTGAGCCTGAGCCCAAGAGTTTGAGACCAGCCTCGGCAACATAGTGAGGCCCTGTTTCTACTCAAAGCAAAAAAAAGTATCTGGGCTTGGTAGTGCGTGCCTGTAGTACAGCTACTCAGAAGGCTAAGGTGGAAGATTGCTGGTGCCCTGGAGTTTGAGGTTGCAGTGACTTACCTCGCTGCAGGTACTACTGTGTTGTCTAGCCTGTCAATCAGTCAATCAATCAACCAATAAAAATAAAGATATAAGAATAAGAATGTTTAATAAAATATTATTTGTAGTAATCAAGGAAGTGAGGGCCACCAAAATATCTCTTTTTTTTTTTTTTTGAGACGGAGTTTCACTCTTGTTGCCCAGGCTGGAGTGCAATGGCACAATCTCGGCTCACTGCAACCTCCGCCTCCCAGGTGCAAGCCATTCTCCT
Organism: Homo sapiens; assembly: GCF_000001405.40. NCBI lineage: Eukaryota > Metazoa > Chordata > Mammalia > Primates > Hominidae > Homo > Homo sapiens. The sequence goes on along the minus strand of NC_000022.11, from coordinate 40,160,381 downwards.
GCCTCAGCCTCCCTAGTAGCTGGGATTATAGGCATGTACCACCACGCCCAGCTAATTTTGTATTTTTAGTAGAGACGGGGTTTCTCCATGTTGGTCAGGCTGGTTTTGAACTCCCGACCTCAGGTGATCCGCCTGCCTCAGCCTCCCAAAGTGCTGGGATTACAGGCGTGAGTCACCGCGCCTGGCCCAAAATATCTCTTAGAGAAGAATGACTGTAGTATATCCATTCAACAGAATGTTTGACAGACGTTTAAAAGAATGAAATAGGCCGCTCAAGGAGGTTCATGCCTGTAATCCCAACACTTTGGAAGGCTGAGGCAGGAGGACTGCTTGGGCCCAGGAGCTGGAGACCAGCCTGGGCAACAACGTGAGACCTCATTTCTACAAAAAAAATTTTTTTTAATTAGCTGGGTACGGTGGTATGTACCTGTAGTCCCAGGCACTCAGGAAGCTGAGGCAAAAAGATCCCATGAGCCCAGGAATTCAAGATTACAGTGAGCTATGATCGTACCATTGCACCCTAGCCTAGGTGACAGAGTGAGACCTTGTCTCAAAAAAAAAGAAAAAGAAATAGACTGAAAATATCTCAAATTACAAAAGTTAAGTCTTAGAAGAATGATATTGGGAGAAAAATCAATTTAATTGTTGTTTAAAAATGTACAGAAAATGTTTAGGAAGATTAGGAAGGGAAGGGTTTCACCTTTCTTTTTTTTTAAATTTTTAAATTTTTTTTTTAATGTTTTAAGATGGAGTCTTGCTCTGTCACCCAGGCTGCAGTGCAGTGGCACAATCTTGGCTCACTGCAAGCTCCGCCTTCTGGGTTCACGCCATTCTCCTGCCTCAGCCTCCCGAGTTGCTGGGACTACAGGCGCCCGCCACCATGCATGGCTAATTTTTTGTATTTTTACTAGAGGCGGGGTTTCACCATGTTAACCAGGATGGTCTCGATCTCCTGACCTCGTGATCTGCCCGCCTCAGCCTCCCAAAGTGCTGGGATTACAGGCGTGAGCCACCGCGCCTGGCCAGGTCTCACCTTTATTTCTACAGTCACAATTGCTGTTTGAATGTTTTCTGACAAGCTTATATTACATTACTTTTATTAAAAAATTACTCAGTTCCGGCCAGGTGCGGTGGCTCACGCCTGTAATCCCAGCACTTTGGGAGGCCGAGGCGGGCAGATCACAAGGTCAGGAGATCGAGACCATCCTGGCTAACACGGTGAAACCCCATCTCTACTAAAAATACAGAAAAATCAGCCGGGTGTGATGGTGGGCGCCTGTAGTCCCAGCTACTCGGGAGGCTGAGGCAGGAGAATGGCGTGAACCCGGGAGGCGGAGCTTGCAGTGAGCCGAGACTGTGCCACTGCACTCCAGCCTGGGCGACAGAGCGAGACTCTGTCACACACGCAAAAAAATTACTCAGTTCCTAGATTCCCTATCCAGACTGAATCATATTTACAAAGTATAGTAATAATCATTTGCCAACTGCAGTTCTGAGATTTAAAAAAAATTTGTTTTGTAAATATTTTTATTGTTGTTGCCTCAAACAAAAGAACACAGCACCTTTGCTCACAGCACCTTGTGAGACGACTGATTTCTGCTTTATCACTTCAGTATGTAATAGCTGACCAGGCCCAGAAGAAAACAGAAATAGAACAGAATTCATCTGTGAAAAGGCCAGGCAGTATGAGACTTGTGAAAACAAAACAAGGGAGAATGGTAAGGATACGACACATGGCATTCCAACTTGCTGGGGCTGTTTGAAACTCTCAAAGAAGTACAGTTTGTATAACATAAAACTTGTAGGAGAATCTGCCCAGCAACATTTCCTGAATACCTAAATAAGCTGATTCAGGATAAGGGTTACTAGAGAGGTTTTTAAAGATAAAGACTGGTTTGTTTGAGAAATGGATATCCTTTATAGTACAGAACTTCCACCTGTTTTTTTAAAAATAGGCTTATGCCATTTTCATTGTCTCCCTCAACTCCCTCTTTATTTATTTATTTATTTATTTATTTATTTATTTATTTATTTATTTATTGAAGATGGAGTTTCGCTCTTGTTGCCCAGGCTGGAGTGCAATGGTGTGATCTCAGCTCACTGCAACCTCTGCCTCCTGGGTTCAAGCAATTCTCCTGCCTCAGCCTCCTAAGTAGCTGGGATTACAGGCGTGTGCCACCACGCCTGGCTAATTTTGTATTTTTTTACTAGAGACAGGGTTTCACCACGTTGGTCAGGCTGGTCTTGAACTCCCAACCTCAAGTGATCCACTCGCCTTGGCCTCCCAAAGTGCTGGGATTACAGTGAGCCACACCACGCCTGGCCTACTCCCTCTTATTCATGAGACTTTGATTTTGACAACTGCAGTTTTACTAACAACAGTATTTTTCAAGAGCATAGCTTCCAAGGATGGCAAAGGGTGTGAGAGAGTCGGTAAGATCTGGGTTCAAATCTAAATTGCATTTCAAGCTGCATTACCATGGGCAAGTTACCTACCCTGATCTCTGAGTGAAATGGAGATGAAATGGTGTAATGAGTGGAAATGACAGAGTAAAACATATTTAAGCAAAGTACCTTGTGCACAGAAAACCCTCGACAAATGGAGTTATAATTTTTATATGACAGACCTTTGACCAGAGTGTGGGGGTGGAGGGCTGTGCAGTGGACACGGAGAAAAGCACCTGAAGTGTTTCTCTTGTCATTCTACTGGGACTAGATGTCTGGCATTCTAATTTGCTAAAGATGAATTGATTCCATCAGCCCATGCAAAATGTAAGTGCATTTGATAGAATACAGCAAAGCTAGGATTTATATTGTGAGCTATTTTTAAAATTGCCTGGTTAGCAAATTAAACCAGCTGTGAAAATATCCTGGTTTCCATTCACAACAAATACAAGACGAGCCATTTTCCTTTAATGAATCTGGCCTCGTGGCAGCATAGTCCATTCTGCATAATTTATTCCTAAGGGTTTTAAAGACATAATTTTCTTAAGACAGACCAAAATTAAACTATTTTCTAGGAAAAAAAATATGAATGAGAGAAGTTTCTCTGTATAGATTTTTGGTAAATTCCATAATCACTGGCCCATTCAATTTAGGAGACTAATGTCTGAATAAAAAATAGTAGTTATGTCAGTACTTTAAGCAGTCTTAACTGTTTTTCCTTTAAAAGGGCATATGAAAAACCAGTCTGCTCTGCAACACAATTTTTCACATTCTATGACGGAGAGAGGAAAAAAATTCACTCACTGCTATCAAAAAGCTACCCAACAGACTCCCAACTTCAGGTTTAAAACCAATCACCCCTGGCTGGGCACGATGCCTCACACCTGCAATCCCAGCACTTTGGGAGGCCGAGGCAGGCAGACCACCTGAGGTCAGGAGTTCAAGAGCAGCCTGACTAACATGGTGAAACCCCATCTCTACTAAAAATAGAAAAATTAGCTAGGTGTGGTGGCGGGCAACTGTAGTCCCCGCCACCACACCTAGTCCTATTTAGGAGGCTGAGGAAGGAGAATTGCTTGAACCCAGGAGGCGGAAGTTGCAGTGAGCCCAGATTGCACCACTGCACTCCAGCCTGGGTGACAAGAGTGATACTCCGTCTCAAGAAAAAAAAAAAAAAAAAACCAACAACAAACCAATTACCCCTTAAGGAGTTAGGGGAGAGATCCTGAATTATTTGGAATGTTGGCTAAGTTATATTATTTATAATTCCTGTTCCTTTAGAGAAACAATTTGTTATTTAAACAAAGATCAGCAGTGTAAATAACCAAATGGAATAGAATTTCAGAAAGTACCATTCAAATAAATTCACACTTAGATTGCAGGGAAATGGTCTATTAGTTTAGTTCACTTCAGAAAGACAATACTGAGAAAAGGATGTACCATTTTATACTTTCTTTGGAAATCAACCAAACAGAATTAGTTCAATTTGGAACATACTGAGCCTTAAAGCCTTTGCTACAACATAACATAAATTTTGATTAGGCGAGTGTGAAAAACTGTAACGCTAACTTTCTTGTCCTTCTAGTTAGTTGGTCTATAAATAGAAGCAATGCATTAACAGCCACCAAAGCAACTGGTGAGTTCCCCAATGTCTCCAACGTATACATCTCTGACAAACACGCTTATCAGCATGTTGAACCAAAGTGTTTCCGAGGATCTGTAATAGGACTCTTTTTAAATAAACTGTGACTCACTGTTTGCTTTCTTCACCAGGAGGTGGAGTCTTGCCATGCCCTTCCATTACAAAATCCTCCTGTTCCACCTGCAAAGGCAAGCACCACAGGTCAGCAGCAGTCAGTAACTACAATGCGACTCACTCCAAGAACCCACACCTGCCCTGTGCAGAACCACAGGGCCGTTTCACTGTGGTGCACAGAACAGAAGCCTGGGCCAATGGTTTTCAAACTTCTCCTTGAGTGATTAGATCTGCAGAAAAAAGGAAACATGTTGATCGGCAAAACACATAACTCTGACAAAGGATTAGCATCTAGAATATAAAAGAACGGTGATGAATCAATGAGACAAAGACAACCTACTAGAAAAATCTGCAAATAACCAAGCAGGAATTTCACTGAAGAGAACACATAAACAGTTTCTAAACATATGAAAAGATGTTCAATCTTATGTCAGTCAAGAAAATGCAAATTAAAACCATTTCACAACTACTAGGTTGGCTAAAATTAAAGTCAGGTAATACCAAGTGTTGACAAGGGTATGCAGCAATAGCAACTCTTATCCACTCCTAGTGGGAGGGAAAACTGGTATAGCTACTTTGAAAAGCAGTTTTGTCAGCCAGGCAGGGTGGCTCACGCCTGTAATCCCAGCACTTTGGGAGGCCAAAGCGGGCAGATCATGAGGTCAGGAGATCAAGACCATCCTGGCCAACATGGTGAAACTCCGTCTCTACTAAAAATACAAAAATTAGCTGGATGTGGTGGTGTGCGCCTTTAGTCCCAGCTACTCAGGAGGCTGAGACAGAAGAATTGCTTGAACCTGGGAGGCAGAGGTGGCAGTGAGCCGAGATCACGCCACTGTACTCCAGCCTGGGCGACAGAGCAAGACTCCGTCTCCCCCAACAACAACAACAACAAAAAGTTTGCATTATCTATTACATTTGAAGATGCATTTACTGTACACATTAGTAACTGCACTTACTTATAGGTATATACCTAGAGAAGCTTTTGCACATATACAAAAGTATTTATAGTGGAATTATTTTTAACAGAAAAAAATAGAAGAATAAACATCTGTCAACAGTAAAACAGATAAATAGGCTATGGTGTTTTCAGAAAATAGAATACTATATTGCATGAAAATGAATGAACTACAGCTACACACCTCAATCTGGGTGAGTTACAAAAAGGTAATCAAGTGAAGGAAGCAAGTCACAAAAGAATGCATATGTAGTATGATTCTATAAATATCAAGTCCAAATATATATATATTTTAGAGCAAATTGAAGCAGAATATATATATATATGTATATATATATATATATATATATATATATATATATTTTTTTTTTTTTTTTTTTTTGAGATAGAGTCTTGCTCTGTTGCCCAGGCTGGAGTGCAGTGGTGCGATCTCGGCTCACTGCAAGCTCTGCCTCCCAGGTTCACACCATTCTCCTGCCTCAGCTTCCCCAGCAGCTGGGACTACAGGTACCCGCCACTATGCTCAGCTAATTTTTTTGTATTTTTAGTAGAGATGGGGTTTCACCGTGTCAGCCGGGATAGTCTCGATCTCCTGATCTCGTGATCCACCTGCCTCGGCCTCCCAAAGTGCTAGGATTACAGGCGTGAGCCACCACGCCCAGCCAGAAAATATGTATTTTTAACCATATGTATGTACATATAGGCATACATACGTATATACATGCTTTTATTTTATTATTTATTTATTTATTTATTTTTGAGATGGAGTCTCGCCCTGTCACCCAGGTTGGAGTGCAATGACGTGATCTTGGCTCACTGCAACCTCCACCTCCCAGGTTCAAATGATTCTCCTGCCTCAGCCTCCCGAGTAGCTGGGATTACAGGCGCCTGCCACCACGCCCAGCTGATTTTTGTATTTTTTTAGTAGAGACAGGGTTTCACCATGTTGGCCAGGATGGTCTCGATCTCCTGACCTCGTGATCCACCCGTCTTGGCCTCCCAAAGTGCTGGGATTACAGCAGTGAGCCAATGCGCCCAGCCCATGCTTTTATATTTAAAGATATAAAGAAAAGGCTGAGGGCTATGGCATGACCCTGTAAGTCCCAGCTACTTCGGGGGACAGAGGCAGGAGAATCAATTGAGCCTAGGAGTTCAAGACTGTAGCGCTCTATGATCACACCTGTGAATAGCCACTGCACTCCAGTCTGGGCAACACAGCGAGACCCTAAGTCTTAAAAAAAAATAAAGAAAGCCAATAATTTCTTAATATTAATATTAATTAATATAATTTCATAAATGGAATTATTCCCTTTCTTTAATGATTTATTATAATTTAAATTACTAATTTTATTTAAAAATTAAAATTTATATTAAATACATATACATTATTTAAAAAGTCAAATAACATTAATACTACCGGCTGACAAACAAAAACAGTACTTTCCACCCCTGCCCCACCCTCACAACATAAGCCTCCATCCTCCCTTCCTCACAATGTAAGTTACCGTTTTTGTTCAACTCAATATTCAGTGCTAACAGTGCTATTATGTAGTAAATATATACAGCTGAATCATATGGAATGCTATAATTAAATTTCCTTTCTTGTATAATTTTGGTTTCCCTGGAACTAATAATTACCACTTCCTCTTCTTATTCTTTTTGTTTTTTTTTTTCTAGCTTAGTATTTGTTATGTATTTTTCATTAATTCATCCTCAAACTCTCCAACAGAACTGTAAATCTCCTCTTAATCAGTTCAAACACTTCAGGTAATCTATCAGTTTCACTCCGCCTTGGAGACACCCTCAGGGGTTTCTCCTGCTCCGAACTGGATTGATTGCTTTCTAGGCCACTGAATCGCTGACATCTCGCTAGGGATGTCTCCTCCTCTTCATCTCTGGAATGCCCTCCTCTTTCTCCTAAGCTGGAGCATCTGTTTCCCAGATCCTCTGTCTCTTTTACAGTTTACTCACTGATTCAGGTGGAGTATATATTCCAGTGATTTCCTGATAAAAGGTATATAGAAGGTGAATTTTTTTGAGACCTTGAATGACTGAAACGTCCTTGTTTTATCCACACATATAACTGACACATAAAAATGTTTTATTTATTTTTATTTTTTTTGAGATGGAGTCTCGTTCTGTTGCCCAGGCTGGAGAGAAGTGGTGTGATCTTGGCTCATTGCAGCCTCCCCTCCTGGGTTCAAGCGGTTCTCCTGTCTCAGCCTCCCGAGTAGTTGGGACTACAGATGTGTGCCACTACACCTGGCTAATTTTTTGTATTTTTAGTACAGACAGGGGTTCACCATGTTGGCCAGGCTGGTCTCGAACTCCTGACCTCAGGTGACCCATCTGCCTCAGCCTCCCAAAGTGCTGGGATTATAGGTGTGAGCCACCACACCCGGCCATAAAAACATTTTTTTTACCCACATATTTAATTAAATATAAAAGTTAAAGCCAGGCACGGTGGCTCACACCTGTAATCCCAGCAGTTTGGGAGGCTGAGGCAGGCGGATCACAAGGTCCAGAGATCAAGGTCATCCTGGCCAACATGGTGAAACCCCATCTCTACTAAAAATACAAAAATTAGCCGGGTGTGGCCGGGTGCGATGGCTCACGCCTGTAATCCCAGCATTTTGGGAGGCCAAGGCGGGCGGATCACAAGGTCAGGAGATCGAGACCATCCTGGCTAACATGGTGAAACCCCGTCTCTACTAAAAATACAAAAAAAATTAGCCGGGCGTGGTGGTGGGCACCTGTAGTCCAAGCTACGCAGGAGGCTGAGGCAGAAGAATGGCATGAACCCGGGAGGCGGAGCTTGCAGTGAGCCGAGATCGTGCCACTGCACTCCAGTCTGGCAACAGAGCAAGACTCCATCACAAAAACAAAAACAAACAAACAAAAACGTTGAAGTCAGTAAACTTTTCCGTCCAAAATTTTGAGGGTGATGCTCCGTTGTCTTCTAGCTCCCATAGCTGCTACACAGAAGCTCAGTATCATTCTAAGTCCTAGTGTATTGCATGTGTCTTCTCTAGAAACATTTAAGTCCTTATTTTTATAGTGGTAAGAAAGAAAGAAAAACAAAACCAAAAACAAAAAACCCTTTTAGGAGCTTTCATTTATCCTTAGTTTTTAAAAATGCAAACCACTAAGCAAGGTTCTTTTTTTATTTATTGAACTGGTGCTAGGTAAGTACTTATAATCTAGAATCTCTTGTTTTTCAGGTTTGGGACATTTTCTCTACTTATTTGACAGTTTCCTCCCTTCCAACTTCTGTTCTCTCCTTCTGGAATTCCTGTTATTCAGTGTTGAATCTCTCAGATTAACTGATTTGCTTTCTTTCTTCTTTCTTTCTTTCTTCTTTCTTTTCTTTCTCTTTCTTCATTTTTGTGTCTGAATGAATCTCTGAGATTGATTTTCTTCTTTCTTTCTTTCTCCATTTTTGTGTCTTTGATTTTTTTATTTTAATTTCTGGGAGGTTCTCTCAACTTTATTTTCTAAAACTTTTAACATATGTACAATTTCTGCTATTTTAATTGAATTTTTAAGAGCTCTTCCTCGTTCTTTGAATATTCCTTTTTCCAGTCTCCTGTTCTTGTTCCATTATAACAATATCTTCTCTCATCTCTGAGGATATTCTAGAGAGTTTTTGTTTTAGTTTTTTTCTTTTTTCTTTTTTTTTTTTTTTGAGATGCAGTCTCACTGTCGCCCAGGCTGAAGTGTAGTAGCATGATCTCAGCTCATTGCAACCTCTGCTTCTCCGCTTCAAGAGATTCTCCCTGCTTCAGCTTCCCGAGTAGCTGGGATTACAGGCGTGCATTTTTAGTAGAGATGGGGTTTCGCCATGTTGGCCAGGCTGGTCTCAAACTCCTGACCTCAAGTGATCTGCCCGCCTCAGCCTCCCAAAGAGCTGGGATTACAGGTGTGAGCCACGGTGCCTGGCCTATTTATTTTTGAGACAGAGTCTCACTCTGTTGCCCAAGCTGGAGTGCAGTGGCGTGATCTCGGCTCACTGCAACTTCCACCTCTCTGGTTCAAGCGATTCTCATGCCTCAGCCTCCTGAGTAGCTGGGATTACAGGCGTGAGCCACCACACCCAGCCTGTTTTAGTTTTCTTCTGCTCCCTACATTGTCTCTGTTTCCTCCAAGTTCCTCTTTTGTCTTTGGTCACCATCTTTCATTCATAGATTTTTATCAAATGTCTGATCATTCTTGTCTATCCACTGATATTTAAGAGCGAGACCCTAAAGAGCTTGATTTTGGGTGTATGTGTGTGTAGGAGGGGAGGGGTAAGGGAGAGTTTCCTTATCCAGGGGTTAGCTTTCTGGAGGGTGATCAGGAAGGGACCTGCCCATTTAATTAGGACCTTCAGATGCCTACAGCTATACATCCTCATCTATTTCCCCCTCCTTGGGCTATTTAATTACCCCAAAAAGACATCCTTCAATCCTCAACCTGACAGATATAAGTCAGGCTTTCAGTGTTCTGGGAATGAATTTGGGAAGAGCTGGTAAAGTCTCATATGTCAGCATGTAGCCTTTTATGTAAGTTCTGTTTTTAATTAGGTACCTCACACCCACCCTCAGCTTTTCCTGAGGTTCAGCCTTTCCAGTCTTCTGCCAGGTGGGCAAGGGTAGTGGTCTGTGGATATGAGGAAAGCGTATCTGGGGCCTTGCTTCTCATCGCCTCTTCAACCCATCTTGCTGTTTTTAGTGTTATTCCAAAAGCTTCCCAGCTTCCAAAACTTTGTCGGGCATCTCTTATCCTCTTCATCTCTTCTTCTATTCACTTTGTTTTCTGGTGGATTTATGCTTGCTGAAATCATTTCGTAAAAATATATATTTTTTTGAGATGGAGTCTCGCTCTGTCACCCAGGCTGGGGTGCAGTGGCACGATCTTGGCCCACTGCAAGCTCTGCCTTCCGGGTTCACGCCATTCTCCTGCCTCAGCCTCCCAAGTAGCTGGGACTACAGGCGCCCACGACCACGCCTGGCTAATTTTTTGTATTTTTTAGTAGAGACGGGGTTTCACCGTGTTAGCCAGGATGGTCTTGATCTCCTGACCTCGTGATCTGCCCGCCTTGGCCTCCCAAAGTAAAAATAATTTTAGTGGCACTTTAGAAGGGAGCAGCAGACATTAATAACCTGCCTTAGTTTACCATGTCAAGACTTATTCTTAAAACCTTTTTGACTCTACTTTTTCCACCCCACCGAAACTATTTTCAATTTTTTGTTGGCTTTCATTTTAAAAAAAATTATTTTATACCAGGTGCAGTAGCTCATGCCTGTAATTCCAACACTTTGGGAGGCCAAGGCAGGAGGATGGCTTAAGCCTAAGATTTCAAGGCTGCAGTGAGCTATGATGGCACCACTGTACTTCAGCCTGGGTGACAAAGTGAGACCCTGTCTCTTAAAAAAAAAAGTACAATTTTTAGTTTTGACACATACATACACATGAAATCATCACCACAAGCAAGACAATGAACATACCACCCTAAAAGTTTCATCATGCCCCTCTTTAATCTTTTTTTTTTTTTTTTTTTTTTTGGCGGGGGAGGGAGACGGAGTCTCGCTCTGTTGCCAGGCTGTAGTGCAATGGCGCGATCTCGGCTCACTGCAACCTCCGCCTCCTGGGTTCAAGAGATTCTCCTGCCTCCGCCTCCTGAGTAGCTGGGATTACAGGTGTGTGCCACCACGCCTGGCGAATTTTTTTTGTATTTTTAGTAGAGACGAGGTTTCACCATATTGGCCAGGCTGGTCTCAAACTCCTGACCTCGTGATTTGCCCGCCTTGGCCTCCCGAAGTGCTGGGATTACAAGTGTGAGCCACCGCACCCAGTCATCCCTCTTTAAGCTTCCTCTCCTGTGACCCTGCCTAGGCAACCACTGATGAACTTTCTATCACTATAGATGCAGCTGCATTTTCTGGAGCTTCCATAAGTGGAATCAAACAGTATGTACTCTTTTTCTGTCTGGCTTCTTTTACTCAGCATAATCATTCTGAAATTCATCCATGTGGTTTCAAGTGTCAATAGTTCATTTTCCTTTCACAGCTGAGTAGTATTCCATTGTTCAGAATGTATCACAATTTGATGGGTGTTTGAGTTGTTTCGATTTTTGCTACTGCAAATAAAGCTGCTATGAACACTCACATATGTATTCTTTTTTATTGAGTAAATACCTAGGAGGGTGTATTAGTTTGCTAGGGCTGCTGTAATGAAGTATTTCAAATCTGGTGGCTTAACAAACAAATTTTTTGTCTCACTGTTCTAGAGGCTAGAAGTCCAAAATCAAGGTATTGGCAGGGTTGGTTCCCTCTGAGAGCTGTGAGGGAAGGATGTGTTCCAGTCTGCTCTCCTTGGCTTACAGATGGCTGTCTTCAGTTTCACATGGTATTTTTCCTATTTGTGTGTTTCTATGTCCAAAGTTCCCCCCTTTTAATATGAACACCAGTCATACTGGATTAGGGCCTATCCTAATAATCCCATTTTAACTTAATTACCTCTGTCAAAGTCCTATCCCCAAGTAAGACGACATTCTAAGGTTCTGGGAGTTCGTATTTCAACATAATTCAACTCATAACAGAGTAGAACAGTTGGATCACATGGTAGTTACATGTTTTAACTTTTTAAGAAGCTGTTTTCTGGCCCGGCGCGGTGGCCCACACCTGTAATCTCAGCACTTTGTGGGGGGCAAGGCGGGCAGATCACAAGGTCAAGAGATTGAGATCATCCTGGCCAACATGGTGAAACTCCATCTCTACTAAAAATACAAAAATTAGCTGGGCGTGGTGGCAGGCGCCTGTAATCCCAGCTACTCAGGAGGCTAAGGCAGGAGAATTGCTTGAACCCGGGAGGCGGAGGTTGCAGTGAGCCGAGATTGTGCCACTGCACTGCAGCCTGGCAACAGAGCAAGACTCTGTCTCAAAAAAAAAAAAAAAAAAAGAAACTGTTTTCCAACGTGGTTGTAGCCATTTTACCTTCCTTCCAGCAGCGTATGAGAGTTCTATTTGTCCCATGTCTCATCAATAGCAGTACTTTGTGTGGACTTTTTAATTTTAGCCAATTCTAATCATGGTTTTAACTGCACTCATGTTGAACATCTTTCTATGAGCTCCTTTGCTATCTGTTCTCTGGTAGTGTCTTCAAGTCTTTTGGCCATTTAAAAAATCGTTTTATTGAGATATAACCTATATGCCATAAAGTTCACCTGTTTAAAGTACACAATTCAGTGGCTTTTATTGTATTTACAGAATTGTGCAACCACTACCACAATCCAATCTTAGAACTTTTTCATCATTCCAAAAGAAACTACTTACGTAACAGCAGTCACTCTCCATTTTGCCTCCCTTTCATCCTCCTTCTGAGGCCCAGACAACCACGAATCTACCTTCTATCTCTACAGATTTGCCTCTTTTGACTTCTCATATATAATTGGAGTGACATAATATGTGGTGTTTTGTGTCTGTCTTTGCTATGGTCTGAATGTGTCCCCCAAAATTTGTGTTGAAAACCTAATCCCCAGTGCAATAGTGTTGGGAGGTGGGGCCTTCTGGAAGGTGTTTAGGTCATAAGAGTTCTGCCTGCATAAATTCACGCTGTTATAAAAGGGCTTGTCAGGGACGCACTGTCGCTTTTTGCCCTTCCACCTTTTGCCACGTGGGGACGCAGTATTCCTCCCTCTTAGAAGCAGGGATTGGGGCCTCCCCTGACAACAGATCTACTGGTGCCTTGATCTTGTTATTCGCGGCCTCTAGAACTATCAGAAAATAAATTTCTGTTCTTTATAAAGTACCTAGTCTGTGGTATTTTGTTATAGCAGCATAAACAAACTGAGATACTGTGGAACCATCAACCATCCATCTCCACAATTCTTCCATCTTTTCCATCTGAAACTCTGTACCCCTTAAACAGTAACTCCCCAGTCCCTGCTCCCCCCAGTCCCTAACAAGCACCATTCCACTTTCTGTCTCTATGACTCTGACTCCTCCAGTTACCTTATATAAGTAGAATCATACGGTATTTGTCTTTTTGTCACTAGTTTGTTTCACTTAGCATATGTCTTCAATATTCATCTATGTTGTAGCATGTGTCAGAGTTTCCTTCCCTTTGTAAGGCTAAATAATATTCCATTGTATGTATATACCACATTTTGTTTATCCATTCACCCTTCCATGGACACTTGGATCACTTCCACCTTTTCGCTATTGTGAATACCTCTAAGTAATATTTAATACAGTAGCCATGTCCACCCTTTTGAAAATCTCTGCCTTGTACTGGACCATCTTCCGTCATTTCTTTTCCTCTCTCTCACCCAATCTTAGAGGCTTTGGATTTATTCCTTTGACTTAGAAAACGTTTCTTGTTCGGGCACGGTGGCTTATGCCTGTAATCCCAGCCCTTTGGGAGGCCAAGGCAGGTGGATTATGTGAGGTCAGGAGTTCAAGGCCAGCCTAGCCAACATGGCGAAACCCTGTCTCTACTACAAACACACACAAAAAATTAGCCAGGCATGGCGGCGGGCGCCTGTAATCCCAGTTATTCAGGAGGCTGAGGTAGGAGAACTGCTAGGGGGAGGAGGTTGCAGTAAGCTGAGATTGCGCCACTGCACTCCAGCCTGGGCGACAGAGCGAGACTCCATCTCAAAAAAAAAAAAAAAAAAAAAAATTAGCCGGGCGTGGTGGCACATGCCTGTAATCCCAGCTACTTGGGAGGCTGATGTAGGACAATGCTTGAATTCAGGAGGCAGAGGTTGCAGTGAGCCAAAATCATGCCATTGGTCTCCAGCCTGGGCAACAAGAGAGAAACTCCGTCTCAAAAAAAAAGACAGCATTTCTCACATATTATTACATGAAAGCTTCCTTCACATCATTCAGTCATCAGCTCTAGGGCCATCTCTTTGATCCAGGGTGATCTTCCCCTACCAGCCCAGCTGAAATACTTCCAGTCACTCCCCAGCATCACACATATCACTACCTGAAAGGCTTATTTGTTCATGTGTCTTATTGTCTGTCTCCCCAACCACGAATGCAAACTTCTTGAGGCAGAGACTTTGAATGTCTTATTCACCAGAAGCCTGGCACAACAAAGTTGTTTGACCAGGATGTGCCGACTTTCCCTTTCTCCTACTACTCCCTAAGCATTTATTTCCCTAGGTTCTGCCCTTGGACCTCTTTCTTCTCATTCTGCCACAGCCATTTCATCTAATCTCACAGTTTCCACTATTAAATTTGAGTGATCCCAATTCTGTTTCCATCCTAACCTATCACGTTTCCAGCCCCACAGTTTCATCAGGCTGACGTTGCCATGCAGATTATATGCCAGCATTTCAAACTCTGTGCTCCATACAGACTGCATCCTATTCACTCCCAAACCTGCTTTTTTTTTTGAGACAAAGTCTCGCTCTGTCACCAGGCTGGAGCATAGTGATGTGATCTTGGCTCACTGCAACCTCTGCCTCCTGGGTTCAAGCAATTCTCCTGCCTCAGCCTCCCAAGTAGCTGGGACTACAGGAGGGCGCCACCACACCCAGCTAATTTTTGTATTTTTAGTAGAGACGGGGTTTCACCGTGTTGGCCAGGATGGTCTCAATCTCTTGACCTTGTGATCCGCCTGCCTTAGCCTCCCAAAGTGCTGGGATTACAGGCGTGAACCACCATGCCCAGCCGATTTATCGTTTTCTCTTTCCTCAACATCGAATAAATTGCTAAATCCTACCCATTTTATAAATATCTCCAACCACACCCTCTACTGCAGGTACTGCAGTTAAAAAGAAAATGTATATATTTTTTGAAAGCTGAGAAGTCAGCTGATATAGTGGATAAAAGAATCAATATTTAACATGGTCTCAACAGACTAAGGAGATGGGTGGAAGCTCCTCAATTTTTTTTTTAAATTGAAGTATAATTCACAAGCAGAAAAATACACACACTTTAAGTGTAGGCTCAATGAATTTTATTTTTATCTCATTTCTCTCTACTTTTGAGACAGGGTCTCACTCTGTCACCCAGGCTGCAGTGCAACGGCACAATTATGACTCACTGAAGCCTTGACATCCCGAATTCAAGTGATTCTCCCACCTTAGCCTCCCGAATAGCTGGGACCACAGGCCTGTGCCAGCACACCCAGCTAATTAAAAAAATTTTTTTTTTTTTTTTTTTTGTGGAGCTAGATAGGGTCTCTCTGCCCAGGCTGGTCTGAAATTCCTGGGCTGAAGTGATCCTCCAGTCTTGGCCTCCCAAAGTGCTGGGATTACAGGCATGAGCTACTGAGCCTAGCCTTAATGATTAATTTTAGATATGGTTGTACCTTCAAGCAACATATAGATTGAGACAGAAAATTTCCATCTCCCCAGAAAACTTCTACATGCCCCTTCCCTTGAAGATCGCCCTATTAACTATAAATGGGATTGACATGTTCGAAAGCTTAATATCACTGGGATCTGACAGTATGTACCACTTTTATATCTACATTTTTTCACTCGGTATAATGTTTCTGAGATTTATCCATGTTGTTACACTGATCAAGAGTTCATTTTTTTTTTTTTTTTTTTCCGAGACGGAGTCTTGCTCTGTCGCCCAGGCTGGAGTACAGTGGCACAATCTCGGCTCACTGCAAGTTCTGCCTCCTCGGTTCACGCCATTCTCCTGCCTCAGCCTACCAAGTAGCTGGGACTACAGGTGCCCGCCACCACGCCCGGCTAATTTTTGGTATTTTTAGTAGAGACAGGGTTTCACCATGTTAGCCAGGATGGTCTCGATCTCCTGACCTCGTGATCCGCCCGCCTCGGCCTCCCAAAGTGCTGGGATTACAGGCGGGAGCCACTGCGCCCAGCCAAGAGTTCAATTTTTAAACTTAGTAGTGTTCCACTGCACAGACAAACTATAATTTGTTTATTCATTAGATAGACAGCTAGCTATTTCCAGTTTGGAGCTGCTATAAATAAAACTGCCATGAGCATTTTCATATAATGTGTTTTTGCAAATCTATGCAGTCATTTCTATGGAGTATACACCTAAGAGAATGTCTGCCTTATAGGGTGGAAGTTCGTTTAACATTATTTAGAAGCTTATGAAACAGTTCTTTAAGTGGCTGTACCATTTTACACTCCTTCCAACAATGTCTAAAAGTTCCAGTTGCTCCACATTCTTGCCAACACCTGGTATTATTAGTCTTTTGAACTGTAGTCATTTTGGTGAGTGTATAATGGCATTACATTACAGTTTTAATTTGTATTTTGCTCATGAATAATGTTGAACATCTGTGTTTTCATAACCATTTGGATGCCTTATTTTGTGAAATGCCTAGTCTTTTGTACATTTTTGAGTTGTTTGACCTTTTCTAACTGATTTTTGGTAATTCTTTACATACTCTGGACATGAGACTTTTATTAGAAAGATGTATTGCAGACTTTTATTAGAAAGATGTATTCCAGGCCGGGCACAGTGGCTCACGCCTGTAATCCCAACACTTTGGGTGGCCAAGGCGGGCGGATCACGAGGTCAGGAGATCGAGACCATCCTGGCTAACACGGTGAAACCCTGTCTCTACTAAAAATACAAAAAATTAGCGGGGCGTGGTGGTGGGCGCCTGTAGTCCCAGCTACTCAGAGGCTGAGGCAGTGAGGCAGGAGAATGAAGTGAACCCGGGAGGTGGAGCTCGCAGTGAGCCGAGATTGGGCCACTGCACTTCAGCCTGGGTGACAGAGCGAGACTCTATCCCCCCCACAAAAAAAGATGTATTGCAAATGTTTTTTCCCAATCTATAGTTTTCCATATTCTTATTTGATTTTTTTTAGAGTCAAGGTCTTGTTCTGTCACCCAGGCTGGAGTGCAGTGGCGTGATCATAGCTCATTGCAGCCTCAACCTCCAGGGCTTAAGTGATCCTTCCACCTTAGCCTCCTGGGCAGCTAGGACTACAGGAGTGCATCACCACACCCAACTAATTTTTAAAAATATTTTTGTAGAGTCGGGGTCTTGCCATGTTGCCCAGGCTGGTTTCAAACTCCTGGCCTCAAGTGATTCTCCCGCCCCGGCCTCCCAAAATGCTGGGATTATAGGCATGAGCCACTGTGCCCAGCCTTTTTCCACATTCTTAATGGTGTCAGTTGTTTAGCAGAAGTTTACAATGTTTCATGAAATTCAACTGACCAACTGTTCTCTTTTACAGTTAGTGCTTTTTGCATGTTACCAAGAAATGTTCATACCCTCCCCAAGGTTATGAATGCAGACATCTCTTGTGCGGCCATCCAAAGGCTTCAACGTTTTAGCCCCCACAGTTAGCTCTGTGATACACCTCAAATTAAGTTTTATATATAGTATGTGACATAGAGGTCATGGTTCATACATTTCCATGTGGTTATCCAGTTCCTCCAGCACCTTTTCCTCACTTAATTACATTAGTCTTTGGATAATTTTTTTCTAATCGTGAAGTCTTATACTTTAGGTTCAAAAGAATCAATTATACAACTATAGGATGGGCAAGACCAGTATAATAGCAGTGTATGGACAATGTGCTTGACTTCTGAAAAAAAGAAACACTTCTTGCTTATTTTAACTGATAACATATTTTAATATCCTTTGAAGCTTATTTTGACCATGTGATTAAACTCTAGTCAAAGAGATGTAAGCGGGATGTAAAGTCCAGCTTCCACAAAGTCTTCCTAAGGAAATGGCAAGTTCTCTCCTTTCTGCTACACGGAACACAGTAAGAATTGTTATTGTTATTTTTTATTTTAGCCATTCTAGTGGATGTGAAATGCTATTTCACTGTGGTTTTGATTTGCACTTTGCATGCTTTTTAAAGCAAAGATGCCTAAGCCCTACCCTGGGCTTCATGAAACAGAATCTCAAGAGTTAAAATCTGGTGGCTGTGCACGGTGGCTCATGCCTGTAATCCCAGTGCTGTGAGAAACCAAGGTATGAAGATCACTTGAGGCCAGGAGTTCGAGACCAGCCTGGGCAACATAGTGGAGACCCCTCTCTTAAAAAAAAAAAAAAAAAATTAGCTAGGCGTGGTGGCACTTGCCTGTAGTACTAGCTACTCAGGAGGCTGAGGTGGGCGGATCCTTTGAGCCTAGGAGTTCAAGGCTCAGTGAACTATAATCACACCACTGCACTCCAGCCTGGGTGACAGAGTTAGACTTCTGCTTCAAAAACAAAAACAAGAAGGCCAGGCGCGGTGGCTCACACCTGTAATCCCAGCACTTTGGGAGGCCGAGGTGGGTGGATCATGAGGTCAGGAGATCAAGACCATCCTGGCTAACACGGTACTAAAAATACAAAAAATTAGCCAGGCGTGGTGGTGGGTGCCTGCAGTCTCAGCTACTCGGGAGGCTGAGGCAGGAGAATGGCGTGAACCTGGGAGGCAGAGCTTGCAGTGAGCAGAGATCGCGCCACTGCACTCCAACCTGGGTGACAGAGCAAGACACTGACTCAAGAAAAAACAAAAACAAAAACAAAAACAAAAAACAAGAAAAAAACAGCTGGGACCTGGGATCTCTATTTTCTTTACAAGCACCCCAGGTGATTCCTATGCAACAGTAGGCAGACTACAGCTGAACTAAGGGGCAGTCAGTCAGAGGAGGGAGAACCAGTGAATTTTTAAAATTCTCTTTAAGAGGTAAGGCACTTACAGACTACAGAGTAGGATTACAGCTGAGGAAGGAGGAAAGGGATTGGCTTGGGAAAGGGTTACACAGAGGCCCTCAACCATTAACTATATCCTTATTTTATTTCTTTAAAAAAGAGAGAAATTTGATCCCAGCACTTTGGGAGGCCAAAGTGGGGGAATCACTTGAGGTCAGGAGTTCGAGACCAGCCTGGGGGCAGCATGGTCTCTACTAAAAATACAAAAATCAGCTGGGCATGGTGGTGCGTGCCTGTAGTCCCAACTACTTGGGAAGCTAAGGTGGGAGCATCGCCTGAACCCGGGAGGTGGAGGTTGCAGTGAGTTGAGATTGTGCCACTGCATTCCAGCCTGGGCAACAGTGAGGCCATCTCAAAAAAAAAAAAAAAAAAAAAAAGGACAGAATTTGAGTTCACCACCCATGGAAAGAAGTTAACTCCACTGTGCTCAATAAATTCGTTAATTAAAAAAAAAAGTAGAGAGAGAGAAATTTGAAGCAAATATGACAAAGCAAATATGTTAAATCTTGTTGATGGTTAAGTGGATGTATCTGTTATTTTATTCTCTGTACTTTGCTACATCTTAAAATTTTTTCCTCATGACAAAATCTTACCATGAGAAGGAAAACTACAAGAATAAAGAATATAAAAATATAATTATTGGCTGGGTGCAGTGGCTCATGCCTGTAATCCCAGCCTTTTGGGAGGCTGAGGCAGGCAGATTGCTTGAGGTCAGGAGTTTGAGACCAGCCTGGCCAATATGGTGAAACCCCATCTCTACTAAAAATACAAAAATTAGCCAGGCATGGTGGCATGCACCTGTAGTCCCAGCTTCTTGGGAGTTTGAGGCAGGAAAATTGCTTGAACCTGGGAGACAGAGGTTGCAGTGAGCAAAGACTGTATCATGACTCCAGCCTGGGCAACAGAGCAACACCCCATCTCAAAAAAAAAGGAATAAGATAGAAAAAAAATTACCATCTATTCAACAACCACTCTCTCAAATATATGAAGACTGCTCTTAATATCTTTCTTAGAAATCTGTGTAAGTGGTCAAGGACTGGTATGGTCACTTTCCAATTACCAGGGACTTGAGACTTCTATTTTGTTCTTCCATCTTCAATATGTTTCTTCCACTTTGTGTTTTAAGATGGTTGCTCCAGTCCCAACCTTCATGTCTGTGTTCCATGTAGCAGAAAGGAGAGAAGAACCTGTCACTTACTTAGGAAGACTTTGTGGAAGCTGCACTTTACATCCTGCTTACATCTCTTTGACTAGAATTTAATCACATGGTCAAAATAAGCTTCAAAGGATATTAAAATATGTTATCAGTTAAAATTTGTGGTTCTATAGCTAAGCAAGAAGTGGTTTTTTTTTTGTTTCAGAAGTCAATCACATTGTCTGGACACTGCTGGTATACTGGTTTTGCCCATCCTATAGTTGTATAATTGATTCTTTTGAACTTAAAGCATAAGACTTCACAATTGGAAACAAACTATCAGAAGACTAATGTAATTCAGTGAGGAAAAGGTGCTGGAGGAACTGGATAACCACATGGAAATGTATGAACCATGACCTCTATGTCACATACTATATACAAAACTTAATTTGAGGCGGATCACAGACCTAACTGTGGGGGCTAAAACGTTAAAGCTTTTGGATGACAATAACAAGTATTGGTGATGATGCAGACAAACTGGAACCCTCGTGCATTTCTGGTGAGAATATAAAATGGTGTAGTCACTTGAAAAACAGTTTGGCAGTTCCTCAAAAAGTTAAACCATATGACCCAGCAGTTCCACTCCTAGGTATATAACTAAGAGAAATGAAAATATATTCCACACAAAAACTTGTACACAAATGTTCAAAGCAGCATTAAAATGTTCATTTCATAATATTATTAATGTTCATAGCAGTCAAAAGGTGGGAATCATCCAAATATTCATCAACTGTTGAGTATATAAATAAAATGCAGGCCAGGCACAGTGGCTCGCGCCTGTAATCCCGGCACTTTGGGAGGCCAAGGCAGGAGGATCACCTGATGTCAGGAGTTCGAGACCAGCCTGGCCAACATGGTGAAACCCCATCTCTACTAAAAATGCAAAAATTAGCTGGGCATGGCAGCATGCGCCTGTAATCCCAGCTACTCAGGAGGGTGAGGCAGGAGAATCACTGGAACCCAGGAGGCAGATGCTGCAGTTAGCCAGGATCGCACCACTGCACTCCATCCAGCCTGGGCCATAGAGCAAGACTCCATCTCAAAAAAAAAAAAAAAAAAAATGCGTACACCCATGCAATAGGGTATTATTCAGCCATTCAAAGGACTGAGGCACTGATAATGTGCTTAACATGGATAGCCTTGAAAACATGATGCTAACTGAAAGAAGTCTCACATCACACAGAAGGAAAACATACTGTATGATTCTATTTATATGGAATGTTCAGAATAGGTGATTCTGTAGAGATGGAAAGATTAGTGGTTGCCTGTGCCTGGGAGGAAAGGGAATAGAGAGTGACTGCTAATGGATACAGTTTCTTTTTGGAGTAATGACAATGTTCTTAAATTAGATGGCAGTGATGGTGGTACAACTCTGTGAATACACTGAAAACCATTGAGCTGTATACTATAAATGGGTAAGTTTTATAGGATGTAAAGTATACCTTAATAAAGCTGCTGAAAAGGAAAAGGAAAGAACATCCAAGTTAATTCTTTTCTTTCCTTAATTTACCTTTATTTTTACTTTTTTTTAGTACTTTGAATTGCTGTTTGGGGTTTTGTTTGTTTTGGTACTTTGAGAGAGTGAATTCTTATCCATGCTCAGGTTGGACACAGTCTGAAATACTTCCTACAGTTCTATACTTGAGCCTTTTCTCATCTCCCAGCCCCATCTATTCCTATATGCTGAGAACTCCTAATACGTATCTTGATGTCCTCTCTCTCTACTGAGCTCTAAAATGCCTACTAATTTAGTTTTACCTGGGCTGCCTGCAGGTGCCTCAGTATTTCAAAATCCACACCCAGTTAAAAGTAACAGTAACAGGCCAGGCGTGGTGGCTCATGCCTGTAATCCCAGCACTTTGGGAGGCTAAGGCAGGCGGATCACCTGAGGTCAGGAATTCGAGACCAGTCTGGCCAACATAGCGAAACCCCGTCTCTACTAAAAATACAAAAACTAGCTGGGCATGGTGGTGTGTGCCTGTAATCCCAGCTACTCAAGAGGCTGAGGCAGGAGAATCTCCTGAGCCTGGGAGGCAGAGGTTGCAGTGAGCTGAGATCATACCACTACACAATAGTCTGAGCAACAGAGCGAGACTCCGTCTCAAAAAAATAACGATAACAGTAACAACAGCTACATCCAATACCTTGCTCTATCTCCTATTTCACATGGCATCATTTAACCCACTCTTTGCAGATTTGTGCTCTCCTCCCATCCTTCCTGTATGCTTCTCCTGTCAGTCCCCTCCTCTGCAGACCACTGTTACTGCCTTATTTCAAAAGCCTTCCTCAGTCTTCCTGAGGGGACTCCTAACTCTCCTAACTGGTTTCCGTGTCTCCATTTTACAGCCTGTTGGTAATCATTTCTCCACACTCCTGCCAGGTCATTCTTTTTTTTTTTTTTTTTGAGATACAGTCTAGCTTTGTTGTCCAGGCTGGAGTGTGGTGGTGTGATCTCGGCTCACTGCAACCTCTGCCTCCCAATTCAAGCGATTTTCCTGCCTCAGCCTCCCAAGTAGCTAGGATTACAGGCGCCTGCCACCATGCCCGGCTAATTTTTGTATTTTTAGTAGAGATGCGGTTTCACCATGTTGGCCAGGCTGGTCTGGAACTCCTGACCTCAAGTAATCCACCCGCCTCGGCCTCCCAAAGTGCTGGGATTATAGGTGTGGGCCACCAGGCCCGGCAGGTCCATCTTTCTAAAATATGCATCAGATCATCAGGTTTCTCCCCTGCTTAACATCCTTCAATAGTTCCCTATTGCCTGCAGGGGTTCTGCTTCTAACTCCATCTCCAGGGTCTCACAGACATCTCTCAATGCTCTAACCATCTCTTCTCCGGAGAAATGTGTGGCTCTGAATACGCACAAAGCACCCTCTCCCTTCTTAGGGATTCTTCTGTACCTATAGAAGTCTATAGTTCTATAAACTGACTTTTCCAGTAAGTTTATCTGACATAAGGAAACAGCTGATTACTCTGCCGTGTAACTTGTCCAGGATGGAGTATTGAACTACTATGGCCTCTGGAGTCAGACAGGCCTGGAGTTCAACCCAAATGATGTTGCTTACCAGCTACGTAAACAAATGGGGAAAGCACTTGCGCTGCATGTTTGCTTTTCCAATCTGCTCTCAGAATACCAAAATCCATGAAATCTTGTTATCACTTTTGCTAAAGCAGATCCAGCCTAAGGTAGAGATATCCTAAGCTCTGGAAAGCAAAAGACTTTATTAAACAATGGGTAAATCTTTTTTCTCTGCATCCCCTACCAAAACACAAACAAAACAAATTACCAAGTTCCTAAAATACTTCTGTGTAACACTTTTCTTGACTAAATGAGCACTTAATATTAAGAACAGATCTTGCAGTTCTTTGTCAATGAAACCAATTAAAACAGATCATTCAAATACTACTGTGTATTTTATGTCTAAGTTACCCTATTTAACTATCTTTAATGTTAAGCAAATCAACAGATGACTTTATTCTCTGTAGACAAAGACTACGTTTACTTGCTGCCTTTGATAATGATAATGTTATATTAATAGCTAAAATGTTAGCTTCCTGATTCAGTAAATATTTATTTGCAGTAATTAGTAGAAACACGTGGGTACTTAAATATATAGCTATAAATTTGAAACCCTAGAGCTTACTTTTATTGTTTTATTATAAATATTTAAATATACAGGCCAGGCATGGTGGCTCATGCCTGTAATCTCAACACTTTCGGAGGCTAAGGTGGGAGGATCTCTTGAGCCCAGGAGTTCAACACCAGCCTAGGCAACATAGTGAGACCATGTCTCTACAAAAAGAGTTAAAAAAAAAAAATTTAGCTCGGTGTGGTGGCATGCATCTATGGTCCCAGCTACACGGGAGGCTGAGGCAGGAGGATCCCTTGGAGCCCAAGAGGTTCAGGCTGCAATGAGCTGTGTTCAGGCTACTATACTCCAGCCTACGCGACAGAGCAACACTCTGCCTCAAAAAAAAAAGTATACACACACACACACACACACACACACACACAAGATAAACATACACAAAGGTACAGAGAATATGATCACAGACACCCAACGGCTCAGCTCTATAACAAATTTTACTATATCTGTTTTAGATTTCACTTAAAAAATGAACATTTCAAGTCTAGAGCTACAGAATCTCTACAACTAGTAAGCTAACACCAACTCATTTAGAATATCGACCTAAGTTACATTACATTTAAAGTGAGAAATGGCTACAGAGTTTAAGCATTCCAATCTATCTTTGTTAAGAACCATAAAGAAAGATTACATCAGGTCTGGAGACCGTGCCAGAAATGCCAGTCCTCGCCTCCCAATTCATTTGACCTTCTATGGGATCTACTTCCTCACCTACGGTTCTTGCTCTCCTAACTCCTGAGAACTCAGGACCCAATGGAAATCAGTCCACAGGCTGAAGTAGGCCTATTAAATCCTCTTTTCTTTTAGAGAAGCTGAATGTAAAGATACAGATATTCTAGTCTACCTACCCTCTCTACATCAACACCAGTTATCCTAACACAGCAAATCATAAAGTAAAATGTACATCTCATTTCCCTGCTTTAAAAGTCTGCTGCTTTGGTTGGCTGCAGTGGCTCACATCTGTAATCTCAGCACTTTGGGAGGCCGAGGCAGGAGGATCACTTGAGTCAGAAGTTTGAGACCAGCCTGGCCAACATAGTGAGACCCAGTCTCTACAGAAAAAGTAAGAAAAACTAGCCAGGCATGGTGGCACACCTGTAGTCTCAGCTATTCCGGAGGCTGAGGTGGGAAGATCACTTGAGCCCATTAAATTCAAGGTTTCAGCAAGCCATCATCACATCACTGCTCTACAGCTTGGGCAAAAGAGCAAGAACATGTTTCTATTAAACAAAAAAAAATTTGCTACTTCAAGGTGTCAATAAGGTTGCTAAAATAAAAATAAAATAAAATAAATTTGTTTAATCTGTGGTCTATTCTTGAAACTCTTCAGCCTAAGATAATCTGGGCTCTGCCATGCCCCCGTCTCCCTGGCACCCAACACTCTAGTCGCTGTATGGTGGATGAAAGATGATCTCATATTTAAGGTCAGTCTTCCCACTGAAAGGTGGGGTCTGTTTCTCCTCCCCTTGAGTCTGGGATGGTCCTGTGACTTGCTTTAATTCAACAGACTGGGGAAGAAGCAAAGCTGGGTGACTTCTAAGGCTGGGCTTAAGGTGTCTGCAGCTCCTGCACAGTTGGAATGCTCCCTCCTGAATCCCTGCCACCATGCTGTGAGAAACCCAAGGCATGCAGAGGTCATATGGAGGAGAACCTTGGGTCAACAGCCTCAAGTTGGTCTCCTAGCTGACAGCCAATACCAACTGCCAGCCATGTGAGTGGGCCCTTTCAGGCATTTCTGGCCAATTGGGCCTCCAGATGACTGTAACTCCAGCCAATACCACTTTGGAAGAGAAGAACTGCCCTAGTGAGCCCAGGAAAACACAGAATTATGAGAAATAAAATGCTGTCTTGGTAATGGAGTCTTAAAAATATATGAAAACTTTATTTTTTAGAACAGGTTTAGATTTACAGAAAAATTAGGAAGATAGTCCATTTATCCGGATGCAGTTTCTGCTGTTAGTAACATGTTACCTTAGTATATCTGTCACAATTCATGAACCAATATTGATACATTATTATTTATTTATTAAACTTTAAGTTCTGGGATACACGTGCAGAACATGCAGGTTTGTTACATAGGTATACATGTGCCATGGTGGTTTGCTGCACCCATCAACCCATCACCTACATTAGGTATTTCTCCTAATGCTATCCCTCCCGTAGCCCCCCAACCCGATACATTAACTAAAGTCCATAGTTTATTAAATTTGCTTAGTTTTTACCTAATGTTCCAGGATCCCATCCAGAATACCACATTACATTGTCATTGTGTCTCCTTAGCTGTCTCTTGGCTGTGACAGTTCCTCAGATTTTTCTCAGTTTTCCTTGAGTTTTCAGGAGTGCTGATCAGGTATTCTGCAGAACATTCCGCTAGTGGAATTTGTCTGATGTTTTTCTCATGATTAGACTGGGATAATGGGTTTTAGGGAAGACAACTAGAAATTGAAGTGCCATTTCCTCACATCGTACCAAGGGTACAAAGTATAAAAATGACTTATCACTGTTGATGTTGACTTGATTGCCTGACTTTAGGGTTCTCCACTGTGTGAATCCACACTTTAAGAGTGGAAAGTTATGCTCCACATCCTTGAGGATAGAGTATTTACTAAACTTTTTGCAATTATTCCACTCAGGAGGTTACAATGGTGGTTTTAAACCACTAAGTTTTGATGTGATGTAACAGACATCAAGATATCTGAAACACAATCAAATTTTTCACCATCTCCCATCGCATATTACCTGTTTTTTTTTTTTTTTTTTTTTTTTTTTGAGACGGAGCTTTGCTCTTGTTGCCCAGGCTGGAGTACAATGTCACGGTCTCGGCTCACCACAACCTCCGCCTCCTGGGTTCAAGTGCTTCTCCTGCCTCAGCCTCCCGAGAAGCTGGGATTACAGGCACATGCCACCATGCCTGGCTAATTTTTTGTATTTTCAGTAGAGACAGGGTTTCTCCATGTCGGTCAGGCTGGTCTCGAACTCCCAACCTCAGGTGATCCGCTCGCCTCGGCCTCCCAAAGTGCTGGGATTACAGGCATGAGCCACCGTGCCCGGCACATTACCCCTTATATGCTATACACAGTTCCCTCTGCATATAATAGCCTTCTCCCCCTCACCCATTCAACAACAAACCAATAAAAACCATGAAACCCGTCTTTCTACAATGCCCAGTTCAAGTGTTCCCTCTCCATTGTGGACTTCCTTCCAGAAAGAATTCATTGCTTTGCCCTAGGCACATATTTAATATCGGTATCATAGCCTGTATGGTATGGTTACCTCCCTCAACTAGGTTAAAAGTGCCCGAAATGCAGAGACCATGTCTTACATAAATCACTTTGCATGCCTGTACCTACGACATCAGCAACTAGTAGGTGCCCAATAAATGTTTGTTGCATTAAAAAAACTGAATGACTATAAAAGTATGTCATTTTTGATAATATCTCAATAAAAAGAAGAGATGATACAAATAAACAGCTTAGTTCAGCATGTGTCAGTAAATCCACAATAGAGCTGAAACCTCCCAGTAATGTACAGTTCCACTATGTGACAGCGAAACCAGACACTAAGAAAAATGAGCATTACATTTAACCAGTCAAAGCCACATGTGACAGATAAAATAGTAGTATCTGTTTTCAGATCAGTGTGATAATATAAGCACATAAATGCCAAATAAAATAGGTCACATGAATTTCTCTCTACGGGAATCAGGCCAATGAAGCATATACATATCTGTGCCTCCGGATTTTACAGAATATATATATATATATATATATTTTTTTTTTTTTTTTTTTTTTTTTTTGAGACAGAGTCTTGCTCTGTCCCCCAGGCTGGAGTGCAGTGGCGCGATCTTGGCTCACTGCAAGCTCCGCCTTCCAGGTTCACGCCATTCTCCTGCCTCAGCCTCCCAAGTAGCTGGGACTACAGGCGCCTGCCACCATGCTCGGCTAATTTTTTTGTATTTTTAGTAGAGATGGCGTTTCACTGTGTTAGCCAGGATGGTCTCGATCTCCTGACCTCGTGATCCACCCGCCTTGGCCTCCCTAAGTGCTGGGATTACAAGCTTGAGCCACTGCGCCCAGCCTTTTTTTTTTTTTTTTTGAGATGGAGTCTCACTCTGTTGCCCAGGCTGGAGTACAGGGGCATGATCTTGGCTCACTGCAACCTCTGCCTCCCATGTTCAAGCAATTCTCCTGCCTCAGCCTCCCAAGTAGCTGGGACTACAGGCCCCTCGCCCTCGCCCTCGCCCTCGCCTCGCCTTTATTGAGATGGAGTTTCACACTGTCACCCAGGCTGGAGTGCCGTGGTGTGATCTTGGCTCACTGCAACCTCTGCCTCCTGGCTCCGTCCCGTCCCGTCCCGTCTCGTCTCGTCTTTATTGAGATGGAGTTTCACACTGTCACCCAGGCTGGAGTGCAGTGGTGTGATCTTGGCTCACTGCAACCTCTGCCTCCTGGGTTCAACTGATTCTCCTGCCTCAGCCTCCCGAGTAGCTGGGATTACAGGCACAGCTGGGATTACAGGTGCACACTAACAGGCCCAGCTAATTTTTGTATTTTTAGTAGAGATGGGGTTTTGCTATGTTGGCCAGGCTAGTCTCAAACTCCTGACCTCAAGTCATCTGCCTGCCTCGGCCTCCCAAACTGCTGGGATTACAGGCGTGAGCCACTGCACCCAGTCACAGAAGGTAATTTTCATATTTAACCTCTAAAAATATGGAACAATAAGACAGATCCATGGGTAACTCTGTTAATTTGATTCAATTTTATCTCTCACATACACAGCAGAAAAATTAAATAAGCCCTGAAGTGGTCCTTGGGAAAAATGTAAGAAATATTCACTGTTCCTCCAAAGGATATGTTCAGAGGCATCTGAAGTTTTACATTAACAAAAACTCTGTCAACTTGTCTTCCTTCAGCATTTACAATAGAAGCTTTCACAACAATAGCAGAACTCTCTTTGAGAAATTTGTTAGGTCATACAAAATTGCAATCTGGTGACCATTCAGGGAAAAAAAGCTCGTTCTAAACTGATGTGAAATTTAACATTCTTTCTTCCTGCCTCCACTTTAAGTGGTTGGAGCTCCAATAATTAAAACAAAGAATAAATAATAGTTTAAGGAGTCAATTCTGTGTATCAACACCCAACACAGTTCCTAGCACACAGTAGGTGCTCAATAAATATGTGCTGAATTAATCAGGAGAGAGGAGGGGAGGAAAGGAGGCAAAAATAAGGAATTATGCTTGTGCATAATTCAGGAATGATCTATAATCTGTTTACAGCAGTCTTTTAGAAACCATCACCTGCTTTATATCTTTCTGGCAGAGAAAAAAAAAAAAATCCCTAAACTCAAGAGGTCAAAGTCTACAATTCCCAACTCCCGAAGAATATATAATCCTAATCCATCTCTGAACTTCAATAAACATCTCTCTCCAAGAAAATGTTACGGAAGATGCTGCACAGTTTCAGAGAGCACTCTTCAAGAGGAACAGCAAAATTCACTTCCTCCAATAAGACTTCTATACCGCGCTGGGCACAGTGGCTCAGCCTGTAATCCCAGCACTTTGGGAGGCTGAGGCGGGCGGATCACGAGGTCAGGAGATCGAGACCTTCCTGGCTAACACGCTGAAACCCCGTCTCTACTAAAAAATACAAAAAATTATCTGGGCAAAAAATTATCCGGGCGTGGCGGCAGGCGCCTGTCAAGTCCCAGCTACTCGGGAGGCTGAGGCAGGAGAATGGCGTGAACCCGGGAGGCGGAGCTTGCAGTGACCCGAGATCGCACCACTGCACTCCAGCCTGGGCAACAGAGCGAGACTCTGTCTCAAAAAAAAAGACTTCTATACCAACCCTGCCCATCCATAAGGGCTCCTGATCTATACTTGCACAACTTACCTGGATATTTTGTAAACCATATTGACCGTTTATTCATTTGTTAACTATTTTTTTTTTTTTTTTTTTTTTTTAGACGGAGTCTCCCTGTCGCCCAGGCTGGAGTGCAGCGGCGCAATCTTGGCTCACTGCAAGCTCCACCTCCCGGGTTCACGCCATTTTCCTGCCTCAGCCTCCCGCGGGGGACTACAGGCATCCGCCACCTCGCCCGGCTAATTTTTTTTTTTTGCATTTTTAGTAGAGACGGAGTTTCACCGTGTTAGCCAGGATAGTCTGGATCTCCTGACCTCGTGATCCGCCCGCCTCGGCCTCCCAAAGTGCTGGGATTACAGGCGTGAGCCACCGCGCCCGGCCAATTCATTTGTTAACTATTCTTAGCACCTTCGCTACAACTGCAATTCCAAGCCTTTCCTCTTAATAGGAAATCAAAACTTGTCATTTCAAGTCTTCAACTGTGTACTCTACACTCTACCAACTACAATGACTTCTCTTTCGAAGGCAATACAAAGAAAAGCTGAACCCACTTCCTTTCTTTCTTTCCTCCTCCAAAACTCCCTCCGCCATTAAACAAGAGTCAGAAGAGCAGGATTTGGGCCTGAGCTCAGGCATTACTGCAGTACGAGGCCCGTTAAGCCTGGGAATCTGAGAAACCTTTTTCTAACTGCACTCTGCCTTCCTCAACCCATTTCTTCCCTCTTTTCTCAAACATGCATAGTCCTCTTCCATTTAAAAAAAATCTTTCACTTGAACTTAATCCTCCTCCTCATTGTTCTCTCTTCCATTTATTTCCAAATGTCCTAAAATTGGGTGGTGGACTATAGTCATAACTCATTTTTAAAAATCATTTAATTTCTCTTTAACCCATAAAATTTGGTTTCTGCACCTCCTACTCCAATTAAATGGCACCCTTGAACACCAGTAAGTTCTTTTTAGAAACTATCATAGAAAATTTAAAACATGTACAAAGTAAATACAAATAAACTCCTATGTACCCATCACAACACTTCAATAGTTGCCAACATTCTGCCATTCCTGCTTCATCTATACTTCCATGTATTCTCCACTCCATTTGATTGTCAGTTTCACCACATAAAACATACCTACACTGTAACCATTTTTATTGTAATTATAAACAATTGCACCCCTATCAGACACAGAACATCTCCATCACCCCCTAGAAAGTTTTCTCATATCCTTTCTCTTTAATTAGTTCTTAAACAAATCCAGGTGTCTTTTCTCACTTGTCAACCTCCTTGATTCTTGGCAGCATCTGAAGTTACTGAGTGAGCCTTTCTCTTGAAATTCCCCTTTTGATTTCTATGATGCAAAAGGATCTCAATCCATCCTCGAGTCACATCAGTTTTGGCGCCAAAATACACCTCAAGTCTGTCTTTCCTCCACTTCCAGTAACACCCATGAATGTAGTCCTACCCGAACAGCTGCACGTGCCTTCTCACCAGGCTCCCTGCTTCCACTCTTACCTCTTTCCAATCCACTGTCCAGACAGCAGACAGAGCCACCTCTTAAAATGCAAATCCTACACATCACATCACTCCTCGAGTGAACAGCCTTCAATGGCTGCCCTAGGCATGGAGAATAGGTCCACGTTGCACACTGTGGCCTCTGAGGTCTTGCAAGGTCTCTGTCTCTCTCTCTAACCTCCTGTCACACTTGGCCCACAGGTTTCTGAGAGTTCTTAGAAGAGGCCAAGGGCTTTTGCAGCTGTTTCCTGTGTCTAGAACACTGTTGCTTCAGCTCTCCACACAGCTGGCTCCCTTGCCCATTAGCTTCAGCTGAAATGTCCCCGTCTCAGAGAGACCTTCCTTGACTAGCTACGCTCTTCCTCCCAGCTGCCCTGCATGACATGGCTTTATTTTTTTCATAGTACTTACCATCATTTATAATTATTATCTTTATTTATATTTATTCATGTCTCCCACTAAAATGAAACCGCCTTGAGAGTAGGAACCATGTATTTTTGGTTCACTGTTGTATCCCATGATAACACGTGCTTAATAATTATTTATTGAAGGCCAGGCGCAGTGGCTTACACCTATAATTCCAGCACTTTGGGAGACTGCGGCAGGAGAATCACTTGAGCCCAGAAGTTCGAGACCAGCCTGGGCAACACAGCAAGACTCTGTCTCTACCAAAAAAAAAAAGAGAGCCAGGTGTGGTGGCACACACCTGTGGTCCCAGCTACTTGGGAGGCTGAGGTGGGAGAATTGCTTGAGGCTGGGTGGTTGAGGCTGCAGTGAGCTGTGAGCTGTGAGCTGTGAGCCGTGAGCCGTGAGCCGTGAGCCGTGAGCCGTGATCATACCACCACACTCCAGACTTGGTGACAGAGAAAGATCCAGTCTCAAAAAAAATATATTGAACAAAAATAAATTCAGCTGAAAATCACTTTTTGGTAAAAAATTCTCTACTTTTCCTCAAAACCTACTACCTTTCCTAATGGCCTTCTGTTAACAGACATCCACAAACTATGTAACCACAGCAAAATGACAAATTCCAGCCATACATTAAATCATTCCAAATATAAGATTTTATTGATTGATTGATTTACACCCTCGGAGGAGGAGAATGGACTGACCCCTGCGAGATGAGATCAGCCTCCAAATATAAGATTTTAAACAAAAGCAAACATCAGGAGGAAAAACATAAGAGCCTGAGTTAAACTAAGGCTGATGAAGTTGAAGTTATAATCTAATTTATAACAGAAGCATCCACTTAGTGCAAGTATAAAAAGAATGTTCTCTTATTCTTGAGTCTAATTCATTCTGAACTGATAAACTATTCAGTAATTGAAAAATCAAGAAAGCTAGTCATTTATTTTTCCAAAAAGAAGTTGAAAACTGAGTTTATGGCACAGTAATATATTCTATACCAGTCTAATTACATGTTCACCAAGCAATCTCCCAATTATACCTTCTCTTTCCAGGGAGAAAATGTACTAGCCAGAAATCCAATCTTCCTTTTTTTTGAGGCAGGGTCTGGCTTTGCTGCCCAGGCTGGAGTGCAGTGGCATGATCACAGCTCACTGCAGCGTCAACAGCCCTGGGTACAAATGATCCTCCTACCTCAGCCTCCTGAGTAGCTGGGACTGCAGGCATGCACCACCATGCCCAACTAATTTTTGTATTTTTTGGAGACAGGGTTTTGTCATGTTGCCTAGGCTGGTCTCGAAGTCTTGAGCTCAAGCAATCTGCCCACCTCGGACTCCCAAAGTGCTGGGATTGCAGGCATGAGCCCCAATCTTCCTTAACATTATATTTCACTATCAATTAGTAAATTAGGATCTTGAGGAAGGGTGTATATGTACCTCAGAAATTCTGGGGTGTGTGTATCTTGGGTGTCCTGGGTATGTGTGCCTCTGTGTGTGTGTGTGTGAGGGAGATTCCTAGATCGTGTGTGTACCTCACAGGCTCTGACTAACCCTACATCAGATTCAGGGTCTAAATGAGTCTGATGAAAACCTATATGCTTCTGCTTTAGCTACGGAAAGAAGAAAGAAATCTGGTGATATGGGAAAGGAAAACTAAGAGGACAGGATGACATCTGTCCCTCCACCCAAGCCACGGACTAGATCATAGCCCCGCAGAGGGGGCATTCAGAAAGAAATGGAAAGAGTTGTTTTCAGAGCTCCCAGGAAGAGCTACAGACAATTCTGAATGGACAGAGAGGGAAGTAAAAGTAATACTAAGGGTCTCATGTAACTATGTTAAGAAGCAGCCAAGGAAAATCAGCACATGGAGCCAGATATAGACAAAAATATAGATAAATATTTATATATAGGATTTATATATAGGATTAATATATATTTATTTTTATTTTATTTATTATATATATTTACATACAAGATTTGATGATGATAACACTCCTTAGGCTCTAGATTGAAAAAACAAAGCAAACAAATTACCATTTAAAAATTTATAATATGTAGCCATAAAAAAGAATTAAATCATCCAGGCATGGTGGCTCATGCCTGTAATCCCAGTACTTTGGAAGACCTAGGTGGGTGGAGTGCTTGAGATCAGAAGTGTGAGACCAGCCTGGACAACAAAGTGAGACCCCGTCTCTACAAAAAATACAAAAATTAGCCAGGTTTGGTGGTGTGCACCTGTAGTCCCAGCTACTCAGGAGGCTGAGGTGGGAGGATGGTTTGAGCCTGGGTGGCAGAGGCTGCAATGAGTCAAGATCGTATGACTGCACTCCAGCCTGGGCAATAGAGCCAGGCCCAGTCTAAAAAAAAAAAAAAAAAAAAAAAAAAAAATTAAATAACGTCCTTTGTAGCAACAGGGATACAGCTGAAGGCCATTATCCTAAATGAATTAACACAGAAACAGAAAACCAAATGCTGCATGTTCTCACTTATAAGTGGGAGCTAAACACTGGGTACATGTGGACATAAAGATGGAAACGGTGGACACTGGGGACTCCAAAAGGGAGAGGGAGGGAAGGGAACAAGGGTTCAAAGACAAGCTCTTGGGTACTATGCTCACTACCTGAGTGATGGAATCACTTGTACCCCAAGCCTCAGCATCACACAACATACTCATGCAACAAACCTGCACGTGTACCTCTAAATCTAAAATAAAATAAAATAAAATTTGTAATAGAAAAACACCTAAAAATTATCAGTGACTGCCTCTGTGCAGCAGGAACAGGGGACCAGCTTTGACTCCTGACTTTATATACTTCTGATTTTTTATAAGCCTATAGTAACTTTCGTAACAAACTTTAAAAGACATAGTATTAGTGTTCTAAAAATAAATTATAAAGTTCTCTGTAGTTCAGTAAAATTGTTTTAAATTAGCATATAGGATTAAAAAGTATACTGAAAAGAAAAAATATTTCTCAATCTTATGTTAGGTTCTAATTTAACTCAATCGAATTTTTACAGTCATGTAAAATGAAATACCCATTCTACTCATCCACAGCCTCTACTGTTCAATTTCTACCCAAACTGTACCTTTCAGTAATTTACTGACCTTGGAACTGCTTTCTTCCGATACTTCTCCCTCATTGGTTTGCATGGGAACAGATTTTGTGCAAAACTCTGCAGAAACACAAAAATACTGCCTAAAAGAAGAGAGAAGAAAAAAGTATGTAAGGAATTCAGGGCAAAAAAATTTTTTTTTCAAAGGTTTAGACTGAAATTCTCTCAATAAGGCCACAGATACTGTGAAGTAACTTTGAGTAACTTTGTGTGTGTGTGTGTGTCTATGCACATGCATCTTAAAGGTAAGAAAGGGAGGGAGAGAAGCAGGGAGGGAATGTTTCCCATCTTGGGGGAGAAGGGTAGATAGGAAAGGTTTCCAGCATTGGGATATTAATAGCTCTAGATTTCTTTCCCTATTTTATTTGGCTTTTGGCAGAGGTGGTGGTGAAATTCTTACAGCAGACACTGACCTGCAAGAAAGTATGGCAGTGAGCAAAGCGGCGCACCTGTTGTTCCGCCCCTGCAGGTCACAGTGCCTGGGTATTAGGCTAAGGCTATTGGAATTGGCAGGGTTTCCCGGGCTTATAATTTATGAATAACGTTCCTGCTTTCTTTATAACTGAAATTAAAGTACACTATAATGGCTGGCCCCACTTTTCATTTTTAGGAAATGTGCTTAATAAACTAAATGTCAGTTCATTTATTTTTATATGAGACTATTTATAGGGCAAGACAGTAAAAAGTAATTAAGTTTTCCTCAAAGAATAAAATGAGTCAAGAAAAAGTTTGTTAAAATTTTATGAATTAAAATGTACCAAAAGGAAACTACTAAAAATTTATGCAACATTTTCAAGAATTCATTACATATGTAATTATTGAGGAATATTTTTTTTTTTTTTGAGACACAGTCTTGCTGTGTCGCCCAGGCTGCAGTGCAGTGGTGAGAGTTTGGCTCACTGCAACCTCCACCTCCTGGGTTCAAGCGATGCTCCTGCCTCAGTCTCCCAAGTAGCTGGGACTACAGGCGCCTGCCACCACACCCGGCCGATTTTTGTATTTTTAGTAGAGACAGGGTTTCACTATGTTGGATAGACTGGTCTTGAACTCCTGACCTCGTGATCCGACCGCCTCAGACTCCCAAAGTGCTGGGATTACAGGCGTGAGCCACCGCTCCTGGCCCTATTGAGGAATAATTATTCAAATGACACAAATCTCCATTATAATACAGGTATGAATATTTACAAACCTATCAGCTACTCTAAAGCTCATAGCTACAAAACATAAAAACTAAAAAAGGCCAGGTGCAGTGGCTCATGCCTATAATCCCAGCAATTTGGGAGGCTGAGGCAGGTGGATGGCTTGAGCTAACGCGTTCAAGACCAGCCTGGGGGCGAAACCCCACCTCTACCCAAAATACAAAAATTAGCCAGGCGTGGTGACACATGTATGTGGGCCCAGCTACTTGAGAGGCTGAGGTGGGAGGACTGGTTGAGTCCAGGAGGTCAAGGCTGCAGTGAGCTGTGATCACACCACTGCACTCCAGCCTTGGCAACAGAGTGAGACCCTGTCTCAAAAAAAAAAAAAAAAAAAGGTAAAAAGATGCTGGTAGTGTATGTTTTTTGTGTGTGCAAGAAAAATCTATTAATGCACAACGCTTGATGATCTGTTTTGGTGTAGGCTTCTCTATAACCAGCCAAGACTCAAGGCTAAGAAGGCACTTCCAGGAAGCTGTTGCCTCATCTACTGGGTGGGAAGGGGTTACCAAAATATCTACTTTGCTCACCCACCTAGCAAGGTCTTGTTGGGAACAAATGCATATTTATGTGATGTGAAGTGTAAAATCAGTACAGTAGAAGCTCTCAATTGATATCCATTCACTTGCTCCCAGCTTAATCAACATTGCCCATCCTCTCTGTAAAACACATGAGGGATGCTCACAGCAAGTGAAAATAGGCTTTCTCTAGTTGATTTTGTCCCTCACCTATTTATCACAGTTGTGCAAAAAAAAAAAAAAAAAGTTCTCTTTCTATAAAAATTAGGTTGATAGCATTGGAAAAACTCAATAACTTATCCAGAAAGATTTTATGTGTAATTTGCTTCACAGATGTCTTTAAGTTCTCCTACTTCACTGAAACAGAGACTGCATTTCTCTGTTTCATTATAGGCATAGCTGAACCAGATGATGCATTATAGGCATAGCTGAACCAGAAAAACTCCTTGGAACTCCATTCATGCTTGCAGGCCTGTGCTCAGCACACTCCTTGGTCTGGTGCTGTACTGTCTGCTTCCTCCAGACCCACGCTCCATTCTCCGCCTAACTGTGTGCCCCAGGGGACACCATCATTGGGCTCCTTATCTTCTGGCTGCTGGCTGGGCTAAGCCAGTGGGAGGCACTGACTGGAGACAGGAGGTCGGGAGAGGAAGAAGGGATGGCAGTGGTTGTTTCTTCTATGAAAGGGCACTGCTCTCAACTTGCTGGCTTCTCCTTCAGCTTTAATCTTTTTACTTTCATCCTTTCTGGATTCTCCTATTTGGCTGTTCTATTTTTCTTAAGTCTCTTTCTAGCTTGACTTGCCTGGCTAAATTAGTTTTTTCCTTCTCTGACAATCACTGCTATTTCCCGTTACCGACTCCTCCTCCCTATCCCCCAACACTGCACACTGTCATCTCTCCTCCCCCATGCTATCACCCTCTACCCAAGGCTTTAACCAAGACTTCTGCCCCTCCACTCACTTCTTAAAATCCATCGTGTCCCAATAAGATCCTACCAAGGCCCAAGTCTTACCTTCTCTACTACTACAGCCCTCAGTTTTCCAACATGTTAGAATGGAAATAGGGAAACCAACAAAGGCTACTGAACCACCCAGTGGCTGACAACAATTGGGAACCTTACTATTGCTAGACCTGAAGCGGAAGGGGCAGTGACTGGAACCTGGAGGGGGAGCTGTGGCCGTCACTGAAGAGTCCAACAGACCCGAATGCTTACGGATGTGTGACCTTGAGGGAATTTACTCAATTTGTCTCAGTCTCAGCTTCCCTACCAAAACTTGGGAATAGTAGTTATTCTGAGGATTCACTGACAATGTATTTGCACTTGATACATAATAGGTACTTAATAAGTACATGGAGATGACCAACTCACAAGACATTCTCTACTCTGAATTCTTATTCTTTCAGGGTCCGATCCCCAGTGATCTCCATTTCCCTTTGGACATGCTGTGAAAGGGGAATGCTTCTTCCTGGCTCCTGAGTTTCCACCTTTGGCTCCTCTCCACCTGCACACAATCCACTCCAGAGAAGGTAACAGGATCTTACTTTAATGGTGAGTTTGGAAGGAGAAACAACGTAGGTGGAGCTCAGCCCTGTCTTTTCCTTCCTTCTGGAAACCAGCTGCCCCAGGAAGCCTGCATTCTCCTCTTCTCCTCCACCCATAAACACAGGACCCTCACAACTACCCGTGAGTAGGTCAGTCTGTGTTATTATGAAGTTCAGTGTTAAGTTCACTGGCCTGTAGATGTGTCACATTCTCCAATACAGCTTTTTTTTTTAAGCCCGGCCCCTCTGCCCAGTGGCACACATAATAGCAGTGGCAGCGGGAATGGGCGGTCCAATACCGCTTTATTAGTCAGAGAAACAGTATTTTGGTCTCCCAAATGCCCTCCTTTTAAAAAGGAGGGAAAAATGAAAAGTGTAACAATTTCTCGCTGCATATAAGCTTTTAAAAAGGAGGACATTTGGGAGACCAAAATATAGAGAGCCCAGTCAAGGGAAGGAGAGTGCTATTTATTGGGTCTCAAAGACCCTAACTTCTGGTGCGTGGCACCAAAATTTTGATAAATAGACAAGAACTAAAATTCAAGGGAGTAAAATACATGTGGCATTTTTGAGGCTTCTGTTAAGGCCAGGACTTTGGGCCTTGGACTTTAATGAGGGGGCACAGTATTTTCTTGTAGAAGCTTATATTAGGCTTTTTACTGTTGTTTTTATAGTTATACACTAGCTTGTAACTATTGAGGCTGAATTAGAGGTTTATAAACCATAGGCACACAGTATTTTGACCTTAGCAGCGACTGTAGTTATGGCAACTTTGTCTTCACGTAAGTGGCTGTTTCTATAGAGACAAGGCTGCGTACACTAGGCACATAAGCCTTAGCAAAGGGTTGGGGGCTTTGCAGGCCTCATCAAGAAACAAGCCACAGACGGTTGTGGCGGTGGTGGTGATGCTGGTATTGAAAGCTCATTTACATATCAGCTGTGCAGGCAGTCTCAGCATACACTGGCTGCTCTGGCCTAGCAAGCAAATGCCAGCTGTGCTGGCCTCAGCAAAGGGAATAGGGCATTAGTGGGCTTGGGTGGCTTCAGTGTACAGAAGGCTGCTGCTTGACCTTGAATTATGCCGGCACAGCTTTTCCTAAGCAGGCATGGCTGAGGAAAGATTAGACTTCAGGGAAAACAGACTTTCTTCCTACAGGCCTTTTAGACATCAGAAAGTGGAACAATTACTCGCTGCATATAAGCTGCAAAGCAGCTGAATTTCAAATAGCACACATGCATTACAAAACCAGTGAAGTTTTTCCTTTAAATTGCTTGTGCTAGGTTTATATAGGTGATTCAAAAGGAAAATGAAAATTAAGAGGTTTCTGGCTATACAAGGAAGGAAGGAAGGACGGAAGGGAGGGAGGGAGGGAGGAGGGAAAGGAGGAAGGAAGACTGGCATAACCCTGGCTGACCTAGACTTACTGGTTAAGAACAATGTACTAAGAAACAAAAGCTAGGGAATGCTAGGGGAGGAAAACTTTTTTCCCTGCTCCTGATGCTTCCTTCCACATGGGACAATATCCAATTTTTCATATTCCTGGCCTTGTATCCCTGACTCAGGCTGTCAGGGGTGAAGTCACTTCTCTGATGAGTGTGTTTGGAAGAAGAAACCAGGCTTGCATAGTCCAGCCCTTTTCTCTCCCTTTTCCCTTGGGGACACCTGTTCTGCTCTGCTCCTTTCGTTGGCTAGGAGGCAGGCGAGAAGGCAGGTCTATCCCAGACTAGTGGTGGTGGGCGAATAAACCTGTTAAGTCCTGCAGTTCAGTATTAAAAATCTGCTTGCCCTTAGATTTAAGCCAGTTCTCCTATGGCAACTTTATGAATGATAAACGTGAAATTTTGATCTCCACCTGTCTGCCTTACTCCTTTGTGCTAAGTCTCTGTTGGTTCAGAACTTGAGCAGGGAAGAGAATATTACTTATTGGATACCCTTTGATCTCAACTTATATCTGACATGTATCCTCCTCAGAATTAAGTTCAGTTTTCCATATCAGCCTTGTCTTCCAAATTATTCCATTACCACAGCATTAATCACACACTTTTACTTCCTAAGCTTTTCACTAACCTCATTTCTAATTACTCTCAAAGCACCCTGTATTCTGCATT
This sequence comes from Homo sapiens, assembly GCF_000001405.40. Classification (NCBI taxonomy): domain Eukaryota; kingdom Metazoa; phylum Chordata; class Mammalia; order Primates; family Hominidae; genus Homo; species Homo sapiens. Next base: position 40,120,487 of record NC_000022.11, on the reverse strand, counting down.
CACGCAGGCAAATCTTTCCATTCTCAGCACACAACATGCTAATCTCTCTCTATGTATATCCTAGTCCACACCCTACTGGAAAACCCTTCCCCTCATCACCAATCCACATCTCTACCCTTCTAATATCTATTCAGTATTTTTTTTTTTTTTTTGAGACAGGGTCTCACTCTGTCACCCAGGCTGAAGTGCAGTGGCATGATCACGGCTCAATGTAGCCTCAGCCTCACTGGGCTTCCCAAGTAGCTGGAACTACAGGTACACATCACCATGCCCAGCTAATTTTTGTATTTATGGTAGAGTTGGGATTTCACTATGTTGCCCAGGCTAGTCCTGAACTTGTGAGCTCAAGCAATCCACCTGCCTAGGCCTCCCAAAATGCTGGGATTTAGGTGTGAGCCACAGTTCCTGGCCTCCAGTCAATTTTTATTTCTAAAAATCTTTCCTGATTAAAACCATGTAATGTGCCCACTTACTAAATGTCATATTGATACCCATTTTTATCTTTGTCCTTTATTTCACTTGCTCTCATTTTTTGTTGTTTTGGAGCTGTCCTTAGTTTTCAATGTTTCTTGAACAAACCTTGATAACATTCTTGTTTGAAGGCATGGCTTATGGTTGTGTCTAGGGCAACTTTACTTTCCTTTTGACAAAACAGAAGGTAAGTAAGGTAGGCAATGCAGAAGTGTGCGGTTAACTAAGGGTTCCATGTAAGAAGTGACAAAGTCTAATGTATCAGTGCTAACAGAGTCACAAAAAAGTCAGGGCAAAGCCCACTTACATGAAAACTAGAGGGGTGAACAAGTCATGCCAAAGTGACAAGTCATGTCCCCTCATGAGATGATGAGACAACACACAAGTGTTTACGTATGCATGTATGTATGTATGTTATCTATGTATGTATTTAGAGACAGAGTCCTGCTCTGTTGCCCAGGTTGGAGTGCAGTGGTGCAATATCAGCTCACTGCAACCTCTGCCTCCCAGGTTCAAGCGATTCTCCTGCCTCAGCCTCCCAAGTAGCTGGGACTACAGGCACGTGCCACCACGCCTGGCTAATTTTTGTATTTTTAGTAGAGACAGGGTTTCACCATGTTGGCCAGGCTGGTCTGGAACTCCTGACCTCAAGTGATCCGCCCGCCTAGGCCTCCCAAAGTGCTGGGACTATAGGCGTGAGCCACCGTGTCCGACCGACACAAGTGTTTAATTTCTGTTTTTGCACATCACTTCAACTTGGAGCAGTCACCAGTCTGTGACCTGTGGTAGGTGGTGGATAGTCTTGACCTGGCACAGTGCTTGCTACACACATGACAGGACTCAGCAAATGTTAAGAACTAAATACAAGTAATGTCCTACAGTACCTGTGCAAGTTCTTCCAGGAAAATTGCCAAATATGTTAATATTTTCAAGAGCCCTCCAGGATCCAGCCCTTGCCTGTCTCTCCAGCCTCGTCTGCCTGGTCTCTGTTCCATTTGTTCCAGCCGTAATGAACATCTTACAGCTTTGCCAATATGGCAGACTGTTTCAGGTTTCCATGTTTTTGTTGCTATCACTCCCTCTGCCTTTCCCTCCTCTGGTGCCACAAGGGGAGACCCTACTTTCCAATCAAGGCTCAGCTTTTATGAACTATTTCCTGATCCATCTCTAGGCAGAAATAATGATTCCTTCCTCAGTGCCTCCAGTGGATCTTGTTTGAATTCTATTATGGGATCTGTAACACTTTATTGGATTTATTTACTCACATAGATTCCTCTATGTGATAAGGATTAGACTGTCAACCCCTTGATACCAGACGCTATATCTTGTTAATCTCTGTATTCAGTCTACTCAAAACTGTGTACCTGGCATTTAATATGTATTCAATAAATTTCTATGTAAGAATGACTGAATTAATCAATGACAGTGCTTTTTCTTTAAAATGCAATAGATATCAATTCAATAAACATTTACTGTGCCTCTATCACATGCCAGATGGTGCTGGGATACTGTGTTATGCTGGAATGAGCTGTGGCTTTGAAAATGTAGAACCGTTCTTCTTTGTCAGTTATTAGCTGTGTGGTCTTGGGCAAGTTATTTAACTTTCTAATCCTGATATTTTCATCCATAAAGCTGTGCAGGAAAAGGTGTTATAAAGACTAAATTAAACAATGTGTGTAGAACTCTTAGCAAGGTGTCTAAGAGCATTTTATCTTATTTCTCTATACTACTGAGGCTGAACTGGAGGTTCAAAAACCATAGGCCACACAGTATTTTGACCTTAGCAGTGGCTATGGTTATGGCTACTGTCTTCAGGTAAGTGGCTGTCTCTATAGAGACAAGGTGCATACACTAGGCACATAAGCCTAGCAAAGGGTTGGGGAGAAATTCATCATCAATTTATCATCCTACCCTGGACCCCTCATATTAGCTCATATTAGCAATCCTACCCTGGACCCCTCATATTAGCAAGTCCTATCATTTTTGCTTTCAAAATTTGTTTCTCAGATCCACCCACAATTCTTCATTTTCACTGCTGTCATCCTTTCTTGCTTGTGGGGGCCTCTTTTAGGCATTGAAAATAGGTTAGCTCCTTTCCAAGCAGTCTCAAAGGGTTTATATATTAGTAAAGGAGACAGATACAAATAAACAACTTTAATATAAAATATTGAATAATTTATTACTGTAATAACAACAGGTGCTCTTAGAATACAGATGAAAAAGAAATTCTGCCAAGGGAGTTTGGGAGAAGAAGATAACAGGAAAAATACAACAAGAAGAGTAGATAGTCACATTCTTCTCCCTGCTTCCAAGCTCTAAAAAGAGAAAAGCATCAACCAAGGCACAAAGCCACGAAAAAATACTATATATATATCTAGGGAAAAGAAAATGGTCCATTAAGGCTTACAGATAAGGATTCACTAAAAAAGCAACCAGAAATGTTGACTGGAATTAGGTTTGAAGGGATCTGTGGGACAACATCTGCAGCAACTGGATGCCATGAGGGCTGTTTAAGCAAAGGCATGACCTGAGTAAATCTATCATTCAGAAAGTGAACCCTGGCAGTAATGTGGACTACAGACCGCAGCAGGGAAAGGTGAGAGACAGAGACGCTAGGGGAACACTCACATAAAATTCACATAATCCTAATAACTAAGTTGTAGCTTTCTAGCATGAGGCACCAAATGTCAGTATCCATCTAAATACCAGTGCTTTTAAAAGGCACCTACCATATAGTAGGAAAGCAAGGGGCTGGTATGATGGTCACCTTAAAAATATCTTTCTGTAAGAACTTGGTAAAAGGGCAACAATGTTTTTGAAAAAGTACTTTTCTTCTTTTTAAGAAGACTATTGCCAATACATGGTAGATATATATTTTAAAAACTTACCTTTGACAGTACCTGGGGCAACACAAGCCCGTGAAGATGAGTCTAGGTTACATTCAGTGCAAAAAACCACAACCCTGAAAAGAGAAAAAAATCACTATGAACTGTATGCTCATAGCAAGATGCCACATGAAACAGTGGCACAGGCAGACTTGTGGAAATCCAGCTCCTCCTTTCACCAGCTATTGTTTCTAGGCCCGCAGCCCAACCCCTCAGAGCTCAGCTTCCTCAACCAACACTGGGAACAATAACAACACCTTCTTCATAGGGTTCTTTTGAAGTTTAAATGAAGTATGTGTAAAACTCTTAGTACAGGGCAGGATACCAAACACATGCTCAATAAAGGCAAGTGGTTATTAATATTAAGGCTTTGTACAATCAAGGGCATCACCCCCTACCCAGGTGTTTAGGTCAGACCCTGACATCCGTCATGAATTTCTCACCCAACCCCTCATATCAGCCCATCAGCAAGTCCTATCATTTCCTCTTTCAAAATCTGTTTCTCAGATCTACCCATAATTCTTCATTTTCACTGCTGTCCTTCTTGCTTGTTGGGGCCATTTCGCTGGTTCTCTGTTCCTACTCTTGCTCCTCCCCAATCCATTCCCCCATAATGGCTGGAACAGTCTCTTCAAAATCAATTCATAGCAAGTTGCTAGTAAATGCAGTAAATATTTTATTTATTCCATGATGGAATCTCTCTCTGAAATATATATTCATGTATTTGAATACAGAGATATAGGAATATATATTAAATGGCCAGCAACTTCATTTTACAATGAACAAACAAACGCAGAAGGAATGCTCCTCAAGGTTGGAGCTACCTATGTGTGTGTAGGTGCTCAAAGCAATGGCGAGCCCAGCAGAGGCTCATCTGGGACCAGCATCTACACCGCTGTCAGAAAGCTGGCACTATTTGGAAGTTGGCCCCTTAGTTTCACAGTCAACCCAATACTTCTGTCCAAGACAGCGTGCTCCATTCCCCACAGCTAGAGATTGTAAGTCAGGGCTTCAGCCCCACGTTAGAGCACAGTGCTGAGATGGTGCTGCAGGGAATCTGAAAGCACCTCACTGCCCTGCTATCTGTCGTCCCCTCTATTTGACTTACTTTATTTAATAGTGTTTGAATCAATACATCTCAGATGGAACTGTGATGAGAATTAGAAATATTTTGACTTGTCTCCCTATCTCCCTACTGTACACTGTATCACAGCAGTCTTTCTTGCTGAAGAGCAAATTTGACCTCTGGGTATCTCGCCACCTAAATTCAGTCAATAACTACCTTTAGGGTAAAATCCAAGGCCTCTCCAGACCCATTATCACTTCATGACTGCACAGTTTCCTTACTCACAACACACACATTAATGTCTGAGAGCCCTCTGCCTATTCCCTTCCCCTTTTCCTTTAGGTGTTATCTCCTAGAAATTTTCTGTATCCTCCCTGGTTGGACAAAGTGTTCCTCCTCCGAGATACACATTATATTGGTAATATCCACGGGTCCATTTTCTTCACTCAGCAGGAGCTCCTTGATAGCAAGGACCATGTCTGACACACCTTTGAATTTGGTATTGGGTAGAGTCCAATAAACATAAGCTGAACTGAATCCCAATGGGATCCCAGCAATTCAGTACTTGAATGTGGATGGGTCCCCTAATTAAATGCATTGGTAAAAATTGAAGTTAGCTGCAACCTCCAAGATGGGTCTGGCCCTTACAGAGAACTCGAGGCTACGTGGTTATGTCTGACCCTCAGCACTTCAGAGGACGACTGGATTCATTAATTTTTTGTCAACCGCAGAGACTATCAAGAGAATAACACTAATTTTTAGTTCCCTATTCTGATTAAAGTTTCCCGCTTAGGTTAAAACACAGCCTCTTCTCTGGATCTATCATTAGTCCAAATAGTGTGCCAACCCTGTAAAGTTGTTCATTACATGTCTCCTTAACAGACAAGGCTAGAAAGAGACCATGTCACTCAGTCCCTAGCCTGCTTGGCAGTGAGTCTCAGACACTGCCTGTATTCAGAAGGGAGGGGAAAAAAAGAATTAAGGTAGAGGACAGGTAGGCTAGGGAAACTGAGCAGTTTTCCAAGTACTCTTGAATCCAGGTTTTACAGAACAGCTGCATTACTTTCTCTGCCAGGCTGTGAACCTCTGTATCAGGTACACACGTATTCAAAATAAACATAAAAATTAATTATAAAATCAACATTTGAAATTATCTAGTTGAAGTTACCTACAGCACTATTTTCCTTCCAAGGTATAAATAGCGGCAAATTCCTCCACAACTGCTTTGAAATGCTCAGAACTACACGGTAATCCTACCATCTGATCAGGTACAGCTGCAGCAGTAAAACTGTGAACCACTCCAGTTTTCTCTCTTCTCTTTCAGAGCAGCCAAACTAGTCTTGGAATTCATAGAAGGGGTGGGAATGTTCAGTGGATCTTGGGTTAAATCAATCCCCAGGTCCTGCTAAACTGCAAGCCGGCTGCAAGAATTCCTCTAGGCCGGGCGTGGTGGCTCACTCCTATAATCCTAGCACTTCACTTTGAGAGGCCGAGGCAGGAGGATCAGTTAAGCTCAGGAGTTCGAGATCAGCCTGAGCAACACAGGAAGACCCTATCTCTACAAAAAAATGTAAAAAATTAACGGGGCATGGTGGCATGTGCCTGTAGTCTCAGCTACTAAAGAGGCTAAGGCAGGAGAATTGCTTGAGTCTGGGAGGTCAAGGCTGCAGTGAACCATGATTACACCACTGCACTCCAGCTTGGATGACACAGTAAGACCCAGTCTCAAAAAAATGAAAATAAAAATAAAGAATTCTTCCAAAGCCAAGTACCTAACTAAACTCACAGGATTTAATTAGAACTAAATCTTTCCTAGAGAATATGGCAAGTTGAAAGAAATACATATTCAACAAACTATATTTATTTTGCTGGTATCTTACTAGTATCACCTCTGAGTATGGCAGGGTTTTAATTTTCAAACTTGACTATTCAGCACAATTATTTTACATTTAAATTCTCATTTTAAAAATTCAAGCAGTATAGAGAGGCTCTTAACCAATGTCCCCTCTCCTTCCATTCCAGTCTTCCCAGGACTCACCACTCCTATCAGTTTGATATCCAGCATAATTCTTGGGATACAGATTATTAAGAATACACTATAAACTTTTAATTGAGTCGCAAATAACTCTGAAAACCCTGTCTGCCTACATTGTTGGCAACTGGCCTAACTTCAAGCAAGATGTCCAGAAGAGATGTCTTAAGTGAGGCAGCAGATGTGAGGGAGGAGCACAACACCAGCAAGGAGGCCTGGAAGGTCTTCCCAGGAAGCAAGGGGGGATGCCAGGAGACTTGGTGGCAGACAGGAGGGTACCACCCATCCAGCTCTGTGAGCAGGGCACCCAGCCCAAGCGGACAAGAAGATATCTAGTTAATTAAGTAACACAAATAATAATATCAAAAGTTTAAGGAGGCCACGTGTGGTGGCTTACACCTGTAATCCTGGCACTTTGGGAGGCAGAGGTGGGCAGATTGATTGAGCTCACGAGTTCAAGACTAGCCTGGGCAACCTGGTGAAACCCCATCTCTACAAAAAACACAAAAAAATTAGCCCAGCATTGTAGTATGCACCTGTAGTCCCACCTACTCAGGAGGCTGAGGTGGGAGGATGGCTTGAGCCTAGGAGGCAGGGGATGCGGTGAGCCTAGATCACACCACTGCACTCCAGTCTGGGCAACAGAGCCAGACCTTGTCTCAAAAGGAGCACAGGTGGAGGTAGATCTGCTAGAAACAGATGGTTTTATTTAGTCCCCATACACAAGAGATTTACCATCATTCCAAGACCTGGAAATACTATCTTTGCAGTTTTAGGCCACTCCCTACTTCACTTCAACGCTTTGGAAGTTCTGTAAAAATACTGTCTGTCCATTCCTAAAAACATCCTCTTTAACCTTAAAATCTGTTCTAGCTATTGCGCTCCTCCTCCCCTCTTTCCCTTCCTAGTCCAGCTTTTGTTGTTGTTGAGATGGAGTCTTGCTCTGTCGCCCAGGCTGGAGTGCAGTGACGCAATCTCAGCTCACTGCAACCTCCACCTCCCAGGTTCAAGCAATTCTCCTGCCTCAGCCTCCTGAGTAACTGGGATTACAGGTGTGTGCCACCATGCCTGGCTCTATTTTTAGTCGGGGTTTCACCATGTTGACCAGGCTTGTCTTGAACTCCTGACCTCAAGTGATCAACCCTCTTTGGCCTCCCAAAGTGCTGGAATTATAGGCGTGAAACACTGCACCTGGCCTAGTCAAGCTTCTAGAAAAAGCAGTTTATATTTGTGGTCTCAACATACTAATTTCTCATTCACTTATTAATCATCACAACTTGATTTCTGTCCCTATCAATCTCAGTGTCAATGCAACAGATACTATTCAACTGTTCTTCCTTTAATCTTTCTCTAGCATTTAAAAGTCAGAACCATTGTCTAAAAATAAACACAAAATAAATAAATAAAAATCCGAAGCAGAACCACCTGAAACCTGTCATTTGGGAGCTCCTTTCCTGTCTTAAGAGTAAGGATACTGAAGATCCAGCCACTGGGCCAGGGGCATCCTGTTTTAGTTCCTGGTATCCAGGCTGTGTCGGGTCCTCCTGTTCCCTTGGGTCTGCAACCAGCCTTCTTATCATGGGCAGGGTTTGGGGTGGGTGAGACGGTGAAAAGCTGCTGCTTCAGCTGCTGCTGTACATGGCAGACTGGGGGACAGGGTCATGGAGAGGGAACCAAACTCAACTCTTGGCTTCACGGATTGAACTCAGTTCTGATGCCCAATCTGACATGGAGCAGGTTTAGTCCCTTCACCCACCCCCCTGGAAGGGCCCACGGCAGTACTTTTGCTACCTCTTGGTCTGTTTCTTTCCAGTCTGTTTCACAGGACAGTTTTTTTTCTCCCTGTCCTTTCATTACTGGTGTATTCCTCCTCCGGAGTCCACACCTCCCTTTCTCTTTTTATTACACACCCATCCTTTTGCTTTCTCTTTTTTGAGAGGGAGTCTCACTCTGTTGCCCAGGCTGGAGTGCAGTGGCGCGATCTTGGTTCACTACAACCTCTGCCGCTGGGTTCAAGCAATTCTCCTGCCTCAGCCTCCCAAGTAGCTGGAATTACAGGCGCCTGCCACCGCACTCAGCTAATTTTTGTATTTTTAGTAGAGTTGGGGTTTTACCATCTTGGCCAGGCTGGCCTTGAACTCCTGACCTCGTGATCCACCCGCCTCGGCCTCCCAAAGTGCTGGGATTACAGGTGTGAGCCACTGCGCCCAGCCTGGTCTTATGCTTTCTCATAGATACAGCTTCCCCCTGGATCTTGATGACTCCCAAGTCTTTCTCTAGTGCTGACCTTTCTTACAGTCTTTAGAACTATCTACATAACTGCCTGATGCAGCTCCACCTCAGGTGCCACAGGGCCCTAAAATAAAACAACCCTCCCCCAAAGCGTGTTCTTCTGCCTCACTTGGGAATACTGCCATCCCACTCAAATCAGAAGTCTGTGAACATCAGCAGTTCCTTCCTCTCACCAAACTGTCAGTTCTAATTCCCAACTATTCTAGTATATACTTCCTTATTCCTACTGCCACTGACTGCCCTGCTTCTGGCATAGCTTCTCACCACTCTTAAGCTAGTTATCTTTTCAACTGGTTTTCCTACCCTCAAGACCCACCCCTCCCCTACACCACTAGAATTACCTTTAAAAAGTAGAAATCCTTACTGCCTTTGCAATGTGCCTCAACCACCCTGTAGATAAAACCCCATTCCCACTGCGGTCGGCGAGGCCTGGTCCCTGCTCACCCCGGTCCCTGCTCGCCCCACTGCCTTCGCCTCCAAAGCCCAATTGTTTTCCATTTCCCTTGAGCACCACGTGGTTTCGCGTGCCGTTGAACGTGCTGTTTGCACCTGGACTGCCTTCCCACGGACAGGACAAATTTCTTCCCAACTTTCAAGATGCAGGCTTAGGGAAACCTGTTCTGTGAAGTCTTTCCTGACTCCCTCTTCTCACAGGTGATCTGGACGGATCCTTCCCCTGGTGAGCAACTGCACTCAGAACACACACTAGGCTTGCTTATGTGTGTGTACACTAGGAGGTGGTAAGCTTCCCGGTCTAAGGCTTCCTTATCACTGTCATTCAATATAGTGCCAGCACAAAGGACGTTCCCAATAAATTATTGTGGAATAAACACACACATTTTTATGAAAAAACTAAAATCAACTCAATACAATATGACATTCTGAGCTTACAAAAACAAAGCTGGGGCTTATCAGCTGTAACAGTCTATGAGGGCAGTGTACTACTTGCACAGCATCCCCAGACTTCCTGGGAGAAGCAGTGAAGGAAACTTTGGGACTGATGGTAGGACCCTGGCACAAGAATGTTAATCTGATTTTTATGTCTTGGAAGTCAGGAAAGGTTGCCTAAGAAAAACAAACTCAGTCCAAAGTAGGAATGACCAGAAAGACTCATACCCAACCTTGGGGTATTAATCCAGCTTGCTCAACTAATTTATGCCCTCCAGCCTGGCCCCAGAATAATCTGTCAATTCTTTAACAGAAAAGGCTTGAGAAAGTAAGACTGCCTTCTAAAAGCCTAAAACAACTGCAAATCACTTACAGGTAGAGGCAGGGATGGTAGGGAATTCACCGAGGGTTACAAGAACAGCAGAGGCAGCTACTGAAACAGCAGATTCAACTCAACCAGCTTTACTGAATGCTTACTAAGTACATGGCACTGTGCTCAGCAAGTTTTCAGAGCAAGGGCCTATGTCCAGGTTTTATTGCAATTGTTGGTCACATAAGAATTAAGCAGATTAGAGGTAATAAATATGTTAACTGGGTTGACTTAATCATTCCATATTATATTCATAAATCACAATATCACTTTGTACCCCATAAGTATATGCAATTATAATTTGGCAATTTACATTAAAAATTAAAATTAAAAGAAATAATTAAGCAGATTAACATGTTAACTTTTGTGACCAATTTATTGGTGATTAAAGAAAAACCTTTGTTCTTTTTCTATATTGCATATTGATTTTATGAGGTGAGATTGTTCACAAATTTTAGATGTATACTGCTTCTCCAATTAACCAGTGAGTTGAACATTGATAATGATGATAGTAATATGAATAATCATTAACAATTGTTTATGCTGTGCCCCGCACTGTGTACCTTGGAAGTCTAAAAATCTCTCATTTCAGATCTGATCCCCTTTTTCAGGGGCCTTACACTAAATATAAGGAGAAAAAAGCTAAGCGCTAAGCTGAGTGGCACAGAAGTTTAGAGAACGTAGAGAAAACGGTGAGCTAGATAACCTGTGCCGCCTTCAGAGAGAAACTGGGATTCCAGCTGGAACTGACAGGATTTGAAGCAGGTGATTCTCAAACCCTTTTGTCTCAGGATCCCTTTACACTTACGAAAATTATGGAGGACCTCAAAGAGCTCTTGTTTATCTTAATTTTAATTATCAATATTTGCCATACTAAAAATTATAACTATGAAACATCAGAAGTATTAGTTCATTTATTCGGCCAACAAACTTAAAAAAGCTCACTATCACTGATCATTAGAGAAATGAAAAACCACAATGAGATGCCATCTCATGCAAGTCAGAACGGTGATTTTATATTAAAAAGTCAAGAAACAACAGATGCTGGCAAGGCTGCAGAGAGATAAGAACGCTTTTACGCTGTTGGTGGGAATGTAAATGAGTTCAACCATTGTGGAAGACAGTGTGGTGATTCCTCAATGACCTAGAACCAGAAATACCATTTGACCCAGCAATCCCATTACTGGGTATATACCCAAAGGAATATAAATCATTCTATTATAAAGATACATACACGCGTATGTTCACTGCAGCACTATTCACAACAGCAAAGACATGGAATCAACCCAAAGGCCCATCAATGATAGACTGGATAAAGAAAATGTGGTACATATACATCATGGAATACTATGCAGCCATAAAGAGGAATGAGATCATGTGCTTCGCAGGAACACGGATGCAGCTGGAAGCCATTATCCTCAGCAAACTAATGCAGGAACAGAAAATCAAACACTGCATATTCTCACTCATAATTAGGAGCTGAACAATGAGAACACATGGACACAGGGAGGGGAGCAACACACACTGGGCCTGTTGGCTGGGGGTGGGTGGCGGGGGGAGGGAGACATCAGGAAAAATAGCTAATGTATGCTGGGCTTAATATTTAGGTGATGGGTTCACAGTGCAGCAAACCACCATGGCACATGTTTACCTATGTAACAAACCTGCACATCCTGCACATGTACCCTGAAACTTAGAAATAATAAACTATTGCTTTTTAAATTAAAAATGGTATTTCAAAGGATTAAAAATTTGAGGACAGTGGCACTGTTTTACATCTTTGCAAATTTCTTTAATGTCTAGCTTGAGCAACAACAGCTGCACCCAAATATATACTTTTGCATTCAATCTTTTGCAGTATCACATGTCTGGAAAAACTCCAATGTGCACTCATGGGAGAATGAATTTAAAAGGCATACAGCATCTTAGTATTATTAAAATAGTTGTGACCTTCTGAAAGGGTCTTGGATGGGAGGAAGGAGCACACTTTGACAAGTGTTCATTGAAAAAGATAAAGAAAATGGTCTAAGCAAGCAAGAGCTGGGCAAGAAGGAAATGTGTGGCTCCTAAGCCCTAACTTCCAAGAACACAAACCCCTACTCTTAACAGCTCACCTATAACCAAGCTAACCTCCGTGGTGAATCTCAGAGACAGAGATGGCCAGGGCAAGGCAGGGTTCTGCCGGGCTGTGCAGGGTGGTGCTGACAGCAGTGCCACCAGGGAGGCTCTACTGCCCTGGGCAACATTCTCTAGAGGCCACGTCAGGTTTTCCTCTCCAGAGCCTCCACTGTGCTCTCCTGCTAGAAGAGAAGCTGTAAATGGCTTACCAGAACTGCCTTGCCATGGCTTCCCAGGGCTGTGTTTACTAACTGCAAAATCATCTCCCTGCTGCAGTCTCAAAGTCTTCAGACATTTCTTGATCTGGCTGTCTTAAAAAGCAAATTTAACATCAGCCACGTAGCCAGGTTTTCCTTGCCAACAATCATGTGAGTTTGCTATTCTGTTCCTGTGCATCTTGCGCACTGTAAAAACAGTTCCTGGAGCATCATATGTCATGGATCTAGTTGCCATAAACTGAAAACATTTTCTTCATATTTTGTGGCACAAACTAAAAGCATTCTGGATGCGGTTTGCATACAGTCCATCTCTGGCCAAAAAAGAGGTTTAAATTTATGGATAAACAGAGAAAGGGGGGTAGCCACTGCCTTAGTTAAAGCCATTTTATTATCAAAGTCAATGTTGGATAGTGTGTATTTTTTAATTTAATTTTTTCCTGTGATTAATGTTCTGAAATTATCCTGCAATAAGTATAACCATGTTCATTTTATGTAGCGAGCTTAAATTTGTCTAACAGTATTTTATAGCTGACAGAAGCAGAGAGGAAACAGAAGCTTCTTTTTGGTCTCTTAAAATAAAAATAAAAAATAGAAACAGTCATGAATCTATATAGTTTTTCAGTCTTTTTTTATTTTTTAGTAAACATATTCATTAAGGCCCCTTAACAAGACGGGACAGATCATTTTTAAGTCAAAGTGAAACTGAAACTTTAAAAGACATTTCTGCTTCTGGGAATGGTAAACCAGGTAATGAAGACCAACCATTCTGCTGAGGACAGCCAGAAAGTCTGGATAGAATATTTAAAAATTTTTAAAGGCAGAGGAGTACTAATAAGTTAGCTAAGAATTGCCATACACAAAAATCAAATTCCAGGTGAACTGTATACTCAAATGTGAAAGATAAATAATAAAGCTTTTAGAAGATAATATGGGAAAATGCTTCATAGCCTAGGGGTAGGGAAGGATTTCTTAAATAGGATACAAAAAGTACCTAGTATTAAAAACCTGACAAACATGACTACATGAAAATTAAGAGTATTTGTTCATCAAAAGATACCCTCCCTCTTTTTCCGGCTGGAACCACGGAGGGTGTAGAAAAGAAGAAGAAGAAGGTTCCTGCTGTGCCAGAAATCCTTAAGAAAAAAGTGAAGGAATTTTGCAGAGCTGAAGATCAAGCGCCTGAGAAAGAAGTTTGCCCAAAAGATGCTTCAAAGGGCAAGGAGGAAGTTTATCCATGAAAAAGCGAAGCACTGTCACAAGGAACATAGGCAGATGGACAGAACTGAAATTCGAATGGCGAGGGTGGCAAGAAAAGCTGGCAACTTCTATGTACCTGCAGAACCCAAATTGGCATTTGCCATCAGGATCAGAGGTATCAATGGGGTAAGCCCAAAGGTCCGAAAGGTGTTGCAGCTTCTTCGCCTTCCTGAAATCTTCAATGGAACGTTTGTGAAGCTCAACAGGGCTTCAATTAACATGCTGAGGATTGTAGAGTCATATATTGCTTGGGGGTACCCAAATCTAAAGTCACTAAATGAACTTATCTACAAGCGTGGTTATGGAGAATTCAGTAAGAAGCGAATTGCTTTGACAGATAACACTTTGATTGCTCGATCTCTTGGTAAATATGGCATCATCTGCTGGAGGATCTGATTCATGAGATCTATACTGTTGGAAAATGCTTCAAAGAAGCAAATAACTTCCTGTGGCCCTTAAAATTATCTTCTCCATGAGGCAGAATGAAGAAAAAGACCACCCATTTTGTAGAAGGTGGAGATGCTGGCAACAAGAAGGACCAGATCAACAGGCTTATTAGAAGAATAAACTAAGGTGTCTACCATGATTATTTTTCTAAGCTGGTCAGTTAATAAACAGTACCTGCTCTCAAATTGAAAAAAAAAAAAAAAAAAGACAACCTCGAGAAAATGAAAAAGCAGGCAACATAAAACCAATAAAAGGCCCATATTCAAAATAATAAAGAGTTCTAACAAGTTCTAAAAGAGAAAAGGATAACCCAACAGGAAAAGGGGCAAGAGGCTAGATGAAACATGTCATCAAACGATGACAAAAAAACCAAAATTATCCAAATGGCCAATAAACATAGGAAAAGGCATCTAGTCTCAGTAGTAAGTAAGGTTGATGCAAAAGAAAATCATAATGATACACCATTATATACCACAATGGCTAAAAACATCAAAGTCTGATATGATTAAGTGTTGCTCGGGCTATGGAACAACAGAAATCTTCACACACTACTTGTGTGAATGCAAATTATTACATCTACTTTGGAGAATGGTTTGGCTTGATTCTGCTAAAGTTCAAGACAGATACGCCCCATGATCCAGCAATCCCACTCCTAGGTACATACCCAGCAGAATGTATGCACATGTACCCCAAAGGCACACACAGCAGCACTATCCATAATAGTCCCCAGCTGGGAACAACCCAAATATCCTCAATAGCACAATGGTAAGTACACTGGTATATTCATAAAGTAGAATGTCATACAGCACAAAAACAAAGGGACAGCCACATGTAACAACATGGATGAATCTCGCAAACATAAGGACGAGACACAAAAGGAGATACAGCATATGACTCCGTGTGTTCAAAACCAGGCAAAACTATAATGTTTACAGGGACATGGACAGTAAAAATAGAAAGGAAAATAAAGAAATCAAAAGAGTGGTTACCTGTAGGTGGGAGAGGAAGGACTGTGACTAGTGAAGGTCACTAAGAAGGGGCTGTTGGGCCGCTATAATGTTCTATTTCTTAACCTCAGAGGTGGTCGTTTCAAAATAATTCATTGTTTTACATTTGTACTTTATGCACTTTTCTGATTGTGTGATATATTTCACAATTAAAAAGATTTAAATCAAAACAAAAATAAAATTAATACAAAAGGAAAAATGGTATTTTTGGTATAACTTTAAAAATTAGATCACGGAACCCAAATTCCTCGGATGGCCTGCCAGGCCCTTCATCCTCAGCCTTGTCTTTCTAGTCTCATTCCTTACCACCCATCTTTTCTCACAAGTAGTCTGCCACACTTGCTCTCAATCGTGTGCTTTCTTTACCTTTACTTGTGACACTTCTCTGCCTAGAAAACCATGTAGACATATCCCAATCACCTTTCTGCAGACTAGCTACAAGCTGTTATTCAAGACACAGCTTGGGTGCCTCTCCTCTGAGAAACCTTTTCAGGAGACAGACTCCAGAGCCAGACTGATTGGTCTAAATTCCAGGTCTACCATTCACTAGTAGTGTGCGATTGGTCAAAGTACCACACTCAGTTTTGCGGCCTTCTCGTCTGTAAAACAGGGTAAGGGGTTGAAGTGAAGATTAAATGAGTAAACATATGTAAAATTTTTGGAATGTGCCTGGAACAGAGTATGCACCAGGTAAGTGTGAGCTATGATATCATCAATATACTCTGACACCCTCCTCTCTGCTCCCCACTCTACCTTGTTAGATCCTCTGCTTCTGGGTTCCCATGGCCCAGAATTATAGTTTTTTCTTGTATACAGCCTTTATGGACAGTTAACTCCTCAAAAGCAGAGACTAAATCTTTCACATCTCAATCCTCCACCATCTTGCACAGTGCCTGGCAGGTAGCAGATATTCAGTGAATATTTGCAGAATGAATAAACTGACTCCAAATTTGGATCTACATCACATACAGAAGTAGTCCTTTGGTGCTGCTCTATCCTGTGTGTACACCACAAAATGGAAGCATACTCTTGATAGGTTTCCTATGGCAATAACCTGAGAATACAGGTGTAGACTCCCTCTGGATAGCAACAAATGAGGGTAATACTACTTGTCCTGTCTACTTGTTATAAGGCTACTGTAGGGCTCAAATGATAATGACTATGAAAACCATTTTTTTTCTTCCCTGAGACGGAGTCTTGCTCTGTTGTCCAGGCTGGAATGCAATGGTGTGATCTCCGCTCACTGCAGCCTCCACCTCCTGAGTTCAAGTGATTCTCCTGCCTCAGCCTCCTGAGTAGTTAGGATTATAGGCACCCGCCACCACGCCTGGCTAATTTTTCTATTTTTAGTAGAGACAGGGTTTCACCATGTTGGCCAGGCTGGTCTTGAACTCCTGACCTTGTGATCCACCTGCCTCGGCCTCCCAAAGTGCTGGGAATACAGGCATGAGCCACCGGGCCCAGCCTTCTTTTTTTCTTTTAAAAGATAGACTTGGCTGGGCGCGGTGGCTCATGCCTGTAATCCCAGCACTTTGGGAGGCCAAGGTGGGCAGATCACGTGAGGTCAGGAGTTTGAGACCAGCCTGGTCAACATGGCGAAACCCTGTCTCTACTAAAAATACAAAAATTAGCCGAGTGTGGTGGCACATGCCTATAATCCCAGTCACTCGGGAGGCTGAGACAGGAGAATTGCTTGAACCTGAGAGGTAGAGGTTGCAGGAAGCCAAGATCGTGCCACTGCACTCCAGCCTGGGTGACAAAGTGAGACTCCACCTCAAAAGGTAAAAAATAAAGAAAAAAAAAGAATTATTACTCATAATAGCCAAAAAAGTGGAAACAACCCAAATGTCTTTTTTGTCCTTCAAGTAATCAATAGATAAACAAACTGTGGTAAATCTATCCAGTAGAAAACTACTCACCAATAAAAATGAACAAGCTACTGATACTACAACATGAATGAACCTCAAAAATATTGTGCTCAATGAAAGCAGCCAGACTTGAAAGACTACGTACCGTATGATTCAATTTTCAGGGGCTGCCTGGGGCATGGCGTGGGAAAAGGGACTGACAGCACTTGGGCAAGAGGGATCTCTGTGGGTTGACGGAAATGTTCTAAAACTGGGTTGCGAATGATGATGGTACAACTGTATAGACTTTTTTTTTTTTTTTGAGACAGGGTGTCATTCTGTCGCCCAGGCTGGAGTGCAGTGGCACGAGCAGAGCTCACGGCAGACTCAAACTCCTGGGTTCAAGCCATTCTCCTACCTCAGCCTCCCGAGTAGCTGGGAATACAAGCACATGCCATCATGACCAGCTAAATTAATTAATTAATTTATTTATTTATTTTTATTTATTTATTTTGAGACAGACTCTCACTCTGTCCCCAGGCTGGAGTGCAATGGTGCGATCTTGGCTCACTGCAACCTCCAACTCCCTGGTTCAAGCGATTCTCCTGCCTCAGTCTCCCGAGTAGCTGGGATTACAGGCATGTGCCACCATGCCCAGCTAATTTTAGTATTTTTAGTAGAGACGGGGTTTCACCATGTTGGCCAGGATGGTCTCCGTCTCCTGACCTCGTGATCCACCGGCCTCAGCCTCCCAAAGTGCTGGGATTACAGGTGTGAGCCACCACGCGCAGTCAATTTTTTTATTTTTATTTTTTTAGAGATGGGGTCTAGCTGTGTTGCCCAGGCTGGTCTCTTAACTCCTGGCCTCAAGCAGTCTCCCCATCTCAGCCTCTCAAAGTGCTGAGATTCTAGGTGTGAGCTACCACAACTGGGCAATTTACTATGTTTTAATTGTATATCTAAACTGGGTGAAGTTTATATATATGATGTATATAAATTATACACAAATAAAGGTGTTTTGTTATAATGCAAATACCCGGCACTCTTTTATAACTAGCTATGATTCTCACATATTTAAAATCTCATCCACACATGTGAGGCCAAATCATGTAAGACTAAGACAGAAGTCAGCTTTTAAAAATTAAGAAATAATTAAATGTCACATACTAAATATCTTAAAAACCCAAACTGTCCTCTCTATACTTATTTTCCAAATAATGAATCCTAATAAGGGACAACAACAAATAATGATCCTGATAAGCAGGCTTTCACTGTCATTTGTTTATTTCATCCCACCTGTACAAACACACACTTTGGCCTCATCTGCATTTATAATTGCAAACATGAGTATCTGGCACAATATCTCCCTCCTTGTTTTTGTCCAACAGCAAGCATAAGAAAAAGGTAAATCAGAAAGCATAGTATATAATGTTTTTTTAAAAAAATATATTCATATGATAAACACGATTTCTAAATAGGGTTTAAACTAACCCTTAGAAATTAACAGTTCTTTTATATACACAAATGTACCATAGTACTTCAGATTAAATTCTGCAAGTCCTAAAATGCTATCCAAACTAGTTTGCTGAACTGGAATTGTTAAATTGGATACTGCTTAAAGTAGGTCACTGGCTCGGCCATGAAAGTATTTGGTAATGCAGAGATCTACTTGCAAAGTCATCTGTCATAATGAGATTTGACTTAGACAAAACCAGAGAAGCGACACCGGTTGGGTGTCAATTGTCAGCTGTATTTTATTCAAATAAATCTCATTTTAGATTTATCTCACTGCAGATTCTTGAACTGGGAAATAACAAGATGAAAGAAGTGTTTTCCAAAGAGTAAATCTGGTGTCCATGTTTAGAAAATGCCTCTTTGCTTCCTGTCCTTTGTCCCACACATCTACTCAGTCTCTAAAGCCCATTAATCCTTCTTTTGAAATGTCTTTCAGCTTCATTCCTTTCTCTCCACTTCTATTCTCACCACTGCAGTCCTAATTTGAGTCAGGAGGCTATAAAGGACAGGAAAACTAGAAAAAAAAGCCCAACTAGAGACCATTAGAGTAATCTAAAAGGGGAGTGAAGAGGACTCAGTCTAGAGCAATGGTTCTCAAAGTGTGGTCCCCAGACAGCAGCAACAGCACTTGGAATCCTGATAGAAATGTGAATATTCAGACCTTATCCCAGAACTAGTGAGCCAGAAATGCTGGGGGTGGCGCCGGCAATGTGCTGTTAACAAGCCCTCGGGGTGATTCTGACATAGGTTAAAGTTTGAAAATTAGTTATTTAAAGAAGCAGGGGCCAGGAGTGGTGGCTCACGCCTGTAATCCCAGCACTTTGGGAGACCGAGGTGGGCGGATCACAAGGTTAGGAGATCGAGACCATCCTGGCTAACGCAATGAAACCCCATCTCTACTAAAGATACAAAAAATTAGCTGGGCATGGTGGCAGATGCCTGTAGTCCCAGCCACTCGGGAGGTTGAGGCAGGAGAATTGCTTGAGCCCGGGAGGTGGATGTTGTGGTGAGCCGAGATCATGCCACTGCACTCCAGCCTGGGCAACAGAGTGAGACTCCATCTCAAAGGAAAAAAAAAAAAATGCTGAAGAGAAAGCAATGGGCCCAGATGAGGAGAGAACTTGGGGACCTGCTGAGAATGTCTTCCACAATGTCCCTCCAATCTCCAAACCACCCTATCAAAAAAGAACTCTTCTCCAAACCTATCTCTAGGTGTTACTGACTTTTGATACCACAACCCTCTACAGTGCTTAGGTTCAATCTTCCTTCCCCCAGTCTCCATCCAATATAATACACTCATCCCTCAGTATCCTTGGGAGATTGGTTCCAGACCTTTGGTGTATACCAAAATCCATGGTTGCTTAAGTCCCTGAAACAAAATGGTATAGAGACTGGGCACAGTGGCTCATGCCCAAAACCCCAGTGTTTAGGGAGGCCAAGGCGGGAGAATCGCCTGAGGCTAGGAGTTTAAGTTCTGCCTGGTAAGACCCAATAATTAAGACTCCATGTCTATAAATTTTTTTTTTTAATTAGCCTGACATGGTGGTGTGCACCTGTAGTCCTAGCTACTAAGGAGGCTGGGGCAGGAGGATCACTTGAGCCTAGGAGTTCGAGGCTGCAGTGAGCTATGATTGTTATCACTGCACTCCAACCTGGGCAAGAGACAGACTCCGTCTCTAAAAAATAGGCCAGGCGCAGTGGTCACGCCTGTAATCCCAGCACTTTGGGAAGCCAAGGCAGGCGGATCACTTGAGGCCAGAAGTTCGAGACCAGCCTAGGCAACATGGCGAGACCCTGTCTCTACTAAAAATACAAAAAAAATTAGCTGGGTGTGGTGGCACAGGCCTGTAATCACAGCTACTCAGGAGCCTGAGGCACAAGAATCATTTGAACCTGGAAGGTGGAGATTGCAGTAAGCCAAGATCACACCACTACACTCCAGCCTGGGCAAGAGAGACCCTGTCTCCATAAATAAATAAATAAATAAATAAATAAATAAATAAATAATAAAAATAAAATGGAGGGGCCAGGCGCAGTGGCCCACGTCTGTAATCCCAGCACTTTGGGAGGCCGAGGTGGGCGGATCATGAGGTCAGGAGATCGAGACCATCCTGGCTAATATGGTAAAACCCCATCTCTGCTAAAAATACAAAAAAATTAGCCAGGCATGGTGGCGGGCGCCTGTAGTCCCAGCTACTCGGGAGGCTGAGGAAGGAGAATGGCGTGAGCCCGAGAGGCGGAGCTTGTAGTGAGCTGAGATTGCACCACTGCACTCCAGCCTGGGCAGCAGAGCGAGACTCCGTTTCAAAAAATAAATAAATAAAATAAAATGGAGAAGTATTTGTGTATAACTTGTGCAAATAACCTAATGCCCCCTCCTTAGGTACACATCTTCCTGTATTCTTTAAATGTAATCTCTAGGTTATTTATGATATCTAATACAATGCAAATGCTATGTAAGCAGCTGTTGTACTGTATTATTTAGGGAATAATGTCAAGGAAAATAGTCTATATGTGTTCAACAGAGACGCAATTTTTTTCCTGAATATTTCTGATCCATGATTGATTGGAGTCATGGATGTAGAACCCATGAATATGGAGGACCGCTGTACTAATCTTGTTGAGGCTCTAGGTAGTCAAGGAAAAAAGACACATACCACAATGTGGAAAATTATGATTAAAAGAGTGCTTCAAATCAGTGGAGAAAAGATGAATTATTTCAGCAAATGATTTTTTAATAACTGGCTAGTCACTGTGGGAATCCAGAACAGGAAGCTATATATTCCTTACTGTATGTTTTTTTTTCCTTTTTTTTTTTTTCGAGACAGAGTCTCACACTATCGCCCAGGCTAGAGTGCAGTGGTGCACGCGATCTCAGCTCACCACAAGCTCTGCCTCCCAGGTTCAAGCAATTCTCCTGCCTCAGCCTCATGAGTAGCTGGGATTACAGGCGTCCACCACGGTGCCCGGCTAATTTTTGTATTTTTAGTAGAGACGGGGTTTCACCATCTTGGCCAGGCTGGTCTCGAACTGCTGACCTTGTGATCCATCCGCCTCGGCCTCCCAAAGTGCTGGGATTACAGGTGCGAGCCACCGTGCCTGGTCCTACTTTATGTTTTCTTACTCCATATATCAAAATAAAATTCCAGAAAAATCAAACACATCAATTTAAAAACAAAAAGAGCTGGGTATGGTAGCATATGCCTTAAATCCCAGCACTTTGAGAGGCTGAGGCAGGAGGATCACTTGAGCCCAGGAGTTCGAGATTGCAGTGAGCTATGATCATACCACTGCACTCCAGTATGGGTGACAGAGTGAGACTGTCTCTTAAAATAAAAAAACTAAAAAAAATTAAAGAAATATGACAGTAGCAGATGAAACCATGGGTAAAAATATTTTTATAATCTTGAATTGAGGAAGACATTCCTAAAAGCATGATAAACCCACCCCAAGGGAGTAAGAAATTACTAATACATTTCACTACATAAAAATCTAAATCTTTTCTATGACTTAGAACAATTTTGATTAAAAAGTCTGATAATGCAAAGGTGTGTAGACAGGCACGATCATATACTGATGGCGGGATGCAGAGTGCCTTTCTACAGCACAATATGACAACATCTGCCAAAACCTGAAATATGCATCTCTTTGATATAGTAATTCCCTTTTTTTTTTTTTTTTTTTTTTTTTGAGACGGAGTCTCGCTCTGTTGCCCAGGCTGGAGTGCAATGGCGCAGTTTTGGCTCACTGCAACCTCCGCTTCCAGGTTCAAGCAATATTCCTGCCTCAGCCTCCTGTGTAGCTGGGATTACAGGCACCCGCCACCGCACCCGGCTCATTTTTGTATTTTTAGTAGAGATGGGGTTTCACCATGTTGGCCAGGCTGGTCTTAAACTCCTGACCTCAGGTGATCAGCCCATCTCAGCCTCCCAAAGTGCTGGGATTACAGGCATGAGCCACCATGCCCAGCAGCAATTCCCCCTCTAAGGGTGGATTTTACATACACTTACACACACACACACCTCACAAGTATACAAATGTATTTATTTAAAGTTGTTTTAATCTAACAACTACTTGTTAGATTAAAATAAGAGCCAGCCAGGAGTGGTGGCATACACCTGTAGTCCCAGTTACTTGGGAAGCTGAGGTGGGAGGATCATTTGAGCTCAGGATTTTGAGGCTAGCTGGGGCAACATAGCGAGACCCTGTCTTAAATAAGTAAATAAGATACGCCATTATAAAACATTTTGTATATCTTAATCCCCTGTTGGTCAAAAATATACAAATAAATATATAAAACATATATATTACATTATACATTATCTGCGTGTATATATAATGTATACAATGTATAATACAGTGTGTGTGTGTGTGTGTGTGTGTGTGTGTGTGTGTGTGTGTGTGTATGATATACCTGAAAGCATGGAGAAAAGTCTGGCAAGACATCCAACAGCCTTTAAAAATAGGTACCTTTGGCAGAGTGCAGTGGCTCACACCTGTAAATTCAGCACTTTGGGAGGCCTGGATCACTTGAGTCCAGGAGTTCAAGACCAGCCTGGGCAATATAGCAAGACCCAATCTCTACAAAAATATTTTTAAAAATTGGCCGCGTGTGGTGGCACCCACGTGTAGTCCTAGTTACTCGGGAGGCTGAAGCAGGAGGACTGTTTGAGCCCAGTAGTTGGAGACTGAAGTGAGCCATGATCACACCACTGCACTCCAGCCTGGGAAACAGAGAAAGACCCTGTCTGGCTGTCTTAAAACAAAAACAAAAACAAAAAAAAAGGACACACCTGAGGAATAGGATGCAAGAATTTTCCATTTTCTACTTCATAAACATCAAGTTTTTACAAAGAGCATAAATTGCTCTTATAATAAAAAATAAATCTGATCATGTCATTCCTTTGTTCAACAAGTTCAAAAGCCTTCCAGCCCACAGACAACACAGTCCAAACTCCCCAGTGAGATGTAAGGATGGTTCAGCTATGCCACCTGACACCTCACCCATCACCAGGGTGAACTCCCCTGATGGGGCAGGTAAGGATGGGGTCTCTGTTCTCCCTCCTCCACTGTATCTTTCCTGAAGCCTGGTGCCATATGGTCCTTAATGGTCAACTCTGATAACCTTTTGTGTCATTTGCAAAGCTTTTGTCATAATGGAGCACACTGCTACTACATTCCAACTTGTTCTTTTCAGAACAATGTTGACAAAGCTGTTCAAATAAATTAATAAATTTCTTCTCTGCTTTCATGGAGAAGTAAATTCACATGCCAATGTGTAGGTGGATCAATAAAACCTCCCCTTCTAAAAGCCAAAATCTAACATTATGCTTTCTGGCTAATAAATATTAACTTTTTTTTATAGACATTCGTTGGCATATATCTGGCATAGTATGTAACACATGACTATAAAAATTACAGTTGTTTAGGCACAAGAGAAGACTGGGGGAAGTTTTCTTAGAAGTGATGAGAGGTGGAGCCAGTTTTGTGATCTCCTTGGCTGGGGCATAATGGATGATGCACACTGAGTAGCTGGACAACATCTTGATGAAGTCCTACCATTCATCTCACAAGCCCAGACTCATGTTGCTGTCAAGGTAAAGAGATTATCACACCACCTGTATGCTAGTGCAAGTTTGATCCAGGGCTCAGTTAATAAAAACATCCTATCTCTGCAGGAAATGTAGATGCTTCTAAAAGAGGTAACGCTATGTGGGAATAACAGATTGTCTCCTCTGATTATCCATAACAACCATGGTTTCTTAGTATTCACTGGGTATTACCTGTGCTTTACTCTAAGCTGTTCCTTATGGCCAATGATTGTCCTCACAGACTTCCTAAGAATTGGCCATTGGAAGAGTTCCCTGTGGCTAAAGATTTGGAATCTGAAGTCTCATAAAGTTTTGGCCATGATCCTGGCATTGAGTGGTTGACCATTTACCATAAGAAGCACCAATGTGTTCAATACAACAGATCGTGCTTTCTGAAGCTGGTCTCATAGTCATGTTTATATGTTTCTAAGACAATCAACTCAGTAAGACACAAGGATTTGGGGCTGCGGATAGGAGGGGTACAGAGGAGCTACACTGCTTAGAAGGCCTAGGCTAAAGTCACCAGCTTAGTTACCTGGTGATGACATGGATGAGCCACTTTATCAATAACATCCGCCTTGAGCATGAGGGTTACAGGTTGTGGTACTTGTAAATTTTGTTGATATCCATCTCCCCTATCAAATGGGGTACCTTATTCATTTCTGTATTAACAGTGCCTGGCACAGAGTAGGTATTCAGTGAATGTTGGCTATATTAATGAAGCACAGGTATAAGGAAATACACATCATATAATAAAGGGGCAAGTGAGCAAAACTGATAATTGCCTACTAGATGGCATGAGGTGGTAAACTCAGTTACTTAAAGGATAATGTTAGGCTGTGGGCTCAGTCACAATGTAGGTCAGTTAAATTTATGGGTGCTTCATGGTCACAAATCATGGTTACATCGTAATCATGGCAATTGTGGTAATATCATTATTTGTTTTGCAAATGCCTGGAATCCAGATTTGGCTAGGGGTAAACTTAGGTTCAATTAGAAAGCTACATTTCCCAACTTTTCTTAAGAAGAGAGGTGGCTACATGTCACAGCTCTGGTCAATCATTAGATGAGGCACACCTTTTATACCTCACTTGGGAGGGTGCGTGGTCTGAAACGGAAGCAGAGAAATGGCCTTGCCACCATCAAGGATGGATCAAAGGAATTTGAGATATTAACAACACTGGGAGTGACTACTTATTTCCCAATTTTCTGGTGTGTAGGAAAAAATAAATCTTTATTTGGTTAAAGCAAAGTTGGATATTCCATTACACAGAGCCTAATTTATTTCTAATTGATAAAATCACAGAGGTAGCAAAAAGAGTTATGAGGCTGCTGTAATAATCTATGTATCCTAATAACTGAATGAGTAGTCAACTTCTTTGTGGTAATATAATTGTAAAGATTTCTGGAGTGTACGGCCTCATGAAACGACAACACTCTAGCTAGCAGCTTCAATAATGATTTGAGATGATCTAACCAAATCAAAATGTTTGGAAAGAGTGTTGATGCTTACATGCTCTCCGAGACATACTGCAGTATCATCAGCAATAAGACCAACTAAAACAGAGCAACATCCAGCCTCATACGAAATTAGCAAAAATCTCCTCTCAACTACATGCAAGTGGTAATCAAAACCAAGTGGAAAAGAAAAACTGAAAACATTTCAAAAAGCACCTGCAGAAGAATGCTACTATTCCAGCTGCATATTAAACTTCTGTTTATCAAACATGTTCAACATTCAACATCTGGCCTTTCCACAAGCTAGTGCTTACCAATGAAATGCTAAAGAACACTTTTCGTTTAAGTAACAGCCACTGGGAAATCTTAAGCCAACTCAAGGGCAGTTTGGTTGTAGTTCATATTTACTTCTGAAGAAATGAAAGTGAAACAGCTGTTTTAACCTTCAATAATTTATACACAAAACTCTCCAGCCATGGGTACTACACATTTAAATTCTGGGCTTCACAACACTTTCATCAACTTCTTCTTCAAACTGTTTTTGTTTTTTTAAATATTTCATATACAGTATTTTCTCCTGTACTTGAGTATCTGCTATCAAAATACTATATTTCATCAATTTTGAGATTCATGGTTTTTTTCTTTACAAGTTAACATTTGTGAAATCTGGACAGATTTTACAATTAATGACATCTTACAATTAATTGGCAGCATTCTTTCTTTCTTAATGGAGCATAAAATACAATATGTCTTAGGAATGATGGCATCTTAAATTCCATAAAATATGGTAACAGCAATCCCTAACATTTACTAGATGCGTACTGTGTAGGACTCATAGTGCTTTACATATAATTCATCTGCTTATCAAAGCATTCCATGAAGTAAGTACTACTGTCATCCTGTTTTTAAAATTTTTTTTATTTTTAATTATTATGAGTACATAATAGTTGTATACATTTACGTGGTACATGTGATGTTTTGATACAGGTATACAACATGTAATGATCAAATCAGGGTAACTGGGGTATTACCTCAAGCATTTATAATTTCTTTGTTAGAAAAGTGCCAATTCTACTCTTCCAGTTATTTTGAAATATACAATAGATTATTGTTATCTATAGGCATCCTATTGTGCTACCAAATACTAGATCATATTCATTTTATCTAACTGTATTTTTGTACCCATCAACCATTCCCACTTGTCATCCTATTTTGTAGAGAAGGAAACGGAGAAGTTAAACAACACAGTTCACTAGCAGTACAGCTCAAACTATCTGACTCCAAAGTTTAAGCTCTTAACAACTGTCCTAACTGAAAGCTCAAAAATACTCTTCTACTTTTCTCCATTCATAATAAAAATGGTTTTTATTTCAAAATGCTTTTGTTTTGCCCTCATTCTTGACAGATGGTTACTTTTCTTCCAGCACTTTGACGATGAATTGTCTTGTGGCTTCCACTGTCACTGAAAAGTCAGCTATCAGTCTGCAGTCTGCTTTTTCTCTCAGGACTGTACTAGGATCTTGAATTTGCCAATGTATCCAGGTGATATTTCTCTTTCTTTACCCTGCTTGAGCTTCCTGATTCAGACGATTTAGTTATTTCATCAATTTTGGAAAATGTCTTCAAATACTGCCTCTCCCCCAGTGCTTCTATTCTCCTAGAACTTTGATCAGATGTTATATGAAACCTTCTAATTCTATCTTCCATGCATCTTAACCTTTCTTTAACATTTTCTCTGTCTCTATGGGTTTTATGTGGACAATTTCTTTAGCTTTATCTTCTAGTTCAGTAAGTCCTGCTTCACTTGTGTCTAATTTGCTTTAAGATTAGACTTGTCTACTAAATGCCAAATTCAATGATGTTGTTTGCTTCTGAAATGGTTATTTTTTCATTCTTATTTTCTTAATTGATAAAAATTGTATTTATCATGCACAGCATGTTTTCAAGTAGGTATAAACTGTGGATGGCTAAACTGATGAAATGGTTCTTTTTCAAATATATCTGATTATTATTATTTTAGCTAGTCAAATACCTCTATAGTGGCATACACCAGTTGCAAAACCCATCCTTGACACACAGGACTTTTGGCCTGATTATTCCTGATAGTCTCAGTTGCCATCTTACACCTTAAAGTTAATTGGCAGCATTCTTTCATTTACAATTTACAATATCTAATTACATTTACATTACACTTACAGTATCTGTTTTTAGCCAGGCATGGCGGTCTGCACCTCTAATCCCAGATACTCTGGAAGCTAAGGCGAGAGGGTCATTTGAAGACCAGAGGCCGGCATTTGAGACCAGCCCAGGACACAGAGCAAGACCTTGCCCCTAAAAAAGTACTAAAAAATTAGCCAGGCATGGTGGTGCATACCTATAGTTCTGGCCACTTGGGAGGCTGAAGTGGGAGGATCACTTGAGCCCAGGAGTTTGAGGCGGCAGTGAACTATGATTTCACCACTGTACTTCAGTCTGGGTAACATAGCAACAACCCATCTCTAATTAATTAATCACCAAAACCATAAAAAAACACAATTTCCTTAAAATATTAAATATACTTATTCTATGTTCAGTTTCCAATAATTACAATATTATAGACTTTTCAAATCTGTTTTTTTTTTTTTGAGACAGAGTCTTGCTCTGTTGCCCAGGCTGGAGTGCAGTGGTAGATCTCAGCTCACTGTAACCTCTGCCTCCCAGGTTCAAATGATTCTCCCACCTCAGCCTCCCAAGCAGCTGGGATTACAGGCACATACCACCATGACCAGCTAATTTTTGTATTTTTAGTAGAGATGGGGTTTCTCCATGTTGGCTAGGCTGGTCTCGAACCCCTGACCTCAAGTGATCCAGCTGCCTCGGCCTCCCAAAGTGTTGGGATTACAGGCGTGAGCCAACACGCCTGGCCTCAAATCTGATCATTTTTGTTGGTTCTGCTGACTCATTCACTGTAGCTCAGTGTTTTGAGTGTTTTGTGACTCTTCATTTTCGACTTCTGAATAATTTTATTTGTGAGACATATTTGAGTCCTAAGTAAGGTGTATTTTTCTCCTGAGAAGATTTATGTTTCTCTGGCAGGTTCCTGGAGGCACTACTAACCCAAGAACAATTTAAATTTTACACTGCACAGATAGTATGAATTCAAGTCTCACACCCATACACGGGCCAGTTTGTGGTTATAAATTCTCAAGGAAAGTTTTTTTTTAAGTTTCATTATAAAAAATGCTAGACACAGAAGTAGACAATAATATAATGAACGTTCAAGTTCCCATCGTCAGCTTAAATAGTTAACTCCCGGCCAACACTCTTTCACCTGTATCCCTTATTGGTATCCCTGCCTTCACATTAGTTTTAATGCAAGGACATTTCATTGATAAATACACTGGTAAATACCTATCTCTAATATATTTTTAAAAACCGTTAAAAATTTATAATACCATCATTACACTTTAAAAACATTAGTAACAGTCCCAATACCATCAAGTAATCAGCCAGTATTCAAACTTCCAACTGTCTCGTAAATGTCACACAAGACTTTGCTTTGCTGTGCTTTTTTTTTTTCTTTGCAATTTATTTGTTGAAGACCCCAGAGCTTCACATAATCTGGATTTTTCCAACTGTACCCGATGGTGGTACTAATATGCTGCTCTGTCCTCTGTAATTCTTATAAATTACTATATAGCTCTAGAAGCCAGATCTGTTTGTATAGGAAAGGGATGGTATATGGTTAATGTAGTGTTAGCAAGTGGTATCCAATAGCTTTTTTAAAAAATATCATCATGCTTTGGGAGGCTGAGGCGGGCGGATCACGAGGTCAGGAGATCGAGACCATCCTGGCTAACACGGTGAAACCCTGTCTCTACTAAAATAAAAAAAAAAATTATGCGGGTGTGGTGGCGGGCGCCTGTAGTCCCAGCTATTCAGGAGGCTGAGGCAGGAGAATGGCGTGAACCCGGGAGGCGAAGCTTGCAGTGAGCCAAGATCGTGCTACTGCACTCCAGCCTGGGCGAGAGAGTGAGACTCCGTCTCAAAAAAATAAAAAAAACTTTATTGGTATTCAGATTGTCTCATCATTGGATGAAGAGAGTCTTCTCTTGTATGTTCTTTGGTTCTTTTGATGTGATCCTGATCACAGTCTTTTATGACTTCCTTGTTACGTGGTGTAGCCGGTTCCTGTATCAGTGATTTCTCCAAATAACCCTGCTTCCTGTTAGTGAGAATTGGTATTCCAAGACCACAATTTGGGGACTAGGGTTACACATTGCTACTGGTCACTGTTTATAGGATTTTTCAATTGAATGGGTTAGGAGGTGTTTTTTGTCTAAGATAAAATATATCAATAATTCATACCACAACTTGTAATTCAAAATTAAGTTAATCGAGAGAATGAGAAGATAAGTCAAAGACTGGGAGAAAATACAAAGATACATCTGATAAAGGACTGTTATCCAAAATATACAAAGAATTCTTAAAACTCAGCAATAAAAAATAAACAACCTGATTAAAAATGGTAAAAGACCTGAGCAGACACCTCACTGAAGAAGATATACAGATGGCAAATAAGGATACGAAAAGATACTCAACATCATATGTCATTAGGGAACTACAAATTTAAAAAAAAAAAAAACAATGAGATGCCACTACACACCCATTAGATGCCCAAAATGCAGAACACTGACACCACCTAATGCTGGTAACGACATGGAGAAACAGGAATGCTCCTTCATTGCTGGTGGGAATGCAAAACCGTATGGCCACTTTGCAAGACAAGTTTGGTAGTTTCTCACAAAACTAAACTTACTCTTACCATTCAATCCAGAAATTGTGCTCCTTGACATTTGGTCAAATGAGGTGAAAACTTATGTTCACACAAAAACCCACACATGGTGTTTGCAGCCGCTTTATTTTTATTTACTGAAACTTGGAAGCAACTAAGATGGCCTTCAATAGGTGAATGGATAAACTAGAGTACATCCAGGCAATGGAATATTATTCATGCTAAAATGAAATGAGCTATCAAGCCATGAAAAGATGTGAAAAAACCCTAAAATACATACTACCAAGTGAAAGAAGCCATCATGAAAAGGCTATGTGATTCCAACTACATAACATCTGGAAAAGAAAAATCTACGGAGACAGTAAAAAGATCAGTGGTTGCCAGAAGACAGGGAGATGGAGGGATGACTAGGTGGAGCAGAGAAGATTGAGAGCACTGAAACCACTTTGCATGATTCTATGATGGATACATGCCATCATACATTTGTCCAAACCCATAGAATGTGCAACACCAAGAGCGGACCCTAATGCAAATGAACTTTGAGTAATAATGGTGTACCAACATAAGTTCATCATTTATAACAAATAGACCTTTCTGGTGTGGGATGTGACACTGCGGGAGGCTGGCAGGGACACAGAACAGGCAAATATGATAACTCTATACTTTCTGCTTAATTTTACTGTGACCCTAAAACTGCCAATTAAAAAAAAAAGTCTTAACGCTGGGCGCAGTGGCTCACGCCTGTAATCCCAGCAATTTAGGAGGCTGAGGCGGGTGGATTATTTGAGGTCAGGAGTTCACAACCAGCCTGGCCAACATGGTGAAGCCCCATCTCTACTAAAAATAAAAAAATTAGCTGGGTGTGGTAGTGTGTGCCTGTAATCCCAGCTACCGGGGAGGCTGAGGCAAGAGAATCGCTTGAACACGGGAGGCGGAGGTTGCAGTGAGCCAAGATCACACCAATGCGCTCCAGCCTGGGTGACAAAGTGAGATTTCATCTCAAAAAAAAGAAAAAAAAAGTCTATGAAGAAATCAAGTTAACAGGGTTTTATTTAACCTCTTTTATTTTATATTTGTATCTCCTTTCACCCATGTTGGGAATCTGGATCTCAAAACAGTGGAAATTATAAAGTACCACATAATTACTCATTTGTTTTTTTCTGACAATATACACTCAACAACAATCTCAAAATAGTACTAACAAGATCACTGGTATGTTCCACATGAGTACAGTTGAAGGACTTTGTTGTTGTTGCTACTGTTTGTTGCAGTTCTTTTTTCACTCTCAGGGCATATACCCACTAAGAATGTAAAGTTCGAATTAGTGAGGTTTAAAATTTAGGTTTACTTGTTTCTCATTTTCCATTTAAAAAAGCTATCAACCATATTTAAGGCAGTCTAGCTTCTCTCCCTGTCCCCTCTACCCTATTTCCTTCCTCCTTCTCTCATAATTTTTAAGCTTGTATGATTTATTCTTCCATTAAAAAAATATAAATTGGCTGGGCAAGGTGGCTCACACAGGTAATCCCAGCACTTCAGGAGGCCAAGGTGGGTGGATCACCTGAGGTCAGGAGTTAGAGACCAGCCTGACCAACATGGTGAAGCCCCGTCTCTACTAAAACACACACACACACACACACACACACACACACACACACACACACACAAAAGTAGCCGCCGGGCATGGTGGCAGGTGCCTATAATCCCAGCTACTCAGGAGGCTGAGGCAGGAGAATTGCTGGAATCTAGGAGGCGGAGGTTGCAGTAAGCTGAGACTGCACCACTGCACTCCAGCCTGGGCAACAGTGTGAGACTCTGTCTCAAAAACAACAACAACAACAAAGAAAACAAAATAAATAAGTTGCAGATACTGAGATCAAAATATGTAGAAGCTCTTGCATTCATAGTAAGTGGAAGAACAGAGCACAAACACCACTGGGTCTGTAGTCAGAAGGCCCGCTGTCCAGTTCCTGCTTCACCACCTATTAGCTGGCCTTGAGGAACTACCTAATTTTTCAGAGCTTCAGTCTCTTTTCTGTATGATGTGAAAAATAGTAAATATCCACCTTATAAGGTCGCTGTGAGGATGAGACGAGATAGGAAAGTCTTTTAAAGGTACAACTTTTTATGAGTTCATCCTTGGAGTGAAGGTTTCTGAAGATTAGCCAAAAATAATTCCGTTTATTAAAAGTTTCTTTCACTCTTAAGTACAAGGTAAGCAGGAATAATTTTAAAAATATTTCTTTATTAACAAAGGACCCTCGAGAAATAGGAGAGAAAAGCTGAACTCAGAGTTCCCAGCATCTCCCAGGAGGACCAAGAGGTCCTGAAAAGTATTATGTCTGGTCTCTAGTCTGGGTCACCAAACGCTGTACATCTGTAACGGAGATGGAGGCCAACAGCAGCCTCTGTGATGAGGGCCCTGCCTACATCTCCAGCTCCTCTCCTAATTCCCTGCCTCCCTCTCAGTCTCCAGCCTCACTAGCATTCCCAGGTCCCCCAAGGCTTCAAGCTCTTTCCTCCCTCAGGACCTTCACACATAGCTAGCCCCTTTGCTTGAAGGCTCTGGACCCAATGATCACCTGGCCAATGCCTACTTTTCCTTTAAATCTTTGCTTAAATGTTACTTTGTCAGAAAGGCCTTTCTGTCCTCTCAGACTAAGCCAGGCTCCCCCCAGTTAATCACTCTTACAGCTCCCTGTATTTTTCCTAAAATGCACTTACCAGTGTTTGGAATTACATATATAATTGTCTTTCTCCCACTAGAAAATGGTCAGTTTAGCATGTGTGTTTCTTATTTCTTTATTCTCATTTCCTAGTACCATGCCTGGTATTACTCTGGTGCTCAGTATGTGTCAAATGAATAACTGAATTAATGAAAAGCTTAACATATCATGTATAAAATGGCTGAATTAGATCCTGAACACTGGGAAAGAAGGCAGGACCAAGTTGTTACATACTGAAAAAAATTTCTACATTCCAGAGTCTTCCCATAAGGGGGCAATATTCCATTCTCCTCTAACTTGATTCATAATTTAAATATACAATCATTCTAATGATATATTTCCATCTCTTATCTATAATGAGTTTTTATGATAAAAATATCCAGAAACACATTACTTACACCAAACACAAAACTAAGCTTTTCACTACTGATGCAGTATAAGCTGAGGATATATAATAAAGCAAAATTTTCCAAACACAACACCAGGCCCTCCTAAAAATGCCAGGAAGAAGGCTTGTGTCTGTGAGAGGGGAGCCTACAGGGACGGGGGACCTGGAGATAAAAAAAAGACTTAAGAAATACATCAAACAAATGCTATAATGATAATCTTTAAACACTGCCTGGTTTTTATGTAGCTGGAAATATGAAAAGCTTATTAGCATCTCTCTTCACTGGACATGATGAACAAAGTATGGCAGAGAGAGGACAATCAATTTTAAAGGGGAGTTAAGGCTTCATTTTATTTCTATCTAAAACCTTTGTTTTCCTTTTTCTCTAACGACAAACGAAAACACTCCATATTTCATAGAAGAAAAAATTGAATTTCTCTCCATTCAAATTCAAGGTGAAAGAAGACATCTTTTGAACTCTACAGATATTCTGATAAGTATCTATTAAAAAGTCTGTCATCCATTGTTCAAGCATCCAAATGTGCCTCCATATATCCTTTCCTGCTGAAAAGAACGAGAGCTCCCTGAAGAAATGACTGAGGGCTGAGACAGAAGATGCATAAGATGAACCTAAACATATCATCATACCAAAAGGAAGGACACTATAAAAAGTCTTCAGAAACCAACTTGAAGGGGCTCCTCTCACTAGTCAAGGATGGGATCATTTGAGCATCAATAAAAAATAATCATTGCAATGGATTCACATCTATGAAATATGATGAAATCCATCAGTTCATAATGAAATAAGTATATTTTAAGACCTTACTGGTCTCTTTTGGAGGATACTAGGGAATCAATTTATTATTATGAAAACTGATAAAAAAGAGAAAGAATCAATCATTTAATCTGCCTTTCCTAAATGGAATATACCTCAGATTAACCACAGAGTGGATAAGAGACTATTTCTGGCCAAGCATGGTGGCTCATGCCTGTAATCCCAGCACTCTGGGAGGCCAAGGCAGTAGAATTGCTTGAGCCCAGGAGCTCAAGACCAGCCTGGGCAACATGGCAAGACCCCGTCTCTACAAAAAAAGTAAAAATTAGCCAGGCATAGTGGTGTGCACCTGTGGTACCAGCTACTAGAGGGGCTGAGGTGGGAGGATCACCTGAGCCCGGGAGGTTTAGGCTGCCATAAGCCATGTTTGTACCACTGCACTACAGACTGGACAATAGAACAAGACCCTGTCTCAACAACAACAACAACAACAACAACAACAACAACAACAACAGCAACAACAAAAATAGTTTCTCTAGCTAACAAACAAAGACAAATGACTTAGGATATTACCATTTTGTAAACCCTAATTAACATATCTTAGTATTGCTCTTCAATAGCTGTTAACATCATAATAAGATTAGATGAAACAACTGGTTATTATGTGCCTCTTGATGGAAGTAAACACCACCTCCTATAAAATATTCTTGCCAAAAAAACCCAATCTGAATTAGATCAAGCCTCCTCTGGATATAACTACAAGTTTACATAAAATTCAAGGTAAAGGAACACTCTTCCTTGCACTCTGAATGGACACAATTAGCAAAATCCAGAATGTAAGAAACTATAGGACAAACAACCAAGTTTCTTTTTAAGATAAATTGAGGGGAAGAAGAGTGAGGGAAGCTACAGATAAAGAAGCTTAGGAAACATTAACCAGATACTATGTTGGTCCCTTTTTTTGGATCCTAATGCAAATAAACCAAATTTAACAACTAAAACAAATTTTTAAAGTCTCTGAATTTTTTGTAATATTAAGGAATTACATTTTTAGATGTGACAATTGTATAAGGCTTAAGTTTTTTTTAAAAAAGTCCTTGCCTTTTAGAGAGACGCACAGGATATTTATGAATGAAATATGTACGTGTGAGGGGCTGCAGTCACCTGAAGGTTTGTCTGAGGCTGGAAGATCTTCTTCCAAAACAAAGTGCTCACATGGTAGCTGTTAGCTGGAGTTCCTCTCCATGTGAGCCTTTCCACAGGCTATTGAAATGTCCTCACAACACAGCAGTCTGACTTCCCTCAGAGCAAGTGCTCTACAAGAGGGAGGCAGAAGTTGCAATGACCTAACAACAGAAATCACAAACCATCCTTGCCACGATATTCCAGTGGTTACACAGGTTAGCCCTGTTCAGCAGGAGAGGGGACTACACAAAGGCATGATACCAGGAGGCAAGGACCACTGGGCCATCTTGGAGGCTGGCTAGCACACCAAGGCACTTAGAATTAACATACATGCACCAAACTCCTGAGCATGACTTTCAAAACCCTTCGTCATCTGACTCCTACTGCACTCTAACCTCATTTCATCCCACCCTTTCTCAGCCCAATAAACTCCAGCCTTCCTAGCCTCCTCCTTCTCCTCAAAGGTGAGGGATTTGTACCTATTTCAGAGCCTTTATATTAACTGCTCCCTCAGACTGGATTAATTCTCTCCACTCATCATTTTATCATCCAGATCTGAGCATAAATAGCACCTCCTCAGAGAGGCCACCAAGTCTAAAAGGCCATCTATCCTCTTTCTGTCCCAGAACTCAATTTTTTTGGCAGAACACTTATCACCGTCTGACATTTGAGCACATCTGGCTCAGTGTTAAACTCTCTGGCACAATTAGTCACTACGGTTAACATACCTTTAACCTTCAAATGCATAACCTAGCCCAACACCCTGGCCTTGCAGTTGTGGAAACTGCTCAGCTCGAAGGACCTTGTCCTTCAATCTGCCTCACTCACACTCTACCATCATCAAACTCAGCTCATCTTGTGTCACCAAATTCAATTCACGGTGTGATTATTTTAGCTCACTGGCTCAAGCGTCCCATGCAAACAACTTTTCAACTGCCATGGGTCCTTCTACCCCTTGACCCCATTTTCCTTCTCCTGACTTAATTTTTCTCTTTAGCTTAGATTACATAGTTAATCATTATAATCACTTACTTGCAAGAACCTTCAATTCGCTTCCAAGGTCTCCTTCTCTCAAACTCCACAATCCCAGAACTCAAGCAACTCCCTTCTCCATGCCAAGAATACTGATGAAAAAGCATTTAACTTGGCAGGTTTACCATAAATTAAAGGTCAGGCAAATGGGCACTCAATTTAAATTGGCAGTCTAACTAGATCTCTTTAGCAGGCTGGCTCTCCTACTCTCCCCTCTGCAAGAAGGCTATTTCTTACTTATTTTCCCCTCCTCCCCAACCCTTCCCTGCCTTTTAAGCTAATGTCAATGACTCTTCATTGAGAACAAAAATACCATAATACAACGATCTGCTATCTCACGACCAGTTGTATAAACCTACCTGAATCTGCATCAATTTTCCCCTCTTTCCCCTATTTCAACAGAAGTGGCCCTCCTCCTTTCTAAGAATACTTATGCTCCTGATCCCATCCCCTCTCTCTTACTCATAAACTCCAATCTTGCAATTCTCCCCTTTTTCCTCCACCAACCTTCACTCACTGTTTCCTGGATCACCCCCACGTGCATACATGTTCTAGTATGTCCCATCTTAAAAAGATAAACAAAAATTATTCTTTGACTCTGTATCACTCTTCAGCTAATACTCCATTTTTCTGCTCCCTTCACAGCCAAACTTCATCAGAATTAAGAACCTGCTATCTTTCTCATACTTTCTCACCTCCTACGCAAGCTCTGTTAAAACCATTCCGACATGACTTCTGCCCCTATCATCAGCAATATCCATGCTGCCAATCCAATGAATAGTTCATGTAACCCTTTCAGCAGCACTCAATTCAGTTAATTATTCCCTCTTTTTTAAAATGATCTCCTTTTGATTTCATTCAACCAATAATTACTGAACACTGTCCTGGCCAGTCACTGTCCTGGGATTGGTGAGGGATACAGCAGCTTCTAGGGCACCACACTCTCCTGGCTTTCCTTCTATGTCTTTGACTCCTCTTCTCTCCTTCATCCTCCTCTGATTCTATCCTTAAATGCTAATAGTAATTCAGAACTTAATATCAAACCCCCTTCTCTTTACTTTCTCCTTAAACAATATTCTCCATTCTCATGGCTTTTATTATTGTCTTTATAATGAAAACCTTCATATTTATATCTGTAGTTGGGAACTTTCCTTGGAACTCCAGTTCTCCTGTATTCAATTACTTAACTTGATATTCCCACTTGGGTGCCCCAAAGCATCTCGGACTTAATATAATCAAATTTTAACTCTTGACTTCCCCCCAAAACATTCCATCTACTTGAGTAAATCTCAGTAAATAACACAATATACAGCTTTCAAGCCAGAATTCTGGATTTCTATGCCTTCCTCCACTCCCACTTCTAATCCACCGGGAAGTCCCACAGAGTCTGCCTCCAAAATACATCCCAAATGTTTTCACTGTTCTCCATTTCTCTGACTATTATCATCTCTTCCCTAAACTATGGCAATAGCTTCCCCATTGGTCTCTCTGTTCCCAGCCTTGTCTTCCTCCAATCTTTTGGATACATACCTGTAAAAATGCAAATTAGACTGGCTTACTCCCTGCTGTAAGTCTTCAACAGCATCATACTGTAAAAGGAATCAAACCTGAACCCGTTCTTTTTGTCTTCAAGCTCTTAAGCAACATGGACTCTGTTTACCTGCTCTCCAACATCATCTATCCATTCTTCCTCACTCTAATACAGCCCCAGTGACCTTTCCATTTCTTGACTATGCTAAGACTTGCTCTCCTATGGCTTGGTACATGCTATTCCCTCTGTCAGAAACACCCTCTCCTCTGGCTGGCTCCTTCTCAATTTCCAGTCTAAACTTAAATGTGAACTCTCAGATCTTTCCTGACCATTGTATCTATAATAGTTCTCCCTGACAGTTTATAACACAGGTTTTATTCATTTTCTTCATAGCATATAACATTTTATAATTGCTTATTCATTTATTTAAAACTCACTTTGAAAATTTACTAACATATACAAAAGTAGAACAAGCAGTAGAATGAGCCCAAAACTTCTAGGATTTTTGTTTTCAACTACTTCCCCGGCTCTACTGTAAGCATCAATGAATAGAGACTACATCTTTTTCTCTCATTATATATACACCCAGGGCCTCGCACTGCGGCTAGCTTGTGATAAAAACTCAGTATTTTGTTGTTGTTGCTTTGAATGGGAAGCAAAGTTAAAGATGACTCTAAAGAGAATAATGGCACCACCGAGAAAAGTGACACAGGAAGGAGAGTTCTGAGGACAGTTGTTAATTTATTCATCAGCCTACTGGCGGCTAGGCTCTTGGCTAAGTATTGAGTTTCAGAGATAAACAAGAGAAAGTCTTATCCAAAGTCTTGAGTAGAAAGATACAATAATAGGAAGTATGTATTGAGGGCCACTTATGTGCTGGATAGAGCTAAGCGTTTCAGAGATACTGTCTCATTTAGTTCACAAGAACCCTATAAAGGAGGAACTATTATTATCCACATTTTGTACCTAAGGAAACTGAGGCTTAGAAATATTATATAATTGGTTGCAGGTGACAAAGCTGGAAAGTGGCAAAGCCAGGTTGAGCACTTAGGTTATCTAATTCCAAAGCCATGCCGCTAAACAACACTGAACTTGCAGATACATATTATGGTATAGAGCATTATGAAAAACGTTTCAGCAGAGACATGCACAAGGTACAATGGAAGCAAGCAGGGAACTCTGATGAGACGAAAGGGCGGGAAGGCTCTTCCAGAGGTGACCTCTCAGCAGTCTGAAAGTTTAAGCAGGAAATTGCTAGGCAATGAAGTCCAAGGAAAAAGTATGTGCAAAAAAAAAAAAAAAAAAAACACGCAGACACTTAAAGGAATATCATGTACCCTGGATACATTGAAGAATTAGAGTTTTATTTTTTAAAACTGAGTGTAATGAATAACACTGGGCTAGGGCTTAGGCTATGAGACAAAAGATGAAGCACTATGAGAAAGTTATGCATGGGCTGAGCGTGGTGGCTCACGCCTGTAATCCCAGCAATTTGGGAGGCTGAGGCGGGTGGATCACTTGAGGTCAGGAGTTTAAGACCAGCCAGGCCAACATGGTGAAACGCACCCCCCCACACACTAAAAATGCAAAAATTAGCCAGTGTGGTGACACACACATGTAATTCCAGCTACTTGGGAGGCTGAGGCAGGAGAAACGCTTGAACCCAGGAGGCAGAGCTTGCAGTGAGCTGAGATTGCACCACTGCACTCCAGCCTGGGTGTCACGGCGAGACTCTGCCTCAAAAAAAGAAAAAGTTATACATGAAAAAAAAAAAAAACAAAAAAGAAAGAAAGTTATACATGAAACACTCTGAAGGCACAAAGGAGGCAGGTTCTTTGCAGCCTAGCAGGAATTTGAGAAGACTTCACAAAAGAGATGTGGCTGAGCTGGATCCTGAAGGGCAAATTAACTGCCTGAGGATAAGAGGGCAGGCAAGGGAGTGACTTGCACAAAGCCATGGACATCTGGTAAAGCAAGGAACACTTGGGGAACTGTGAGAATTTGAAGTTGGATATGGACAGATTTGGAAAGAGTGGGTTACAGGTGAGTGGCAGCTGAGTGCAGATGTAATCTTCAATGTCACTGTATCTTATCATAAGAAATGTGGATTTAATGTTGTGTTTAAATAGCAGAGTGACATAATAAGATTAGATAACTGCTTAACAAAAGTGCTTCAAAGCCACAGTTACTAAAACAGCATAGTCCTCATACAGGAATCTATAATCAAACAGAATGCAAAAATAAACCTGTGCATACTATACATTGAAATCTGATGTATAATAAATGTGGCATTTTGAATTAGTGGAGAAAGGATAAATCATGCAATACAATGCCCTAGGGACAACTGGTTATCCATTAAAAAAAAAAAAATTGGCTGGGCATGGTAGCTCATGCCTGCAATCCCAGCACTTTGGGAGGCTGAGGTGGGAGGATCACTTACGGCCAAGAGTCAGGAGTTCGAGACCAGCTTGGGCAACATAGTGAGACCTGTGTCTCTACACAAAAAAAAAAAAAAAAAAAGGCCAGGCACGGTGGCTCACGTCTGTAATCCCAACACTTTGGGAGGCCAAGGCAGGCAGATCATGAGGTCAGGACATCGAGACCATCCTGGCTAACACAGTGAAACCCCATCTCTACTAAAAATACAAAAAATTAGCCAGGCGTGGTGGCAGGCGCCTGTAGTCCTAGCTACTCAGGAGGCTGAGGCAGGAGAATGGCATGAAGCCGGGAGGCGGAGCTTGCAGTGAGCCGAGATTGTGCCACTGCACGCCAGCCTAGGCGACAGAGCGAGACTCCATCTCAAAAAATAAAAAAATAATAAAAAAAAAATTAGCCAGGTGTGGTGGTACATGCCTGTAATTCCAGCTACTTGGGAGGCTGAGGTGGGAGGATCTCCTGAGTCCAAGAGTTGGAGGTTTCAGTGAGCTATGATTGTGCCACTGTACTCTAGCCTGGATGACAGAGCAAGACCCTGTCTCAAAAAAAATAACCCAAAAATAAAGTTAGACCTGCTTCTTCATATCATAAAAAATATATATATATACTTAGATTTGGGATTAAATATAAATAATAAAATAATTATTTTTAAAACAAAATAATATTTCATGGAGTAGAATATAAATTTTATAGGAATTTCTCAGTTAAAACTGGAGACTTCCAGGAAATTTTATTCTGGTGGCAGACTAATGTGGGCTTGCTTACCAACATTCAGGTCATTACATTCACCCTGCTGGAAAAGACCAGAAGCACCGGTCTATAAAAATGGTCCCCATACCTTGCTGCTTATCAAGGCTACCTGGAGAGCTCTGTAACACCCACTCGCCCACCAGAAGCATCTTAGAGCTTCCAGGATGAGGGAGAGATCTTCCTTTAATGAAAGCTTTCATTTGCAAAGTAGATATTGCCCGGGCACGGTGGCTCATGCCTGTAATCCCAGCACTTTGGGAGGCCAATGCAGGCAGATCATTTGAGTTTAGGAGTTTGAGACCAGCCTGGGCAACACGGCGAAACCCTGTTTCTTTTTCTTTTCTTTTTTTTTTTGAGACAGAGTTTCATGCTTGTCGCCCAGGCTGGAGTGCAATGGTGTGATCTTGGCTCACTGCAACCTCTGCCTCCCGAGTTCATGCGACTCTCCTGCCTCAGCCTCCCAAGTAGCTGAGATTATAGGCTCCCACCACCACGCCCAGCTAATTTTTGTATTTTTGGTAGAGACAGGGTTTCACCATGTTGGGCAGGCTGGTCTTGAACTCCTGACTTCAGGTGATCCACCCACCTCGGCCTCCCAAACTGCTGGGATTACAGGCACGAGCCACCGCACCTGGCAAAGAAACCCTGTTTCTACTAAAAATACAGAAATTAGCTAGGCATGGTGGTGCACACCTGTAATCCCAGCTATTTGGGAGGCTGAGGCACGGGAATCACTTGAACCTGGGAGGTGGAGGTTGCAGTGAGCTGAGATCGTGCCACCTTATTTCAGCCTGGATGACAGAGTGAGATCCTGTCTCAAAAAAAAATAAATAAATAAATAATAAAAAGTAGATACTGCTTCTCAGTAGTAATTAATTGGTGATTAATCATAAATAATTTTCTTTTGAGACAGGGTCTCGTTCCATCTCCTGGCTGGAGTGCAATGGAACAATCAGGGCTCAC
This sequence comes from Homo sapiens, assembly GCF_000001405.40. NCBI lineage: Eukaryota > Metazoa > Chordata > Mammalia > Primates > Hominidae > Homo > Homo sapiens. The sequence goes on along the minus strand of NC_000022.11, from coordinate 40,078,465 downwards.
TGCAACCTTGACTTCCTGGGCTCAAGTGATCCTCCTGCCTCAGCCTCCCAAGTAGCTGGGACTACAGGCATGTGCCACCACATCTGGCTAATTTTTAAATTTTTTGTAGAGACAGGCTCTCTCCCTATGTTGCCCAGGCTGGTCTTGAACTCCTGGCCTCAAGCAATCTTCCCACCTCTCAAAGTGCTGGTATTTTAGGTGTGAACCACTAAAACCAGCCAATCATAAATAATTTTTATTAAGAAACTGAAAAACTCCTTTAATGAAAAGTCTTCCAGTAGTACAGTAGTATGGATGCTTCATGAAAGAAGTTTCCACTACTGTATCTAAACTTTACCTTCAGCTTGACAATGTGTATCTTTAAAGCCTTAAAAAATATCCACATACTCTGTGACCCAGCAATTCTTATGGAAATTTAGCTAATAAAATAACTATGGATGTGTGCACACATAGGTGTACAAATATATTCACTGCAATGTTGTTGACACTAATCAAAAACTGAAAATAAGCTACAACCAGTATGAGAAATTAAGTACCTATGTAGTGAAAAACAGTGCAGCCATTAAATATGAAGTCTACTTACTGACACAGAAAGATAGTCACAGCACACACTGAGTGAGCAGAGCTGATCTCAATGCAGTATGTATCCACTGACATGAAAAAACTTCTCCAAGTGTGTATATACACACACACACACACAAAAGACTGCCATCAAAATGTTAACAGTGGTTATCTCAGCGTAAGAGGATTACAGTGATCATGGGCTATGTGTATGTTCTGAATTTGTCTACAATAAATATTTATTACTTGTGTAATAAAGGGTTTTTTTTAAAGATACCTGTATTCAAGTCCCATCAAACAGAGTAAAAGCAATGAAAAACTGCTTGTAGCCCAGCAAATGCAAAATACTGAATCACCGTATGTGTGATTCAGAAATAAAAATTTTAATGGTTACTATAAGAAAAGATATGCAAGGTAAAGGTCAGCAGTGGGAATTGAATGAGATCTCAACTTCTGCTTCAGGCCACGATGAAGCAACTACTACCAGACTTGCCCTCCCATTATAAACAACTAGAAAATTGGACAAAACATATGAAACAATGACTTCAGGCAGTGAAGAACAGTTAGCACTGTGATTTCTGAGAGAAAGGAACCAAAGAGGTGAGTCCTTGAAGGCTCTGGCTTTCTGCTCGTGGGCACTTTGCAGACCATGGCATGGGAGAGATAACCTATGCAGACTACCGTGAGCGAAATAATCAGAGGAGCCTGAGTTCAGGGTTTGTAGGGGTTGAGGAAGCTGGGTTTCCAAGGCACGATACTGTATAGGAAGAAGTGCCCCGCCTCCCCTCCCCTCCCCTCTCCTCTCCCTCCCTCTTTCTCCTCTCCTCTTCTCTCTTTTCTTTTCTTTTCCTTTTCCTTTCCTTTTCTTTTTTCTTTTTTTCTCTTCTTTTCTTTTCTCTTTTCTTTTCTTAGAGATAGGGTCTTGGTACTTTGCTCAGACTAGTCTCAAATTCCTGGGCTGAAGCAATCCTCCAAACTCACTCCTCAGAGTAGCTGGGACTAGAGGTGCACACCCCCGCACCCAGCTAAGAATTGCTGGGTCACAGGGTATGTGGATATTTTTTAAGGCTTTAAAGATACACATTGTCAAGCTAAAGGTAAAGCTTAGAAACAGTAGTGGAAAGTTTTTTTATGAAGCATCCATACTACAGTATTACTGGAAGACTTTTCATTAAAGCATTTTTTCAGTCTCTTAATAAAAATTGCTTTTGAGTGGCTGGTTGTGGTGGCTCACACCACTTTGAGAGGCTTAGGTGGGAAGACTGCTTGAGGCCAAGAGTTCAAGACTAGCCTGGGCAAAGGGAGAGAGGCTGTCTCTACAAAAGAAAGAAACAATACAAGATAGGGATCTTTAACAATACAACAGAAAAGCATCTTTAAGGTGCCAAAAGATAGAAACTGTCTATCTAAAATTTGATATCCAGCAAAAATAGCCTTCAAAAAAGATGGAAAAATAAAGAGATTTTTCAAGAACAAAAGCTGAGACAACTAATTGCCACCAGGTCTCTACTAGAAGAAATCTGTGGCCCACTGAATGACCATGGCTCACTGCAGCCTCAACCTCCCCAGGCTCAAGTGATCTATCTCAGCCTCCTGAGTAGCTGGAACTACAGATGTATGCTGCCATGTCTGCCTAATTTTTGTATTTTTTGTTGAGATGGGTTTTTGCCATGTTGCCCAAGCTGGTCTTGAACTTCTGGGCTCAAGCTATCCTCCTGCCTTGGCCTCCCAAAGTGCTGGGATTACAGGCGTGAGCCACCGTGCACAGCCTAGAAGAAATCTTTAGTACAAAAAACGGTGAAGCTTTTCAGGCTAAATAAAATAATACGGATGGGAACTCAGATCTAAACAAAAGAATAAAGGGCATTGGAAATGGCAAATATGTGGGTAAATGGAAAATACTTTTCTTTTTCAGGCTTTTTGTCATTAAAAGCAAAATTGGTAACAATGAATTGTGGGACATTTAACATGTCGAAGTAAAATGTATGACAATAGTCCAAAGATATAATGGGAAAATGAAAGTGCACTTTTTGAAGTTTTTACACTATAAATGAAGTGGCATATTATTTTAAGGCAGACTGCATAAGTTAAAGATGCATATTTTAAGCCATAAAGCAACTGTTATAAAAGTAAAACAAAGGTTTATAGCTAACAGAGGAGATGGAATAGTAAAAAAGTAATCAAAAAGAAGCCAGGAAAAGAGGAAAGAATAAACAGAAAACAGATGGGATAAATAGAAAACAAACAGCAAAATGATAAACTTAAACCCAACCATATTGAAAATGACATAAATGTAAGTGGTCTAAACACTTCAATTAAAAAACAAAGATGGTAAGATTGGACTTTAAAAATCCAACTATCTACTATCTAAAATAAATTCATTAAAAAAATAAAGACACGAATAAGTTAAAAGTAAAAGGAAACAAAAAGATATACAAATACATAAATAAGCTGGAGTGACCATATTAATATCACACAATATAGCCTTCAGGATAAGAAATATTACCAGGGATAAGGAAACGTTCTATAATTACAAAGGGCTAAATTCATTGAGAAGACATAAAAATCCTAAATGTGTATATACACATAGTTACAGAGGCTCAAGATGCATGAAGCAAAAATGAACAGAACTGAAAGGGGAAATAGACAAATCCACAATTATAGTTGGATATTTCAACACTTCTCAGAAACTACATTATATCAATGTAGAAAGAAAATCAGTAAGAAAAAAAAAAAAAAAAAAAAAAATATATATATATATATATATGAACAGAACCAACAATCAACTTGGCTAAATTGACATTAATAGCACACTACACCCAAGAATAGCAGAACATACATTTTTTTCAGGTACACATAGAACTATTCACAAAGAAGACCATACAAATCATGACAGATCTCAAAGGACTGAAATTGCATGTGTTTTATGGTAACAGTATTTTTCTTTGAGACAAGGTCTCGCTCTGTTGCCTACGCTGGAGTGCAGTGGTACAACCACGGCTCCCTGCAGCCTCCACCTTCCAGGCTCAAGCAATCCTCCCACCTAAGCCTCCCGAGTAGCTGGAAATACAGGCACACACCACCATGCCCAGCTAATTTTCTTTATTTTATTTTATTTTTTTTTTGGAGACGGAGTCTTGCTCTGTCACCCAGGCTGGAGTGCAGTGGCGTGATCTCGGCTCACTGCAAGCTCCACCTCCAGGGTTCACACCATTCTCCTGCCTCAGCCTCCCAGGTAGCTGGGACTATAGGCGCCCACCACCACGCCTGGCTAATTTTTTTGTATTTTTAGTAGAGACGGGGTTTTACCGTGTTAGCTAGGATGGTCTCGATCTCCTGACCTCATGATCCACCTGCCTTGGCCTCCCAAAGTGCAGGGATTACAGGCGTGAGCCACCGCGCCCAGCCATTTTCTTTATTTTTTATAGAGATAAAGTCTCATATGTTTCCCAGGCTGGTCTTGAATCCTGGACTCAAGCAATCCTCCTACCTCAGCCTCCCGAAAGTGCTGAGATTACAGTCATGAGCCACCATGCCTGGCCCACCATCTTGAAATGTACTAATTTCATACACTCTAAAGATAGTTTTTCCATATGTATACCTTTTATTTACTCTTAAATTATTAGCTTGAACTAGTTACCATTTTCTTTTCTTTTTTTTTTTTTTTTTGAGACAGAGCGACCTTCACTCTGTCACCGAGGCTGGAGAGCAGTGGTGTGATCTCAGCTCACTGCAGTCTCTGTCACACAGGTTCAAGCAATTCTCGTGCCTCAGCCTCCTGAGTAGCTGGGACTACAGGCACAGGCCATCACATCTGGCTTTTTTTTTTTTTTTTGAGATGGAGTTTCACTCTCATTGCCTAGGCTGGAGTGCAGTGGCACAATCTCCACTCACTACAACCTCCACCTCCCAGGTTCAAGCGATTCTCCTGCCTCAGCATCCAGAGTAGCTGGGACTACAGGCACACGCCACCATGCCCGACTAATTTTTTGTATTGTTTTTTGTTTTTAGTAGAGCTGGGGTTTCGCTATGTTGGCCAGGTTGGTCTCGAACTCCTGACATCAGGTGATCTGCCCACCTCGGCCTCCCAAAGTGCTGGGATTACAGGCATGAGCCACCGCACCCAGCCCTGGCTGCTAATTTTTGTATTTTTAGTAGAGATGAAGCTTCACCATGTTACCCAGACTGGTCTCGAACTCCTTGCCTTAAGAGATCCACCTGCCTCAGCCTCCCAACGTGCTGGAATTACAGCTGTGAGCCACTGTGCCTGCCCATATTAGTACCACTTAATGGTTTATTTCTACTAAGTTGATTTTATAGTTAAGTTTCCCTTCATTGACCAGTATTTTTTCCTTCAGTTAACAATTAGTGGCTCTTTGTAATGTCATAGTTCCCAGCACCCCCAAAACCCCAATAAAAGACACCACTAGATTCTTGTACTCTACCAGCCAAAGCTTGCCATAAGATCCTTAAAAATCTCTAATCCACCCCCAACAGTTTCCAGCCATATTAGAAAAGCTCCTGTTTAATGCAGAGTACTGAATCCTAAAAGGCTCCACAGGACTTGCTGTCCCTAAAGGAAGACAAAGAGTTCTTGACCTTCACTTAACAAAAAACGTGTTCTATATTACACTCTGCAAAAACAAGGACTCTGAGACTCTCAGCTAGGAAACAGGCACCCTGGAATCCCAATGACCATTTCTGCTGTCCCACATATATGGCTCTAAATATAAGGATTGGAAAAAAAAAAAAAAAAAAAAAAACCAAGGCCCTATGTATGTGTAGGGTGTGGGGCAGTAGGGGATAGGAGTCTGGGAGTGACTGCCTGTTAGGGACTTGACCAAACAACTTGAGACTGAATGTCCTTATGTAGAATACATGTCAGGCAATACTTATTACGTGTGCCCTCATTTGAAAGGAAATATCTTATAGCCTCATTATGACAAGCAAAAGTGATTTCTGATCTTTTGTTCTAGCTTATGTCCCAATGCTCTATACCTCCACTGTGAAGCCAGCTTTTTTTTTTTTTTTTTTTTTTTTTTTGAGAGAATCTCGCTCTGTTGCCCAGGCTGGAATGCAATGGCACAATCTTGGCTCACTGCAACCTCCGCCTCCCAGGTTCAAGTGATTCCCCTGCCTCCGCCTCCTGAGTATCTGGGATTTCAGGCACGTGCCACCATGCCCGGCTAATTTTTGTATTTTTAGTGGAGCTGGGGTTTCCCCATGTTGGCCAGGCTGGTCTCAAACTCCTGACCTCAGGTGATCTGCCCTCCTGGGCTTCCCAAAGTGCTGGGATTACAGGCCTCAGCCACCTTGCCAGGCCAAAGACAGTTCTTGACTAAGTTAGTGCTCAATAAAAGTTTGTTGAACTGAACAATAAAAGAATGTGGATTCCATATTAAGACAAAAGTTTACACTTTCCCAAAAAGGACATTCATGTTTAAATGCATCGTGATCTTCTTTATTATGGATTTAAGAACATAAATAATGTCAACAACATCCTTGGGAATAATTAGTAGGATGACATCTGCATCCCACTGCCCACATGCTTACCTTGAGAACAACTGACTTGGTGAATGAGCCAACACCCCGTTTCTTAAGTAAGCGCTCCGTTAGGGAAACCTCACTGTCAAATATATTATATGCTGTTTTTGACTCCTAAAAATTATTTTTCATTAAATAGATCAATAATTTATATTTCAATCTCTGTGTCTGAATAATACTCAGACACTTTCAATCTGTCACAATTAATATTCTTAAAAAATGTATCTTGTAATCCCAGTGCTTTGAGAGGCAGAGGTTGGATGATCGCTTGAGTCCAGGCATTCAAGACCAGTCTGGGAAACACAGTGAGACCCTGTCTCTACAAAAAGATTTTTAAAAATCAGTCAGGCGTAGTGATGTATGCCTGCAGTCTCAGCTTTCCAAAAGGCTGAGGTGGGAAGACTGAGCCTAGGTGTTTGAGGTTATAGTGAGCTATGATCGCGCCAATGTACTCCAGCATGGGCGATGGAGCAAGATCCGGTCTCGAAACAAACAAAAAGTATTTAATTAACAGTTCAAAACCATGCAATCTGAACAAATCGCTCTAGAAATAAAAGCTATAACTGCCAGTTAACACAGAAAAGGCCATCTCCATAATTTAACATACAATGAACACAAAATCAATCCAAGTGGGGTTATAATGCCTAATCAGAATTCCCCAAACTGTCCCCTGGAATGTCTGAGCTAAAGAAAAAAATTATTTTAAAAGGGTCCAAACCTTGTGGTCAGAAGCTGGAGGAGTGAGGGGCGCAGTAGGGCAAGAGAAAACTTCTGCTTTTCCTTTATACTTCTGTACCATTTGGAGTTTCATGTTATCATAAGTATATATTCCCTTATGGTAATACCAAAGTCCAAATGACACACAAGTATACGTTACTTTTTAAGCTTCCACATTCGCTGGTAATAGGAAAAGTCGGTCCAGAGAAAGCATGTTGCACCTTCTGAAACATTTCTATTTGAGATAGGATAGATATTACATGAGGTACTGTACATTTTAAATCTCTTTTACTTAGCATTTATTAACACGAGGTACCTCCGAAAGGAGAGAGGAGAAGAGGGGAACTATGAGATCCTTCATATAAAGCCAGCAAGGAGTAGGAAGTATCTAGTGGAGGTATCAGGGGACAGTGGCAACTGCCTAAGGTATTGAGCTTTGTGAAGAGGTGTCCTAATTTCTATTAACTGGCCTATAGAGAAAGAACAGATTTAATCTTACATCCTGTAGCAGAAAAAAAAAGGAAAGTGGGTTCCATTTTCAGAGAGTAACAAATGCTAGCAAACATTAGAGCTAAGAAAGTAAATAGTCTACAGTCCCTTACCCACAATTCCAAAATCCAAAAACTTCTGAAAACCAAAACTTTTCTGGAATTCATTGGTGGTGAAACCTGATGGGAATTTAATTGGTGGCAAGGTCTGACCTGAACTGACATGAAACTATTTATAGTCTACCCACTTTAGACTTTAGTCATAGCTTTGGCTGCTGAAATACTAATGTATTTGACTCTGAAGTGCTGCCTCTGACCCTGCAGGGGCATTGTATAACATATGGTAAGTGCATCTTATTAGTTTTCAAAAAAAAAAAAATCTGAGCTATAAAATACATCTGGCCCTTAAGAGTTTCTGATAAGGAATTGTGAACCTAAAAATGAGTTTTTATTAAAATGATCCTGTCAACCTTCCTGAAATATACCATTTTTTTCTTAAAATACCTGTAAATTAATTTGAACTAATTCTTTTCCTCAAACTTAAAATATTCTACTTTGAATATCTATAAAGATATAACTGTATTATTAGTTACAATATTTTATTCCACTTCAACATTAAGTCTTATTTTAACTTCTTTCTGAAGGAAACACTGAAATCAGCCTTTAGCAGATGGTATCAGAATGGAGTGAAGACAAAGTTAAAAAAGCAGATCTCTGTCAACGAGCTTCACCCTTTCTTTTTATGTTTAAAGAAAAACAGCATGAGATTTTCTGATGTATCAAAGAACATTAATTTCAAAAGTTAATAAATCCCAATTTAAGTCATTAAAAGAATCAAATCAAATAAAAAGTCACAAAATCCAAGAAGTTACTAAATCACAAAATAAAAGTCAAGTAATAGAACAGCTACAAGAAATGAAAATTATATACTTTAGCCCAGTTACTTATCGATTTTATTATACGAATAAATGACAAAGGCACACGGAACACGCAAAACTCAAATGTCTCTCTTAGAGAAAAAAACTATAAAGCCAGATTAAAGCAAGAACTAAGACATAAAACTAACAACCTATAATTAATTACAATGAAGGGTATTTTAGAAGATACGAAAAAATAGGCACAGAATGAACACTTTAATAAACATAAATACAACACTTGTACCTACATAAAACATAATTAGTTAAAATTTTTTCTTTTAATATACACCAATCCTCCCAACTCCCCACCTCCTACAACACAACTAACATGCCAGAAACACTCCAGCCAAATAGGAACCTCATTTCATAACTGATAGCCGTGAAAATCTCTTTTAATAAATGTGTGGTATAGAAAAGAACCCCTAATTATTTCTGTCTAAAAGAAGCTCTCGGCCGGGCGCAGTGCCTCAGGCCTGTAATCCCAGCACTTTTGGGAGGCCGAGGTGGGTGGATCACCTGAGGTTGGGAGTTCAAGACCAGCCTGACCAACATGGAGAAACCCCATCTCTACTAAAAATACAAAATTAGCCAGACATGGTGGCACATGCCTGTAATCCCAGATACTCTGGAGGCTGAGGCAGGAGAATCGCCTGAACCTAGGAGGCGGAGGTTGCGGTGAGCCGAGATCACGCCATTGCACTCCAGCTGGGGCAATGAGAGCGAAACTCCATCTCAAAAAAAAAAAAATTAAAAAAAAAAAGCTCTTACAAAGTTATACTCAAAGAAACTAAAGACTGAAAAATAACACAAAATATTCCTTAAAACAACTTTTAGGCCAGGTGCAGTAGTTCACACCTGTAATCCCAGCACTTTGGGAGGGTGAGGTAGGAGGATCCCTTGAGCCCAGGAGTTTGAGATCAGCCTGGACAACATAGGGAGACCCCAGCTCTACAAAAAAAAAAAATTTTATATCAGTCAACCTGGTAGTGTGCACCTGTGATCCCAACTACTCAGGAGGCTGAGGTGCGAGGGCTGCTTGAGCCCACGAATTTGAGGCTGCATGCAGTGGGGCATGATTGTACCTGCACTACAGCCTGGGCGAGACAGCGAGATACTGTCTCAAAAACAAAAAACTTTCATAGCAAATTTGTGGCTAGGTCCTGGAAACAAAGGATAATGCTACCTTTACACTATTGTTTACTAAAGTGTGGTTTTTACTCTCCATGAAAAATATGTGGTCATAAAAATAGTATGTATGGAATTCTAAATTAATCAAAAATAAAAATTAAAAATTTCAATGCAAATTTCAAGGTAAAAAGTCCACCTCATATATATGGATTTAAAAGAAAAATCTGGCAAGGTGCAATGGTTCATTCCTGTAATCCCAGCATTTTAGGAGGCTGAGGCAGGGAGGACTACTTCAGGCCAGGAGTTTGAGACCAGCCTGGGCAACACGGCGAGACCTCATCTGTAGAAATAAAAAATAAAAGAAGATTTTCCTGTTGTAACCTTCCTTTTACTTAAACAAAACACAGAATTGAAAGAAAATGAAAAGAAAACAAGACAACGAAAAGTTACTAAGATACTAAACAAGAACATCCAGATAAAGAACAAACCAAGAGGCCAGGCGCGGTGGCTCACGCCTGTAATCCCAGCACTTCAGGAGGCCAAGGCAGGAGGATCACCTGAGGCTAGGAGTTCGAGACCAGCCTGGCCAACATGGTGAGACCTCGTCTCTATTAAAAACACAAAAATTGGCTGGGCATGGTGGCGCGTGCCTGTAGTCCCAGCTACTCAGGAGGCTGAGGCAGGACAATCACCTGAACCCAGGAGGCGGAGGTTGTAGTGACCCGAGATTGCGCCACTGCACTCCAGCCTGGGCAGCAGAGTAAGACTCCATCTCAAAAAACAAAACAAAACAAAAGAACAAACCACGTAAGTAAAAGAGTATCCACTCTATCTACTATAAGGTTCACTATTCACTATAAAGGAACTGTGAAACTATACAGTTAACTAAAAAGATGAAATTACAGAAAATAAAAGCTGAAAGCTAAAAATCTAAGAATTCAAACCATAAGAATACTTTTTTAAAGTCCTTATCTTTCTGAATTGGGGGTGGGATGAGGTTAATAGGATCTTAGGGTGCTGGAAAACAAAGACTATGGAAAAACAATTTTAACCTCTTTCCCCCAAAAAAGAATTTGACCCAGTGATTAAGGTGGCATATGATAGAGTGTATATTCCAATCTACTTGGTTCTATGGACATTCTTTGGTTAATGACATAACATATCCACTGTGATGGTTAATTTTAGGTATCAACTTGACTGTGTTGAGAGATCCCTAGATGGCTGGTGAAGCATTGCTTCTGGGTGTGCCTGGGAGGGTGTTTCCAGAGGAGACTGACAGGTAAGTCGGGGAGTGAGACTATTGCCCTCAATGTGGGCAGGCACTATCCCATTGGCTAGGGGCCTGAATGGAAAAACCCTGTAGAAGAAGGGTGCATTCTCTGTCTCTTCCAGGATGGGATTCCCTCCTCCTCCTGCTCTTGAACATCAGAACTCCACGATCTTCAGCCTTTGGACTCTGGGATTTGCACCAGCAGCCTCTTGGGGCTCTCAGGCCTTCAGCCTTGGACTGAAAGTTACACCACTGGCTTCCTTGGTTCTTAAGCCTCTCAACTTGGGCTGAGACACGCCTGAGCTTCTCTGGTTCTCCGACTTGCAGACGGGCTATTGTGGGACTTCTCGGCCTTCATAATCACAGGAGCCAATTCTCCTACTAAATCCTCTCTCATGTATCCATACAAATATATATTCTGTTGGTTCTGTCTCTCTAGAGAACCCTAATATATCCAGAGTCAAGGCATCTCTTTGAACTAGGGCATTCACATAATTCCCACAGTACAAGACAAATACAGATATGCGCTCATGCTACTGGAATTCAACATCGTATATGAATAGCTTTTAATTAAACTTACGAAGGCATTATAAACTGTACAGGTAACAAAAATCAATTTTACATACTTTGTATCATGCAACATATTTTTGACAGAGTGATATCAGTTTCTTTACACAGAAATTAATTAGTTGATTATCATGATGTGACAAGCTTCCACATTCTAGCCTGGGCAACATGGCGAAACTCCATCTCTACAAAAAATACAAAAATTAACTGGGCATGGTGGCATGTGCCCGTAATCCCAGCTACTCAGGAAGGTGAGGTAGGAGGATCACTTGAGCCTCGGAGGTTGAAGTTGTAGTGAGATGAAATCATGCCACTGCACTCCAGCCTGGTGACAGAGTGAAACTCTGTCTCAAAAAAAATTTAAAAAGAAAAAAAAAAAAAAGAAAAGAAGCTTCCACAGTTAAGAGTGCAATGTAGTAAGGAGAAATGTACAAAAGTATTCAAATATCAGTAAGTTTATAATCAAGTTGGAGGGAGACTATCACATAAAACCAAGCTTTCTTAAATACTTCAGTTCAAATTTTAAATATAAACAATAATATATACCAGCAAATATAGAGAAGCATTCAAACTAAAGTTATTTTTCAAGATACACACCCCTAAGAAGTTTTATCCTTATCTTAATCAGGTTACCAATGAAAATACTTTGCAACTCTTATTTTGTTTCCAAACTAGTTTACAAATCACACAAGGAAAGCTGCCTTATTACACTGAGCTCATTTTGGACCTCAAACAGTATTACCCAGATGAGAAATCACATATCCAGACCTGAAAACATACTCCTGGTTGCTCCTCAAAATCAAATCCATCCTGAAAGAAGGAAGATATTCCCCCTACGGAAATTCCAAAGAATATCTCATACTCTGGAAGCAACCCCTAAAGAATTCCTGATATTTTAAGAAAAGGCAAGACTTCCGCTTCCAGAAAAGGTGAAGTAACGAGAGCAATATTTATCCTCATACCTGAAACAACTAAGAAACTGGATGAAATATATAAAACAGTTTTTAAGATACTGGCCACAGGCAGCATGGGACAGTGATGTGATCCCTGAGACACGGCAAATGAAGAAGGTGGCCTATGACTGGCCTAGCTTGCTGCCTAGGGAAAGTTTCCCAGTCACAGAACAGGGAGGGAAACCCAGGGGGAACTCAGAGGAATACCTTTACTTGAGGAGCCAGAGCTAGATTCTGAAAAGGCCAAGGAATCAGAATTTGCAGCATACAGTAGTACCAAGAGAGAAAAGAGCTGCACAGAGAAAGAACTCCAGAGATCTGTAGGAGACCCTCTGAGTATTCAGCTGAGTTCAAAAACAGCACGTTTATGTGAGAAAACTGCCCTAAGCTGGGGAAATAACTACCCAAAATGATTAGAAGAAACAATCTTTGGAACTCACACGGGGCCAGGAATTGTGCCTAATCTCACCAGACAGAGTAAAAACCATCATTCGTGGGGCACTAAGTAGAAGACTCAGAAGATTCAGTTGCTTCAGTAGTGAAGAACATTAATCCAAAGTACTGTTCTGCTTCCATCTAACAGAGCTTAAAAGCAACACCCAAATGGATCAAACAGCGTCGATCCAGAACAAAGCTCAATAATATTTACAGAGATACACAAAGATCCACCATCCAATAATATAAAACTTACAAAGTTTAGCATCCAATAAAAATCACCAGACATGAACTGTATGCCAACAAATTAGAAAACCTAGATGAAATAGACAAATTCCTAGAAAGACACAAACTACCAAAACTGACTTTGTAAGAAACAGAAAATCTGAATAGGCCTATAATAAACTAAATTCATAATAAAAAAAATTCCTATAAAGCAAACCCCAGTGCCAGGAGAGGTGGCTGTAGTTGTAACGATTTGGGAGGACAAGGTGGGAGGGTTGCTTGACGCCAGGAGTTCAAGACCAGCCTGGGCAAAATAGCAAAACCCTACCTCCACAAAAACAAAATAATTAGCTGGGTGTGGTGGTACACACCTGTAGTCTTAGCTACTCAGAAGGCTGAGGCAGGACGATCACTTGAGCCTAGGAGTTCAAGGTTACAGTGGGCTAAGATCCACTCCAGCCTAGGCAACAGAGCTCACTGGGGAATTCTATCAAATATTTAAAGAAAAATTAATATCAATTATTTACAAACCCTCCCTCCACCCCCACCCTCCAAAAACGAAGGGAACACTTCCCAATTCATTCTATGAGACCAGTATTACCCTCATTAGAAAAAGACACAAGAAAAAACACACACATACAAAAACAATGCTATAGACCATTATCTCTTATGAACATAGATGTGAAAATCCTTAACAAAATATACTAGCAAGTTAAATATAGCAATCTATAAAAAAGGATTATAGGCTAGGTGCAGTGGCTCACGCCTGTAATCCCAGCACTTTGGAAGGCCGAGGTGGGCAGATCACCTGAGGTCAGGAGTTCAAGACCAGCCTGGCCAACATGGTGAAACCCTGTCTCTACTAAAAATACAAAAATTAGTCGGGTGTGGTGGCACATGCCTATAATCCCAGCTACTCGGGAGGCTGAGGCAGGAGAATTGCTTGAACCCAGGAGCCAGAGGTTGCAGTGAGCCGAGATCGTGCCACTACACTTCCACCTGGCGACAGAGTGAGACCCTGTCTCAAAAAGAAAAAAAAAAAAAAAAGGATTATACACCATCACCATGTGGGATTTATCCCAGGAATGCAAAGTTAGCTTAATATACAAAAATCAATGTAATATACCACATCAGTAGAATAAATAACAAAAACTAGATGATCATCTCAATAGAAGCAGCAAAAGCATTTAACAAAATTCAATACCCTTTCTTAATAAAAATGCACCCAAAACTAGGAGTAAAAAGGAACTTCCTTAACCCGATAAAGGCCATCTTAAAAAAAAAAAAATCAGCTAACATCATACTTAGTGGCAAATGACTGAAGATCATAGTGGTCCCCCTGAGACCAAAAACAAGATAAATATCCAGGCTTGCCACTTTTGGCCAACATTGTACTGGAGGACAATTAGGCAGAAAATGAAACAAAGAGCATCTAGACTTAAAAGGAAGAATTTAAACTATCCCTATTTGCAGATGACATGATCCTGTATAAAGAAAATCCTAAGGAATCCAATGAAAAACTATCACAACTAATAAATGAGTTCAGCAAGTTTTCAGGATACAAGATTAATGTATTAAAATCCATTGTATTTCTACATATTAGCAGTGAATAAACCAAAAATAAAATTGTGAAAACAATTATATGTAAACTAACATTGGGCTGGGTGCAGTGGCTCAGGCCTGTAATCACAGCACTTTGGGAGGCTGAGGCGGGAGGATCACTCGAGCCCAGGAGTTCGAGACCAACCTAGGCAACATAGCAAAACCCTGTCTCTACAAAAAATTAAAAAATTAGGCAGGCATGGTGCCGTGCAACTCTGGTCCTGGTTACTCAGGAGGTTGAAGCAGAAAGATCACTTGAGCCCAAGAGGTCAAGGCTGCAGTAAGCTGTGATCGTGCCACTGCACTCCAGCCTGGGTGACAGAGTGAGACCCTGTCTCAAAAACAAAAACGAAAAAAAAGAAAAAAAGAAAAAGAAAAAAGAAAAAAACCTAACATCAAAAAGAATAAACTCTTAGGAATAAATTTAACAAAAGAAGTGCAACACTTATACGCTGAAAACCATAAAACGTCGAAATAAATTAAAAATGATCTGAATAAATGGAAAAGCAGCAAATGTTCATAGAGCAACATTTTGTTTAAATGGCAGTATTTGCCAAATTGATCTGTAAGTTCAGCACATTTCTATCACAATCTCAACTGACTTCCTTGTAGAAATGGAGAAGCTGATCCTAAAATTCATGTGGAAATTCAAGGGATCCAGAAGGGCCAAAACAATTTTGAAAAAGAACAAAGTTGGAGGACTCAAACTCCCTAATCTCAAAACGTAATACAAAACTACAATAATCAGTGTATTGTGGTAATGGCATAAAGACAGACATATAGATCAATGGAATAGAATTGAGAATCTACAAATAAACCCTCAATTACAGCCAATTTCACAAGAAAGTTGCCAAGATAATTAAATGAATTAAAAGAATAGTCTTTTCAACAAATGGGGCTGGAAAAACTATATATCCCCATGCAAAAGAATTAAGTTGGACTCCTCCCCTACACCATACACAAAAATTTACTCAAAATAGATCAGAGATGTAAATGTAAGAGTTAAAACTATAACAATCTTAGAAGAAAATATAGAATTAGATCATTGTGACCTTAGGTTAAGCAAAGTCTACATAGATATGCCAAAAGCAAAAATAGCAAAAGAAAAAAAAAAGATAAACTGAACTTTATCAAAATTAAAAGTTTAGTGCATCAACCTGCAGATTAGGAGAAAATTTCACAAAACGTGTCTAAAAAGGGATTTATATCTAGATATATAAAGAAATATTATAATTGAACAATAAGACAAGTAACCCAATTTAAAAATGGGCAAAGGATCTGAATAGATATTTCTCCAACAATAATATACAAATAGCCAATAAGTGCATGAAAACGTGCTCAAAATCATTAGCGTTCAGGCAAACGCAAATGAAAATACCATTTCCTACCCAGTAGGATAGCTGACAATAAAAGTGCCAGACAATGAAAAGGATCTGGAGAAACTGGAACCCTCATATACTGCTGGTAGGATTGTAAAATGGTGCAGCCCTTTTTGAAAATAGTCTGGTTGTTCGTCAAATGGTTAATTTAAAACAAAAATAATAATATATGGCCAGGGGCAGTGGCTCACACCTGTAATCACAGGACTTTGGGAGGCCGAGATGGGCAGATCACCTGAGGTCAGGAGTTTGAGACCAGCCTGGCCAACATGGTGAAACCCCATTTCAAGTAAAAATACAAAAATCAGCTGGGCAGCTGGGCATGGTGGTGGACGTCTGTAATCCCAGCTACTCAGGAGGCTAAGGCAGGAGAACTGCCTAAACCCAGAAGGCAGAGGTTGCAGTGAGCCCAGATCACGCCACTGCACTCCAGCCTGGGCAACAGAGTGAGACTCTATCTCAAAAAATAAATAAATAAAGTAAAATTTAAAAAATAACATATTGTGGGATTTATAACATACGTATAAGTAAAATGCATAACAATAATACAAAACCTGGGAGGGCTGAAATGGAGACATATAGTTGTAAAGTTTTCTTTTTATTTTTGAGACAGAGTCTCGCTGTGTTGCCCAGGCTGGAGCGTAATGGCACAATCTCAGATCACTGCAACCTCCGCCTCCCAGATTCAAGCGATTCTCCTGCCTCAGCCTCCCATGTAGCTTGGATTACAGGCGCCCACCACCACGCCCAGCTAATTTTTGTATTTTTAGTAGAGACAAGGTTTCACCATGTTGGCTAGGCTGGTCTCGAACTCCTGACGTCAGATGATCCACCCACCTTGGCCTCCCAAAGTGCTGGGATTACAGGTGTGAGCCACCGTGCCCAGCCTAATTGTAAAGTTCTTATAACGAAAGTGATACTATACTATTTGAAGATAGATTGTGGTATGTAAAAGATGCATGTTATAAATCACTAAAATAATACACAAAGAAATACAGCTAATTAACCAAAAAAGAAGATAAAATGAAATTTAAAAATAGGGAAAAGGAAGGCAGAAAAAGAAGAAAAATAAATAATATATGAGCAAGTAACAGCAAACTAGTAAAGATACTACCAACCATCTGGACCTAATTGACATTTATAAAATATTAAATCCAGGCCAGGCACAGTGGCTCACACCTGCAATCCTAGCACTTTGGAAGGCCGAGGCAGGTGGATCACCTGAGGTCAGGAGTTCGAGACCAGCCTGGCCAACATGGTGAAACCCTGTCGCTACTAAAAATACAAAAAAAAAAAAATTAGGCAGACGTGGTGGCGCATGCCTATAATCCCAGCTACTCAAGAGGCCAAGGCTGGAGAATCGCTTGAACCTGGAAGACGGAGGTTGCAGTGAGCCAAGATCACACCATTGCACTCCAGCCCGAGCAACAAGAGCAAAACTCCGTCTCAAATAATAATAATAAATCCAACAACAGCGGACATACGTTCCTTTCAAATGCACAAATAATATTTACCTAGATAGACCATATTCTGTACCATAAAACAAATCTCAATACATTTTAAAGGATTCAGTTATACAAAGTGTACCAAAAAGAATTCAAACAGCATAACCAGAGGCTACTATCCTTGGAAAAGTCGGCTTGCAAAAAGGTTGGCTCTTGGGTGGCATCTGGGAATCTAAATTTCAGGATTGTTTCCACCATTCTCTAATTGATAAGGGTGGTTTACTGTGTCTAAACTCTACCTACCATGCGGTTCATGCAGAACACCTGTTTTCCTACTGGGAGCCTGAAATTTTGGTTCATGCTAGGTACCAAACTAACTCCTGATAAAAAGCCTGGATTCCTAGGCTCAGGCAAGCTTTCCTAGTAGACAACACTTCACACATATTGTTACAACTTGTTCCTGGGGGAATTAAGTGTGTCCTGTATGTTCTACTGGGAAAAGACTTTTGGAAGCTTGCACCTGGGCACCTGGCTTCTACCAGCACCTTTTCCCTTTTAATTTTGCACTGTATTTTTTCACTGAAATAAATCTTAGTCATGAGTATGACTATATGCTGGGCCCTGTGTGTTCTCCTAAGTAATCACTGAACCTAGGGATAGTCTTGGGGACCCTAGAAACACAAAGTCTATTCTTTGGTACAATAAAATTAAAGTAGAAATCAATAACAGAAAGATATGTAGAAACTTCCAAGTATTTGGAAATCAAATAACACTTCTAAATAATCCATAGGTTGGCTGGGCATGGTGGCTCATGCCCGTAATCCTAGCACTTTGGAAGACTAAGGTGGGCCAACATGGCGAAACCCTGTCGCTAATAAATTTATAAAAATTAGCCGGGTGTGGTGGCACACACCTGAACTCAGGAAGTGAAGGTTGCAGTGAGTGGAGATCGTGCCACTGCACTTTAGCCTGGGCAACAGAGTGAGACTTTTTGTCAAAAAAATAAAAAAATAATAAAAATAATAAAAAAAAAAGTCATGTGCATTTTTTATGTTAAAACTTTTTTTGCTAAATTAAAAAAAAAAAAAAAGAAAAAAAAAATGATGGCCGGGCACAGTGCCTCACGCCTGAAATCCCAGCACTTTTGGGAGGTCGAGGCGGGTGGATCACACGAGGCCAGGAGTTTGAGACCAGCCTGGCCAACACAGTGAAACCCCGTCCCATCTCTACTAAAAATACAAAACTTAGCTAGGCAATGGTGGTGTGTGCCTGTAG
Organism: Homo sapiens; assembly: GCF_000001405.40. NCBI lineage: Eukaryota > Metazoa > Chordata > Mammalia > Primates > Hominidae > Homo > Homo sapiens. The sequence goes on along the minus strand of NC_000022.11, from coordinate 40,059,959 downwards.
TACCAGCTACTCAGGAGGCTGAGGCAGGAGAATCGCTTGAACCTGGGAGGCGGAGGTTGCAGTGAGCCGAGACTGCACCAGTGCACTCCAGCCTGGCAACAGAGCGAGACTCCGTCTCGGGGGGAAAAAAAAAAAAAAAAAAAACCAAACTCTATCATGACCAATGGGGCTTATCCCAGGAATCCAGGGTTGTTTAATGTTCAAAAGTCAGTCAAAATAATTTACCATGTTAACAGACTAAAAAAGAAAAAACATATTTTAATATATTTTAAAAAGCACATCCAATGAAACAATCTCCATTCCTGATTAAAAACTCTCAGTAAACTAGGATTAAAAGAGAAATTCTGGAACCTGATAAAGTGCAACTATGAAAACGCACAGATCATACCACAGTTAGTGATACAAGACTAAATACTTTCTCCCTAAGACACAGGAGAAAAGCAAGAATGCCCACTCGTATCACTTCTGTTCAGCATGGTACTCGAAGTACTAGCCAGGACATTAAGGTATGAATTAGAACTCAAAGACTGGAAAGTAAATTTGTCTTTCTTTGTAAATGATATATTTGTTTAAAAAAACATCGAAATCTATAAAAATGCCATTAGAACTAATGAATGCAATTAGCAAAGTCTACGTAATTCATTATCATCACAATCATATCAGTAAGAACAAACTATATCCAAATGAAGGAGGCGTTACTTAAGAAAGGCTTTCAGGAAGACAAAGTTTCGAGAAGGCTTTTTGAGAGTAAGGGGGACAATGAATTGGCAGCCAGAAGCAGGGAGAAAATTTTACATAAGTCAAACCTTTATAGAGCATGGGGACAAAAAGAGAGAAAATAATATGGAAAACAGAGAAAAGATTGTACAGAACGCAAAGATTCAAAAGAAAGAAATGACAGTTGATAAATGGGAGCAGTAAACGAACTTGGCTGGAACAAAGGTGTTTGGATTTCACACAGTAAGGACAGGTTGCTAAAGAAAGGAAAAGAAAATAGTACGTAGGAAATGTTTTCTGGGGAGAAACTAGAAACAAGACAACTGACTAGAGAGCTATTTAAATAACCCAGAAATAGACCAAGGATGATTTAGATTCAGGATGGTGGCATGAACATAAAAATGAGAAGGTCAAAGTCCAAAGCCACAGAGAAAAGAAAAACTAAAGGATATGGCAATGTTTCCAGATTCAATGTGTCAGAATTTCAAGATTCAAGTACTGGGCAGGTGGGTTGCCAGCGACAGGGTATCCAACAGCATCACGCCTCTCCAGACGGAGGTGAAGTAGGGGCCCCTCTCCAGCCTCCAGTTACCTTTCTGAAAAGCACCCTGAATGATAAGCCCAAGGTCTGAAAAATAGGAGGTTAAAGCAAAGCAAGAGAAAATGACATGAAATACACATTTTTCAGTACAGTCAGTCAGTCTAGAGACTGTCTGCTTCCAAAGCTAACGTGCTGCATCGGTTGAGTCCCGGCTCTGGCCAGTTCAGGAAGCGCAGGCTGGCGCCACAATGTGCTAAAGCACATTGTGTCACATTGTGCTAAAGCACATTGTGCTAAAGCACATTGAGTCACAAGTTTTGGAGGACAGGTAGAGGGCCCCCTTTTTAAAGTTTTCAAACCATCCCTTACTGGCTTGAAATGTGATGTCTTTTACATCTTCATTCATTCTTCTTCTCTTTGTGATTTCTACCAAGAGCCTTTTTTACCGTTTATGTTTTGTTTTTGTTTTTTGGTGTTGTAAAAGTAGTATTTTCCCCTCTGAGCCTTTTGGCTACATACTGGGGTATGGGGCATAAAAAGATCTCCTCTTTCTGGAGCAGTCCACAGACCCACCTGCATGGTTTAAGCTGGAATCAGTAAGTATTGTGGCCTTTTGTTTAAGGCAATTGAGCCAAAATGCAAGATAAAACACTGTAAATTTTAAACATATTGGTGTAAAAATATAAAACTTGTATAGTAAAAAGAAGGTTGACAAAATTGACTAAAGAGTAGATGGTGAAATATTAACTTAAAATCTGTTGTCCATGGTACATCTAACAGGAAAGTCTTTATTTAGAAGGTCTACAGAGATAACATCTGAGTAAAACCTCTCCTCAGGAAAAGGATATTACTGAGCATGAGACACCATCAGCAGGATTTTCACAGGAGAAAGACATTTAGCTCCTCAGAGAGCAGCTGTTTCATCTTTTACTTTGGATTGCCTTCCTCCACATCAGAATCTTGTACCCAGCAAGTACCCAAGACATTTCTCTTGATATGCTGACCAGGGGGTCTCCAGGTTAGAAAGCCTGGTCCACTTCCAGTTTTTGAGGCTCGAGATATGTATATATATTTTTTTAAATAAAGACATGCCAAAACACCATTATGAAAATTCTGGGCCAGGCAGGGTGGCTCACGCCTGTAATCCCAGCACTTTGGGAGGCTGCGGATCACCTGAGGTCAGGAGTTTGAGACCAGCCTGACCAACATGGAGAAATCCTGTCTCTACTAAAAATACAAAATTAGCCGGGCGTGGTGGCACACGCCTGTGATCCCAGCTACTCGGGAGGCTGAGGCAGGAGAATCACTTGAACCCAGGAGGCGGAGGTTGCGACGAGCCGAGATGGTGCCATTGTACTCCAGCCTGGGCAACAAGAGCGAAACTCTGTCTCAAAAAAAAAAAAAAAAAACCTGGCATATTTTCAATGTACACATTTAATAAATCAACACCTTTAGGAAAAAAATTCAATGTAACTGTACTATTCACAAGAGGATTAATAAACATGTTCCCTTGTCATAAACCACAGATAGTGTTACCTGGTAAGAAGTTTAAAGGTATAATCAGTATCATCTTTCAATCCTGTGACTTTATCTCGACTGTTTACACCTACTATGTGCAAACCATTCTAGTGGGTGCCATGACAAAACAAAGTAGCATAAACTCATTTTGAGCTCAAGGTATCCAAGATGAGAACCCATGACGACTTCTTACTCTGTTGAGATACTACAAGGAACTTCCAATGAATATAGTCTACCTGTGCCCATGGGAGGAATCTGGTGGCCTTGCCCCATCAAATCTGCTACCATCTCTATTCAAGCAACTTCCATTTTTCTTTCTCCGCTGGGTGCTTCCTGTATATCTTTTAATAGATTATAGATTTTTCTTTCTTTTTTTTTTTTTTTTTGAGACAGGGTGTCACTCTGTCTCTCAGGCTGGAGTGTAGTGATGCAATCCTAGCTCACCGCAGCCTCCAACTCCTGGGCTCATGCAATCCTCCTGCCTCAGCCTTTTGAGTAGCTAGGACTACAGGCATGTGCCATCATGCTCAGTTGATGTTTAAAACATTTTTTGTAGAGATGGGGGTCTCACTATGTTGCTCAAGCTGGTCTCGAACTCCTGGCCTCAAGTGATCCTCTTACTCTGGCTTCCCAAAGTGCTGGGATTACAGGCATGAGCCACTGCACCCAGCCTGATTTTCTATCTTACTTAAAGGTGTTGCCTTCTCAACCTCGTCCTGCTTCCATTTTTCTCTGTCCTTTCTCTTCCAAACATCTTAAACTAAACTGCATTCATTACTACCATTCTCCCTATCATCACTTAGCTCCTTAGCCCTTTGTTATGTAGATCAAATACATACACAGAACTTGCAGAAATCGGCATTACCGTAAGTCAATTAACATCTTGTGAGTGTAATCAGCACTACCAGAGCATAATCACTTCTTCCCATTTGAAAAATATCAAGCTCTGAATATGCAAAGCTGAGAAACATTAGTTTAGCCAACAAGGTATGGACATCCTGCAACTGAAAGCAACTTAGCGGAAATAGAATGGAAGATGGCTAGAGATGGGGTGGATGGGGAAAGGAGACACTACTTAAGAGTAACAGGGAGAGAAAAATGGATAGGAGGAGACAGAAAAGGAAAGAGACATTGAAAACAAATAGGAGTAAATGAAGGAAAATGGGCTACATTTTTATCCAATTAATCTCCCTTTTTCAAATCTGGTTGAGAATTAAATTAGATTAATGTTAGCTCAGTGAACCACTTGGAGACTTGGAGATATGTAAAGACCTTCAAGCTGTAGGAACTGTCTTTCCCAGAACATATACCAGAGGCCCTTCTGGGTAGTCCTCTTTTCTGATTTCCTCTCTTTCACTGGTTCAGTGTCTGATCCATTTGAGATGGTATCAGCACTCACCTCAGGTGATCTAGAAGTCACTTCCTTTACACTCTCTGCTCCTACAGATAAGCTTAAATGAGTCACCACTTTCTAATTCCACCTAACATCATTTGCATGGTTATAGGTACACCACTGAAGCAAGTATATTAACTAGAAGTGACAAGTGCCGTTGTGGTTTATGATTATCTTCTCTGAATGGTACTCTATGCCTTTATGAATTCAAACATACAGATTCAGATCATTATTCTAAGGTCATTTCCTGTCCTAAACTGCAGTGGAGTAAGAGGCTGAGTCTGACATATCATGGTTCAACTGTAAGTCAGCTATTAGCCCTGTACCCTAATGCCAGCCTTGTAAAGCATACCGCTGTGCCGGTCATCTTCTCCACATACTAAAAACGCTCCCCCATGCCTCTACACAGGCTGTTCTCTCTGCCGGAAATGCCCTTTTCCTCCACAACTTAGTGTGAGTGTCACCTTCCCTGGGAAGGCTTTCTCAACCTCCCCATCGTGTTGATGACCTTCCTTTTCATCCCCGCAGCACCTCTTGTACTGTCTATTACAGCACTTATTACACTAAATGGCACTCATCTGTGTCCACATCTGTCTCACCCACCTGGCTGTGCATTCCTTGGGAACAAAGATCTCCTTTCGCCCCACCTCTGTAGTCCTGGCTCCTAGCACAGCATTCAGCATGTCTATGCATTCAAATGTTTAGTGAGAGCGTCATCATGTCAAGCCCAAGCATAATTTCTTTTCTTTTTTTGGAGACGGAGTCTTGTTCTGTCACCCAGGCTGGAGCTTAATGGTGCAATCTCAGCTCACTGCAACCTCTGCCTCCCGGGCTCAAGCAACCTTCCTGTATCAGCCTCCCGAGTAGCTGGGACTACTGGCGCGCACTACTACAACCAGCTAATTTTTTTTTTTTTTGTAGAGATGGGTTTCACCATGTCACCCAGGCTGGTCTCGAACTCCTGGACTCAAGTGACCTGCCTGCCTTGGCCTCCCAAAGTGCTGGCATTACATGCATGAGCCACCAAGCTTTGCCTAAAATGAGGTTTTTTAGAAATTCTATTTTAAATTCTCTTTCTTAACTTCATTTGAAAAAATATTTATTGAGGACCTACTATGTGCAACTCACAGTGCTAGATGTTGGTGACACAAATGTGAATAAAACAGAGTATTTTTATTCATGTAGCTATTTTCCAGAAGGGGAAATATAATATACAAATTAAATAATTATACAATTGATATCTTCTAATGTGGGGCGGGGTGATTAGGAAGTCATTAAAGAGGAGACACACACACTGAGCTCAGGATTGAAGAGGCATTAACTAAGGTTGGGCCTGCGGGCTTCCAGCTGTGAGAATAGTATGCTCAAGGAAGGGACCTTGGGTAGTGAAGAACACACATTTCCGGAACTTGAAGAGGGTCAGTATGGTGAGAGTACACTCAGCAAGGGGGAAGACAGTAGGAAAAGAGGCAGGGGACGCTGGCAGAAGCTTCACTGGGCAGTCAGTGAAAAAGGCAAGAACAAGAATTCAGGTTCTTATCAGGGTCTTTAGGCCTCACTGACAGTTTTGTTTTTGAGACAGGGTCTCACTCTGTCACCCACACTGGAGTGTGGTGGCGCAATCTCGGCTGACTGCAACCTCTGCCTCCAGGCTCAAGCTAGCCTCCCACCTCAGCCTCCTGAGTAGCTGGGACTACAGGCAGGCACCACCACGCCCAGCTAATTTTTGTATTTTTTGCAGAGACAGGGTTTTGCTATGTTGCCCAGGCTGGTCTTGACCTCCTGAGCTCAAGATATTCACCCACCTCAGCTTCCCAAAGTGCTGGGATTACAGGCACGAGCCTGTGCACCCAGTTATTAACAGTTTTAAGTAGGGGAGAAATATGATCAGATTTACACTTGCTTTTTAAGTAAATGTTTTAAATTAAGATATACACAGAACACATCTGTAGTTTTAAAAGATTATTCTCACTACAGTTTCAACAATTCTCTGAAGTAGAGAAGTTCCTACTTGCAAAAGAAAAAACTAAGACTCTGCAAAGCTAAGTAACTTACTTCAAGTTATTTATTTAACAAACATTTGAGTGTCTACGATATGACAGACACAGTACAGTATGTGCCTAGGGATGCAAAGATGACTACAATAGTCTCACTTAAGAAATTTGCAATCCAGCAGGAGAGACAGATTAAGAAACATGATATAATGTAGTCTATGTCAGAAATGAGTAAAGTCTAAGAGAACAGAGAGAAATTCAATCTTCCTAGGAAGAATTAACCATTTCACCTGTGTGTTAAAGGGGTATTTTTTTTTCCATACTGTAGTTTTTGAATTTTCAGTCATTCCTGCGCTTGGCACCCAGTATGCACTCAAGCAAATGTCAGCAATACAAATGAATCCAGGACTTTTGACTCCTAATTCAGAGACTCTCCAACTCTGCCCGAATTCTGGAAGACTTGCATTAATTACAATAATTATGGAACTATTTTGGAGCTCTACTTTTGAAGCTGCTTTCGGAGCCTGTTTATAAACCACAAAGAAAGTCAGTCTTATTAAAACTGTCAAACTTCATTAATGACCCAACCTGAAAATCCATAACAATATCTAAACATAGTTTTTTTTTTTTTTTTTTAAAGAAAATCTCCAAACACATCGAGTGGTATATGTTAAATACCTAAAGCTTTTAGTATGTCAGTCATACCTCAATAAGGTGGTTTGGGGGAAAAAGAAAGCACAAATCGACATTCAGAGGATGGTGAAATGCTCCCATGAAGACAACCAAGCAAATATACCATATACACCTTCGTAATTCATGATCTCTGTACTCAAAGGACTTACATTTCAGTTTCTAACTAGAAAGACAAAGCATAGCACATAAAAAGAATAAAAGAGAATAGAAGGTAACATTTGTTCATTTATTTAAAACATTTACACACTGCCTACTACTACACAACTGGTCAGAAACTGTTCTAGGGATACAAAGCGGGTAAGATAAATGCCTGCCTTCAAGAAACTCAGTCCTATGGGGAAGTCAACAATACACAGGCCAGACATGGTGGCTCACGCCTGTAATCCCAGCACTTTGGGAGGCTAAGGCAGGCAGATTGCTTGAGCCTGGGAGATCCAGACCAGCCTGGGCAACATAGTGAGACCTCATCTCTACAAAACATGAGCCAGGTGTGGAGGTGCGTGTCTGTAGTTCCAGCTGTTCAGGAGGCTGAGGTGGGAGGACTGCTTGAGCCCAGGAGATGGAGGTTGCAATGAGCCATGTTTATGCCACTGCACTCCGGCCTGGGTGACAGAGTAAGACCCTGCCTCAACAAAAAAAAAAAAAAAAAAAAAAAAAAATACAATACACAGCGTTGCTATTAAGCAGGTACACACAAATGAGAACACTGAGGCTGTGTACAGCTGCCATCAATTCTAATTCATCAGACACCGATTCTTATTGGTTCATGCTTTATCTGTTGTTAAATATTGTAATATTACCTCTGATTATAACGCAAATTGGTAAAGACCGTAAGTAATCACTATATGAAAAAAACAATGACACCAAAAAAATTGTTAAAAGTTTTCAGAGAATATGACGAGAACTTAAATTTTAATCTTAGGGTCCCCCTTTGATCTTGGGGTCCCCTTGTGTTTCTTGGCAAGGAAGGTTGGCACATTTGGATAAGGAAGCTGGTTCTAGGTGAGGGGAATAGTAGCCAAAAGACCAGTGGCTGGAAGTACCCAGGTATGGCCCTTCAACTATGTGGAGAGCATGGTTTAGAGTTGTGCTGTCCAACATGGTAGCCACTAGCCACATGTGGCTACTGAGCACTTGAAATGTGGTTACTCTGAACTGAGATGTCTATGAGCGAAAAATACACTCCAGATTTCAAAGGCTTAACTAGAAAAAAGAATGTAAAGTATCTCATTAATAATTTTTACCAATTACCTATTTAAATGTTAATATTTTGGATATACTGAAGTCAATAAAATGCTATAAAAATCAATTTCACCCCTTTCTACTTTTTTAATGTAGCTACTAGAAAATCTATACATATGTGGCTCATATTTGTGGCTTACATTCTATTTCTATTGGACAGTGCTAGTCCAGAAACTTTAAATAACAAGCTAAAGCATTTAAACCCTCTAGGCAATGAAACACCATTGAAGGCTTTCAAACTGTAGTGCCTGTGGTCGATTTGGGAGGGAGCAGGAAACATAAACAAAGCACTGTTTCAGGAAGATCAGTGTGGGGGCAATCTGTAGGGGTGAGACACTGGAGGCAGTTGTCAATGTCAACAGGCTGCAAAATGTCAAAGGGTAAGTAGGCTCAGCTGGAAAGTATACAACGTCTTTAGAAGCCCCATGCTGGGTGGAGGGAGGAGTAAGAAATCAAGAGCAGGTTGAAATACGGAAGAATAACAGCTGCAAGTGCTGACCCCAGCCTGGACAACCAAGGTGCAATACTTGTGGGACTTAGTGAGCTTAGCACAGTTTAGTTTAGATCTAGTCTGGCTTAGTGATAAGGGATTCCATGCAGAGGTACAATTCAGAACAGGATTGGTGTCCTCTTCAGCAATTTTGGAATCTATCTCACTGTGGCAAGACTTCCAACAGTGAGATCAAGTCCCAGAGGAGACACTGAGGACGTAGGCAAGGCTACCAGAAACTACAGGATAGGCTGGGTGCGGTGGCTCACGCCTGTAATCCCAGCACTTTGGGAGGCTGAGGCAGGTGGATCACAAGGTCAGGAGTCCAAGACCAGCCTGGCTAATATGGTGAAACCCCATCTTTACTAAAAATACAAAAATTAGCCAGGTGTGGTGGTGCGCACCTGTAGTCCTAGCTACTCGAGAGGCTGAGGCAGAAGAATTGCTTGAACCCAGGAGGCAGACGTTGCAGTGAGCCGAGATCACGCCACTACACTCCAGCCTGGGCAACAGAGCGAGACTCTGTCTCAAAAAAAAAAAAAACCCAAAAACAAAAAAACTACAGGACAGCAATAAATAACAAAAGCAAAAGCCCAGACTTACAACACAGCCTACAAATATTTACTGGAAGTCTGTTGTATGCCTGACACTTGGCCAGGCTCTGGAGATACACTGAGATTCAGGACCAAAACAGACATGGTCCTGAATCATGAATTGTGGTGACAGCTATGAAAAAATAACAGGAGCTCTGCCAGTCTTAACTGAGGGTGGATGGGGGTAGTGGGACGAGAGCATAAAGGAGGGCCTTTCTGAGGTGACAATTTAATCTGAACCTGAAGTTAGCTGGGTAAAAGCTAGTGGGGAGCAGAGCAAGGACAGCCCAAGCCAAGAGAGTGGTGCAGGTGTATACAAAAACAAAAGCCTTAAGGCCGGAAAAGGCTTGGGCAATTTGAGGAACTGAAAGAAGGACCTTGCAGTTAAGATGCTCAGAGAGGAGGATGGGGTGTAAAAGAAGTGAGAGAAGGTTGGGGAGGCCAGAACACACAGAGCCTCATAGGATAAAAAGTAAAATCCCAAACCGGCCTGAGTGCAATGGGAAGTCATAGAAGGGTTTTGACCACAAGGAAATGCTACAATCCTAAAGGGGTTCTAAGTGCTCCAACTACCCATGCTCCTCTCAGGTCGCTGGATCCGGGCTGGCTTGGTAGCAAAGGGGCAGCAGCCAGTATCGTAACTAAGTAGCAGGATTCCAGGTTTGAAATAACAGAGTTTATTATATGGCCCTCCAAATGCTCCAGGGTTGCAAACTTGAGAGGATGATGGCACCACTGAAAAACACTAATAATAACTATAATTATAAATTATAGAATAATAATTAATAGAAACTAACGATAATAGAAACTAATACTAATGGGAGGCATTACTTGACTTTCAACATACTGAGTACGAAGAAGTAGCAAAGAATGCCAGCCGGGCGCGGTGGCTCATGCCTGTAATCTCAGCACTTTGGGAGGCTGAGGTGGGCAGATCACCTGAGGTCAGGAGTTCCAGATCAGCCTGGCCAACATGGTGAAATGCTGTCTCTACTAATAATACAAAAATTAGCCAGATTTGGTGGTGTGCGCCTGCAATCCCAGCTACTTGGGAGGCTAAGGCAGGAGAATCACTTAAACCCGGAAGGCAGAAGTTGCAGCGAGCCAAAATCACACCACTGCACTCTAGCCTGGGCGACAGAGCGAGACTCCATCTCAAAAACAAAACAAAAAGAATGCCAGCAGGTAAATATGGATTTTGTTTTGGAGTATGGAAGAGAGGTGAGGCATGGATATGCAGGCTAGCATATACAGAGGTGACAGTTAAGTCTCATAAATAACACTTATGAAGATTAGAAAAAGAGAAAAATAAAACAATAAAAGGAGCCCTTAGTAATTGACCTTAGTGTTTATCTCCGGGATAGAAGTCAGGAAAGGAACGACGCCCCAAAAGGTAAGAAGGAGGACAGTACGATGTTAGAAAAACTTAAGAAAAGGCAGAGAGTTAAGAAAGCTGACTGGGCACGGTGGCTCATCCGTGTCCTAGCACTTTGGGAGGCTGAGGTGGGAGTTTGAGACCAGCCTGGCCAACATGGTGAAATCCCTAAGGTCGGGAGTTCGAGACCATCCTGGCTAACACAGTGACCGGCCAGGCTGGTTTTGAACTCCTGACCTCGTGATCCACCCGCCTCAGCCTCCCAAAGTGCTGGGATTACAGGTGTTAGCCACCGCGCCCAGCCAGCAGTGTATAAATGTTTTAAATAAATGAACAAATGTTACCTTCTATTCTCTTTGTACTAAAAATACAAAAATTAGCTGGGCGTGGTGATGCACGCCTATAATCCCAGCTACTTGGGAGGCTGAGGCAGGAGAATCGCTTGAACCCAGTGAAGTTGGGAGGGGGGAGCGGGGCAGAGGTTGTGGTGAGCCGAGATCATGCCACTTCACTCCAGCCTGGGCGACAGAGCGAAACTCTGTCAGAAAGACAAGAAAGATGGATGGATGGATAGAAGGAAGGAAGGAAGGAAGGAAAAAGAAAAGAGAAAGCCGTGATACAAAGGGATGGGACAAGGGAGTTTTTTTTGGAGTGATGGAACCGTTCTGATCCTGACTGTGTACATTCATGTGTGAACATTCACAGAACTGTAAACACACATAAAAAGTCAATATTACTGTATGTTATTTTTAAAAAAATGTTTAAATGGATAGGAATTGTCAAAAAGGATTGACTGCTGCAGGGAGACAGAAAAGGATGAAACCTGAAGAGAGAGTTTTGGAAATTTTTTTTTTTTTTTTTTTGAGACGGAGCCTCGCTCTGTTGCCCAGGCTGGAGTGCAGTGGCGCGATCTCAGGTCACTGCAGCCTCCGCCTCCTTGGTTCAAGCAATTCTCCTGCGTCAGGCTCCCGAGTAACTGGGACTACAGGCATGCGCCGCCACACCCGGCTAATTTTTTTGTATTTTTAGTAGAGACGGGGTTTCACCATATTGGCCAGAATGGTCTTGATCTCCTGACCTCGTGATCCACCTGACTCGGCCTCCCAAAAGTGCTGGTATTACAGGCGTGAGCCACCACGCCCGGCCAATGTGGGAAATTTACCCACTAGGTAATTGGCAACCTTGGAACAATCTGGCTGCAAAAGTTTAAAGAATGACTGTGTAGTGAAGACGTGAAGAAAGGGAAGCAGCCAGCATAGACTGCTCTTTCAGAACTCTGGAAGTGAGAGGAACAGAAGCTCAAACATGATAGTAGAACGGAGAGATCCAGCAAACTGACAGAATTTTCCAAGACCCCATGAGTTGCTCCATTTAAGTATTTTTTCAAAACGCGCATTTTGCACATGAACTAGTCATTTTCTTATTGTCCTGTTAAACTAAAACTGCACAATTCAACGACTAAAATGAATCCGAAATCTACACTTTGATTCTGCTCCTTAGAATCAAATGTCAGTCAACTAACGTTTTCTGTGTTCCCACTATGTGCCAAGCACTGTGCTGGATAGAAAAATGAGTAACAGTCCCTGGAAGAGCACACAATTTATCACAATACACAATAGCCCGGGACTGGAGCAGCAATCTGCACAAAGGGCTCTGAAAGCCTTGAACTCTTGAGCTAAAATGTATTTTTACAATCTTTATAAAAATTAAACAGGGAAGAAATAAGATGTACTTTTGCAAAAATGTTATTAATTTCTAAAAGCCAAGAATGAGCTTAATGTAAACTTTTTTTTTTTCTTGGAGACTGAATTTCGCTCTTGTTGCCCAGATTGGAGTGCAATGGCACAATCTCGGCTCACTGCAACCTCCGCCTCCCGGGTTCAAGCGATTCTCCTGCCTCGGTTTCCTAAGTAGCTGGGATTACAGGCGCCCACCACCACGCCCGGCTAATTTTTTGTATTTTTAGTAGAGACGGGGTTTCACCATGTTGGCCACGCTGGTCTCCAACTCCTGACCTCAAGTGATCCACCTGCCTCGGTCTCCCAAAGTGCTGGGATTACAGGCGTGAGCCATCGCGCCCAGCCTAATTTAAATTCTTAAGTTAGGTATGGGCAACCTAATCATCAGTGGTATTCTCCTTTTCTATTCCTCTCTACTTTTCAGTGCCCTTTCTCCCTCTGATAATTCAAGGAGGAGGCAAAATGAAACACGCGTAGGCTCTCAAACCAGACAGACGTTGAGACTAAACCTATGCCCTGGAACTGCATAGCTGTGTGGCTCCTGGAGATCCCTTTTCTCATTCATAGTATAGTAACGATACCTACCCCACAGGCTTGGGCTAAGAATTAGGGGAAAAGATGTCAAAAGGCTGGCATAGAGTAAGCATACAATAAATGTTAGCTAATATTATTACTGCCATTTCAACAAGTGGTATTGCTCCGACTTGAAAACATTTTTAAGGCCGGGCGCGGTGGCTCACGCCTGTAATCCCAGCACTTTGGGAGGCCGAGGCGGGCGGATCATGAAGTCAGGAGATCGAGACCATCCTGGCTAACATGGTGAAACGCCGTCTCTACTAAAAATACAAAAAAATTAGCCGGGCGTGGTGGCGGGCGCCTGTAGTCCCAGCTACTCGGGAGGCTGAGGCAGGAGAATGGTGTGAACCCGGGAGGCGGAGCTTGCAGTGAGCCGAGATTGTGCCACTACACTCCAGCCTGGCACAATCTTTGAGACTCTGTCTCAAAAAAAAAAAAAAAAATTGAGACTCTGTCTCAAAAAAAAAAAAAAAAATTTAAGTGCTTCCATTTGAATGAGGGAAATCTTTTTCAAGGGCATGACATTTATATGTTACCACAGAAAAGCAGCTACGGAATTCCTATCAGAAACCACTCTGCTCAAATAATGGTGTTTGGGATAAGCCCTTAATAATAGTAAAGAACTAAGAAAATATAAAAGTATTATTATCATCATCACCACGTCCCACGTGGGACAAGCCAGTCTGATTTGTATTCTGGATATTGGTGAGTGTGCCTTCGTGCAAGTGGGCACTACACAGCCCTCCCACTACCTGCCTACAGCAATGCTGCGCGCTGTAGAGACAATGCGCTAAAAGTTCCGCTCTATAAGAGGCATTTACACAACACTACCCAAAACACATCTGTACTTTCGAAGCCAAGATCACTGATGATTCTCCAAATCAAGAGAAACCTTATACTACTGAAATCTCCCACAGCGAAGAGAGAAGTAACCTCTATTAGTAAACTTTCACAAAATGCTAATGTCTATCATTTCTACACACTTTATATATATACTTAACTGTTGGTGGGGGCACTAATGTTTCATTCACTGATTCTTGGCTTGTTTTATTCACTATGAAGAAATATCTTTGACCAATTTTGTATAATTTTGCTTAAATTATAATACAAATGACCAACTTGAAATTCACCATCCTCTCGTTCAATCTCTAGCACTGATGCTAAAAAGTAATAAAACAGCCAAAACACATGAGAAAGCACGAACTTAAAGTCCCAGGCTGGTAACCTGAATTCCAAAGAATTCAGAATAAGCTGGTCCTTAAGGCGCTTGACTAGAGGTGACCGTTACTGGACGTCTTTAACCACTACAGCGTGTCTCGCTGGATCGGATGTCCAGCCTCTACAGCCGAATAAACCGGTAGTCTGGAACTGAAGGGCACCGGACCACGGGAAGGTGTAAAAACACTCTCCGTGCCCCTCGTTTCCTTGTCCAGAGTCTGAGCCGCCTCCCCAAGTGGCCGCACACGCAGGGCCCTGGCGAGGGGTGTGGAACGCATTCACCTTGTCACGCAGGTCCTGCACACAGGCCGGGACGCTGCGCAGGGACCCGAGGATCCGAGGCCTGACGCCTCCCTCTGCCACCGCCAGCCAGGGGCGGACGCGCCTCCGCGGGCCGGGAAGGTGTCCCCGCGCCGAGGCCCCCCGGAGACGGGAAGCGAACTCGACGGCCGGGCCAGCCCACCCGGAAGCCCTCCCCCAGCTCACACCTGCTGGCGCGTGACGCCCGGAGCCGCGCGCGCGCCCGCCAGTGCCTGCCCGGCCGTTCGGGGCGCCCCGGCCCGCGCGCCGGACGTCGCCCCGAGTCCCTCCCCGCCCCTCGACTCAAATCTCGGCGGCGCCCGCTCCCGCGGAGCGCGCGCTCAGCGCCGCCGGCCGCACCAGCCCCGCGCGCGCTCACGCCCCCTCCCCGGCCCGCTCCCCGCCCCACGCGCGCTCCCTCGCGAGGACACGCACACGCCGCGCCTCCGCTCACCGCCCCGGGCCGCGCCGCGCGCCCCCGGGGGCGCCCTCGCCGACCCCCGGCCGCCCCGCTCCGTCCCGGCGGGGCGCGGGGGAGGGGAAGGACGGCGCGGCCGCCGCACCTCACTCACCGCCGAGCCGTGCCGGCTCCGAGTGCGCGGCGTTTCGCTGTGAGGCGAGGCGCGCAGTCTCCGCTTCTCCGCAGACTATGGAGGCGACGTCGTAGGGGGGACTGAGGGGCGCAGGGGTCACTCCCTCCCGTTTCGCCTTGCAGCAGCACGGGGACCCCAAAAACTAAAAACAAAATAAACAAACTTTCCCCTCCGCATCCCTCCCCCAAAACCACAACACAAACACTCGGGGGCCCGCCCAGAGCCCCACTCCATTGGCCGCAGGGAGGATGCTTCCGGCTCTCACTGGCTGGCTTTTGTGCCCGTCAAGCTGTCGTTCCGCCCCTCCAATTCCTCGTTGCTGCCTTCGCCCCTCATTGGTTAAGTGCTTCCCGTTTAACGAGCTAGGATTGGCTGAGCTGCCTGAGCCAATCATGTGGGGACACACCCCCTCAGCATCCCAGAGGCCGCTTCCTCGGTCGAGGACCCAGAGAGACTCAGGGGAAATTAGAGCATGATGGCGGCCGAGGTCGCTTGGCGCAACCATCGTCTTTTTTCTTTATTTTTAGCTCATTAGTGCCTTGCCTCGGCGCTGTTTCCCTAAGCTCCTCTCTCCAACCAGTACTGCCCTATAACGGAATCCATACGTGCCGGCTCCTTGATTTATCCCCTCCGAAGTGCTGAGTGTGGGCTGGTTGTGCGTCATTGGACTGTCAGGATGTCACTCCCCAGTCAAATCTTCAAGCTATTGGTGGAACAGCAAGAAAGCCCGTCCATCAACAAGGGCTAATACCATTGGTTTGACTCCACTGTGTTATTTCCTGGCACCTTATTGGGCAAATAGGTGCGTCAGATCCGGATTCGCTCTGCTACGGTTAATTGTTTACTGGGGATTTGGGGTCAACTCTGGTTGTTTGGCCAGTAGTTGACGATAATAGTGACTCCCTTGCCTATTTTGTGCCAAGTATTGGGCTGCTTTCTTCACAAACATTATCTGGTTAAACCTGGGAGTAATGCAGTATCCAGTTTTTATAGATGGGAAATTAAGGCTGGCGAGAGCTTAGAAAACTTGCCCAAGGTCATCCAGATACAGAGTCGTTGGTGGGCCTGGCATCTGGTCCTGGGTCAAACTGCAGAGACTTCACTCTTTTTATTATGCTTTAG
This sequence comes from Homo sapiens, assembly GCF_000001405.40. NCBI lineage: Eukaryota > Metazoa > Chordata > Mammalia > Primates > Hominidae > Homo > Homo sapiens. Next base: position 40,043,855 of record NC_000022.11, on the reverse strand, counting down.
TGCCTCCACCTTAGACGATGTACTTGTCAGCCAACCTAGCATCTTAAAAACGTTTCATTTGGAACTCAAAGTCTTCAGTCAGTTTCTAGAAGTGACTTTGTTGGGGACTTACTATGGAAAGGTTGTCATTGCCTCCACCACATCTTCCTCCCCAGGACCCATTCCTCTCCCCTTTAAGGTAGACATTTCTGCCTCCTTTTATGCGAAGCCTAGGCACCACTCGCAACCCCTGACCAACCATCTACAACTCATTCTTTGGAGAGAGTCCTCAAGAGCTGGAAAACTAGGAGAAATCAAGTCTAAAGAGAGAGACAGAATAAATCGTCTTAGAAATGAATAATTTATTGCATGCAAAGAGAACAGCCCTTCAGCTCCTGGAAATCTTCCAGGATAGTTGATGCTGAGCAAGACGTGTGCTCCTGGCTGGTGGCCACTGGGTTCTTTCCCTATAGCAGCATTCATCGAAGTGAATCCAACATTTCAGCCAGAGGAGGGCAGGACGCTTAGGACCCATTGCCAGTGAGCTTTTGCGACCGAAATGATCTCCAGGAGCACAACGCTGGACTCTAGCCCACATTCCATCTTGGGTAATTAACATTTTACCGTCCCAAATCCCCATCCCCTGTAGCTTCAGTGGGATCACCGCCCTTGTTTCACTTCCTGATCCAAGCTGTTGTGTAACCTCCTTGGCACTGCTTTAATAATAAAACAACCATTGTAACATAGTAACAATGCTCAACACTTAGAGCCTTTCAGCAAATGAAGCCAAGGTATTTCATAAACGTCAATTAAGAGTAAGTGGCATGTATTCCTAGGGCAACTGCAAGAAGGACAGAAGAAAGATCGTGCGTCAAATTCTAATATAGGTTGTAAGAACGTGAGTCCTTAAAATTGTATGCACATACCCCATATTAGCCTTCCAGTATGGGGATTCTGAACTCAAAAACACAATGAATGAGAAACATTCAGAATCTAAAACCTTCCTAATCTTCAAAGTTGGTTGCTTGGACCCCTATTTTAGCACTTAAGTTGGTGCTTGACTTTCTGGGTAATTGTTTGATACATTTCAGTTGTAAGTACCTTGAAGCAGATGGTTTCTTTTTCATCTTTGTGTCCTTCACATTGTTCTGATCGTAAAAGGCCCCCAAATAAATAATTACTCAGTAAATGTTTAGTGAGCATGTCAGGCACTTTTACTAAGTTACAAAGGCTATGCAGATGAGTGATACACTCTCTCTTCCTTCAAGGACCTCAGTCGAGTAGGGGTGTCCAGCAGATAAGCAGATAACCATGATGCAGTGCTGTGAGAAGGTGCCCTGGAAGCAAATGGTAGGGACATGGGACTCCATCTCGGGAGGGACAGAAATGGCTTCCTGGAAGAAGTGACACCTTCAAGGAGAACTAAAGAATGAGTTACGGTTAGCTAGGCAAGAGACTGGTGATGTGTGGTGACCTACGACATTTGCTCTCTGGTGGCAGGGAGCAGAATGGGAATATCCAGAGATGGCCAAAGCCTGTTCTTCTTAGAATCTTTGTCCATAAAGGCCTCAGCAATTTGTCCACTCCACCTCATTGTGCCTTCCCTCCCAGAGACAAAACAAATGCCTGAAACCTTCTCCTATTTGCCCACTTGAGAATAGGAAAATAATTTCCAAATAAGATGGCCGTTTTTCTGATCATAAAAGTAACATTGAGGCCAGGCACATTGGCTTATGCTTGTAATCCCAGCAATTTGAGAGGCCAAGGCGGAAGGATTGCTTGAGGCCAGGAGCTTGAGACTAGCTAGAGCAACACAGGCAGAGCCCATTTCTACAAAAAGAAAGAAAATAAATAGTTGCGCATGGTGGCCTGCGCCTACAGTCCCAGCTACTTGGGATGCTGAGGTGGGAGGATTGCTTGAGCCTGGGAGTTCAAGGCTGCAGTGAGCCACACCACTGCACTCCAGCCTGGGCAATAGAGCAAGACCCTGTCTCAAAAAAAAAAAAAGTAACATTGAGTAAATATAATATTAACTCAATATTTAATATTCTGTATTTCAGACAATATAGAAAGTTATAAAGTAAAAGCCGCCCATAGTCTGTTACATCCAGACACTGTTAAGGAGACTATCTTCCCAGACTCTTTTATGAACAGACCCACAAATGAGTTTCTTCTTCCAACAAACAGTGGGATGTGGTTCAGGGTCTTTTCTGGGCTCTCAGAGCTCTCATCACCCAGAACTGCGGCTTTGGATGGAACCTGCCCTCGCTTTCTATACTTATAGGAAGGAAGCCAATCTGTCAATCAAATATTTATTGTGGAGAAGATGGGTTTCAATTCCTGTCAGAGCCAATGGCAGGACTTTTGGGGCTTACTCAGCCTGGTGTGAATGTTAAGCCAATGATTGGGGTGAGGGCGTCTGCCCTGTAGGGCTTACAGGCATGCCTTGGTGCCTGCGGAATCAACTCATACCCTGAAAAGGCAGCCCAGGTCAGAGAATGCTATGCCAGGGTGCTCTCTTGTGCTTGCTCTCATTTCCTCTCTGCATGCTACTTGGGGAAAATATTTTTCTGTTTGTTTGTTCCAACCCACCCAGCTTTCAGAGTAAAAAGACTCGTTAAGCCCTGCACACTTGTATGCAGGCCAAGTGCACTATGTTCTTGGAGCGCTGTGCTATTCTTAGCGCTCTATATGTGGTGTTCTATACAGTTGGCTTTTTGCTGGAGGGGAAGGCAGATTTCATGAGTGATAGCTGCCTTGGCTGGCTACCAAAAGTGCTCTGAGCCATCTCAAGCAACAGGCCTTCCTTTTTTCCCTTGAGAGGTTGTGTTGTGATCCCTGCCCTCGGCTTGGACAAATTCCAAGGCAATGGGAATTTTTGTGAACAATTCTGCAATAACCCACAAGCTGGGGGAAGGGGGGATAGCAAGCTGGATCTGCTCCAGCTCTAATTTCTGTGACACAGAAGAACTCCTTCCGCCCTTTGCACTGGCCCCTCATAGCTATGAAGAATTTGGAAGTGTTCATTAAGCATTCTCCAATTCTTGAAGCTTATAACAATGGGAAGATCCCTGTAAAGGAATCTGATCCAAAAGACAAGGGGACAGCTGACAGCTGATACTGCTTGCTTGGGCAGTGGGTGTAGCCATTGCCAAAGACCAAGAGCAATGAGGCAGGGAAACTCTCTAAAGAGGGCTGATTACAGAGGGCATGCTTATAAGCATTTATTGCATGTCTGGGAGCATTTACTGTGCAACACATCCCTTGTGTCTGTCTCACCTTCTAAATCACCTATCATTTTTTATGACCACACTTCCTGAGAAGCTACTTAGTTAAGCAGCAAACACTGGACCCCCTCATGTGTGCTGGCCAATGCTAGACACACAGGAGGCAGCTCACAAGAGAACCAGGATTATGGTTAATAATAACTACCCTTTGGTGGACACTTGCTGTGTGTCATACACTGTACTGAGGGCTTTACGTGGATTATGGCTGTTAATCTTCACAACAACCATTGTTATCCACATTTTCTAGATAGGAAAATGGAGGCACTGAAGGGCTAACTAACCCATCGTTGAACCTAGGCGGTCTGACTCCAACGAGTAAGCTCTTGTCCACGCTGCTATATTGCCTCTGGGATGTCTGACTTGGGAACCCCACAGTGCAGCTGGGGAGATGACCAGCCCTCAATGAACAGTTGTCCTCGTAGTCTTTAGTATCTCAGCCCCATCCTCTTTACCCCCTATAAACTCAAGGAAAGAAATACACCTCTTTCCGGCTAAATTACTGCCTCTGGTGGTCCTTCCTCCACGTCCCAACTGAGATCTGGCTTTTCTCCCACTCCCTTCAAATAGCTTCCTTCCCTTTCTTCTCTATTTTCTTATCCTAGCTTTTTAAATAATGGCCTGCGGCCATCTCCACCACCAGGAATGCTCTCTCGTTTTCTCTCTCTGAACCTGGCTTCTAGCCCTAACTCTACTGAAATTCATTTCTCTAAGCTCATCTATAACCTTTTTGTGGCCAAGATCCAAGAGACTTTCTCAGTCCTTGTTTCCATGGCTTCACCAATACGTTTTACTCTGAGAATCTTTTCTTTGCTTCCCCAAATAGCCAGCTTTCCTCCTACCTCTACAACTGTTCATGCTCTTTTCCCTACCATCTCTTTCTCTAAGCTCCTTCAAAGGAATCTGTCTGCACTTCTCTCCTTATGTTGTCTCTGGGGGCGTGCGACGCTCGCAGGACTCAGCAAGCTCAGCTGGGTCATTATCCTACTTTCACCTCTAAGATGAGAATTCTATCTCTCCATCTCCACCCTTCATTCTGCAGCTTGTTTGCTGCGTGACTTTTTGCAAGTCACACAAACTATCTAAGCTTCAGTTTCCTCGTTTCTAAAATGAATATATTGAATCGGATTTGTTATTCTCCACCTAAGATAATGATAAAACCTAACATTTTAACCCACATACCAGGCCAGGCGTAGTGGTTCATGCCTGTAATCCTCCCAGCACTTTGGGAGGCAGAGGCAGGTGGATCATGGAAGTCAGAGGTTCAAGACCAGGCTGGCCAAAATGGCAAAACCTCATCTCTACTAAAAATACAAAAATTAGCTGGGTATGGTGGCGCGCACCTGTAATCCCAGCTACTCAGGAGGCTGAGGCAGGAGAACTGCTTCAACCTGGGAGGTGGAGGTTGCAGTGAGCTGAGATCGCGCCACTGCACTCAAGCCTGGGCAACAAAGGGAGACTCCATCTCAAATTAAAAAAACTGCATACTATGCCAGGCAGGACTAAGTGGAAAATGAAAGCATGGGGTTCTGTGTTCACAGGTTTCATGCCCATGAAGCCAGCTCTAGTACCAGCCTCTGCTCCAAGCATTGTATATGTATGAGCTTATTCAGTCCTCATAGTAACTTTCTGAGGTAGATACAGATGAAGAAAGTAAGGCAGAGATAGGTTAAGCAGTTGCCCAAGGTCAGTTTTTAATTGGTAGAATTGAGGAAAATAACACTTGCCTGTTGGGGCTGTTGTGAGACTCACGGGTGCAGGTGCATAGGGAAGGCTGGTTCCTGTCCAGGGACCCCTCAGCCCGGCCATGCCCATTCTCCGGCAGAGAGTTTGTCCATGTGGTTTCTGCTGCCTATGATGCCCCCTCTTCCTCTGCCTGTCCCCAAGTCTACACTTTCTTCAAAGCTCAGTTCAAGCCCCTCCTCCTCCTCTGAGGGGTTTCTGCAGCCGAGGCAGGCCCACATCTCCCTTCCCCTGGCAGATTTCCTGAGCACCCATAGTGAAGGCAGCCCCCTCCCTGCCTTAGGAGCACTCGCTGGCCTTTGCGTACTCCAGGCTCAGTAATAACCAATCCTACAAGGCCAGAGGAAAAACTTTTTTCTCCATATCCTTGGAGCAGCTTGCTGTAGACTGTCTCACCCACCAGACAGGAAGGCTTTGCGGGCAAAACCTATATTTGAGTTATCTGAGTCTTCACTGTGTCCTCGATAATTGTGATTCTCATAATTCTCCTAAAAGAGTTCTGTCTAGGCTCTGGACCTTTCCCTGGAATGCCTTGCCTCATTGTCCCCTCCTCCATTCACTCCTCAGGTATCGGCTCAGAGATTACCTCCTCCTCCAGGAAGCCTACCCTGTTCTTCTCCCCCAGGTTAAGTGCCTCCTCTGGGCTTCTTTACATGCTGTGCTTTCCCATCAGAACACTTGCCTCCCAGTATCCATCTTCCTAACCATGTTCTGAACATTTGAAGGTAAAGGCCAGGTCTATCTTATCACAGTGCCTGGAACACAGTAAGTTCTCAATAAGTTCGTTTGAACAAATGAATGAACGAATGAATGAATGAAAAAATTAAATGTTGAGCAGGTGCAGTGGCTCACATCTGTAAGCCCAGCTACTTGGGAGGCTGAGGTGGGAGGATCACTTGAGCCCAGGAGTTAGAGACCAGCCTAGACAACATAGCAAGACCCCATCCCTAAAGTTTTTTTTTTAATTAGCTGGGCAGGGTGGTGCATGCCTGTAGTCCCAGCTACTTGGGAGGCTGAGGCGGGAGGATCACCTGAACCTAGGAGTTTGAGGTTGCGGTGAGTTATGATTATGTCATTGCACTCCAACCTGGCAACAGAGACCCCCATCTCTTAAAAAAAAAGTTGGTGAAAACTCTGGGCTCTGCAGGCATCTCAGCACAGGGCTTGGCACCTGATGGGTGCTTATGTACATTTATGAAATGGGTGAGAACAAATCCAGAATTTCTGTTCAGAAGAAGCCTTAGTGGCAGCGGTCTGGTTGGAGGAGTGAGACTAGTGAATTCCTCTTGACAGAACAATGACAAGGTAAACATGAGAGTTGAGAGTCCGTGTTGGGAGCGGAGGCATAAAGGAGAGGTGTCCTAGGCCAGAGGTCAGCAAGCCCAGGCTTGAGGACCAAATCCAGCCCACTGCCTGTTTTGGCACAGCCTGTGAGCTAAGACTGGTTTTTGCTTTTGTTTTTTTGTTTGTTTGTTTTTGAGATGGAGTCTAGCTCTGTTGCCCAGGCTGAAGTGCAGTGGCATGATCTCAGCTCACTGCAACCTCCGCCTCCCAGGTTTAAGCAATTCCTACGCCTCAGCCTCCCGAGTAGCTGGGATTACAGGCATGTGCCACCACACCAGGCTAATTTTTGTATTTTTAATAGAGACAGGGTTTCACCACGTTGGCCAGGCTGGTTTCGAACTCCTGACCTCAGGTGATCCACCCACCTCGGCCTCCCAAAGTGCTGAGGTCACAGGCATGAGCCACCGCACCTGGCCGGTTTTTGCATATTAAAAGAATATTACTACTTTGTGATACATGAAAATTATGGATTCAGATTTCAGTATTCATAAGGTTTCACTGGAACATGGCCACACCTGCTTGTTTCTGTACTGTCTAGGGGTGCCTCAGTGCTATGACAGTAGCTGCAACAGACACACTGAATGTTCACTTTTTGGCCCGCCACAGAAGGAGCTTGCAGATCCCTGCTTTGGCCGTCTAGCTGACCTAGGGGAGGAAGGACGTATGCTGCCAGCCAGCCACAAGGTGTCAGCCTCTCACCATGATGCTGCCAGCCGCGTGGGCTTCTCCAAGTTCTCCAAGGCTTCTCTCCAGGGCCACCTGCGCAGGACCAGGACTGTGGCCCCTAGACCCCGTCCCACCAGGCTATAGTCACTAGTGTGAAAGCCAAAGACATCAAGGCGGGGTGTGGAATCTACATGAGGAGTACAGGCCTGGCTTGGGAAGCCCCATGGCCTGGAGAAGGGTTGGCAGACTTCTCCGGACATGCTCTGTTTCTTTGATTTAGGTTTTATTTGTATTTTGTATACAAAAGATTCTCCAAACAAACTAAAATTGTTTATTTCACCACAAACTATCAATCCAGAAAGGTTGTGGGACTTTTGCACAACCAGATAAGACCGCAGCCCTCTAAGGATGAACCTGCATGAGGGGAACACAGGTCCCTGCCAAGCAGAGTGGCTCCGAAATGGCATCTCTGGCAGGTTTTCTCTCCCTTTCTGTCGAAACCTGGGCCTTGGCCAGGTGTGGTAGCTAATGCCTGTAATCCCAACACTTTGGGAGGCCAAGGCGGAAGGATCGCTTGAGGCCAGGAGTTCAAGTCTAGCTTGGGTAACACAGTGAGATCCTATCTCTACAAAAAAATATTGAAAATTAGGGCAGGAGCGTTGGTGCAAGCCACTACTACTACTAGCTACTTGGGAAGCTGAGGATGGAAGATCTCAAGGAACTCATTGAGCCCAGGAGTTTGAGGCTGCAGGAAGCCATGATTACGCCACTGCACTCCAGCCTGGGTGACGGAGCAAGATCATCTTAAAAAAGCAAAAAAGAAAGAAAGAAAGAAAAAAGAAACCTGAACTCTGTAGCTTCCTTCAGGTGAACAAGCAGTTAGCCCTGTGTGCCAACGATTCAATATGAAAGTGGTAAATTTCACAGGGAATTAAAGGGGAGGATCTAGGAGAGAAGATCCCAAAAGGAAAATAAGCCACTGGAGGTCACAACCCTGGAGGCTCCTCCGATGCCCAGCTGTTTGCGTCAGCCCCTGTGCTAGGTGCTTCACGTGGTTACTCTGGAGAGTCGTCTCGAGATCATCCCCATTTGACACATGAGGAAACAGGAAAGTTCGGGGATGTGAAATTGCTTGCTGGGGTCATTAGCTGTTCGGTGGCAGAGATAGGATTTCAGCCCTTGCCTGCCTGTTCTGAAGCCTGTCCTCTCTATGCCATGCGCCCCCGCCAAGGTCATGCAGGCATACCACTTCAATACCATGCCTTCCTCGCTCACCATGGATCCCCAGGCCGGGCACCCAGCAAATATCCACCGGATGAATAAATGGGTGCAGGCCTGCAAGCACTGCAGCGAACCTTTCCCTGTGCAGTCGCCTAACTTCCAAGACACTTCCAGGAAGAGATGAGGCAGAGAGTCAAAGCTGCGAGCAGGAAATAAGAATCATGACGCATGGTTTTCTGCACACCATGGGCTCTTTTCCCCTTGCTTGTACCCACAGCACTGTGGGCACCGCGGACATACTGCCTGTTCTTGCCTTTTGCTCCTTTCCTCCCCCAGCTCCCACGCGCTTGCTGGCTTCCGTGGCAGGCCCTAGCCCATCTCCTTCTATTACGTGGACATCTGCTCCTAAAGCTGCTTTTCAGTGGCTGCAGGCAATGCCCTAACTTCTAGCCATTTTTCTAAATGAAAACTTGATTCCAGCCGGCTGTCACTGTGAAAGTGCTCTAGGACGGTCCAGATAACCAGATTCTAGCCCTTCCTGCGACTCATTGGGTGACTTTGGACAAATTTCCTCACCTTGGGCCCTCCTTTCTATGCTAGCTTTTGAAAGGAAGCATGCAGACAGGGCCATCCTTGAGCAGCTAGAGGCCTGCAGGCCCAGTGCCACCTAGTCTGGACCACCCAGGAGATGAAGACCATGCACTTAGGACAGATGAAGAAAGGAGAAGCCTTCCTAGAGGAAAGGATTAGATCAGGAGGGACTTTTGATAAACCCAGTCCTTAAGAAATTAAATCACAGCAGAACCCCATTTGGCATATACGGTATTAGAAGTCAGGAATGAGACAGAAAGGGTCATGATCAATTCTAGAACCTCTATGACACATCCTGTTTATTCACCTGGCTAATTCTCTGTACTGAATGGCAGTCAAGTCTTCAATCATTTAACAAATAGGTATTAAGCATATATTGTGGCTGCAGAGCTGAGCCAGGCAGGTGAGGCACCAGTGCTCACAAAGCCCGCTCTCCAGGCTCAGGAACCCCAAGGACAGATGGGTACCTATCGTGCCAGGCAGCAGCACATGGCATCTAGAAGCAGGGCTTTCCTCAGTCCCTAGCTGGGAGAGCAGAAGCTGCAAGGGGAAGGGCGAGAAGTCCAGGCCTGCCTAACTGTGCAAGGTCTCTGGGCTGATCTCATGGTTACTTAGCCCCAGAACATACTCACGGCTGTGCCTGCCCTTCTTGCCCTTCTCCTCACTCAACCTTGGACTGGTTCTGCTCACTGAGCTGGGGGTACCTGATTTGCAGCAAACCTCCTGCCCCTGGAACAGCAGTGCAGACGATCAGCAGCAGCCACTACGTCCTTTGGGCAGGGAGGCAGGAGTGTGGCGCACTGCCAGATGAGAAATTGCATCCCTAGCGCACGGCAGGGCTAATTAGCTGCTAAGGGGGCTTTGTCAATGTTCACTGAGAATGTGGTCATGACAGGCAGGTAGCGATTCCTGCTTGGCCTGACTTGAGTGTGGAAGGCTCTCTGCTGTCAGCACTGGCTGCTTTTGGAGGTGGGTCCACCGCTGGGCACACACAGGTATGTGCAGTGGTACTGTCTGTGCAGGACGTAGCTGAGCCTGAAGGAAGAGGGACAGACTGGCAGGAAACCTGACAGGGAGCTGAGTGGAGTGAGGCAGATGTGTGTACATAAACACACCTGTCATGGGGAATATAAGGTGGTAAAGAACTAAGAAAGATAACCAGAACAGAAAGGAAAGATGCTACTGCGTCTCCCAGGAAGCAGCGTCTCAGGCAAGTCAGCCAACCTCTCTGGGCCAGGGTGCTGTGTCCAAGGTACCCAGGGCAGAGAGTGCATTGAAACACTTCGGAGAAGTGGCCTGTGCAGGCCACCAGGTCAGGACTGTGAAGAAAAGAGCCAGTGCTCTCAACGGGGGCACTTTTACCCCCCAGGGGACATGTGGTAACATCTGGAGACATTTTTGGTGGTCTCATCTGAAGGAGTGCTAGTGGCATTTAGTAGGTGGAAGCTAGGGATGTTGCTAAACGTACTATAATGCACAGGGCAGCCCCATCCCCAACAGAGGATTCTGCAGCTCCAAAGCATCACCATTGCCAAGACCCTGAGCTCAAGGAACAGACTCAGACCTGCATTCTCTGTGACGTGGGATCTGGGGAGAGTTGTGTGCCTCCTCATCTGAAAGATGGGGATAATGAACCTTAGCCAGGCTGGGCGTGGTGGCTCATGCCTGTAATCCCAGCAGTTTGGGAGGCCAAGGCAGGCAGATCACCTGAGGCCGGGAGTTCAAGATCAGCCTGACCAACATAGTGAAACCCTGTCTCTACTAAAAATACAAAAATTAGCCGGGCGTGGTGGCGCGTGCCTGTAATCTCAGCTACTCAGGAGGCTGAGGCCAGAGAATCACTTAAACCCAGGAGGTGGAGGTTGTAGCGAGCTGAGATGACGCCACTGCACTCCAGCCTGATCGACAGAGCAAGACATTGTCTCAAAAAAAAAACAAAACAATTACTTGCGCTTCTCATCATACAACCTTATGAGACCCACTCCCCCAATACACAGGAAAACTGTTACCTTTCTAAAGGGCTCTTTGTTGAGCTTTTCTTAGTTTGAAACCTTCATGTTACTAAAGCATCTAGCATGGTGACTGGCATATAGTAGGTGCTCAATAAATATGAAAAAGAGAAAAGCAATACAGTAGTAAACAAAAACAAAACAAAAAAATAGCCTGGCCGGGTACGGTGGCCTGTAATCCCAGCACTTTGGGAGGCCAAGGCGGGCGGATCACAAGGTCAGGAGATCAAGACCAACCTGGCTAACATGGTGAAACCCTGTCTCTAATAAAAATATAAAAAAATTAGCCAGGCATGGTGGTGGGCACCTGTAGTCATAGCTGCTCAGGAGGCTGAGGCAGAAGAATGGCGTGAACCCGGGAGGCGGAGCTTGCAGTGAGCCAAGATCGCTGTCACTGCACTCCAGCCTGGGCAACAGGGTGAGACTCTGTCTCAGAAAAAAAAAAGAAAAAAAAAAAAGAAATAGCCCACTTTCCCCTCTTTGGCCAGTTTCTTCCATATCTCTGGGTCTCATTTTTTGCCTAGCCTTTCTATAAAGTTCTACACAGGCAGAGGGTAGTGATGTTAACAGAGGCTATCTTGAAAGCCCTCGAGGGGTCAGGGATAAGATTAAGGACAGGTAGCTAAGGAGATGGGAAGTTTTGCCAAATCCCAAGGGGCAGGCTCCCAGATCCATCCAGAAGTCCTGTGCTTACTGCCCTTGTGGGGCAGAAGCAAGCGTGGCGGCCGCACCAGGGGCTCAGCTCACTGGGAGGTTAGGTTTCCCAAAGAGCTGCACCAGCTGTGAACACTTACCCTACAGAAGCTGACTCAGAAAGACAGCAGCTTGGTGGTGGTGTGGGGTGGGAGGGGGGTGCAGTGAAGCCAGACCCCAGCCCCGAGAGTGCTGCCTTATCCTGTTCCTCCTAGAGCCCTTCCAATGTAACCAGCCTTGCAGAAGCTGCTGTGCAGGGACCAAGGGCATGATCCACCCTTGAACTTGCCATCCAACTGGGAGGGCCAGATGTACCCTTGAGATTTGATGAGTAAGAGACTGCTTCACAAAGTATGTGCAAGTGCTGGAACAGAGGGCAGGCGTACTCACAGCTGAGAAGCCAAGAGGCAGAACAGAGTGGGCCGGTGCCTAGGCAGACAGGCAAACATGAAGAGCTGCATTTTGTGAGTTCAAAATCCTTGCCATCTCGGACTACAGTTTCTGTCTCAAGCCTTTTGGAGCGGGGGGTGCCGACACCATCTTGTCCACACTGCTATAAGGACGAGGACACAGGCCAGCAGGGAGAGGCACCCTGCCTGGGCACTCCTGCCTTGTGGCTGGCCCTCTTCCCACTATGCCAACTTGCTTCCTAACATATGGTCTCCCCATCATTTCTACCAAGAAAGTGTGAAAAACGCCATCTTGGCACATGGAGAAACTGAGGCAGAAAGGAAGGCCTGGCTCAAGGCTGTGGTGACTTGGAGATTCCAATCAGGGATCCTCCCAGATTAGATGTCAGGGCAGGGGAGGGACCTGGGTGTGCTTTGGGCCTAGAGGAGGTAAAGGGACAAAGCAGGGCCTGCTCTTCTGGCAGGGGAGGCACAGATGCCCTTGGCTGACTTGCTTGGAGGCCGGTCCCTTCCCCAGGCTGCCTCCCTAATCCCCAGAGACACCCACCCTCCACACCAGAGAGTGATCTCTTTGCCGCGTTGCAGTTTACACATTTCATGTCCCATACCTTCAAGGTGTCCGCCTCGAGCTGAGGTGTAACACCCCCACATCCCACCTCCCCCCTCTCTCCCTTCCCTCCCCTCCAGAATGAGCTCATGCCACACTGCCTGGTCTTGGTGCCTAAGGAAACACTTCCCAGAAGCATTTCACCTTCATAAAAGCTCAGGGAGGTGGGCCAGAGTCCCTTCTCCACACGCCCTAGAAGCCAGCCTTGGGATTAACAGAGAAGACCCTGGGGACAGGCTCACCCTTCCTTTCCCTTCCCCTCCCCACTGCCAGAGAGATTGCATCTCCTCAATGGCCGCCACATGTGGTCCCCACTTCCTGCTTCCTCAGAAGCAATGCCTGGCTCCCACAGCCCAGCCAGAGCAGCCCCTTTTCTTGCTCTCACATCAGCTGCCTTGCAGACATCTGTACCCCTCCCCCAGGTGCTGGTAGTGTCCTAGGGTTTTTTAGAAGGAAAGAAAGAGGATGAGAGTTTGGTTCAGAGGTCAGAGGGCAAGAAAGTCCGCTGCATGGCTCTTCCACAGGGCTTGGATCCCCCATCGCCCTGCCGGCAGGGCCGGCTCACAGAGTCTGCAGTTTGGCAATTTCTCCCAGGTCCATTCACAAACTCTCCTCGGCCCTCTCCAGTCACCCAAGTGGGGAAGGCAGAATGGAATTGCTTACTGGGCCTCCCAGCTCAGCCTCATGGCCATTAGGCTGACCTGCTCTGGCGAGGCACAGGCTCCTAAAAATGGCCTGACTCTCGCAGGAGGCAAAGGCCAGTCTGGCCAAAGTGTAACCTGGAAGCCCTGGTTGGTGAAGGGGTCCGAGGACCCCGTTAGAGTTGAGGGAGAAAAGGCAAATGCTCCTGTCCTCAGGGCCCAGCCTCCCACACCCCCAATCCCCTCTCAGCCAAGCTCCCTCCCTGCCTTGGGCTGTAAACCAAAGTTTACTGACTGAGGGAAGGAGCAGTCCCAGGTAAAGGCCCTGTAAGGACCCCCACATAGGCCCGCAGCAGGCAGCAGCCAAGGAGGTCTCAACCACCCATGCCGAGACTGCCAGGACGGCACTGGGCAGGGAAAAAGAGACCTCAGTGCGAGCGCTCTCAGAAAAGCAGTGTCAAATTCTGCCCCCACTGCGGGAGGCCGCAGGATCTTACCCTCATTCAAGTCTAGTTCAGGAGCCTGCAGGGATGGGGCCAGGAAGGCCACTGCAGCCAGTGCCCCTGCAGTTCCAGCTGCACCTTACATCTGGAGTTCAGAGGCTAGAGAAAGACTGGAACTTGGGATCCCAGGCTCAGGGCCCTGCCCTCTTCCCTTTTATTCCACCAATCTCTTGGGTGGGGAGTGGCGTGGGGAACCAGAAGCACCAGGAAGCCTGGGAAAGGAGAAGCCACTGCAGCTGCCCCAGACACCCCACCCCATAAAGGTTTAAAGAATGGGCCCTCACCCCATCTGGCAATCAGCGGAGGGGGTGGGGCACAAAGGCGAGCAGACACTGGTCAAGCTTCCACTTCATGTAAACAAGGAGGCCGTGGCACTGACCCCTGCCCAGCCACCGACAGTCCGGTGGAGGCGTGTGACTGAGATGCTTCGGACCCTCTCATTTGGGATCCAGCGTCCCTGAGGCCAGGACGGAGGCTGCAGGGCAGAAGGCCAGTTGGCGTCTGATGTGCAAACTGGTGCAGTGTGCGACCTGCGCTCTCCACAGCACAGGGCAGGGCAGGCAGGCATCCACACGTCCTGCCCACCACCATCCCGCAGCTCAGGAAATCACACAGTTGCTAGGCTTGGCAGAACTGGGACTTGTTTTACCTGCAGAGGCAAGGGACAGAGGCGGGGAAGGATGTAAGTGAAACGCTTGGTGGATTCAGCTTCAGTTCCTACCCTGTGTGCTGTCCACATCTCCAGTTGAGGGGCTGGGGTCACTGTCTCCCTCCCAAGCTGCTGATCTGGAAACCAAGTCAATAGGGCACCCGGGAAAGTAGAAGGGAAGATTCTGCCTGTCTCAGCAGCCTCGGCAGGAGCCCCACTGGGTGGGACATCAAGGTGACAGCCATCTCCTGACCAAAGAGGGGTCGGGGAAGGATCCAGGCTGCAGAATCAATGACAACAACCATCAAGTCCAAAGTCTTGGCTGCTCTGTCTACAGACTAGCCATTCTTTTGTTTCTTTACTTTTCTAATAAACTTGCTTTCACACACACACACACACACACACACACACACACACACACACACACACACACACGTCTAGCCAAGAGGCCGCTCACTACCAGCTAGTACATGCAGCTCCACCGCCTGCAAAGTAAGACTGCGGTCCTTCTCTCTGGTTCCCCTCCCGGGCTGCCGCATTCTACCGCTGAGGTGCCCACAGCTCCCAGAGCCAGCCAGCGACAGTGCCAGAACCTGGCCTTCCCGGTCCAGTTCCAGCTCCTTCCGCCACAGGCCGCCTAGGCTGGAAGAAGGAAAGCTGGCGCCTCAGGAAAGGCTGGCGCTGGCCAAGAGCTGCCACCGTGGGGTGGATCACACTGCTTAGGACGCGCCTTTGAAGGGAGGACAGAGAGGAACGCGCTGCCTGTAGGGAGGGAAGGGGGAGAGAAAGCTGTCCCCCGCCCCCGGCCAGAGAAGCTGATTTCTCTTCTTCCCCAGGCCTCTACCATTCCTTCCCACTCTCTTTACAGTCCTGAGATGAGGCCTGCGGTTCCTTTGGCTGGATTCCTGCTCTCGGACCTCCGGAGGGAGTGCAGGGGAGTAGCGAGGCAGGCCTGACACCTGCAGGCCTGCGAGGTGTCAGGCGCTGGAGCGGGGAGCCCATGTCCTCGGAGCGCTGGCTGCCTTTCCCCAGGTGGAAGGCGCTCGTGTTATTTCCTGCCAGTTCCCCTCCACACAGCAAGGGCTGCCTCTCTGGTGCTCACACAACCTTCCAGTATCACTTCAGCTGTGAATTTAATTAAGGCCATGTCTGCCTCCTCTCCTGGGCCATGAGCAGGACCCACTGAACAGAGCCCAACTTGGAGCCCTGCCCTGCCACACAGGCTGCTGCTCCTGCCCACTGCACTGTGACCCACGGCCTCGGGCCTCATCCATCCAGGCAGACTGAACGAGCTCTTCAGGACTGACCACAAATCCAGCTGCACCCTCATTAAGGGTGTTCCCCCACCTTTGGGCAGGAGGCTGCGCCCCAAGGGCTCCATGGCCAAGGCGCTGGGGGTCACTTTCCGCAGTGGTGCCGAGCACGTCTGGGGCGGCTCTGCTAGTGGGATGAAATGCGGCCATCTTAGAGTCACTCACTGCTGCAATGGACACATTCGTCCCCATTTCCCCCCATCAGCTGGTTTGATTTGCGTGGCCCACTAAGCAGATGTCAGTTCCTCCCCAGAGGCAGCAGCATTTTGGAGGCAGGTAAGCAAATCAACCTCCAGATCGTTAAACAGGGGAGGCGGTGTAGCTGGGGGTGGGATGGTGGTGGGTGGTGGTGGGGGTAGCTGCTTCCCAAGCCTGCACACCACCCGGCTGGCTGCCTCCGGGAGAAGCCTGGCAAGGCAGGGGCAGGGCCCATCTTCACCAGCACCATGCTCCCCACTTTTTTGTAAGGCAGGGTGAAAGCCTGGAGACAGCACCTAGACTCAGAATTCATTTCCTAGCCCCGGACAGGACAGAGAAACTGGCTTGGCTTGAGGACAAACTCTGTGTCCCTTGTCATTCCCTGAGTGCTCACATATTGGGAGCTGACCACGTGTGGGGAGTCAGCCCTGCTCAGGTGAACAGGGAAGGTGTATAAATGACCAGAATAGTCTTTTTTACAAAGTATGCGTGGCCTGGGAGCTTCAGAGGTGACGCCAAGGTGGAGCTGAAAACGGGTGCAGGGTGGGAGGAGGGGCCGCTCAGCGGAGCGGAGCCATGTGACATAAGCATGGGGTGAGGGTGGCAGCCTGGGGCACTCGGGACCTGCAGTCAGTCTGGTTTGCTGGCAGGTGAGGTGGTGCGGGAGAGAGGGAGGCAGAGGTCACCCACATGGAAGCCATGACAAGGACAATGATGTGCAAACCGCATGCACAGGCTCCAGGGCTTCGCATTCCCTGTATCTGGAAGAATCTTCCCTCAGATGTCCACAGGGCCCTCTCCTTCCATTGAAGTCTTGCTCCGAGGCTCCTTGGTTAGAGAGGCCTTCCCTGGCACCCTTTATAGAAGGGTCATCCTCCCCTAATCCTCGTCTCTCCCCAGGGTAACATGCTCCATAAAAGCAAGGACCATGTTCATTCTGTTCACAGCTGTGCCAGGAACTTAGAGCAGGGCCTGGCACAGAGCAGACACTTCGTAGACACATATTTATTGAATAAAATGCATGAGACAGCAACGGCGAGCTACTTAGGGGTTTAGCACAATCCTAGTAACAACAGTAATAACAGCAGCAGATGCCCCAGACGCAGCAAGAGCAAGAGAGAGATCTGAGACCTGCGGCCCCAAGGGATGACACAGGAGAACAAGTCCCCCAATCCAGCGGCCCAGCAGCCACAGCTCTACAGAGCCAGACCACACTGCCAGCCAGGGGGCCAACCACACATAAATCCAGGGACCCCAGGAGAGTTCTGGAAAGGGACTGTCACTGCAGGTCACCTCAGAGAAACTGGGAAGCAAAGCACAGGCCCAGGGACTCTGGGGCAGGAAAGGACCCCGAGGCACTCTGGGAAGCAAGTTGCTGCTGTCATCTTCCTCTCGGCCCCCACAACACCGTGGGAAAGGGCTGGTCCTCTATTTGGGGCTCTGGTTCTTCCGAACAGTTTTTTGTTTTGTTTTGTTTTGTTTTTTGAGACAGATTCCTACTGTGTCACCCAGGCTGGAGTGCAGTGGTGTGATCTCCACTCACTGCAACCTCCACCTCCCGGGTTCAAGAGATTCTCCTGTTTCAGCCTCCCGAGTAGCTGGGACTACAGGCAAGTGCCACCATGCCTGGCTAATTTTTTGTATTTTTAGTAGAGACAGGATTTCACCGTGTTAGCCAGGATGATCTCGATCTCCTGACCTCATGATCTGCCCACCTAGGCCTCCAAAAGTGCTGGGATTACAGGCATGAGCCACCACGCCGGGCCCAAACAGTCTTTAAAGGTGCAGGGAAACGGTGCCGATCCTAGCCTTCTGGAGATGGCCATGATATCTGCAGAAGGCTGGGGAGGCAGGAGATCACACTGCCCTTTCTCCCTGGGCAGCCACGGACACAGGGCCTGGCCTCTCTGAACCTTGGGGGTCTCATTGTGAGATGCTGTCATCAGGCAGGATGGCAGCGAGGAGGACGCCAGTTCCATGTGATGGAGTATGGCACCATGTCTCTCGCCACTTCAAAAGTGTTGGCCATTTCCCAGTCATCTCCCTGGGGGAACTGGGTGGGGTCTCAGGCACAGCACAGGGATCTCCTCCCCTAGGCTGGCAGCACTCAAAGGGCAGGGCCTCATCTGTGTTTCCTCAGTCGCCACGGAGTCGGCTGGTCTGAGGACCCTCTGCACTGGGGAGCTACACTGGAAAATGAGGGCCCTAATTTAAAATGCAGATTCCTAAGCCCTGCCCAGTGGTACAGACTCTATTTGTTGGATTTTATTTTTATCTTTAAAAATTCTATTATTATTATTTTGAGATGGAGTCTCGCTCTGTCACCCAGGCTGGTGTGATCTCAGCTCACTGCAGCCTCTGCCTCCTGGGTTCAAGTGATTCTCCTGCTTCAGCCTCCCAAGTAGCTGGGATTATAGGCACCTCCCACCATGCCCAGCTAATTTTTGTATTTTCAGTAGAGACAGGGTTTCACCATGTTGGCCAGGCTGGTCTCGAACTCCTGACCTCAGGTGATCCACCTGCCTCGGCCTCTCCAAGCGTATTTGTTGCATTTTAAAATTTGTATTTACTTTTGCTTTTATTTTTTTGAGACAGGGTCTCTCTGTCGTCCAGACTGGAGTGCAGTGGCACAATCACAGCTGACTGCAGCCTCGACTTCCCAGGCTCAAGTGATCCTCCTGCCTCCACCTCCCAAGTAGCTGGGACTACAGGCACACGGCACTACCCCCAGCTAATTAAATTTTTTTTTAAGAGATGGGGACTTGCTATGTTGCCCAGGCTAGTCTGGAACTCCTGGGCTCAAGGGATCTTCCCAGCTCAGCCTCCCAAAGCACTGGGATTACAGGCATGAGCCACCGCGCCTGGCCTCGTTGCATGTTTACCAAGGCTCTCCACTGAGGCTGCTCTGTGAGTTTGGGGGTCCCTGACCCAGGGAGCCTGTGCGGAGGGCACAGAAGCTCCAGAATAAGGGATGAACACTCCCAGCAGGAGGCGAGGGCGGAGGGAAGACGTAGAAGAGGCGCCTAGCTTCTGCCACTAGAGTGCGCCGTGAGCCTTGAAACCGCTGGGCACCCCTGGCCCCCAGCTGGATCCCCAGCCGGAAAGGAGGAAGCAACTTCCCTAAGGTTCTCCCAAGGGCCACACCTGGGTTTGCAAAAATTTGCATGCTGTTTGACAACTATATACTCCTTATCAAGCAATTTTACAGGCTGTCAGCTCTGAGCTTTTTCTATTTTTTCTCTTATGACAGAAACTGTCATCAACTCAGGTTCTCCCTTGACAAGAGGGCAGCAGAGACAGAAAGAACAGAGGCAGAATCTGAACTCCAGGGGACCTCGGAAACCCTCAATGGTGCACTCCCCCACCTTCTAGATGAGAACACAGCCCCAGGGAGGGGACGGATGTGTCCTGGGTACAGGGAGCAATGTGTCCCGAATTGAGAGCCAGGTGGCAGCTGCTCTGGGAGGTTCTGAACATTTACCAGGGGAAGGGGACACTTTCCCTGCATGGGGGCCCAAAGGCAGGAGCTCAGGTTCTCACTGATTCCCACGGTGGGTGCCCCATGCTGTCAGGGGCCCACCTTCTCACACATGCAGTCCTGGCTGCTTAGCTGCTGCTGCCTGAGGGGAGACACTGAAGCAGCCCCACTTGGCCATGGTGTGGGAAGCTGGAGGCCGTGAAAAAGGGCCTCTTAGGAGAGGAGCTCCTGGCCAGGCGCGGTGGCTTGTGCCTATAATCCCAGCGCTTTGGGAGGCCCAGAGGTAGGAGGATCACTTGAGGCCAGGAGACCAGCCTGGGCAACATGATGAGACCCTGTCTATACAAACAATTTAAAAAATTAGCCAGGCATGGTGGCACACACCTGTGAGCCCAGCTACTCAGGAGGCTGAGGTGGGAGAATCGCTTGAACCGAGGAGGTTGAGGTTGCAATGAGCTGTGGTCGCACCACTGCACTCCAGCGAGACATTGTCTTAAAAACAAACAAAACCAGCAAAAGACAGGAGAGGAGCTGCTGCTTCTCCCTCAGGCCTTGGGAGGGAGAGGAAAGGTGCGTGAATTTCAGGACTGCAGGTACTGGGCGCCCACCCAGGTGGGCAGAAGCCTTACCGGAGGAGGCTGCTCTGTGTTCGTCTAAAGGACGGACAAGGAACGGGATGATGGTTCCGGGCATCCCCGGACCTTCCTGGCTGTCCGTGCCCTCGCCCTCACTATTCCCTCTCTCTCTCTATCCCAGCATCAGGTGCCCTGGAGAGGAGCTTCCCAAGGGTACCGTCTGTGTCTGCAAGGCTGGCTCCTGGGCACCATGTGCAGACACCAGAGAGCGGCAGCAGGGGCAGGGCCGCCGTGACCACCCGAGATGTGGGAGCAGGGACATGGATGTGGAGGGACACGCAGAAGGCAGCGGGAAGGGACAAGACAATGGGCTTTGAGTTTCCATGGAAACTGCATCTCAGGGCGAGGGGCTGAAGGAAGAGAAAGCTTCCACTCCACTTCAGTCAGGACTCGGGAAATAGTCCTTGCTGCTGTCGGCTCGCCCCCTCCTTCCCCTCTTCCACCTCCTTCCCCTCTTCCCCTCGCTCCCTTGCCAGGTGTTCACCATGGCAACCCTTCCTCCAAACCAGAGGTACAGAGCAGGAGCAGCAGCAGCAGCAGCAGCTGGTGTTAGGGGAGCCAGGGAGCCCAGGAGGAATGGGGATGGGGCCAGCCACCCCTCCCCTGACAGAACATGGCTGTGCCCATGCCTGGTCTTGAATCCTGGCCTTACTACCACTTCCTGTGACCTGGGACCACTTCATTCACCTCTCCGAGCCATCTGCCACCTCTGTGCTTGAAGGGTGGTTGTGGGGGCAGAAGGGGAGAGAGAGTGCCTGTGCAGGACCTGGCAAGCCAGCAGCTCAGTCAACGTCTCCAGGCCAAACAGAAGGAACGCCCTGACACTCCCACTGTGCCCACAGCCACAGAGGCGCCCAGGCCTGTTCCAACTCCAAGAAGCAAAGTTAGCCAACATTTCCTGAGCACAGAATGTGTCAGACTCCAAAGCAGTGCTGGGGAATTAGCAGAGGGGATGACACTTGTGCTCCCTGCTCTCACACCATCACAATCCGGTTAAAGCTGGTGTGCAGGAATGCAGGAGTCCTGGAAGCCCTTGGGCCGGGCACACAAGACCTCAGGCCCTGCCATCGCCCACCTGGCCAGCCAGAGCCCAGTTCTCATCACTGGGCTCCACAGCGATGGAGGGAGAAACCCCACCATGGAAAGTCCCCTGACTCAGGGATGCAGAGATGAGAAAGGCACCGCCACCAGCCACCTGAAAGGCCACCCCAGAGACTGCTGCAGAGAGAGACATAAAGTCCAGGGCCTCCTGGGGATCCCAGAGAGATGCCCAGAAAGACGCTGCCATGGAACAATCCCACCCAGGGACAAGCAGCTGGGCAGACAGCACTCAGCAGAGGGACGTGGAGAAACCAAGTCGGACTGCCCGTCACAGAGACAGGAAACTGGGTCAGGGCACCAGTAGGGTACAGGGGAGGGTGGGGTGTGTCTAACCAGGTGAGATCCTGACAATAGGTGATCTGGCAAGGGAAAAGGTTTGCTAGAAAGAGCCCTCAACTCAGAGCCAGGGTCGAGCTGCAGCCATGCACCCCACTGTGCAGAGCCCCCGTTTCTTCACTTACAAAGGAGAAAGTTTCTCAGCTTATTTGATTTGTTGGGTTACCATGAGGGCTGATCTGAATGCCTTCTAGCAGTAGCATTAGAAGCTCTGAGACCCCTCCATGCCAAGCCTGGAATCCTTCTCTTTTTTCAGAGAAGAGGAAAATGAAACTCAGAGCTGCAGGACTTGCCCAAGGCCTCCAGGCAGCTAATGGCCGGGGCCAGAATGGGAACCAAGGACCCCGGAACCCCAGAGCTCCTGCCCTCTCTGTGCCCACAGATGGAATCTACTCCTCTGCAGGTATGAGGCAGTGCTCCTGGATAAGAGCCGATGCGGGGCGAGGGCCAGAGGCCTGGGGAGGCACCAGGCCAGAGGGAAGAGGGCTCACCTGAGATGTCAGCACTGGAATTCTCGTTGGGCCTCTTCCCCGTCAGAAACTCCACTTCAGAGGTCTCGGTGGAGACAGAGCTGGCCATGCCATTGGGCGCCGCAGGCCTCTTGGCTCGGCGACTGAAGAGCCTGCTGCTGAAGCGCCTGGCGGGGGCGGCCTCCCCCCGGGCCGCTTCTCCCATGCCGTTTCGGCTGGGTGCCTCTCGGGATTTGGGCTTCAGGTCTCTGTGCATGTGAGAGACCATCCTGCCATCCTTCTGGCTCAGCTCTCCCAAGGGGATGGGCTCCACGGGGGGCAGCACCTGCTCCACCGTAACCAGGTCTTTCAGGAAGCTCTCCAGGCGCCAGGCCGACTCGCCACCGCTGGCGCCCTCCTCCTGCCCCTCCGGGTTGCCGCCCGCCTCCCGCTGTTGCCGGGCAGCCCAGCGCATCATCTCCCCAGGCGGGTGGCGGCAGCCTGACACCAAGGCGTACTTGGGGTTGATAAGCTTTCGAGCCACAGTGGAGGAGTAATGGAGGCCAACCCTGCCCGCCAGGCTCAGCTGCCGGTACAAGTCCACCTCCTCGGAGATGGCGTACAGCTCCCGGAACTCCGTGTCAAAGGGCTCTACGTTCTGTCCTGTCAGGAGCAGGAGGAGGTTTCTGTCCACATGGGAGGAACTCCAGGTGAACCTGGGAACGTGGGGACAGAAAAGCAAGACACATGTGCCCAGGCCTCTCTCTTGCCCTGCCCCCGCCCCCACCTGCCCCTCCGCTGTGGCCAGACCCTTGCTGCAGGTGTACGGCTCCTTGTGGGCCACACGCTGGACTGATTCCCTCCACCCACCCGTAGCCTCCCTTTCCCCAGAGCTTGGCCTCAAATGAAGCAAGCAGGCAGTGGGTGCAGGGAAAGAGCATGGGAAGTCAGGCCTGCATTTAAACCTGGTTTATATTCTCATGTGCCTTGTAAGCTGGGGCTCCCAGGACATATGTTCACAGGGTTGTTGTGAGGCACAAATGAAGTAACTCATATAAAACATTTAGCTCAGTCCCTGGCACAAACACACATTTAAAAAATAGTAACTGCAGCTGCCACTATTATGAATATTATTCTACTCTGTATTGGTTCTTTTCTGATTTTTTTAAGCACTTAGTGTCTGCAGAAACCCATACTCTGACCATGTGACAGGACTTACCCTGCTATTCACTGTTTCATGTGCTCAGCTCTCTCTTCTCGTCACCTATATTTTAATTTACTTGGAGGGCAGAGATTACACAGATACAGTCTCTCGTGTTCCTGCTAAATTATTTTAAAATCAGAATTCTGAGGCCAGGCTCACACCTGTAATCTCAGCATTTTGGGAGGCTGAGGCGGGCGGATCACTTGAGGTCAAAAGTTCGAGACCAGCCTGGCCAACATGGTGAAACCCCTTCTCTACTAAAAATACAAAAATTAGCTGAGCATGGTGGTAGGCACCTGTAATCCCGGCTACTAGGGAGGCTGAGGCAGGAGAATCGCTTGAATCCGGGAGGCAGAGGTTGCAGTGAGCCGAGATCATGCCACTGCAGTCCAGCCTGGGCAACGGAGCAAGACTCCGTCTCAAAAAAAAAAAAAAAAAAAAAAATTCTGGCGACATTCCCTGCACACCACACCTTCCCGTTTCTTTCCAGATCTGGTGCATCCCACTTCCTGCTTGTCCTACCTAATGACTAGCCTCAAAATGCAACTGGCTGCAAATGGACCATGAAAAACAGACAGTGCGTAATGCCTAGGAAGAGTTGACCCTCTTTTTAGAATAATCCATCAACCAGGAAGTTTGAGGGAAGGGACTGGGCAGAAAGCTGTCCTTTGCTATTGCGTCAGATGATCCCTGTTACACACTCATGATGACGGAGGCTCCGGTCTGGCATCTTCCTGAACACCTACCTGGAATCAAGGCCTCCTGGGCCCTTCTTTGATCCGGCCCAACTCACCTGTAAGATCCAGTGGCCACTTTGTCACCGTCCACCATCAGGAACCTTGATGACAGGGTCCCCTTGATCCTCCCCATGGGCATGTAGAAGCCGACGCCTGTCACAGAGCGGACACGGATGTTCTGTTGGGAAGAGCAGAAGGCCCTGTCACCTGGGTTGGGCCAGCCTCCGTGCCAGGTCCTTGCTTCTGCAGAGGAAGAGCCCCCTTGTGTATGGACCCTGCCTGCAGGCTCCTGTCTTCACTAGACGCTCTGCTTCCTACAGCCTTCCATAGGGAACCCTCTTTGGCGAGCAGGAAGAAGTCCCCAAATCTTGCTTCAGGCATGGACAAGCCCAGGGTGGTTCCTGCCTCTTCTCAAAAGGCCCCAGAAGAGAACAACAGCCCTCACTTTGACATCAGTGATTCTGCAGGCTAAGCACCCCAGGACCAGCCCAGAGCTCCCTCCTTCAGTCTCAGCAGCCTAGGGATAAAATTGAAACTGGGCATATGATTCAGTAGTTAACAGTAAAGCCAAGGTTAAAGGCTTGACTTTCAACAAAAGGAAAGGTGTTGAGATCTTGAAGTTCGCCTGAGCCCCCATTCAGGGAAGAGGCAGGGGGGAGCTGCAGGACGGGGCAGAGGTAGTCTCTGTCTCATCTCCTGTCCACTTTCCACCCCAGTGGTGCAACTTACCCGAATCCGGAAGTCAGTGAGCTGCAGGTCCTGACACATCTCCAGGAAATACTTCACTCCTGCCTCGTCCAGGATGATGTACACTGGGACCCGGCGCTTACAGGCAGCATCCACAATGTCTTGAAAGATATCACCATCAGTGAAGAGGTCCATGACCACAGCAATGACCTGGGTGGGGAAAGGCACTGGTGAGGCACACGGTGTCTACACGCCCACAGAGGCATGCCCTGCTCAGATGGTACCACCTCGCCCTGGGGTCACTGGTGGCCAAGAGTCAAAAACTCCACCTGTACCATTCCTGGAGTTCCACGTCCCCCGATCTTTGAGCATATCTGAGCCCTGGAGATGGGCCTGGGGGTGCAGGCCGTGTGCTTGTACTTCATCCTGGACAAATCCCCACCTCCCCATCCTGGGGGTCTTCCAGCAGCTCTTAAGAAACTGTATCAGGGCCAGGCAAGGTGGCTCACACCTGTAATCCTAGCACTTTGGGAGGCCAAGGCAGGTGGATCACCTGAGGTCAGGAGTTTGAGACCAGCCTGGCCAACATGGTGAAACCCTCTATTAAAAATACAAAAAATGGGCTGGGCATGGTAGCGGGCACCTGTAATCCCAGCTACTTGGGAGGCTGAGGCAGGAGAATTGCCTGAACCTGGAGGCAGAGTTTGCAGTGAGCCAAGATTGCGCCGTTGCACTCCAGCCAGGGCAACAAGAGCGAAAAAAAAAAAAAAAATTAGCCAGGCGTGGTGGCAGGCACCTGTAATGCCAGCTACTGGGGAGGCTGAGGCAGGAGAATTACTTGAACCCAGGAGATGGAGGTTGCAGTTAGCCGAGATCGTGCCATTGCACTCCAGCCTGGGTGATAGAGACTGTCTCAAATAAATAAATAAATAAAATGGAATAAAGAAGCCATATCATGGGAGATCTAGGGGCCTGAGGAAAGTTGCTCCTGACACCCTAGAAAAACAAGCAGGCACAAGGAGATGCCATCACGGAGATGCCAGGGGTGGGCTCATCTCCGTGAGCCACACATCTGCTCAAACATCACTTTCTCAGCAGGCCTGGATGCGCTGATGGCCTTGCAGCTGTGCGAAGCTCTGTGCTTCCCCAGGCACAGATCCAG
This sequence comes from Homo sapiens, assembly GCF_000001405.40. Taxonomy (NCBI): domain Eukaryota; kingdom Metazoa; phylum Chordata; class Mammalia; order Primates; family Hominidae; genus Homo; species Homo sapiens. The sequence goes on along the minus strand of NC_000022.11, from coordinate 40,018,215 downwards.
GCAGAGCTCCGGCTGGCTTGGATTCCCTTGGCCTTCAGGTGTCCATCCCATCCTACGCCATCCTCAAATCAAGGTCATTGCTCAGGACCCTTCATTTACAAAAATCAGTCCTGATTATCCACCCTGGAAGGCAAGGTTTATGCAGCCTGAGGCAGCTCCACCTTTCTAACCACAGCTACTTCCAGCTTCCTACACAAACCATGCTCCACGCTCCAGCTGAAGGCTTTCTTATTGGCCCAAACACCCTGCGTGTGATGCTGAGGAAAAGTCCTCGGCTCTGGGGTCGGAGAGATTTTGTTTTAACTGTGGATCCCCCACTTCCTAGTTGTGACCTTAGGCAAGTCACTTAACCTTAATGAGACTCTGTTTCCTCATCTGCAAAGTGAGGATACCTTGTATTTTACACTTTTGCCCTGAGGATTAGGGATAACTTGGTAAAGCAGCAAACACAACCTCTGGCATGTAATAAGTCCTCAGTAAACAGTAACTGCTATACAGTCCAGGAAGTCGGTTTGCCTTCAAAACTGAAAGCACCGACTCTAAAGTCAGGCAGACCAGGCTGGTATCCCCATGCCACAGCCGGCCCAAGCTTCTTTGGCCGCAAAATAGAGCTAATAACTGCACCTATCTCAAAGGGTTGTCCCAGGACTTAGTGAGATGCACCATGAAAGTGCTGAGTGCAGGGCCAGGCATGGTGTCTCACGCCTGTAATCCCAGCACTTTGGGAGGCTGAGGCGGGTGAATCACTTGAGGTCAGGGCTTTGAGGCCAGCCTGGCCAACATGGTGAAACCCTGTCTCTACTAAAAATACAAACATTAGCCAGGCATGATGGTGGGCACCTGTAATCCCAGCTCCTGGGGAGGCTGAGGCAGGAGAATCGCTCATTGCAACCCAGGAGGCAGGGGTTGCAGTGAGCCGAGATTGTACCATTGCACTCCAGCCTGGGTGACAAGAGCGAGACTCCGTCTCAAAAAAAAAAAAAAAAAAAAGAAAGTGCTGAGAGCAGCACCTGCCACCAGGTACGCTCAATCAGCCTCCGTCACGGGGGTGTCACCACCTTCACATGTGTGCTCTGCCATCACCCTGACTCTAAAGACTCCTGTGCCCTGCCCTACACAATACCATTTAAAGTTCTTCATAGCTCTTACATTTTGAGAAACAAAAACAAAAACAAACAAAAAAAAGTTTTATCTGAGGAATCAGAGACCTTTTAAATTACCAGGCCCAGAGAGGCATTTAAAATGTAACAGCAGCCAGATACAGTGTCTCAAGCCTGTAATCCCAGCACTTTGGGAGGCTGAGGTGGGCGGATCACTTGAGGCCAGGAGTTCGAAACCAGCCTGGCCAACATGGTGAAACCCTGTCTTTACTAAAAATACAAAAATTAGCCAGGCGTGGTGGCGGGTGCCTGTAATCCCAGCTACTCAGGAGGCTGAAGCAGGAGAATTGCTTGAGCCAGGAAGGCGGAAGTTGCAGTGAGCCAAGATTGTGCCACTGCACTCCAGCCTGGGGGACAATGAGAGACTCCATCTTAAAATAAAATAAAATAAAATAAAATAATAAAATTAAAATAAAATAGCAGTCATGTCTCACTCTCCCTCAAGCTAAATAATTACTATTATTTAATAAGTGGCTTGAAGCCACTTGCTGTATGAGGCCTCTAGACTCACTCTAAGTAGCTATAAAATGCTACACACTCCATAGTTCAACAAGGTAGGCTGGGCACAGTGGCTTACACCTGTAATCCCAGCACTTTGGGAGGCTGAGACAGGAGGACTGCTTGAGCTCAGGAGTTTCAGACCCACCTGGGCAACATGGCAAAACCCTATCTCTACAATACAAAAATTAGCTAGGCATGGTGGCACATGCCTGTAGTCCCAGCTACTTGGGAGGCTGAGGCAGGAGGATTGCTTGAGCCTATGAGGTTGAGGCTGCAGTGAGCCATGATAGCACTACTGCATTCCAGTCCAGCCTAGATGACAGAGTGAGACTCTATCTCAAAAAAAAATAAAAAAACAACAACAACAACGTATAGTCAATCACTGACAATGTTATTTCTGTAAACCAATGAGACTTCCTGACCAATGGCTTTGGTTGTCCCCCCCTCTCCTGATTTCATCCTTTTTTCTTTAAAAACTTGAACCTCCCCAAGGAAACCTGGAAGTGTGTCCCGGGATGCCATCCTAAATCTTGGCCCAAATAAACTCTCTATACTAATTTTGCCTCAGAGTCTTCCTTTGAGGTTGATATTGTGATAATCATTCATGAAGGGAGAATGAATTCTTCCTGAGCCCCACAGGCAGAGAGAGGACCTAAAGACAGATAAGCTACAACGCTGATTTCAAGGGGTTAATCCAAGTGGAATGACAAGACCTTTGCACAAAATAACTAAGACATGAGATAAATGAGATAAATGCCTTTAAGAACATGACATGTGATGTGGGTTTGGGGTGAGTGGGTGAGCGGAGAGATTACTTCTAGCCAGGGGAGGATAAGACTTTACCAAGGAAGCTGAACTGTGAAGGACGGGAAGCCTTTGGCACCCAGAGAAAGGAACAGGAGAAAAATTGAGCAGGGAGGTTGTCTGGGCTGCCTTGCACGAGTGTGTCCTGCACACGGGCACTGGCTGAGGAGGGGAGTGGGAGCTGCGTCTGCCCAGGGAAGGGTCACCTTTTTCTAACCTACGTACAGGTGTCACGTGGCCTAGCAGGGGCCTGCAAGGGGAGCATTTCAGGGAAAGGGCACAGCACAAACAAAGGGACCGTGCCAGTTAATTTTATGTGTTCGCTTGGCTGGGCAAACATTATTCTGGATGTTTCTATGAGAGTGGTTTTTTGGATGAGGTTAACATTTAAATCACTGGACTTCGAGAAAAGCAGATTACCCTCCATAATGTGGGTATGTCTCGTCCAATCCACTGAAGGCCTTAGTAGAAGAAAGACTGACTTGCCCTGGGCAGGAAGGAATTCTGCCAGCAGACTGCCTCTGGGCTCAAACTGCGGCTCTTCCCAGCATCTCCAGCCTGACAGCCTATCCTATAGGCTTTGGCCTCGCATCTCCATTATCCCATGAACCAATTCCTTAAAATCAATCAATCTCTGTCTCTCCGTGGATCTCTCTTACACACACACAAACATGCCCATCCAGTTGGTTCTGTTTCTCTGGAGAACCCTGACTAATACAGGCACTGAGGATGGGAATTAACATGTACTAAATACTTTCAGTGCACTCTAGGCTGTTTCCTGTGCTTTAGGTAAATTTTCTAATCTGATCCTCACAACTATTTTGAGAAAGAGTTATTCCCACTTTACAATTGAGGAAGTAAACACATAGGGGGCAAAGTCCTATGTCCAAGGTTATAAAGCTGCCATGTGACAGAGCAAGGAACTCAGTCCTAGGTGGCTCCAGGGTCTTCATTTCACTGCTTCCTAGAGATGGGATTGCTGGGAGGTACTTCAGGAACACTGAATCAAAAACCGGCTGTTTAAAAAGACTGAACAAGATAGACAAACTTCTGGCAAAACCGACAAAAAAGGAGGAGATGTAAATAAAATACTGAATGAAAAAGAAGAAATTACTACAGACATAATAGAAATTTAAGGAATTGTAAACATGGTAAAAAAGAATATTAAGGCCAATTATCTGCTAATGCAATTGAAAATGCACATGACATGAGAGTTCACTTAAAAAAGTGAACTCAAAATATACCATAAGCAAGTAAAGTTTATCCTAAGAATGTTAAGGGTGACTCAGCATCAGAAATGGTATCATTTTAATTTAAAACATTTATGGGGTCGAGAGGAAGAAATCATAATTATCTTAATAATTTTACAAAGTATTTAATAAAGCGAGATCCCTACTTGTGATTATAATTCTCAGAAAACAAGGAATAAGAGGGATCTTCCTTAACTTGGTCAGCTCTATCTACCAAAAACCCACATGAAACATTTTACTTAACAGAGAAATTTATGATGTACTCCCTTTAAGTCTCAGGCAAGTGAAGGATACTCACTATCACTACTATAGTTCAACATAGTATTGGAGGTCCTCACCTATGCAATAAGACAAAAAAAAAAAAAAAAAGAAAAGAAATAAGAGACATAAGGATTAGAGAAGACAAAACTACCAGTATTTAAGAATACAATTTTCATAGAAAATCCAGTAGAATAAAGAAAAAAGCAATTAGAATTAATAAGAGAATTCAGCAAAATTGCCAGATCCAAGAAAAACTTAACAAAAACCAATAGCCTTCTTCTATTCCAGCAATAATCAACCAAAAGAAAGAAAAAAGGAAAATAAAAGAAGGAATGAAAGAAAGAAAATAAGATCCATTCACAGTTAAAACCTAACCACATGGCATTTGGAAATAAATACCTTCAGGAAGAAATATTGGAAACTCTACTAAAGGGCATTTTAAAATATGTGAATAAATGAAGCAATAAATCATGAAAAGATAATATGATTTAATATTTTAAAAATCGAATACTCTCCATATTAATAAAATTCAATGCAATTCCATAAAAAGCTCAGTAAATGTTTTTGAGAAACTCAAATACTTGTAAGATATAAAGAAGAATAAAGATCCACAAATAGCTACATCCATTTTGAAAAAGAAAAACTAAAAGGGAACACTTGTCCTATAGAGAGTAAGGCATACTACAGCACCATAGCAATAAGAATTGAATTACTTGTACTACCTAAGTAGGAAGGAACTGACCAATAGACCAATGGAACAGAATGGTGAGACCTAAAGTATACACACAAACACATATATACATGTATACCCACACACATCCACAAAACTTCATGTATGATAGGGTAGAATCACAACTCAGTGGAGAAAAAAAATGCCCTTTAGCAGATGCAACTGGGAAAGCTGGCTTACTACATAGAGAAAAATAGAGGTGGATCCATCCCTACTTCACACCACATGTAAAGGAAAATTTCAGGTAGGCTAAGTACTTAAATGTGAAAGATATAACTAATAAGGGAGTTGAAGAAATGCAAGAAATTATCTTCATGACACGGGGTAAGAAAGAATCTCTTAAATGCACAAACCATGAAGGCAAATAAAATTACGCTAATAAGTATGTAAAAAGGAGCAGTCTTTTTTTTTTTTTTTTTTTTTTTTTGAAACGGAGTCTCGCTCTGTCGCCCAGGCTGGAGTGCAGTGGTGCGATCTGAGCTCACTGCAAGCTCAGCCTGCTGGGTTCACACCATTCTCCTGCCTCAGCCTCCCGAGTAGCTGGGACTACAGGTGCCCGTCACCATGCCTGGCTAATTTTTTTTTTTTTTTTGTATTTTTAGTAGAGACAGGGTTTCACCGTGTTAGCCAGGATGGTCTTGATCTCCTGACCTCGTGATCCGCCTGCCTCAGCCTCCCAAAGTGCTGGGATTATAGGCGTGAGCCACCGTGCCTGGCCCTTTTGTTTGTTTGTTTGTTTTTGAGATGGAGTCTCCTTTTTCACCCAGGCTGGAGTGCAGTGGCGCGATCTCAGCTCACTGCAACCTCTGACTCCCAGGTTCAAGCGATTCTTGTGCCTCAGCCTCCCGAGTAGCTGGAATTACAGGTGCACACCATCACGCCCAGCTAATTTTTGTATTTTTAGTAGAGACAGGGTTTCACCATGTTGGCCAGGCTGGTCTTAAACTCCTGACCTCAAGTGATCCACCTGCCTCGACCTCCCAAAGTGCTAGGATTTCAGGTATGAACCACCGCACCAGGCAAAATAAGCAATCTTCATTAGTAATCAGAAAAATTCAAATTAAAACAAAGAGATGGCTGGGTGCAGTGGCTCACGCCTGTAATCCCAACACTTTGGGAGGCCAAGGCGGATGGATCACCTGAGGTCAGGAGTTTGAGACCAGCCTGGCCAACATGGTGAAGCCCCATCTCTACTAAAAATACAAAAATCAGCTGGGCGTGGTGGCACATGCCTGTAATCCCAGCTACTCGGGAGGCTGAGGCAAGAGAACTGCTAGAATCTGGGAGGTGGAGGTTGCAGTGAGCCAAGATGGCACCACTGCACTCCAGCCTGGGTGACAAGAGCAAAACTTCATTCCAAAAAAAAAAGAAAAGAAGAGATGAAAGGAAGAGACTACTTTACAACTATGAGATTAATGAAAAATCAGAAAGTTGGATAATCCAAACTATGAGATTAACAAAAAATCAGAAAGTTGGATAATCCAAAATATTGGTAGGTGGAGGAAAGGGGACCGTTGTCACTGCTGGTGGGTGGGAGCACTGGTGCAGCTATTCTGTAGAGCAACAGGCAGAAGTGAGTGGATTTAAGCAAGTGCACCGCTACAAGCCAGCAAAGCCACTCTTGGCCGTGCACCCCTGGGAATCTCTTGGATCTTTGCACAGGTCTATATGGGGGCCAGAACAAAGATGTTGCCTGCATCTTTCTTTGGGATAGCAAGGAGCTGGCAATGACTTAGATGTCTATTTCTAGAAGACTGGGTAAGGAAAATGTGAGGAATGTGATAGAATGTTTTACAGCAGACAGAAGTAACGAACTAGTTCCATGTGCCGTAACTTGGATAATTCCATTTAAAATGGATAGTTCAAATGAAAATGTTAAAGAGTGAGATCTATAGCCTAATACCACTCATGTAAATAAAAACACACTACAGGCCTCAGCGACATGTGTCCACTCTAAGCTGGACACCTTGGAGTGTTCAGAAATGAGAGGAAAGTGAACTCTGGCCTAGACAGCATGTGGGAGATAAACTATCAGGAGCACTGATAGATAAACTATCCCAGCCCTTTGGGAGGCCGAGGCGGGCGGATCACCTGAGGTCAGGGTTTGAGACCAGACTGGCCAACATGGTGAAACCCGTCTCTACCAAAAATACAAAAATTAGCCGGGCATGGTGGCGCACACCTGTAATCCCAGGGAGGCTGAGGCAGGAGAATGGCTTGAACCCGGGAGGTGGAGGTTGCAGTGAGCTGAGATCATGCCACTGCACTCCAGCCTGGGCAACAGAGCAAGACTCCATCTCAAAAAACAAAACAAAACAAAAAAGCACACTGCATAACATAACACTGCATACTTTTCAAGGATACAAAGATGTCTGAGGACATATGCTGAACACATAAGGGTGGCTGCCTGTGGAAGGAGAAAGGAGTGGGAGGGAAGGAGAAAGGTAAAGTATGAGGCCTTTCAAGGCTCTCTGGTGGCATTGTGCCGTGAACTAAAGTGCACAATCAGCTCTTTGCACCTGGGGTCCAAAATAGCCAACCAACCAAACCAAAACCACCTTCGAGTCCTCCAGCTGGGCTGGCACAGTTCAGGGCAGGTATGGGGTAGGTATAAGGGTGAAGGTACACGGGCTGGATACGGAGGGTTTGAACACAATGTACAGAGTTCTGGCTTCATTCCACCAGCAATGCAGTTTCCAGGGCTCTGATACTTGATCGCCATCTCCTAGTGCTGATAGTTTATCTCCCACGAGCTGTCTAGGCAAGAGTTCACTGTCCTCTCATTTCTGAACACTCCAAGGTGTCCAGTTTAGAGTGGACTCATGTCGCTGAGGACAGCTTGACCGGTTTGCAGAAGCATGTCTCAGGTTCACAAGCTTACTTTTGCTTTGTGGTTGAAAAATTAAGCAGGGAAGCTGGCCTGTCCTAGCCCCACCTGCCTAAGGATGTCAGGAGAGGCAGCAGTCCCCACAGCCTGGCTTTCGCGAGTCGGACTGTGACGCCCTGATGCGAGCCAGCCATCTGTGTCACTACCAATTAAACAATGAAATATCTGAAGTAGAAAAAAAAATCAATTGCTGGCTGACTCCTGCAATCTAGTTGTGGAGAAGTGATAATTACCCTCCGCTTTGGTCTCTGAGGGCCCTGCTTTGACATTCAGCTCCGCAGTGTCAGGCCCAGGGGAACCAGCTCCCCAGTCTCTCCGCTTGGGTCTTTCACTGAGCACGTGATTCCCCACACCGAGCGAACTTCAAAGCTCCCAGTGTAGATGGAAAATCGGGTTTAAAAACATGATATCATGGGCTCAGAACCCAGGGAAGCCGATTTTGTTGGGGGAGGAAATCACGCCCCCTCCAGCTGGCTGCCCACCCCCGGCGTCCTTTACCTGGTTACCTACTGACGTGCAATGCCTGGGGAGAGAGGTTGATTCGAGGCGGCAGCAGTTTCTATAAGCTGTCGCAGGCGCATTGGCAGACAGCTTCTGATGTTGTAAGACTTCTCATTGGGTGTTTGATGAGCTCAACGTCTCCTCATCTGACATCCTGCCTGGGCGGCAGGACGGGGAGTGAAGGCAGGGAGGGAGCCTCCAAATGCCCCTCTCCTGCCATTCAGCTTTAATTAAACTGCCGGCATTTCCAATTCTCTTTCTGGACTCCGTAATTACCGTTAGATAACAAAAACGACAAGAGGGCTCCACCTGGCCCCTGCACCCCACGTGTGTTTGGATGACCCAGACTAGAGAAGGCATGGCTCTGCCAGGTGTCCACAACCACAGAGCCGACTGCAGCTTGGACGTGTCCCTCAGCCACACAGGCACTCCCCAGATCAACATCCTCCTAGTCACTCTGGCCAGAAGCCCAGGCCTCCTCCTCCTCCCCACCGACCAAATCCCATCAGTCACTGAATCCAGCAGGCCCCACCCCGGGCACCTTCTCAGGGTTAATCCTTTCTGTCCCCACTGGTACCGCCCCAGCTCGGACTCTCCTCCTTTCCTACCATGCTTTGATGAGCTTCCTAACTGCTCTCTCCTACTCACCTCTGCCCTCCAATTCATCCTGCACAGCAGGATGCAAACTGAGATGCATGGCCAGAGAAAGACAACACCATCCGTCCCCTTGCCCTGCTGACGTGGAGCTCAGGACTCGGGCGGGTGCGGCTGCTGTTGCCTGCAAAGAGCCCCAGCTTCACCCCTTCTGTGGGTGTGAAAAAGCAAAAGGCCACAGGCCAAGCTTGCTGATCTCGGGGGGGCCTTTTGGTGACAGTCACTTATCCTGGGGAAGGAAGGGAAGCAGCTAGGGACACTTTCCCACTGATTACCTACCCATGTGCGCCTGGGGCCGAGTCGCCTCCCACACCTGCCCTGCCTGCCTCCCAAGGGCTGTTGGAAGGCTCGGATGAGATCATGCCCACGAAATCCCACAAAAACGCTGTGCAGTTATGAGGGATCGTTATAAGGCAAATGGGGGGAACTCCCCACATCTGAAGCCCTAAGTCTCTCAGGGTGGAAAGGACAGCAGCTGAGCAAACAGGTCAAACTGCTGTCTCCCAGAATGGCCGTCTGTGTGGCAGCCCAGGGGAGTTAGTCTATCTGGGACCAGAGGGCAATTCTTCCCTTTCCCACAGAGGGTAGAGCTGGGTCTGCCTGCAGCCTCTGACTCACACATCTCCAGCTGTGGAATCTCCTTTTCTGATCTCCCCAAAGAGAGGATCAAGGTCTATGGGGCAGGTTGTCAAACTTCAGTGTGTAAAGAATCACCTGGGAGCAGGGATGTGGGTATGCGTATTGAAGATGCAGATTCTAGGGCCCCATCCTCAAAGACTCGAATTCAGCAAAGGCCCAAGAAAATGCATTTTAACAGCAGCCTCCGTCTTCCACCCCCACTCAGGTCACTTGAATGCACGAGGGGGACGTCCCACTTTGAGTGAAGGCTGCTGCGTGCAGGATAATATATGGTCTGGAAGCAGAAAGTCACACTGGTTGTTTGGCTTGGAGTGAGTCATCTACTGGGTCTCAGTTACCTCATTTTAGAGTGGGGAGGTGATGCCTTTACAGGGCTGTTCTGAGCTTTAAATGAGATGCTGCAACAGCGCGGTACTTGTCCTGCTGTGAGCGATGGGTAAATGCAGGTGCCCTCTTCTCTCCTCAGTGATGGAGCCCAGAACAAAGGGGCCACCACTTCAGGAGAGGGGGCGAGAAAGAAGGAGACAGCCCATGGGGGGCCCGCTGAGCTCCCGAGGAGCCAGGCAGCCCGCGCCTCCCGCGGCACAGACATCAAGGTGGGGATGTCGTTCCTCTGCTCAATGCCGTGCCCAGCAGGCCCTGCCAACGGTGCTGATTAAAGCTCAGGGAACACGACACTTCCAGAAAGGTCAAAACTTGAACTAATAGAGGGGAAGGGCAGCCCAATTAAGGAAGAACCCACAAGATGAACCGTTCACCCAGCCATACCGGGTGTCTACACCCATATGCTGAATGTCGCAATGCACGGCTAAGAAAACCGCTGCCAGAGTAAAGTATCTCAAGGCAGGCTGCGGGGAACCAGTGCAACTTCTAACTGGCACAGCTGCCACCAGAGCACAGAAAGGTGCTCTGTGGAGACGATGCATCCAGGAGAGGGTGTCGTTAAGTACTCTGGGTACACTGCAAAGACTGTCACCAAGACTGCAACAGACCCCATCTGAATTATCACCAATGTTTATGCCAGTAGAGTGGGAACCACTAAACAACAAACTTTCTCTTAAGTTCCCCATGTACATACCCTGGGGAGAGAGGAGGAGAGGAGGAGGACAGGAGGAAGAGAGGAGAGGAAATGAGGAGGAGAGGAGAGGAAATGAGGAGGAGAGGAGAGGAAACGAGGAGGAGAGAAGAGGAGAGGAGAGGAGAGGAGGAAGAGAGGAGAAGAGAGGAGGAGGAGAAGAGAGGAGGAGGAGAGGAGAGGAGGAGGAGAGGAGAGGAGGAGGAGAGGAGGAGGAGAGGAGGAGAGGAGAGGAGGAGGACAGGAGGAGGAGAGGAAGAGGAGAGGAGAGGAGGAGGAGAGGAGAGGAGGAGAGGAGAGGAGGAGGAGAGGAGAGGAGGAGAGGAGAGGAGGAGGACAGGAGGAAGAGGAGGAGGAGAGGAAGAGGAGAGGAGGAGGAGAGGAAGAGGAGAGGAGAGGAGGAGGAAAGGAAGAAGAGAGAAGGAGAGGACAGGGGAGGAGAGGAGAGGACAAGAGGAGGAGGAGAGGAGGAAAGGAGGAAGAGAGGAGGAGGAAAGGAGGAGGAGAGGAGGAGGGGAGGGGAGGAGAGGAGAGGAGGCTGCACAGCTGCCCGCAGGAGGGGCTCCTGCTGCAAGACCCCCACAGAGCACCCCTTTAACTTCCTCCATCCCTGGTCTCTAGATTCACATCGATCCAACAGTACGGAAGTGTACTGCAGTGGGGAAAGTGCCACAGATTCCACGCAGGCTGTGAGGCCTTGTGCAAGTTACTTAAGCCCTCTGAATTCCACCTGTAAAATGAGGCTACTTCATGGTTCTATGAAGATGAAAAGAAATGTGATCAAGCCTAGATAAAATCTTGCCTGGTGCCTGCCCCAGCTGGCTGAGCTCTGCCCTTCCTCTGGGACAGGGCCTGACACACAGGAGGTGCTCAGGGTCACCGTGCAGCAATGCTAGTTCACGCTGCCCTGACTGTTCCCCTCTTGGCAGACGGACCCCGTAACACAACCCAAGTGCCCTGTTTCCCCGTTTCCCTGCCCACTCAGCGGCTCCGGACTCTGCCTACAGCCAAGTCCAAGGCCCTCAGCTTGGCTGCAGACCCTTCATGTGCGTCCAACCCAAAGAGGCATTTATCCACTTTCCCCCAGATAATCAGCTCATACCCCACAAGATTATTTGATGTTCTCCAAACTCACCCAGCAGGCCCCGGCTTGTGCCTTAACTCACACAGTCACTCTCTAAGCCTGTAGTGATGGGAATGCTCTTTGTTGAGGTCCTTGTTTCACTCTTCCCAGGGCTGTCCCAGGATTGTCCTCTGTCCTCAGTCCCCAGTGTAGTGTGTGCCTTCCCTAGGACACATGTCTGCCCAGTGCTGTGTCTGTCTAGGCACATGAGGGTGTCTCCCCATCTATCCAGGAGGGGTGGGGGACAGAGCCCTGCCATCGATCTAAACAGAATGCCTCCACATAGGTGGCTTCCCTTGGGGAGCTGAGATGTGGCTTGGGCCTGAGTCCTGGTCCATCAAGAGGGCAGAGCCAAATCCAGAGCTGCAATAGCATCTTTTTTTTTTTTTTTGAGATGGCATCTCACTCTGTTGCCCAGGCTGGAGTGCAATGGTGCAATCTCTGCTTACTACAACCTCTGCCTCCCGGGCTCAAGCAATTTTCCTGCCCCAGCCTCCCGAGTAGCTGGGATTACAGGAGTATGCCACCACACCTGAGTAATTTTTATATTTTCAGTAGAGACGGGGCTTCGCCATGTTGGCCAGGCTGGTTTCAAACTCCTGACCTCAAATGATCTGCCCGCCTCGGCCTCCCACAGTGCTGGCATTACAGGCGTGAGCCACCGCGCCCGGCTACAACAGGGTCTTGTTCCCCACTTGGAGGCGAGGCTGCCCCCACCCCAGCAGCAGAGCATCTGTGCTTCGTCCGCTGGGGCTTCCCAGCTATCTGTGGCCGCGTTCCATTGTCTTGGACTCACTAATTAGACATCATAAAACACTGGGCTCCCTCCCTACACTGGCAGCAGCAGAGCCCAATTCCACCCAGCCAGGCCGCTTCCTCTCCCAGAGCCCTCTACCTCAGTGTGGGGCTCTGATTCCGACCCTGCAGGTCAGGTCTCCCTGCTGCAACCCCTGGGGCTCACTCCCTGTCGAGCTGATCCAGTGAGGCCATCACTCTCGACAAGGTTGAATGAAGGAGGGTGTATGTACAAAGGAGACCCAGGCTGGCTCTCCAGAGGAGGAAGACAGATGGCACCCATGTGAGCAAGGCCAGCTAATTCAGCTGTGAACAGCCACGTGTTGTGACCTGCCAGGGAGTAGGCAGAGCAATTCTTTGTAAGATCCTAGGCCAGCTTTTCCCTGCCCCACGGCAAGCTTCTGGGATGACTTTCCCGGCACTAAGTTGGTGTTAATTAGTGAAAATTATCTAATGCAAGCTCATTTTAACATTAGCTTAAAGCCAAACATAATTAGAAAGATAAATCAGTGGCTAAAAAAAATCCAAAGAAGATACACAAGCGATTTTTAGGATCATCTGCTGGTTGGTGTTACTAGCCTTGAGCTCTCAAGTACATGGACAGAGCGAGGCAGGGCTCAAGAAATATCTGTCGAGGTATTTCTTGATTGATCTATCAGGGTAAGACAAATGGAGTTGGCAGTTTGCCTGGGAGGTGCTGAGACGCAGCAAGGATAACTCTGTGGCTATTGCCAGATGATGTTACCTGGGAGGGCTTCCCTACGGAGGCAAGTTGAGAGTGCAGGGAGGGATATGATTGAAAGTGATCAGGAGGGCATTCAAGTGATGGAAACAGTGTGAGTCCACGTGTCCTGGGCCTCCAGTTTTGTACACAGCCTGCCCTGCCTTTCCACAACTGGCTGATTCAGCCATCAATTCCCAGGAAGCTGCTGTTCACCTGGAGCTCAGTACAGGTGCACAAGCCTGAGAATCGACACATCTCAGTTCCCATCTAGCATCCTATTTACTGGTGGTGTGACCTTATCCTCTCTGAACCTCAGTTTCCTCATCCGTAAAATGAAAAGCTGCTAGATTGTTGTAAAAAAATTAAATGGAATAGGCTAGGCGCGGTGGCTCACGCCTGTAATCCCAGCACTTTAGAAGGTCGAAGAGGGTGGATCACTTGAGGTCAGGAGTTTTGAGACCAGCCTGGCCAACACGGTGAAACCCCATCTCTACTAAAAATAAAAAATTAGCTGGGTGCGGTGGCTCACACCTGTAATCCCAGCACTTTGGGAGGCTGAGACGGGTGGATCACCTGAAGTCAGGAGTTCAAGGCCAGCCTGGGCAACATGGTGAAACCACGTCTCTACTAAAAATACAAAAATTAGCCAGGTGTGGTGGCACACGCCTGTAGTCCCAGCTACTTGGGAGGCTGAGGCGGAAGAATCGCTTGAACCCAGTAGGCAGAGGTTGCAGTGAGCCGAGATAAGAGTCACTGCACTCCAGCCTGGGTGACAGAGCAAGACTCCCTCTCAGAAAATAAAATAAAATAAAATAAAATAAAATAAAATAAAATAAAATAAAATTCTAAAAGGGCTGGCATTTGCCTAGCACTTATATGCCCAATAAGTAATAGCTATCAATATCCCCACCCCTACCACTGTGCTGAAATTTAGTTTCTTTTTGTCACCCCCCATTAGACTTAAGGCAGAATTCTCACCGTACTCCTCTGTAAATTTCTGGTTCCTGGCACATAGTTGGGTCTCAGTGAAACATGGTGAGTGAATGAGCAAATGCAAGGAATCTCCAGGCCATCTGGGAGCCCTCCCAGGCGGGTGAGTTCGGGAAACTCATAGTCTGTCCTCAATGGCCCACTGAAAGGTAGAGAGTTCTGGGTCCCACCTCCGCACCCCCATCTCCTGACTCACTGCTGAAAAATAAATAAATAAATAAAATAACACTTATCCGGAGCCTCCCACATGCCTTGCCAGGACTGCAAGGAGCCCAGCAGAATGATGACCGGCGTGCAAGCTGTGCCCCGGCGTGCATATGTTTCCAGATTATTGGAAACCTGGGCCAGAGAGACTAATAATTAGAAAAGCCATAGGCTCTCTTCCAGGGCTAAGATTATGGGATCATTAGCAAGTCCACAGACTCTGATTTCAGAGAATGAACAAGGAAACTGGGAAGGGCAGCAGCTCCAGCTGAGGCCGGCTGGTCATGGCACCTGGCATGGTGTGTGGGGGTGGGGGCAGGCAGGGATAGCTAGAATGACTCAGCCTTGGGGGTGGCTCAGGACACCCCCCCTGAGCAGGGGGCAGGTGGTCAGCTAGGACGCAGCCCTGGGCTCATTTGTTCTCTGCCCTCCTCCCCACCTCCCCCAGCTTGGATTGGAAGCTTGTCCCCAAATAGGCTCTGCTTTGCACGCTCTAAGAAAAGGGAGGCAGATCTGGCCACCAGCCAAGGTGAGGCAGCATCCCTGGGGGTGAGAAGATGGGGGGACTGACAGTTGCTGGGCTAGGATTCACTTCAAGGTCTCAGCCTGTCAGGGAGGGGCGTAAGTCCCAGGGGGCCAGAAAGTGGCCATAAAGAGGACAATCTAGGTCTCTGGAGAAACTACCTGTACCCAGCTTCCCTGTGTTACCTGCCTCAATGTCACTAGGCAGGAGGAACCCTCTTCCCCAGCCTTAGCACAGAGTGGACCAGCTGGCAGTTGTGTACTTGTCTGTCTCTAGAACTGGTCCAAGAGCCTCCCAGGGCCTGGCTGGCGACATACAGACTTTGAATGTTTCTGCAAGTTTTAGAGGAAGAGATGGCCCCAGAGGACAATTCCCAAGGGCAACTGCCGTGGATGGACACCACTTTGAGCTGAGACCTGGGTGGAATCTCCCCCAGCCTCTTCTGAGTTCTGCAACCTTATGCTTTCCCGGAGCCTCAGGGAAAATATCTCTTCCTTTGCAAGGTGCTGAGGGTTGGATTAACGAAACGAAATGGCACACAGGGCACCGATCCTGTCACTCAACATTAGCCCTTCTTCAGAGAAATCCCTTTTACTGCACGCATCACTCACCCTTCTCAAAGTGCTTTCTCATAGCCTTGAACTAGGTTCTCAGAACAATTTGTGGAAATAAGAAGGCAAGAATTATCCCCATGTTAGAGATGCAGAAACAGAGGCCCAGCAAAGCTAAATGATGTACCCCACGTCACCCAGTGAGCTAGGAAAGAGATGGCCAGGGCAAAAATGACGATTCCCAGGCTCCTGGCTCCCAGCCGCATGGGATCCCTCCACCCGCCAGTGGCCTGGACTTTTGGAGACCTCCACCCAACAGAACTGGCTTTGCTACCGTGAACCTTCAAGAGAAGGTCATGAAGTTTACTGAGGCCCCAACTTCTACTTTTGAACTTTCTGGGAAACACCCATCCTCAGAGGTTCAGGGACCCAAAGTATCGGATTTCAGAGGAGCCAACTCTCCCCTCCCTCTTCCCCAAAGAGGGAAACACAGCCCAAGGCAATGATTACATCAGGGTTAACCATCAGCAGCTCCACCCTCTTGTTCCAATGAAAGCTTTAGTTCTCCAGAACTAAAAGAACTTGGGGAGTCTTTCCAGGCTGCCCTGGGGCTCTCTGGGCTGGGCCTGTGCAGCAGTCTGGCCCTTCAGGATGACCGTGTGTGGGGAACATCCTCAGGGGACCCCCGCTTTAGGAACAAGGAAGCCTCTGCACCTTCCTGCTTTATCCCTCTCTGCCCATGCCAGATCCCAGCATAGATCCTGGGCTGAGGATTCCAACGCCACAGCCTCCCGAAGGCAGCTCGGAGGCCGGCAGAAAGCTGCCCTTACCAACCACGGCCCACCACCACCAAATCAAGGCAAACAGATCAATACAGTGAGCGGCTGGGAGGGCTGTGGGCAGCCACTCCTGTCTCGCTCAAAGGTGGAAACAGGAAACACGCCGGCACAGGGTCTTTGGCCCTCCCAATTCCCCTACCTCTAATCTCCTGGGTGGGGCTCCCTAACTTCTGGGGAGAAAATTTGGCCACCCTTCCCTCCTCTGCTCTGCAAAAAGGCAGAGATGACAGCAGTTACTTTCTAAAATAATGAACATTTGTATGATACTTTCCAGTATCCTCAGCTTTCACACATGGTTTCTCCCTTGTTTTTCTTATCTTTTTGGGTTTTTTTGTTTTGTTTTTTATTTATTTATTTTGAGATAGAGTTTCACTCTGGCACCCAGGCTGGAGTGCAGTGGCGAAATCTCTGCTCACCGCAACCTCCACCTCCCATGATCAAGCAATCCTCCTACCTACCCAGCTCAGCCTCCAGAGTAGTTGGGATTACAGGTAGACACCACCACATCTGGCTAATTTTTGTACTTTTTGTAAAGATGGGGATTTGCCATGTTGCCCAGGCTGGTCTCAAATTCTTCAGCTCAAGCGATCTGCCCGCCTCGGCCTCCCAAAGTGCTGGGGACATGAGCCGCCATGCCCCACCCTCCCTTGTTTTTCAAAGCCATCCAGGAAGCTCAGTATTATCTTCCCCATTTTATCAGCCAGGAGCTTTAGAGAGGGAGGTGATTTGCTCAAGGGAACACAGTGAGTAAGTGGTCAGATGAGGGCAGAAATCAAGACCTTTCAACTTCAGAGTCTGTCTTCTGTTTTTGACATGAAGCTGGTCCATTGCTCAGAAATGCCAGCTCCTGGGATCATTGATCAAGCATAAAAGAGAAAGACTCAGAACCCAATAGCCAATTCGTCCAGGGCTTGCCAGGAATACCTGGACAGGCCGGGGCAAGATCCCAGAAAGGCTAAGTGCTTATTCTCTGGAGCTGCAGCTGTGCCATTATCCACCAGCCTTAATGCAGCAAGGACTCTGAACTGCCCAGTGCCTCTGAAACAAAGCTCATGTGGCATGGCCACTTGCAGAAGGGTGGAACGATTAGGAGTGCATGGGGCCTGTGGGTCCCTGGGCTGCCTGAGAGGCCCTTCTTGCTCTGTGAATTTAAATCAGGCTTTTAAAAGGCAGCTTACGAGCTTCTAGATAAAGTCAATTGTCCCCCTTAGATGGAAGGGGAGGAGGATAATGGGAGAAAAGAGGGAGGCAGGAAGGTATTAGGAGCAAGTCAAGAATTGGGACCAGCTCTCAAACAAGGTGGTGAGGTGACTAATGAATGTATTGCTTGACTTTCAGAATTCAAAAACCAGTAACATTTTTAAAAATTACATACTTTTTAAACTAGGGTTTTTTTGGGCATCTGCTTCATTGCAGCATCTCAATGTCCAGCAAAGTGCCTGGTATGGAGAAGGCGCTTGGTACTGTTTGCCAGTGTAGCTGAATGAGGGAAACGTCATTTGCAGTTAATGGGGAAAGACGGTAGGCTCCACTCAGGGGCCAGGCCCACCATATGCAAAGCTGAGTCTTTTGTGGAGTTGAGCTGATGACTCCAAGACTTTGCCATGCCCGGGGGCATCTGTATCCCAGCTGTTCACCATATCCTCCTCCCACCAGCTGCCCAGACCTCAAACCAAGGCTGCTAACCTCAGCCAGCCATGCCTCCTGCTCTGGAGCCTTTCCCTAAATCCCCTGATGCACCTCCCTCCCTGCACCCCATATCCCCAATTTAGAGCATTCTTCTCTCTGCTGCCAGCCAGCTTGTTACGATGTAGATTAAAGGAGTTCCCCAGGGAATGTGCAATTCCATGGGGACATCTCCAGACACTTGCTTCCCCAGAGGGACAGGCGGCCAATAGAAGACAGTTTTCAATTCTATAAACAGATAATTGATCACCTGTGACAGTCAGAGCACTGTTCGGGTACCGGAAAGGAAACTGAGAGAGTAAGCCAGTCTCTCTTTTCCAAAGTTCCCAATCCAGGAGGGTCAAATGCACTCTCCCAAAGCAAACTGTGTGGACCTTCTGGATTGAAAATTAAATTGACAAAATGCCAAGGCAGAGGTGGCCTCTTAGCCAGGCCTTGAAGGAAAAGGGACAAACCCATCGACAGGCAGAGGTGGGTTAGGGACCAGCCTGGCTGGTTACCCTCCTTCCTCAACCATTCAGGCAGGCCTTTTCCACTAACTACAACAGGAATAAAAATAGAAGCAGCTCCTAGTTAGTCATGGTTACCTACTCCAGCAGCCTCCCTCTCCTACGTTGTGTTTACAATCCACATGGGGTCACTGGCGTCACTGGTAATCCCAACCAAGGACCTGGGGATGTTGTGTAACCTCCTTGTCCTGGTCTGAAGATAAGTCATTTCACCCTTTTGGAGCTCAGAGGGAGCCTCTGTGTAATGAAGACAAGACCCTGCCTTACGCAGCTATTGAGGTGCGGAGGAGATTGGACAGTTTGTGATAAACCAAGATGAGCTGGTTAGCTGGGTCAATGGTTCATCTGGGTGTGAGCCAGGAATGCGGGGGTCAAGGGTCAATCTTTGAGAAGCGGATGTGGTAAACTTGCCTCTGTTCCCAAAGCACAAGGCAACGTTCTCTAAATCCGCCCAGCAGCCTCAAAATTGGATGCCGCTGGTCACAAGGGAGCCTGGGCGCAAGATGGGTGGACAGCTTCGTGCCATCTCAGCTTCCTGCTGTGTTCCGACATGCCTGTAGACAGGTCCTCGGCATCAAAGGGCCTTCCCTAACCCGGTTTAGGGGCTGGGCTAGTGCCCCTCCCGCCACGCCCTCTGTCCAGCACTCCTCAGACTGTATTAGATGATGGATCAGCAGAAGATTAGGCTATTTAAGAGCAGAGGTGTGTTTTAGGTATCTGCTTTCCACTAAAGTATGCTTAGCACATGCAGTAAACCTCTAAATATTTGTCCAGTGGTCAAACGGATGCACAATCCTTCCAAGTTGCCAGCCTATCCAGATTGGTCCCCTTACTCTGGCTTTGCAAATAAGAACCAAGAGTTTCCCAGTCTACACATGGTCTTGCTGTAAGTCCACTCCGGGGCAGTTACGATGACCTGAGCAGCCCATGCATCAGCAACTTCCCCTGGTCTTCTTTGTTAGCGTAGCATAGGTCAGGAGATCATTTTTGGGTCCCTAAAGATGCCCTTTCTGCCTCTAATTTAAGTAGACAAAGTCCCTCATTCAGAGGCACCCAGGTAAGCAGATCACTCAAAAGGAAACAAAACAAAACAAAACAAAAAAAACAGCAGAAAAAAACCCCGCCCCACAAGTAAACAGCTGAATGGCGGTTTGGGAAGGGCTTTCTGACATTTGCAGAGGCCCAGGGTACAGGCCGCTCAGCCAGACCTCCTCAAAGGCCCTCCTACCAGTCCACAAGGCCCCTGCTGGGCTGTTTCCTCACTGGTCCCCATCCTCAGCCCCTCCCCCCTCACCCCCCATTCATGTTCTCCTAATTAGGCTCCTTTCTCCATATCCCTGAGTACCAGGTATAGAATCACCCGCTGGCCTGTGACTGTAGGCACGGCAGCCACGGGCAACTCCTTCTGAACCTTACTTTCCTGTCTGTGATTCAGGAATCAAAATGATAACACCTCACAGGGTTATTCTGAGGATTAAATGAAATAAAATGCAAAACTCTGGCACACAGTTGGATGTGTGCATGTCCTGCTGCCTCCCCTCGGCAGTTCCCCCGTGTCCCTGCATGTAAACCATCTCAGTCTGCCCCACCTGGCCTCACAGCAGCCAGACTCTCACTAGAAACAAAGGAAACTCCCTCCCTCAGGGCGAAAGGGGAGGAGGAAGGATCTAAGTTAATGGCCAGGGAAGGCTGCCTGCCAGCTGGACAGGCTGGCGTGGGGGTGGGGGACAGGCAGTGATCAGAAGGTGCAGTCCCTAGAGCAGAAGCTGGGTTTTTCTAGAACCAAGTGACCTCTGCCCACGTGACCTCTGGGCAAGTCTCTTTCCTTCTCTGTGCCTCAGTTTCCTCACCTGTGAAACAGGGTCAACCTCTCTGTCCCAACTTCTTCTCAGGGTCTTCGGGAAGAAGAGGCTGTGCGGACAGGCAGGACAGTGATTAAGGGTGGGGACCCGGAGGTCCTGATACTTGGGTGGGCGCAGACAGTGTCCAACACTGTTGCTTCCTTGGGGGTGGTTGCCTGCCTTGGGCCCAGTTTTAGGGTCCCCAAACCAGGCCCCACACAGTACTCACCTCCCCCCACGACAGCTCTTTTTACCTGCCAATCAAACCTCCTTGCTTTTTCGAAGCAAAAAGCTCTCTTACTGAAACAGTGCCCATTCCAGTTGACCCTCTCCCTTTCCAATTCTGCAACTCACCTCCCTCAGGAAGCCTTCCCAGATTAGGCACATTCAGCCTTAAAAACTCTTTTCTTTCCAGCAGAGCCCTAGCATTTGTTAAGCTCTTGGAGGGCAAAGCCACACCGTGTATCTTCTTCATGGCTAGGTAGTGCCTGGCACACAGTCAGCCCTCAGGAAATCACTGGTTAAACCTGTACTTATTGGATGGGTTCACAATTGTTAAAAGTTTCTGTTGTTAAATATTTAAAGAGTCAAAAATACCTCACTATGCAGGAAAGAGTCCTGTCATCCCACATGGGACTAGATGCCTCAGTGGCCAGAAGCCCAGTCTCCCCCTTCTAGTAACAGGGGTACACCACCTGCACTCCAGGTTGTGACCAGGCTAGCTTCATTCAAACCCCTTGCTTAATCGGACTGCACCATTATTTCAGACACTGGGGCAGTGTAGCACAGTGGTTAAGAGCAAGGGCTTTGGAGTTTGGGTCCTGGCTCAGCCACTTACTAGCTATGGAAACTCTGGCAAGAAACTTCTGAATCCTGATGTCTTTTTCTCCAAAAATAAGGAAAACACATATTCACCCGGTTGTTGTGAAAAGCTAATGAGAAAATGCAGGTGAGTCATTAACACAGTGGATGGCACATATTAAATGCTAAATAAATAGAGGCTTTGTTAGTATGACATCATGAGACTTGACCCCTAACCCCAGCTGCAGCCTGTATTGCCGCCTACATCCTTTTTCCCTCTTCTGTGTCCAATCTTGCCTTTTTCTTCTGCAGAACACAATATACAAAGAAAACTCAGTCAGACAGGGAGGAATTATAGAGAGGGAGGGTAGAAATGTGCGCAGTGGAAAGTTAACCCTTCCTTCTGGTAGCCAATGTAGCCAACTATCTAGATCACCCCAACTACCTAAATCACCCCTTCCAGGAAGATGAGCCTGAGCACTGGTCTTTCTAGCTCTATTTTCCCTCCTCAGGCCTCTTCAGCCTCGAGGGGAACCAGGACTCCAACCTCACTCACTGAGTGGAATTTGAGTGGTGAACCCAAGCCACTCCTGTTGTATTATTCTGAATTGGGCACCAAAAGCTGCTGCTGTTTCTTAACAAATCTCAGTGTAGGGCAGCCAGAGTTAGCAAATAAAAGTACAAAACGTTCCCATTCAATTTGAATTTCAGATACACAACGAAGAATTTTTCAGTATCAGTACGTCTCATGTCATGTTTGGGATAAGCTGATACTAAAAAGTTATGTGTTGTTTATTGAAAGTTCAAATGTAGTGGGGCATCCTACATTTGATCTGGAAGCTGCCCAGGACTCCCACCCAAAGGCATAAAGATTAAAGTCTTCCACCTGTTCCACAGTGGACTGGCCTCACCAGCCACCCTGGAAACAGCCCCTCCTTCCAACTCTCAAGCAGGACACATATGCTAAGTAGGAGCCCTTTCCTGAGCTGCCGAGTCAGGTGACCTGCTGTGCCAAGGCGCCCAGCACAGGGCCAGGCACACAGTAGGTCCTCAATATACCCCGTCCCCCATTCATTCCAGGCAGCTGGGGCCTAGTACCCGGCCCAGGAGAGGCTGTGACTGTGAGGGCGCCAGCTCAGCTTTGACTATGGGAGGAGAGGGGTGGTCCAAGGAGCAGCATGGCAGAGGTGGGACCGGGAAGGTCACCGCCACCCACTCCCTGAAGTTGTTTTGACGATCACATGAGAAAGCGGCTCGGGATATGTTCTGGGCAGCACGTAGGTTATCATCAAGACCTTTGAGTGGTGCATTTTAACCACAGGGCCTCGGCCCCCAGTCTTCCCTGGGGAGGAAGGCTGGACAGGGAAGTTTCAGAAGTACAGAGCAGAGCCAGTGCCTCTGAACGCTGGAATACCGACGGCTGACATCTGTCCAGCACCTTGTAATTTGCCAAACACGTTCCCAGCCATTCGCTCTACAGGCCTCACTGCAGCCCCAGGAAGTAGGGGCGGGTTGGGGCCCATTTTCCAGAGGGTGCTCAGGGCGGCCTGCCCCGGGCCCTGCCTGGGAGGTGGGGCCCGGTCCAGGGGACTGGGGCCGAGGTCCCAGCGGTGTGGGGGCGAAGGCGGGGGCCTACCTTCTGGGCCTGTTGGATCATCTGCCTGACCACCTGCTTGAGGTGCGGCGCCTTCTCGTCCTTGGGCGGGTGGGTGAAGAGCGTGACCCGGCTCACGCCGCGGTAGAAACCAGTGTCCGTCCAGCCCAGGTCCAGAGGAGGCACCTCGGTGTCGGAACGGTCGGGCCAGTAGGCCAGGGACTCGCCGGACTCAGCCGGCGCCGGCGCGGGGGCCTTGGCCTTGGCCTTGCTCTTGCCCCGGGCGTTGGCGGCGGGGACGGCGTCCTCGTAGGGGCTCCAGGCGGCCCGCAGGGCCTGGCGCTCCGGGCTGGAGAGGAAGTCCCGCAGCTGCTCCTCCTTGAGCCGCTCGCGGTAGGCCTGCTCGCCGCCGCCCAGCAGCGCCTCCAGCGCGGCCCGCCGCCGCTCGCAGTAGTAGAAGGCGGCCTGCGCCTCGGTCACCTTCTCGTTCACGTGCGCCTCGTCCAGGCAGTTCAGCTGGGACTCGGCCATGGCGCCCCGGCCCCGGCCCCGGCCCTGGCCCCGGCCCCGCCGCGGTCCGAGGTCCCACAGCCGCACCTGGAGCCGCCGAGGGGCGGGGCGCCTCACCTGGCCGCGAGCTCTGCCCCGGCCCGTCCCGCCCCGCCCCGCCGTCGGGGAGCGGCCAATCCGCGCGGGCGTGGCCGTCGGGCGGGGAGGGGCCGCCGCCTCCGCCGGGCTCGCCGGGACCTCCGGGCGGCCTGGCGGACGCGGTCGGGCCCGGGCCTGCAGGGCCCACCAGCCGGGGCTAGAGTCCCTGAGGGGACGCCCCCAGGGGGCGGGGCCGTCGCAGACCCACGTGCGGGCTCCGGCCCCGACTCCTCCGCGGGGTAAAGGTTCGCTGTCCGGCCCTCGCTGCCATCCGCCCCCGCCGGCCGCGTCGCGGGTACGAGTTCATTTTCCGCGCACGTGGAGTCCGGAGCACGTGTTCTGGCCCAGTGGCCTCTGGGGCCGCCGAGCTGACCCCTTCCCCGTCGAGGGTCCGGTGTTGGTGGGGGGGCCTGCTGCAGGACGGGATTGTGACGGCTGAGGAGCGGGCAGGGGGTGTGCAAAAGCGAAATGCTAATGAGAGCTCGAGCTCCCCACCCTTGCGTCCCAGTTCTGAGATCAGAGCCCTTCTGGGCTGGGAGTCCAACACCTTCACTGTAAAACTTTCTTTTAAAAAATAGCTATCCAAACAGAAATGATGTAAAGAGCAGCAGTGGAATTCCCCCCGCCCCCACCTTAATTTGAAGTAGGGTGTGTGGTGTCTCTCCGTGTGTGTTTGGGCAAGATAGGCTGCCAGAGACATGATTACTATATTAGTGATTCAAAATGTATGTTTGAGCTCAAGGAAGGAAACCGCACGTGCGTGCACACCACACACACGCACACACACAGCAGCGGTGGCAGCAGCTCTGCTGTTTCCCATCGGATTAAATACAATCGTCTTAGTCATTAACATATTATGTTGTTCATGCACTGCTCTACAATTTGATTCTCCACATTCAAAATATTTTCAGATCATAACAACTAAAGGTTCACATTTCTCTCACTTTATAGCGCAGCATCTCAGAGCTGGAAGGAGCTTTTCAAGCTCCTCCAACCCCCTCATTTTACAGTTGAAGAAATTGAGGCCTAGCAACGTGTGCGTTGCCCAGGTCTCCCGTGAAAGAGGCAGAGCACGGGGACTGCAAGGTTTTCTGTCTTGGAGGTCTTTCGCTGACATCACGGCCGCCTTTACCCTTTCTCCTTTTCTTGTGAAACGACAGGTTATTGGGGACCTGGTTTTCACCCCAGGGGATTTGAAAAGGTCACTTACCATTTCTAGGCCTTCCTTTCATGCTCTGGAAAAAATGAGAGTTAGATTTTCAAATGTCTGCACATTATTGTTATTATTATTTTTTTTTTTACAATAATCAGTTCTGGCATCCTGTGTCAGCCCAAAGATTGGGAGTGGTGAGCAGCAAGGTGTCCATCACCTCACTTGTCCTTTACCCCTCTTGGGAACTGGAAAGCTTCACTCCTGGTAATGCTCCACTCTTAAGTACATATAGACAGATTGTGTCCTTAGATGGGAGAGCACTTAGTTTATTACGACTTGACGCCCTACAAGATGCCAGACTCAATAGTCTGGAGACACACAGGAGCTCAGGGCAGTGGGAGAGACAGACAAACACAGAAGAGGATAGGAGTAATGAGAGTGGTTTCTTTGGGCTTTTTTTGTTTATTTTGTTTTGTTTTACTTTGTTTTGTTTGAGACGGAGTCTCACTCTGTCGACCAGGTTACAGTGCCGTGGTGCAATCTTGGCTCACTGCAACCTCTGCCCCCTGGGTTCAAGCGATTCTCCTGCCTCAGCCTCCGAGTAGCTGGGGTTACAGGCACCTGCCACCGTGCCCGGCTAATTTTTGTATTTTTAGTAGAGTTAGGGTTTCACCATTTGGCCAGGCTGGTCTTGAACTCTTGACCTTGTGATCCACTCACCTTGGCCTCCCAAAGTGCTGGGATTACAGGCATGGCCCAATAGTGTTTTAATAAACACAGTCAGAAATGCTTTGGGAGCAAATGGGCTCAACAAACATTTACTCAATGCCTACCATGTGCCTGGTACACAGTTTGCACCCAGTGTACATTTCTTAAAGAATTTGAGCCAAGAGAAAGGTATGTGGAGGGAGCTTATGGGAATATGAAGGAAGGAGCAATCTGCCCAGTGGGAACTGGGTAAGAAGGGCTTTGTCCAGCAAGAAGGGATTTCAAGTGGAGCCTAAAAGGAGGAGAAGAATTCAAGGTGGAGAGAGGGAATGAAGACATTATAGGTGGAGGGACTTAAAACTGAGTTTAGTCAGAACATTATGCTGGCATCAGGCTTATGTGGACTCAGTCACTTCAAGATGCCTTTCAGAGCCTTAGTCTCCTCATCTGCAAAATGGGATAATAATGCTTAACTCTCCTGACCTCCCACGTTGGTGTAGGGATTAAACGAGAACACTTCTTTGACTTAATTAGTACTCGTGTATCCCTGGTAGAAAGTGGTTTACAATAGTGCTTCCAAAATTTTCCTGTGCAGCCAGGGGGCTTGTTAAAATGTAGATTCTGATTCAGTAGGTCTGGGGTGAGGCCCGAGACTCTGCATTTCTAGCAAGCCCCCAGGTAATGCTAGGAGTGCTGGTCCACTGACCAAACTTTGCATGGCAAGGATATCAGAGATGGTAAATAACAGCATGAACTTTCATATCACAGAGTCCTGGGAATGAATCCAGCTTTCCTAATATTAGCTGTGTGTCCCCAGGAAAGTTATTTTTATTTTCTGGGCCTTTGTCTTGTCATCAGTGAAATATGGGCAATAAGTCCCACCTCAGCTGGGCGCAGTGATGGGCCAGTAGTCCTGGCTACATGGGAGGCTGAGGCAAGAGGATCCCTTAAGCCCAGGAGTTTGAGTTCAGCCTGGGCAACATAGTGAGACCCTGTCTCTTAAAAATGAAGTCCAACCTTACTAGGTTATTTGAGAAGGGAAACAAGTTAATGGATATAGACCACTTAGAAGAATGTCTGGCACAGGTAGCAGCCAGTAAAGGGCAGCTAGTGTTAAAGTATGGGAAGATGGGACTGGAAAGAGGGGGATATGGGGCCAAATTATGGATAATTCGACTTTAGGTCTATCCAGTGGTTAAAGGGCAGTCAGTGAAGGTTGTTGAGACTGATATGGTCACAAAAAAGTAGCAATTACTATGTGCTAATTATTTTATGTACACTTTAAATGAACCCTGTAATCCTATTAGAAAAATTGTTAGCTGAGCTGAGTGGCTCACACCTGTAATCCCAGTGCTTACGGAGGCCAAGGTAGGAGGATCACTTGAGCCCAGGACTTTGAGGCTGCAGTGAGCTATGATTGCACCATTGCACTCCAGTCTGGGCAACAGAAAAAAAAAGGAGAAAAAATGTTATCCTCATTTCACAAGTGAGAAACCTGAAGCACAGAGAGGTTCAGTAGCTACTCTAGGTCACCCAGCCAGTAAGTAGAATAGGCAGAATTCAAACCCAGACCATCTGATTCCAGAGCCCGCCTACCTAACCATTCTGCTACGCCGCCTCAGTCGGGAATGTTAGAAAGAGATATTAGAAAGAAAAAGTATCCCCCTTGTTTAATAATTAATCCAACCAACATTTGCTGAATGCGTAGCTCTGTGTTAAGGGTTAGAAACCATTTGTTTATTTACCAAATACTCATGGAGTCTTACCAAGCGCAAGGCCCGTTTCCAAGTGCAGGCTCTGAGCAAAACCAAGTCCTTGCCCACCCGGAGCTCACATTGAAACAGAATGATTAAGGCATGGTTTTTGCTCTCAAAGACCACAAATATTATGTGATGTGATTTGCAGTTGGACAGAAGGTTAGAAGCAGAACAGAATATTTTAGTAACAGTTCACATTGGAAAAGGTCTTTCCTAGATCTAACTAATATGAAATATTGTGCTTGTTTTGTGATATTCACCTTTATGTACCAATGACTTACTTATTCAACCAACAGTTGGAGGCAGTTAATAGATAAGCAGTACTAGATAACACACTTGACTCTGATAATAACACAGATAGATAACACGCTTGCCTCTGAGAATAACACAGAGGAATCAGACATGATAGCTGGCTGCCCTGGTGACTCTCTTAGTTTAGCTGGGAGTCAAATTCTCACAGCAGTCTTTACAAGGCAGGTTGATAAGTGATACCATGCCACTCACAGAGAGGTTGCAGGCTATGGAGGCCTTTTAATGTACACTTATCTAATTTGACCCATCCCCCTTTCCCCAAATCTGTTGAAGTACTCCGTGAAACGGATTATTGTGAGGTGTCACAGATGAATAAGCTGAGGCTTCTGGAGGGGAGACATCCAGTTCAAGATGATCCACTGGCGACTGGAAATACTGGGATGCATTTCCACATAGCCTGATCCCCAGGCCTTCCACCCTCCGGCCCAGCAAAATACTCTGTGCAATGTGATTGAGATTTTTTTTTTTTTTTGAGACAGAGTTTCACTTTTGTGGCCCAGGCTGGAGTGCAGTGGTGCAATCTCGGCTCACTGCAACCTCCGCCTCCCTAGTTCAAGCAATTCTCCTGCCGTAGCCTCCCGAGTAGCTGGGACTATAGGCATGCACCACCATGCCTAGCTAATTTTTGTATTTTTAGTAGAGACAGGGTTTCACTATGTTGGCCAGGCTAGTCTCGAACTCTTGACCTCAGGTGGTCCGCCTGCCTCGGCCTCCTAAAGTGCTGGATTACAGGCCTGACCCACCGTTTCCGGCCGTGATTGAGATTTTTTTTAAAAAAATCTCTTTTTAGAGAGTGGAAACTGATTTCTTTCAGGCACAGGCCCTATAGATTAAGCTAAGTAACTTCTTTTCCAGGGACACTCCATGAGGCCATGACACCCTAGGAAAGCCCCTGGTCCTCTCCCGGTCTCTCTGGTCCTGAGTCTGGACTTTCCCTGAACTAGGTGAGGCCCGATCGTAGTTACATTTCCAACTTCGGAGGCCACCTTGCCCAAGGTGACTTCAGGCTTCCTGAGAACTGGCGCCTCCTCCAGCAATTCCCCGCAACCCTGCCTGGCTCCCTCCTCCTTCCTCCGGCAGACACCCTCCCCCAAAACCACCCAACTCCTGCCTGGGTACATGGCGGGAGGGATTCACCTTCCTCTCGCCCACCCGCCAGGCACTGAGGGCTGTGTGTTCACAAGATAAAGACATGACACCTTCTAGTTAATATTAATTGTAGCTGTGTTCATCCCTGCACACTTCCCAGGCCCTCTTGTGTAATTTGAGTCCCAAAATAGCCCACTTCATGATATATTCTTAGATGAGTTTTCCAGGGGTGACTTTTTTCCTCTGTAGCAATCTGTGTCATGAGCATCTCTACAAAACTTCAGGGGCTCTCTCTCTCATGCCTCTGTAAAATTCTTGGTTGGCCAGAGAGGGTGAGAGAGAGAATAAGGGGAAGGGGTTCCCCCAGGCCCACTGGGAGGAGAGGCAGAGATCCTAGGACTGAACGACTTAAGCAACCTTCCCGTCTGATCCACTCGACTGCTCCACAATACGCATACACCGAGGTCTCTCACCTGTGTCGGAACTCACCTACGGCTTTCATCTGTTCATTAAATGACTGTTTATGGAGCACTAATTATGTACCAGGCAAGTTCCTGCCCCCACAGACCTTCCAGACTCAGGGGCTTTGCTGCTTCTCCAGCCTTGGAGGTACAGAGGCTCCCAGTCCCCTGAAGACTCTGCCATTGCACTGTTTTCTCTGAATTGGTGATTCCTGTTTTTTGTTTGTTTGTTTGCCTCCCTGCCACTCCTTCTCATTCTCCTTCATCCATCTCTGAAACGCGCTGTTCCTCGGGACCCTGCCCTGACCTTCCCGCCTTTCACATCTCGCCCATCCGTGGGCAACCTCGCTTCCCTGTGCTTGGATGACTCTAGCTCAACTCCAGAACCCTCTCCTCAATCCATGCCAGTTCATCAGGCTGCCTGCTGGTCATCTCCAGTCACACATCCCCCAGGCACCTCCAACACAACTTGTCCCAAATGGCACCTGTCAGCCCCTTCTCCTATGCCCCCCAGGCATGCCCCTCCTCCTGGGTTTACCATGTCCAAAACGACCCAGCCCTCCACTAGCCAGCCTCCATCTCACCAGCATGGGAAACAGGGGCTCATTTTGACTCTTTCCTTTCCCTTAGGCCACCAGACCAGAAGAGGCTTTCTCTGGGCTAGGGTGTGATGTGATGTGGGGTGACGTGGTGTGGTTCCGTCACTGCCCCTCCCTCCTTCCCTGCTGCCACTCCCCACTCCTCCCTTCCTGGACATCCTTGCAAGAGCCTTGCAAGAGCCTCCTAACTGGGCTCCCTAACCGGATTCTCCCCTTAGATCTCTTCTAAAAGGTAAACACCATTATGTCCTTTCCCTGCACAAAACCCTGCCAAGGGTCCCTATCCCTGCAGGCTACAGCCCAAGCGCCTCGAGGCCTTTTAGGATTCAGACCTACTTTTCTTCCCCTCCCCAAGCTTCTGCTGCTACCACGTGTTTCTCCCCAGCCCACGGGAGACTCTTCTGGCTCCTCTTGTCTTTAGCCTGGTGGTCACTCCCTCTGTAGAGTCTCTCCTGGGCCTCTAAGTCCGGGTGCAGGGACTTTCCTTGCTTCCCGCTAGACCTGTCTGAGCATCCAGGCTCTGTGTTCTCATGGTCTGTCTCCCCCAGCAGTTGTGAGTTCCTTGATGGCAGGACTGTCACATTCATCAGGGTGTTCCCAGGCCTTAGGCCCTAACCCCTGGGCTTTCACCCGAGGTCACCCGCTTTTTTTTTTTTTTTTTTTTGAGACAGAGTTTCTCTCTTGTCCCCCAGGCTGGAGTGCAGTGGCACCATCTCAGCTCACTGCAACCTTTGCCTCCCAGGTTCAAGCGAGTCTCCTGCCTCAGCCTCTTGAGTAGCTGGGATTACAGGCATGCCACCACGCCAGGCTAATTTTTGTATTTTTAGAAGAGATGGGGTTTCATCATATTGGTCAGGCTGGTCTCAAACTCCTGACCTCAGGTGATCTGCCCACCTCAGCCTCCCAAAGTGCTGGGATTACAGGCGTGAGCCACTGCACCCGCCTTTTTTTTTTAAGACGGAGTCTTGCTCTGTCGCCAGGCTGAAGTGCAGTGGCGTGATCTTGGCTCACTTCTCGGATCTTCGCCTGCTGGGTTCAAGCGATTCTCCTGCCTCAGCCTCCCGAGTTGCTGGGATTACAGGCGCCCACCACCAAGCCCGGCTAATTTTTGTATTTTCAGTAGAGACGGGGTTTCACCATGTTGTCCAGGATGGTCTCAATCTCTTGACCTCGTGATTCGCCCACCTTGGCCTCTCAAAGTGCTGGGATTACAGGCCTGAGCCACCGCGTCCGGCCCCCTCACCCTCTTTACTGCAAACGGATTGGGAATTCTTTCTCAAAACTTAGTAGGGTTTCCTCTCTTCCCCTGCCGTAAATACCATAGGAACATAGAAATAAGAACCCAAATGCCAAAGACAACTTAATTGAACATGAGTCTTTTCAGCCATTCTGTTGCCCAGTGTGACTGTGTATGTGTGTGTGTGTGTGTGTGTGTGTGTGTGTGTGACACAGAGAGAGAGAGAATGCATATGTGTGGTAGGGTGTACACAGTGGACCTTTTTTTCTTTTTAGAGACAGGATTTCGCTCTGTTGCCCAGGCTAGAGTGCAGTGACACAATCATAGCTCACTGCAACCTTGAACTCTTGGCCTCAAGTGATCTCACCTAAGCCTCCCAAGTAGCTGGGATTACAGGCTTCAGTCACCATGCCTGGCTCTGGTAGACATTTTTGATTATCTTTAAAGATGAAGAAGGATTTCGGCATCCATGTCCTCCCGGGAGGCATAGTCCAAAGGAGGCCTTTTCTCCAGCCAGTGCGGATGGAGGACCAGCATCAGGAAGAGAGAGGGTTTAATCCAAAGGCTGCCTAGGAAGAGGCCTAAGGGTTTGGCGCTTCTCCCCGCCTGAAGACTCTCCGCACAGGGGTTGTTTGTTAGAACTACCCCACGGTGTGTTCCTGATGTGCATTGATCCAGAGCAAGAGCTGGTCACTGGAGAGATGACCGTGGCAGATTAGCTTGAGTTCTACCCTCTGGTCTTTAATGCTTTTTTTTTTTTTTTTTTTTTTTTTTGAGACAGAGTTTCGCTCTTTCACGCAGACTGGAGTAAAGTGGCATGATCTCGGCTCACTGCAACCTCCATCCCCCAGGTTTAAGTGATTCTCCTGTTTCAGCCTCCTGAGTAGCTGGGATTATAGGCACCTGCCACCACGCCTGGCTATTTTTTGCACTTTTAGTAGAGATGGGGTTTCACCATATTGGTCAGGCTGGTATCGAACTCCTGACCTCAGGTGATCCACCTACCTTGGCCTCCCAAAGTGCTTGAAGGGACAGGGGAGGATATTCTAGGTAGTAGCTGATGGTAGGGAAGCAGGAAAGTTATGTTCCAGCTCTAGAACAGACCTGGTACTGAGAGAGTTGAGTGGATGAAGAGTGAGTGAGTGACTGAGTAAATGTAGTGCTTAAGGTAAATGCAGACTAAACCAACTGACTCGTTTAGGTCATGGTGTGTGTGTGTGTGTGTGTGTGTGTGTGTGTGTGTGTGTGTGTGTGTGTACATGTGTGTATGTAAGTACATGTATGTGTATGTGTGTACCAGTGTGTAAATATGTACATATATGTGTATTTCAGGGATGGGAAAATGACAAGGAGCCAGAAATACAAGTTGTCTCACAGATGCTCTTGAGTGCGTGAATTCCAGGCTGAGTTTGCATTTTGTTTTCAGCTGGGAGCCATGGAAGGCTGGGAAACTGGGGAATGGCAGGATAAAAATGATGCTTGAGATGGATGCACCTGACCAAGAGCATGGGCTGGACCCGAGGTAGGGAGAGCCCGCGGTGGGCTCCAGTGACATTTAGCATTACAGAAAGAGGGCTGCTCAGGTTCTGAGACTAGGGAAGTTTCAGAAAGGAAGCCTCGGGGAGGCATGGGGTCTTTTCTTGCTTTCTCTAGGTAGCCACACAGGAACAGAGAGTCTTGGAGCAGAGGTTCCTGGCAGGCTGTGCAGGCAGCGCAGGGCTGCTTGGGTGAACAACTTCACCCACATGACAGAGGCGGAGTGCTTTTGAGTCAGACACACCTGACTCAAGGGAGTGCCTCCCCGCTTTATGGCTGGCAGCACCAGAAACATTTTTAGGCAAAGTTTAAAGCAGCTCTGACCCCAACCAAGAGGCCTGGGCTAGAATTATTTCCTTAGTGTTAGTTCAGCCTTGTCCTTGGGGCCTGGAACCTGGACATTCCAGGGCACAGGACCTGAGTGCACTCACCCTTTTAGGGCAAGGCTGGCAGAGAGAGCACCCGTCAGAAGAAGGTTCAGCAAGGCTGCTTGCTCTAGGCTGAGGGTGGAATCAAAGATGACTTTGTGAAGGGGGTGGCCTTTTCCCTGGCCTTGAAGGCTGGCTAGGATGTGAACAGAGGTAAATAGAAAGGAAGGAGGCCCCTAGGTGGAGGTGGAGGGACCTATGTGAGCACAGTTACCGAAGAAGGAGAAAGGTGCAGGGGTCGAGGGCAGGTGCAGGGCAAGGTGCAGGGGTTGAGGGTGGCCCAGATGTCTTGCCTCCATGCAGCCCCACCTCCAAGAGGCAGCTTGAACCCCAAGCTGGGGGTGGCAGGGGAAGGGCATTCTAGTAAAGCCAGTGACTGATCTGGGTGGGATGCCTTGCAAAGCAGTGGAGAGCCACCAGAGGAAGTGACCCGGGATGCCTCTGACACCCCTGCCTAACCTGGCATTCTCCCTTCAAAAATTATTCCTTTACTTGGCCAACACCCTCAGCACTCTGTCCCTTGCAGGTGGCCATCACAGGACAGGTGTACCCTGGAGGAGGGTGGGTGAGGTGAGGGAGGGGAGCTCTCCCAAAGTTGATGTGCTGTGTTGGCAAGTTATCAGTTTGATGGGTGCAGAGAGATTACCCCGGGGAGGGCGGAACACAGGACAGGCAAGTTTCAAAGGGAAGGAGGCTGTTGCAGCAACAAGTCCCACTGGGGTGGGGCAGGGAGGGGTGAAGAAGAGGCTGTTTCTGCCAAAAATGGAAAGTAGTTATGGGTGAGGTAGAGGCTGGGCAAGACTCCTGGGAGGGCCAGGAACCTTAGGAATGGACCAAGTTTCTTCTCTTTTTTTTTTTTTTTTTTTTTTCTGAGATGGAGTCTCACTCTGTTGCCCAGGCTGGAATACAGTGGGGCGATCTCGGCTCACTGCAACCTCCGCCTTTCAGGTTCAAGTGATTCTCCTGCCTCAGTGATCAAGTGATTCTCCCTACGCGGGAGCTCCCTCTCCCAGCTCCCAAGTAGATGGGAATACAGGTGCGCCACCACACCCAGCTAATTTTTGTATTTTTGTAGAGACAGGGTTTCATCATATTGGCCAGGATGGTCTCGATCTCTTGACCTCATGATCTGCCCGCCTCAGCCTCTCAAAGTGCTGGGATTACAGGCGTGAGCCCCCACGCCCAGCTGAGTTTCTTCTCTTCATGCCCTGTTGCTTGGCCTGGGCCATAGGAATAAAAAGAATGAAGAAAGCAGTCATGATGTCTCTCCCACTTGCTAGGTTCTTACCAAGTAGTTCCTATAATTTTGTTTACTTCTCATGACAACTCAGTGCTATTATCCCCAGTTCTCTAGATCAGCTCAGAGTGGTCAAGAAACTTGTCCAGGCTGATAGCGTAAGTAGCAGAGTCTGGACTGCAGCCCACGTGTTTCTGACTCAAAGCTTGTGACTTTTCCACCTCTCCACATTGCCTGGAGGAGAGAAGAGAGAATAGTTAGAAAGGAGGGGAGGGACAGGGTGTACAGCTCAAGGGTGGGGTTTTCTCTGCAGGGCCAGAAGGTTCTTGAATGCCCCAGAGCAAAGCTGTTAGCTGAGAGACCACTGACCCTGACACCCTAGAGAGGCTCACTCTATATGTAAAAGATGTGAATTTCTCCTTCTGCTCCCAGCCAGGAGAAAACTCAGTTGTTGAGTGGGGATGGAGAATGTTACCTGATATGATGACTGCAGCGTCCTTAGCCACACTCAGACATTGCCCTGTTTGTCATGTTTGTATGGTGGTGGGGAGGGATCAGGAGTGGCCAAAACTTAAAACTGGACCCTGGAGGTGGAGACCGAGAAGGAAGTGGGAGTAAAGACCAGCTTCTGGGGGTGGGATGGGGTCCAACCTGTCTTCGGGGATTACAGGGGCCTCCTGTGACTGTGGGTACAGATGGTGGTGGGGGTGTTGTGCAGCCAGCAGGAGCAGGGGCTCCGGCACAAGGTCATCAGAGTGCTGAGTGGGTGACATGCATGGTGGGAGAGGGAGCCACCACTGCATCATGGAGATTCGGGCGTGTAGACAGGAGGATGGCAGCTAGTGCTTGGAAATGTCATATGGATTCTGGGAATGGGATTGGCATGAACAAGGCAGGTGAACGGGGAGCTGGGTACTGCACTGGTCCCAGCATCTGGGCCTGGGCAGAGATCTTATTGCAGAAGCAAGGGAAGAAGGTGGGGCTGGATCTCAGAATGAAAGAAGGAACAAATAGCAGACCCAAGAGGCTTATGCAGTGGCCCATATTGGAGGAGTCAGGATGGGTCCCAGCAACCTAGAGAGGGCTGGGCCTGTGCCATGGCTCCATCTGGGGCAGAAGGACCAGCAGAGCCCAAGAACTGGGAGACCCTGTCTGAAAGGACATCATGCTTTAGCAAGCTGGGTGTTTTAGGGACACACATTGCATCCTAAGTTTTTTTTTTAGGAAGCCTCGGTTCAGAAGAGGACCTAGGGAGCCCCAGGACTTGTGAATATTGATGTCAGAAGTGAAATTTCTCCTAGCAGAAGGGAGAATCTCTATAACTTTTTTTTTTTTTTTGAGGTGCAATCTTGCTCTGTTGCCCAGGCTGGAGTGCAGTGGCACGATCTCGGCTCACTGCAATCTCCACCTCCCAGGTTCAAGCAATTCTCCTGTCTCAGCCTCCCAAGTAGTTGGGATTACAGGTGCCCCCCACCATGCCTGGCTAATTTTTGTATTTTTAGTAGAGACAGGGTTTCACCATCTTGGTCAGGCTGGTCTTGAACTCCTGACTTTAGGTGATCCGCCTGCCTTGACCTCCCAAAGTACTGGGATTACAGGTGTGAGCCACTGCGCCCGGCCAATTTTTTTTTTTTTTTTTTTTTTTTTTTTTTTTTTTTTTTTTTTTTTTTTAGACAGGGTCTTGCTCTGTCGCCCAGGCTGGAGTGCAGTGGCGCCATCTCGACTCCTTGCAGCCTCCACCTCCCAGGTTCAAGCAATTCTCCCACCTCAGCCTCCAGGGTAGCTGGGATTACAGGGGCCCACCACCATGCCCGGCTAATTTTTGCTTTGTTTTGTTTTGTTTTGGGATGAAGTTTCACTCTCGTTGACCAGGCTGGAGTGCAATGGTGTGATCTCAGCTCACTGCAACCTCCATCTCCTGGATTCAAGTGATTCTCCTGCCTCAGCCTTCCAAGTAGCTGGGATTACAGGCGCCCGCCACCATGCCCAGCTAATTTTCACATTTTTAGTAGAGACGGGTTTCATCATGTTGGCCAGGCTGGTCTCAAACTCCTGACCTCAGGTGATCCACCTACCTCAGCCTCCCAAAGTGCTGGGATTATAGGCATGAGCCACCATGCCCAGCCAATTTTTGCATTTTTAGTAGAGACGGGACTTCACCATGTTGGCCAAGCTGGTCTTGAACTCCTGACCTCAGGGGATCTACCCGCCTCGGCCTCCCAAAGTGCTGGGATTACAGGTGTGAGCCACTGCGCCTGGCCTATAGCTTTTATTTATCCTAATAGAGACACAAGCTTGCTAGTTTCTCTATTTTTTTAAAGAAAAAACTTTTTTGTTTTTGTTTTTTTAGACAGAGTCTCGGTCTGTCGCCCAGGCTGGAGTGCAGTGGTGCAATCTCGGTTCACTGCAACCTCTGCCTCCCAGGTTCAAGGGATTCTCCTGCCTCAGCCTCCTGAGTAGTTGGGATTACAGGCGTGTGCCACCACGCCCAGCTAATTTTTGTATTTTTAGTAGAGATGGGGTTTCACCGTGTTGGTCAGGCTGGTCTCAAATTCCTGACCTCATGATCTGCCTGCCTCAGCCTCCCAAAGTGCTGGGATTACAGGCATGAGCCACCACGCCTGGCCTTTTGTTTTGTTTTGTTTTGTTTTTGTTTTTTAAGATAGGGTCTTGCTCTGTCACTCAGGCTGAGTGTGGTGGCACAATCATAGCTCACTGCAGTCTCAAACTCCTGAGCTCGAGTGATCCTACTACCTCTGCGTCTGGAGTAGCTGGGACTACAGGCAGGTGCCTGTATGTACCACACCTAGCTAATTTAAAAAAAAAAAATTGAGGGCCGGGCGCTGTGGCTCATGCCTGTAATCTCAGGACTTTGGGAGGCTGAGGCAGGCAGATCACTTGAGGTCAGGAGTTCGAGACCAGCCTGGCCAACATGGTGAAACCTGTCTCTACTAAAAATACAAAAATTAGCTGGGTGTGGTGGCACATGCTTGTAATCCCAGCTACTAGGGAGGCTGAGGCATGAGAATCGCTTGAACCCGGGAGGCGGAGGTTGCAGCGAGTGGAGATCACGTCACTGTACTCCAGCCTCGGTGACAGAGTGAAACTCTGTCTCAAAAAAAAAAAAAATGTTTTTTGTAGAGACAGAGTCTTGCTATGTTGCCCAGGCTAAGACATAAACTTAATGCATTCCTTTTCTGCACCCATCTTGAGTCACTCCTTGCCGAAGAGGTGTCTGAGGATCAGTGCTCACTGAGGGTATGCCATCCACATGCATCAGTGGTTTAGAGCAAGAAGTGACCCAGCCTTTCCTTCATTTTACTAGGAGGAAACTGAGGCCCAGAGGGGTTGAGAGACTCCCCTTAGGTCCAGGGGCTCAGGAGAGAGTGGGGACAGAATCCCAGCTGCAGACCCCCCAGCCAGTGCTCCCTTCCTCTGTGCCCCCCCACCCATCTGGACTTTCCATGGTAACTAAGCCTCCTCCAGTGTGGGAAGCAGTTACCTAGCAACTTCCCATAACCAGGTTAGAGCCGAGGGAGTGAGATACCACATGCTGCCTGCCCTGGGGAATTTAGATGTGTAGAAATGGGATCGCCCACGTCATAGTGTGGCCACAAATGACCCTGCATAGAGCCATGCCTGGAAGCCCCTGTCGGGGAGAGTCTCACATCAGGATCAGTGAGTCTCAGGGATGACGGCACAGTCCTGGGCTGGCTGAGGCGTCCACCCCTGCAGTGGATGCAGGGCCCCACTGTGTACAGTGCTGGTTTCTCTGAACAGCATGGAACCTGTCCCCATTGACCTGCTGGCTCAGTGTGGATGGGGGATCCACAGAGGAAGGCTGATGGAAAGGCTGTGTCTGTGTCCTTGCAGGCGTCTCACTGTGGCGGGGGGAATGGCAGGGAAGCTGTGCTCCTTCATGCTGCCTCTTGTTCCCTAATTATGTCAAGAAATGTTTATGAAATGACATGATTGTAAAGTAAGTGACTCTTCCTGTAATGTTCCCTGTATATTGGGTTTTGACAACCATCCGCCACCCCCACACGCTCACCTGCTTCTTCCTGTGGGCAGAGCCCTGCCTAGGTTCCCAGGTTCTGCCTCCTGAAGGGTCCTACCAATTGGCCTAAGCCAGTTATGGTGGCCTCATTCTCTTGGAAATGGCTGGTGTAAGAACAGCATGGGATCCAGTCTTGCCAGTGGGATCTGTGTGAATGGCCGCTGAAGGACCTCCAGGAAGGAAAGGGTTTCTCATTGAGTAGAATTGGGAGAGAATGTGCCCCTTCTCCATTAGACATTGTCACGTCTGCATGTGATGTCTGGAGCTGTAAGCCACTGAGAAGAGACACCACTGATGCTCAGAGACATCACTGATGCATTGTTGGGCCATTGTGTTAAGCCAGCCAATGGCTGTCTTGTCTCTGGACTTCTTGTGATGGGAAATCATGAGCCTCTTGTTGCTCTAGAGCCTTTTGGTCAGGCCTCTGTTTTTTTCGCCTCCAGCTCACTCACTTTGCACTTGTCTGAGTGGGCCACTTAATAGAGATGCCTTGACAAGTCTTGGTATTAAAGGTAAAGCACCCAAAGAAAACAAATGTCCCATATCTTCGATTTACTGACTAAATCAAAGATGGGACTCCCTGATCCTTTATCTCCTCAGTTGGAATTGAAATCCGACTAGCAGCTGCATGCCCAGCTCTCGCAGGTCTGAATAGACTTCTCCCTAAAGAGCCTGATGGCGTCCCTGGTATTCCCAGCATCTGGCACATTTCTTTCATTCATTCATTCATTCATTCATTCATTCACTCATTCACTCACTCACTCATGCGGTGGTGTGCTGGGGCTGGCTCCTATCTGCCCATGAAAAACAATTGTGTACATCTCTTCCCAACTCTGGATTCAGTGATGTCATGTTGGTAGCCTGAAATCTGCCATGGTGGGAGTTGTTCTTTTTTAAGTAGACTTTTTTTTTTCAGCAGTTTTAGGATCACAGCAAAATGGAACAGAAGACACAGGGAGTTCCCAAATACCCCCTGTCCCCACACACGCATAGCCTCCCTCACTGTCAACATCCTCCAGCAGAGTGATATATTTGTTACAATTGTTGAGCCTACATTGACACACCATAATCACCCGAAATGCGTAGTTTACATTAGGGTTCACTCTTCCTGTTGTGCATCCTATGGGTTTTGAAAAATGTGTCATGCCATGTGTCTATTGTTGTGGCATCACACAGAGGAGTTTCACTGCCCTAAAAATCCTCCGGGCTCTGCGTATTCATGCCTCCCACCCTCAACCCTTCCAACCACTGATCTTTTTACCGCCTCTCTAGTTTTTCCTTTTCCAGCATGCCATGTAGTTGAAACGGTACAGTGTGTAGCCTTTTCATATTGGCTTATTTCACATAGTAATATGCATTTAAGGGTTGGGTGCAGCATCGCATGCCTGTAATACCATCACTTTGGGAGGCTGAGGTGGGCAGATCACCTTAGGTCAGGAGTTCAAAACCAGTCTGGCCAACATGGTGAAACCCCGTCTCTACTAAAAAAAAAAAAAAAATTCAGCCAAGCGTGGTGACGGGCGCCTGTAATCCCAGCTACTTGGGAGGCAGAGGCAGGAGATTTGCTTGAACCAGGGAGGTGGAGGTTGCAGTGAGCTGAGATTACACCACTGCACTCCAGCCTGGGTGACAGAGTGAAACTCCATCTTAATAATAATAATAATAATAATAATAATAATAATAATATGCATTTAAGGGTTTTCATCTTTCATAGCTTGGTAGCTTATTTCTTTCTAAATACTATTCTATTGTCTGGAGGTACCACAGTTTATTTATTCATTCACCTATTGTAGGACATTTTGGTTTCTTCTAAGTTTTGGCAATTATGAATAAAGCCACTATAAATATCCATGTCCAGGTCTTTGTGTGGATGTTTTCAGCACCTTTCAGTAAATACCAAGGAGTGTGAATGCTGGATCCTATGACCAGCGTAAGTTTAGTTTTGCAAGAAACCGTCGAACTCTCTTCCAAAGTAGCTGTACCATTTTGCCTTCCCACCATCAATGAATGAGAGTTCCTGTTGTTTCACATCATCACCAGCATATGGTGTTGTCAGTATTATAGATATGGGGCATTCTTATAGGTGTGTGGTGATATTTCATTGTTTTAATTTGTATTTTCCTAATGACATATGATATTGAGCATCTTTTTATCTCCTCACTTGCCATCTATATCTTCTTCCATGAGCTGTCCATGTCTTTTGCCCATTTTTAAATTGGGTTGTTCATCTTCTAATTGTGGAGTTTTTTTGTTGTTGTTGTTGGTTTTTTTTGTTTCTTACTTTCTTTCTTTCTTTCTTTCTTTTTTTGAGATGGAGTCTTGCTCTGTTGCCCAGGCTAGAGCGAAGTGGCAGGAACTTGGCTCACTGCAACCTCCACCTCCCGGGTTCAAACAATTTTCCTGCATCAGCCTCCCAAGTAGCTGGGATTACAGGTGCCCGCCACCAAACCCGGCTAATTTTTGTATTTTTAGTAGAGACGGGATTTCACCATCTTGGCCAGGCTGGTCTCAAACTCCTGACCTCATGATCCACCTGCCTCGGCCTCCCAAAGTGCTGGGATTACAGGCGTGAGCCACTGTGCCCTGCCTATTGTTGAGTTTTAAGAGTTCTTTGTGTATCATAGTCCTTTATCAGATATGTCTTCTGTACATATTTTCTCCTGGTCTGTGACTTGTCTTCTCATTCTCTTGGCATATGGTGGGAGTGTTTACACCATAGAATTGGCAAATACCACAAGTTAGGGCTTCTTCTTAGAGAGAGCCAATTATTAAATCTTTACCAGCACGTCACTGCATCTAGGCATCAACCATTTATTGACTGCACTGCATATCTTTGACCTAAAAAAGATTTGGTCTAGCAGAGGAGGCAGATCAGTGAATCACTGACAATGGTGTTCTGAGTATTGGGATAGAGGGAGAACAAGGTTACTACAGGAACATAAGTGGGGGTGGGGGAACGGGGGCACTTACATCAACCATAATATTGGGATGGTTTCCCAGTGGAGACCTGGAGCCCTGAGCTAATGATTTCAAAGTAAGTAACAGTTGTCTGGACCCACGCTGCCCTATAAGGCAGCTCTTTGCCACATGTGGCAATTTCAGTCATTTATACCAGGCATATTTCAAGTATTCAATAGCCACATGTGGCTAGTGGCTAGTGGCTACCACATTGGATGGAGCAGATACAGAGCTTTTCCCTCATCACAGAAAGTCCTAATAGACAGCCCTTGTCTAGACAAAACAGTGGGAGAAAGCATTCCAGGCAAAAAGAACAGAATGTAGGAGACCAGAGGTCTTAGAAAACATGCCTCATTCTGGGAACCACAGATAGTTCTAAGGGACTGAAGTAAAGAGTGTTTGGGACTGGAGAGGTAGAAGATGTGGCTGAACGAACAAGGCAGCAGGCAGATCACAAAAGGCCTTTAGTGCGAAGCTAAGGAGGTTAAACTCCAGCCTGAAGACTATGGAGAACCCAAAGATTTGAGCAGGAGCTTGGTATCATCAGCCTGTCTGCGAATAAGATCTCCCTGACTGCGTTGGAGGCTGTATTACAGGGGGCCAGCCAGAAAGGCAGGGAGACGAGTGCTGAGACTATTGCAGTCATCAGGGAAAGAAGTGAGAGAGGTTTGAAGTAAGGCAGTGGCTGTGGAATGGGTGCAGAGAAGGGACAGAGTTGAGAGAATGTGAAGGACCCGATGGCTGATTGTGTCTGACCCTGAAGAGGTGCTTTGTAAATATTTGTTGACTTAATGAATGAATTACAGCAAAACTTAAAACAATAGAAGTGAGTGCACAGCTACTAGGCTTCTAGGTAGTATCTACTGCACAAATGGTGTGGTGCAGAGGACACCCTTGCCTTGGTATGGACAGGCTGAAGTGTTGACTTTAGACTGAGAAAACAGCAAATATTTTGACCATGCTAATCAGTCCCCAGTGTGGGCTGTTGTGTTTCAGGTTAGCTGTGAGCTAACGATGGCATGTAGGTACATTCCCCTTCTTTTGAGCTCAAGGAGAAAGAGGCAACAGGGAAGAGTGAGAAGAGAGAGACGGAGGGAAGGGTTGGTATCCCTTGTTCTGTCTGATGGAGGGAGGGCTCGGCTGAGAAGAGAGCCAGCTGTGCTCATGGAAGATGCTGAGGGAGCCAGGGTCCAAGCAGTGCCTCTCAGAATTGGGCACAGGCTGGCCATTCTCCCCTCTACCTCTTCCCCAATCTCCTTGTCATGTGGACTGCAGGGCAGATTTGGTGTCCTGAAGGATTGGGTCAATTCACCAGCAGATAAATGTGGTGCATAGTGGATCCGCAGCATCTGGGAAGGCATTGTCAGCAGAGGATGCGTGGGGCAACAGAACACTGGAACCAGAGTAGGAAGCGTGAGTATACTGGTGCCTAAACACGTGAGAGATAACAGCCTCCCTCTCTTGGCCTCTCAGAAGTTAACTGGAGGAGAATCCGAAGACAGTGGCTAAAGCTACTGGAACCTGGACATCATTGTAAATATGACCTTGTTTGCATCTACAGGTCTGTTAGGCCCAAGACAGTTGAGTTACAAAATGAGTAAATAGATGAGATGAAGCAGGTCCAATCATTCCTTCATTAGAAAAATATTTACTGAGCCTCTGTGTGCCTTGCATAGTGCTAGATGCTGGGTGTACAATGGTTTACAAAACAGAGGTGACCCCTGCTCCGTGGAGCTTACAGCTCCAAGTTCACTTGAACTTGGGAGGCAGAGGCTGCAGTGAGCTGTAATAGCCATACAGCTCAGTCTGGCACCATCATCTGTGTACGTGCTATTCAGGAAAAGCACAGGATTCATAAGACCATCTTAGGGGAAGGATTATTTTAGATTAGAGGGCAGGGGAGGACTGTTTGGAAGTGACATTTAAACCCAGACCTGGGCCAGGCATGGTGGCTCACACCTATATTCCCATCACTTTGGGAAGCCAGGGTGAGTGGATCACCTGAGGTCAGGAGTTCAAGACCACCCTGGCCAACATGGTGAAACCCTGTCTCTACCAAAAATGCAAAAATTAGCCAGGTGTGGTGACATGACCCTGTAATCCCAGCTACTCGGGAGGCTGAGGTGGGAGAATCACTTGAACTTGGGAGGCAGAGGCTGCAGTGAGCTGAGACTGTGCCACTGCACTCCAGCCTGGGCAACAGAGCCAGACCCCATCTCAAAACAAAAACAAAAACAAAAACAAAAACAAAAACAAAAAACAAAAAACAGAAAACAAAAAACCAACCCAGACCTGGAGATGAACAAGAGTTAGCAGGGTTAGCAGGGGATGTGCCTCCAGG
This sequence comes from Homo sapiens, assembly GCF_000001405.40. Taxonomy (NCBI): domain Eukaryota; kingdom Metazoa; phylum Chordata; class Mammalia; order Primates; family Hominidae; genus Homo; species Homo sapiens. The sequence goes on along the minus strand of NC_000022.11, from coordinate 39,975,052 downwards.
TAGCAAGAATGGCAAGTGTGAAAGGTTTGGGGACAAATCCTTGGCCATTTGGAGGCTGAAAGGCCAGTGGGGCAGGAGCATAAAAGCAAGGGGCAGGGGAGGCAGAAGAGGAGGCTGAGGAGGGAGGCAGGGGCCGGACTTCACAGGGCCACATTAGGACTTTGGACTTAAGCCTAAATCCAGTGGGAAGGGGAGTGATGTGATCGGATTTATTTTTACAAAGATCGCTTTGGCATCTGTGTGGAGGACCAGATTACGGGAGAGAATGCAGGGAGAAAGGTATGAAAGCTGACAGTTGCCAAAGGAAGAGATGATGGTGGCATGGCCAAGGTGATGGAGTAAAGTGGAGGAACTGAGGAGGCATTTTTTAAAAAGCATTGAGACAATCAAGGTTTTTCTCACACACTTGCCTTGGTATAGAGGGGCTAAAATGTTGGCTTAGACAAGGCAAACAGTAAATATTTTGGCCATGCTAATCTGTCCCGAGTGTGGGCTGTTGTGTTTTAGGTTAGCTGGGAGCACAGTCCCCTGCCTCAACCAGGGCCACATCTGACCAGAGTCAATTTTATGACTGAAGATTTCCTGACAAAGCTTTTACAACTTCTGCAATCTCTGCTGATGTTTAAAATAATTACTATTAGGAAATAGTAATTATTATAGGAAATTCCTGTTTGCATTTCATCTGAATTCCTCTCACATTACATTTTTTTAATTCTAGAGATAAGGATGCTAAAATAATAAGTCACCTGGGTAGCCAAATATGAATGACGTCATAATGACCGTTCTGAATTGCATCTGTCCCAAAGCCAAAGTGACCTATTCGTTAGCAGCGAAGAAAAAATGGCCGAATATCCTCAGAAGAAGAGCCCAATTAGAGTTGTGCTCACTGCTAAGTTCTTTGCCTTTGCTCCTTAACATGTGGACCTAGCAACAGCACCCAGTAGCTTGTTAGAAATTCAGGACCAAGTTGGAAGCTGCATTTCAACACGGTCCCCAGGCAATTCGTAGGCACTTTAAATTTTGAGAAGCACCATGGTTAGATCACCCTAGGGCCATCTAAAAGTGGGTGGGCAGTGGCAGGTGCCAGATATTTGAAATGCGGTGAGGCACAGCAAGTGGTTAGGAAAACCCAACAACTGGTCCAACAGGACCTGGCTTTTCTCTGGAAGCTTCAAGTTCCCAAGTCACATAGAGTGTTGCAGCCAAACTCGGGGACAATGTGTTTGTTGGCTGCTGGTTCTGTGGCTGGTGAGAGGAGCTGGCTCAACCCTCCTCTGGTGCTGAAATGCTGTCAGGTAGAAACTAGGGCCCGTGGGGACACATGCGGAGGGGCTCCCCCTGGCAGCACCAGAGGCTGAGGGGGGTTGAGCTCTCTTTCCCCCTCCCCTCCATAATGTGGACAGTTTGGTTCTTGTCCTCTTTACCTGGCCGCTAAGAGCCCTCATTCCTTGTAGGTGGTTTGGGTGACTTTCCCGCTTCCTTCTGAATGGAGGCTGATGAGCAAGGGAAAGATGCTTTGGCATCTCAGTACAAAATACTCTTCAGTAGCTTTTGCTACAACAGAACACCGAGCTCCAGGGGTTCTGAAAGCTCTGCTCATACCGCCTGCCTACGGGGTCAGCTCCTGCAGGCCGATGACCCCTGTCACCCCCTGGTCTCGTTCTCACTCTCTACCTGAGGGGTATGCAACGCAGACACCAGACACGGCCTGGCCAAACAAGGACACTTTGTTTTATTACTGCTTTCCTGAGAAGCCTTTCAAGGCACAAAGTCTCCACCAGAATCGAATCACATACCTCCGTCTAACTAGAGCTGGTCCTCCCACATCATCAGACAACTGGATGGAGTTTGTGGGCTGTTTAAAGCATATGGTTTGTAAATACTGTAAAATCAAACATTACTTATGGCTTTTATTTACTGCAGCATTTCACATTACCTAGCACCAAAATAGCTGAGGAGGTCTTCTCTGCCTTTGTTCTTTCTCCTGTTCTTTTCCTTATGCTTCTTTGCTCCCTGCCTTCCGCAGCAGCGGTTTCTCTGCTCTGATTCTTCCTCTCCCCACTGCCCAGCCCTCCTCCTGCACCATCTGCCCACCAACTCCACACCGTTCTCTTCCCTGGCCCCACTCACCCTCTCCCTTTCCTCCCCCTGTGCCTCTCACGCTGCCCCTTGATCCTCCTGGATGTCTTAGCTACCTTTCCCTCTCTCTGCTTTCACTTCCAAAAGCTGCAGGTGCTCCTTACTCACACTCGACTCCCTCCTGCCTCCACCAGGCTATTTTCTTTTCCCTCCCAATACCCACCACAGAGTTCCTTTTTTCCTCTTTCCTCTAAAGGAAACATGAGGATCAGAGAACTGTAGAATCACAGTCACAAGGGACACTGCTTGTGCTACACTGGCAGTCACTTCTGAGTCAGAAAATCTTTCTTCTCCGATCACCTTCAATAACGGCTGCCCCCAACCCCATCCCTCCTTAGAGCAAGAGAGGTTGGGGAAGAGAAAACTTCCAGGCTCCCTCACCAACACTTTCACCCCCTTTCCTGTCTCAGCACACACACAGACACACAGATGCATGCACGCACATGTCCACACATGCAGGAATGCACACATATGCATACACAAGCACACATGTATACACACAGGAGTGCACAAATATGTGCGTGCAAGCACACATGTGCACACCTGCAGGGGTACACACCCATACCCACAAACTCCGAGTGCACTTGGTGCAGAACGGGTTTGCACCCGGCCTCCCCTAAGGCCCTGAGCTTCCTCTCTACTGTCTCCTTCGCCCCTGGCCAGGCTGACCTGTGCTGTGCACCTCCAGAGTGAGCCCTTGGACACATGATTCTAGCGTGATGGGATGGAGAGCGACAGCCATGGTGGGGTTCCTTGCTCCAGGTGCAACTCTTGGGCAGCAGGAGGACAGCAGTGGTCAGACTGAACAGGAAGCTGGTGTCAAAGCCAGCTTCCACCTGGGGTCATGTTTAGTCAATCAATTCATAGTCAGGCTCCTATCATCAAGTGGGCTTCTTTCCATGCCACTGGGCAAGGCATCTTCAAAAGAGAAAATCAAGAGGGAAAATGAACAGAGCCCTGAAGACATACCCTTGTAACCATAAAACAATGACTGTAAAATTCAGCATTCTCAGCTAGAGCTTCTTCAAGCACTTTACGGAATGTAGGATGCTATTTCCTTCATAGCTGGGGAAACAGAGGTTCCACTGAGTAAGCTGCTTGGGGATTGTGGAAAATCCCTCGATTTCCCAGTACTTCGCTCCTCACATTGAAACATTCATTTGAAAGACCCAAGGAATATTAATTTGAACAGAGATGAATGTCTCAGCTAGGTGTTGACTAGGAGGCCAGCCTTGCACAGGCAGGGTCTCTCCAACCCCGTCCTGCCTTCACATCCCCGCTCAGACTCGCTTGGCTGCCCGCAGCACTGGGCTGCACCTTAATTCCTAATGCAACAGTGCCCACCCCTTGGAGAACAGGAGGAGAGCTGCTCTGCAAGCCCTCCAGGTGAGCGGGGCTTGCAGGTCAGCTAGAACGTGCCCCACCAAGTTCAACCCCACCCTGTTGTTCTGTGTCCAGTGCCGAGGTGTGGTCTCTGCTTAGCTGTTCTCCGTGAAAATTCCCAAGACAAGGAGGAAGCAGTGACAGCTGAAGGCCAGGACAAAACTCCATTTCATTTCCCTGCCCCCCTCCCAACTCCCCCACTGCCTTCCACACACCCCTGAGGGGGGCAGAAAAGCAAGTGTCAATATTATTCTCCACCTGAGTTCCCTTTTGCATCAACTAATTACCAGCCCAATTGCCAATAAATTACTAGTATAAAAAGTTGTGTGTGTACACAGGCAGATGTAGATAGATGTATGTATATATAGTCATGGAGTCCAGCCTTTTTTCCTTGCCCTCTTTCTTGTGGGCAGCTCCAGACAAAAAGCTTCTGTCCCCTGAAGAGTTTATCGGGTCATGGGTGCCACGTAGTTGGCAGGGAAGAGGCCCAGCTTGTTGTGCAGGCGGCCGGTCCACCAGGATGGGTTGGAGCTATCCAGGACCTCCACCACCTCCCCGCTGTGGAACCCCAGCTCGTCATCCTCCAGGGCCTCAAAGTCATACAGCGCCCGGGCCCACCGCACTCGCTGTTGGGGGAAGCACAGAAGAGGCTCTGCTGAGCTGTGGGCTGGGCAGGCAGGGGAGGGTCTGCTGGCTCCTCCCACCACATCCAAGTCTTTGAGAGCAACATTCCCTGAAGGCTGACCCCTCTGCAGCTTAAAAAAACTTTTTTTGTAGAGATGGGGTCTTGCTATGTTGCTCAGGCTGGTTTTGAACCCTTGGCCTCAAGAAGTCCTCCTGCCTTGGCCTCCCAAGTAGCTGGAACTACAGGTGTGAGCCACCATGCCCGGCTACCCTGCTGCAATTTAAATCAGATACCTATGCACAGGCCTGAGCAAGAAGTTCCCAGAACGCACCAGCGTCACTCTGGAGACCCAGGACTTTTACCAACAGATGTTATTGTCCAAAGCCCCAATAGACTCCCTGAGAACCACTCTCTCCACATCAATAGGTGGTATTTTTATCTTGAGTGACAAACAGAAGGGCAACATGCCCCAAACAACAGCCCTTGGTGTTAGGGCAATCAAGTCACAAGTCAAGATGGATCACAGGCCAGGCACGGTGGCTCATGCCTGTAATCCCAGCACTGTGGGAGGCTGAGGTAGGAGGATTGCTTGAGCCCAGGAGTTCCAGACCAGCCTGGGCAATATAGCAAGAGCTTATCGCTACAAATAATATACCTAGCTACTTGGGAAGCAGAGGCAGGAGGATCGCTTGAGCCTAGGAGTTTGAATCTGCAGTGAGCCATGATTGTGCCACTGCACTTGAGCCTGGGAGACAGAGTGAGACCCTGTCTCAAAAAACAAAAAAAAGATGCAATGATAAAGGCAATGGTAAAGGACTATGATAAAGATGATAAAGAACTAGAACTGAGAACTATGAGAACAGGGAAGGCCTGGCACCAGACTGAGATCAACAGACTGGACGGTGCTGGCTCAGCCCCAGGCCTCCCCAAACATTCCATCACCTCTCGTTGATCTGTGTGTGCATTTTTGTTTTGTTTTGTTTTGTTTTTTGAGACGGAGTTTCGCTCTTGTTGCCCAGGATGGAGTAAAATGGCGCAATCTCGGCTCACTGCAACCTCTGCCTCCTGGGTTCAAGCAATTCTCCTGCCTCAGCCTCCCAAGTAGCTGGGATTACTGGCATCTGCCACCATGCCTGGCTAATTTTTGTATTTTTAGTAGACGTGAGGTTTCACCATGTTGGCCAGGCTGGTCTCGAACTCCTGACCTCAGGTGATCCACCTGCCTTGGCCTCCCAAAGTGTTGGGATTACAGGTGTGAGCCACCGTGCCCAGCCAGATCTGTGTGGTTTGAGTCTCTCCTGCCTCATCTCCTCCATTGACCTCTGTCCCAAGGCCTTTCCCCAGGGATCCCAGAGAAGGACAGTTCCCATACCCCTGCCGCCTGGAGCTGCACTGGGTCTGTGTGTCTCCGATGCATGAGGGCCGCATTCATTTCACTGCCCAAGCCGGTGCCACAATGCCCATCATTTATGTCAAGGCTGCCTCCTCGGCGTTCCTAGAAACATACAACAGAAGACTGGTCACCCCACTGCCAGGACATCTCCCACCGGTTCCCCCAGTGCCTTGCTCAGATGCCATCCACAGAGCCGGTATATTCCAGGAATACTTACTGATAATGACAATAAACCCTCCACGTTGAGGAGGACCTAAGGTCTAAAGGCACCTTAGATTCTGAAGGCAAAGAAGGCAAAGGCAGGTTTTATTTATTCAGTCAAGAAATATTTATCAGGCACCTACCATGTTTCCAGTAGCAGACACAAGGGAAATATAGCTGGAAAGAGAAGGTCTCTGGCTTCATGGAGCTTCCATTTAGAGGGGGAACCATGCACATTTAAGTGGTAAGTGAGCAGAGAGAAGAAATGTCTGTATCTGCCCGGGAAATCAAGGAAGGCTTCACAGAGGAGGTCATGCTTGAACTCCAGCTTAGAGGGGTAGGACTGCCCAGGGAGGGGCTCATCAGGCAGAGAGATCAGCATATAAAACGCCACAAAGGCATGAGAGGAAACGCAATGGACCATTCGGGTAACTAAGGCAGCGTGGGGGGTTGCTGGAATGTGTGTTTGCACGGGGAGTTGGCAGGGAGGCAGCAGGGACGAGGCTGGGGAAATAGATTCTGGCAGCTCACAAAGGACTTTGTGTGCCCTGCTAAGGAATTCAGGAATGATGTTATCTGGCCGTATTGTCCATCTCAGTAAGCCGCCTGAAATCCCATCGGGAACAAGGGTGGAGGGAGATAAATAAGTAATAAACAAGGCTCTGTTGTGGGTATTAAGCCTTTTTCTCTTGTGGATCTGACAGCCAGATGGGCTAAGGGGCATGAATAGATTTGGAATTGTGCTGATAGGAAAATGAAGCAATTGTTTACTGGGTCCTCAGGGGAAGTGTGTGTGTGTGTGAGTTTAAGTGTGTGTGTGTGTGTGAGACAGTGTGTGTGTGTGTGTGTGTGTTCAGGTGGGAGCCATTTAATTCATAGAGATGTCTTTGCCAAGAACAGTTTCCCTATTTCTGCCATTTGGGGGGGTCCAGGGTCTTCATCATGAACTCTCTGAGAACTCAAGAGGCTGGGCCAGGCCTGGAGGGGAGGCAGGTTCTCCTTTCCACCGTACTGTGCCCACTGCCTTCTTTCCAGATACCTGGTGGAAATGGTGGTGCTGCAGATATCGCTGCTGTGGGGGCTGCTGCAGCTGCTGGGGCGCTGGGGCATATTGCGGAGGCTGTGGCTGGTGCTGGTGCTGCTGCAGGGGAAGGGTCGGGGGGTGATCCGACAGCTTCCGGTTCATCGAAGGTCGGATTTCTTCTCCCACAGCCCCACTGAGGTGTGGGCCTCCCTGGGACCTCCGGTCCAGGCTGTTGCCCCGGTGACCCTGGGAGAAAGAACAGAGATGCTGCAGATGCATCCTCCTCTCTGATCGTCTGGCCCTACCCTACCCTCGGGCAGTTGTTCCCAGACCCTGCTCATCTGGCTCCAAGAAATAGCTGGTGGGGTGGGGGCAGCTAAAAGATAATTGATGCTTTAGACCTTCACATTTTCCAAAGTGGCCTCTGCATTCTCAGATCCTCCCAGTTTTAGGAGTGCAGGTCTCTGGTTCACAGACTAACACTTTTTGCCTGGTAGCCATTTAGTCCATTTCCAGGGCGCTCGTTTTTTCTCTGTGTAATCAAGCTGAAATATTCCATTTTACTGATACAATGCCACCCCTTCTTATCACATGTTGCCACACCACTGGACAATCTACCCTCCAGATAAGCTCCACTGTTGACTTTGCATGATTTTGAACTGTCATTTACAGCCTGGTGATAGAGACCCAAACAGCAACATTCTTGCAACACCATGGGAACCAGGCCTGCCGCCGGGCTGGACGTGGGGGAAGAAGTAAGGCCTTTTTCCCTAATGTTACAACAACCTTACAAATCAGAAATACCGTATTGTTAGTTTCATTTAACAAACAATTATGTAGGACCCTGAGGGCAGCATATACCAGGCACTGTTCTAAGCGCTTTACAAATATCAACTCATTTAATCCCATTTAATGCAATTTTATATTGCTTCTCTGAATGCCCATCCTAGTGAGTTAATACCTCTGTCCGTTTCCTGGTTAGAGTGATTCACAAGGTCTTGGCTAGCCTTTGTTTTCCTTTCTGAACTTCTGTGTGCATTTGGTGGTAACTTCTTTTCTCCTTTGGCAGTAACTTCTCAGGCTTAAAAGCAACTAGGGACTCGAAAAAGGAGGATTTTCTTGACTTCCCCAAAGCACACATTGCTTTCACAGTCTCAATATCTTTTCAAATAACCTGTCCCTAGGATTTCAGCTATTCTAGTGAATGCTTCTTCCTATGATACCTGTCTCTTATAACCATGTTATTTCCTTTGAAAAATAGTTCATAAATTGGTGTGTGTGTGTGTGTGTGAGTGTGTGCATGTGTGAATTTACTTATGGGAGGCAAGTTAACATGTTCTTAGTGTTTAATATGGACCAGACTCTGGTAGTGCTTAGCTGTATTAAGTCATTTAATCCTCACAACAGCCCAGTGAGGGAGGTTTTATTGCTCTCTCCATTCTACAGATGAGAAAACTGATACTCAGATGGTTTCTTAACTTGGCTAGGTAATACAGGTAGCTAAGCGATTAAAGCAGGATTTCATACCAGGTCTGTCTGACGCATTTCCTTTTAAAGCAATAGTCTGTATTGCAAACAGTTGCAACAGCAATAATTCCAAGTGCAGTTTTCTCCTCCCATGTCCTCCCTACCCCCAATCCCATCATAAAACTCCACATGCTGATTTAACTCCTGAACTCTAGGCTGTTCCCTAATGTCCCTGTCTGTAGCACCCCCAACTCCTTCATCCTTGGGCAACTCTTGAGCTAGGTTGAAAACTTTGGTGTAGCAATGTCTATGAATAACAAAAAAACAGCACCTGTGGTAAGAGCTGATGCTTGCTGAGCGCAGTGTGATGAGGAATGACATGAGGCGTGGGATACATTATCTTCTCCAACCTTCACAGCCATTCTGGGAGGTAGATATTACCATTGTCCCTACTTTATGGATGAGGAAACTGAGGCGCAGAGAACTTTCCAAAGTCACACGACTAGGAAGTGTTAAGTTGAGATCTGACCTCAGAGCTCTGAGCTCTGTCTTTCAGTATACTCAGAGGATCTACCCATCCTATGCATTTTTCCTGGTGGTTCATGTGAGAACTCAGGCTGCCTAAAATCTCTAGATTGGGGTCGACTGGATCTGGAGCATACCTGGTCTTCTCGGGTTCTGTCTCTAAGGAAGATCTGCTTCTGTCTGGAGATGGAATTTGTCCTGTAGTAGTCTACCAGCTTATTTAGGGATGGAAACTTCTCAGTCCACAGAAAGTAATTACCCTTGTTGTCTCGCATGACCTTGAAGTGTTGAACGTCATCCTCATGCCTGGAGATCAAGGCAAAACAAAATTGTATGTTACACGGTGATAATGTCACCACCTCCAGGCTGCTCACATCTGGGATGGTGGAGTTCTCTTTGAGCAGGAGATGTAGATATGGATGACTCACTCATCACTGGGCAGGTGGGCCAGCCCAGTCAGGCTTCGGCAGGAACTTTGTAGGATGGACCACTTAGGATACAGGCTATGCTAGACGGGATTTACATCAGCAGAAGGTAATCAGATGAGCTAAAATTTGTTTTGGACACTGGAACTAACCTTTTACAAGAAAAGCATGTTCCAAGTGACTTAACGACAAAGAGATCAAAGACCTTTTCACAATGTTTATTCGCAAGATGTCAACAGGGGTATTTCAAGCTCCTATTATCTTTCTGTTACCAGAAATTCTTTGAACCATCTCCTTTAAGCCCATAAGCTAGCACTGGCAGGTAAGAAGCTACTCTCTTTCCTAAGAAATATGTCACATTTTTTCTCTATGTAATAAGGATCTCTTGATCTTGGTTTATGTTTTGCATAAATAAGGTTACAAAGTGTTTTCAGCTTTTGGTGAAATAGCTTTGTATGAAATACAGAGTTTTTGTTTGTTTGTTTGTTTTGTTTTTTTGAGATGGAGTCTCACTCTGTCGCCCAGGCTGGAGTGCAGTGGTGTGATCTCTGCTCACTGCAACCTCCGCCTCCCAGGTTCAAGCGATTCTCCTGTCTCAGCCTCCTGAGGAGCTGGGATTACAGGCACCCACCACCAAGTCTTTAGTAAAGACGGGGTTTCGCCATGTTGGTCAGGCTGGTCTTGAAGTCCAGACCTCCGGTGATCCACCTGCCTTGGCCTCCCAAAGTGCTGGGATTACAGGTGTGAGGCACTGCGCCCTGTGAAATGATAGAGTTTTAATTGGCAAGGATGTTGGAGATTGTTTAGCCTTACTTCTCCATTTTACAGATGAGGACACTGAGGCTCACAGAGGTGCAGGGGCTTGGTCAAGGTCACTGCTGAGTAAGGGCTGAGGCCAGAACCCTGAGTCTCTGACTCCAGTCTAGTGAGCTTGGCCTGTCACGCCACCTAAACATGATAACTTCTTTTTTCTTTCAAATGAGTTGGTTTAATTTCAGGTGATACAAAGTTTAGGGTAGAACAACGACCAAAGAGCAGATTCTGGCAAGATTCTGAGCTGGTTTTACTTTAAATTCACAGTTATGGTAGGAATGACTTAGTGAAAACAACTAAAGAGATGATGAGCCACTGGAAGATTTTTTTTTTTTTTTTTTTACAAAAGTTTATTCTTAAATGTACAACAGCTCCAAGACGACACTTAATTCCAACTATAGGTGGCAAAAGATATTATAGGAGGGAATAGAGAGGTTTAAATACGGATGAAATAAAGGGTCACCGTCTCCTTAGGCACAAGGAACAGCTTATTTTTTGCCAGATTTCTTAATTCCACCTGTGGCCAGAGGCCCCTTCCCCACGACCTTCGCTTTTAGCACCTCGAGTTTCTTCTGCTCCTCTTTTTGTTTCTGCTTGAAAGCCTTCTCTTCCTCGTCCATCTCCTTGGCCTGCTTCTTGGGCTGTTTCAGTGCCTTCTTCTTGCCACCTTCGTGGCTGGACATGGCGCCTGCCGCCCCTTCCCCAGACCCTGCCACTGGACGATAACTTCTTTTAGATCAGCACCTTTTGTTGCCAGTCTGGACTCACAAGTGATGGGACACATTCGAACCAGGGCTAGAGAAAATGGATTTTATCCATCTAGGAAGGGTGGGCTGAGCCTTTACCATTAGATCCAGTTTTACTTCATTGCCAAGTCATTCTCTTTTGGATGTAAAGTTTATTTTTCAAACAGACATACATTTATATCTAAAAATAAACTGGCACTAGTGATGCCAATTGCCTGATGTAAAAGAAAGGTCAAGAATTTTAAAGGGTCTCGGAGAGTAAAGATACCTCTGAGAGTAAGTGGAGGTTTCTTTTTGAGTCAGAGTCTCGCTCTGTCGCCCAGGCTGGAGTGCAGTGGCGTGATCTCTGCTCACTGCAAGCACCACCTCCCAGGTTCATGCCATTCTCCTGCCTCAGCCTCCCAAGTAGCTGGGACTACAGGCGCCCGCCACCACGCCCGGCTAAGTTTTGTATTTTTAGTAGAGACGGGGTTTCATCGTGTTAGACAGGATGGTCTCGATCTCCTGACCTCATGATCCGCCCACCTCAGCCTCCCAAAGTGCTGGGATTACAGGCGTGAGCCACTGCGCCTGACCATGGAGGTTTCTTAGGGATGGATTTAGGGACCTGTGTTAAGAAGGAGATGGAAATTCTGACCCTCAATCTCATCTTATGTGCTGGGATTTGCTCATAGCTGGGTGAAGCCACAGGTTGTACAAGTGGCCTCTTGCTTGACTGATTTCGGGTGGTAATCAACATATTGCAATCACTTTGTGGTCTTCCCCTTGGTTTTGGCCACCAACAGATACTTTCTTCATTCTAAGACAACATGGATCAACTCAAAGTCATTATCCTTCACATCCAGGTGAGGAGGAGAAAATATTCTTGTGATATTATAATTTTTCATCCACCACCTCAAAGAACTCAGAGTGTGAAACATTGACCCTTTTACTCTCATAAGCTGTAAGGATGGGTGTGAGGGTTGCAGCTGGTTATCTGGGTCTACAAGGAGAGGATGGCCTGACCATTGTCTCAAGCCTGAAGAGGAACAAAGGAAAGGATGCGACTCAGGGCGCTGGACTCCAAAATCTGGTGTTTCAGGCCCTTAACAAATGCTGAGTGATAGAACTACAATTAGCTCTTAATTATCTGTGCCCATGACAGATGTAAAAATAATTAATAATGATTTTGCTTTGGAAAATATTATACTACATTTCTGCAAAGACGTGATAAGGATTACGGTAATTGTCACCATAACTAGAAGCTTCATCGCCTGAATATCAGGGGAAGACTTCGGTAGAAGTCAAGGCCTACTGTTTTGTAGAACTCACTTTAATTAAGGAAATATAAACCATAGTTCTGGGTCCGGGCACAGTGGGTCGCGCCTGTAATCCTAGCACTTTGGGAGGCTGAGGCGGGTGGATTACATGAGGCCAGGAGTTCAAGACCAGCCTGGCCAACATGACGAAACCCCGTCTCTACTGAAAAAAACCACACACACACAAATTAGCCAGGCGTGGTGGTGCGAACCCATGGTCCCAGCTACTCAGGAGGCCAAGGCACGAGAATTGCTTTGAACCTGGGAGGCGGAGGTTGCAGGGAGCCGAGATTGCGCCACTGCACTCCAGCCTGGGCGACAGAGCGAGAGTCTGTCTCAAAAAACCAACGAAACCACAAAAACCATAGTTTCTAGCTGAAAAAGCCAGAGTCATCTTCATGCAAACCAAAGGCCCAAGAGATACCCCTCAGTCTAACAAATTACTTGGTCAAGTTTATGATGGGGTAAAGAGGGGAGGCTTAAGAAATAGATTTGACTTGTAATATATATACACGCATGTTAAATATATGTATAATTGTTTTTTCTAATAATATATGTATATAATATATGTAAATAATTTTTTTCTCTTGAGACAGGGTCTTGCTCTGTCACCCAGGCTAGAGTGCAGTGGTGCGATCGATCTTGGCTCACTGCAACCTCAACCGCCCAGCTCCAACAATCCTTTAACTTCAGCCTCCCAAGTAGTTGGGACCACAGGCATGCGCCACTGCACTGGGTTAATTTTTTATTTTTAGTAGAGATGAGGTCTCACTAGTTGCCCCGGCTGGTCTCCAACTCCTTGGCTTAAAGCATTCCTCCCAACTCAGCCTCCCAAAGTGCTGGGATTAGAGGCATGAGCCACGGCGCCCGACCCTGACTTGTAATATATGTTAATGGAGCGAAATTTCATTAATTAAGACCTAACAAGATTAGAATTTGTGATACATCAATATTGGCCTGAACTAAAGTTAACCATTCTCCAAGCTATGAAAATAAAGTTTTTACTGAAGAAAAGAGTTTAAGCAAGATTGCAAGGGCAATGCTAAAGAGACCACTTTAAAGGTATGTATGCATACAAATTGTTGACCTGTTATTTTTAAGTCCTTCCTACCTATCCTTTCAAATATCCATTCTTTCTAAACAGCAAAGTGGCCACAGTTTATTACTTGAGATTGGATTTCTGTCCTTAAAACAAAGCTTTATGCCTTTCAAAATATATTGAATAAACCAGATCGGTATTTCCTGCCAATAACTTGACAGTAAGGTTTTGCTGTACTTCTCCTGATCTGCTAACAGCATTATATTCTTGCAGTTTCACATGTGGTGAAGTCTGATACGTGACTTGCGATCCTCAACATGCTGACCACACACAGTGTGTTCCGAACTGGGCTTCTGAGTTTGGGGCTGTGTAATGTCTACGCGTGGACTGAGTCACTTCCTATGGGTTGCTGCACCTTAGTGAGATTTCGCTGTTACAGTCCTCCCCCACTCCTGGCCCTCTGTTCTGTGGTTTTCGGTCTTGCTGTACTGTACTGTGTTGAAGTAGCCTTTCTTTTTGTTCAGCTGCCTACAACTATACATGTATTTGTTGGGGCTCAGAAAACGACACCCCTTGGCATGCTGAGTGCTTCGAACCAAAGGAGATGGGAAGGTTTCAGAAGCAGCCTTGGAAGCAAAGTCTTCCTTTGGCCTTCTCCTGCCCTCCTGTCTCCCGCTCCTCTTTCTCCCCCTGAGTGAGTCATAGAAATTAGAATTCCTCTTCCCCACAGTGGGTCAGAGAGACTAGAAGGGTCACTATGGGGGAGGCCAAGGCAGGAGGATTACTCGAGGCCAGGAGTTTGAGATCAGCCCAGGCAACACAGTAAGACCTAGTCTCTACAAAGAAATAAGTTAAAAAAATATTAGCCAGGTGTGGTGGTGTGCACCTGTATCCCCAGCTACTTGAGAGGCTGAGGTGGGAAGATGGCTTGAGCCTGGGACACAGAGGCTGTGGTGAGCAATGATTGCGTCACTGCACTCCAGCCTGGGCAACAGCTGTCTCCAAAAAAAAAAAAAAAAAAGAAGACTTGGGACAGGCCTTGTTCAGTTTCCTACCTCAGTCTGTTACCTTAGATCAAACCCCCTTTGTCCAATCCCATTTCTACAGGGCTGTCTGTCCTTTGACAAACCTAAGCATAAAAATAGACGGCTTTCCCTGGGTCTTGGGTCTTCATTTCTGAAGGCTTCTGTGTCACACAAGTCTTTGATTAAATAAATGTGTCCACTCTCCTCTTGTTAACCTGTCTTGTAGGAGTGTCAGCTGTGACTCCTCTGATGGGCAAAGAAAGGTGCCACAACTTTTCCGCCCCTGTATATCCTACAGCAGTGACTTGAGATTTCTATTTTTCTCTGACTCTTCTTCAGATATGCATCAATCATAAAAGAAAAGGTTAAGATTTAAACCCCCAGATGGATCTGGACAAGTGGGAGTTCTCCTCCTCCTATCCCTCCTTCCTTCCACAAATACTCACTGAGTGTCTCTCTTTTATGCAAGACACTGTTAAAGGCATAAAGATGAAGTAGAGGAAAATCCTGCCCTTCCAGAAGCACCTGGGCTAGAAGGGGAGGCAGATGGGCGTAGAAATAATTTCAAACACACACCAGTGTTCTAAAGAGTGGTGTGTGCATGTTTTGGGAAGGCACTGGGAGCAGCAGGTTGTGAAGCTGCTGCCATGCTTGGCCCCTAGGCCACCATGCTTCTGACCATTGGGTCATATTCCAGAGGTCCCTTCATGGCTTCAGCATTCTGTGAGGTTAACAGGCCGAGAAGGGCCAAGGCAGTGTCAGGAATGGTCAGTACCTGACAGAGATGGAGAAGTCCCCTGGGGAGCTCTGGCTGGCCCGGATGATGAAGAAGCCAACCTCCTTGCCCATGAGTAAGTTCTCTGCCTGGTGTCGAGAGAGGCCTTCGTGAAACCATCTGTGGGGGCGAGATCAAACAAAAGGATCAGGATGAGACACAGGAGTGACAAGAGGGAGACGTGGAGAAGAGGTGACCCAGAGGGAAAGAGGCTGGGGACTCTGTACAGTAGGGAGCAGAGAGAGACCAGGTGCTGTTTGAAATCAAACCAGTGCTCCAGGCAGCTTTCAGGAAAGGCGAGGGAGCATTCCCCTTGATTCACCCTCTTTGTTCCTTCTCTCCAGGAGAAGTCTCTCTCCAGCCTGGGAAACGAATCATGGAAATGTGTCGCTGCACCAAAATGGGGCAGTGTGGGAGTGACTCACTGCAGGAAGCAGCCGCCTGCCGGCAGCTGCGGAAGAGATAGACCAGAGCTGCGAGGACAGAGGATGCACTGGGGAGGGAAGGGAAGGCTTCAGGCACTGGAGCCAACCAGGTGCAGCCGGCTGAGCAGGGCCTGGGGTGCTCATGCCTGCCCTGAGGTCTCAGTGGCCTAGAGGTTCCTCCCTGG